>NC_000023.11:64962542-66212542 GCF_000001405.40 Homo sapiens | reverse complement strand
TGCACAGCCACATGCAGAAGAATAAAACTGGACCTATATCTCTCACCATATACAAAATTATCTCACGATGGATATGTGAAGCTATAAAAATACTAGAAGAAAACTGGAGGGAAACTCTCCTGAACATTGGTTGAGGCAAAGAATTTATGACCTCAAAAATACAGTTAATAAAACCAAAAATAGGCACACGGGACTATATTTAACTAAATAGCTATTGCACAGCAAAGGAAATAATCAACAGAGTGAAAAGACAACCTGCTGAATGGGAAAAAAAAATTACAAAGTATTCATTTGACAGGAGACTAATACTAGAATACCAAGAAACTCAAGCAAGTTAAGAGGAAAAAAAAAAAAAACACATTAAAAAGTGGGTAAAGGACATGAATAGACATTTCTCAAAATAAGACATACAAATGGCCAACAGGTATATGAAAAAATGCTCAACATTACTAATTATCAGGGAAATGCACATTAAAACCACAATGACAGATCATATTACCCTAGTCAGAATGGCTATTACTAAAAAGAAAAAAAAATAATAATGACAGATGCTGGCAAGGATTCAGAGAAAAGGGAACTCTTACACACTATTGGTGGAAATGTAAACTAGTGGAGCCACTATAAAACATGGTATGAAAATTTCTAAAAAAACTAAAAAATTACTATTCAATCCAGCAATGTCACTACTAGGTATTTACCCAAATGAAAAGAAAACAATATATCAATGGAATACCTGCACTTATATATTTCTTGTAGCACTATTCACAATAATAAAGATATGAAATCAACCTGTGTTCATCAAGGGATGAATGGATAAAGAAAATGTGGTATATATACACAATGGAATACTATTCAGCCATAAAAAAGAATGAAATCATATAATCTGCAGCAACATGGATGGAAATGGAGGTCATTATCTTAAGTAAAATAAACCAGACACAAAAAGACAAACATTGCATTTTCTCACTTATATGCAGGAGCTAAAAAATTTGATCATATGGAAGTGAAGAGTGGAAAGGTAGATAACAGAGACTGGGAAGGGTGGTGAGTGTGAAAGAAAGGGAAAGATGAAGAAAACTGATTTAAAGGGTACAAATATGCAGTAAAATGGAATGAATTCAATGTTTGATAGCAGATTAAGATTACTATACTTAACAAAAATATATTATACTTGGATGATGGACACTGTACATATTCTGACTTGATCACTATACATAATATACATGTAACAAAATTTCTCATATACTCCTTACATTTGTACAAATAAAATAAAATATCGAACTGTAATTTAAGTTAGAACTACTTTAAACCTATACATTATTTAAGATAGAGTACCTCCTCTTAAATAATAGTATGTTCCAAAGTTTCATTCTCAGCTGATGCCATTGTCACTTTACACACTATCTCACTGGGTGATTACATGCATATCATGATTTCAACTATCATCCATTGTAATTACTTATGACTGTTAAATTCCTATGCTATCCCAGGTGTCTCTTCCAAGTTACAGATCCATATCTCAAACTGATGATAATCTTCTATCCGTACAGCTCTCTCATTTCCACCTCGATGTTTTATGGCATCTCATATTAAGATTTTCAAAAATAAAGTCAACATCTCCCCACTCTAAACAAACAAACAAACAAAAAACTGCCCCCTGCTTCCTGCATTTATTTTCTTTGTGAGTGGTACCAACATCCAGGTGCTTAATCCAAAAACTTGGTTATGAACCTTGATTCCACCATCTCCCTAATCTTCTCAACACCCATTCAATCAAAATATCCTATTTATTCTGCCTTAACATCTCTCAAATTTATCTAGTTGTCTCCATTCTCATTTTCTATTACCTTTGTTTAAGCCATTATCATCACTTGTAGATCACTACAACCTTCTAACTGGTTTCCCAACTTCCAATGTATCCCTTCTCTCTTAATGGTCATTTATTGATTATTTTAGTACCTGGATCACCATCCTCTTTTCCATCCCAATCCCCACCATTTTTCTGAGTGACTTCAAGGTGCATGTGGATGATTTATCCAACACTCTAGCCTATTAGTCCCTAGATCTCCTCAACTGTAGTGTCCTTTGCCTCCACTTTACTTTAGCCTTTGGGCACAACCCTGACCTTCTCATTACCTAAAATTGTTCTGCCTAAGTCTTAAAATTAAGCCATACTCACTGTTTTCAATCTCTTATCTCCCGATTACTCTCTAATACATTCTAATATAGCTTCTTTCCCCAATTTATCAAAATCATCAGCCATTTCCCTATTGCTATAAGCAATGGAAAATTTTCTGCTCTTATTTTATTTGAACTCTTTGGAGCAGCTGAAGCTGTTGACTACTTCATCCTTGACATGACCTTTCTTAACATCTGTAATCTCATTTTGATTTTCCTCCTATTTTGCTAACTTTTTCTCAGGCTCACATTTCAATCGGTACCTCCCTTAAAAATTGGCCTTCCTCGGGGTCTCATCTGAGTATTTTTACTTTCTCATTCAATATACTCTTCTGGGGTAACTGTGTTCACTCTTATGCTTTTAACCACTATCTAGATGTTGATGCTTCCCACATCTATTCCTTCAGAGCATACTTTCCTCCTGGGCTCCAGATCTGTAAGTCTATCTTTATGTCTAGATACCTATATTTGATCAACTTACAAATATACCAAATCCAACAAATTCAAAAGGGAACTCATCATCATCCAATACTCCAATCCTCCCACTCCATCTCAAGTCACCTTTCTCTTATGTTCCCTATCTTGATGAATGGCATCACTATTTTCCTGGTTGTCCAAATCAAAAACTGGGTATTATTTAAGAATCTTTCTCCAAAAACACCGATATCATTCAATAATACTTATCTTTCTCACCTTCAAAATCCAATTAATCACCATATCTTGCTTATTTTACCTCATTGATCTTTTTAGAATCTATTCTTTTTCCTTTACACCAACTTCAATCTCTTTGCCTTTGCACACTGCATTCTTTAAATCTGGAACTTCCTTTTCCCTGCTTTTCTTCCATACTGTACTTTACCTTCACCCATATGTCCCTTTTTTCATCCTTTAGGTCACCTGTTTCCAAAGTGTAGTTTCTGAACTAGCAGCATGAGAACTTATTTGAATGAGCAAATTCCTGAGCTCCATCACACACCTACTGAATCAGAGACTTTCAAAGTTGATTCCAGCGATCTGTGTTTTAGCAAGCCTCTAGGTGATCCTGATACATGCTAAGGTTTGAAAACTACTGATTTAGGTCTCAGCTGAGATATCACCTAATCTGGAAAACCATTCCTGACTATTCAAACATTAGATTAAATACCCTTTTCTTCACATGCCTATCACACTGTAAAAACTCCTATTAACACTTAACACACTGGATTATAGTTACCAGTTTTACCTGTTTCTATCATAACAGCTCAAGTTTCTTCAAGACAGGAGCAAGTGTTCACTACTGCATCGATAGATTCTAAAGTTGTTCTTGTCACCCAGTAGGCCTCCAGTAAGTGTTTATTCAATGAATGAATTAATAAAAGAGAATGTTGACAAGATTATGATTATTCTATATTTAGTATTAGGAGCTTAGTATGTGACTGGGGTTAGAATTCAGTCTGCAAGAAGGGTACAAGAACTTTATTTACTGGGCTAAGGGCTGAATGATCAGCTTGTGGCCTAGGTCACATCACTCTCTAGTCAAGATTAGGAGCTCATACTGTATCCAAGGGTATATAGAGATCTGAAACAGGAATATTAGCCAAGTCTAAGCCATAGCCTATTCGGGGATTGAGAAAATGAGTATTTGATAGAGAAAAACTCAGGCTGTGGCTTAGTTTTGGCTATATTCCTATTTCAGGTCTCTAAGCTCATATATATATATATATATATATATATATATATATATATATATATATGTATGTATATATTTGAGATGGAGTCTTACTTGTCACCCAGGCTGGAGTGCAGTGGCATGATGTTGGCTCACTGCAGCCTCCACCTCCTGGGTTCAAGAGATTCTCCTGCCTAAACCTCCCGAGTAGCTGAGACTACAGGTGCACACCACTGCACCCAGCTAATTTTTGTATTTTTGGTAGAGATGAGGGTTCACCATGTTGGCCAGGCTAGTCTTGAACTCCTAACCTCAAGTGATCCACCCGCCTCAGCCTCTCAAACTGCTGGGATTACAGGAATGAGCTATCACTCCAGTCTGAAGTACATTAATTTTTTAAGGAAAAATCCAGAAGCCTGAAGCAGACGTGATGCATGTCCTTTGTTCTTTCACTAAGTGTCCCCACTCACCAGGCTCAGCAGCCAGTGGCCAGACAGTAGTAGATTCTAGCACTCCATGAGCATGCACAGAGTAGGGGCGGCTGGCATTATTCTTGAATACCACAGTCAGGATATCACCAACTTCACCTTTGATAAGTGGACCTAATGTAAACAAAAATAATTAAATAAATAAAGTTTCATTAATGCAGGAGCACAGGGAGCATTAAAGAAAGGGACATATATGAGCACTTCATAGAATTAGTGGTTTACCCTGACAAAACATCCTTCTAAGACCTAGAAGGCATGGCTGGCTCCATTTTAAGATTCAGAAGTCCTTAAACTGTTACTACTACCCACAGGATGAAGGTACTTCAATGACAAGATTATACTTCCAATTACCTCCACTTTTCCCACCCCTACCCTCTATCTATAACAGCCCAAGGGTCTAAAGAATCAAGGTGCTGTGGAATCATTGACGATAAAGAGTGATAAGTTTGGCAGACAATAAAGAATTGAGAGGATCTCTTTAGGAGTCAGTGGGTCCCTTCTGTACCATAACTAGAATAAGGGGGAAACCACCTAAAGCAATAATTAAACAGCGGTACAATGAAAAAACTGATTCCTTGTGTATATATATAGTTTTTTCACATTTTGATGTTCCTAAGTTATTCTGCCCCTAGCATTTATTACAACTTACCATCCTCAGAGACTCATACCTTGAAGCTATAGAAAACCCAGTAAAATCTGGTTCATGAATTCATGATTTCCTTCCTCCCCCTTCACTGTTTATTGTCATGGTTGTTTCATAAAATATTCCATAATTCCAGTATATCATATGAAAACATTGAGAATGGGGAATAGTGAGGCCATCCTGGTATAACATAGCTTCCCTAGGTGGAGTTCAGGCTGCTAAACACTAGGAGGGAAGTAGAATTCCCTTACCCAAGATTCCCAAGTGTTCTTCTGGTCCAGTCCTTGGCCGAGGGATCCTGAATGTACCATCAGTGTATTCCCTGAATACAGCTTTCTTGTATCTGGAACCCAGGAGCCCATCCTTGTTGCTCAGGAAAATGTAACCATAACTAGAGGAATCCAAAGAGTACTATCAGCACCTGGCCATCAACCCCTCATTTTCATTTGAGTATTTATGGGGAAGCTAAGTCAGAACCAGCTTCATGTCACAGACAGAAAAAAAAAAGGGGGGGGACCTATTTCTTTTTTTTTCTTTTTTTTAAATTTATTTATTATTATTATTATTTTAGACGGAGTTTCGCTCTTGTTGCCCAGGCTGGAGTGCAATGGCATGATCTCGGCTCACCACAACCTCCGCCTTCCGAGTTCAAGCGATTATCCTGCCTCAGCCTCCAGAGTAGCTGGGATTACAGGCATGCGCCACCACGCCCGGCTACTTTTTGTATTTTTTAGTAGAGACAGGGTTTCTCCATGTTGGTCAGGCTGGTTTTGAACTCCTGACCTCAGATGATTCACCCACCTTGGCCTCCCAAAGTGCTGGGATTACAGGCATGAGCCACCACACCTGGCCCCTATTTCTTCTAATGTCAGACTTCTCACCACATTGGCTGCATAACCACAATTAAAGTTGGCAGGTATGCCATACACAGTGGCTCACACCTGTAATCTCAGCACTTTGGGATGCTAAGGCCGGTAGATTGCTTAAGCTCAGGAGTTTGAGACCAGCCTGCCCAACATGGCAAAACCCTATCTCTACTAAAAATTAAAAAAAAAATCAGCTGGGTGTAGTGGCTTGTGCCCGTAATCCCAGCTACTTGGGTGGCTGAGGCACAAGAATCACTTGAACCTGGGAGGCAGAGGTTGCTGTGAGCCAAGATCATGCCACTGCACTCCAGCCTGGGCAACAGAGTGAGGCTTTGTCAAAAAAAAAAAAAAAAAAAAAAAAAAAAAAAAAAAAAAAAAAAGATGGCAGGTTTCCTTGTTTGCCATCATCCAAATACAAATTTGGTATATAATTCATACTATAAGAGCACTGGGCTAAGAATCAGAAGCCACAGGCTTTAGCTCCAGCCCTAATGATGTCTTGATGAAATTAGTTTTACAAAAGGCAAGATACAAGGTGGCAGGAAAGTATTAACTACTGCTGCAACCAGAGGGCAAAGGATGGTGAGACATAGGGAGGGAATGAAATCTTACAGATTTTCTCCTTATAGGATTCTGTCTAGTTTACAAACAGATTTATCATTTGATATTTCTAATAGGCCTATGGGGTAGGTAGGTGCCAGAGGTGCAATCAATTGCACAGAGATGACAGGACTTATTCTACAAGTGACATTGTTAGCCAGAAAGTGAGCCAGGATTTAGATTCAAGTCTGCTGCTCCTTCCCTCCCTCGTTTTCTAGTCCTGTTCTTTCATCTTATACTGCATCATTTTCAAGATGAGTATACCCAGGTTCAGAGACGGGAAGTCACTTTTTAAAATTTCCAAAAACTGAAACAATTCAGCAAGCAAAAAACAAATCACCCCATTAAAAATGGGCAATATATGGGTGTGGCAGCGTGCACCTGTAGTCCCAGCTACTTGGGAGGCTGAGGCAGGAGAATTGCTTGAACCTGGGAGGTGGTGGTTGCAGTGAGCCAAGATCACACCACTGCACTCCAGCCTGGGTGACAGACTGAGACTCTATCTCAAAAAAAAAAAAAGCATGAAAAATAGATCATTCTATCAAAAAGACACATGCATTCATATGTTCATCACAGCACTATTCACAATAGCAAAGACATAGAATCAACCTAGGTGCCCATCAGTGGTGGACTGGATAAAGAAAATGTGGTATGTACAAACAATGGAATTCTATGCAGACTTGAAAAAGAATGAAATTATGTCCTTTTCAGCAACATGGATGTACCTGGAGGCCATTAATTTCTCAGCAAATGAATGCAGGAACAGAAAACAAAAAAGTTCTCACTTATAAGTGGTAGCTATGCATTGGGTACATATGGACATAAAGATGGCAACAATAGAAATTGGGGTGGAGGGCAAGGGTTGAAAAACTATTGGGTACTATGCTTACTACCTATGTGATGGGATCTGTACCCCAAACCTCAGCATCACATAACATGCCCATGTAACAAACCTGCACATGTACCCCCATACCTAAAATAAAAGTTGAAATTAATTAAAAGAAAGATTTAACAAGAGACACTGGGGATTACTAAAGGGGGAGGAGGGATGCGGAAAACGGTTGAAAAACTAACTATTGGATACTATGCTCACTACCTGGATGACAGGATCATTTATATTCTAAAATGTAGCATTGCACAATATACCCATGTAAGAAACCTGCACATGTACTGCCTGAATCTATAATAAAAGTCCAAATTATTAAAAAAACCATTCTCACTTGGGCCCTACCTGAATGCTAGCAACTAATATTATATTTTTAAAAAACTGATGTAAATATCTCTTTTCCTTTTTCTTTTTTTTAAATTATAAGATCTTGTTAGAAGTATCTCACTGGGTTCTGATCAGAAACAAGTGAGAGGAACTAAATAAATAACTGATTTCTACATAAAGTCAAATTTTATTCTCAGTAGTTGCTGATAATTCAATTGTGGCTTAAATTAGTGTTTTCAAAGTCAGTATCAATTAGTAACATATTTTCCTTTTAGCATGTATATAGACAGAGGTGATAGATGGAATCTTCAAAAAAATGTCCAGCCCAGTTATCTGCTTCTGTTTACAGAAAACTTAGCATACATTCCATGGATTTTTGTTTTCATAATTGTATGTCTATCTGAACATCAAAAATCAAGAATTAAAAATAAAGTAAAATTTTTAGATGTTTAGCAGGAAGACTTCAACCTTCAACGAACAACGCAAAGAGTAAAAATTGCTAAAGTGTAGTGACAGCACCAAAAACAAAGTAGTGGAGACTGCTAATTTGTATCTCCATTTCCGTTCTCTCCTTCTTTTTTAGTAATAGAATCACCTAACTTTTAGCTGAGCACATGGCTGACTAATTAGAGATTACATCTTTTAGACTCTTTTTGCAGCCAATTATGGCCATAAGAATTAGTTCAGAACAACAGAGTATAAGAAAAAGTGATATATACAATTTCCATGCTGTGTCCTTATAGACAATGCTGCTTGCCCTGGACTTCTTTCTTTCTTTCTTCATGATAGCCGGGAATAGCTACAACTGGAACAGACATCTTGGCCCCAGAAAGGAAAGCAAGTGCTGAGGATGATAGGGTTCACCTGCCAGCCCTGAATTGCTCATATTTGTATTATTATGTGAATAAGAAATAAAATTCTATCATATTTAAATCACTCTGTTTTAGACATTTTCTGCTACATAGCTTAGTCTGTACCTTAATAAATGCAATGCCATTTTGTCAAGGGACAGCTGAGCTTGAGACATTCAATCCCTTGAGTAAATCCTGTAAAATTTAAGTCCCAGGGTAAATACTTCCAGCTAACTGAAAGAAGAGAGACAAAGATTAAGAGGGTGAAGGTGTGGGCAAGCTTTATTCCCTCCCTATATCAATATGGAAGCAGCAGTGAGCTAGAATTCATAAGAGCTGCATTATAGCCCCATCTCCCAAATCTGTTGGTATCACATTAGGAGACCTGAGATAAGAGTCTCCTCATCTCAGAATTTCAGTATTCTCATTTGCAAAATGTTTTTCTAAAAGTGTAATCTCTCCATTTATGAAGCCTTACCTGTCCTTCTCAGACTGGTTGTGCCATTCCCGTTCCCAGCTCCGGTCAGGGCAATAGTCCCACTCTACTTCTTCTGCCATGATATAGTAGATTCTTGCAGCTTGGTAGCGTTGGCGAGGGGTGGCTTGGTGGCCAGGACACTGGGAGACATTATAGATTGCCCTCATCCCTGCTTCTCGATGGCTGCCTGCCTGGCAATAAATCTCAAATGTCCCTGAGGGAGGATCAGAGAGAAAAATCTGACTCAGAACATCCCTGGGTAGTGCCTGGGGGATTTCCTGCCTTTCCCTAGGCATACTGCAGAAAAGAGTTAGTTTCAGATAGTCTCAGATAAGGCTCTTGCCTTAACTACACATAGATAAAAGAGTATTTAAAGTTTATTGAGAGTAATGGGCTCAAAGGTTAAGAGCTCCGGCTCCAAAGCTACATACACTGGGTTTATTAAAACTAAACTCTGCCGCTAGAATAACCAACTTCTTCCAGGGTGTTTCTAGTTTTAGCACTGTAAGTCCCATATTCCTAGAAACCCCTCAGTACTAGGCAAACTGCCATGGTTGGTAACCCTATCTTTCATTTATTATATATAAATCATATATATATACATATATAAAAATATATTATGTGTGTGTGTGTGTGTGTATATATATATATATATATATATATATGCACACATAAAACCTTGTGGCAATTGCTAAACCTCTGTGTTTTTCAGTTCCCTCATCAGTAAAATGAGGATTATTTTACTTTATTTGGTTGTTTTACAATTAAACACAATAATTTGTGAACAGTGCTTAGTATAGAACATATTCAATGTTCAGTTAAGTGATGCTATAAATAAGTAAATATAGCTGTAATAATTCTTATTCCAAGAAAAACATTGATGAGTTGTCTCCTATCAAGTACCAAAGAAATAAAGTAGACTTCAATAGTTAGGTAAAAAGAAAGAGAATGTCTTGATTGCAGAGGGATGCTTACCTAAGACAGCTTTAGAAGGTCCTTCACTCATTTTTTACAATGGAATGTGCAGGTAACAGTCTTAAATGTCTGTGTTGTGAAGTTGCCTGGACCAGATCTTAAGCTCCAAATTTCTAACTCAAGGATACTCAAACTCAATGTCGATCAAAAGAAGCTAAATTTCTTAGAACATTACTCTCATTGTTTCCTTACTTTGCTGCTCAGTGCTTATCCCATCACTACAAACTCTTCTTCCTGGCTTTCAAAGCCTTCTATGAGTTGGCACCAAACTACCAATCCAGTTCCACCTCCCACACATTGTCTCAAACTCAACTAGCACTCCAACTACATGGAACTCTGACTGTTTCTCTCACACATCTCATTCATTCCTACCTTGAAATCTTCATTCATTTTGTTATCCTCTTTCTGGAACTTACCTGCCCACCCCACCCCCAAGTATCTATGAGAGTCCACTCATTATCCAAGACTCAATTCATGTTTCTTTTCCAGAAAGCCCTCCCTGACTATTTTGGCCCAAATAGAGTTCTACATTCTTCACTTCTCCACCTCTAATGCACTTTATATCTAAACCACATGTTAAAGGGCTAAGTGCCCCTCTCTTTTAAAATGATCCCTTCTACTAGTTTATAAACACGTTGAAAGAAAGGGTCTACTCATTTCTTTCCACATCTACTTCTTCTATTTCCCTTACCACCGTTATCTATTGCATCAGTAAATCCTATCAGCAATTCCTTCAAAATTATTTTTTCGTTTAAACTGCCACTTCCCGAGTCCAAGCCACAAGCTTCTCTCACAGAGAAAACTGCAATAGCCTCCAAATTGTCCTTTCTATTTCTGAGGAGACCAGCTTTATGTCAAGTGTTTGTCAAACTCAGGACTAGGTTAATATTATTAAAGCGTTGAAGACACTTGTTCAAGGATGTTTTTCCCCCCAGATATGAATGAAATTTACAGGAGTAAAACAAAAGTTTAATAGGAACTGCGTGGAGCTGACAGGTTGTTCTTACAAACACTATTGCCATCTAATGGCTGGAAAAAAAAATACACCATAGGGACTAAAGAAAAGATAACTGCTCTATTATGAAATTCTAGAAATACATAGAATCTGAAGAAACATTATAGTCAAATATCTTCATAAAAGGAAGAAAAAGGATATAGAGGGAAGGAGAGATGGAGGGAGGACAAAAGGACAGAAGGAAGGAAGGCAGAAAGGAAAGAATCAAGGCAGGAAATCTAGCTAGAGAGAAGGGAAGTAATTAGACCAAAGTTACGCAGCAAGTTAATGAAAGAGCCTGAACTAGGGCTCCTGTGTTCTGATTTCCAGGCTGAAATTGTTACATCACCACACACACACACAAACACACACACGGGGTGGCAGGGGGCAGAGGGTGGGGCGCATCATGGGTAGAAAGAGAAAGAGAGAGGGAGAGATCAGAAATGAGTCTGTAGAAAGCCTCACAGAATATCAATTTGATAGCACTTATAAGTGCATTTTATTGACCTTCCTCCCAATAAAAGTACTGTACCTATAAAATCTCTGTGTTGTCAAGTCCACTCCCTGCCATATAAGAACTTCACTAAAGCTGAGCAACATCCCAACTTCCCTTCTGTTGTTCCAGAAAAGAGCTTCCTCCACCTTCTACTAACTATTCTGCCTGCAGCTGAGTAGGGAATCCAAGTAACCAGAACATGGAGAGCACATTGAAGAAGAAAAAGACAAGTGTTTTTAAAAACTTCCTAGAACCCTTAACATGCCTATTATTTTCTCTTCACCATCCCTCCCTCTTCCCGACCCCATTCCTGGCCCTATACCCAACAAAGCCTCTAGGGCCAGCTGCTAAGGCACTTACCAAGGTTGTCAGGCTGCATGATGGCCATGACAAAGGTATGAGGAAAGAGCATAGCTGCACCCTTCCTCATGCCCTGAAGCTGCACAGTGTTGCCCTGGAACATGACTCCATGCACATCAGTCTCTGTGCCCAGGCCGAGCAGGTGCCAGGCCACTGTGTCACCCTTGCACATGTCCAGCCTGGGCAGGTTAGAGAACAGAAACCCATTAATGGCTGGAAAACAAAAACACAAGACAAGGTGGGGAGATGAGACCAGACTACTCCAGCACTGGCCAGGAGCATGGCATCAGCTATGTACTATGGTTTCACACAACTTGAAACTGCTGAGTCATCCTCAACACCTCTGCCTTCCTCTCTATGCCACTTTAACTCTACTCGTGAATATCTCTGTCTTTGGGATGAGTGCTCAACTGTCCTTTCTGGCCTCACCTCCACCATGATCCACATCCTGACAACATTGAACTATTCTCCACTACCAAACACACACACACACACACACACACACACACACCAATCTCTCCTATTCCCTATTTCTTGAAACTCTCCTTCCTTGGTTTCTGTGGCAACATACTTTCTGGTCCTTTTACAACCACTCTGATTGTTCCTTTTCCATATAGATCTCATTTTCCACGCCCCCATACGTGTTGGGGATCTGAAAATTCCATCTTCAGCTCTCAACCTGTTTCCTCCTCTTCATCTTCACTGCTACTGCCCTGGTTCTGGCCCTCATCCTCCCTGGCCTGAACTAAAATAGCCTCCTCTCTGGTACCCCTACCTGCAGTCTGTCCTCCCATCCTCTTCCATACACACACACACACACACCATTGTCCTGTGAGCTCTATTTTTCTCTGCATTACCAAAGCTTTAAATATTGTAGGTGCTTTGATAATACCTGTTGACTTTTCACATGATTTCCTCTTTCTGGAATAAACTTCCCTTATGGTCTCTTTCTATGGCATCCTACCACTTACCTGTCGTATCTTCGTTCAGCTATACTTTACTCTCTCTTCGATCCATGAAAATTTTATCCCACAAAATTCTGCAGTATCAGTTGCCATGGATTGTAACTGATATACTTTCTGGTGATTTACTTACAAATCTATTTCCTGCACTGGATTGACATAACAGGAAGCATATCATTTTTTTTCTATATCTATGTGACTGCCTGAGCACCTAGCACATTACCTAGTACCAATTAGGCGCTCAGTAAATTCTAACTGGAATGAACTTTGCTCATGAGATGGTTTTACTTTTTCCAAATGATGAAACTAACTAGTAATGGGAATCAAGAGATGGAGCATTTCAAGTGAAGGGAACAGCACTGCAAAAGCATGAAATCAGCATGTTCACAAAGAAAAATAGCCCCAGTTGGCTGGAGTATGGGGGGGGGGGACCCAAGGTACTAAAATATAAGGAAGAGGGGAGATAAGATTGGAAAGGTATCATCTGGCTTATTCTTCACAATCTCTTGTAGATTTCTTGTGCACACCCTCATTTTGCAGTACTTTCTTCCAGTTTCCCCCATACTGTGTAACACAGGACACAGCACCCAAAGGTACTAAGTATAAGATCTGTTGTGTTCGGTTGAGCCTCTCAATCTAGCTCGCCTCTTGGACAGAGATGACCAATAAAATCAGTGTTTTCAGGATTGGTCATGATTACGGTTAAAGTTAGATTTTACTTGGGACCCTCAATTTAGCCCAGGGCAAAAGTACTCCCCATACCATGCATCCGATTGGAGTCTTGGAAGCCCTCAATATCCTCTGAAAGCAGTCGGAAATCCAACATAGCAGCTGCTTGATTGGCATTGCTGTACCAGCTCTTGTTCTCATCCAACACAGTGAAGAGAAGAAAGAATTCTTTATCCACCCCTTTCTGCAGGCCCAATAGAAGAAAGTAGAGGGAATAATGACAATAGTTTCAGCAGTTGTAGACTGTGTCGTTACAGATCAAGGGATGCCAGATTCTTTCCCATTTCCTTTTCCCATTTTGAGACCATACCTCCTATCCAGAGCTGCAGCAGTTTTTCCTTAGGTAACCTCAAATTGCAGATGAGAGAAGAATGTCACAATAAAAGTACAAGCCTGACAGGGAAGACTGTATGAAAGTGGGCAGGGAAGGAGCATAGGATAAGAAATAAGAGGTATAGAGTGTAAAAGAAGAGAGATGGTAATCACCTGGGGAGAGGAATGAGGGGAGGTGGCTAGAAAAGCAGGGGAGGGTCTTGGGGGGAAACTAGAAAATAAAAGATAAGTAATATCAGTGATAATTATTGTTACCACTAACATTTACTGAGTGCTTAATATGTGCCAGACACTGTGCTAGGCACTTTATATGGGTTATTTTAATTAATCTTCACAGAAATCCAAGGTGTCTTCTTCCATCGTTATCCCATTTTTACAAATGAGGAAACGGAGTCAAAGAGAAGTTAAGTAGCTCACCCAATGTTACACAGCTAGAAATTGTGGGCTGAATACAAAAGAAGACAAGCAAATATTAAAGCAGATTTATGGATCAGGAGCAAGGTTTAGGGGCCACCGAGGTGAGGGAGAGGGAAAGGGAGAGGGGGAGAGGGAAAGGGAGAGAGAGGGAGGGAGGGAAGGAGGGAGGAAAGAAGAAGATGATGAAAGGATATCATGAATTATCTGCAAGGCTAAGGAAGATATATATTTGTCAGTACAAAAAATAACATGCAAGATAGTATGAGGTCACCAACTATTAATTTCTGATGGACCAGCTTGATTATTTTTCTTCTATTCCCTAAACTTTAGAACCCAGTTCCATGCTTAACTCCTATCCAGCAACCCAGCTTCATCCTTCTCCCAGCAGGCTTTCCAGCCAGATAACCCTGACAATACCTGCTTGCCATCTGCACCCAAGGCACCAGCCCTGCACACCAGCAGCGGGCCCACCAGGCCAGAATTTGTGTCTCTTATGGGATCTGCAGCAGAGAAGTACATCCAAGTGAGACAAGCAGGATCCTGAGCAGTGGGACCGGCATGAGGGGGGACTGTCCAGCGGTATGTTACTTTCTCAAAGGGCTTGGCAACCAAGCCAGGGTAAGATGAGCCTGTAGTGAAAATATGGGACTCATTACTTAGATTGACTAGAATGAGAATCATCAGCTCCAAACAGTGAAATAAAGATTATGAACTACAAAGGCATTTTGGAGCAGCAGTAGCAGCAACATGGAATATTGAATAATGAGGAGAACTCTGGTCAAGGAGTCAAGAGATGAGTTTATTTTCTCGTTCTTCCATTACTTGCTATATGAAATGCAGCAATTTAATCTTCCCTATGTTTCAGTTTTCCAAAATCATAGGACTTTGGGACTAAAAATGGACTTTAAGACTTATTTGGAACATCTCTCACTTGAAAACATACATTAATCTGCTCTTACATCCCTACTTCTGCTTAAAACTCTCCAGTGATGGGGGACTCACTACCTGCCATTATAGTCCATGTCATCTTTGAACAGCTCTGATTATTTAATTTTTTTCTTTTAATATGTATTATGTACATGTGGGTGTGTATATGTTATGTATGTATGTATATATATACATATATATATAAAACACTAAGGCTGTAATTTCTAAAATGGACACAAGACATGGTCAAGCAATGCACAGACCTTTTTCAAATTTTCATGCCATCAGTAATCAAAGAAGTACAATTGAAAATAGCTAGATAACTTTTTTACAAATTAATTTAGCAAAGATTTTACAAATTGTAATAATGCATGATGGTAAGAAGTGGTTTAGATGGCACCTACCCTACTCACTCACCTATAAAGAGTGTAAATGTAAAAGGGAATAACACTTGAAAAAAAATATAGACAAAATTTGAAAAAAAAAAAGTACACCAAAATGTAGACAAAGCTATTTCTTTAAAAGGTTCATATGCACAAGTAGAATAATATATGCAATAAATACTGAATGTTCAACATGAAATAATCAAACAAATGTAAATCAAAACAACAGTGAGTTTTGTTGATGCTGTCGTTTGCCTACAAGACTGTCATTTTGACAAGATTAAAAAGATTTCCCCAGTGCTGATGAGGTTGTAAGAAAAGGAGTCCTCCTCAGGTACTGCTAATGGAACTCTAAACTGATAGGACTGCAAATCTTTCCAGAGAGTAATTTGGGTGTAGGTACCAAAAATTTTAATGTACATAGCCTCTGATATAGCAATTCCCCAACTTAAAAATATATTCTGAAGAAAGGTTTATAAAAACATTCAAAGAAACATATGGAAGGATATTTCTAGTATAGCTTATAACAAGGGGCTATAATTTAGGATGGTTTTAACCTACCTTTCCTTATTCATTCATTATTTCTTACTTTTCAAATTTTCAAATATACAGAAAACTTTAAAAAATAGTGCAATGATCAACCTATCACCTAGAGTCTATTGCTAACATTTTGCCATCTTTATTTATCTACTCTATGTGTATATACATCTACACACACATACATACAGTTTTTGTTTGTTTGCTTTTGTTGAATCACTTGGAAGTAGAATACAAACATCATGATATTAGCACGCATCTCCTATGTCGCTATAATGCCATTATTCCACCTAAGAAAATTCCCTAATAACATCTAATATCCAGTCTATATCAAGAATTTTGCAATTATCTCCAAAATGTCTCCTAAAGCTATTTTTACAAGCAGAATCAATCAAAATTTGCACATTTCATTTGTTATGTCTCTAATCCCCTTATTGATGGTATTGACTTCTTGAAGAGACTAGACCAGTTGCCTTATAGAATGTTCATTCTAGATTTGTCTGCAACTTTGCTCTTTATGCTTTCAGTTTTTCTTTTATAGTTTGGCTAGAATTAGCATGCATTAATATTCTTAGATAAAGTAAAAAATCAATTACACAATACTCTCACTTCTAAGATTCTCTCCTGATACAGTAATCCAAAATGCAAGCTAGGATATATGCATTCATTCATTGCAACCTGACTTACAATATTCAAAAATACTGAAAAAAACCTACATGTCCAAGCAATAGAGGAAAAAGTAAATAAATTTCGACAAATCCTTGAGATAAAGTGTTTTATAGTCATTAAAATGTTTGTAGCATTTTAATGGCATAGAAAAACAAACACAATACAATGGTAACTGAGAATAGTAGGATGCAAAACTGTACAAACCATATGATCACATATCTCTATATATAGACTTGTATAAGCACATAAAAATATTTAAAGGTATATCAAAATTTATATGACAATCTATAAATGATGCTTATTTACTTTGTAATTGTCTGCTTTTCAGAGTTCTATAATAAACTTATTTTTAAAATTAGGATATATTTAAATATATTTAAAAGAAATTTTCTCTTATTATTGAAGCCCAGCTCTGTTTTACTATTATATTATTCATTCATTCAACAACATCCACATATGGCAAATAATTCTGCCTACTTCATCCTCTCCATCTCCCATTTATTTGTTTTCTAGAGACACATGGTACCACCTAGAGCCCACATTTACTAGAAACCCTGTTGGCTCACCATCATTGTACACAGTGCCTTCATAGTCTTTCTCATAAAAGACCCCATGGGGCTGCATGCTGAATGGCTGGGAGGCACGGTTGTAGAAGACCACCTGAATGGTGTCACCCACCTCAGCCCGGATCACTGGCCCTGGAAAATGGGAAGGAGAGACAATGAGAATGATGAAAGGGATAAACAGGGAGGAAGGAAATGGAAGAAGAGGGAGGGAAAGAAAAGGAAAGTGAAAGTGAAGAAGAAAATAAAAAACTTTTCTTTGTAATAATAAGAACAATTCCTTTCAAGTATATTGCAATTTACAATTACAGAAAACACTGGGAAATCCATTATCTTATTTTGATTCTCAAACATCATTTTAAGGCATATAGGGCAAAAATTATTAACTCCAATTTACAGATGAGAAAATTTCAGCTGAGAGAAGTGGAATTTACCTATGCAAATTTAAATGGTTGATAAGCCATTCAGCCAGGACCAGAGGCCAGCAATTTCTCTCATCCCATTGTCAGCCCCAATCTCATTTTCACTTACTTTATTGTCCCAGATCCCATAGCTACATGTCTTTGTGGACCTATCTAAGATCTGTGCTTGCCTCAATCTGAAACCAATTCTGAGCAAAGAGAATTATGATATCTTCTATCCAGGCACTGTACTAGGTAATCTAGCCACAACTCCTGGACTCTTCTGAACTTCATTACCCACCACATGTAATCTAGCTTAGGTCATCTTTGAAGCAGACAAAAAGTACCAAAACTGGGCACTTATTCCGGCTCTAACTCTTGGTCAGAGTTTCTAGCTTGGTTTCCTATTCAATTTCCACATCTAATGTTTCACCTCATCTCAAAGACTGGGCACTCATACTGAAGTCCAGCCAATGATAATTCCTTCAGGCTCACCACCATCTCTCCTTCCTATGGTGGATTTCTCCTCATTGTATCTCCCTATCCAGCTGATGTAAGATCTATTGTCCATTATCAGATCTAGAATCAACTGGCACACACCTATCCCGAGTATGGTCCATTATATTAATTTCCAAAGTTTTTTTTCCATCTGGCCTATTTTATTTTCTGGTTCCATCATGCTACTAAACCACTTCTAACCTTGGTTTAGCCCTTCTAGATACCTTCTTCAAGTTCAGACTCTAAGCCTATTCTGCATTCCTCCTATTTCAAGTATGTCTGCATGTCATGCCAATCTGCTACTGGCCCCAGATTGCTGAGAACCTATACAGTCTTACTTCCTTATATAGCCCTTTAGGAATACTTCTAGAGAAGGAATTCTAAAAATGTGTACTGTACATCAGTGGTATTGGAAGATATTCACTGAAAAAAAGTGGAGATTCATGATAAACAAAAATAAACCTAAGGCTCCTAGAAATCCTGTAGCATAAAAAGCACTATTTAACTGCTTAACTTAGTGGTTTTAAAACACATTCAGACTCATAACTCTTTCACAAAACAATCATCTCATAAGACTCACTTTGGGAGATGCTGGTCTACAATGTGCTCCTAAGTGATGTCCAGGCCTCAGTTTCAAAGTCTTCCTCAATTCTCTGGCTCTAGTAAATGAATTTCATAATTTAAAAATTCCTCACCCAGGATTCCAAGATGCCTATCTTCCTCCAAATGCATCTTCTCTTGGAATGTCTCATCTTGAAAGGCTTCATATCGCACTTTCCAGTAAGTGCCCCCAATTCGGCTGGAGCTCTTCTGGAAAAACTTATCTGAGATACTGATGTATAAAAAGGAAAATATGATATTATTTCATTAGGTATCAAATAGACTCCCATCTCACCCTTAGTCTCACCAAGTTATGAATCTTTATATTTAGGAAGGACCTCAGAGCTCATCTAAGTTAACTCCCACCAGTGAAGATATCTCCTTTGGTGGCACCACTAGAAAGTTATATACAGCTTCTGCTTGAGCCTTTCCAAAAATAGGAAACTCATATCCAGAGGAGACAATCTCCCTTACTGTTGGATATTTTAAATTATTGGAATTCTATTTTAGTGTAAGTTGGAATATTCTTGCTTATAATTTCCAGGCACTGGGACCAGTTCTGCCCTCCAGAGATTCATAGTCTACATCTGTCCTTAATCATCCTTAGGTATTAATAATCCTTTCACTCCAAAATGAAAGCCCACTATGTTAATAAGCCCAGCTGGAAATCGTAGAATCCATGCTGAGACTCAAACACCAACTTTCCTAAGTTTTCTCCAGATTTACTCTATTATTTCCTGCTAGAAGTATAACCATGAAGGATCTTCCCCCAACCCCTCTCTTAGTTACCTATCAAGTGCCTCCTCTGTGGAAGACCTGTCATCATCGATTTCCCAGTGAGTGGTATGACTTAAGACCCAGCAACTGAGTAGGGCACTAACCTCCTACTCTATCTTGCCCATATCTGGGTCATGGATGAGGCAGGAGAACTTGGAGAAATTCCTTCAAAAGAATGGGCATGTGATAGCCAAAAAGCAGGCTGCCTCTCTTCCTACATTTCTCAGAGTGCTTTTTATACCCCTGCTCAAATGCCTCATTCAGACTATAGAAAAGAAATGAAGGAGCAAGGAGGTAAATAATGGGTAAAGTGAAGAAACCTGGAATAAAAGCTATTTCAACTGATACAAGAACTGGTCCCACCTGGGCTTTCCTTTATGAAAATGGCCAGGAATTATAGTAGGACCAACTTCAAACTCTGTTTGGACCCTTTGTGGGGATATGGAATAACCCCACAAAAAGCTTTGCTACCTGTATCTCCCCAAGAGCAAGCTCTCCAGGGGGACACAAGAACTTGGCTAACAGTTGGTTCATGTAACCCCAGCCAGACAATGATTTGGATCCCTGAGTAAAGTGAGAGATTTCTGGAAGAAAGATAATAAATGTTTGGAGCTGGACCAATTAAAGAATTAAAGAGAGGGATCCCACTGCCTCTTACCTGCCTGGCTCTCTCAAATTCTTCCCAGTACTCCCATCATGCCCCATCGGGCCATAGTCCCATTGAATCTCATGGGCCTCAATGAAGTACTGTCGAACTTTGCCTGTGAGCAGGTCCACAGGAGGGGCCATGGAGCAAGACTTGACCTTGTAGAGTGCCTGCATGCCATCTGAAGGAAGAACATTATGGCTGACCCCATTCTATCCAATAGGATTTTAACCCAGAGGACTCACCTTCCTCCTTCTGTTAGTGTTTCCTCCACCCACCCTCCACTACTCTCTTTACTCCTGCTCCAAAATGGGCCGCTTTCTCTCACTCTTAAAGTGCATGGCTGAGAGAGAGAGTCCAGGGTAGAATTCAGGTACCTCCACTTGCTTATACCACCACTGATGCATTTACTAGATACTCATTCCTGCCTCTTCATAAAGGCTCACATTGTAGCAACATCACAGAGACAGAAGTAAGGAAACTCGAGTTCAAGCCCAAGCTTTAAGCACTATCTGTAGGACCTTAGGCAAGTCACTTCCTCAATCTGAGCTTCCCTCTTTTGCCAAAGGAGAGAATAGGAAAATCCACCTCATGGGGCTGGTAGGAGCATCAAATTTAAAATAGGGGTTAATTATTTGTAAACTGGGAAGCTCCCAAAATAATAGAACATCTTCTATCAGTGAAGATAAAGCTTCAGACTTGGGACCGTAAGGAAAATGTAGATTCTAAGTAGTGTTTTCAAATGTGGAATATACTACATTGCGTCACAATGGCAATGGATGGTACTGTCTTATATTGGCTTAGCAACTTATAGAGGTCACTCAGCTATATTATTTTATTAGCATCCCACAGCATCCCAGGGAGATTTGAAATTTGTAAATTAGAAACTTGAGGTATGATGAAGGGAGAGGAAAAAATATTTATTTTCTTCAACATGTATTATGTTAGGTAGGTTCTGTGTCAGGTGCTTTACATCTTTTTTAAAATTTCAGTCCCAGGGAGTACATATGTTATCTCTATCAATCCTTACAACCATTGTATGAAATAGACTTTTAATGTCCCCTTTTGCGGATGAAGAAAACTAAAGGTCAGACAGGTTAAATAACTTGCCCAAGGTTGCACAGCTAGTCAGAGGTGGAGTTGAGAGTTAAACTCTCATCTTTCAACTACAGATCTTAATTGTTCATTTTATTTTCTTATATCTACTATCTTGTTTATATCATCCCCCTATTCTCTAAGATCCAAAATCACATTTTTACTCTAAAACCTCATTACAATTTTATGAGGTATACATCACTACTTCTATTAAGAGGCTCAGAGAAGTGAAATGATTTATCAAAGGTGGCTAAACAAGTGATGGAACGAGGATTTGAATCCAAGCATGTCTGTCTCTAAGGTCTATGCTTATTCCACTATCATGCTGCATCTCTAATCCCAATCCATATTTATACTCTCTTACCTAGGAAGCTTTGGGGCTAAGACATACCCTGGATAATGGAGTACATGTAACTGTCCCCTATTGTGTCAAACCTAACACCCAAGATTTATTATCCTATTAGTCTACAACTCCTAACCTACTAAAATCCACTTCAAGTACTCACATATCATTTTTCTGACACCCTTCTAATTTACCATAAATCAAATAATTCTAGAAAATGACAGCTGAAGAGGATTTAAGAGACGATTTAGACCAACTTTCCCATTTTACGGATGTGGCAAATGTGACCTAGAAATGGAAAGACACCTGTCTAAAGTCATATAAAGTTTTTCACAAACTTAAGACTACCATTCAAACCTAACCACTTATCTACTATTCTTTCCATTGCTTCATACGCTCTTCCTCCCCTCTGATGCATCTGATGCTCCTCAATACATTGCTCTGCAATGACATTAATGTTTCTCCCTTTGAAAATAAAACCTTCCACTCCTACTTCTATTGAGTTCCAACCAGAGTGTAACTATGTACCCACAATACACCATGATCTCCTACAGAAATGTTACTCTCTTTTAATTAATCTCTCCTTCACTCCCTGTTCAATATGTTGAAAATGTCTCCAGGTATTAATTGTTTAGAATTCTAAGCAAATAATAAAAAGCTGATTAAAAGTCTACTTATCCATCCCCAGGCTGTCTTATGTTCAAGATGGGGAAGATTAAACACAGAGAGATGTGCCCAAAGTTATCCAGCAAGTTTCCCAGCAGATTCAGGAAAAAACCTGGGTCCCCTGACTTCTAATCTAGTGTGCTATCCTTTATCCCAAGATGCCTCAACTGGAGGACTTATTTATGGCTTCAGGCCAGAAACCCAGCCTCCCTTGACCATTATCATACCTCTCTCTTACAACCCAATGGTCAGAAATGTTGGATCTCACCTCGAAAGTGACTGTTCACTTGGCAGCTAATTAACCAGGTACCAGGTTCCCAGGGCACCATCTCAGCAGTCACAAAGGTGGCTGGAAAGATGTTAGCCACATCAGTGTGGTGTCCACGGGTAGTCAGCATCTGTCCATGGAAAAATGCTGTGTGGACATCAATTTCATTGCCCATGCCAAACAAGTGCCAGGCCACACGTTTCTGTGCACACATGTTCAGCTCAGGTAAATTCCCAAAAACAAAGCCATTGATTGCTGCAAAAGAAAACCCAAAGAAAATATCAGGATTAGGAAAGGACAGCCAAATGGAAGAAGCCTTACCATTTGACAATAATAGATAATATTTAAATGAGGTTATAAACAGCACACTGTGTTGACCTATGTATTATCTTCTTTAAATCTCAAAAACATCCCTGAGAAATAGGCAGATATCATTAGTCTCATTAAAAAAGAGAGAGAGAGAGAAAACCAAGACTCAGAGAGGTGAAGTTACTTCTTTCCCAATGCCATAGAGCTAATAAATGCTTACAGCCAATATTCCAAACCAGAAATGTGAAGAAGCTCTCTAAGGAATTTAGTTATTTTGCAGGCTATTCTTTCAGGGTGGTTTCATTCTAAAAATTTCCACAGGACAATTGTCAAATTGGCTGACTAATTAACATGGCTTTTATAATCAATTGGTATAAAATTCAAGAAAAAGTTGAGCTATCCAAGCCATCCTTTACATCTTCCTTCTGAATTTCCACCTCCTTTGGGGACTGTATGGTTTTTAGCCCACCCCTGTCATGAATGGCCAGTAAATGACTTCCTTAATGAAACAAAAACAAAACTGACTTGTTTATATTCCTAAAATCAGTTCAATATTCATGCCTCGGTTCTTCTGTGCCTTTAGTTTCTTTTTCAATTTAATTAATATGGTCAATGTCCTTATAGACATAAGCACAGAGTACGATGGGAGATATAAGCAAGGTAGCTTGAAAGAAACCATTTTTCTCCACAAAGTGGATAATTCTGCTAACTTCTTCCTTTTTAAAACAAATCAATATTGATTAATTGTATCAGTGGGCAACCCACAGCAAAGTAATTGACCATATACTATATAACTTTAGACTGTGTGCTATTCCACATTATGAGGCAGAATAGCCTAATGGCAAGAGCACAATCTATGCAGTCAGAGAGACCAAGGTTGGAATTTTAGCTGTGCCATTTATCTGCTGCATAATCTTAGGAGCCTCAGTGTCCTCACATGTAAAACAGGGAAGAGCCATCTACTACTCCTTGCCCTCGTGATGACTAAAAAGGACTATGTATGTGAAAGCATCCACCAAATACTAGGCCCAGTGGATACCCTCCAACAATGTTCCCTGTCACAATGTGGCCACCTTTTCCCAACTCACCATGCATCCTATTGCTCTCCTGAAATGTCTCATCTTCTTTGTCCACTGAAGCAGGATCTGAGCAGTAAGTGGCAATGTTCTCATTGAGATGCCAGCTGAGGTTCTCATCTACCACACTGAAGAGGAGGAAGAAATCATGGTCTACATCCTGGCGTTGAGGAGGGGAGTTCCCATCCAGGGCTCCTAGGGCAAGTAAGACAGTTTCCCTTGAGAAGATCCTTTCCTTAGCAATAGTAAGCTGAAAGGGGTACTCATAAGAAAGGAATAGAAAGAGAGGGGTCTTAAGAATCTGTAAGCAACAGAAAAGCAGAAATAACCCTCTTAGATTAATTTCCATTTCCAAACTCCCCATTTAAAACCACCAATTCAGTTGAACCTAGGACTTGATGTTAGGACACATAGGATCTACAATAATTCCCTCCTACCATCCCTGCCTATGTCTTCAACCCAGGGCCTGAACCTGACCACATTCCTGCCACCCTCTGGTCTTCAAGTCTGACATATCCTATTATCAGCAAAATCCTCCAAAACCCTGATGACCACACTTTCAATCTTATCCATATCTAAACTCTTACTACATATCTGATTTCAATGCGACTTGACTCCTATAATGACTAATTTGAGATTTAAAAGTGAAGCAAGAAAAAAAATAAAAAGGAGAAAAGTTTGGTGTTTTGTTGTTTTTAATAACAATAATTTTAAAAAAGGTTCGTAGGATCATCATGGTGGACAAGAGTCAGGAGTAATTGCAGCTCAGACTCGGATGGACAGAGCAGCATGTGGAGGCTTGCATCATGAATTTTGGCTCCAGCACCCTTCATGAACACACCAGGAATCCCAAGAGGACCCACAGACCCTCTGAAGGAAATGGACTGCTCCTGCAGGACCCGGGAGACACCCCAAATACTGTGCTGGTATTCACAGCAGAGAGACCCATACACAGTTCGCATCACAGGACTCTGTGCAGACAACCTCCAGTATCAGCCCAGAGCCAGGTAGACTTGCTGGGTGGCTAGACCCAAAAGAGAGATAACAATCACTGCAGCTCAGCTCACAGGAAGCCACATCCATAAAAAAGGAGGGAGAGATGGGGGAACACCCTTTGAGACAAAAGAATCTGAAGAACAGCCTTCAGCCCTAGAGTTTCCCTCTGACAGAGCCCACTCAAATGAGAAGGAACCAGAAACCCAACTCAGGTAATATGACAAAACAAGGTTCTTTAACACCCCAAAAAAATCACACTAGCTCACCAGCAATGGATCCAAGCCAAGATAAAAAAAAATCCCTGATTTACCTGAAAACGAATTCAGGAGGTTAGTTATTAAGCTAATCAGGGAGGCACCAGAGAAAGGTGAAGCCCAGTGAAAGGAAATAATAAAAACAACAACAACAACAAAAAAAATAAGAAGTGAAGGGATAAATATTCAAGGAAATAGATAGCATAGCATAAAGAAAAAACAATCAAAACTTCAGGAAACACTGGACACACTTATAGAAATGCAAAATCCTCTGGAAAGTCTCATCAATAGAATTGAACAAGTAGAAGAAAAAAATTCAGAGTCTGAAGACAAGGTCTTCAAATTAACCCAATCCAACAAAGACAAAGAAAAAAGAATAAGAAAAAATGAACAAAGCCCCTACGAAGTCTGAGATTATGTTAAATGACCAAACCTAAAGAATAATTGGTATTCCTAAGGAAGAAGGGAATTCTAAAAGTTTTGAAAACATATTTGGAGGAGCAATAGGGGAAAACTTCCCTGGCCTTGATAGAGGCCTAGACATCCAAATACAAGAAGCACAAAGAACACCTGGGGGAGGAGGAGCAAAGATGGCCGAATAGGAACAGCTCCGGTCTACAGCTCCCAGCGTGAGCGACGCAGAAGACGGGTGATTTCTGCATTTCCATCTGAGGTACCGGGTTCATCTCACTAGGGAGTGCCAGACAGTGGGCGCAGGCCAGTGTGTGTGCGCACCATGCGCGAGCCGAAGCAGGGCAAGGCATTGCCTCACCGGGAAGCACAAGGGGTCAGGGAGTTCCCTTTCTGAGTCAAAGAAAGGGGTGATGGACGCACCTGGAAAATCGGGTCACTCCCACCCGAATATTGCGCTTTTCAGACCGGCTTAAGAAACCGCGCACCACGAGACTATATCCCACAACTGGCTCAGAGGGTCCTACGCCCACGGAATCTCGCTGATTGCTAGCACAGCAGTCTGAGATCAAACTGCAAGGCGGCAACGAGGCTGGGGGAGGGGCGCCCGCCATTGCCCAGGCTTGCTTAGGTAAACAAAGCAGCCTGGAAGCTCGAACTGGGGGGAGCCCACCACAGCTCAAGGAGGCCTGCCTGCCTCTGTAGGCTCCACCTCTGGGGGCAGGGCACAGACAAACAAAAAGACAGCAGTAACCTCTGCAGACTTAAGTGTCCCTGTCTGACAGCTTTGAAGAGAGCAGTGGTTCTCCCAGCACGCAGCTGGAGATCTGAGAACGGGCAGACTGCCTCCTCAAGTGGGTCCCTGACCCCTGACCCCCGAGCAGCCTAACTGGGAGGCACCCCCCAGCAGGGGCACACTGACACCTCACACGGCAGGGTATTCCAACAGACCTGCAGCTGAGGGTCCTGTCTGTTAGAAGGAAAACTAACAAACAGAAAGGACATCTACACCGAAAACCCATCTGTACATCACCATCATCAAAGACCAAAAGTAGATAAAACCACAAAGATGGGGAAAAAACAGAACAGAAAAACTGGAAACTCTAAAACGCAGAGCGCCTCTCCTCCTCCAAAGGAACGCAGTTCTGCACCAGCAACAGAACAAAGCTGGATGGAGAATGATTTTGACGAGCTGAGAGAAGAAGGCTTCAGACGATCAAATTACTCTGAGCTACGGGAGGACATTCAAACCAAAGGCAAAGAAGTTGAAAACTTTGAAAAAAATTTAGAAGAATGTATAACTAGAATAACCAATACAGAGAAGTGCTTAAAGGAGCTGATGGAGCTGAAAACCAAGGCTCGAGAACTACGTGAAGAATGCAGAAGCCTCAGGAGCCGATGCGATCAACTGGAAGAAAGGGTATCAGCAATGGAAGATGAAATGAATGAAATGAAGCGAGAAGGGAAGTTTAGAGAAAAAAGAATAAAAAGAAATGAGCAAAGCCTCCAAGAAATATGGGACTATGTGAAAAGACCAAATCTACGTCTGATTGGTGTACCTGAAAGTGATGTGGAGAATGGAACCAAGTTGGAAAACACTCTGCAGGATATTATCCAGGAGAACTTCCCCAATCTAGCAAGGCAGGCCAACGTTCAGATTCAGGAAATACAGAGAACGCCACAAAGATATTCCTCGAGAAGAGCAACTCCAAGACACATAATTGTCAGATTCACCAAAGTTGAAATGAAGGAAAAAATGTTAAGGGCAGCCAGAGAGAAAGGTCAGGTTACCCTCAAAGGAAAGCCCATCAGACTAACAGCGGATCTCTCGGCAGAAACCCTACAAGCCAGAAGAGAGTGGGGGCCAATATTCAACATTCTTAAAGAAAAGAATTTTCAACCCAGAATTTCATATCCAGCCAAACTAAGCTTCATAAGTGAAGGAGAAATAAAATACTTTATAGACAAGCAAATGCTGAGAGATTTTGTCACCACCAGGCCTGCCCTAAAAGAGCTCCTGAAGGAAGCGCTAAACATGGAAAGGAACAACCGGTACCAGCTGCTGCAAAATCATGCCAAAATGTAAAGACCATCGAGACTAGGAAGAAACTGCATCAACTAATGAGCAAAATCACCAGCTAACATCATAATGACAGGATCAAATTCACACATAACAATATTAACTTTAAATATAAATGGACTAAATTCTGCAATTAAAAGACACAGACTGGCAAGTTGGATAAAGAGTCAAGACCCATCAGTGTGCTGTATTCAGGAAACCCATCTCATGTGCAGAGACACACATAGGCTCAAAATAAAAGGATGGAGGAAGATCTACCAAGCCAATAGAAAACAAAAAAAGGCAGGGGTTGCAATCCTAGTCTCTGATAAAACAGACTTTAAACCAACAAAGATCAAAAGAGACAAAGAAGGCCATTACATAATGGTAAAGGGATCAATTCAACAAGAGGAGCTAACTATCCTAAATATTTATGCACCCAATACAGGAGCACCCAGATTCATAAAGCAAGTCCTCAGTGACCTACAAAGAGACTTAGACTCCCACACATTAATAATGGGAGACTTTAACACCCCACTGTCAACATTAGACAGATCAACGAGACAGAAAGTCAACAAGGACACCCAGGAATTGAACTCAGCTCTGCACCAAGCAGACCTAATAGACATCTACAGAATTCTCCACCCCAAATCAACAGAATATACATTTTTTTCAGCACCACACCACACCTATTCCAAAATTGACCACATAGTTGGAAGTAAAGCTCTCCTCAGCAAATGTAAAAGAACAGAAATTATAACAAACTATCTCTCAGACCACAGTGCAATCAAACTAGAACTCAGGATTAAGAATCTCACTCAAAGCCGCTCAACTACATGGAAACTGAACAACCTGCTCCTGAATGACTACTGGGTACATAACGAAATGAAGGCAGAAATAAAGATGTTCTTTGAAACCAACGAGAACAAAGACACCACATACCAGAATCTCTGGGACGCATTCAAAGCAGTGTGTAGAGGGAAATTTATAGCACTAAATGCCTACAAGAGAAAGCAGGAAAGATCCAAAATTGACACCCTAACATCACAATTAAAAGAACTAGAAAAGCAAGAGCAAACACATTCAAAAGCTAGCAGAAGGCAAGAAATAACTAAAATCAGAGCAGAACTGAAGGAAATAGAGACACAAAAAACCCTTCAAAAAATTAATTAATCCAGGAGCTGGTTTTTTGAAAGGATCAACAAAATTGATAGACCGCTAGCAAGACTAATAAAGAAAAAAAGAGAGAAGAATCAAATAGACACAATAAAAAATGATAAAGGGGATATCACCACCGATCCCACAGAAATACAAACTACCATCAGAGAATACTATAAACACCTCTACGCAAATAAACTAGAAAATCTAGAAGAAATGGATACATTCCTCGACACATACACTCTCCCAAGACTAAACCAGGAAGAAGTTGAATCTCTGAATAGACCAATAACAGGCTCCGAAATTGTGGCAATAATCAATAGTTTACCAACCAAAAAGAGTCCAGGACCAGATGGATTCACAGCCGAATTCTACCAGAGGTACAAGGAGGAACTGGTACCATTCCTTCTGAAACTATTCCAATCAATAGAAAAAGAGGGAATCCTCCCTAACTCATTTTATGAGGCCAGCATCATTCTGATACCAAAGCTGGGCAGAGACACAACCAAAAAAGAGAATTTTAGACCAATATCCTTGATGAACATTGATGCAAAAATCCTCAATAAAATACTGGCAAACTGAATCCAGCAGCACATCAAAAAGCTTATCCACCATGATCAAGTGGGCTTCATCCCTGGGATGCAAGGCTGGTTCAATATACGCAAATCAATAAATGTAATCCAGCATATAAACAGAGCCAAAGACAAAAACCACATGATTATCTCAATAGATGCAGAAAAAGCCTTTGACAAAATTCAACAACCCTTCATGCTAAAAACTCTCAATAAATTAGGTATTGATGGGACGTATCTCAAAATAATAAGAGCTATCTATGACAAACCCACAGCCAATATCATACTGAATGGGCAAAAACTGGAAGCATTCCCTTTGAAAACTGGCACAAGACAGGGATGCCCTCTCTCACCGCTCCTATTCAACATAGTGTTGGAAGTTCTGGCCAGGGCAATCAGGCAGGAGAAGGAAATAAAGGGTATTCAATTAGGAAAAGAGGAAGTCAAATTGTCCCTGTTTGCAGACGACATGATTGTTTATCTAGAAAACCCCATCGTCTCAGCCCAAAATCTCCTTAAGCTGATAAGCAACTTCAGCAAAGTCTCAGGATACAAAATCAATGTACAAAAATCACAAGCATTCTTATACACCAACAACAGACAAACAGAGAGCCAAATCATGGGTGAACTCCCATTCACAATTGCTTCAAAGAGAATAAAATACCTAGGAATCCAACTTACAAGGGATGTGAAGGACCTCTTCAAGGAGAACTACAAACCACTGCTCAAGGAAATAAAAGAGGACACAAACAAATGGAAGAACATTCCATGCTCATGGGTAGGAAGAATCAATATCGTGAAAATGGCCATACTGCCCAAGGTAATTTACAGATTCAATGCCATCCCCATCAAGCTACCAATGACTTTCTTCACAGAATTGGAAAAAACTACTTTAAAGTTCATATGGAACCAAAAAAGAGCCCGCATCGCCAAGTCAATCCTAAGCCAAAAGAACAAAGCTGGAGGCATCACACTACCTGACTTCAAACGATACTACAAGGCTACAGTAACCAAAACAGCATGGTACTGGTACCAAAACAGAGATATAGATCAATGGAACAGAACAGAGCCCTCAGAAATAATGCCGCATATCTACAACTATCTTATCTTTGACAAACCTGAGAAAAACAAGCAATGGGAAAAGGATTCCCTATTTAATAAATGGTGCTGTGAAAACTGGCTAGCCATATGTAGAAAGCTGAAACTGGATCCCTTCCTTACACCTTATACAAAAATCAATTCAAGATGGATTAAAGATTTAAACTTTAGACCTAAAACCATAAAAACCCTAGAAGAAAACCTAGGCATTACCATTCAGGACATAGGCGTGGGCAAGGACTTCATGTCCAAAACACCAAAAGCAATGGCAACAAAAGCCAAAATTGACAAATGGGATCTAATTAAACTAAAGAGCTTCTGCACAGCAAAAGAAACTACCATCAGAGTGAACAGGCAACCTACAACATGGGAGAAAATTTTCGCAACCTACTCATCTGACAAAGGGCTAATATCCAGAATCTACAATGAACTCAAACAAATTTACAAGAAAAAAACAAACAACCCCATCAAAAAGTGGGCGAAGGACATGAACAGACACTTCTCAAAAGAAGACATTTATGCAGCCAAAAAACACATGAAGAAATGCTCATCATCACTGGCCATCAGAGAAATGCAAATCAAAACCACTATGAGATATCATCTCACACCAGTTAGAATGGCAATCATTAAAAAGTCAGGAAACAACAGGTGCTGGAGAGGATGTGGAGAAATAGGAACACTTTTACACTGTTGGTGGGACTGTAAACTAGTTCAACCATTGTGGAAGTCAGTGTGGCGATTCCTCAGGGATCTAGAACTAGAAATACCATTTGACCCAGCCATCCCATTACTGGGTATATACCCAAAGGACTATAAATCATGCTGCTATAAAGACACATGCACACATATGTTTATTGCGGCACTATTCACAATAGCAAAGACTTGGAACCAACCCAAATGTCCAACAATGATAGACTGGATTAAGAAAATGTGGCACATATACACCATGGAATACTATGCAGCCATAAAAAATGATGAGTTCATGTCCTTTGTAGGGACATGGATGAAACTGGAAACCATCATTCTCAGTAAACTATCGCAAGAACAAAAAAACCAAATACCGCATATTCTCACTCATAGGTGGGAATTGAACAATGAGATCACATGGACACAGGAAGGGGAATATCACACTCTGGGGACTGTGGTGGGGTCGGGGGAGGGGGGAGGGATAGCATTGGGAGATATACCTAATGCTAGATGACACGTTAGTGGGTGCAGCGCACCAGCATGGCACATGTATACATATGTAACTAACCTGCACAATGTGCACATGTACCCTAAAACTTAGAGTATAATTAAAAAAAAAAAAAAAATTCACACAGCTGTACAAACAAATAATGACTGAAAAAAAAAAATACAGCTGTGAAAAAAAAAAAAAAGAACACCTGGGAAATTCATTACAAAAAGATTATCACCTAGGTACATTGCCATCAGGTTATCTAAAGTTAAGACAAAGAAGGAAAGAATCTTAAGAGCTGTGAGACAAAAACACCAGGTCACCTATAAAGGAAAACCTATCAGATAAACAGCATATTTCTCAGCAGAAACTCTACAAGCTAGAAGGGATTGGGGCCCTATCTTCAGCTTCCACAAACAAAACAATTATCAGCCGAGAATTCTGTATCCAGCAAAACTAAGCATCATATATGAAGGAAAGATGCAGTCATTTTCAGACAAACATACGCTGAGAGAATTTGCCACTACCAAGCCACCACTACAAGAACTGCTAAAAGGAGCTCTAAATCTTGAAACAAATCCAGGAAATACATAAAAATGGAACCTCTTGAAGGCATAAATCAATCACACAGGATCTATGAAACAAAAATAAAATTTGAAAAGCAAAAACAAAAAAATAAAAAAAAAACAAGGTACACAGGCAACAAATAGCATGATGAATGCTATGGTACCTCATATCTCAATACTAACATTGAATGTAAATGGCCTAAATGCCCCACTTAAAAAATACAAAAATGCAGAATGGAAAAGAAGTCACCAACCATCTCCTGCTTCAGGAGACTCACCTAACACATAAGGACTCACATAAACTTAAAGTCAAGGGGTGGAAATAGGCATTTCGTGCAAAAGGAAACCAAAAGTGAGTAGGAGAAGCTATTCTTATATCAGACAAAACAGACATGAAAGCAACAACAGTTAAAAGAGACAAAGAGGGCCATTATATTATGATAAAAGGCCTTGTTCAACAGAAAAATATTACAATCCTAAACATATATGCACCTAACACTGGAGCTCCCAAATTTATAAAACAATTACTAATAGACCTAAGAAATGCCATAGATAGAAACACAATAATAGTGGGAGAAACACAATAATAGTGGGAGACTTCAATACTCCACTGACAGCACTAGACAGGTCACCAAGACAGAAAGTCAACAAAGAAACAGTGGATTTAAACTATACCTTGGAACAAATAGGCTTAACAGATACATACAGAATATTTCATCCAATACTGCCCAAGGTAATTTATAGATTCAATGTCATCTCCATCAAGGTACCAATGACTTTCTTCACAGAATTGGAAAAAACTACTATAAAGTTCATAAGGAACCAAAAAAGAGCCCGCATTGCCAAGTCAATCCTAAGCAAAAAGAACAAAGCTGGAGGCATGACGCTACCTGACTTCAAACTACACTACAAGGCTACAGTAACCAAAACAGCATGGTACTGGTACCAAAACAGAGATATAGACCAATGAAAAACAACAGAGCCCTCAGAAATAATACCACATATCTACAACCATCTGATCTTTGACAAACCTGACAAAAACAAGAAATGGCGAAAGGATTCCCTGTTTAATAAATGGTGCTGGGAAAACTGGCTAGCCATATGTAGAAAGCTGAAACTGGATCCCTTCCTTACACCTTATACAAAAATTAATTCAAGATGAATTAAAGACTTAAATGTTAGATCTAAAACCATAAAAACCCTAGAAGAAAACCTAGGCAATACCATTTAGGACATAGGCATGGGCAAGGACTTCATGTCTAAAACACCAAAAGCAATGGTAACAAAAGCCAAAATTGGCAAATGGGATGTAACTAAACTAAAGAGCTTCTACACAGCAAAAGAAACTACCACCAGAGTGAACATGCAACCTACAGAATGGGAAAAAATTTTTGCAATCTACTCATCTGACAAAGGGATAATATCCAGAATCTACAAATAATTCAAACAAATTTACAAGAAAAAAATAAACAACCCCATCAAAAAGTGGGCGAAGGATATGAACAGACACTTCTCAAAAGAAGACATTTATGCAGCCAAAAGACACATGAAAAAATGCTCATCATCACTGGCCATCAGAGAAATGCAAATCAAAACCACAATGAGATACCATCCCACACCAGTTAGAATGGCAATCATTAAAAAGTCAGGAAACAACAGGTGCTGGAGAGGATGTGGAGAAATAGGAACACTCTTACACTGTTGGTGGGACTACAAACTAGTTCATCCATTGTGGAAGACAGTGTGGTGATTCCTCAAGGATCTAGAACTAGAAATGCCATTTGACCCAGCCATCCCATTACTGGGTATATACCCAAAGGATTATAAATCATGCTGCTATAAAGACACATGCACACGCATGTTTATTGCGGCATTATTCACAATAGCAAAGACTTGGAACCAACCTAAATGTCCATCAGTGATAGACTGGATTAAGAAAATGTGGCACATATACACCATGGAATACTATGCAGCCATAAAAAAGGATGAGTTCATGTCCTTTGTAGGGACATAGATGAAGCTGGAAACCATCATTCTTAGCAAACTATTGCAAGGACAAAAAACCAAACACTGCATGTTCTCACTCATAGGTGGGAATTGAACAATGAGAACACTTGGACACAGGAAAGGGAACATCACACACTGGGGCCTGTCATGGGGTGGGGGGATGTGGGAGGGATAGCATTAGGAGATATACCTAATGTAAATGACAAGTTAATGGGTGCAGCACACCAACATGGCACATGTATACATATGTAACAAACCTGCACGTTGTGCACATGTACCCTAGAACTTAAAGTATAATAAAAAAAAAATTCTTCAATCTGATTGACAATAATAACACAACCTATAAAAACCAAACCTCTGGGATACAGCAAAAGTGGTGCTAAAAGGGAAGTTCATAGCTCTAAACGCCTACATCAAAAAGATTGAAAGAGTGCAAACTGACATTCTAAGGTCACACCTCAAGGAACTAGAGAAACAAGAACAAACCAAACCCAAACCCTAGAGATGAAAGGAAATAACCAATATCAAGAGAAAAACTAAATGAAATTGAAACAAAAAAACTACAAGATAAATGAAACAAAAAGCTGGTTCTTTGAAAAAAATAAATAAAATTGATAGATCATTAGCAAGATTAACCAAGAAAAGAAGAGGGAAAATCCAAATGACCTCATTAAGAAATGAAACGTTAAGATATTACAACTGACACCACAGAAATACAAAAGATTCAAGGCTACTATGAACACCTTTCTGCACATAAACTAGAAACCTAAATGAGATGGATAAATTCCTGTAAAAATACAATCCTCCTAGATTAAACCAGGAAGAATTAGGTACCTTGAATACACCAGTAACAGGCAGCAAGATTAAAATGGCAGTTAAAAAAATTACCAACCAAAAAAGTCAGGACTAGATGGATTCACCATGGAATCCTACCAGACATTCAAAGAAGAATTGGTACCAATCCTTTTGACACTATTTCACAAGAGAGAGAAAGAGGAAACCCTCCTTAATTCATTCTATGAAGCCAGCATCACCCTAATACCAAAACCAGGAAAGAACATAACCAGAAAAGAAAACTACAGACCATCTGTTCATATCCTTCGCCCACTTTTTGATGGGGTTGTTTGTTTTTTTCTTGTAAATTTGTTTGAGTTCATTGTAGATTCTGGATATTAGCCCTTCGTCAGATGAGTAGGTTGCAAAAATTTTCTTCCATTCTGTAGGTTGCCTGTTCACTCTGATGGTAGTTTCTTTTGCTGTGCAGAAGCTCTTTAGTTTAATTAGATCCCATTTGTCAATTTTGGCTTTTGTTGCCATTGCTTTTGGTGTTTTAGACATGAAGTCCTTGCCCATGCCTATGTCCTGAATGGTATTGCCTAGGTCACATATACACCATGGAATACTACGCAGCCATAAAAAATGATGAGTTCATGTCCTTTGTAGGGACATGGATGAAGCTGGAAACCATCATTCTCAGCAAACTATCACAAGGACAAAAAAACCAAACACCGCATGTTCTCAATCATAGGTGGGAATTGAACAATGAGAACACATGGACACAGGAATGGGAACATCACACACCAGGGACTGTTGTGGGGTGGGGAGAGGGGGGAGGGATAGCATTAGGAGATATACCTAATGCTAAATGATGAGGTAATGGGTGCAGCGCACCAACATGGCACATGTATACATATGTAACAAACCTGTACATTGTGCACATGTACCCTAAAACTTAAAGTATGATAATAATAAAAAGAAAAAAAGGAAAACTACAGACCGATATCCCTGATGAACATAGGTCCTAAAATCCTTAGCAAAATACAAGCTAATGGAATCCAACAACATAACAAAAAGATGATCCACTGTGATCAAGTGGGTTTCATACTCACTTGATGCATATGAAAGGAATGCAAGGATGGTTTAACATATGCAAGTCAATATGTGTGATGCACCACATGAACAGAATTTTTAAAAAATTACATGATCATCACAATAGATGCAGAAAATGCATTCAACAAAATCCAACATTACATTATGATTAAAACTCTCAGCAAAATTGGTATACAAGGGACATACTCCAATGTAATAAAAGCCATATATGACAAACCCACAGCCAACATTATACTGAATGTGGAAAAGTTGAAAGCATTCCCTTTGAGAACTGGAATAAGACAAGGATGCCCACTCTCACCACTCCTCTTCAACTTAGTACTGGAAATGCTAGCCAGAGCAATCAGACAAGAGAAAGAAATAAAGGGCCTCTAAATATGTAAAGAGGAAGTCAAACTGTCACTGTTTGCTGACAATATGATAGTTTACCTTGAAAACCCTAAAGACTCCTCCAGAAAGCTTCTAGAACTGATAAAAGAATTCAGTAAAGTTTCTGGATATAAGATTAATGTACAAAATCAGTAGCTCTTCTATACACTACCATTGACCAAGCAGGGAATCAAATCAAGAACTCAACCCCTTTTACAATAGCTGAAAAAATAAATACATACATACATACTTAGGAATATACCTAACTGAGGAGGTGAAAGACCTCTACAAGGAGAACTACAAAACACTGCAGAAAAAAATCATGGATGACACAAACAAATGGAAACACATCTCCTGCTCATGGATGGGTAGGATCAATATTGTGAAAATAACCACACTGCCAAAAGCAATCTACAAATTCAATGCAATTCCCATCAAAATACCACCATCATTCTTCACAGAATTGGAAAAAACAATTCTAAAATTCAGATGGAACCAAAAAAGCGCCTGCATAGCCAAAGCAAGACTAAGCAAAAAAAACAAATCTGGAGGCATCACACTACCTGATTTCAAACTATACTATAATGCCATTTCACCAAAACAGCATGGTACTGGTATAAAAATAGGCACTTGGACCAGTGGAACAGAATAGAGAACTCAGAAATAAACCCAAACACTTACAGCCAACTGATCTTTGACAAATCAAACAAAAACATAAAGTGTAGAAAGGACACCATTTTCGACAAATGGTACTGAGATAATTGGCTAGCCACATGTAAGAGAAACTGGATCCTTAACGCTCACCTTATACAAAAATCAAATGAAGATGAATTAAGGACTTAAATCTAAAACCTGAAACTATAAAAATTCTAGAAGAAAACATTAGATAAACCCTTGTAGACATTGGCTTAGGCAAGGATTTCATGACCAAGAACCCAAAGGCAAATGCAATCAAAACAAACACTTGGGACTTAATTAAACTAAAGAGTTTTTGCACGCCAACAGGAACAGTCAACAGAGTAAACAGACAACCCATAGAGTGGGAAAAAATCTTCACAATCCATACGTCTGACAAAGGACTAACATCCAGAATCTACAATGAACTCAAACAAATCAACAATAAAAAAATAAACAATCCCATCAAAAAGTGGGCTAAGAACATGAATAGACAATTCTCACAAGAAGATATACAAATGGCCAACAAACATATGAAAAAATCCTCAACATCACTAATGATTAGGGAAATGCAAGTCAAAACCACAATGCGCTACTACCTTACTCTTGCAAGAATGACCATAATCAAAAAAAAATCAAAAAACAGTAGATGTTGGCTTGGATGTGGTGAACAGGGAACAGCTACTTTTACACTGTTGGTGGGAATGTAAACTAGTAGAGCCACAAGGAAAACAGTGTGGAGATTGCTTAATGAATTAAAAGTAGAATTACCATTTGATCCAGCAATCCCACTATTGGGCATCTACCCAGAGGAAAAGAAGTCATTATACAAAAAAGATACTTGCACATGCATGTTTATAGTGGCACAATTCACAATTGCAAAATCATGGAACCAACTCACATACCCATCAATCAACAAGTGAATCAAGAAACCGTGGTACATATATACGATGGACTACTACTCAGCAATAAAAAGGAATGAATTAACGGCATCTGCAGCGACCTGAATGAGATTGGAGACTATTATTCTAAGTGAAGTAACTCAGGAATGGAAAACTAAACATTGTATGTTCTCACTGACATGTGGAAGCTAAACTGTGAGGGTGCAAAAGAATAAGAATGATACAATGGACTTTGGGGATTTGGGGAAAAGGCTGGGGGGGCACGAGGGATAAAAGACTACAAACAGGGTGTAGTGTATAGTGCTCAGGAGATAGGTGCACCAAAATCTCACAAATCACCGCTAAACAACTTATTCATGTAACCAAATACCACCTGTACCACAATAACCTATTGAAAAAAAAATTGTTCCTAACCCACAAACAAAGAAAAAAAGTAATGAAATTGCAAAAAAAAAAATAGTGCAAAGTGAGTTTAGCAGAGATTTTTCTTGCTAATAAACAAGAGTGCTGAATTAGCACTCCTCAGGCTGCTGTCCAATATGTAGGTGGTTCAACCATATCACTGCTACCCCTAGATGTCCCAAACTACACCTCATAGCTTATCCTTGGGACCTGTACCTCTTTTACAGGTGATGAGAGGCCCAATTAGGCCAGTTGCAATGTCTCGTGGAGCATCTACATGAGAATGGTAGATCCAGGTGAGGCACGCTGGGTCAGCATCGGTGGGTGCATGGCCTTCTGGAATGGTCCAGTTGTAGATATGGCTGCCCCCCGGGGGAACAGAGTCATCAGCTTTCAGTGGCCCAGAGGAGCCATCTGGGTATAGGGAACCTAGAAATGAAATTGTACATGCACAGGCCCAGAATAAGTGAGGGACCGTGGCAAATACATAAATTAAGACAGAGCTGACATGTAGAACCCTAGGTCCAGTCTTATAAAATGTAGCATGCTAATGACCTACATAGTATTCCTCACAACCTAAGGAGAGCACAGATTTAGGTAACATTTAACCTAAAAAATCCAGTCCTCACATTAACAATGGGTGGAAAGCTTGTAGCCACTGGAAAAGTTCTGTGGCTAGGAAAAGTACAGCTTGGCCTGATCTGGTAATGCCATAGCATAAAGCTGGTGGCATAGAAGCAAGAAGACAGAATTCCCTCCCTTCAAACACTCACTTAAAATAAAAAAGCAGGCAATCACAGAATTTCAGTCTGCAGTCAACTTAATGATTAATTGGTTCACTTCTCCATTGTATGGAAGAGAAAACTAAGGAAAAGTAACTTGTCCAGGATCATACAGGGATTTAGTGGCCCAGCCAGAGTCTTCTGACTTCCCTTTCTATTCCTCTTACTCACTGTTGTCAGTATTATAAATTACTGGGCCAGGAATAAGGGAGATAGAGATAAATAAGCTGAACTCCCCTTTAGGGAAAAACAAAATGGAACTTTCAGAAGACTGTGACACTAGGATGACAATCCTTCACATTTATAGCATTCTCTTTTCTTTTCATAGAATATTCAAATATTCTATGGAGATGCCATTCAAATAGTTCCTTGTGTTAAGAGGTAGACTGTGTCTTCACATTTCTGAGAAGGAATCTGAGACCCAGAGAGAGACAATGACTCGTCCAAGTCACACAGTATATGAATGGCAGAACTGATACCAGTGCCCACCCTTGTTTACTCTGAGGAGAGTCTTTGCCACCTCAGATAAATAGGAAGAAAAGAAAATCTTCACTACCAGTTCTTCTCCTTCACCTGGCAATAAAGGAAAAGTGATATTTGTTGGGCATGGGGGAAAGAAACGGTGGAATGGTTTACCTTCAGAGTCCTTCTCGTAGAAGACACCATGAGGGTGGATGGTATAGGGACGAGTGGCAAAATTCTTCAGGTGAATAAGAATGACATCCCCCACTTCAGCCTGCAACACTGGCCCCAGGAAGCCCAACCAGGCAGGCTGGGCCACTTCATCTGTGTATGAGTCATCCTTGTATTCTTTATAGATGGTCTTCTTGTAGGTTCCCCCTATCCGGTTCTTGTCAGACTTTAAGAAGCTGGAAGCCACTCTGGGAAAGAAGAAAAAGAGTCATAATTTTGCCCCCCATCTTCAAGCCTTGAGAGGTTCCTTTTCCAGAGGATACTGACCAAAAAGTGACTATCTTTGTTTAGGACAAAACAAGAGGAAATGGCATTGTACTGATCAAAACATGAAAGTTTTAGATTTAACTATTAAAAATTTCAAATATCAGCATATGAAATTGCTCATATTTGACCACTTTAAACCCACATAAAAGGCAATTTCACATAGCTTGACACAATATGCAGTAACAAAGAGACAACCAACTGTGGACTGACTCCTTAAGTGATCGACTCCTCGTCAATGTAGCCTGACTTAGCATCATTCTGATACATATGGGAGGCCTTAGGGCATAGTGCTTATAACTCCAAGCTTTGGAGCCAAGCCACTTGGATTGATTGCTGACTCTGCCACTTCCAAATTAGTGGGATGTTGAACAAGTTACTTAACTTCTCTGAACACAATTTGCCCATCTGTAAAATGGAATGGAAATAATCATAGTTCCTAACTCAGACAGCTTTTACTGGTGACTAAAAAAAAAAAATTCAAATACACGAAGAGCTTAGGACAGTGGCAAATAGTAAAAGTTCAATAAATGTGGAATATTACTACAAAGTATTAGGGATGAAGGATAATGAATTTATTCCCTCAAAAAAATTAATACAAGGACTCTGACTCTGAAACTAGATGAATATTTTGTGTCAAAAAAGACAGAGTTGTTATTCCTACTATACTCTAATTCTTCTCAGAGAACTCAGAGATATTACAATCAACTTTGGAAAACTCCAAAGCTTTGGAGAGAAAAAAATGAGTCATGGTCACAAAATAGTTTTTCGTACATTCATTTATTCTTTAACAGATATTTGTGGAGCACTTGCTATTTTCTAAGATCAGGAAAGGTTAATCCTGTGGGATCTATGAGGGACAGAGTGGTGAGAAGAGTATTAGTTTACATTCTCATTATCGAGGTTCAAATCCTATCTTTTTCATTTACTAGTTATAGGACTTGGATAAGTCACTTGACCTCTCTGAGCCTCAGTTTTCTCATCTATAAAATAACTACACACATACTTACCTTCTAGAGTTTTTGTGAGAGTTGAGACAAAGTATGTAAATTTCTAGTATGGTCTGTGTCACAGAGTATTACATAAGTGAGAATTATTACCATTAATTCCTTGATTCTAAGGCTTACTTTCTTTTTTCACATTTTCACATATCTGAAATAAATATACAGTAGCTTCACCAAACTATAGAAGCATAGCTCCCACCCATACATCTTACAAACACTGTATATATTTCATTATTCTTTTTTAAAGTCAAACAGTTGTTATTAAATAAGTAAGCATTGTGGGTATGAGATTAGAAAACAGCAAATATGGAATTCTCTTTAGGACTCTAAAAATGTTACGGCAAACTCCAGATGAAATGCTGGCTTCTGACTCAACTAGCCTTCTTCCCAGGAAATCTGCCACTGAGTATGTACAGCTCGGAGCAATCAGGAGCTGGCTGCTACCACACCCTGGGAAAGGGGCCTCAAGAGGCTACTTCCTGACCTCAAGAGTGCTCCCATAACTTCCCCTCAAATACCACAAGAAATTAAACCTACATGTCACTGTCCAGAGGCTGGTTCGTGATGACATTTCTTCCCTTGGGAGCATAGTTCCACTGCACATCCCGGATGCCCAGGTAGTAGACTCGAGTGGCTCCATCAGTCAGTTGAGGCCACAAGGACTGCATGAACAGCAGAGCCCAGAGGAGGTGGCCTGACTCCATGGCCCACATTACTCTGGGAAACAGGCAAATAAAAACTGCTGGTGTAGAAGAAAGAGAACAAAGGGGCTTTCTACGTGTCCAGAAAACTGAAGAGGCAAGAGCCAGGTTGAGTGACTGAGAAAGCAAAACCCATTTAGCCCAGTTTCTTTAACTTACCTGATTCCTTTTAATTCAATAAGTTTTCAATGATTGGATTTTGAAGGGCATAGTTAAAAAGTCACCCGTGCTGCTAATCATGTATTACTAGTTCCTTCAGAAGAGAGATCTGGATCCAGTTTTTTCAATGGTGTAGCAGGAAGAATGTGCTCTGTCCCAAGAATCAGGAAACAGGCACCAGAAGCCTTATTGGGCCACTAACACTAATTCTCCCTTTGCCTCTCTTTTCCCATAGGCAAAAGGGGAACACTCATTGTTGTTGCCACTTCCTATCCTCTATAAATTGTACTTAACAACAAGTGAGAATTTACTAAAAAATATTTACTAGAATATTCATAAACCCAAAATAGAAACAGTCAAAATGTTCGTGAACACTATAATGAATGAATACATTGCATTTTATTCATAAAATGAAATTCTTTATAGCAATAATAATGAACAAACTACAACTACACACAACAATATGAATGATTATGACAAATGTAATGTTTAAAAAAATAGACACAAAAGAGTACATATTGTATGATTTCATTTAAATACAGTACAAAATCAGGCCAATGTAATCTATGCTGGTAGAAGTAAGGATAATGTTTGCCTTGAAGTAGGATTCTGTGACTGGGAAGGGAAGAGGAGGGCTTCTAAGTAATGCTCTGTTTTGTGATCTACATGCTGGTTGTAAAAGCGTGTTCAGTTTGTGAAAATACATTGAGCTATAAACACGATTTGTGCACTTTATGTGTATTATACTTCAAAAGTTAACAATGAACCAAAAATAAATGACAGTATGTGAGGGAAGTATTTTGAACTTCTCAGAAGAAATGTTGTCTGCTGATTCCCAAGGCTATTCATAAATTCATTTCATAGGTCTAATCCTGAGTCAGAATCAGACCCAAGATTCTAACCTCTCACTTCAATGCATAAGACAGGACGTTAGACTTCCTGGGACTAGGACGAAGCACTCAGTGATACCATACACAGTTACAGTCAAACACAGAAACACAGACAACATCACATAAATACATAAACTTGCACACACAGGTACATGTAGTCTTACCTAAAAGCAGAGATGCACACACTTCCATTTACACATAAAATCACTCTGTTATATAAAATCTTAGTCAACTTCAGAATAATAATAATAAAGCTATATTTATCGTATGTGCATGGTACATCTGTTCCAAATGTTTTACACAGATTAAATCATTTATTCCTCACAACCACCCTATGAAGTAGACACCATTATTATCCCCATATTACAATGGAGAAACTTCAGAAGAGAGGTGTAAAGCAGTTTGCCCAAGGCCATCTAGATAAAAATCGGTAGAGTTGGGATTTGAGCCCAGGAAGTGTGGCTCCAGCATAATCACCATGCTGTACTACCTTCCACAAAAATATACTTGCACACTCACATGTATATACACAGAGAACATACATATGCCTATAGCAACAGCCATATCTATGAAAAAACACATACATTCTGAAACAAGCAATTACATGCAGTTATAATCACTTTACAAACAGACATACATACTCATGTAGGCAGAGATATAACTAATAGATTATATTAATGATAATGATGATAATGGCTACTATTCACTGACAGATCATTACATAGTAGCACCATGTCCAGTGCTTTATATAAATTATTTCGCTAAATCTTCAACCCAAGCATATGAAATAGGCATTGTTAATAAAAAATTGAGAATCAAATATATGCACAGATTCACATATGGATAGAAAATCCCCAGATATTTACCCTTTTTAAGAAATAAACTTATAGACTACTTCACAAACTCTCAGTCCTCTCCATACGCAGCAGTGACCCAAGTGTTAATCCCTAGATTCCATATTATATTTGGCAGAAAGCTCTTGATGTAAGAGAGGATCTGTTTTGGGGTCCTTTTTTCCAAAACCTGGCTCTCCCACTGACCAGCTGTGTAGCCTTGGGGATTACTTAACCACTCAGAACCAGTTTTCTCATCTGTAAAATGGGTATAATAATATCAGCCCTGGAGAAATAAATCAGAAAGCTTACATGAAACGGACAAGTATAATCCATGTTTGGAACATAGTAGGCAGTAGTAACTACTGGTTGCCTTCCTCTTCCTTTTCCCTCCTGGCTGCAGTTTGTTAATTCATCTCTACAGTCTCACATCCATCATACTTTCTATATTCCTACTCCAAGGGTTAATTTGAATACTAACTGCTCCAGAAGGCCACCTTTAGCCTCTTCATATCACTGTCCTCTGCAGGGCTACTTACTGTCTATAGCACCCAATTAGATTAAGTCAGACTCTGTATTATTGTTACCTTTCCATCTCATGACCTGCCTCATGAACTGTCTTCATTTCCCAGATTGGACTACACACTCCTTGAGAGAGAATGTCATTTTTTAGAGGTCGCTGTGTATCTATTACGACATGGCGATGGAGGCCAAGTAGATGGGCAATAACAGCTATTGTTAAAGTGACATAAAGAAGCACAAGTATACATTTTTCCATCAGTTGGGTCTGGTTCAAGTTCTAATACTTGTTCAGGGTGAACTTAGGCAAGTTTCTTCACCTCATTTTTCCCATCTATAAAATAATTGACTATATAAAGCTGGACTATATAGTTCTTACCTTTTGAGGGAGTCACAGAAGTGTGATAATCTAAGTGCAGAACCATAAAAATGTGGTATGTAATGAGCTCTCAAAGAGTCCTTCCAGCTTTCACATGCTGCCAATACTTACATTCACTGATGAAACACAGGCGTACTCACATACACCTACACATAGCTCTATATATGGTCACACAAATAGTCATGCCTTGGAATCCTCAACAGGGAGGGAGTGTCCTCGGTTCATTCCAAGTCTGAATGCAACATGGACCCCTTTCAATCTTCTTTCTCAGAGAGGTGTCAACAAAGCAGTTGTGCCTTGAACTCATTTACCTAGACAGAAAACTGTCCCAGGCAAGAGCTCCACAACTGGAGAAACACATGATAAAACTGAAAATATTCCTGGGAGAGACTAGTACAGGCCATCAGCATACAGTGAACAAGCATTCAACAGTGGTGACTTATGATCCAAATGGCTTAAACAATAGAATCTGGGGAGTGGTGGGAAATGCCACCTAACATACCCCTAGCAGTTTCCAGATTACAATGTGTTTTTCATATCTGCCATCTTATATAATTCTCAAGATCTTGAGAGATAAGGAATACTTACTCGATTTTGCATCCAGGGCACAGGCTTTGGTATCAGGCTACCTAAGTGAATCTTGGCTCCATTTTTCCTAGCTGTATGACTTGGGAAACTTCTTCATTTATTTAGCCACAGTGTCTTTATTTTTCAAATGGTATTAATACTATTAGCTACCTCATAGAGTTTTGTGGGGATTAACTTAATTAAGATCTGTAAGTACTTTAAGGGCACATGTAAGTGATCAAAAGGTATTAGTGGCTATTACTATTGCAAGTAAGGAAATAGTTTGGAAATGAAACTTGCCAGGGCCATAAAGATTTTCCATTTTATGAATAGCAATAAATATGTGCACACTCATAAATTCCCATATATGGTAACACATTCTAAGCATACAGGAATATAAACATAGGTATGAAAATGCACACAGCCCAAGCTGAACTCTCTTCTTGGAAACAACATGGTATAATGTAAAGAACTAGAACTTTTGAGTCAGACAAACTTAGGTTTAAGTACTGTTTTACTCTATATCTAAATAAGATAAATTTTTGCAGCAGCTGGGACTTAGTAGGCACCTGATAAGTATTTTTCTTCCTTCTAATTATTGACATCCTTTCTATCCTCCTCAAATTTGAATTTGTCATTGTTATTGCTGCTGTTTAATTTGGTTTTATCATATACTAAAAGAGCAGAAAAAATGAAAAACCCATAAAATCCTTTATAACCACTTAGATGTTAGGCCAGGCACAGTGGCTCACGCCTGTAATGCCAGCACTTTGGGAGGCCGAGGTGGGTGGATCACCTGAGATCGGGAGTTCAAGACCAGCCTGACCAATATGGAGAAACCCTATCTCTATTAAAAATACAAAAAATTAGCTGGGCATGGTGGTGCATGCCTGTAATCCCAGCTACTCGGGAGGCTGAGGCAGGAGAATCGCTTGAACCTGGGAGGCGGAGGTTGTGGTGAGCCGAAATCGCACCATTGCACTCCAGCCTGGGCAACAAGAGTGAAACACGGGTCTCAAAAAATAAATAAATAAAATAAAATATAACCACTTAGATATTTCATGGTACAGTGGAAAGCGTTCAGGCACCAGAAAATAGTAAGTTCTAGCTCTGGATTCATCATTTATTGGTTATATAACCTTGAACAAGTCCCTAACTTCCTGAGCCTCAGTTTCCTCATGTCTTAAATGAGGATTGTCTCTACTTTGGGCCCCTCATTAGTTTGTAATAAAGGTCAAATAATATGAAAGATGTGAAAGCCCTGTGTAAGCTTTTCACTTGGGCAAGGATATTTTTTTTCTCAGCTAAGCCCATAGAGAAGAACCAGACTGATGAGGAAAAAGAACAGGAAGAAATAAAAGGAGAAATGAAATAAGTAAGTTGAGAAAGAATCCTGGAAAAAAGTAAAAAATACAAAATAAAAAGGAAGGCAGAAGGAATAGGCACTCAAAGGAAGGAAAAAAGAAAGAAAAATTCTAGGCTATTTGGATAGTTTAGTTAAGATATACTGAAACCTTGTGCCAACCTGGAGAGAAGATCAGCCAATATAAAGTTAAGCCTCCCTTACCTTTACCTTACCTTCCTGCCATCCCAGTGTCACCTGGGTCTGGTCCCTATTATTCATAACAATTTGCATTGCTGTGTTCCCTAGAATTTGCAAACTGTTCCTTTATTGCGACAATGCTCTTTTCTCTCCCTCCATCTCCCTTTCTCAGTTATACTACTTTGGGCTAGACAGGCTCATCCTAAACAAAGGATTACTCAACTGAATAAAGGAATGCTGAGCCATCTTTGGGGCCCTGTCTTCAATCTCTCAGCAGCCTTCCTAATAAACCCTCCATCAAAATTCACCTTTTGGTCCTCTGCTTTCTTAACTCTGTGATAGAAAACATACCGATTTGAAGTTAAAGACCTTGATTCAAATCCTATCTCTTGTCTGTGATAGCTATGTGACCTTTCAATAAATTATTTTAGCCTTAGTCATCTCATCCAAAAAATGGGATGATATTTTTTTCACAGGATTGTCTTGAGGCCCAAATAAAACCATGGATATTTGAGTCCCTAGCAAAAGGATTGCTTGTCATATAATAGATGCTGAGTAATGAAAAACTGAACGTGTTATAGATTCACACATGCATGAAACCTTTAGAAACCATCTTTTTCAATCACCCTCATTTGATGTATAAAAAACTGATACCAGAGAGGTGCAAGGATTTGCTCAAAGTCACGCAGCCAGTTGTTAAAAATAGCCAGAATTTGAACCAATGATTTCTAAAAGATTTTTGCTATGTAGAAACTAAGACTACTCAAATTCAGATGTTTAGCTTAGTTAAGCTATCATTTATTGGCTTACTCTGTGCCAATCTGGTCTCAAAATATGAAACCAAACATGGTTATTTTTAAGTAACTGAGTTCCCACTTACATAATCCTCAGATCCATCACCTCAATAAATTCCTCAACCTGTGAAACAGAAGATGAGCAAGCTATTTCGACAGGAAAATGAACTATTCTGTATGGCTCCAGGATTGGCCCTGAAACAGACAAGCCAGTGTAGTCCTGGCTATTTTGGCGAGAGGAACAAAAGGAGCCTATTGTCTCCTTTAACTTTCCTGCACATCAGCCAAACCTCCTCCAACTTTTTGGCCACTGACTTTTTCTCCTAGTGGCCAGGACTCCCTTAAACCCAGCTAAATAAACGTTTTTGCACAGGAAGGCAGGTGAGGTAGAGTTTGAAAAGAGAGAAAAGAAAGCTTACCTTTGCTAGAGAAAACTACTCCATATTCATGTCAGCGGCCCATTAATGCTGCACTGCAGACCCCAGCCTGAGTCCGCCAGCCATGTTCAGTCAGTATCTTGGTTACAGGGCCTTTCTCCTAAATTAAGTCCAGGATTCCAATTTGGCAGGGTTTACTGGGATGGGAGGATGAGGGAGGGGGAAGGGCTGGGTGCCCTCTTTTCCAGAAACAAAACTACTGGAATGTCCTGTTCCTCTGGGGCCTGGTTTGATACAAAACCCGGGATGGTTCTTTACCCATATCCGGGTGTTTTACAAATCCTGGTTAGGATCTCAGGAGGAATTACAAGGGGGTGGGTTGTACTTCTGTTATCAGGACTTGCTAATTGGTCTTTGCTGAGAGGAGAACACTGTCAGTGTGGCCAGCCAAAGCTCATGGGTAGATTTCAACAGCTCCATTTAAGAAATGAGGTAGAAATTGAAAGAGCCTCCATCTCACCACCTCTTCCCCTTCTTGCTCTGAAGCACAATTGTCAGCCCTGACTATTATTCTGAGGTCATGGCTGCTTAGTCATAAGTAAAAATAAAATTGGCAATAAAACAAAGGACTTTTTTTCTACATTCTAAGCCCTATGTTAACCATTTTACATGCATTCTCTTATTTAAGTCTCACAATTATCCTGTGAGATGAATACTCTAATTCTCTCTATTTTACAACTGAGGAAAATTCAGCTCTGAGAGGGAAGGTAACTTGTCCAAGGTCACACACTTAGGAAGTAAAAGAGAAGAGAGATTTGCTGGGTCTGTCTAAACTTTTAACCATGAAACCACCACACACAATGTGCTGCTTAGGGGAGAAACACAGTACTTTCAAGGGGGTAGAAGGGACTTCACAATTATTGAAAGCCTACTGGCCACCAGTCACTGGTGGATTTTTTTATATATACATTAACTTTGCCTCCGTCATTTCTAGCAGATTCTAGAGTGAAATTTTATATTAACTATATTTAACATTTTCCACCTGAGGAAACCAGATATAGCTAGAAGATAGCCTGGATTAACACAGGTCAACACCCTAAAAACTAAGACATGGAAGAATTGAAAATACTAAAAAGAAAAAAAAAACAAAATGTTCCCCCAACAATTCAGGGTAAAACTGGAGTCTGGATTTGTTTAAAGTCAAAGGTCATTCCCATTCCTGGTGGAAAGAGAGAAGAGTGAAAAGTCACTGTCCTGAGTCAAGTGACCAAGGTTCTCGCCCCACTTGCTCTAGGAGTAATCAGCTATGTGGATTTTGTGGATTTGGCCCACTCCCTTCTCTTCTCTGGGCCTCTTTCTATTTCTACAATGAGGGTCTTAAACTAGATATGGACCCTCCCAGCCCTGTAAATTTACACATCTAGAATTCCATGAAGAAAGTATAGTCTAGATATTAAACATAGAAGATAAAGAGGTTTCAAAGACACAAAGTATAGGGAAAGAATGAGTGGGGAGCAATTTGTGGCGACAGGTCTGAGAATACTATGCCTCTCTAAAAAGGACTGCATCTACCCAACAGACCCAGGTATAGGAAGGGGACAGGTATGATGGGGGTTCCACCACCTGATATTCTTACTTTGTGATGAGGAGATCTTGGCTAGGAGCAGACACTTTTCTCCAGGCAGGCTGGGCACATTTTCCTCTTCTGAATTTAAAGTGTCTGGAGCAGGGTCCAGGGAAGAGAACATTCAGAAGACTGAGGTGGTAGGGCAAAGTCTGGGTCATAAACCACTAGAGATTCTTAAGTGTGCTCAGACACTTAGGCGCTGCCCCATGGACTGCAACTCAGACCAAGGCAGGTGGAAGCACCAGTAGGAAGGAAGGAGGAGCCACCAGCCTCAACTCCCTTAGAAATGCTCAGTGGTCAAGGGAAGCTTAGCCAAGCCATGGCAGCCCCTAGAATTATCTGCCTCGCACACATGTGAACCTTGAAGCAAGAAAGGGGAAGTGGAGACAAAACTGATTAAGCTGAGATCCAAGTCCAAGCTCTAAGGCATTTATGACAGGGAGGGGAAGGGATAAGGCCTCTGCTCTGACTCATGAAAGACAACAAGAACAGGTCATAATAGACTTGAATCAACACAGTGAAGACTGCAGGAGGCCAGGTAGGCCAGGTTTCCAGGTTTGTATTATTCATTCACCAATTTCACTGAGAGTACAAACAGCACCCACCTTTTCTGCAAATCCGGGGTACATTTCTGGTTCCTTCTCCTGGAGGTCACTTGAAAAACATTTTAAAGTTGGTGTCTACAGACCAGAGGTTGGCAGATTTTTTCTATAAAGGGCTAGCTACTAAATCATTTATTTCCAGAGCATACAGTTTCTGTTTGCCATAACTACACAAATTTGTCTTTGTAGCTCTCAAGGTATATCATTGTGCCAATAAAAATTAATTTACAAAACAAGCAGCAGGCTAAATAGACTTTTTTTTCAATATAGACATTTGCAATATGGCATCACTGTTAAGAGCATGAAAACTGAAATCAGATATTCTGAACTGAAATCCCAACTCTGCCATTTCCTGATTCTATGATTAAAGTAATTTAATCCCCCTAAACCTCAGTTTTCAAATGGAGATAATAATATTACCTATTTTATAAGACTGTTATAAGAACTTAAATAAGGCTATACGTATTAACTATTTAGCACAATAACTGGAACATAGTAAAGGCAAAAATTAGAGTTATAATTTTTAATTTTTCAATTCTAAATAATTGTTGAAATCTAAATAATTATTTCCTCGTTAGGACACAAACTGTATTAACTTGTGTCAAAAAAGAAGAATGTTTCAAGAATCCTGGCTTCACATTCTAGTTATGCTACTAAAGAGCACACAGTGACCCTGGACAAGTCTTTTTGCCTTTCTATCACTCAGTTTCTTCACCTATAACATGAAAAAGGTGGTCTAGATTTGGGTTTCTCAAAATTAATTTTGGCAGCAGAACCCTTTCCCCAAACAGAATCTTAGTAAACACCCACTACTTATGGAAGATGAAAGTGATTTGTTCTAGGTAAGGCAGGGAAGGAGATAGAAATGGGCAAGGGTGAAGAGACAGAGGAACCTGTCCACTGGGTATGACTGGTTTCCTAGACAATGTGATTGTGTCTGGAGCACCAGTAAGAAATGTCTAGGACACTAAAAACAGATTGGAAAACCGTAAGACCAGAATATCCTTAAGGGTCCTTCATGTGTTAAACTCTGTCACTAGAACATCTTTTCGTTTATTCATTCAACCAATATTTCCAGGTTACTCATCTATGGGCCATCAATAACACATGGCCCTGGGGTGGCTACAAAGAGGAGAGGACCCCAGGGACCTTCACATTAGAGTCAACATGGTCTAGGGTGAGAAGCATGGCATTTGGAGTCAGAAAGACTAAGGATTGTATCTTGGCTGCCTTTTTCTGAGCTATGTGACCTCGGGCAAATCACTTAACTTTTTCGAGCCTCTGGTCCCTCATCTGCAGAACAGGAATAATAACACTTCCATGACTGAAATATTGTGAGGATTAAATCAGCTGGCATTTGTGTGAACCCTTAGCACAGTGCTCAGCATGTTCAGACCCCCAGTAAATGTTGTTTTCCTTCCTATATTTTCCACAGTTAAATTTTGTGACAGTATCAGGTACCAGGAGAAAATTAAAAGCCATGGGCAGTGCCTTGGCACAGACAGTCTAACCCCTTTACCTCAGGATCCTCTGATGAGCTTGCCCTTAGCAGTTTCTTAAAAAGAAGACCTCTGGGGAAAGGTGGAGGGGTGCAGGGAAGAGGGGGTTGTCCCCCAGAAACCACATCTCTGAAGCCACTCCCCACCACCACTTCTGACCAGCAGACTCTGTTATGCTTTGGAAAGGTTGCTCTGCATTGCTGTGATGTGTGACAGCCCTAGGCTTGCTCTGGGTACACTGTTTGGTTCTTGTACTCTGGCTCTTGAACTCCACTTGCTGCTTTCCCTAGTCCTCCAAGGCTGTAGGCCTCAAACTTGAACATGTACCAGAATCCCTTATAGGATTTGTTAAGGCATTGAGTTTTTGCTTCAGTAAGTCTTGGGTGAGGCCCAGGAACTTGCATTTCTGGCAAGTTCCCAGGGGATGCTGCTGCTGCTGGTTTGAGGACCACTGCTGGTTTGAGGACCACTGCTGTAAGGGATGCTTGCTCTGAAGCTCACCCCCCAACCTCCCACCACCACCAGCTTACTTGCATCTGCAGACTGATTCTTTAGCTCCAGACTCACCTGGTCTTTGAGTATTCACTCTTTGGCCCTAGGTCAAAAATATATTTTATTCAGCTTCCTGGTACCTCATTCATGTGGCGTCTCCCTGAGAGTCCTCCCAACACCTATTTCCCCACTCCCTTTGCCCAAGAATCTTTCTGCTTGCCTGGGTGAAGCTTCCTCTCCTCTCCCTGTGCAATTAACATGCTTTCCTCTCTGTTGCCTGCCTGGAGCAGCTCTATACATGGCATCAGCTGTTCCTCCCAACTCTTCTATACTTTCTCATTTGGCTTCCTGATGGTGGGCCCTGGGCATGGACAAACTTGGTTTGAATCTTAGCTCTGTCTCTCCCTAAAATGTATGATCTTGGGGAAGTCACTTGAGTGCTCTGAGCCTCCATTTTGTTATTTGTAAAATCAGGCTGTGAAAATAAAATGCAATGTCTGAAAAATGGCCCTGTGTAACACCTGTTACATAGTAAATGATCAGTAAATGTTAGTCTTTTTTTTTCTTCCTCTATTTTCCTCATACCTGCCTACTTCCAGCCACACTACTAAGGAGTACATAGCATGTAAGAAGGCTAAAACAATGTACAAATAAAATGTTTCATTACTATAAATAGACATAGTAAGTAAGAGAATAGAGGTCTCTACAATGTGATATAACATTTTAGAGTAGGGAGAGGATATTTTCAATGGGTGAATATCATTCAGAATAAGCCTCCTGAACGACTGCATGACATAATTAGCATTCTCATTCCTATATACCAAGCCAGAGACTTGAATGTCATCTGAGATTACTCTCTTCTCTCTCACTCTCTACAACCATTTCATTGATATGTCCTGTCATATTTATATTTTACATCTTTTTCTCAATGCACCCACTTCTCTCTATCTCCACCGCCATGGACTTGGTCTAAGTCACCATAATCTTTTAATTGGACCAGCGTAATAGCCTCCTTATAATTCTTTATGACTCCACTCTTGACCCCCCATAATCTGGTCTTCAAATAACAGTCAAAGCTATTTTTCCCATAACACAAAAGTGGTTGTAAATCCTTATTGCTTAAAATCCCCCAGCAATGCCTCCCTTATTGACTAAAGTTGGAATAATAATGATATTAGTAAGACTCTCTAGTAAGGATGACACTCAAACTGATGAAATATTTCGTATATGTGTGTGTGTGTGTGTGTGTGTGAATGCACATATGAAAATATTTTCAATATATGTCATTAAATAAAAAGCAAGGTGCAAAAGAGTGAGCATATTGTGATTGGTCATACATAGAGATATAGATATCTCCACACACACACACACACACACACACATATATACATACTTACATGAGGGGACAATGAATATTTCTTCTGGAAATAACACAAAATATTCTTAATGGTGGTTTTCCTTGGGGAGAGTAACTTGGTTGGGGGAAGCGTGACTTTCATTTTTCGTTTTGAACTGTTTAGATTTTCAAGCCTTATATATTAGTTACTTTTGTTTTTAAAAAAAGGTCACTTGGAAAGTGAATATGAAGCCACTTTTGTTGTCTTCTTTGTATTTCTATTCTCTCAAGAAACTCATATCTGTTACATTAAGAAAATTAATTCCTTATTATTTCACTAGGATAAAGATCAAACTTCTTAACATGGCCTATATGGCATTTTTATGGCCCAGCCCTTCCTAATCTTTCTAGGTCACTGCTTGCCCTTCCTCTCCTCACACTCAATGCGTCCCACCCATGCCAGAGGTCTGTCAGTTTGTCAGTTTCCAATGTGCATGGTGCTCTCTCTTCCCTCCAACAGATTCTGATATGTTGTTTCATCTGCCTCAATCACTTTTTCACCTATTCATTCACCCACTCATTTTTTGGGTCTCAGTTTAGAAGTCCCTTCCTCTAAGAGGTTTTCCCTGACTTTCTATGCTTCTGGGTGAGGTCCTCCTGTGATGTGCTCCCAAGTCACCCCGTACATCTAACAACAATTTGTTGAAATTGTTTGCTTAACTCTCTCCTCACCGTATAATGGAAGCTCTGTGGGGTCAGGGATTACATTTTTCTTGCTCCCTACTGTAGCCTCAATGCCTAGCACAGCACTTGATACAGAGTTGGTGCTCAATAAATATTTGCTGGATGAATGAATACATGAATGATTAGTGAAAGAATAAGACAGCAGCCTTAGAGCTGACCTTCAAGGTCAGCAAGATCCTACTAGAAAAAAAAGTGCGTGTTAACTTCACATTTCAGAAGATGACTTGAGGCTTTTCTAGTTAAAAGGTTGACTTGATTGTACCTGACAGTTCCATTGTTTGACCAAGTTTGTTTCTAAAAGGACTGTGTGTATGTCACTACCAACCCCTGTACTTTTCCAATCAATCCATCCACTGGCCCAGTCCTATTCCTCTAAGCACCTAACCCCCAAATTATCCTTGGTTACCTTGGGTTAGAAGAATAGTGAACAAAATGAAGCCTCAGAAGGCATGGTTGTCATTTGCTTTCAAATTATGTTGCCTCATAGGGCTCTTCAGAAGGCTTCATTTATCCATTTAATAGAATGGATACACATTAAATGGGTAAATGCAGCCACATAGCCTTTCATTTGAAGGAATAAATTTTGGTAAAATTAACTTGAAAACTCCCAAATATATCCACAGCATCATTTCCAAATGGCTATATGAACTCTTGCTTGGATACATGTAATAACTGAGAACTCACTCAATTATCTCTCAAGGCAACTCTAGATTATCTTTTCCCATATTAAATAGCCAAATATATGCTGCCTTCTACCTTCTGTTCATTGGTTCCTTTTTCTAGTGAATTTAGAACTCCTCAGCAAAAATGCCAGTTAGTGCCGTCTCGCCCTCCTCTCACAGCAAAAGAAGTAGCTGTCTTTTGGAGAGTGTTTTTTTTCCTTGGGCACCTACAATGCAGTTCTGACTTTCGAACCCCATTTTTCTTTGTTGTCATGCCCAATACTTTCTTCATCCCCACAGAACCGTGTTAGAAAATGCTTCTATGATGGCTGGCCTAATCACTGGTTGAAGGAAGTGATCATGTTCATGATATTATTTAAGGGACTAAAAAAATCCCATGCTTCCTCTCCAAAATGACAACTTAGTTTGATATAATTGGGCACAATAGTGAGGACTTCATTCCAGTCCTCTCTGCCACAAACCTATGTGTTACCTGGAGTAGGCTATTTCCCTTCTTTGGACTTCAGTCCTCTCACATGGAAAATAAGAGCCTTGTGTTAGCTGGCCTTTGAGGTCCCTTTCAGCTCTCATATTTCAAGGTTCTGTGACTCAGGCTTTTGGATTAGAACCCACAGACATCCAGAAGGCATGCATAAGTGTCTGATCACAACTTACAGACTCTGTGTTTGCATGAGAGACTCTATGGAAAGTTCACCATTATGAAAAAATGAATTGTGTGCAATTTCAAACCCTGACTCTGTTCATATACAGAACACCCAGACATTCTTAAAATACAACTGCTCTTCTAAGAAATGTGAACACAATAAAAGGTATATCCTAGGTAGTGGCAGTTGTGTCCCTTCTCAACCCTACTTTCCAAACCTATTGATCTTAGCCCTACTACTCCTCTGGCTACTTGTTAGTCTGTTAAGTGAAAAAGACAGTGGATTGAGGGTTGAGGTAGACAGAATAACGCCTCTCCCAAAAATGTTCATGTTCCAATCCCTGGAACATGTGAATGTGTTATATTACATAGCAAAGGGAAATTAACATTAATAATCAGCTGTTCTTAAAATGGAAAGAGTATCCTGGATTGTCTGGGTAGGTCCAGTATCATTACAAAGGTTATTTAAAGTAGAAGAGAGAAATAGGAGAGAAGGTTGGAGTAATGAAGTATGAGAAGTACTCAATTCACTGTTTCTAGCTTTGAAGATAGAGGAAGAGGGCCATGAAGTGGGGAATTTAGGTCTCTAGAAGCTAGAAAAGTCAAGTAAATAGATTGTCCCTGGATACTCCAGAAGTAACCACAGTGAGACCCATTTTAGACTTCTAACCTATTAAAACTATAAGATAAAAAATACATGCTGTTACATGGACACATGGGAGGGAAACAACACATACTGGGGCCTGTTGGAGGAGGTAGGGACGGGTAGGGGGAGGAAGAGCATCAGGAAGAATAGTCAATGGATTCTGGGCTTAATACCTAAGTGATTGGATGATCTGTGCAGCAGACCACCATGTACCAATGTAACAAACCTGCACATCCTGCATATGTACCCCTGAACTTAAAATAAAGTTGAAGAAAAAACCCAAATAAATAAACATATGTTATTTTAAGAAACCAGGTTTTTACTAATTTATTATAGTAGCAATAGGAAACTAACACAGGGGTCAACAGACCTAACTCTGAGTCCTGCTATTGACACACACTAGCTGCTTGTTATTGGACAGGATTTTTTTTAAAAAATCTCTCTACAATTTAGAGTCCTATAAAATGAGGATAAAACCATCTTGCTTGTTAACTTCACAGGTTGTCCTGAAGATCAACTAAAAGGGCCATATAAATGTAAAATGGAATAGTTCTGTACACAAAAACGTAAGTAAAGTGGAAAGATGAGCAATAAACAAGGAAAATTATTCACCACATATATAACAGATAATTACTATTCAGAATATATGTGAAAAAGATAACCCAGTGAAATTATAGTCAAAGGATAAGAATGAAAACAAAAACCAAAGTGGACAATCAAACATGGAAAGAAGCTCAAATCACTAGTAATCATAGAAATACAAATTGCAAATAAAAGTAGCAAAATCCATCGCCAATCCACTACATTGACGGGCATTTTTAAAACATTTTAGAAATTGACGAAGGCGTGTGAAAGTAAGTGAGGAAACAAGCCTCTCATACTCTAATGAGAACTATAAATTGGTAGAACTACTGTGGAAAGTAATGTGTTAGTATCTACTAAATATTTAAAATATATTTACTATGTATATTACAGAAATTCCTGCTCCTAATTATTCACTGAAATGGGCACAAATAGACAAGAATATTAATTGCAGCATTGTATGTAATAGAAATAAACCTCAGACAAACCATGTTACCACAATTCTACAAAATGCTATGTGACAGTTTAAAACAAGGCAAAAAATTTAAGATGGATTTATGGCTAAATACAGCAATTCATAGATTCATAGATGTGATAAAGGAAGCATAGTAAAATGTTAATGGTAGAATCTACGCAATATGTATATGGACATTCCCTGTAAGATTCTTTCAAGCTTGCTGTTTGTTGAAATTTTTCATAATAGAATAATAGGAAAAAATAATATGCTGATTAGATTAAAAAACAGCATCAACAACGAAAAACAATAAGTCAATTTTGTGTTACAAAGATATACATTTCAGACTGACTGGAGCAGGCACAAAATGATATACCACTTATGTTCAAAAATATGCTAATTAATATTGCATATTTTCTTTAGGTAAAACATATGTACGTGTACAACTATAAACATACATAATTGTACAGCTATGAAACAATACATAAAACTGCATAATTACACATTCCATTACACAAGATATGTCATTTATGTAAAACATACACAGAAGTACACACATACAAAGACACAAACTAGTAAAATCATGTAAAGAACCTAAGGGGTAGAAGAGAGTGTATGTATATACACTGTCTGTGTATCATTAAATCTGTAATGTTTTAATAGTTTACAAAACTAATGTTACCAGAAATTACTTTAAAAATAAAAACAAAACATTAATTCTAATTCGTGAACATGGAATATGAATATCTTTCCATTTATCTGTGCTTTTTTTTCTATTTCTTTCATCAGTGTTTTATAGTTCTCAGTTTTACACCTAAGTATTTAATGTTTTGTTTCTATTGTAAATGGGATTGCTTTCTTAATTTCCTTTTTGTATTGTTCATTATTACTATATAGAAACATTACTGCTTTTTGTATGCTGACTTTGTATTCTGCAACTTCACTGGATTCAGTTCTAATAGTGTTTTAGTAGAGTCTTTAGTGTTTTCTCTATATAAGATCGTGTCACCAGCAAATAGAGACAATCTGACTTCTTGTTTTCCTATTAAGGTGCATTTTACTTCTTTCTCTTGCCTAATTGCTCAGCTAGAACTTCTAGTACTATGTTAAAAAGAAGTGGTGAGAGTGAGCATCCTTGTCCTGTTCCTTAAAGGAACGTATCTTAGAGGAAAATATTTCAACTTTTTACTGTTGAGAATGATGTTATCTACAGGTTTGTCACATAAGGCCTTTCTTGTGTTGAGGTACATTCCCTCTATATGTAATCTGTTGTAAGTTTTTATCTTGAAAGGATATTGGATTTTTTCCATTTTTTTTCTATTGAGATGATCATATGATTTTTATCCTTTATTTTTTTCTATATTGTGTATTACAATTGTTGATTAGCATTTGTTGAACTGCCTTTGTATCCCCGAGATAAATCCTGTTTGATCATGAAATGATTATTTTTAATGTGTTCTTGAATTCACTTTGCTAGTACTTTGTTGAGGATTTTTGCATCTATGTTCATTAGGGATATTGGCCTATCATTTTCTTTTCTTGTAGTGTCCCTGTCTGGCTTTGATATCAGAGTAATTCTAGCCTCTTACAATGAGTTTGAAAGTCTTACCTTTATTGTAATTTTTTTGGAAGTGTTTGAGAAGAATTGGCATTAATTCTTCTTTAAATGTTTGGTAGAATTTAGCAGTGAAGCTGTCTGGTTCTGGGCGTTTCCCTGGTGGAAAACATTTTATTGCCAATTCCATCTCCTTATTCTTTGTTCAGATTTTCTATTTCTTTTATGATTCAGCCTTAATAGGTTATATCTGTCTAGGGATTTATCCATTTTTCTAGGTTACCTAGTTAATATTGTGAAACTGTCCGTACTACCCAAAATGATCTACAGATTCAATGCAATCCTTATGGAAATTCCAATTTTATTTTTAAAGAAAAGAAAAAACAATCCAAAAAACCCTGAATAAAAGAAACAACCTTTTTTGTTTTTGTTTTTGAGATGGAGTCTCGCACAGTCGCCCAGGCTGGAGTGCAGTGGCAAGATCTCGGCTCGCTGCAAGCTCCACCTCCCAGGTTCACGCCATTCTCCTTCCTCAGCCTCCCAAGCAACTGGGACTACAGGCACCTGCTACCACGCCCGGCTAATTATTTGCATTTTTAATAGAGTCGGGGTTTCACCGTGTTAGCCAGGATAGTCTCGATCTCCTGACCTCGTGATCCACCTGCCTCAGCCTCCCACAGTGGAAACAATCTTTACAGAAAGAACAAATCTGGATGCATCACACTCATTAATTTCAAAACATATAATGAAGTGATTGCAATCAAAATAGCATAGTACTGGCATAAAAACATATACATAAACCAATGGAATAGAATATAGAACATAAAAATAAATCCATGCATTTACCATCAACTTACTTCAACAAAGGTACCAAGAGCACACAATGGGGGGAAGAACAGTCTCTTCAATAAGTGGTGTTGAAAAATGTGGATATCCACATAAAGAATAATGAAATTAGACCCTTATGCCATATACAAAAATTAACTCAAAATGAATTAAAGACTTAGATATAAGACCCGAAACTGTAAAACTACTAGAATAAAACATAGGAGAAAAGCCTTCACAATATTTGTCTGGGAAATGATTTTTTGGATATGACCCTAAAAGCACAGACAACAAAAGCAAAAATAGACAAATGGAATGGCATCAAACTAAAAACCCTTTGCACAGCAAAGGAATCAACTAAAAAGCCTTTGCACAGCAAAGGAATCAATCAACAAAGTGAAGACATTACTTCCAGAATGGGAGAAAATATTTGCAAACCATACATTTGATAAAGGATTAATATCCAAAATATATAAAAACCTCAACAACTAAATAGCAAGAAAAAAAAAGAACCTGATTTTTAAAAGGGAAAAAGATCTGAGCAGACATTACTCCAAAGAAGACCTATGAATGGCCAATAGGTATGTGAAAAAAAATCCTTAAAATCACTAATCATTAAGGAAATGCAAATTAAAATCACAATAAGATATTAATTCACAACTGCTGGAATAGTTTTTATCAAAAAGATGAAAGATAAGAGTTGGAGAGGATGCAGAGAAAAGGAAACTCTTATACGTTGTTGGTGGGAATGTAAATTAATAGAGCCATTACGGAAAACAGTATGGCAGTTCCTCAAAAAAACTAAAAAAGAAATACCATACAACCCAGTAATCCCACGTCTGGGCGTATAACCAAAATAACTGAAATCAACATGTCAAAGGGATATCTGCACTCTCATGGTCATTGCAGCATTACTCACAGTAGCCAAGATATGAAAAAAACTCGATTGTTCATCAATGTATGAGTGGATAAAGAAAATGTGGTATAGGCCTGGCGCGGTGTCTCAGGCCTGTAATCCCAGCACTTTGGGAAGCTGAGGAGGCGGGTTGCGAGGTCAGGAGTTTGAGACCAGCCCGGCCAACATAGTGAAACCCCATCTCTACTAAAAATACAAAAAAAAAAAATTAGCCAGGTGTGGGGATGGGAGCCTGTAATCCTAGCTACTCGGAAGGCTGAGGCAGCAGAATCATTTGAACCTGGGAGGCAGAGGTTGCAGTGAGCCGAGATTGCACCACTGCACACGAGCCCAGGCAACAGTATGAGACTCAGTCTAAAAAAAAAAAAAAAAAAAAAAAAAAAAAAAAAGAAAAAGAAAATGTGGATGTGGTATATATACACAATGGAACACTAAACAGCTTTTACTTTTAAAAGGGGGGTGGGATCCTGTTATTTGTGACACCATGGATTAATCTGTAAGACATTATGCTAAGTGAAATAAGCCAGGCTCATAAAGACAAATATGGCATGATCTCTCTTATGTGAGGAATCTAATAAAGTTGAACTCATGGAAGCGAAAAGGCGAACGATGGTTACCAGAGTCTGGGGTGGGGTAGAGGGACTGGGGAGCTATTGATCAAAGGCTACAAAGTTTTATATAGACAGGTAGAATAGGTTTTGAGGTCTATTGAACAGTAAGGAGACAATAGTCAATAATAATGTATTATATATAATTAAAAATAACTGAGTAAATTTCAAATGTGTAACCATAAAAAACGATAGGTAAGCATGATGATGGATATGTTAATTAGCTTGATTTAATTATGTTTTTATTGTATATATATATCAAAACATCATATGGTACCCCATAAATGCATATAACTATGATTTGTCAATAAAATACATATATGTAATCATTCTCTAAATACCAAATGTAAGCTAGCATTATCTGTGAAGTCTCCATAATTTTGACCAAGAGTTCTGACTGCTATGTTTTAGTCAAGGAAAGTTATCATTCTGCTTCTCTGATTTATTTCAATTTTTATAAGAACTTTTTTGGACATTTTTTATCTCCGGCAATGGTTAGATGTAAAAATAATGTAAGGCAAAAGAACATTATAGATGCCAAAAGGCAATGTCAGTTTATGCCCAGAGCCTAGTTTAGGGGTATAAACATATTTGACTCATCACCCCCATTCTACTTAGAATGCTCTTTTCCTCAATTTCCATTAATACAAGTCTTTCCTATCTTTCAAGGACAAATTGAAGTCCCACCTTGTCCAGAAAGTCTTCTCTGAAAACTCCAGCCTTCATGAACTACTTTCTCCTCCAAAATCCTAGAGCATTTTTTAATTGGTATCAAGCAGCATAGCTTTTAGTTCAATAACCTCTTAAAATACTTTCTGGCAATTCAATGTGGGAGTTTTGTCTTAGGTGTGAGAGTGACCTCACTGAGATATCTATCATCTCCCTAATCACCAGGACCAAAATACATGACTCACATGGCATGTTATCTTTCCTTCCTTACTCATTCTGGCAGTGGAAAGAAGAGCAGTGGCTATTGCAGACACTTAGAAGTCTGATTCCCAAGCCCAATGTGAATGAAAATATGAGTATTATTTAAAAGCAGGATTACTGGGTTTATTACTGGGATCTCTTACAGCCTGGCATAATGTTCTGCAGATAAGTAAATATCTGTTGGATAGATGCATCAAGGAATAGTAATGCTGGCACACACTACAAAAAGTATAAAGTAGATCCACCAAAATCTAATCACCTGATGAATGCTTAGATTTAAATGGCTCTTCTGGCAAAAAACAAAAAAACTTGGTTTCAGGAAAAGCGAAGACTTAGCTACACTCTTTTAAAAACAAAGACTTTTTACTACATAAATCTTGATCAATAGAAGTCTTGATGAATAAAGTGAAATTTCTAGGAGTGAGGCTCAACCCATTATGTGGTATTTTTGATCAACAAGGGAACTTTCTGGAAAGAAGGGCCCTGTTATGTGATCTGATACAGGTAAATTCATGAGAGTAAAATACAGAATCTAAATTCCATCATGCACTGAAATGGCTTATTGCTAAAGAAAACACTTCATTCCATTAGGAGACTGAGAGAAAAAATAGTAATATAGTGTTTAAATACATGTAAACCATGACTTGCATTTTTATACTAGTTTTCTTACAAGGTCCCTGTAAATTCACTTTTTGTTTCAGAGTTAGCTAGAAAAGAATAAAGGAAAAAGGTTATAAAGTCTGGGCACCCTAAATAAGTCATTTCTATGAGATAATGTATTTGAGGGGCTTTGTAAATTTAAAAGTGATAACTTAAAGAGATACGTAAATGCAAGAGACTTTTGTAAGAATTCTTCCACTGCTCACTACCATCAGTTGCCTATATGCCCTTCTGTAGCCATGGTTATGACCACAACTCAGTACCTGATTACACAGCTCCATGTCTGAAATGCATCAAAAAATAAAAGTAAAAATAACTAAGATAACTGCTTTTGTGTGTGTGTCTTATGGTCTCTTACTTAAAATTTTTTCTTCTTTCTTCATCTGTCTCCTCTCCTTTTTTTCTCATTCACTTCTCTCCCTCTCCTATTAAGTCCATTTCCTTGTCCTTGTACCATTTTCTACTCACATTTTCTTTTCTCTTCATCTTTATTCTCTTCTCCCTCACTCCTCATTCCCATTTTTCTCTTCTTCAATTTTTTTCTATTTCAGTCTTCCTTATTTGTCTCACAACTCTCTTCTTTTTCTATTTCCAGCTTCTGTATGTGTCTCTGCCTTTGTCTCTCTGCATCTTTGGTGGTCTCTGTCTCTCCTTATCTGTTACTTACTTTCTCTTTAACACAACTGCAACTGAGCTCAAATCTCTCATGCTAGACTACTCACTATGAATGTTATTCCTCAAACTCTCTAAAATGTAACTTTTCATCAGTTTGTAGGGTTTTATGGCAATCTTCATGCCTCATAGAGCCACTTGCTCTTATTTATGGTGATTTTTTTTTTTGAGATGGAGTCTCACACTGTCGCCTGGGCTGGAGTGCAGTGGCATGATCTCGGCTCACTGCAACCTCCACCTCCCGGGTTGACGCCATTCTCCTGCCTCAGCCTCCCGAGTAGCTGGGACTACAGGTGCCCGCCACCACACCTGCCTAATTTTTTGTATTTTTAGTAGAGACTGGGTTTCACTGTGTTAGCCAGGATGGTCTCGATTTCCTGACCTTGTGATCCACCCACCTCAGTCTCTCAAAGTGCTGGGATGACAGGTGTGAGCCACCATCCCCAGCCTTATGGTGATTTTTAAATAATTTCTCTCTAGAAAATTAACTTCATATTCTTGCAAAGTTGACGACACTAAATGGAATTGCTCTGGGTGTTGCAACAGCAGAGCAGGAAATAGCTGCCCAGGCTGGACCAAATCACTCAGTAAGACTGCTTCAAAGGACTGAACAAATTCTAAGGAAATATGATTCTGGGCATTTCTGTTTCATTTTCTTTTTTCTGTGACATGATACAATAGTGAAAAGTTGGGTGGCCTGGATTTGATCTTGGTTTGGCACAATTTTTTTCTTCTTTTTATGATCTCAGAACTTTCACTTAATAGCAATGGCCTTGAAATCCTCATCTGCTAAATAAGAAATAAAACATCCTGGCCACCAGACCCACATCCTGGGGTCTCTCAAGATCAGATGAGATCATGGATATGAAAATGTTATTGGAAGGCCTAAAGACCTTTATACAGAGGTTCAGGATTCTTCTGATAACTCACTCAACTGAGAAAGAGTTTAAGATTTTTACCTAAAACTTACGGTTCACCATCATAGAGATTGAATGAAAGGATTTTGAAATGGAACCAATGGTGAACTCTGAGCTGAACATATGTTCAAACCTGAATCCACATCCAAGGCTGAAATACTGAATTTCTCCCTGATGACTTTGATTTTGATTAATTGGTTGCTGGTTAGGAAATGGCTTCCTCAAAGTGATGTTAGAAAGGTAATAAGCTTTTGTTCTTTTTTCTTCCTTTCCCTTAAAGGTGTGTTGCCATCATTATTAGAAAGCAACAATTATACGTCTTGATACATCTTGTTCTTCCTGGTGCCATGTCAAACCTGGTACAGATGTAAGTTCCCTCTGATCACGTACATTCTAAGACAAACAACACAAATGAGTTTTTTTTAATAAACATATTGACATTTGAAGATAATAAAGAATGTTGATGAGAGGCAGAATGGCTTAGTGAAAAGGGCTGGGGGTTCAAACGTCTAGTTTCTAGTTTTGGTACCATTTCCAATTTGCTGTGTGATTTAGAGCAACTCTTACCATTTATTTTGAACCTTGTTTTTTCTACTGTAAAATGAGAAAGTGAGACTAGATTATGTAAGACCCCCCTTCAGCCTGGAAGTTCTATGAGTTAATGACAAGATGAAGCATTTTAGTTAAATTGATTTTTGGTTTTCCTTTCAGGACCTGTTGCCTACCAATTATAAGGATGCAATGAAACAGTTTTTCCTAGAAAATGGTAAAGATAACTTCCAATTCTGCCAAGATTGAGTAACCCATTTCTCCTAGGCCCTCCTACTTACAACCAAAAAATCCTGGACCTAATAACGAACAAGCATAGGAAGGCTCTGAAAGATAGAAAGAAGAAGGTAGGCTGCTAAGGACCTCGGGACTTGATGAATGACAAGGTGACAAGTTTCCTGGGTTTGCTGACTGTCCCCACATATTCTAAACAAGCCACTCCAAAAGCCTCCTACCTAGAACCATCAATGGGCAGGCATAGAAATGCTACCAGAAAAGTCTGTTTCCCACATTCAAAGACCTAGGGAAATAATAATCTAACAAAAGGAAATATTTCTGACAATTCCCACCCTACTCTAGCAAAAAATCAATGAAAAATACACAGCTCTACTTCCAGCTGATATTCCAGCCCACTGCACCATCTTTACTACCCCCCAAAGAAGCAGATGATACAGCAGGGCCAAGCAGGGAGCTAATCTTCTTATCTCCTGAACAGGAGACTGGTGTTCCATCTCCACTTGACAGGAGCAGAAGATCTGGGATTCTCTCATTTAGTGCTGCCAATAGGGCCCATCAGGGAGCTGATCTTCCACTTCTGCCTGAAGGAAGCAAGCAGTACTTGACTGATTCCCTCACCAGGGTAGTGTCAATGCCACCGAACACCAAGGAGGAAGAATGAGATGGAGGGAGATCGAATAGCAGTAAACAAGTGTAAAATAAAATTTTAAAAATTCCACTTACAATATCATTAAAAAGTTAAGAATTAATTTAACAAAAGGAGTGCAAAACTTATACCCTGAAACAACAAAATTGTCAAAAAATTAAAGACCTAAATAAACAGAAAAACATCCCATACTGATCACAATATATAATATTTTAAGAAGGCAAAACTCCCCAGAATTGATCTACACATTTGTTTTAGTCCATTTGTTCTGCTATAACAAAATACCTGTGACTGGGTAATTGACAAGAACAGAAATTTATCTCTCACAGTTCTGGAGGTTGCAATTTTGAGATCAAGGCACCAGCAAGTTTGGTGTCTGGTGAGAGCCCCATCTCTGCTTACAAGATGGTGCTTTGTTGCTGCAGATTCTGGAGGGGAAGAATGCTGTGTCCTCACAAGGCAGAAGGGCTGCAAGGGGTAAAAATGGACTAAACTCCCTTCCTATCTATCTATCTACAATCTATCTCTCCAGTTGATTTTCAACTAAGTACCACGGAAATTCAGTGAGGGAAGGATAGTCTTTACAATGAAGGTTGTTGAGACAGCTAGATATTCATATGCAAAATAACTTATAATAACAATTAACCAATACCATATACAAAAATTAACCCAAAATGAATCAAAGACCTAAATATATGAGATAAAACTATAAAACCCTTAGAAGAAAACATGGGCTTAAATTTTCATGACTTTGGATCAGTCAGCCACTTCTTAAATAAGACAAAGCACAAGAGAGAAAAGAAAATAGTAGGTACATTGAACGTCATCAAAATTAAAACATGCTGTACTTCAAAGGACCCCATCAATAAGTGAAAAGATAACCCACAGAATGGAAGAAAACTTTTATGAATCATATATCTGATAAGAGACTTGTATCTAGAATATCTATACAAACAACTATTAAAATTCAATAATGGAGACAAAAAGGAAAATAATGCAATGAAAAAAAGATGGGGGGTAGTGATTAGAAGGGCACACAAGAAGGGCTTCCAGGGTTCTGGAAATGCTGAAAGTATTCTGTTTCTTGATATGCCTAATGCTTCTATAGGTTTGTGAAAATTGCTTTGTGAAAATTTACTGAGCTTCACATCTATGATCTATGCACTGTGCACTTTTCTGAATGTATATGCCAATACATTTGTTTGTTAAAAACAAAAACAAGAAAATAAGTGCTGTTTCAGTCCAATCAAACAAAACCTGAAATTTTGAAATAAGAAGTATGGGAAAGTCCAGTTAAGTTAGTGTGTGACATCTCCCCAATCTGGGACTATCCTCATAATACCTGATTTTAATTGGTTTGTCAAAAAAATTAAGTAATACTAAATTTAGCCCTCTGGATAGAACTCTTCTGAGGATTCCATAGTACTTTTTTTCCAACTAATGCAGAGCCTTCCTGGCTCTCTAATAGTTAATAAGATTGAAATAGGAAAAATATAAAGATACAAGCTCTTTGACTTCCTGTGGAGCTTCAGTTTTATCTTGAGACAACCCTGGAGTTTCCAGTCTACATGAAAAAAAAACTCCATCTTCTAGTGTAAGAACTCACAAATTATCTTCTTCTTATATTGATATAAGTGTGGCCTACTCAAATACTCTCAGATTTCTCACTTAGATAGTGAAAATAGGGGAGTGAAGTCAACAAAATTGTAGAATAGGTGTTTTCAGTGCTAGTTCCCTCACAGAAACATCAATTTCAACAACTATCTATTGCAGGATTTTTCCTCAGTTCACCTAAAGACAGGTCCTTGTCCCATGGCCATCAGAATTTAGGCTTGCAGACTATTTAAAGATTGAGTAAGGCAGGGTTTTATTGGGTGAAATGGAAAAAAAAATGGTTGGGGGAACAGGCATTCTCCGCAAGGTCAGAGTTCCTGCTAGTGTGTTTCCTGCCTTGCAGCTTGAATCCCAGATTCCACACAGGAAGAGGAGGGGCCGGGCTCCTCCCACTGCAAATGGCAAGAACTTCTGTGGCTCTGCCACAGTGTATGCTCCTTCCAGTGTGCAGGTCAGTTGGAGCCTCTGCCAGGGAGCCCTTTCACCTGACTGTCTCACATCCATGCCTGAAAATCCTTTCACAAAAGCTAAGGAATCTTGGTGAAAGATTACAGTACCTAGATAGAGCATGGGGAAACAGGCACTCTCTGCAAGGTCATAGTTCCTGCTAGTGTGTTTACTGCCTTGCAGCTTGAATCCCAGATTCCACACAGGAAGAGGAGGGGCCGGGCTCTTCCCCACTGCAAATGGCAAGAACTTCTGTGGCTCTGCCACTGTGTATGCTCCTCCCAGTGTGCAGGTTAGTCGGAGCCTCTGCCAGGGAGCCCTTTTCACCTGACTGTCTCACATCCATGCCTGAAAATCCTTTCACAAAAGCTAAGGAATCTTGATGAAAGATTACAGTACCTAGATAGAGCATGGAAATAAAAAAGGGTATTGGAATAATGTAGAATAATGTAGAAAGGACAGTTTCACACTACCCACTTCTCCCTTCCCCCAAGCCCATACAGCACACTGCGGAGACACCCTCCCTGTGAGAGAAGAGGAGTAAAGTGGACACTCAACTTTACCATGGACCCCAGAAACAGGCACACCAGCTTCTGTGAACTATAGCACCAGGCCATTCCCCATGGCCACAGGCTTCAGGTCTACCTCAGCAACAGGACAGGCTCTGTAGACCCAGCCTCTAGACTGACTCCCATAGTTCCAAGTTCCAGGCCTACTCTAGCACTAGGCTAGCCCAGCCTATAATAGCCCGAGTCTCCAGACTAGCCCCTGCAGACCCAGGATCTGGGCTGACCCTAGAATAAGGCCAGTGCCCATGGCCCCAGGCACTAGGTTAAGAATTCACACCCAGGCCACAGCTTGTGGACCCAGGCATGAAGTCAGTTGCTGTGGAACCAGGTGCCAGGCCCAACACCACTGACATGGGCCTGTTGCTGGGGATTCCAGCAACAGGCCCTCCTGTACACTCCACCAGCCAGTCCACCCAGAATTTCTAAACAGGCTGACAGAAAAAGTCATTTACCTGCCATAGCCAGCCTGAAAAGACTAAAGGAGGTGGCTATTTTCTCAAATGTGCAAATACTAGCTGGAACAGCTAAGGGGGCCTTGTGCCACCTTCCCCCAAACCCCCAGCTTTTGGCTCCAAAAGATACCTTTTCCCTCCACTTTAGAAGAGAAGAGAGATGAGTAAAGACTTTATATTGCATCTTTGACACCAGCTCAGCCACAGTAGTTTGGGGCAACAGTCAGAGTCATGTGGCCCCTTTTCCAGGCCCTAACTACTAGACAACATTTCTAGAAATATGCTGGGCCAGAAGGGAACCCACTGCCTTAGACAGAAGGATACAGTCTTGGGAGAACCCATCACCTGCTGACCAAAAAAACTTTCAGCCCTGAATAACAAAGAGTAATACCCAGGTAGTAGGCCATGAGCCTTAGGTAAGACTCTGAGACTTGCTGGTTTCACGTGAGACTCAGCACATTCCCAGCTGTGGTGGCTATGGGGCAAAACTCCTTCTGCTTGAGAAAAGCAGAGAGAAATGTAAAGGAGACTTTATTTTATACCTTAGGTACCAGCTCAGACACACAGTAGTAGAGAATCAGGTGGGCTCTTGGAGTATGCAATTCAGACCCTGGCTATTGGACAGCATTCCGGACATGTGCTAGGCCACAAGGGAGCCCACTGCTGTGAATGGTGAGTCCCAGGCAAGGCAGCATTCACAAGCTGAATTAATAGCCCTTGAACCTTTAGGAGTCTGGCAGTACTTCTCATGCTCTGGGATGGTGGTAGCTACTGGGGGATGCTTCTCTGCCTTTGCAAAGGTGAGGGAAGAATGGGAAGGACTGTATCTTATGGTTTGAGTGTCAGCTGAGCTGCAGTGCAATAGAACATAAGGTAGACTTCTAAAGTTTGTGACTGTAGTCCCTGACTCCCGGATGGCATTTCTGGACACTCCTGGGGCCTAGGGGACCTCTCCATCCTGAAGGAAAGGAAACAGTCTTGGCTGGCATTGCCACCTGCTTGTTGCAGAGCCCCAAGGTCTTGAGCAAACATAGCCAGGAAGTGGTTAAAACAGGCCTTGTGTGAGACCCAGTGCTATACTGGCTTCAGGTCTGAACCACAGCAAGCATAATGGTGGTGGCCACAGAGTGCTCATGTCACTCTACCCCCAGGTTTATATGGTTCAGAACAGAGAGATAAATACTCTGTTTATTTGGGAAGAAGTAAGAGAAGAGAACAAGAATCTGTCAGTAATCCAGATAATTCTCACTGATTCTGTCCAAGACAGTCAAGGCAGTACCTCAATGAGCCTGCAAGAAAAATATGATCTCACCAAAGGAACTATATAAAGCACCAGTGACCAATCAAAAACAGAGATATATGACCTTTCAAACAGAAAATTCAAAACAACTCTGTTGAGGAAACACAAAGAAATTCAAGATAACACAGAGAAGGAATTCAGAATTCTATCAGATAAATTTAACAAAGAGATTAAAATAGTAAAGAAGAAGCAAACAAAAATGTTGGAGCTGAAAAATGCAATTGGTATACTGAATGCATTGAAGTCCTTTAATAGCAGAATTTATCAAGCAGAATAAAAGAATTAGTGAGCTTGAATTAAACTTAAAAACTTCGGCACAGCAAAAGAAATTGTCAACAGGGCAATCAGACAACATACATAATGGGAGAAAAATTTTGCAAACTATGTATCTGATGAAGGTCTAATATCCAGCATCTATAAAGAGCTTAAACCAATGTACGAAAGTAAAACAAACAACCCCAATAAAAAGTGGGCAAAAAACAAGGACACTTTTTAAAAGAAGCATACATACAGCCAACAAGCATATGGAAAAAAAAATCTCAATATCACTGATCATTAGAGAAACACAAATCAAAACCACAGTGAGTTACCATCTCACACCAGTCAGAATGGCTATTATGAAAAAGCCGAAACGTAACAGATGCTAGCAAGATTGTGGAGAAAAAGGAATGCTTATATGCTTTTGGTGGGATTGTAAATTAGTTCAACCATTGTGGAAAGCAGTGTGGCAATTCCTCAAAGAGCGAAAAGCAGAACTACCATTTAACCCAGCAATCCCATTTCTGGGTATATACCCAGAGGAATATAAATCATTCTACCATAAAGACATGCACGTGAATGATCATTGCAACACTATTCACAATAACAAAGACATAGAATCAACCTACATACCTATCAATAGTAGACTGGATAAAGAAAATGTGGTACATATACACCATGGAATATATGCAGCCATAAAAAAGAATGAGATTTTGTCTTTTGCAGGAACATGGATGGAGCTGGAGGCTACTATCCTTAGGAAACTAACACAGGAACAGAAAACCAAGTACCGCATGTTCTCACTGATAAGTGGGAGCTAAATGATGAGAACTCATGAACACAAAGAAGGAAACGACAGAAACTGGGGTCTATTTGAAGGTGGAGGGTGGGAGGAGAGAGAGGAACAGAACAATAACTATTAAGTACTGGGTTTAATACCTGGGTGATAAAATAATCTGCGTAACAACCCCCCACCAACCCCTGTGACACAAGTTTACCTATGTAACAAACCTTCACATGTACCTTAAAACCTAAAATAGAAATTTTTAAAGGTCCAGTGCAGTGGCTCATGCCTGCATTCCCAGCACTTTGGGAGGCTGAGGTGGATGGATCACTTGAACTCACGAGTTTGAGACCAGCCTGGGCAACATGGTGAAAACCCATCTCTACTAAAAATACATAAATTAGCTGGGTGTGTTGACACATGCCTGTAGTCCCAGCTACTTGGAAGGCTGAGGTAAGAGAATGGTTTAAGCCCTGGAGGTGGAGGTTACAGTGAGCCAACATCATGCTACTGCACTCCAGCCTGGGCAACAGAGTCATACCCTGTCTTAAAAAAATATAGTGAGCTTTGAGCTCAAGAGATTGAGACCATCTTGGCCAACATGGTGAAACCCCATTTCTACTAAAAATACAAAAATTAACTGGGCGTGGTGGCGCACACCTGTAGTCCCAGCTACTCAGGAGGCTGAGGCAGGAGAATCACTTGAACCCAGGAGGCAGAGGTTTCAGTGAGCCGAGATTGCGCCACTGCACTCCAGCCTGGTGACAGAGCGAGACTCCATCTCAAAAAAAAAAAAAAAAAAAAAAAAAAAAAAAAAAAAAAAAAAAAACAGCTTAAAGGCATGCTATTTGGAAATACACAGTCAGAGAAGACAAAACAGAAAAAAATAAAAAACAATAAAGGACACCTACAAGGACTTAGAAAATAGCCTAGTTGTTTTCCTTAAAGAGGAGGTAGAGAAACAAATAAGGGTAGGATGCCTATTGAAAGGAATGGTAATAGAAAACTTCCTAAACCTAAAGAAAGATACCAATATCCAAGTACAAGAAGGTTATAGAACACCAAGCCGACTTAACCCAAGAAAGACTACCTCAAGGTGTTTAATAATCAAACCCTCAAAGATCAAGGATTTAAGAAGGGATCCTAAAAGCAGCAAAAGAAAAGAAACAACACACAATGGAGCTCCAATACATTTGGCAGCAGACTTTTCTGTGGAAATTAGGTCTGTAAGGTTTTCACTGAAAAGAGAAGTGGAATGGCTTATTTAAAATCTTGAAGGAAAAAATAAATAAAAACTTTTACCCTAGAATAGTATATCCAGTAAAAATATCTTTCAAACATGGAGAAATAAAGTCTTACCAGAATAACAAAAGTAAGGTATTTAATCAACAGAAGACCTGTCCTACAAAAAATGTTAAAGAGAATACTTCGATCAGAAAGAAAATAACATTAATGAAAAATAAGTAATCACTTTAAGGTACAAAACTCAATGGTAATAGTAAGTACACAGAAAAACAGAATATTACAACACTGTAACTCTGGCCTTAAAACTACACTTTTCCTAAGTAGAATGACTAATTAACTAATCATGAATAATAATTACAACAACTTTTCAAGACATAGTCAGTACACAAAGGTATAAACAGAAATATCAAAAAGTTGAAAATGGGGGAACAAAGTTAAGGCATAGAGTTTTTATTAGTTTTCCTTTGTTTGTTTGTGCAAACAGTGTTAAGTAGTTAACAGGTTAAAATGTTGGGTTATAAAGTAATAGTTTCTAGCCTCATTGTTACCTCAATCCAAAAAATGTACAATGGAGATATAAAAATATAGAAGGCAAGAAACTAATCATATCACCAGATAAAATCACCTTCACAAAACTTAAGACAGAAAGAAAAGAAAGAAGGAAGAGAAGACTAGAAAACAAATAACAAAATGGCAGCAGTAAGTCCTTACTTATCAATAATATGAATATAAATGGATTAAACTCTCCAGTCGAAAGACATAGACTGGATGAATGGATGAAAAAAAAAAAAACAAGACCTATTGATATGTTTCCTACAATAAACACACTGAATCTATGAAAAATACACATAAACTGAAAATAAAAATATGTAAAAAATATTCCCTGCCAATGGAAACCAAAAAAAAGCATCAAAATTGCTATATTTATATCAGACAAAATAGATTTCAAGACAAAAACTACAAGAAGAAGCAAAGGAGGTCAAAATGTAATGATAAAGGGATCAATTCAGCAAAAGGATACAAGAATTTTAAGTATATATGCACCTAACACTAAAGCACCCAGATATATAAAGGAAATATTATTTGAGCTAAAGAGACAGATAAGCTCAAGTGCTATAATAGCTGGAGATGTCAACACCCTACTCTCAGCATTGGACAGATCCTGCAGACAGAAAATCAACAGTGAAATTTCAGACTTAATCTGCACAATAGACCAAATGTATCTAATGGATATTTACAGAGCATTTCATCCAATGGCTAGAGAATATACATTTTTTCCTCAGCACATGGATTATTCTCAAGGATAAGCCATATGCTAAGTGACAAAACAAGTTATAAAAACATTCAAAAAACTGAAATTATATCAAGCATCTTCTCTTACCACAAGAGAATAAACTAAAAATTAATAACAAAATGAATTTTGGAAACTATACAAATACATGGAAATTAAACAATATGCCCCTGAATGATGAGTAGGTCAATGAAATTAAGAAGAAAATTAAATAATTTCTTGAAACAAATGATAATGGAAACACATCATACCAAAACCTACAGTATGTAACAAAAGCAGTAGTAAGACAGAAGTTTATAGTTAGAGGTGCCTACACAGAAAATGGAAAATTTTCAAATAAACAATCCAATAATGCATCTTAATTAACTAGAAAAGCAAGAGAAAACCAAACCCACAATCAGTAGAAGAAAATAAAGATAATAGTAGAAATAAATAAAACTGAAATGTAAAAATATATATAAAAGATCAATGAGTTCATTGTAGATTCTGGATATTAGCCCTTTGTCAGATGAGTAGGTTGCGAAAATTTTCTCCCATGTTGTAGGTTGCCTGTTCACTCTGATGGTAGTTTCTTTTGCTGTGCAGAAGCTCTTTAGTTTAATTAGATCCCATTTGTCAATTTTGGTTTTTGTTGCCATTGCTTTTGGTGTTTTGGACATGAAGTCCTTGCCCACGCCTATGTCCTGAATGGTAATGCCTAGGTTTTCTTCTAGGGTTTTTATGGTTTTAGGTCTAACGTTTAAATCTTTAATCCATCTTGAATTGATTTTTGTATAAGGTGTAAGGAAGGGATCCAGTTTCAGCTTTCTACATATGGCTAGCCAGTTTTCCCAGCACCATTTATTAAATAGGGAATCCTTTCCCCATTGCTTGTTTTTCTCAGGTTTGTCAAAGATCATCAAAAAGTGGGCGAAGGACATGAACAGACACTTCTCAAAAGAAGACATTTATGCAGCCAAAAAACACATGAAGAAATGCTCATCATCACTGGCCATCAGAGAAATGCAAATCAAAACCACTATGAGATATCATCTCACACCAGTTAGAATGGCAATCATTAAAAAGTCAGGAAACAACAGGTGCTGGAGAGGATGTGGAGAAATAGGAACACTTTTACACTGTTGGTGGGACTGTAAACTAGTTCAACCATTGTGGAAGTCAGTGTGGCGATTCCTCAGGGATCTAGAACTAGAAATACCATTTGACCCAGCCATCCCATTACTGGGTATATACCCAAAGGACTATAAATCATGCTGCTATAAAGACACATGCACACGTATGTTTATTGTGGCACTATTCACAATAGCAAAGACTTGGAACCAACCCAAATGTCCAACAATGATAGACTGGATTAAGAAAATGTGGCACATATACACCATGGAATACTATGCAGCCATAAAAAATGATGAGTTCATGTCCTTTGTAGGGACATGGATGAAATTGGAAACCATCATTCTCAGTAAACTATCGCAAGAACAAAAAACCAAACACCGCATATTCTCACTCATAGGTGGGAATTGAACAATGAGATCACATGGACACAGGAAGGGGAATATCACACTCTGGGGACTGTGGTGGGGTCGGGGGAAGGGGGAGGGATAGCATTGGAAGATATACCTAATGCTAGATGACACATTAGTGGGTGCAGCGCACCAGCATGGCACATGTATACATATGTAACTAACCTGCACAATGTGCACATGTACCCTAAAACTTAGAGTATAATAAAAAAAAAAAAAAAAAAAAAAAAACACCTGATTGCAGATGCATAGAAAAAATGTGTGTCCACATGCCAAAATTTGTCAATAGCAATTGCATCTAAGGAGAAGGACTAGGAGGCTGGAATGAAGAATTATTTTTTATTGTATTTTCTTTTAAAAATAATAAAGTAGATTTAAATCTCCAAAAAAAAAAAAAAAAAGATCAATGAAAAAAGAAAAAAAAAGCAAAGAAAAAATAGAAGATCACTGAAACTAAGAGTTTTTTTTTTTGAAAAGTTAAAAAATAGCAAACCTTTAGCTAGACTAGCTATGAAAAAAAGAGAGAAGATCGAAATAAAATCAGAAATGCAAAAGGAGACATTACAACTGATATAGCAGACATTAAAATAACCATCAGTGGCTACTAAGAGCAACTATGTGCCAATAAATTGGAAAATCTAGATGAAATAGACAAATTCCTAGATACATACAACCTACCAAGATTAACCAGGTATAAATCCAAAACCTGAGCAGGCCAATAACAAGTAACAAGATCAAAGCTGTCATACAAAGTCTCCCAGTAAAGAAGAGCCTGAAACCTGATGGCTTCACTGCTTAATTCTACCAAACATTTAAAGAAGAAATAATACCAATTTTACTCAAATGATTCCAAAAAATAGAGAAGGAGGGAATACTTCGAAACTCATTCTATGAGGCCAGTATTACCCTGCTATGAAAACCAGACAAAGACACATCAAAAAAAGAAAGCTACAGCCAATATTTCAGGTTAATATTGATGCAAATATTCTCAACAAAATACTAGCAAACAGAATTCAACAATACTTTTAAAAGAATGTGATCTGATCAAACTAAGTAGTTTCTGCACAGCAAAAGAAACTATTATCAGAGTGAACAGGCAACCTAGAGAATGGGATAACATTTTTGCAATCTCCCCATCTGACAAAGGGCTAATATCCAGAATCTACAAAGAACATAAACAAATTTACAAGAAACAAACAAACCCATCAAAAAGTTGGTGAAGAATATAAACAGACACTTCTCAAACGAAGACATTTATATGGCCAACAACTATATAAAAAAGGCTCATCATCACTGGTCATTAGAGAAATGCAAATCAAAACCGCAATGGGATACCATTACACACCAGTTAGAATGGCGATCATTAAAATGTCAGGAAACAATAGATGCTGGAGAGGATGTGGAGAAATAGGAAAGCTTTTACACTGTTGATGGAGGTGCAAATTAGTTCAACCATTGTGGAAGACAGTGTGGTGAATCCTCAAGGATCTAGAACCAGAAATACCATTTGACCCAGCAATCCCATTACTGGTTATATACCCAAACGATTATAAATCATTCTACTATAAAAACACATACACACGTATGTTTATTGCAGCACTATTCACAATAGCAAAGACTTGGAACCAATCCAAATGCCAATCAATAATAAACTGGATAAAGAAAATTTGGCTCATATACACCATGGAATACTATGCAGCCATCAAAAAGGATGAGTTCATGTCCTTTGCAGGGACATGGATGAAACTGGAAACTGTCATTCTCAGCAAACTAACTCAAGAACAGGAAACCAAACACCACATATTCTCACTCATAAGTGGGAGGTGAATAATGACACATGGACACAGGGAGGGGAACATCACACACTGGGGCGTGTCGGGGGGGTGGGCTGCTAGGGGAGAGATAGCATTAGGAGAAATACTTAATGTAGATGGTGGGTTGATGCGTGCAGCAAACCACAATGGCACATATAAACCTATGTAACAAAACTGGATGTTCTACACATGTACCCCAGAACTTAAAGTATAATAATAAAAAAAAAGATTATTCATCATGCCAAGTGTGATTTATCCCTGGGATGCAAGTATGGTTTAACATACACAAATAAATCAATGTGATACATCATATTGATAGAATGAAGCATAAAAACCATATGATCACTTCAATTGATGCTTAAAAGACATTCGATAAAATGCAACATCCCTTCATGAATGATAAAAATCCTCAAACAACTGTACAGTGGGGGCATACCTCAACATAATAAAAGCTACTTACAACAGACCCACAGCTAGTATCACACTGAATGGGGGAATACTAAAAGCCTTTCCTCTAAAATCTGTAATACAACAAGGATGCCCACTTTTACTACTGTTATTCAACAGAGTACTGGAAGTCCTAGTTATAGCAATCAGACAAAAAGAAAGATATAAAGGGGCATTCAAATTAGAAAGAAAGATGTCAAATTATCCTTGTTTGCAGACGATATAATCTTATATTTGGGAAAACCTAAAGACTCCACAGGAAAACTATGAGAACTGATATGTTCAGTCAAGTTGTAGGACACAAAAATCAACATAAAAAAATCAGTAGCATTTCTACATGCCAACAGTGAACAATGTGAAAAAATAATTTTAAAAGCAATCCCATTTACAATAGTGATGCATAAAAGTAAATATCTAGGAATTAACTTAACCAAAGAAGTGAAAGATCTCTATAATGAAAATTATATAACAATGATGAAAAAAATTAAAGAGGGCACCAAAAATGGAAAAATATTCTATATTCATGGATTGAAAGAATCAATAGTTAAAATGTCCATACTACCCAAAGCAATCTACAGATTCAGGGCAATTCCTATCAAAATACCAATGGCATTCTTCACAAAAATAGAAAAAACAATCTTAAAATGTATATGGAATCACAAAAGACCCAAAATAGCCATGCTATCCAGAGCAAAAAGAACAAAACTGGAGGAATCACATTGCCTGACTTTAAATTATACTACAGAGCTCTTGTAACAAAAATGACATGGTGCTTGTATAAAAACAGACACATGGATCAGTGGATTAGAATAGACAACCCAGATATAAATCCACATTCATCTACAGTGAGCTCATTTTTGACAAAGGTACCAAGAGCATACATTGGGGAAAGTGCAGTCTCTTCAATAGCTGGTGCTGGAAAAACTGTATACGCACATGTAAAAGAATAAAACTAGACCCATATTTCTCTCCATATAAAAATATCAAATCAAAATTAATTAAAGACTTAGATCTAAGACAGCAAACCATGAAACTGCTACAAGAAATCATTAGGGGAAATCCCCCAGGACCTTGGTCTAGGCAAAAATTTATTGAGTAACACCCCACAAGCAGAGGCAATCAAAGCAAAAATGGACAAATGGAATGAAATAAAGTTAAAAAGCTTCTGCACAGCAAAAGATACAATCAACAAAGTGAAGAGACAATCCACATAATTGAAGAAAATATTTTCAAACTATCCATCTGACAAGGGATTAATAACCAAAATATATAAGGAGCTCAAAGTACTCTCTAGAAAAAAAAAATCTAATCATCTGATCAAAAGATGAGCAAAAGATTTCAATTGAAATCCCTCAAAAAAAGAGATACAAATGACAGTCATAGAAAAAGGTGCTCAACATCATTGGTCATCAGAGAAATGTAAATCAAAACTACAATGAGATATCATCTCACCCCAGTTAAAATGGCTTTTATCCAAAAGACAAGCAATAACAAATGCTGGTGAGGATGTGAAGAAAAGAGAATGCTTATACTTTCTTGGTGGGAATGCAAATTAGTATAACCACAATGGAGAACAGTTTGGAGGTTCCTCAGCAAACTAAAAATTGAACTACCATATGATCCAACAATCCCACTGCTGGGTATATACTCCACTGCACCCCACCCCCCAAAAAAAGGAAACTAATGTATCAAAGAGATATCTACACTTCTATGTTTGTTGCAGCACTGTTTACAGTAACTGAGATTTGGAAGCAACCTAAGTGTCCATCTACAGATGAATAGATAAAGACAATGTGGTACATATACAGGATGGAGTTCTATTCATCCATAAAAGAATGAGATCCAGTAATTTTCAACAACATAGATGGAACTGGAGATCATTGTGTTAAGTGAAATAAGCTAGGCACAGGAAGACAGGAAGACAAACATCACATGTTCTCACTTATTTGTGGAATTTGAAAATCAAAACAATTAAACTCATGTACATAGAGAGTAGAAGGATAGTTACCAGAGGCTAAGAAAGGTAGTGAGGGGCTGTCAGAGAGGTTGGAATGCTTAATGTGTCCAAAAAAAAAAAAAAAAAAAAAAAGAATGGATAAGACCTACTATTTGACAGCACCATAGGTTGCCTACAGTCAGTAATAATGTAACTGTACAATCGAAAATAAAGAATGTAATTAGATAGATTGTTTACTACTCAGTGGATAAATGCTTAAGGGGATAGATGCACTATTCTTCATGATGTGCTTATTTCACATTGCATGACTGTATCAAAACATCTCATGTACCCCATATGTACACCTACTATGTAGCCACAAAAATTAATTTTTTTTGAGACAGAGTTTTGCTCTTGTTGCCCAGGCTGGAGTGCAATGGTGCAATCTCGGCTCACTGCAACCTCCACCTCAGAGGTTCAAGTGAATCTCTTGCCTCAGCCTCCCGAGTAGCTGGGATTACAAGCATCTGTCACCACGCCCAGCTAATTTCGTATTTTTAGTAGAGATGGGGTTTCTCCATGTTGGTCAGGTGGTCTTGAACTCCCAGCCACAGGTAATCCACCTGCCTCAGCCTCCCAAAGTGCTGGGATTACACAAGTGAGCCACTGTGCCCAGCCTAAAAATTTAAAAATTAAAAATAAATAAAAATAAATTCAAAGTAAAGACCTAAAAATAATATTTTTAAACTGTAAAACTACTAAAAGGAAATATAGAAAAATACTTTTTGACATACTTCTAGAAAATGATTTTTCTTGATATGACCCACAAAATACAGGTAGCAAAAGAAAAAAATAGACAAATGAGATTACATCAAACTTAAATGCTTATGAACAGCAAAGAAAACAATAAACAGAGTGAGGAAACAACCCACAGAATGGAGAATATGTGTGCAAACCATACATCTGATAGGGGGTTGATATCACAAACAACTCAATAGTAAGAAAACTAATAACCTGATTAATACATGGGCAAAGGACCTGAATAAACATTTCTCAAAAGAAGACAAATGACCTACAAGTATTTGAAAAAATGCTCAACATCACTAATCACCAGGGAAATATAAAGTAAAAGCACAATGAGATACAACTCATACTTGTTAGAATGGATATTATAAAAAAAGACCAAAGTTAACAAATGTTGGCAAGGATTTGGTAAAAAGGGGAAACTTATATGCTATCTGTGGAAATATACTTTATTACAGACAGTACGAAAAACATTATTAAAGTTTCTCAAAAAATAAACACATAACTACCATATGATACAGCAACCCCATTTCTGGGTATATATCCGAAAAAAAAAAAAAAAAGGAAAATCTTGATCTCAGAGAGATATCTGCAGTCCTATGTTTATTGTAGCACACTATTCACAATAGCCAAGATATGAAATCAACCTAGGCTTCTATTGACAAATGAATGGATAAATAAAATGTGATGTATATCACATTTTTCATGTATATTTTATTATATATATATTTATTTATTTATATCATTCAGCCTTTAAAAAGAAGGAGGGAATGTCGGATTAAGATGGCAGACAGGAGGCAGGACTAGCTTGCAGCTCCCACTTGGAAAGGCAGAGCAGCATGTGGAGACTCACACTGCAAACTTTTGCTCCAAGAACTACTGCAGGAACATGCCAGGAAAGCCAAAACAATCCACAGACCCTTTCAAGGAACTGGATCACTGTTGCAGGCTCCCTGTGATGCCAGAAATACTGTGAGTTGGCTTACTTTCTCAATGGGGAGGCTCATGGTCTGAGGCAAGCTCTCAGCCCTGGTCACCGGCTACCTGGAAGTACACTCGGTGCTGTTGGGAGGGCACAGTGGGAGTGAGACTGGCTTCTAGGACCGTGAGCTGCTTGTGAGCAGGGTGAGGCCTGTGACTGTCGGTTTTTCCTCACTTCCCTGGAGACCTGTTTGACTCAGGAGAGGCAGCCATAATCCAGGAAGTTTGGGACTACTTTAAACATCCAAACTGAAGAATAATTGGTGTTCCCAAGGGAGAAGAGAAATCTGAAAGTCTGGAAAACATATTCAAGGAAATAATCGAGGAAAACTTCCCTTGCTTTGCTAGAGATCTAGTCATCCAAATACAATAAGCTCAAAAAACACCTGGGAAATTCATCACAACAGGATCAGTGCCTAGGCTCACAGCCATCAGGTTATCTAAAGTCAAGACTAAGAAAAGAATCTTAAGAGCTGTGAGGCAAAAGCATTAGGTAACCTATAAAGGAAAACAAATCAGAGTAACAGAAGAGTTGTCAGCAGAAACCCTACAAGCTAGAGGGTATTGCTGTTCTATTTTTAGCCTCCTTAAAACAATTATCAGCCAAAAATTTGGTATCCAGTGAAACTAAGCTTCAAAAGTGAAGGAAAGATAGTCTTTTTCAGACTAATAGTGAAAGAATTCATCACTACCAAGCCAGAACAACAAGAACTGCTAAAAGGAGCTCTAAATCTTGAAACCAAACCTCAAAATACACCAAAATAGAACCTCCTTAAAGCATAAATCTCACAGGATCTATATAACAATAACACAATGATGAAAAACACAAGGTAATCAGGCAACAAATAGCACGATCAATAGAATAGTACCTCACATCTCAATACTAACATTTAATTTAAATGGCCTAACTGTTCCAAATTACTGCTGTCTTCACAAGACTCACCTAACACATAAGTACCCATATAAACTTTAGGTAAAGGGGTAGAAAAAGATATTCCATGCAAATGGACACCAAAAGCAAGCAAGAGTAGCTAGTTTTTTTTTGTTGTTGTTGTTGTTGTTGTTGCTGTTTTTGGTTCTTCTGTTGTTGTTTTTGTTTTTGGGGTTTGTTTTGTTTTGAGAAGGAGTCTAGCTCTGTTGCTCAGGCTAGAGTGCAGTGGCACGATCTTAGATCTTGGCTAACTGCAACCTCCACCTCCTTGGTTCAAGCAATTCTCCTGCCTCAGCCTCCTGAGTAGCTTGGATTACAGGCACCCACCACTATGCCCAGCTAATTTTTATATTTTTATTTGAGACAGGGTTTCACCATCTTGGCCAGGCTGATCTCAAACTCTCCTGACCTCATGATCCACCCGCCTCAGTCTCCCCAAGTGCTGGGATTACAGGTGTGAGCCACCGTGCCCAGACAGGGGTGGCTAATCTTATATGAGACAAAACAAATATTAAAGTAACAGCAGTTTAAAAAAGACAGAGACATTATCTAATAATAAAAGAACTAGTCTAACAGGAAAATATCACAATTCTAAGTATATATGCACCTACCTGGAGCTCCCAAATTTATAAAACAATTAGTACTAGTCATAAGAAATGAGATAGACAGCCACACGATAATAGTGGAGGAATTAAATATTCCACTGACAGCACTAGACAGGTCAAGACAGAAAGTCAACAAAGAAAAAATGGACTTAAACTATACCTTAGAACAAGTGGACTTAATGGATATTTACAGAACATTCTACACAACAACTGCAGAATATACATTATATTCATCAGCACATGGAATATTCTCCAAGATACACCATATGATAGGCCACAAAACAAGTCTCAGTAAATTTAAGAAAGTCAAAATTATATCAAGTACTCTGTCAGACCACAGTGGAATAAAATTGGAAATCAATTCCAAAAGAACCGTCAAAATCATGCAAATACATGGAAATTAAATAACTTGCTTCTGAGTGATCATTGGGTCAACAATGAAATCATGATGGAAATTTAAAAATTCTTTGAACTGAGTGATAATAGTGACACAACCTATCAAAATCTCTAGGATACAGCAAAATATGTGCTAAGAGAAAAGTTCACAGCACTACATCAAAAGTCTGAAAGAATACAAATAGACAATCTAAAGTCACACTTCAAGGAACTGGGAAACAGTATCAATCCAAGCCCAAACCAAGCAGAAAAAAAGAAAAAAGGAAGATCAGAGCAGAATTAAATAAAATTGAAACAAAAAATTTGCAAAAGATAAATGAAACAGAAGATGTTTCTTTGAAAAGATAAATAAAATTGATAGACCATTAGCAAGATTAACCAAGAAGAGAGAAGATCAAAATAAGCTAAATTATAATAGAAATGAAACGAGATATTACAACTGATAACAGAAATATAAAAGATTATTCAAGGCTACTATGAACAGCTTTATGTGCATAAACTAGAAAACAGAGGAGATGGGTAAATTTCTGGAAAGATACAACCCTCCTACATTAAACCAGGAAAATATAGAATATCTGAACATACCAATAACAAGGAGCGAGATTGAAATGGTAAAAAAAAAAATTGCCAAGAACAACAACAACAAAAGCCCAGGACCAGAATGATTCATGGCTGAATTCTATCAGACATTCAAAGAATTGGTACTATCCTATTGACACTGTTCCAAAAGATAAACAGAGAATCCTCCCTAAGTCATTCTACGAAGCCAGTATTACCCTAATACCAAAACCAGGGAAGGACATAACAAAAAAAGAAAACTACAGACCAATATCCCTGATGAACATAGATGAAAAAATCTCAACAAAATACTAGCTAACAAACTCCAACAGCATATCCAAAAGATAATCCACCATGATCAACTAAGTTTTATGCCAGAGATGCAGGGATGGTTTAACATACACAAGTCAATAAACGTGATAGACCACATAAACAGAATTAACAAAAATCACCTTATTATCTCAATAGACACAGAAAAAGCATTTAACGAAATCCAGCATCCTTTTATGATTAAAACCCTTCAGTGAAATCGGCATACAGGGGACATATCTTAAGGTAATAAAAGCCATCTATGACAAAAGTCATCTGTGAAAAAGCATTTGACAAAATCCAGCATCCTTTTATGATTAAAACCCTCAGTGAAATTGGCATAGAAGGGACACATCTTAAGGTAATAAAAGCCACCTATGACAAACCCGCAGCCAACATTGTACTAAATGAGAAAAAGTTGAAAGCATTCCCCCTGAGGACTGGAACATGACAAAGATGCCTACTTTCACCACTTTTATTTATCATACTACTGGAAGTCCTAGCCAGAGCAATCATACAAGAGAAAGAAATCAGTGGCATCCAAATCAGGAAAGAGGAAGTCAAACTGTCACTGCTTGCTGATGATATGGTCATATACCTAGGAAACCCTAAATACTCATTCAAAAAGCTCCTAGAATTGGTAAATGAATTCAGCAAAGTTTCAGGATACAAAATTAATGTATGCAAATCAGTAGCTCTGCTGTACACCAACAGCAATTAAGCTAAGAATCAAATCAAGAACTCAACCCCAGAGGGGCCAATATGGCCAAATAGAAATAGCTGTGGTCTGCAGCTCCCAGTGAGACCAATGCAGAAGGTGGGTGATTTCAGCCTTTCCAACTGAGGTACCCAGTTCATCTCATTGGGACTGGTTAGGCAGTGGGTACAGCCCATGGAAAGTGAGCAGAAGCAGTGTGGGGCGTTACTTCACCAGAGAAGTGCAAGGAGTGAGGGGACCTCCCTCCGCCAGCCAAGAGAAGCCATGAGGGACTGTACTACCTGGCCTGGGTAATACTCTTTTCCCACGGTTTTCTGCAATCTACAGATCAGGAGATTCCCTCATGAGCCTATACCATCTATATCACCAGGGCCCTGGGTTTCAAACACAAAACTGAGTGACTGTTTGGGCAGACACTGAGCTAGCTGCAGGAGTTTTTTTCATACCCCAGTGGTGCCTGGAAGCCCAGTGAGACAGAACCATTCACTCCCCTGGAAAGGGGGCTGAAGCCAGGGAGCCAAGGGGTATAGCTCAGTGGATCCCACCCCCACAGATCCCAGCAAGCTAAGATCCACTGGCTTGAAATTCTCAATCCCAGGACAGCAGTCTGGAGTTGACCTGGGATGATTGAGCTTGGTGGGAGAGGGGCATCTGCCATTACTGATGCTTTAGTAGGTGGTTCCCACCCGACCGTGCTAGGGAGACTGGGAGGTTTGGACTGAGCATAATTTACCACAGCACAATAAAGCAGCTGTGGCCAGATTGCTTCTCTAGATTCCTTCTCACTTGGCAGGGCATCTCTGAAGCAAATGCAGCAGTCCCAGTCAGGGGGTTACAGATAAAACTTTAATCTCCCTGAGACAGAGCGGGGAGGGGCAGCTGTGGGCACAGCTTCAGTGGACTTAATCTTTTTTGCCTGCCAGTGCTGAAGAGAGCAGCTGATCCTGACAAGGGGGATTCTTCCAGCACAGCACACCAACTCTGCTAAGGGACAGACTGCCTCCTCAAGTGGGTCCCTGACACTTGTGCCTCATGACTGGGAGAGACTTCCCAACAGGGGTCAAAAGACACCTCTTACAGGAGAGCTCCAGCTGGCATCAGGCCAGTGTCCCTCTGGGACTAAGCTTCCAGAGGAAGGAGCAGGCAGCAATCTTTGCTGTTCTGCAGCCTCCACTGGTGATACCAAGGTGAACAGGTTCAGGAGTGGACCACCAGCAAACTGCAGCAGATCTGCAGAAGAGAGATCTGACTGTTAAAACATAAAATAATAAACAGAAAGCAACAACATCAACATCAACAAAAAAGACACCCACACAAAGACCCCATCTAAAGGTCATCAGCCTCAAAAATCAAAAGTAGATAAATCCACAAAGATGAGGAAATGCCAGTGCAAAGACGCTGAAAATTCAAAAAACCAGAATGAGTCTTCTGCTCCAAATGATCGCAACTTCTCTCCAGCAAGGACAGAGAATGACATTGATGAATTGAAAGAAGTAGGCTTCTGAAAGTGGGTAATAACAAACTCTTCTGAGCTAAAGGAGCATGTTCTAACCCAATGCAAGGAAGCTAAGAACATTGATAAAATGTTACGGAAACTGCTAACTAGAATAACCAGTTTAGAGAGGAACATAAATGACCTGACGGAGCTGAAAAACACAGCATGAGAACTTCATAAAGCATACACAAGTATCAATAGCTGAATTGATCAAGTGGAAGAAAGAATATCGAGATTGAAGATCAGCTTGCTGAAATAAGGTGGGAAGACAAGATTAGAGAAAAAAGAATGAAAACGAGACTTCAAGGAATATGAGACTATGTGAAAAGACCAAACCTAAGACTGACTAGTGTGCCTGAAAGTGATGTGAAGAACGGAAGGAAGTTGGAAAACACATTTCAGGATATTATCCAGGAGAACTTCCCCAACCTAGCAAGACAGGTCAACATTCAGATTCAGGAAATACAGAGAACACCACTAAGATACTACTCGAGAAGAACAACCCCAAGATACATAATCATCAGATTCTTCAAGGTTGAAATGAAGGAAAAAATGTTAAGTGCAGCCAGAGAGAAAGGTCAGGTCACCTACAAAGGGAAGCCCATCAAACTAACAGTAGGTCTTTCTGCAGAAACCCTACAAGCTAGAAGAGATTGGGGGCCAATATTCAACATTCTTCAAGAAAAGAATGTTCAACCCAAAATTTCATATCCAGCCAAACTAAGCTGCATAAGTGAAGGAGAAATGAAATCCTTTTCAGACAAGCAAATGCTGAGAGATTTTGTCACCACCAGTCCTGCCTTACAAGAGCTTCTGAAGGAAGCACTAACTATGGAAGAAAAAAAAATCAGTACAAGCCACTGCAAAACACACTAAAATATAAAGAGCAAAAGCACTATGAAGAAACTGCAACTAATGTGCAAAATAACCAGCTAGCATCATGATGACAGGATCAAATTCACACATAACAATATTAATCTTAAATGTAAATGGGCTAAATGCCCCAATTAAGACACAGGATGGCAAATTGGATAAAGAGTCAAGACCCATTAGTGTATTGTATTCAGGAGACCCATCTCATGTACAAAGACACACATATGCTCAAAATGAAGGGATGGAGGAATATTTACCAAGCAAATGTAAAGCAAAAAAAAAAAAAAAAGGAGGGGTTGCAATCCTAGTCTCTGATAAAACAGACTTTAAACCAACAAAGATAAAAAAAAAAAAAAAGACAAAGGAGGGCATTATATAATGGTAAAGGGATAAAGGCAACAAGAAGTGTTAACTATCCTAAATATAGATCCACTCAATACAGGAGCACCCAGATTCATAAAACAAGTTCCTAGAGACCTACAAAAAGACTTAGACTCTCACATAATAATAGTGGAGATTTTAACATGCCACTGTCAATATTAGAAAGATCAATGAAACAGAAAATTAACAAGAATATTTGGGACTTCAACTCAGCTCTGTATCAAGTAGACTTAATAGACATCTACAGAACTCTTCAAACAAATCAACAGAATATACATACTTCTCAGTGCCACATGGCACTTATTCTAAAATTGACCACATAATTGGAAGTAAAACACCCCTCAGCAAATGCAAAAAATATGGAAGTCATAACAAACAGTCTCTTAGACAACAGTGCAATCAAATTAGAACTCAGGATTAAGAAACTCACTCAAAACCTCACAACTACATGGAAATTGAACAACCCATTCCTGAGTGACTTCTGGGTAAATAATGAAATTAAGGCAGAAATAAAGAAGATCTTCAAAACCAATGAGAACAAAGAGACAACATACCAGAATCTCTGAGACACAGCTAAAGCAGGGTTAAGAGGAAAATTTATAGCACTAAATGCCCATATTAGAAAGCTGGCAAGATCTGAAATCAACACCCTAACATCACAATTGAAAGAAATCGAGAAGCAAGAGCAAACAAATTCAAAAGCTAGCAGAAGACAAGATATAACTAAGATCAGAGTAGAACTGAAGGAGACAGAGACATGAAATACACTTCAAAAACAATCAATGAATCCAGGAGTTTGTTTTTTGAAAAAGTTAACAAAATAAATAGACCTCTAGCTAGACTAATAAACAAGAAACAAGAGAAGAATCAAATAAACACAATAAAAAATGATAAAGAAGGTATCACCACTGATCCCACAGAAATACAAACTACCATCAGAGAGTACTATAAACACCTCTATGCAAATAAACTAGAAAATCTAGAAGAGGTGGATAAATTCCTGGACACATATACCCTCCCAAGACTAACCCAGAAAGAAGTGAAATTCCTGAATAGACCAAAAACAAGTTCTGAAATTGAGGCAGTAATTAATAGCCTACCAATCCAAAAAAAGCCCAGGACCTGAGGGATTCACAGCCAAATTCTACCAGAGGTACAAAGAGGAGCTGGTACCATTCTTTCTGAAACTATTTCAAATGATAGAAAAAGAAGGACTACTCCCAAACTCATTTTATGAGGCCAGCATCATCCTGATACCAAAAGCTGGCAGAGACACAACAAAAAAAGAAAAATTTAGGCCAATATCCCTGATGAACATCAATGCAGAAATCCTCAATAAAAATACTGGCAAACCTAATCCAGCAGCACATCAAAAAGCTTATCAACACAATCAAGTCGGCTTCATCAATGGGATACAAGGCTTGTTCAACATGTGCAAATCAATAAACATACTTCATCATGTAAACAGAACCAATGACAAAAAAAATGATTATCTCAATTATACAGAAAAGGCCTTTGATAAAATTCACAGTGCTTCATGCTAAAAACTCTTAATAAACTAGGTATTGATGGAACATATCTCAACATAATAAGAGCTACTTATGACAAACCCATGCCAACATCACACTGAATGGGCAAAAGCTGAAAGCATTCCCTTTAAAAATGAGCACAAGACAAGGATGCCCTCTCTTACCACTCCTATTCAACATAGTGTTGGAAGTTCTGGACAGGGCAATCAAGAAAGAGAAAGAAATAAAGATATTCATATAGAAAGAGAGGAAGTGAAATTGTCTCTGTTTGCAGAAGACATGATTGTATATTTAGAAAACCCCATCGTCTCAGCCCAAAAAATTTTTAAGCTGATAAGAAACTTCAGCAAAATCTCAGGATACAAAATCAATGTGCAAAAATCACAAGCATTCCCACACCCCAACAATAGACAAGCAGAGAGCCAAATCATGAGTAAACTCCCATTCACAATTGTGAAAAAGAGAATAAAATACCTAGGAATACAACTTACAAGGGACGTGAGGGATCTCTTCAAGGAGAACTACAAACTACTGCTCAATGAAATAAGAGAGGACACAAGCAAATGGAAAAACATTCCATGCTCATGGATAGGAAGAATCAATATCATGAAAATGGCCATAATTCCCAAAGTAATTTGTAGATCAATGCTATTCCCATTAAGCTACATTGACTTTCCCTGCAGAATTAGGAAAAAAAAAACTACTACAAAATTAATATGGAACCAAAAAAGTTTGTATAGCCAAAACCATCCTAAGCAAAAGAACAAAGCTGGAGGCATCACACTGCCAGATCTGACCCACAGACCCTGGCTGAAAGACGGATGAAAAAATGCACTCAGATACATGTAACCAGTGAAAGAGTGGACTAGGGGACCAGGCCGCTCACAGAAAGAGTTGTAGCAGCCGTGGCCCGACAAGCCGGCACTGCGGGCATTTATTCTGTACAGATTTAATGACAAAGGCCTTGAATCAACACACTTGCATGTAATTAACATGGTCGCCCCCCCCCACCCCCTCACCCCCACCCCCAGAGAGCAATCCTGTGCAGATGATTAAAGGCCAGGTTCCAAGGCCTAAGTAAACGAACTTATCTAGATCAATTCCCTTACACTTTCTTGTTATCTACTCAGAAAATTCAGCTGCCTTCAGCCAAATTATCTTTTGAAGCTTTTGCAAAACCACCTGGCCTTCCAAGAAGGTCTGCTTCTTTTCCTACACTTTCTCCCAACACCCTGACTGATCTCCTACAAACGTATGTTTACTGCAGCATTATTTACAATAGCAAAGACTTGTAACCAACCCAAATGCTCATCAATGATAGGCTGGATAAAGAAAATGTGGCACATATACACCATGGAATACTATGCAGTCACATAAAATAATGAGTTAATGTCCTTTGCAGGGACATGGATGAAGCTAGAAGCCATCATTCTCAGCAAACTAACACAGGAACAGAAAACCAAACACCATATCTTCTCACTTATTGATGGGAGTTGAACAAGTAGAACACATGGACACAGGGAGGAGAACATTACACACCAGGGCCTCTCAGGGACCCCCTGAGGGGGCAAGGGGAGGGAGAGCATTAGGACAAATAGCTAATGCATGCAGGGCTTAAAACCTAGATGCCATGTTCATAGGTGCAGAAAACCACCATGGCACATGTATACATATGTAACAAACCTGCATGTTCTGCACATGTATCCCAGAACTTAAAGTAAAATTTAAAAAAAAATACAACGGTACTATTCACAATAGCAAAGACTTGGAACCAACCCAAATGTCCATCAATGACAGACTGCATTAAGAAAATGTGGCACATATACACCATGGAATACTATGCAGCCATAAAAAAGGATGAGTTCATGTCCTTTGTAGGGACATGGATGAAGCTGGAAACCATCATTCTCAGCAAACTATCACAAGGACAGAAAACCAAACACCACATGTTGTCACTCATAGGTGAGAATTGAACAATGAGAACACTTGGACACAGGAAGGGGAACATCACACACCGGGGCCTGTTGTGGGGTAGGGGGAGCAGGGAGGGATAGTATTAGGAGATATAACTAATGTAAATGATGAGTTAATGGGTGCAGCACACCAACATGGCACATGTATACATATGTAACAAACCTCCACATTGTGCACATGCACCCTAGAACTTAAAGTATAAAAAATAAAATAAAATAAGATACACCTAATTACCTGTTCCATCATTTAAAAAAAGAAATAAAAAAGAACTCAAGCCCTTTTATAATACCTGCAAAACAAAATATATAAAATACTTCAGAATATACGTAACCAAGGAGGTGAAAGACCTCTACAAGGAAAATGACAAGACACTGCTAAAAGAAACGACAGATTACACCAACAAATGGAAACACATCCCATGCTCATAGATGAGTAGAATCAATATTGTGAAAATGACCATACTGCCAAAAGCAGTCTACAAATTTAATGCAATTCCCATCAAAATACCGTCATCATTCTTCATGGAACTAGAAAAAAAATCCTAAAACTCATATGGAACCAAAAAAGAGCCTGTGTAGCCAAAGAAAGACTAAGCAAAAAGAACAAATCTGGAGGCATCACATTAGCCAACTTCAAACTTTACTGGAAGGCCATAGTCACCAAAACAGCATGGTACTGGTATAAAAATAGGCACATAGACCAATGGAACAGAATAGAGAACCCAGAAATAAAGCCAAATACTCACAACCAACTCAGCTTTGACAAAGCAAACAAAAACATAAAGTGGGGATAGGACACCCTGTTCAACAAATGGTACTCAGATAATTGGCAAGCCACATGTAGGAGAATGAAACTTGATCCTCATCTCTGAACTTTTACAAAAATCAACTCAAGATTGATCAAAGACTTAAATCTAAGACCTAAAACCATAAGGATTCTAGAAGATAACATTGGAAAAACTCTTCTAGACATTAGCTTAGGCAAAGATTTCATGACCAAAGAGCCAAAAGCAAATGCAACAAAAACGAAGATAAATAGATGGGAATTAATTAAATTAAAAATCTTCTGCACAGCAAAAGAAATAATCAGCAGAGTTAAGAGACAACTCACAGAGTGGGAGAAAATTACAATCTATACATCCAACAAAGGAGTAATATCCATAATCTACAAAGAACTCAAACAAGTCAGCAAGAAAAAAACAAACAATCCCACTAAAAAGTGGGCTAAGGATATGAATAGACAATACTCAAAAGAAGATATATAAATTGCCTATGAAAAGATGCTCCACATCACTAATGATCAGGGAAATCAAATCAAAGTTTTCATAGCTACACAAAAATGTGACACTAAACATTTCATTCTAACTCAGCAAATGCATACACCTTTGAAACCTACAATCCTTCTAGTTCTGCCAAACCTGGAACAACAACAACAACAACAACAACAACAACAAAACAGCAAGGGAAAATAAGTAAAGGTTTTAAAAAAAAGGTGATTATAATGATAAACCAGAGAATATTAGTGAGGCAAGGCATGGAGTCAGGATATCAGCAGGTGAGGGAAAATGGAAAGAAGATAGAATGAATGGACTTGAGATCCATGTGGGGTTAATGGATAGTATGGGATATTTTCTTATCCATTTCTTAACCTCTGTGACAGCATACTGGCTGACACAACAGATGTTTGTTGTCAAAATATGAAAATATGTTAAGAGTTTATTTGATTTGCAATAATCTTACAAGTGTCTTTTCCTTGAGAAAAGCTTTCCTGAGACTGTTATAGATATGCGTGTGTATTTACAAATTGCTTCTCACATCTGCTAAATTTAATATGAATGTGTGAAATAAAAGAGAATGCACACACACATTCAAGAAGATGAAAATAATATTAACAGTTACTTCATAGGGTTTTTGCAAGGAAGAAATGAAATAACACATGTGAAACATTGAGAGAAGTGTGTGGCACATGGTGCTGATAGTGATTGTTGTTGTTACTCTATGTATCCCCACCTCCACTCCTGCCATTACCACCAATTCTCCTCTTCTATGCCTTTTTCTTTCATCTTTGCTTTCCTTTTGTCATCCATAATTTTTAAGTTCCCACCCAAACTCCTGCTGCATATCAAAATCTTTCCTTAGGACAGGATCTGTTGTATTATTCATTTACACCATTATATAGATATCTCCTTTTCCAGAATTACTTGATCTCTTTTCTGGTGATCATCTCTTATTCTCAGATAAAATGTGTTATCTCTTAATAAAGACATTTTTTTTTTTTTGAGATGGAGTCTTGCTCTGTCAACCAGGCTGAAGTGCAATGGCACAATCTCGGCTCACTGCCATCTCCGCCTCCCAGGTTCAAGTGATTCTCCTGACTCAGCTTCCTGAGTAGCTGAGATTACAGGTGTGCGCCACCACAGCTGGCTAATTTTTGTATTTTTAGTGGAGACGGGGATTCATGATGTTGGTCAGGCTGGTCTTGAATGCCTGACCTCAGGTGATCCGCCTGCCTTGGCCTCTGAAAGTGCTGGGATTACAGGTGTCAGCCACTGCATCCGGCCGATAAAAACATTTTATGCATCAATGTAAATGTTGTGGTGAAAGGCTGGGGTTTAGGTCTGTTATCAACCCAATACATGGCTAACACACTTGAAAGGGGAAGGCTGTGTTTCCATTTGTAATACTACTATACACAAACAGGTTAAAAGGGCCTACACTATCAAGTCATGTCCAAAAAATTAAGCCAATTCTACAGTTCCATTCGAATATTTTAAGGCCAATGAATGGCTACAGATAACTAATCTTGACAGAAGGTATTATTTCTCAAGAAAGGTTAAGTGACTCACTGATAGTCACCCAGCTGTATTTTCCCAGCAACAATATCCTTGCATTCTACTTAATTCAACTTCACAATATACTAAGCTGTCTGTATTGGTTTGACTAGTGTTCCAATAAATTCATATCTCCCTAGAACCTGTGAATATGACCTTATTTGAAAATAGAGTTTTTGCAGACATGATAAAGTAAATTAAGGTAATACTGGATTAGAGTAGGCCCTAACCCAATGACTGGTAGCCCTAACCCAGACACAGAGACACTGACACATAGGAAAAAATGCAATGTGAAGTCAGAGGCAGAGATTGAAGTGATGATGCATCTAAAAGCCAGATATTAGAAAGAATTGCCAACAGCCCCCAGAAGCTAGCAGAGATGAATAAGGACTATTTCCTAAAGCCTTCAAAGAGGGCATGTTGACACCTTGATTTCACACTTCTAACCTCCAGAACTGTGAAGAATAAATTTATGTTATTTTAAGTCACACAGTTTGTGGAAATTTGTTACAGCATCCTTAGAAAACTAACATACTCTCCCTTCTCAATAGTCAACAGTATTGCAAACAAGTTTTACTGAATGTTCTTGGTAGTCTCAAGCATTGACAATATTGCACTTCTAGACAATGAGTAATCAGTCAATTTTCTTGCCCCAGAAACCCAGTGTATGTGTGTAAGGGAGTGCGGGGTGGTTGTCATCTCCCACCAAAGATATGATCATTAAGTCCTTGAGAAAATTCAGACTATTCTAAACGTGATTCTTAATGCAAATGATCAACTGTATAAAAATTTCTACAAATATTTATTGACTGCATTTGTATTTTTTAGTTATTGCTTTTGAAAATAAAAATCAATGAAACATGAGTGGTACATGTGAAACTTGGGAATTTTCTAGCCAAGTCTGAACCAGGGCTATTAGGTCATCTTGTTAATCATCCTCCAATTGCAAGTCCTGCTCTAACTTAACTCAGAGATGAGGGAATAGACCCCAGAGAGATGCCTGGAGCACCTCTACAGTAGATGGACTGACATGAGTAATCCCCAATTAAGGGACTCAGTGGTGACCAAACCAATTAAGATACTAATATAAACACTTGTTTATTCTAAAATAAATACAAGTAGAGAAGATCTCTACAAAAAGGTCAAGATGATGAAAGTATAGACAGTAAAACAGAATCCATAAGGTAATTTTAAAAGAAGTGTCATGTTTGACATGAATAGAATAGGCTGATGTATCCAGTAAGGACCAAAGAGAAGACAGTTTGCCTATCTACAGACCAAAGAGTTTAGACATCAAAATGAGCTTTGTGAGAGCTAAATACTAACAAAAGCAGCAGTTAACAAACACGTATTGAGTGACTACTACATATGCGTCACTGTGCTGAGAGTGAATGAAAAAGTTCATTAGAGACTTAATTTTATGAAGAGATAAAGATACCACAACTCCAAAAGGATTATATAAAGCTTACCAAAAGGTAGAAGGAGTGGCCTCAAAAGAGCAGCCTTCAGATTACCTAGTGGTCACAAACCCTTTGTACCTGGAAGGGAACTGAGCCCCCAGAAAAAGAAAGGAGTTGGTCTAGCATTAGAAGCAACCATGGTCTCCTTGTTGCCAGGCCACTCTTTTTTCTGCTCTGTATTCTAGCTTTCTCTGTACTGAATTACTGCCAAAGTAAGTTGTCCCTATAACATTGTACTCATTTTACATCACATCTATACACAAACTTCAATTTAAGAGTCATGAGGATTTTTCCATCATTTAATCATCTTGAAAATAGATATATATGTATTTGGCAACAACTTTTCTGTACACAGTTAAAAAACGGTGCTGGGAAAACTGGCAAGCCACAAGTAGAAGAATGAAACTATATCTTCATCTCTCACCTTACACAAAAATCAACTCAAGATGGATCAAAGACTTAAATCTAAGACATGAAACCACAAAAATTCTAGAAGATTACATTGGAAAAATTATTCTAGACATTGCCTTAGGCAAATAATTAATGACTAAGATATCAAAAGCAAATGCAACAAAAACAAAAATAAATAATTGGGACCTAATTAAACTACAAAGCTTCTGCACAGGAAAAGAAGTAATCAAAAGAGTATACAACCCAGAGAGTGGGACAACCCACAGAGTGGGAGAAAATATTCAGAAAGTATGCATCTGAAAAAAAAAAAAAAAAAAAAAAAAAAAAAAAAAAAAAAAAAACAGAATCTACAAGGAACTCAAACAAACCAGCAACAACAACAACAAAAAATCCCACCCAAAAGTGGGCAAAGAACATGAATAGACATTTGTCAAAAGAAGATAAACAAGCAGCCAACAAACATATGAAAAAAATACTCAACATCACTAATCATCAGGGAAATACAATTCAAAACCACAGTGTGATACCACTTCACTCCTGCAAGAATGGCCATAATTAAAAAGTCAAAAAAACAATAGATGTTGGTGTGGATGTGGTGAAAATAAAACACTTTTACACTGCTGGTGGGAATGTAAGTTTGTACAACTACTATAGAAAACACTATGGAGATTCCTTTAAAAATTAAAGCAGAATTATCTTTCGATCCAGCAATCCCACAACTAGGTATCTACCCAAAGAAAAATAAGTCATTACACGTGAAAAAGACATATGTACACGCATGTTTATAGCAGCACAATTCACAATGGCAAAGATATAGAACCAACCTAAGTGCCTATCAACCAAGGAGTGGATAAAGAAAATGTAGTGTATATACACCATGAAATACTACTCAGCCATAAAAAGGAATGGAATAATGTCATTTGCAACAACTTGGATGGAGCTGAAGGCCATTATTCTAAGTGAAGTAACTCAGAAATGGAAAACCAAATACTGTATATTCTCACTTATAAGTGGGAGCTAAGCTATGAGGATGCAAAGACATACAGAGTGATATACTGGACTTTGGAGCCTCGTAGGGGTGGAGTTTGGAAAGGGGATATGGGATGAAAGACTATATATCGGGCATAGTGTGTGCTTCTCAGATGACGGGTATAGTAAAATTTCAGCATTCACCACTAAAGAACTCATTCATGTAACCAAAAACCACCTGTACCCCCAAAACTAATGAAATTTAAAAAATCCTGGATTTGTCCTCTGGTGCCTTTTGGGATTATGATGATCCATTTAACCTGTAAAGACATAACTAAATGTTATGTTAGGTAATATGGAGAAGTGACAGATAAGCTGTTTTTTTTTAATCTTAATTCAAGTGGACAATGAAATTTACACAACATAATATTTGTCATTTTATTTCATTATAATTTCAAATATATTAAATTTATAATTTAAGAGAATGAGCAATATGTACCATATGTGTGTATATAATCACTTTGCCTACTTTTAAAATAGGTTTTTATCACAGTATTATATGCTTGTTGTAGAAAATTTAGAAAATCGAAGTAAGCAAAAAATATTAATGTTTATATTATCATCTAGTGATAACCACTGTCAACATTTTGTGTCCTATTACTTTGTGAATGTGGGTATTTTTATTTATAAAATAATTTATTTTATTTTATACTACCTGGAAAGTTTCTTTTTTTACTTAAAATATATTATGAATATTGACATTCATTAGCATTCTTATACAGCTTAATTTTTCATGCAACTAATTTTATAGTATTTTTCATGCAACTAATTTTATAGTATTTAGGTTGTTTCCAGTTTTTCATATTACATACAACTATTTAAGTAAGTAATAGCTTATAGCTGAATCTTGACACATATCCATAATTAGTCCCCATACATACTTGAAATGAGGTTTCTAAGCCAAAGATTGAATATCTTAAGGTTTTATATAAATATTGTTAGAGATGTTAAATTCCCACCACTAGAGTGTGGTTGCCTGTTTATTTGAACTCTCACCAATGTGCCAACACTGGAGATTAACATTGTTTTCAATCTTTGCCAATTTGATATGCAAAGGATTATAGCTCATTGCTGTTACAACTTGCATTTTGACCACGTTTTCCCAAACCTTAACTGGCTGATTATTTGAATTGCCTCTCTATGTCTTTGTCCATTTTTTTTTTCTAATGGAGTTTTTGTCTTTTAGTAATTTATAAGAGCTTATTGCATGCTAACAATAGTAGTTCTTTGTTATATGTGTTGAAAATATTTCCCCATTTTGTATTTTACCTTTTAATTTTGTTTATATTTTATTTTTTAATTTATGGTATTCATGTACATAGGTTTTTTTTGTGGTCAAATCCATTACATTTTTTAATGGTTTTTCTCTGTGGCAAATTCTGTCTCTATAGGAGAGTATTTTGATAACAATTTTTGGCTATACATTTGCACAAGTCTTTGAAGTTTATGGCTTCTGATGCATTGTTGTTGAATTGTTGCTTTGTTGAAACTTCATTGCAACATTTCAAGACCATTGTTTGGTGTTCCCTTATTTCTAGTATGGTCAGAGCTTTCATATTATGAATGAACAAACCTTTGCCAAAGACTTTCCAAAATATTTGAAGCAAAATAATATGACCAGCTTCCGACAGCTCAACATGTGTAAGTATGACTGTTTTATTTCTGCAAGCATTATTATAATTCAGTGGAATATTGCAGAAAAGTTAACTGTTTTTTTAAACATATGAATATCACTCTGAGTTGAGTGGGGGCTATTACAACAGTTTATTATTGAAATTCTACTTAGTTTGGTTTATCGATTGGGAAACCAATTTTAGTGATTGGGGTTCCAAACAAAAATTTCCTTTCATCCTCAGCAAACACGAATAGAAAACCAAACACCGCATGTTCTCACATAAGTGGGACTTGAACAATGAGAACACATTGACACAGAAAGTGGAATAACACACACCAGGACCTGCTGTGGGGTGGGGGATGAGGAGAGAGAACTTAGAGGACAGGTCAATAGGTGCAGCAAACCAGCATGGCACACAAATACCTATGTAACAAACCCTCACGCTCTGCACATGTATCCCCCCACCCTTTCTTTTTTTAGAAGAAATAAAGAAAAAAAAATATTTCTGGAAAAAGATCTGCATTAATCCTTTTGAGTTATAGAATCTTAGAGCTGAATGGAACTGAATTTATCAAGTTCTATTCTGTTATATTACAGCTTAGGAATGGAGCCCAAGAAGATTAAATATACTTGTGCCAGGTCATAATGCTAGAGAAGTCAGGTCTGGACTCCATTACTTTGAGTAAAAGTGAATTATCTTCCTCTCTCAGATCTTCGGAATTTAAGGTCTGACACTGCACATATATGAGTTCTACTGCTGCCCAAAACCCCTTTTTTCTATTAATACATGATTTTTGTGTTACCATTACAAATAATTGAGAAATACATAAAAGTATATATACCAAATTAATAGAAGCTTCAAATAGAAATAGTGCATTGAATTCTTACTCTTCCATAATATTTCACATTTCTAAACTAATTTGTTTTATAGTAACATATATTCTTTTTATAAAATTTTTGAATTCAGTGGTTATTGTTGTGGCTCATAGATAGAAAAAATACTCCCCACTATTTTAAGAATGAGAAATTACAGTAAATTAGTCGAGGTCAATGGTAAGAAAATGCAGCTTGACTAATAGGATAGTCAGTAAGAAATGTAATAGTCTTCTCTTTAAAGATTACTGTGTGTGTGTGTGTGTGCGTGTGTGTGTGTGTGTAAAGTTGACATATGACCAGTTAAGAAAATTTAGAAAATAAAACCACAAAAGGAGGGGGGAAGTCATCCATATTCTTAGAATCCAGTCAACTGCTTATTGATGTTTTATATAGTCTAATTTTCTTAGTGCTTATGTAGGAAAGATTAGCAAGCTCCTATTTTTCCTTGTGCCCCTCCTTTCCACTTTCTCACTGTCCAAGAGTAGTTTCTTAGTATTCCAACCTTTAACCCTTTCTAATAAATTATAAATATTGCTTGTTCTAATTAGTGATACCTATTACTGTCTGTTTTAACTTTTCAAAATATAATCTGTTTCTTTTCTATTTTTTTTTTATTTTTGAGACAGAGTCTTGTTCTGTAGCCCAAGCTGGAATGCAATAGCACAATCACAGCTGACTGCAGCATCCACCTCTAGTACTCAAGTGATCCTCCTGCCTCAGCCTCCCGAGTAGCTGGGACCATAGGTTTGTTTTTTTACTTTTAATTTTTTGTAGGGATGGGGGTCTCACTATGTTGCCCAGGCTGGCCTTAAACTCCTGGGCTCAAGCTATCCTCCTGCCTTGGCCTCCAAGGTGTTGTGATTACAGGTGTGAGCCACTGCACCTGACCAGACTGTGTCATTCTTATTCAAAACTCTCAGCTGATTCCCACCACAGTACATGAAATAAGTCCAGCATCTGTATCTGACATTTACATTCTTCGACAGTTCAGCCTTATCCTCTGTTTTTTATTCCTTCTTACCTCACCTCTGTTCTCATTCATGTTGCGTGTGTGTGTGTGTGTGTGTGTGTGTGTGTTACAGACACACACACATCTTTTCACCACACAGGGTAGTTATTCTCTTTTCATGCCTTATACCATTGTTTCTCAAACTGACTATGGTGAAGGACATTTTTTTTAAGTTCTGATCTATCACAAATCAATACTTTATGAAATATAAGAATGGATTATTAGAAAAAATGATGATGTTTGGATGTAACAACAATGTCACGTTACTATATAAGTTTCTAAGGAACTACTCTCAGTTTTTATACTTATGTGATCAACAACCAATAACAAATGGTTTGCAGACAAGCATCATTCCACGGACCACAATTTGTATAACACTGCCATTAACTTTCCTATATCAATGCCTTTCATCAAGCCATTTCCTTTCCTGGACTGCCCTTTCTTCCCAACTTCATTCCTAGTATTTGCTTACCAGAGTTTTCATCTTTCAAGTCCCAGCTCAAATTTTACCTCCCTCTAGAAGTCTCATATACCCCAGTCAGAATTAATCTCTTTTCACAAATGCCCACCGTGCTTCATTTATAAGACAAACACAGTGCTTATCACAGCCTGATTTTTTTACTGAGATTTAATTCACATACTATACAATTCACCCATTTAAAGTGGTCAATTCTATCATATTTAGTATACACACAGTGGTGCAACCATAATTACAATCTAATTCTAGAATATTTCCATCACACCAAAGGAAATCCCCTGCTGATTAGCAATGACACCCCATTTCCCCCACTCCACACTTTATTATAGCCTGACTTTATTGTGGTTATTTGGATATGTATGTCTCCCTTTTAAAAAGTTGCATATTCTTAGAAGAGGGATATTGGCAAGGGGACGTTACTCATCTCTAAAGCAGGAACTATGAAGGAGTGTAGATAGGCTACAGTGTTGTTTTTATAATATTTATCACACATTTGCTAATCATTGAATTGTCTGTTTTATAGATAAGTTACAGACAAATCATTTGTTGAATGTTATAGACAAGTTTCAGAAACCTCTGCTTTAGAATCACCTTTCTTCAATAGCAGCATTTATTTCTCATGGCTTTATTCTCTGGGAATGTACAGATGTTAAGGAAAACTACATCGGCTGATGATCATTCACTCTCAAATGAGTTAGCCTTTTTCATTTTTTTTCATTTTCTGTGTTCAACAGGTTAGCAGGGTTTTTTTTTAATAAAGCAATATATATGAGATTCATCAAATATCCTGATGCACATTTTCTTCCTATGGAATTCTGTGGGAGAATTTTTATTCCTGTGACAAGTTTTCTAGAAAAACAAGTCTGAATTTTTCTATTTTGTGAGGTTTCTTGTGGAGATATATGATATATCCCCAACCACCGCAGGCATAATTCACTATTTCCTCCTGTATTCTCCCAAACACTTTTTATGGTCCTTACTCCAGTATTCAATCATGTTGTGTTAACAGTAGTCATGAAGGTATTTGTATTTCCTGCTAAATTATTAGCTTCTTGAAGACAGAAATTGCATCTCATTGGCCTGTTCATCCTCCACAGAGCCTAGCCAACTACCTGAGATGGAGTTGTGTTCAGTAAATGTTTGTTAAATGGATAAATAAGAAAATTAAAAGTTTTAGAGTGGAATGGCCATGGGGATATATGTTAGCTTGTTTGGTTTTAAATGTATTCTAAATTGAGAAATAATATATCTTTATTTTTAAAAAGTGGATCTTCAATAAAAAAAAAGAATCCTAAGTCATAACTTTTATATTATCTCCTCTAATAGAGGATGCGGGAATTAGAAATGAAAGTTAAACCTTTCACCACATGGGGGAGAAGTAATGCTTCAGAAAGTAATTCCTGAAAGAAATATGTCCCCTTATAAAATATATTCTGGCAACTCCCCCTATTGGTTAGGCATAGATTTGCAGCTGCCCTTGTTTAACCCCTTTCACCCCAAAGCTGGGGGTGCGGGATGTCGGGCTCTGTTTACCTAAAGTATTTTTACCTTTGACACATGTGTCAAGAAAACCTGAGGGAGAGTTTTTATTAAAAAGCAAATTATGATTTTCCTAGACTAGAAAATTCCCATGAAATTATTATTCTTAGTGAATATCAGCAGGGTGCCTGGACTACGCATAACATGCTTTATCATGTAGGACAGATGCCCTCTAGAAAATGCCCCACGGTATATTTCAGGGAAGTATAATCAGATAGAGTATGCATACAAACTTCAGACCAAAAGTGTATGATCTATTCAGGAGGATCCTGACCGTCCTTTGGAAGGGCGGGGTACCAAAGAGAGTGAGTAGACTGTAATATCTCCTTGGGACAAAATATAAGTTGGATAGGATTCAAGAATTCAAAATTCAGAGAGGAATTCTCACGCATGTGTTTAAAGTATTGCATACGAGGTAGCTCAAATAAATGTAGAGAAGATAGAGGGGTTTATGTTTAAAGATAAAAGGGGGAAAACTACTAAAGAAAAATAAGAAAAAGAGATAGAGTGATATAGAACCTAATAAAAGATCAAAGAAAAAAATACGTTTTCTTCCCATATCCAGTTTGAGTCTCTGGAGGAATTTGAAGATTGAACAATGTAGTCTCATTTGTAGCTTTTTCCATAGCAAGAACATTTTATTTATTGCCCTAGGTTATCCAGGAAATAGAAGCTGATTACGCCCCAGAAAGAAAGTAGTCACTACTCACATGAATTGACACATGAAGGCCTAGTGTCTAATATTTCAAAGGAAGTACTTATAAAGTTGAGGTTGCTTTTGGTTAGAATTCAGCTGTAGCTTTCTTCCTAGCAAAGTACATTGAGATTCCTCATGCTCGACACAGAGTAAGTTTAATATCTTATCACTTAAAGTACAGTGATCTTTATAATAATAAAATTCTGAAAACTAGGATTAATAATTTAAAGCATAAATGTTAGTCATTCTTGTGACTTATGTTTCAAATATGAGATAAAAAGTTCCCTTTTAATTTTCAGCAAAAACAGTTATGAGTGGTATTTTAAGCCCAAGAAGAAGAATTCTATGCCAAGTTTTGTTGCTAGATTATGATGGTATAAAGAATGTGATTCATATCCTCATCAGGGCATTTAAAAAACACTGCTCATAAACCGGAATAAGACAGAATCTCCCTGCATGTCTTTGGAAACCAATGCCTTCCTGAGAGAAGGCACAAAGGGAAAGTTAGACTTCTTAACACATGAAGAAACAATATTTCTGAAATAGTATTTTCATGTATACATACTCTGGCTAACAGCTACTGGTATACTTTGCTTCTTTCCTTACTTAGTTTCTGTGAACTATGAAACTCTGTGTGTGTTCATTAATCCAGATTCCTACATGAGCTTAAAGGAACAGGATAGGTAAGCCACATCTAGTTTCAACAAACATTTCAAAGTACCTCATTATGCTTGGTTACCATCCTTTCCTGACTCACTCTTAAGATAAACCAGACTGCACCTGGAAAGTAGCAGTTCCTTGCATTTTAAGAAGTATCTTACTGATACCCACTTAGCTTTCTCTGGATTAGTTATGTAGTCATTGTTGTGACTTTCTTCTTACATTAAAATACATACATATGCATATGCAATGCCTCCAATTCTTGTTTATTCAGAGGCAGGTGATCTAGATTGTCATCTCTTCAAGTCTCTTTGTTTCTTCTTTCTCATACTACCTTTATTTACATCATTTCCAAAGAGTGAGCAGAGCATTAAAAGGAGATGAAATTCAAATCAGTTAAGTCACGCTTTGGGTTCCAAGATGGCTGAATAGGAACAGCTCCAGTCTGCAGCTCCCAGTATGATCGACACAGAAGGTGGGTGATTTCTGCATTTCCAACTGAGGTACCTGGTTCTTCTCACTGGGACTGGTTGCACAGTGGGTGAAGCCCACTGAGGGTGAGGTGAAGCAGGGTGGGGTGTCACCTCATCCAGGAAGTGCAAGGGGTCAGGGATTTCCCTTTCCTAGCCAAGGGAAGCTGTGACAGATGGTACCTGGAAAATCTGGACACTCCCACCCTAATACTGTGCTTTTCCAATGGTCTTAGCAAATGGCACACCAGGAGATTATATCCCATGCCTGGCCCGGGGTGGGGGGTCCCACACCCAGAGCCTGCTCACTGCTAGTGCAGCAATCCAAGATTGAACTGCAGGCAGCAGCCGGGGTTGGGGGAGGGGCATCTGCCATTGCTGAGGCTTGAGTAGGTAAACAAAGCCACCAGGAAGCTCGAACTGGGTGGAGCTCACCTCAGCTCAACGAGGCCTGCCTGCCTCTGTAGACTCCACCTCTGGGGGCAGGGCATAGCTGAAAAAAATGCAGCAGAAACCTCTGCAGACTTAAACGTCCTTGTCTGACAGTTATGAAGAGAGCAGTGGTTCTCCCAGCATAGAGTTTGAGCTCTGAGAACGGACGGACTGCCTCCTCAAGTGGGTCACCGACCCCCGTGTAGCCTAACTGGGAGACACCTGCCAGTAGGGGCTGACTCACACCTCATACAACTGGGTGCCTCTCTGAGACGAAGCTTCCAGAGGAAGGATCAGGCAACAATATTTCCTATTCTGCAGCCTCCACTGGTGATACCCAGGCAAACATGGTCTGGAGTGGACCTCCAGCAAACTCCAACAGACCTGCAGCTGAGGGTCCTGACTGTTAGAAGGAAAACTAACAAACAGAAAGGAATAGCATCAACATCAACAAAAAGGATATCCACACCAAAAGTCCATCTGTAGGTCACCATCATCAAAGACCAAAGGTAGATAAAACCACAAAGATGGGGAGAAACCAGAGCAGAAAAGCTGAAAATCCTAAAATGCAGAGCACCCCTCCCCTCCAAAGGATCACAGCTCCTCACCAGCAACGGAACAAAGTAGGACAGAGAATGACTTTGATGAATTCCCAGAAGTAGGCTTCAGAAAGTCGGTAATAACAAACTTCCCCCAGCTAAAGGAGAATGTTTGAACCCATCACAAGGAAGCTAAAAACCTTGAAAAAAAGATTATATGAATGGCTAACCAGAGTAAACAGTGTAGAGAAGGCCTTAAATGACCTGGTGGAGCTGAAAACCGTGGTCCAAGAAATATGTGATGCATGCACAAGCTTCAGTAGCCAATTCAATCACGTGGAAGAAAGGGTATCAGTGATGGAAGATCAAATGAATGAAATGAAGTGAGAAGAGAAGTTTAGAGAAAAAAGAATAAAAAGAAATGAACAAAGCCTCCAAGAAATATGGGACTATGTGAAAAGATCAAATCTACGTTTGATTGGTGTACGTGAAAGTGACGAGGAGAATGGAACCAAGCTGAAAAACACTCTTCAGGATATTATTCAGGAGAACTTCCCCAACCAAGCAGGTCAACACTGAAATTAAGGAAATACAGAGAATGCCAGAAAGATACTCCTTGAGAAGAACAACACCAAGACACATAATTGTCAGACTCACCAAGGTTGAAATGAAGGAAAAAAAGTTAAAGGCAGCCAGAGATAAAGGTTGGGTTACCCACAAAGGGACGCCCATCAGACTAACAGCGGATCTCTCAGCAGAAACCCTACAAACCAGAAGAGAGTGGGGTCCAATATTCAACATTCTAGAGAAAATAATTTTCAACCCAGAATTTCATAACCAGCCAAACTAAGCTTCAAAAGTGAAGGAGAAATAAAATACTTTACAGACAAGCAAATGCTGAGAGATTTTGTCACCACCAGGCCTGCCTCACAAGAGCTTCCGAAGGAAGCACTAAACATGGAAAGGAATAACCAGTACCAGCCACTGCAAAAACATGCCAAATTGTAAAGACCATCGAGGCTAGGAAGAAACTGCATCAACTAATGGGCAAAATAACTAGCTAACATCATAATGACAGGTTAAAATTCACACATAACAATACTAACCTTAAATGTAAATGGGCTAAACACCCCAATTAAAAGACACAGAATGGCAAATTGGATAAAGGGTCAAGACTCATCAGTGTGCTGTATTCAGGAGACCCATCTCACATGCAGAGACACACATAGGCTCAAAATAAAGGGATGGAGGAAGATCTACCAAGCAAATGGAAAGCAAAAAAATGCAGGGGTTGCAATCCTAGTCTCTGATAAAACAGACTTTAAACCAACCAAGATCAAAAGAGACAAAGAAGGCCATTACATAATGGTAAAGGGATCAATTCAACAAGAAGAGCTAACTATCCTAAATATATATGCACCCCATACAAGAGCACCCAGATTCATAAAGCAAGTTCTGAGAGACCTACAAAGAGACTTAGACTCCCACACAATAATAATGGGAGACTTGAACACCTCACTGTCAATATTAGACAGATCAATGAGACAGAAGGTTAACAAGGATATCCAGAACTTGAACTCAGCTCTGCACCAAGCGGACCTAATAGACATCTACAGAACTCTCCACCCCAAATCAACAGAATACACACTCTTCTCAGCACCACATCACACTTACTCCAAAATTGACCACATAGTTGGAAGTAAAGCTCTCCTCAGCTAATGTAAAAGAACAGAAATCACAACAAACTGTCTCTCAGATCACAGTGCAATCAAATTAGAACTCAGGATTAAGAAACTCAGTCAATACCGCACAACAACATGGAAACTGAACAACCTGCACCTGAATGACTACTGGGTAAATAAAGAAATGAAGGCAGAAATAAATATGTTCTTTGAAACCAATGAGAACAAAGACAAAACATTCCAAAATCTCTGGGACACATTTAAAGCAGTGTGTAGAGGGAAATTTATAGCACTAAATGCCCACAAGAGAAAGCAGGAAAGATCTAAAATTGACACCCTAACATCACAATTAAAAGAACTAGAGAAGCAAGAGCAAACAAATTCAAAAGCTAGTAGAAGGCAAGAAATAACTAAGATCAGAGCAGAATTGAAGGAAATAGAGACAAAAAACCCTTCAAAAAAAAATCAATGAATCCAGGAGCTATTTTTTTGAAAAGATCAACAAAATAGATCGCTATCAAGACTAATAAAGAAAAAAAGAGAGAAGAATCAAATAGACACAATAGAAAATGATAAAGGGGATATCACCACCGATCCCACAGAAATACAAACTACCATCAGAAAATACTATAAACACCTCTGTACAAATAAACTAGAAAATCTAGAAGAAATGGATAAATTCCTGGACACATACACCCTCCCAACACTAAGCCAGGAAGAAGTTGAATCACTGAATAGACCAACAGCAGGCTCTGAAATTGAGGCAATAATTAGTAGCCTACCACCCAAAAAAAGTCCAGGACCAGATGGATCCACAGCCGAATACTACCAGATGTACAAACAGGAGCCAGTACCATTCCTTCTGAAAGTATTCCAATCGATAGAAAAAGAGAGAATCCTCCCTAACTCATTTTATGAGCCCAGCATCATCCTGATACCAAAGCCTGGCAGAGACACAACAAAAAAAAGAGAATTTTAGACCAATATCCCTGATGAACATCAATGTAAAAATCCTCAATAAAATACTGGCAAACCAAATCCAGCAGCACATCAAAAAGCTTATCCACCAAGATCAAGTTGGCTTCACCCTGGGATGCAAGGCTGATTCAACATATGCAAATCAATAAATGTAATCCATCACATAAGCAGAACCAAAGACAAAAACCACATGATTATCTCCATAGATGCAGAAAAGGCCTTCGATAAAATTCAACAGCCCTTCATGCTAAAAACTCTCAATAAACTAGGTATTGATGGATTGTATCTCAAAATAAGAAGAGCTATTTCTGACAAACCCACAGCCAGTATCACACTGAATGGGCAAAAACTGGAAGCATTCTCTTTGAAAACTGACACAAGAGAGGGATGCCCTCTCTCACCACTACTATTCAACATAGTGTTGGAAGTTCGGGCCAGGGCAATCAGGCAATTCTGATTGCCTGATTGAATAAAGGGTATTCAAATAGGAAAAGAGGAAGTCAAATTGTCCCTGTTTGCAGATGACATGATTGCATATTTAGAAAACACCATCATCTCAGCCCAAAATCTCATTAAGCTGATAAGCAACTTCAGCAGTCTCAGGTTCCAAATCAATGTTCAAAAATCACAAGCATTCTTATATACCAATAATAGACAAACAGAAAGCCAAATCATGAGTGAACTCCCATTCACAATTGCTTCAAACAGAATAAAATACCTAGGAATCCAACTTACAAGGGATGTGAAGGACTTCTTCAAGGAAAACTAAAAACCACTGCTCAATGAAGTAAAAGAGGACACAAACAAATGGAAGAACATTCCATGGTCATGGATAGGAAGAATCAATATCATGAAAATGGCCATACTGCCCAAAATAATTTATAGATTCAATGCCATCCCCATCAAGCTACCAATGACTTTCTTCAACAGAATTGGAAAAAACTACTTTAAAGTTCATATGGAACCAAAAAGGAGCCCGCATTGCCAAGACAATCCTAAGCCAAAAGAACAAAGCTGGAGGCATCACACTACCCTGACTTCAAACTATACTAAAAGGCTACAGTAAACAAAACAGCATGGTACTGGTACCAAAACAGAGATATAGATCAATGGAACAAAACAGAGGCCTCAGAAATAACGCCACACATCTACAACCATCTGATCTTTGGCAAACCTGACAAAAACAAGCAATGGGGAAAGGATTCCCTATTTAATAAATGGTGCTGGGAAAACTGGCTAGCCATATGTAGAAAGCTGAAACTGGATCCCTTCCTTACACCTTATACTAAAATTAACTCAAGATGGATTAAAGACTTAAATGTTAGCCCTAAAACCATAAAAACCCTAGAAGAAAACCTAGGCAATACCATTCAGGACATAGGCATGGGCAAGGACTTCATGTCTAAAACACCAAAAGCAATGGCAACAAAAGCCAAAATAGACAAATGGGATCTAATTAAACTAAAGAGCTTCTGCACAGCAAAAGAAACTACCATCAGAGTGAACAGGCAACCTACAAAATGGGAGAAAATTTTTGCAACCTACTCATCTGACAAAGGGCTAATATCCAGAATCTACAAAGAACTCAAACAAATTTACAAGAAAAATTCAAACAACCCCATCAAAAAGTGGGCAAAGGATATGAACAGACACTTCTCAAAAGAAGACATTTATGCAGCCAACAGACACATGAAAAAATGCTCATCATCACTGATCATCAGAGAAACGCAAATCAAAACCACAGTGAGATACCATGTCGCCCCAGTTAGAATGGCGATCATTAAAATGTCAGGAAACAACAGATGCTGGAGAGGTTGTGGAGAAATAGGAACACTTTTACACTGTTGGTGGGACTGTAAACTAGTTCAACCATTGTGGAAGACAATGTGGCAATTCCTTAAGGATCTAGAACTAGAAATACCATTTGACCCAGCCATCCCATTACTGGGTATATACCCAAAGGATTATGAATCATACCACTATAAAGACACGTGCACACGTATGTTTATTGTGGCACTATACACAATAGCAAAGACCTGGAACCAACCCAAATGTCCCTCAATGATAGACTGGATTAAGAAAATGTGGCACATATACACCATGGAATACTATGCAGCCATAAAAAAGGATGAGTTCATGTCCTTTGTAGCAACATGGATGAAGCTGGAAACCATCATTCTCAGCAAACTATCACAAGGACAGAAAACCAAACACTGCATGTTCTCACTCATAGTTGGAAATTGAACAATGAGAACACTTGGACACAGGGCAGGGAACATCACACACTGGGGCCTTTCATAGGGTGGGTGGATAGGAGAGGGAGAGCATTAGGAGAAATACCTAATGTAAATGACGAGTTAATGGATGTAGGAAACCAACACGGCACATGTATACATATGTAACAATCCTGTACGTTGTGCACATGTACCCTAGAAGTTAAAGTATAATAAAAAATAAAAACAAAAACAAAAAAAGGAATTCAAATCAGTTAATTTTGTTCACACTCCATAATCCTTAGATGAAATGTAGTATAGTGGGTGTTGCAGAAAGTTGAAGCTATTGGGTAAAATAAGGCTTAAGGATTATACATACATTTCAATTATAAGTTACTGTGATCTTAGTTTCCAAATTTGAAATTAGTTTGACTATTATTAAGCACAAATTTAGTACTTTGTAGCAGTCAAATATTTTTCAGTATGACTTATTTATTCTGATCTTTTTAGCTCTCCTGTCAACAGTCTATTTTATTACCTTTGTTATTTTTGTTGTTTTTTTGTTTTGTTTTCATTTTTGTTTTATTACGTGGTTTCTGAAAAGTGATTGCATTGGAAAATGGTGCAACTGGCCGGAAGAAAGTAACTAATGGAATTTCAGCATCCATTCTTCAAAATGGAGGAAACCAGCCTTCTGCAAAATATCAAGCACGAGGTAGGGGGACTCTTAACAAACATTTTTTCCATAGCATTTGGGTTGCAGCCAGGTCTTTCCTTCATCTAAACATTTTACTATTTCTCTAAGTCTTAAGCGTCAAGTCACTGGCACTAGCTGGAAATTCATTTCTAGTTCTCTGGAAAGATGACCTTTAGATATCAATTTATCCAAAAATTTATGACCACTCTTCCAAAGGCACATTTTATCACCTGTCGTATTCCCATGTAGATGGGGATATAATATTTTAGAAAGTAGGCAGGGCCGGCCACGGTGGCTCACGCTTGTAATCCCAGCACTTTGGGAGGCCAAGGCGGGTGGATCACTTGAGACCAGGAGTTCTGGAACAGCCTGGACAACATGGCGAAATCTCATCTCTACTAAAAATACAAAAATTAGCTGGGCTTGGTGGCACATGCCTGTAATCTCAGCTACTTGGGAGGCTGAGGCTCAAGAATCACTTAAAATCAGGAAGCAGAGTTTGCAGTGAGCCAAAATAGTGCTACTGCACTCCAGCCTGGGCGACAGAGTGAGATTCTGTCTCAAAAAAAAAAAAAGAAAAAAGAAAAAGAAAAAGAAAAATGTAGGCATATGAGACTAGGAATAGTTATGAAGCCATAACTTTATTTTGATATTTTTCTTAATAAGCAAAATATCTGCTGAACCTGCCTGCCCACCCCCAGAGCTGCTTATAAGTCAATAGTAACACAGTTTTTCACTTATGAGATGTCTGTGTATGTTGATATTTTGCATGAACCTTATATTCAGATGATGTCTATGTATTGGAAGTTAGAGACAAAAAGCAAAACCGGAAGTATTTGGAATATAAATTAGATCAGTGGTTCTCAAAGCATGATTTGTGAACCCATGGGGGTCTCAAGACATTTCATGGGATATGTGAGTTCAGAATTATTTTTATAATAATACCAAGACATCAGTAGCCTTTTATCACTCTTCATTCTCTAATAAGTACAGTAGAATTTTCCAAAGGATACATAATGTCTTATAATGTAATTCTAATGTTAACATATAATGTTCATATTATTATAATTTTTAAAGAAATTTGTATTCAAAATTTTTATTAGTTTTAAATTTTAATATTGTAAATATTGATAGATACAACCCATATAAACACAGTTTTTGGAGTTCCTAAAAAGTTTTAAGAGTGTTAAGGGGCCATAAGACCAAAGAGTGAAGAACCACTGGAATAGACGAAACTTGGTTCACAGTGCACTTTTTTCATAATACAAAAGCATTATGGTCTTTGTTTTAGTTGTTGTGACCTTGTAATAACCTTCTTCATTATGTGAGGTAGAAGAAGAAGGAGAAACGTAACTAAGATGAATCATTATCCATTCCCATTGAAAAAGGAGCCATGTACAGACATCTCTGAGTCTACGTAGCTCTTCATCTTGTTGGTCTCACTGAGAATAATATTTAGACATATGAACTGACCAATATTTAATTTGAGTTTAAAGCTTCCAAATATGAAACAATGATTTTCATATCCGATTAGTAAGTGCAAGTGACCATCAGCATACTAAAGGAGATACCAGATTTTTCTTCTATTTTCTTGTAGAAGAAAACAAAAACTTCAAATGCTTTTTCTAGTATTGCATTGGCTGGTTAGCTTTTGTGCCCATTTGTTTACTGATATTTGGGAAATGGTATATGCCTTCTACAAAATAAAGGAGTGGTCTCTGGCCTAAACAGATTACAGGCAATTATTTCATTATCACAGAATCAAAACAGACATCTAGTTCATTCCAAATGGGATTGCTCTCTCTTTTTAATGCTGATAAAATTTATTATCTGTGCTATTCATTTGTCATTTATTACATACTGCTTTTCAGATATAGTCATCTTTTTATGTCTAAATATCTAACCTTCATTCCCGATATGTTAACTCCATGAGGGATCTTTGACAGATGAGCTTATTCTACAGACACATTTACAGCAGATGAAAACAAGTTAGAATTTTCCATTTCCATTTCCCATTCAAATTTGAGGTACCTATAGTCTATAGTTATTTGCTAGCTAGAACCTAGGCTTACTTACAGTAGTTGAAAAATGTAAAGCTTTCAAGTTAGAGTATTATATGATAATGCGATGTGTTGTTTTATTCTGTTAAAGTTTTATTGTTGTTACTTATCTGTACTTACTAAATGAAAATTTTTGTTCTGCCTATACCATGGGATTCTGAAAAAATAAGACGTTTTAAAAGATTTATTAAATGTAACAATATTGCATCTTATAGGCATACTCAAGCAGTGCAGGTCCAAATCATTAAAGCCTGCTTAGTCACCACCTGTGGAAATAATTACATCATTGTTACAGATATTATTCTGCATTTAACTGTAGAACTCTAGCATGATGCTTCGTTTTATGAAACACGTAGTTCAATATGTTCCTAACCTACTTAGCCTATAAAATGAAACTGTAGCCTACTTTGGATACTTAGGATTGTTTCTGAGAATTAACCACACTGTAGATTATCCCATGAGATAAAGCCTCCTCTCCAACACCACTCATAATCACTTCCAAAAGGGAAGAGCTGGGAAAAGGTCAGAGGTCAAGTCTAAACAGAATGAGGTTTGTTTCTAAATAATGCACTTCCCTGCCTGTAAAAGTCACATCTAATTTCTTTACTATCTTCTGTAATTATATATATTCTCTCACTGTAGGATATTTTCAATTATTTCGGGATAGAAACTATGACATATTAATCCTTGCAGTCCCCTCACAGTTCTTAATGTGTAAAATTTACTCAAAAATATATGCTTAATTAAGTAAACATTTATTGTTGGTCTACTATATGTAAGGTATTGTTCTGGGAATTGGGGGGAAGGATGGGAGAGACTATATTTGTAATCCTCTTTTAAATTAGTAGGAGAGATGAGAAAGTATGTAATAACTATTATGAGGCATTCTTTTCTTAGTGCTATAAAAGAGGTACATTTGTAAAATTTAGTCTATTGTTTTAGGTTAATAATGCCTCTTCTCTTTCATTAGTACCCATAATGGAGAGCCGACGGTATGTGAAATTTCTAACCAATACAAGTGTACTGTTTCCATTTTAGGTGCCAACAATTAAAATTGAGGATATCAGAATCTACCCTAATGTGTTCCAGAGAATGATGGCTGAAGTACAAGAGATGAGAGAGAAGCAGAGCAACATGGATGCCAAATTTGCAGAACTGAAGAAGTGCTTATTATTATCAAGATTTCTGGTGCTTATTTCCAAAGTTTTTAAGTTTGATTGCCTCTGAGTTTAGAAACTGAACTCTTGTTTTCCATGGCACATTAGTGAGTTTTACTTCTTTTAAGTAAAACCACAGCACGGAATCAAATGCTTTAGTGCTTGGACTGCTGTTCATGTTCCAATGGCTTGGATCATATAACTCTGGCTGACTAGTAGACCACTGTATAAATCAGAAATGAAGTCACCAGCATCCAAGACAGCCATTCAGGTATGAATAATATAGCAGATAGCAGTTTCTATTTGACACTACAAAAACAGGAAAGGATGTTAAATGTATACGTTCTGAATTTAAGTACTCTAACCTACATTCATGGCTTATTTGCTAATTCTTGGTAGCTTCAAGGATAATCTATGATTCCTTTCTCTGAAGATGTTTTTTAACTTTGTCTATAAAATGGATACTTTAAGATATTTTTCAATGCTTTATAAAGAACCATATAGTGCATAATGCAGCATACAATGGATCTAATATTAGGGTATTTGCTCAGGCAGTAGCATTCAAAGGCAAAATTTATTTTTTTAAACTTCTATTTTAGATTCGGGGGGATACATGTGCAGGATTGTTACTTGGGTATATTGTATGAGGCTAAGGTGTAGGGTATGAATGATCCCATCACTCAGATAGTGAGCTTAGTACCCAGTAGTTAGTTGGGTTTGTTTTTTCTATTTCAATTTTTATTGAGTAATACTCTCCAGTTAAAGAGCATACATTTAAGGTTTACAACATGACAATTTGGTACACACACATGTTTTAAAATTATCATAATGAAGCTAATTAATCCTTCTAATTCATAAACTTGGAATATCATTCCATTTATCTGCACTGTCTTTAATGTCCTTATTTACATATATATACACACATACATGTATATGTGTATATACATATAAACACATATACATGTATATGTGTATATACATATATACACATATACATGTATGTGTGTATATACGTATATACACATATATGCATATATATGTATACATATATACACATATATGCATATATGTATGTATACATATACACACACATATATGCATATGTGTGTATGTATACATATACACACACATATATACACATATACACATATGTGTATATACACATATACACATATACACATATGTGTGTATATACACATATACACATATACACATATACACATATGTGTGTATATACATATATACATGTATACATATATACATATATGTGTATATATACATGTATACATATATACATATATGTGTATATATACATACATATATGTGTATATGTACATACATATATACACATATGTGCATATATACATATATACACATATGTGCATATGTGTATACGTATATATACGCATATATGCGTATACGTACGCATATATGCGTATACGTATATATACGCATATATGCGTATACGTATATATACGCATATATGCGTATACGTATATATACGCATATGTATATATACATATATACGCGTATATATGTGTATATATGTATATATATGTGTATATATATACATATATATTTTACTATAAGTTCTGGGATACATGTGCAGAGTGTGCAGGTTTGTTACATAGCTATACATGTGCCATGGTGGTTTGCTGCACCTATTGACCTGTCCTCTAAGTTCCTTCCCCTCACCCTCCACCCCCAAACAGTCCCTGGTGTGTGTTGTTCCCCTCCCTGTGTCCATGTATTCTCATTGTTAAACTCCCACTTATGAGTGAGAACATGCAATATTTTCTTATCTGTTCCTGTATTAGTTTGCTGAGGATGATTGTTTCCAGCTTCATCCATGCTCCTGCAAAGGACATGATCTCATTAATTTGTATGGCTGCGTAGTATTTCATGGTGTATGTATATCACATTTTCTTTATTCAATCTATTATTGATCGGCATTTGGGTTAGTTCCATGACACTGATATTGTAAATAATGCTGCAATAAACATGTGTGTGCATGTGTCTTCATAGAATGATTTATATTCCTTTGATTTTTATTCTAAATAATGCTGCAATAAACATATGTGTGCATGTGTCTTTATAGTAGGATGATTTATATTCCTTCGGGTGTATACCTAGTAATGGGATTGCTGGGTCAAAAGGTATTTCTGATTCTAGATCCTTGAGCAATTGCCACACTGTCTGCCACAGTGGTTGAACTGATTTACATTCCCAAAAGCATTCCTATTTCTCCACAGCCTCACCAGCATCTGTTTTTTTATTGACTTTTTAATAATTGCCATTCTGACTGGTGTGAGATGGTATCTTGTGGTTTTGATTTGCATTTCTCTAATATCAGTGATTTTGAGTTTTTTTTCCATATATTTGTTGGCTGCATAAATGTCTTCTTTTGAGAAGTGTCTGTTCATATCCTTTGCCCACTTTTTGATGGGGTTTTTTTTGTTGTACATTTGTTTAAGTGTCTTGTAAATTCTGGATATTAGACCTTTGTCAGATGGGTAGATTGAAAAACTTTTCTCCCATTCTGTAGGTTGCCTGTTCACTCTGATGATGTAGGTTGCCTGTTCACTCTTTTGCTGTGCAGAAGCTCTTTAGTTTAGTTAGATCCCATTTGTCAATTTTGACTTTTGTTGAAATTGCTTTTGGCATTTTCATCATGAAGTCTTTGTCCATGCCTATGTCCTGAAAGCTATTGCCTAGGTTTTCTTCTAGGGTTTTTGTGGTTTAAGTATTTAATCCATCTTGAGTTAATTTTTGTATAAGGTGTAAGGAAGGGATCCAGTTTCCATTTTCTGAATGTGGCTAACCAGTTTTCCCAGCACCATTTATTGAATAGGAGATCCTTTCCCCATTGCTTGTTTTTGCCAGGTTTGTAGAAAATCAGATGGTGTAGATGTGTAGTGTTATTTCTGAGGTCTTTGTTCTGTTCAATTGGCCTATATGTCTGTTTTGGTACCAGTGCCATGCTGTTTTGTTTACCGTAGCCTTGGAGTATAGTTTGAAGTCAGGTAGCATGATACCTCCAGCTTTGTTCTTTTTGCTTAAGATTGTCTTGGCTATACATGGTCTTCTTTAATTCCACATGAAACTTAAAGTATTTTTTTTTTCTAATTCTGTGAACAATGTTAATGGTAGTTTGATGGGAATAGCACTGAATCTACAAATTACTTTGGGCAGTATGGTCATTTTCATGATATTGATTCTTCCTATACATGAGGATGAAATGTTTTTCCATTTGTTTGTGTCCTCTCTTATTTCCTCGAGCAGTGGTTTGTAGTTGTCCTTGATGAGGTCCTTCACATCCCTTGCTAGCTGCATTCCTAGGTATTCTTTTTGTAGCAATTCTGAATGGGAGTTCATTCATGATTTGGCTCTCTGCTTGTTTATTATTAGTGCAAAGGAATGCTTGTGATTTTTGCACATTAATTTTGTACCCTAAGACTTTGCTAAAGTTGCTTATTAATTTAAGAAGTTTTGGGGCTGAGATGATAGGGTTTGCTAAATATAAAATCATGTCGTCTGCAAACAGAGACAATTTGACTTCCTCTCTTCCTATTCGAATACTCTTTATTTCTTTGTGTGATTGCTCTGGCCAGAACTTCCAATACAATGTTGAATAGGAGTGTTTAGAGAGACCATCCTTGTCTTGTACTGGTTTTCTTTTTTTTTTTTTTTTTTTAATCTTTTTCAAAGTGAATGCTTCCAGCTTTTGCTCATTCAATATATCGGCTGTGGGTTTGTCATAAAGACTCCCTATTATTTTGTGATATGTTCCATCAATACATAGTTTATCAAGAGTTTTTAACATGAAGGGATGTTGAATTTTATCAAAGGCCTTTTCCTCATCTGTTGAGTTAATCATGTGGTTTTTGTCTTTGGTTCTGTTTATGTGATGGATTATGTTTATTGATTTGCATATGTTGAACCAGCCTTGCATCACAGGGATGAAGCCAACTCAATCATGATGGACAAGTTTTTTGGTGTGCTGCTGGTTCAATTTGCCAGTATTTTATTGGGGATATTTGCATTGATATTTATCAGAGATATTGGCCTGAAGTGTTCTTTGTTGTGTCTCTTCCCGGTTTTGGTATCAGGATGATGCTGGCTTCATAAAATGAGTTAGGGAGGAGTCCCTCCTTTTCAATTGTTTGTTTGGAATAGTTTCAGAAGGAATGTTACAAGCTCTTCTTTGTACCTGTGGTAGAATTTGGCTGTGAATCTGTTCACTCCTGGGCTTTTATGTTTTGTTTTGTTTTGGTTTGTAGGCTTTTAATTACTGCCTCAATTTCAGAACATGTCCCAGTAATTATTTTTCAACCCTTGCCCATCTCCCCCTCTCCTCCCTCTAGTAGCCTTCAGTTTCTATTGTTGCTGTCTTTATATCCATAAGTACTCAACGTTTAGCCCCTATTTATAAGTGAGAACATGTGGTATTTTATTTTGTCAATTTGCTTAGGATAATGGCCTCCAGCTAAATTCATTTTGCTGCAAAGAATCTGATTTCATTCTTTTATGGCTGCATAGCATTTCATGGTGTATATGTAGCATATTTTCTTTATCTGGTTTACCGTTGATGGGCACCTAGGTCGATTCAATGTCTTTGCTATTGTGAATAGTGTGGCCATGAACATGTGAATACATGACCTTTTGGTAGAACAATATGTTGTCTTGTAGATACATAGTCAGTAATGGGATTGCTGGGTCAAATGGTTGTTTTGTTTTAAGTTCTTTAAGAGGATTATGGCAGATGGGAGGGAGGGATCATGGCAGACTTGAGGAAGGACTAGATTGCAGCTGTTACTCAGATGAACAGAGCAGAGTGTGGAGGCCCACATCGTAAATTTTTGCTCCAGAACAACTGAAGAAATAAATCAAGAAACACAAGAGGAACCACAGACTCTCTGAAGGAAGAGGATTGCTCTTGCAGGACCTGGGATATACCCCAAATACTGTGCTGGTATCCATGGCTGAGAGACCCACAGATTGTTCACATCACAGGACTCTGTGCAGACAACCCCCAGTTCCAGCCCAGAGCTGGATAGACTTGCTGGGTGGCTAGATCCAAAATAGAGATAACAATCACTACAGCTTGGCTCTAAGGGAGCCACATCTGTAGAAAAAGGGGGTGGGCACTACATCGAAAACACACCCTGTGAGACAAAAGAATCTGAACAACAGCCTTCAGCCCTAGACATTCCCTCTGACGAGCCTACCCAAATGAGAAGGAACGAGAAAATCAACTCAGGTAACATGACAAAACAAGGTTCTTAAAGACTCCCCAAAAATCACACTAGCTCGCCAGCAATAGATCTAAACCAAGAAGAAACCCCTGATTTACATGAAAAATAATTCAGGAGGTTAGTTATTAAGCTAATCAAGGAGGCACTAGAGAAAGGCGAAGCCCCATGTAAGAAAATTAAAAAAAAAAAAAGATACAAGAAGAGAAGGGGGAAATATTCAAAGAAATAGAGAGCATAAAGAAAAAACAATCAAAACTTCAGGAAACAATGGACACAGTTATAGAAATGCAAAATGCTCTGGAAAGTCTCAACAATAAAATCTAACAAGTAGAAGATATTCAGAGCTCGAAGGCAAGGTTTTCAAATTAACACAATCCAACAAACACAAAGGAAAAAAAGAATAATAAAATGCGAAGAAAGCCTCCAAGAAGTCTGGGATTATGTTAAATGACCAAATCTAAGAATAATTGGTATTCCTGAAGAATAAGAGAAATCTAAAAGTTTGGAAAACATATTTGGGGGAATAATCAAGGAAAACTCCCTTGGCCTTGTTAGAGACATAGACATCCAAAAACAAGAAGGACAAAGAACACCTGGAAAATACATAGCAGAAAGTTCATCACCCAGGCATATTGTCATCAGGTTATCTAAAGTTAAGATGAAGGAAATAATCTTAAGAGCTGTGAGACAAAAATACGAGGTAACAAAAAAAAAAAAACTACCAGATAAACAGTAGATTTCTCAACAGAAACACTATGAGCTAGAAGGGATTGGGGCCCTATTTTCAGCCTCCTCAAACAAAACAATTATCAGCCAAAAATTTTGTATCCAACGAAACTAAGCTTCATATATGATGAATTTGTTTGTCTTTTTCAGACAAACAAATGCTGAGAGAATTCGCCCCTACCAAGCCACCACTACAAGAACTGCTAAAAGGAGCTCTAAATCTTGAAACCAATTCTTGAAACACATCTAAACAGAATCTCTTTAAAGCATAAGTCACACAGGACCTATAAAACAAAAATACAAGTTAAAAAACAAAAACAAAAAACCAAGGTATACAGGCAACAAATAGCATGACTAACAGAATGGGACCTCACATCTCAATACTAACATTGACTGTAAATGGCCTAACTACTTCACTTAAAAGGTATAGAATTGCAGAATGGATAAGAATTTAGCAACCATCTGCTGCCTTCCAGATACTCACCTAACACATAAGGACCCATATAAACTTATGGTAAACTAGTGGAAAAATACATTTCATGCAAATGGACACCAAAAGTGAGCAGGGGTAGCTATTCTTACATCAGACAAAACAAACTTTAAAGCAACAGCAGTTAAAAAAGACAAAGAGGGACATTATATAATGATAAAAGGCCTTGTCCAACAGAAAAATATCACAATCCTAAACATATATGCACCTGACACTGGAGCTCCCAAATTTATGAAATAATTACTAATAGACCTAAGAAATGAGATAAACAGCAACACACTAATAGTGGAGGACTTCAAAAATCCACTGGCAGCAATAGACAGGTTATCAAGACAGAAAGGCAACAAAGAAACAGTGGATTTAAACTATACCTTGGAACAAATACAGATATATACAGAACATTCCATCCAATAACCACAGAATATATATTCTATTCAACAGTGCATGGAACTTTCTCCAAGATAGACCACATGATAGGCCACAAAATGAGCCTCAATAAATTTTTAAAAATTGAAATTATATCAAGCAATCTCTTGGACCACAGTGGAATAAAATTGGAAATCAACTCCAAAAGGAACCTTCAAAACCATGCAAATACATAAAAATTAAATAACCTGCTACTGAATGATTATTGGGTCAAAAATGAAATCAAAATAAAAATTAAAAAATTCTCCAAACTTAACAATAGTGACACAACCTATCAAAACCTCTGAGATAAAGCAAAGGCAGTGCTAAGAGGAAAGGTCATAGCCCTAAACACCTATATCAAAAAGTCTGAAAGAGCACAAACAGACAATCTAAGGTCACACCTCAAGGACTAGAGAAACAAGAACAAACCAAACCCAAACCCAGCAGAAGAAAGGAAATAATTAAGATCAGAATAGAACTAAATGAAATTGAAACAAAATAAAACAATACAAAAGATAAATAAAAGAAAAAGCTGGTTCTTTGAAAAGATAAATAAAACTGATAGATCATAAGCAAAATTAACAAAGAAAAGAAGAGAGAAAATCCAAGTAACCTTAATACGAAATGAAATGGGAGATATTACAACTGACACCATAGAAATACAAAAGATCATTCAAGGCTGCTATGAACACCTTTATGCACATAAACTAGAAAACCTAGAAGAGATGGATAAATTCTTGGAAAGATACAACCCTCCTAGCTTAAATCAGGAAGAATTAGAAACCTTGAAGAGACCAAGGTTTGAAATGGTAATTTAAAAATTACCAACAACAAAAAATGTCTAGGACCAGAAGTATGCACACCAGAATTCTACCAAACATTCAAAGAATAATTGGTACCAATGCTATTGACACTATTCCACAAGATAGAGAAAGAGGGAACCCTCCGTATCATTCTATGAAGTCAGTATCAACCTAATGCCAAAACTAGGAAAGGACATAACCAAAAAAGAAAACTATAAACCAACATCCCTGATGAATATAGATGCTAAAATTTTTAACAAAATTCTAGCTAACCGTATCTAACAACATATCAAATGTATAATCCACCACGATCAAGTGGGTTTCATACCAGGGAAGCAGGGATGGTTTAACTTGAGTAAGTCAATAAATGTGATACACCACAGAAACAGAATGTTTTTAAAATTACATGATCATTTTAATAGTTGCAGAGAAAGCATTTGACAAAATCCAGCATTGCTTTATGATTAAAACTCTCAGCAAAATCGACATACAAGGGATATACTTCAATGTAATAAAAGCCATCTATGACAAACCCACAGAAAAGATGATAATGATGGGGAAAGATTGAAAGCATTTCCTCTGAGAACTGGAACAAGACAAGGATGCCCACTCTCACCACTCCTCTTCAACATAGTACTGGAAGTCCTAGCCAGAGCAATCAGACAAAAGAAAGAAAAAAATGGCATCCAAATCAGTAAAGAGGAAGTCAAACTGTTCCTGTTTGCTGAAGATATGATTGATTACCTAGAAAACCCTAAAGAATTCTCCAGAAAGCTCCTAGAACTGATCAAAGAATTCAGCAGTTTCCCAATACAAAATTAATGTACACAAATCAGTAGCTCTTCTATACACCAACAGTGACCAAGCAGAGAATCACATCAAGAACTCAACCCCTTTTACAATAGCTGTAAAACAAATAAAATACTTAGGAATATACCCAACTAAGGAGTTGAAAGTTCTCTGCAAGGAAAACTACAAAACACTGCTGAAAGAAATCACAAACAGACTGGGCACAGTGGTTCACGCCTGTAATCTCAACACTTTGGGAGGCCGAGGTGAGTGGATCACCTGTGGTCAGGAGTTCAAGACCAGCCTAACCAAAATTATGAAACCCCTTCTTTACTAAAAATACAAAAAATTAGCCAGGAGTGGTGGCAGGTGCCTGTAATCCCAGCTACTTGGGAGGCCGAGGCAGGAGAATCCCTTGAGCCTGGGAGGCGGATGTTGCAGTGAGCTGAGGTCAGGCCACTGCACTCCAGCCTGGGCAACAAGAGTGAAACTCCATCTCAAAAAAAAAAAAAAAAAAAAGAAAAAAGAAATCTCAAACAAATGGAAACACATCCCATGTGCATGAATGGATAGAATCAATATCATGAAAATGACCACGCTGCCAAAAGCAGTCTACAAATTCAATGCAATTCCCCTCAATATACCACCATCATTCTTCAAACAATTCTAAAATTCATATGGAAACAAAATAGAGCCAAAGCAAGACTAAGCAAAAAGAACAAATCTGAAGGCATTACATTACCTGATTTTAAACTATACTATAGGGCTATAGACACCAAAACAGTATGGTACTGGCATAAAAATAGGCACATAGCCCAACAAAACAGAACAGAGAACTCAGAAATAAACCCAAATACAGCCAGCTGGTCTTTGACAAAGCAAACAAAAATATAAAGTGGGGAAAGGACACCCTTTTCAACAAATGGTGCTGGGATAATTGGCTAGCCACATGTAAGATAATGAAACTGAGTCCTCTTCTCTAACTTTATACTCTTTCAACTCAAGATGGATTTAGGACTTAAATCTAAGACCTGAAACTATAAAAATTCTAGAAGATAACATTGGAAAAAACCTTATAAACATTGGCTTAGGCAAGGATTTTATGACCAAGAACCCAAAAGCAAATGCAATAAAAACAAAGATAAATAACTAGGACTTTATTAAACTAAAGTGCTTTTGTGTGGCAAAAGGAGCAGTCAGCAGAGTACACAGACAACCCACAGAGTGGGAGTCTTCACAATCTATACATCTGACAAAGTACTAATATCCAGAATCTACAATGAACTCAAACAAATCAGCAAGAAAAAACAAACAAATAATACCATCAAAAATGGGTTAAGGACATAAATAGAAAATTCTCAAAAGAAGATATACAAATAGCCAACAAACATATGAAAAAATGCTCAAAATCACTAATAATCAGGGAAATGCAAATCAAAACCACAATGTGATACTACCTTACTCTTGCAAGAATGGCCATAATAAAAAAATAAAAAAAAATAGATGTTGGCATGAATGCGGTGAACAGGGAACACTTCTACACTGCTGGTGGGAATGTAAACTAGTACAACCACCATGAAATATAATGTGGAGATTCCTTAAAGAACTAAAAGTAGAACTACCACTCAATCCAGCAATCCCACTACTGGGTATCTTCCCAGAGGAAAAAATGTCATTATATGAAAAGATACTTGTACATACATGTTTATAGCAGCACAATTTGCAATTGCAAAAACGTGGAACCAACCCAAATGCTCATCAATCAGCGAGTGAATAAAGAAACTGTGATATATATATATATATATATCACAGTATTCCATGTATATATATATATATATATATATATATATATATATATATATACATGGAATACTGTGATTTATATGTAATGGAATACTATATATATAATGGAATACTAATACTATATATATAATGGAATACTACTATATATATATAATGGAATACTATATATATATATATCTATATATATAATGGAATACTACATATATATATATGTATATGAGATGGAATACTACTCAGCCATAAAAAAGAATGAATTAATGGCATTTACAGCAACCTGGATGAGACTGGAGACTATTATTCTAAGTGAAGTAACTCAGGAATGGAAAACCAAACATCATATGTTCTCACTCATATGTGGGATCTAAGCTATGAGGATGCAAAAGCATAAAAATGACACAATGGATTTTGACGACTTTGGGGGAAAGGGTGGGAAGGGGGTGAGGGATAAAAGACTACAAATAGGGTACAGTATATACTGTTCGTGTGATGAGTGCACCAGAATCTCACAAATCACCACGAAAGATCTTACTTATGTAACCAAACACCATCTGTTCCTCAATAACCTATGGAAATTAAAAAAAAAAATGTAACTTCTTTGAGAAATCGCCAAACTGCTTTCCACAGTGGCTAAGCTAATTTACATTCCCACAAATAGTGCATAAGCATTCTTTTCTCTCCACAGCGTCACAAAGGCAAAATTTAAATGGTTAAACCATTTCACAATAATTCCTGTGAGAAAAGGTTATAACCTATAATTTACCTTAGAGGAGATAAGCATGCATTTGTTCTAACAAATGTTCATTAATATTCAAATTAAACTTGGGCTCGCCTGCCAATCTTTCAATGAAGTACAAATGTATTTTTAATTTTATGAGTTCTCTTTTGTAATTGACTTAACAAATTAAACTTTTCACATCCACAAGGAATAAAAGAGAGAGAGGGTGAAGTAGAAAGAAGTATTTTTCTTGAATTTTCATCAACATTGAATATAAGCCAAGATTTTCATTGACATTGACCATGAGCCAACCCTTCATGTTAATTCTGGACATCAGTCTGTTGTTGAATGTTAACCATTACATACATAGATATCATGTGGTTAATGATGCTCCAGTGGGTTCTGGTTGGTTTTATAGGTAAATCAGACCAAAAACTTTGTTAATAGCAAACTAGATGGCCTTCAGAGTTTCCTTCTAGCCAAATATTGGTGATACTTTCCCACTGTGGAATTTGGATTATATTAGATCATACTTAAAGTTAATTCTATATATGAAGTTTGTAGTTTATTAATCTGATACAAGATGTCTCTTTCCATGTCCTTCAAAGGAAGTATAGATATGTTAGTTTGATATACACCCACTGGCCTAGAGACTTAGTTGTTCTGTCAGCCTTCTATGAAGTATTTTTCTACCCCTTTGATTGTTAGTAAGGAATCTGCATTTGTATTATCTTGGTTTGCAAAGATTCTTATACTCTAAAGTTTAGAAGACTATTAGTCTGTATTTCCAAAATGTTACCGTGATACCTGTATGGACTATTGACTGATGGAAAGATTAAAAGGAGTTAAATTTTAAGTTTGGAATAATCAGAGTAATGGGATAATTCTTATGAAGAAAATTAAAAATGTTAACTCATAGAGGTCAATATATTATTAGATGTGTCTTCAAAATTCTACAGACATCTTTCTGTCTTGCTTCATTTTGACAATATGTAAATGTTGCTGGGAATATGCAACCTTAGCCTTGAAATAACAAACCTAAGACAAAAGTACTGCAAGCAACAGCAGCTATTAACATAGGTGCCAGTTCAGTCTTTCGAAGAGTTTTTATTCTTTCTTTTCTGTAAATTATTAATTATAGCTATTCTATAACATTCTTGGCTAGATATAAAATGATTATAATATATAGTCCCATGAAGGTCAAAAGAAAAATGTATTAATTATCATTGTGCTTAGTTGTATCTCTTATAACATTCCTCTTTATTGGTTTCCTTAAATACTGAGCATGATGTCCTTATTAAAGTGTTCTCTATGATTTGTTAGATTCTCCAGTTTGTATTGAGTTTGACAAGTGGAAATTATGTAGTAGACATGAATAGAAAAAGATGTATTTATTGATTCCGCGTATTTTCTGGCATATAGATGCCCCATCTATGCTCATGTCCCATAATTGTTCTCTTTCCAAGTTTATTCTTATCTTTTAGGTCAGAGCAGTTAGACAGCATGTATAAATTGTGTGTCAGAATAAAAAAGATAGCTGCCAAGGAAAGCCGAACATATCATCAGTTCAGTATATATTGTGTTTTCTTTTGTTTTTATACTTTTAAAATGATAACAGGCTAACTTGCTGTGGCACGATCATGATAGGTGCACCCTAGTTGCTGGCTGTTGGTTGCAGGTTACTTCTGTCTGTATCCTTAAGGTGGTTCCAGCGATGTCATTGAGAACTAATATAGGAAAAATACCAGTTATTCTAAGGCTCTAAGTAGCCTAATAGAACTTACACCTCCCCTGGGATTCTCCTAGAATAAATTGGAAGAAATCTCTCAGCTCCACCTTGCTAAAGCGCCATGGATCTTCCATAGAGGTTCTTTATGCAAAAGATTAGACTGGCCAGAGGGAACAAAACCATTTCACGTATGATTTCTGTTATAATTAGGAGCTCCCAGTTCCATCTTTACTGGCCTCTTGCAACTTAAGATTGTAGGGTTTTTGTTTTAAGTCCTTAGAAGACAGAATATCTTTTTTTTTTATTATACTTTAAGTTTTAGGGTACATGTGCACAATGTGCAGGTTAGTTACATATGTATACATGTGCCATGTTGGTGTGCTTCACCCAATAACTCGTTATTTAACATTAGGTATATCTCCTAATGCTATCCCTCCCCGCTCCCCCCACCCCACAACAGGCCCCGGTGTGTGATGTTCCCCTTCCTGTGTCCATGTGTTCTCATTGTTCAATTCCCACCTATGAGTGAAGAAGACAGAATATCTAATCATAAACAATTTTCTTGCAGGATGCTATCTAGGTATACCTCAGACAGGAACTCTTAAGTTATTGGCTTGACTCCTCAGACTTGATTAAACAACTTAGAACCAATAGATAATAATTAATGGCTGGTGTTTATTGAGTACTTACAATGTGCTGGATACTGTACTAAGTGCCTTACATGGATGATCTTATTTAATTTTCAGAAAGTATTTCTATTAGATAGGCTCTAATATTATTCTCATTTCACAAATGAGGGAGTTGAGTTACGGCAAGTTTAACTGTTTTGTACAAGGTCACATAGTTAATATATGATAGACTCAAAATTCAAACCCAGGTAGTAAAGTCATTGACTACAGAGCTTTGCCTCGCATTTGAGTCGGCCCTCCTTCCCACTTTTGATTTTTTTGTTAACTTTTAATTTTGATATAATTGAAATAGAACATTTATGAGAATTCTACAAAGGACTCCCATATAGCCTTTACCTAAATTCTCCAATTTTAACATTTATTTATCATTTTTTTCTCTCTCTCTCCATCCTCCGCTGACACATACAAACACTTCTTTATGAACTTTTTGAGAGTGAGTTGTAGACATGGTGCCTGTTTACCCCTAAATAGGTTAACGCGTGTTTTCTAATAACAATGACATATTCTTACATAACCACTGTACAATATCAAAATCAGGAAACTTAGCATTGACTTAATACTATGTCTTAATTCCTATTTCTAATCCCTATTTTCTAATTCCTAATCCACATTCAAATTTCAGCAATTTCAGCAATTGTCTCACTAATATTATAGCCACAACCACACCCTCTCCCCTGTTCTCAATCTAGGGTTCAAGTCAGGATCATACACAACATTTTGTTGTTATGTCTCTTAATTCTCTTTTAATATGGAAGAGTTCCTCAGCCTGTGTTTGTCTTCCATGACTGCAATATTTTTGAGGAGTACAGGCCAGTATGTTTTGTAGAGTGTTCCTCACTTTGAGTTTAGTGTGGTGTCATGGGTAGAATCAGACTGTATGTTTTTGACAGTAATATAAAGACATGATGCTGTGTTCTTGCTGCATAATATCAGAGGCACCCGATGTCAGTTTGTCTTATTACTGGTGATGTTAACTTTGATCATTTGTTTAAGGTGATGTATTCATAAGATATACTTATGGAATAAGATATATTCCAAGTTTATCCACTCTTACTATTTTTTCTTTGTAATTAATAATAGTAGGGAGATACTTTTGAGTCCATATAAATTACTCAAAATTTTACCCATTAATTTTAGTATGTATTGAGGACTCTTAACTGAATCATGTATTACTGTGATGGTTGTACAACAGTAATTTTCTAGTTACATCATTCTTCTGTGTTTTTATTTTGCGTTCTATTACAAGGAAGAGCTTTTCATTCTTCCCTGTTTATTTATTTATATCAGCATGGAATCATTGATTCTTATTTAACTCAAAGGGTTATAATTCATTACTAGACTGTACCCATTGATAGATATATCCTCATTATTTTGAGCATTTACTTTTGTCATAATAGGATGTTTCAGGCTCAATTTGTACTTTGCCTGCCCAGCCCTGGAATCAGGCATTATTCCCAAGAGGTTGGTTTTCCCATTTGCTCTTCAGTTTTATCTGACCCAGTGTATACTTGAAACACCAAGCTTTTAGAATGTCTTAATGTAGATACTCAGAAGCTAAAACATAGGGACAATTCCAACTTGTCACTAATTCTTCTAAACCTCCCATTTAAATGCACTGGGTCTTTTTCTTTTTCCACTTTGATGTTGAGCTCCTAAAATATTTATGTTTAGTGAAAACCTTTCTGACAAAGGATAATTAAATTTGGTTTTGTTTTTTACAACAAAGTTTTTTGGCCATTGCAACACTCAGGTAGCTAATGACAATAAAATGTGTGTCTCATTGCAGGTCATTACCAGTCACATCTGGGGCTTCAGCTTTCAAATGTGCTCATCAATATTTCCATATTCCAGCGGAGGAGATGCTGTAACATTCTGAGATAATATGGTGGAGGATGGGTAAAAAAAAAATTTACCATGCTTGTTGCTATTATTTCTCATACCATTGTTAAATATTCTCAATAGGAATCACATCAAATATGATCTGAGAAAGACCAGATGTATGAACAGGTACATAATCAAGTATCATTTCCTCTAACACTCCTATTTAGATGGAAATATTTAAAAATGATCATGCACTTGTTGAAGACAAAAATGAAAGTCTCCTTGACAGTGTCTTACCTATTTGAAAGATGAATCCAAAAACTTAGTTTCATCTATGAACCCAGAAGATGGAGACGATGGGTAAGCAGTCTTGTCGGCAATGTGTTGGTAATTTAATAGGGGTTACAGCTATGTTAAAATGTGAGGGCATGTCTTATTTTTAACTAAACAAATAATGCTTTCCTTCAATTACAAAAATAAATTTATTGGTACTCTGCCAGTATATTATGCATTTGAGTTTTTTTCTTAGTGGTGGCAATGCTACTGCTCTCTATATTCTTGTTCAGTTCCCTTTATGACCACCAAAACACACTTGCAAAATAACTAGTCTGACCTGTTATTTTGTGGCTAAAGAATAGAACGATGACAACCAGCCCATTAAAAATATATTCAGTAGTATGATGATTGAAGAAATAAGATATTGAAACAAAGCTTACTTAATATAAAATATATGTATAAAATTAACACTTTTGCAATAAACAATGACTAGTTAAAATTCTAGTGAAAATTCCTTTCCCCCAAACAACAAAAGTTTAAATTAGCAAATACTATAAATGTAATAAGAAATATAGAGTAACTATTTGGGGAAAAACGTTGGTCTGCAAATTTGAGATTTTCTATAATTGTTAAAGGAAATAGGAGAATAAACATGTATATCATTTTCAAGTGTATTTTATGGATGGCAGATATTTGGGTATCTTCTGAGGAGAGTTACCTGTTTAGACGTCTATGTCTCAGTGATGCCTATTTGGGTAGAAGGAAGGGCCAAGTGAAGAATCATTAAGTCTGGTCAGGGAGGTGGAAGTTTTAGAAGAGGAAATCTGAGAAGGAAATGGCTGGAGAAGACTTCCAGTGGAAGATCATTTAGGAGGCAGAATATTCTGAAATATATTTTGAGGGTATAAAGAGGAAACCTGAAGAGCTAGAATCTTTTGGGAGAGTTAATGTGTTTGAGGGAATGGTAATTACAGATGTAAGCAGGGATATCCTAAAGCCTGGGTACTATAAAGAGAACTAAGCCATTAAATCAATTGTATCTGGGAGCTGAGGTGTTTAAGAAGCAAGACAATGGGAAGGACATATTATTGGAGAAGGAGGTATGAATGGTAAACTTCTGTTCATGAATTAAATGTTTACAGGTATTGGCTGCTAAAGCCAACAGCATAAACGCCATCTACCTGGGTGTTGGCCCAGAAGAGTGGCATACATGTGTTGTCTTCATCACATCCATCAACTGAACAGAGGTGCAGAATGCTAGCAATAGGCACATCTGAAAAACAGTGCACCAGAAAAGCTTTCCTAAAGACACCAGAAAGAAGTTTGAGGATCTCAGACTTCATGACATCTAGAATGTTGTAATAAGTGTTATTTGTTTTTTAATTTTATTTTTATTGATACATCATAGAGGTATATATTTTTGGAGTACCTGTGGTAATTTAATAAACTCATATAACTTGTAAAGATCAAATCAGTGTAATTGGGATATCCATTATTTTAAATAGTTTTCTTTATGCTAAGAACATTTGAATTATTCTCTTCTATGTATTTTTTATTGTCATTCTTAGACAGAATTTTTTTTTTTTTTTTGAGACAGGGTCTCATTCTGTCACCCAGGCTGAAGTGCAGTGGCATGATCATAGCTCACTCTAGACTCAAACTCCTGGGCTCAAGTGATCCTCCCACCTCTGCTTCTCAAGTAGCTGGGAGTACAGGCGTGACCAACCCACCTCAGCCTCTTCCAGGTATTTTGAGATACACAAGGCCAGGTACAGTGGCTCACAATTGTAAGTACTCCCAGAGCTTTGGGAGGCTGAGGTGAGTGAATAACCTGAGCCCAGGAATTTGAGACCAGCCCAGGAAACATAGGTGAACCCCCAACTCTACAAAACATTTTTTCTTTAATTAGCCAGACACGGAGTACCTGTGGTCCCAGATACTCAGGATGCTGACGTAGGAGGATCGCTTAAACCTGGGAGGTTGAGGATACAGTGAGCCATGATTGTACCATTGCACTCCAGCCTGAGCTACAGAGCAAGACCCTGTATCTGGAAAATATAAAAGAAATACACAATAGATTATTGTAAACTACAGTAATAAATGATAATTAAACAACTACACATTAAATCTTAGAATCTAAATTAACAATTCAACTGTTAGAGAAGCTGTCCAGTTACATGTGTTTGACAGTTTTCTAAAATATAAATTCAAAAAGAATGTGGAAAAATGTGGTTATCTAAATTAATTATCCTATTGAAAACGAAAATTTATTTATTTATTTATTTTATTATACTTTAAGTTTTAGGGTACATGTGCACATTGTGCAGGTTAGTTACATATGTATACATGTGCCATGCTGGTGCGCTGCACCCACTAACTCGTCATCTAGCATTAGGTATATCTCCCAATGCTATCCCTCCCCCCTCCCCCCACCCCACCACAGTCCCCAGAGTGTGATATTCCCCTTCCTGTGTCCATGTGATCTCATTGTTCAATTCCCACCTATGAGTGAGAATATGCGGTGTTTGGTTTTTTGTTCTTGCGATAGTTTACTGAGAATGATGGTTTCCAATTTCATCCATGTCCCTACAAAGGACATGAACTCATCATTTTTTATGGCTGCATAGTATTCCATGGTGTATATGTGCCACATTTTCTTAATCCAGTCTATCGTTGTTGGACATTTGGGTTGGTTCCAAATCTTTGCTATTGTGAATAATGCCGCAATAAACATACGTGTGCATGTGTCTTTATAGCAGCATGATTTATAGTCGTTTGGGTATATACCCAGTAATGGGATGGCTGGGTCAAATGGTATTTCTAGTTCTAGATCCCTGAGGAATCGCCACACTGACTTCCACAATGGTTGAACTAGTTTACAGTCCCACCAACAGTGTAAAAGTGTTCCTATTTCTCCACATCCTCTCCAGCACCTGTTGTTTCCTGACTTTTTAATGATTGCCATTCTAACTGGTGTGAGATGATATCTCATAGTGGTTTTGATTTGCATTTCTCTGATGGCCAGTGATGATGAGCATTTTTTCATGTGTTTTTTGGCTGCATAAATGTCTTCTTTTGAGAAGTGTCTGTTCATGTCCTTCGCCCACTTTTTGATGGGGTTGTTTGAAAAACGAAAATTTAATCCTATGATAAAATTAACCTCTGCTGTATCTGTATGCTATTTCAGTGGAAATTTTAAGCTACAGTTTAGCTTTTTTATTCTTCTTTTTTACAGAGCCCTCACACAATTTAAGTTCGTCAAAAATATGAGAAACAATCTGGGAATTATTTGAGTTCTCTTAAGACTTCCTCCTTTACCTGAAAAGCAAATCATTGTCCAATTCTACTTCTTTCCCAGTCGAAACTGAGGTGTCTGTTTAATCCCTGCACCACAGAATGGAAACATGGCCTGTGAGCTGTAAATCCTGACCCTTGAGGTACTATTACATTGCTGTGTTATTTGCTACATGCTATACAATCTCTCTAAATGATACATATATATTGATAAAAAGTCATGTATGTATATTTACATATATACACACATTATATATAGCTAAAATTTATATGTGTATATATAAACAACTTTATAGAGATAATAATTTATAGGCCGGGCAGGGTGGCTCACACCTGTAATCCCAGCACTTTGGGAGGCCAAGGCGGGCAGATCATTTGAGGTCAGGAGTTTGAGACTGGCCTGGCCAACACAGTGAAACCCCGTCTCTACTAAAAATACAAAAATTAGCCAAGTGTGGTGGCACATACCTGTAATTCCTGCTACTACAGAGTTTGAGGCAGGAAAATAGTTTGAACCCGGGAGGTGGAGGTTGCAGTGAGCCAAGAAGACACAACTGCACTCCAGCCTGGGCGACAGAGTAAAACTCTACATCCAAAAAAAAAAAAAAAAAAAAGGAGAGAAAGATAATTTATATATCATAAAATTTGTCCGATTTTAAGGGTAGAATTCAATTTGTAGTGGATTTACTGAATTGTGTCACCATCACCATAATCCCATCTTAGAAGATTTTCATCAATCTAATAAGACCCCTCAGGGCCATTTACTAATCTACTTGCTGTCTCTATAGATTTTACTCTTCTGGCCATTTCATATGAATGGAATAATACAAGTGGTCTTTTGTGTCTGGCGTATTTCACATAGCATAGTGTTTTCATCTATGCTGTGGCATAGATCATTACTTCAACTCTTTGTATTGCTGAATAATATTTCATTATATAGATATACTACATTTCACTTAACACATTAATCAGTTAATGGACACTTCTGTTATTTTCCAATTCTTTGCTATTATAAATGATGCTGCTATGAACATTCACAGGAAAATCTTTATGTGGAAATGTGTTTGCAATTATTTTGCATAGATACCAAAAATGGAATTGCTGGAAGTAATTGGAATTGAGTGGAAAACATTATGCTTAACTTTTTAAGAAATAGCTAAACTATTTTCCAAAGTGGATATACCATTTCACATTTATTTATTTCAGCAACGTATAGGGGTTCCTATTTTTTTCACATCCTCACCAACACTTGTCTGTCTCTTTTGTAATAGCTATTCCAGGTGTGATGTCTTTTTTTTTCATTAAATTGAAGTGATAGAATTGTTGTCCTGTGAGAATGTTTGGATGTTGTATTATATAATATTCAAATAAAATGAAAGGAGAATTTGTGGGCACACTATTCGTTAGTTGACCTAAACACTGCAAATCATCTGTTGATATTATGTAACTAATAGATATGCTACAGCCCATATAATTTGAGCTCTTGCAACATGTAGGATTAATATTTTCCTGTGTTGATTATTTCTCAGGAAATACCCCAAAATATCAATTCAGGATGTACCTATGAGTGAAGATTCACTGGCCATTGGTTTGGATTTAGTGGTACCAGATTTCCAAGAACTAATGATCCAGGAATTATTTGGAGAGGCAACTATAAATATTTCTTTGGAGTTGGTGTTTTCTCCTTTCCATGTCAATGCTCCAATCTTGATTGAAGACAAACCAGATACTCAATGTAATGTTATAATGAACAGGTACAAAATCTCTTTCTTCTTTAAACTAGGGGGTTCTCCACATGTTTTTAAAGAGAATGCTTACTTTGTAATTTTTTTCATAATCTGGAAATCACTTTGGATAGAGTGGAAGAAAGGCAGGAATATATCAACAGAAGCTTGCAGAGACTTTGAAGGGTACCTCTGCACACTCTTTCACTTTCCTTTCTGATAAACCAAGAAACACTATTTACGATGGTGATTGGGATTTGGAAATCCAAGTATATAGCTAGTGAACCTCAAATCTAGCTGAGAAGTAGCATAATTCTATCATACATCCCTGATTGTACATTTGAATATTGATTCAATGTTTACTTTGAAACCTTAACCAATCAGACATTTTTTAGGAGAAAACTAAATTATGATCAATATCTTATACCGGGTCTTAGGTCTGATGTATGATTTGTGTTTCTGAAGAAATCTGTATATTTTCAGGCATATTCTTCTGAGGTTAGAAAATTACTTGTGGCCAGGTGCAGTAGCTCATGCCTGTTATCCCAGCAGTTTGGGAGGCCAAGGCAGGAGGATTGCTTGAGTTCAGGAGTTTGAGACCAGCCTGAGCATAACAAAATGCTGTCTCTACTAAAAACACAAAAATTAGCTGGTCATGGTGGTGTGCATGTGTAGTCCCAGCTACCCAGGAGGCTGAGGTGGGAGGATTGCTTGAGCCCAGGGAGGTAAAGGCTGCAGTGAGCTGTGATTGTGCCACTGCACTCCAGCCTGGATGACAGAGTGAGACCCTATTGGGAAGGGAAGGGAAGGGGAGGGGAGGGGAGGGGAGAGAAGGAGAGAAGGGAAGGAGGGAAGGGAAGGAGGGGAGGGAAGGAGGGAAGGGAAGGAGGGAGGGGAAGGAGGGAAGGGAAGGAGGGAAGGGAAGGGAAGAATGGAAGGGAAGGAGGGGAGGGAAGGGAAGAAGGGAAAAGAAGGGGAGGGAAGGGAAGAAGGGAAGGGAAGAAGGGAAGGGAAGAAGGGAAGGGAAGGGAAGAAGGGAAGGGAAGGGAAGAAGGGAAGGGAAGGGAAGGGAAGAAGGGAAGGGAAGGGAAGAAGGGAAGGAAAGGGAAGAAGGGAAGGAAAGAAGGGAAGGGAAGGAAGGGAAAAAGGGAAGGGAAGAGAAAAAGGGAAGGGAAGGGTTCTTCTTAGTCCAAAGTATAATATAATATTATAGTGAGGGGAACAAAACATAATTAAGGAAACATTTTCCCTGTACTTGCACTCCCACGTATTATCATTGGTTCTCATATACCACAGATGCACTCTTTGACAATATATTTGGTATTTGTTCTTTTGCGATCTTCTAAAAATGAAAGCCAGGCATTGGTAGTGTAAAATCCCCCCCTCCCCATCTTATATCTGAAATTAACTCTGTAAGTAGGGTGAAACCTCTTGCTTGGCACAAAACTATAGGAAGAAAAAAAAAGTCTTCATTTCCCGAAACTAGGAGGTTGTGGGTGCTTCAGCAGAAATACTACTAAATTGGAGCCACAAAGTCACTATTGTCAGCAAATCTCTACCCATGAAAACCTTGAGTACCATGTGGAGGAAGGGAGTCTGCCTGAATTTCACCTTCATCAGCAGTGCTTACATTTGTCTGTTTACATGCTTTATCATTTTATATTTGTGTTATTCCCTGCTACTGACCCTCATTTATTGCCCAACCCCAGTGAGAAAAGCTTCCTGAGAAACACACCCAAAACTCTTTCCCTCTCCCAACATGGTGGCCTCAGCAAAAAAGAAGAAGAAGGAGAAGACTCTCCCTAACATACTTTCTGGCTGAGGATGGGAGGATTGGTGGAGGAAGCACCTATGTTTCCAAACCAGTACCCTGGGCTGATGAAACAGATGACCTGGAAGGAGATGTTTCAACAACTTGGCACAGTAATGATGATGAAGTGTATAGGGTGCCTCCAATTGACCGTTCCATCCTTCCCACTGCTCCACGGGCTGCTCGGGAACCCAATATCGACCGTCTTCCCAAATCACCACCCTACACTGCTTTTCTAGGGAACCTATCCTATGATATGACAGAAGAGTCAATTAAGGAACTCTTTCGAGGATTAAATATCAGTGCAGTGCGTTTGTCACGTAAACCCAGCAATCCAGAGAGGTTGAAAGGTTTTGATTATGCTGAAATTGAGGACCTAGATTTCCTGCTCAGTTCCATGAGTCTCAATGAAGAGTCTCTAGGTAACAGGAAAATTCAAGTGGACGTTGCTGATCAAGCACAGGGGAAAGACAGGGAGGATCGTTCTTTTGGCCATGATAGAAATCGGGATTCTGACAAAACAGATACAGACTGGAGGGCTCGTCCTGCCACAGACAGCTTTGATGACTAAGAAGTGATGATAGCTTTGGAGACAAGTATCGAGATAGTTATGATTCAGACCGGTATCACGATGGGTATCAGGATGGGTATTGGGATGGCCCACACTGGGATATGGATTGATGTGGCAGCCGGGATCGCTATGATGACCAAGGCAGCAGAGACTATGATAGACGCTATGATTCCCGGATAGGCAGTGGCAGAAGGGCATTTGGCAGTGGGTGCCACAGGGATGATGACTATAGAGGAGGCGGGACTGGCTATGAAGACCAATAAGACAGACAGGATGATCGGTCATGGAGCTCCAGAGATGATTACTCTCGGGATGATTATATGGGTGATGATAGAGGTCCCTCCCAAAGACCCAAACTGAATCTAAAGCCTCGGAGTGCTCCTAAGGAGATGATTCCACTGCTAGTACCTCCCAGTCCAGTAGAGATGCTTCTGTCTTTGGAGGGGCAAAGCCCGTTGACACAGCTGCTAGAGAAAGAGAAGTAGAAGAACAGCTACAGAAGGAACACGAGAAGTTGCAGCTTCAGCTGGATGAGCCAAAACTAGAACGACGGCCTCGGGAGAGACACCCAAGCTGACAAAGTGAAGAAACTCAGGAACGGGAACAGTTGAGGACAGGAAGTGAGTCATTGCAGACTGGGACCTCCGCCACATCCGGCAGAAATGCACGAAGGAGAGTGAGTGAGAAGTCACTAGAAAATGAAACACTCAATAAGGAGGAAGACTGTCACTCTCCAACTTCTAAACCTCCCAAACCTGATCAGTCCCTAAAGGTAATGCCAGCCCCTCCACCAAAGGAGAATGGTTGGGTGAAGTGAAGTTCTAACCCTCCTGCTCAATCTCAGAGCTCAGACACAGAGCAGCAATCCCCTACAATTGGTGGGGTAAAGTAGCTCCAGCTCAACCATCTGAGTAAGGACTAGCAAGGAAAGACGAAAATGAAGGAGATGGGATGAATATCCCAAAAGGCCAAACTGGGAACTCTAGCCATGGTCCAGGAGAGGGAGGGAACAAAGACCACTGGAAGGAGTCAGATAGGAAAGATGACAAAAAGGATAAAGACTCCAGATCTGCACCTGAGCCAAAGAAACCTGAGGAAAATCCAGCTTCCAAGTTCAGTTCTGCAAGGAAGTATGCTGCTCTCTCCATTGATGGTGAAGATGAAAATGAGGGAGAAGATTAAGCCACAGAGACCTCAACATCCTGTGCTTTCTCCTAGTTTCTCTCCACCCTGGAACATTCGAGAGCAAATCAAACCTCTATCCAGACAAGACAAAATAAAACTCACCATCTCCTGGAGACCTTTCTTACCTAATTTTTTTTAAAGGAAATTCTTATTCATGCTGCTGCAGCCTTTAAAGTACTGAAGTAACTGGAGAATCACCAATATAGCCAGAGAGAAAGAGACTAGAGATTTTTAGTGGAAAAGTTGTGGTGCATTATGTCACCATGCAGTTGCCAGTGTGATTAGTGCCTAGGGGCCTCAATTTAGCAGAAATGGTAAAGACAGTGATATAACATTTGGAGTCTGATTGGGCAGTAGAGGAGGGAGGTATAAGGGAAAGTGTGAGATTTCTACTGTTTCGTTTCTATCCTATTGTGGCATATATGAATTCTCAAACATTATCTGAATAAATTTTCCACTCTTGGAAAGGTAGATTTAGCCTCAAGTTGTTTTAGTCTCCAGCAGGCTGCCAGCAGCTCCTCCTATTTAATCCTGACTTTGGAGGCCAGCCTAGGGGGAATTCCCTCATTTTTTTTTTTTTTTTTTTTTTTTTTTTTACCACCCAGGAGTTGGGAGTGAGTCTATAGGCCATAACGAATAGGACTGCATTCGACCAAAATAAATGGGAAAATCGTGGTTTGAAAAGAAGCTTTTGGGAGGTGATGAGTCATTTTGCACCAGGTAATAGGGAAAAATTGTGTGACCTCCAGCAAACACATGAATGGTTATTTCCTGGAGCCAGAAGCACTTGGGAGTCATAGTAATTCCCAATGTTTTGTGTGTCCTGGTTTTCCCTTTCTAAACACTCTGCTTTTTGAAAGTTCAAATATATCTACGTTCTGTTGAAACCTTGAAACTTTAAAAATTTAGGCTCTTGTCATCATCTTAAGTTCTTCATGCGACTCTTAACCTCCCAAAAAGCAGTCTCTAAGTCACAGAGATGATCTCTTGGGCATTCTCTCTCTCAGCCATGGAGAGCTGTGAAAGGAAGAATCTCTGCTTTTCTCAAGCAAATCAGTTTCTTGCCTTTTGGTTCTCACACCCTGCCTGCTCCTGATGCTTTGACCCCTTTTATAGATCAGAGTGCTCTAGAATAATGGATGGTCTTGGGTGGTGAATAAAGGTGGATAAATAGGGACAGGGACAGTTAAATTGGGAGCCTTTCTTACAACCTTGATGGGGTTTTTTCCCCCAAGTTTTCTTCTCCACTGAAATGCCACACCAATGCTTGTTGGATTTATGAGGTGGTCAGACTAATGTGTTGTTCTTTCTTTTTCTTTTTCTTTTTTTTTTTTTAAGCTTCCCTTGAGAGAATAAATGGTAATGGAGAGAACTATTTAACAAGTTCCTGGTTTCTCTTGCAACACAGTAGCTAAACTTGCCTGCTTTTATGTGAATTTTTGTAGGGATCAGCTTGGTAGACAGTATCACCAGAGAAAAGACATCTTGATCTTTGTTTACAAGCCCTTCTCCCATCAGTCCTAGATTAGGCCCTGTTCAGCCATGCAGGGGTGTTGGTTTATGCATGCTTCAGCAGTGGGCATAATGAATATAATTTAGCCAGCACACAAAGGTGTCTACCAAGTGAATTTAAATAATTGGTGTGGATTGGCTAGTAGCTAAGAAGTGGGCTTTTAAAGATATACTGAAGATTGGAAGGTTTTTAAAAGAAAAAAAACATTGATTTTAGGTAATGAAAAGCTAGAATTTGCCATCTTCATGTCTACTCTCCTTCCAAATAGTTGTATCCAAAACTTTTTCCCTCTCCTCTACCTTGCCTCCCTGTTAAAAAAGAAATGGGAATTAATTAATGGCCTGCTCCTGAATACATGCAAAATTTGTAGAAAAATATCTTCTATGAAAATAATTTGTAATCTGTAGACTTATTACCTGGGAGATGCCTTGAGATGTAAAATCCCATCTTTTGTGTTGTGGGTTTTTTGTTTTCTCCAAATAAATATGATCTTTCAAGTTCAAAAGAGAGAGAGAGAAACAAACAAACAAACAAACAAACAAACACACCCAAAAGGGGGCCATGTGAGCTTCCTTAGCCTAATGTCAAACTTAAGTGTGGACCAGCCCCTCGAACCTGTGCCAAAATGTACTACTTTAAGCAGCAAAATAATCGTCACTCTTCAGGGCACTGAGTTGCCTCAGAAGGCAACTAGTTTGGGATGATTATTAGTTGGCCATCAAAGCTGAGTTCAAGTTCTACTAGACTGAGAAAGCTACAGGGAAGACCAAAGGCTCCTGACCTATTAGAATTTACTGGCATTTTGAGCTCTTTAAATCAGGTTAAATAATAGTTGATAATAATACCATAAATGGTCCTCACAGCACCTCCTTTTAATAATGAATGGCACTATAAAATGAAGTCAAGATCTATATCATGGGGTAAGGTAAAAATATGCAAATTTTTTACACTCTGACAATTGATGTAGGTCCCACTCCCCAAGTCTTGTGGCTCTCATCTACTGATGAGATTCAGACTGAGTGCTGTTCACTAGGAGGAATACAGTCATTTCAAAGCCTAGGTTGCATATATACAGAATCTCATAGATAGAAGGACCCTAGAGGTCATTTGGACTAGCCAGTTACGTTGTTGCAATATCTCACATTTCATTTCTGATTAGGGACAGTGAAGTGATTTATCATCTTTACCTGGCACCACATAGGCAAAAAGGCATCTTGTGGGCTGAAAGTTTTCCCAGGTTGAAGAGTGCTTCCTATTCAGGATTCCTAGGGAACAGAGTAATCTGGTTTTGCCTTTATCCTTCTTTTCTGGACCTCTTCAATTTGAAAACTCTGGTATTTTACTCGACTGTGGTCCACTCTGGCTAAACTATAACAAGTTAATTACATACTGAAATCTTCTGAATAGCAGTAAGCTTTATAGTCTGGAAGTGAAATATCTATAACTGGAAAATACTATATGGTTTGTGTTTTCTTGGTCAAGGACCTGCCATAATCTAAGAAATGTATTGTCTGTGGTATTTTTTCAAAGATTGTCTCCTGGCTGCTAGATTACCATTTTTTCAATTCACCTTCATCCTGCTGGCAGCAGTGCTTGTTGATTTCCCACCCCTTTGCTTTTCATTTACAGGATGAGATGCACAGGCTCTGTATTGGAAGCTAATCTGGCAGAGCTAGTCATTGCTGTCTAGGAAGAAAGTGAATTATGATTCTTACCATGTCAGTGAGGTAAGCTTATTTCTGAGACTTTACTGTACTTGTGTGTATTACTCCAAAAGAAGAATGGTATATGACCACTGACACTGAGGATATTATTCATCCTGGAATTCAAGAATACTTGAATTCTTACCTCAGCTTTTCTACTGATTTCGTGTATATGGTGTCTCTGTCTTGGCTTTCTGAACTAAAATGGAAGAAGTTATTATATCCCTCTTTCCCATAGTAATATCACAATTTATTTGTTATGTGGCGTTTTCCTTTGCTCCACTTAAAATTTGCCAAAATGAAATGAGCCATTGTGTAGAATTGTAATGCTTTTGCTAATAGTTCTTCATGTATCCAAAGTTCCTCTTCTTGTTGTATTATCCCTCAATATTGTGTACAAAGCCTTTTCTCCCTAAGTAACCTAAGGCTTAGAATTTAAGTTGTGGTATTTAGAGGATTTTGTTTATAATTCTTTCTCTTTTTTTTTCTTTTTAGCCAGTCAGTTCTGAACTTCCAAGTTTGATGACAAAGGAAGCTGAAACTTTACTCAATATGAATGTCATGACAGAAATAGATGTGTAAGATCCATTTTTCTACTTTTCTTTATTGCTTTTTTATATATCACCTAGTTGTAAGGCCCTGTATTGTACCTGTACAATGAAGATTGAGGTAATGGCAGGTTATTCGTCGGATAACTTTTCAGTTAAGTGAATGAAGTCAGATGACTTATGGTATGCCATCCATATCTTCTTATTGCTTTACTCATGCTTTTTCTCCTCTGCCTTAAGATTGACCAATTAAAGTCGTCTCAATTAGTAAAAATTTTTTTCAATATTTAATTGTTTTGCTATGCATACAAGATATGTCAGAGACCTGTTTGGTGAAGTAGAAATTCTTTGTTCACACATTTGCAAATGGCTACTGATGAAGTAGTTAAAATATTCTTCTCTTAAGTAAACTGTTGTTTTTTTTGGCAGTTGCTTTCTTTATAAACTATACAAAGATGAATCTTATTCTATCTCTGACTATAAGATCACAAACTGGAATATATGTCTGATTCACTGGGCTTTTACTTTAGTTACTGTGTTGAATAAGAGAACTTTCTTAAAACATGTGGCCAAGGAGACTGTAGAGAGTACTTAAGGAAATATTTTAAGGGACTTGTCAGTCAAAAAAAATATGAATGGATTAATCATTAGCATTACCACATTATTCATCTGCTTGATTTTCTCTAATATTACTTTATATCCTAGGGTATCTTTATATACCATAATTTTTACCATCTTTTCATACCATAATTTTATGGCTATGGGTTACATTTAAATGAAAATATTTGATAAATGGAGAATCTTTACATTTTAGACTGTGACATGGATAAGTGTCTAAACATTAAATGTACTACTGTCTAAATATTGGATAGGTAACCAAATTTTAGCCATATGAAGAAATCATGCATTCTGACTGGACTGAGTCAGATAGTAAATAGCCATAATTATGACTGGAAATTGTAAGAGTATCAAAAAGAATAGGGCATCTGCTTTGTAAAACTGTCTTTATTAAGCTCTTCCTCCACCTCCTGAAATAGAAAGGCACTCTAATTCATAGCAGATAATTGTCTTTAATACTGTTCTTACAAATCTCTTTCTTAGCTTAGTGAGGTATTATTATTGGTGTTGCTATTTTAAGACAAAGAATAAAACCCTTCTACTTCCCCACAACTGTTTTCTCCGGTTATAAAAGATCTCCAGATGGAATCTTTTTTTTTTTTTTGTCATTGACCAATAAGTAATGGGACTAGACCCTGATAGGCATTGATTCTTGTTAAATTGTTTAGCCAAGATGACTTGAAAGAAGTGTTCTTTTCTTTCTGCCAGACAGACTAGGCATGTTTGATGAGTCACATCATTCAGATTCAAACACTTGTGTTTAAATCCAATATTTACTACATTTGCTTCAGTCTTGGAAGAAAATATTGGTCAATATTAGTTCAAGCTAAATGACAACTGGATCCATATTGTAAAGTTGGCTCTCGCTGTACTATTAATTGATTTTCTGCCTCTTGTCTAAAGATCAGTTAGCAAAGACAGCTACAGCCTGTACAAAATTTTAAAAAGTATAAACATCCTTTTCTCAATTTTGTTAATCTTTCAAGATATACGTTTTTTTTTTTACCTAAAGTGTTTAACTTAATCTCTAAGAATGATTGGCTGAAAAAGACATCAGTGTTTTCTCTTCCTATCTAGAGTCTAAGTTTAAAGAAAAATGAAGGAGAGAAAACTCCACTTGAAGCCAAAGGAAAAAGAGGTACAAAAGCATACTTGTGGAGGAATCAGAAGACTTATGTCTTAGTCCCAACTGCATGGTTTACTATCCAGATGACCCTGGGCAAGTCACTAAACTATCTGAACCCAAATCTACTCTTGTGTAAACCAATGATAATACTAACTGCTTTTCTTGCTTTGTGAGCTTTTGTGAATATTAAGTAAAGTAGAATATGAAAAGGCCTGAAAACTACTATATAAACTTAAAAGATAACATATTATCATGTCTCTGATTTTAAGACAAAAATTAGAAAAATAAAATAATCAAACAGATGTACTGTAAAATGATGTTGGGTTTTTCACATGACATCCAAAGAAGTTCTGTCTCAGAAAATAGTTCCTTTGTTATTTACTAAGCCTAGTCCTCCACAGTCAGCTTTAGATTTTTATAAGAAGTGCATCCTGCAAAGATCTATATTCTAAGATGTTAATGCTATTCCTAAATCCAAAACAAGATTTTGACATAACTATATCACAGATCTTTATTCTTCTCCTATAGAAGCATCAAAAGAGTTGAAATAGTAGATATATTAAGGAAGGCTGATAGTAGCATCTAAGACCAGAGGCAAGAGTGCATTATTCATAGTTAAAATGTCCTTCCAGATAGGGAGAGATTTTGTAAGGGATACAAGGTAGCTAGATAGGAGGAATAAGTTCTAGTGTTCTATACCACTGTAGGATGACTACAGTTAACAATAACACATTGTTTAGTTTCAAATAGCTAGAAGGAGGATCTTGAACTTTCCCAACACAAATAAATGATAAATGTTTGAGATGATAGATATGCTAATTACCCTGATCTGATCACAATACATTATATGTATCAAAACATCACTATGTACCCCACAAATATGTACAATTATTATTTTTCAAAAAATGTATTAGCCTCTGACATACTTGGGGAAAAAAGAAAGTAAAATAAGGTTTTAAAAAGACATTCCTCCATAATGCTGTGATGTATTTAACAGTGTAAGACTTGTGAATTATACTTTGTCTTATTCCCTGTCCTTCCACATCATGTATAACACAACACTGCCTCCACAGACAAGCAGATGGTACAAAACATGAAAACTCTCCTGCCTTCCCTGTTAGATGAGGTGCTAATAAGAAACTCTGGATAAAAACTTTGAAACTCTAATGACCTTCTTTTGGATGATCTGAAGAACCCATAAGATGTCTCATCAGATTTAGGTGACCATGATTATACAGGCCTAAATATTTCTTGCCAAACATTTAGGCCTGTATAATCATGGTCACCTAACATTTTCTTTTTTTTTTTTTATTATACTTTAAGTTTTAGGGTACATGTGCACATTGTGCAGGTTAGTTACATATGTATACATGTGCCATGCTGGTGTGCTGCACCCACTAACTCATCATCTAGCATTAGGTATATCTCCCAATGCTATCCCTCCCCCCTCCCCCCACCCCACCACAGTCCCCAGAGTGTGATATTCCCCTTCCTGTGTCCATGTGATCTCATTGTTCAATTCCCACCCATGAGTGAGAATATGCGGTGTTTGGTTTTTTGTTCTTGTGATAGTTTACTGAGAGTGATGGTTTCCAATTTCATCCATGTCCCTACAAAGGACATGAACTCATCATTTTTTATGGCTGCATAGTATTCCATGGTGTATATGTGCCACATTTTCTTAATCCAGTCTATCATTGTTGGACATTTGGGTTGGTTCCAAGTCTTTGCTATTGTGAATAATGCCGCAATAAACATACGTGTGCATGTGTCTTTATAGCAGCATGATTTATAGTCATTTGGGTATATACCCAGTAATGGGATGGCTGGGTCAAATGGTATTTCTAGTTCTAGATCCCTGAGGAATCGCCACACTGACTTCCACAATGGTTGAACTAGTTTACAGTCCCACCAACAGTGTAAAAGTGTTCCTATTTCTCCACATCCTCTCCAGCACCTGTTGTTTCCTGACTTTTTAATGATTGCCATTCTAACTGGTGTGAGATGATATCTCATAGTGGTTTTGATTTGCATTTCTCTGATGGCCAGTGATGATGAGCATTTTTTCATGTATTTTTTGGCTGCATAAATGTCTTCTTTTGAGAAGTGTCTGTTCATGTCCTTCGCCCACTTTTTGATGGGGTTGTTTGTTTTTTTCTTGTAAATTTGTTTGAGTTCATTGTAGATTCTGGATATTAGCTCTTTGTCAGATGAGTGGGTTGCGAAAATTTTCTCCCACTTTGTAGGTTGCCTGTTCACTCTGATGGTAGTTTCTTTTGCTGTGCAGAAGCTCTTGAGTTTAATTAGATCCCATTTGTCAATTTTGGCTTTTGTTGCCATTGCTTTTGGTGTTTTGGACATGAAGTCCTTGCCCACGCCTATGTCCTGAATGGTAATGCCTAGGTTTTCTTCTAGGGTTTTTATGGTTTTAGGTCTAACGTTTAAATCTTTAATCCATCTTGAATTGATTTTTGTATAAGGTGTAAGGAAGGGATCCATTTTCAGCTTTCTACATCTGGCTAGCCAGTTTTCCCAGCACCATTTATTAAATAGGGAATCCTTTCCCCATTGCTTGTTTTTGTCAGGTTTGTCAAAGATCAGATAGTTGTAGGTATGCGGCGTTATTTCTGAGGGCTCTGTGCTGTTCCATTGATCTATATCTCTGTTTTGGTACCAGTACCATGCTGTTTTGGTTACTGTAGCCTTGTAGTGTAGTTTGAAGTCAGGTAGTGTGATGACTCCAGCTTTGTTCTTTTGGCTTAGGATTGACTTGGCGATGCGGGCTCTTTTTTGGTTCCATATGAACTTTAAAGTAGTTTTTTCCAATTCTGTGAAGAAAGTCATTGGTAGCTTTGCCCAAGGTAATTTACAGATTCAATAACATTTTCAACACTAGGTGTTGCAAATCCTATTGAAAGCTTCAAGCCCCAATTAGCCACAGAAACCAGCTATTCCCTTTGCTCTTTCTCAACCCTCTTGCCAACTTTATTGAGGAGTCTACTAAAATTGACCCATCTGTTTGAATTTATTTTTAGATCCTCCTCCCAATCCAGCTTCCTTCTGGAAAATACACAGGACTCAACTATCTTTGAGTGTCTAATGTATTTCCCTCCATTTCTTAACCTCTGTACTTTAAAAATTGTAGTTAAAATTGTTACCTCCTGGTACCACAACAAGTTTTCATGGCTGGGATGAAATTCAGACCATATATAGAAGGTTAGGAATACCTCAAAGTTGGAGGGGATTTAAAAAACGTTTTAAATCAACATTCTTCCAATACCTTATTTGAGTCTAGAACCAAAATTTCTGTTAAATACCATATGTTATAGCAGTTTTCTAAATAATTGGCAAATCCATGTAGCTTGATTTTGCTTCTAGCAAATGAGCTATATCATTCCAAGGTTTCTTGGGACAGTTAGATCTGTTTTTGGAAAGCAGTAGTGGCTCACACTTGCAATCCAAGCTACTTAAGAGGCTGAAGCAGGAGGATCACTTGAGTCCAGGAGCTCAAGAGGAACCTGGGCAACATAAGAAGACGCCTACCTCAAAAAAAACAAAAAGCAAAAAAGAAAGAAAGAAAAGAAAGGAAAGAAAGAAAGAAAGAAAGAGAAGGAAAGAAAGAATGAAGGAAGGAAGGAAAGAAAGTTTTTTGTTAATAGTCACGTGTCACTTAACAACAGGGATACATTCTGAGAAATCCATTGTTAAGCTATTTTGTCATTGTTTGAACATCATAGAATACACTTATTTAGTATAGGGAATACTTGCAAATGTGCAAGATTTTAAGTTTTGAAAATGAATACAAGGTATAGATCATCATGGCAGATGGGAGGAAGGACTAGATTGCAGTTCAGACTCTGACGGACAGAGCAGTGTGCAAAGGCTCGCATTGTGAATTTTAGCTCCAGATTGACTGAAAGAATAAAACAGCAATCCCAAAGGAGCCACAGATCTGCTGAAGGAAGCAGACTGTTCCTGCAGGACCTGGGAGACACCCCAAATATTGTGAGTCCCCCAAAGGCAGAAGTGGGAAAGGGGGAACCTCCTCTCCCAAACACACACCCCTGGAGAAATGGAATGTCTGTTTTCGAAAGAAGTTTCTGACCTTACCTGGAGCTGAGTCAATTTAGAGATCCAAGCAAAATACAGGGGTAGAGGAAGCAGCACAAAGGCTCTGGGAGCTTGCTGGGTCCCCAAGCAGGCCATTCCTGCCTGGGACCACAGGGATCCATCGGGAGGGTGGCCAGAGGAGCGGGACCAGATGGTGAGGAAAACACCACAAGGAGAAGGAAATCTCCAGCTGAACTTCATAACAATTTGGATAGGGCGAGAAACCTCCTGGCCAGAACTCAGGGAAGGGTGTGAATCCGGTGTGCAGACTCCACAGGTGGAGGAAGAACCAAGCCCTTTTCTTTTGTAGCTGGGAGGTGGGTAGCCTGGGGCAAGTGCCTGGCTCACCCACCGCCTGGAAACAGACTTGGGGTTGCTAGAGGGGGCACGGTGGGAGTGAGACCAGCCCTTTGGTTTGCATGGGAGCTGGGTGAGGACTGTGACTATGAGCTTTCCCCCACTTCTGTGTCAACTTGCATGAGTCAGCAGAAGCAGCCATAATCCTCCTATGTACACAACTCCATTGACCTGGGAGCCTCATCCCCATCGCCCACAGGGCCACAGTAAGACCAGCCCAAGGAGAGTCTGAGCTCAGAAGTGCCTAACCCTGCCCCCATCTAATCGTCTTTCCCTACACACCCTGGTAGCTAAAGACAAAGGGCATATAATCTTCGGAATTCTAGGCTCCCCCCTCGAGGCTGGTTCCCTTGCTGATGCTCTCTGGAAAGTGCCACCTCCCGGCTGAAGGACAACCAGCACAATAATAGAGCATTAAACCACCAAACCTAAGAACGTTCATGGAGTCCATTGCACCCCCCTGCCACCTCCACCAGAGCAGGCACTGGTATCCATGGCTGAGAGACCCATAGATGGTTCACATCACAGGACTCTATGCAGACAACCCCCAGTACCAGCCCAGAGCCAGGTAGACTTGCTGGGTTGAAAGACCCAGAAGACAGACAACAATCACTGTAGTTTGGCTCACAGAAAGCCACATCCATAGGAAAAGGGGGAGAGTACTACATCAAAAACACACTCCATGGAACAAAAGAATCTGAACAACAGCCTTAAGCCCTAGACCTTCCCTCTGACAAAGCCTACCCAAATGAGAAGGAACCAGAAAACCAACTCTGGTAATATGACAAAACAAGACTCTTCAACACCCCCCAAAAAATCACACTAGTTTACCAGCAATGGATCCAAACCAAGAAGAAATCCCTGATTTACCAGAAAAAAAAAATTCGGGAGGTTAGTTATTAGGCTAATCAGAGAGGCAGCAGAGAAAGGCAAAGCCCAATGCAAGGAAATACAAAAAAAATAGCACAAGAATTAAAGGGAGAAATGTTCAAGGAAATAGACAGCTTAAAGAAAAACAAAAAATTCAGAAAACATTGAACACACTAACAGAAATGCAAAATGGTCTGGAAAGTCTCAGCAATAGAATTGTACAACTAGAAGAAAGGAATTCAGAGTTCGAAGACAAGGTCTTCAAATTAACACAATCCAACAAAGACAAAGAAAAAAGAATAAGAAAATATGAACAAAGCCTCCAAAAAGTCTGGGATTTTGCTAAACAATCAAAACTAAGAATGCTCAGTGTTCCTGAGGAAGAAGAGAATTCTAAAAGCTTGGAAAACATATTTGGGAGAATAATTGAGGAAAGATTCCCTGGCCTTGCTAGAGACCTAGACATCCAAAAACAAGAAGCACAAAGAACACCTGGAAAATTCATTGCAAAAATATCATCACCTAGGCACATTGTCATCAGGTTAGCTAAAGTTAAGACAAAGAAGGAAAGAATCTTAAGAGCTGTGAGACAGAAGCACCAGGTAACTTGTGAAGGAAAACCTATCAGATTAACAGCAGATTTCTACAAGCTAGAAGGGATTGGGACCCTGTCTTCAGCCTCCTCAAACAAAACAATTATCAGCCAAGAATTTTGTACACAGTGAAACTAAGCATCATATATGAAGGAAAGATACAGCCTTTTTCAGACAAACAAATGCTGAGAGAATTTGCCACTACCAAGCCACCACTACAAGAGCTGCTAAAAGGAGCTCTAAATCTTCAAACCAATCTTGGAAACACATCAAAACAGAACCTCTTTAAAGCATAAATCACATAAGACCTATTAAGCAAAAATACAAGTTAAAAAGCAAAAACAATGAACAAAAAACCAAAGTACACAGGCAACAAATAGCATGATGAATGCAATGGTACCTTGCATCTCAATACTAACATTGAATGTAAATGGCCTAAATGATCCACTTAAAAAAATACAGAACTGCTGAATGGATAAGAACTCACCAGCCAACTATTTGCTGGCTTCTAGAGACACACCTAACACATAAGGACTCACATAAACTTAAAATAAAGGGGTGGAAAAAGGCATTTCATGAAAATGGGCACCAAAAGTGAGCAGGGGTAGCTATTCTTATATCAGACAAAACAAACTTTTAAGTAACAGCAGTTAAGAGAGACAAAGAGAGACATTGTATAATGATAAAAGGCCTTGACCAAAAGAAAAAATACCACAATCCTAAACATCTATGCACCTAACACTGGAGCTCCCAAATTTATGAAACAATTACTAATAGACCTAAGAAATGAGATAGATAGCAACACCATAATGGTGGGGGACTTTAATACTGCACTGACAGCACTAAACAGGTCATCAAGACAGAAAGTCAACAAAGAAACAATGGATTTAAACTATACCTTGGAACAAATAGAATTAACAGATATATACAGAACATTTCATTCAACAACCACAGATTACACATTCTATTCAACAGTGCATGGAACTTTCTCCAAGATAGACCATATGATAGGCCATAAAACAAGGCTTAATAAATTTAAGAAAATTCAAATTATATCAAGCAGTCTCTCAGATCACAGTGGAATAAAACTGCAAATCAACTCCAAAAGGAACCTTCAAAACTATGGAAATTAAATAATCTGATCCTGAATGAGCATTGGTTCAAAGACGAAATGAAGATGAAAATTAAAAAATTCTTCAAGCTGAATGACAATAATGACACAACCTATCAAAATTTCTGGGATACATCAAAGTTGGTGCTAAGAGGAAAGTTTATCGCCCTAAATGCCTGTATCAAAAAGACCAAAAGAGCACAAACTGACATTCTAAGGTCACACCTCAAGGAACTAGAGAAACAAGAACAAACCAAACCCAAACCCAGCAGAAGAAAGGAAATAAGCAAGTTCAGAGCTGAACTAAAGGAAATTGAAACAAAAAAAAATACAAAAGATAAATGAAACAAAAAAGCTGGTTCTTTGAAAAGATAAATAAAATTGATAGACCATTAGCAAGATTAACCAAGAAAAGTAGAGAGAAAATCCAAATAACCTCATTAAGAAACGAAACAGGAGATATTACAGCTGACAATACAAAAGATTGTTCAAGGCTACTATGAACACCTTTATGCACATAAACTAGAAAACTCAGAACAGGTGGATAAATTCCTGTAAAAATACAACCATACTACCTTAAATCAGGAAGAATTAGATACCCTGAACAGACCAATAACAAGCAAAGAGATTGAAATGGTAATTTAAAAATTACCAACAAACAGAAATCCAGGACCAGACAGACTCACAGCAGAATTCTACCAGACATTCAAATAATTGGTACCAAATCTTTTGACACTATTTCACAAGATAGAGAAAGAAGGAACTCTCCTTAATTCGTTCTATGAAGCCAGCATCACCCTAATACCAAAACCAGGAAGGGACATAACCAAAAAAGAAAACTACAGACCGATATTCTTGATGAACATAGATGCTAAAATCCTTAACAAAATACTAGCTGACCGAATCCAGCAACATATCCAAAAGATAATCCACCATGATCAATGTATACTGCTCAGGTGATGGGTGCACCAAAATCTCACAAATCACCACTAAAGAACTTACTCATGTAACCAAATACCACCTGTACCCCAATAACTTATGGAAAAAAAACTTTAAAAGATAAGAATTAAAATTAAATAACATAAAATGAATACAAAACTTCAAGCTGTTTTCAAAGAGATCAGTTTGTACTGCTTCCCCACTCTTTTACTTCCACCTGCTAAACTCCCCTTACATGTTTACTCATTTTATTCTCCTTTTATTTCACGAAGTTCTACATGTGCTTCCATAGCCTCTCCAATAAACTTCAAAGGAAAGGAAGGATTTTGTCATTGCTTTCAGTCAGTATATCTTATAAAAAACACATTCACTTAAATATAATGTTTACACAATGTTTAAAATTCTCAAGAAAGTCCAGGCTTCAATTTACCCAGGACTGAGCTTTTGATATGCAGGAATGAACCTAGCATACTTCAAAAATTGAAAGAACTATGTTGTCACTACAGTGTTGCTTCAACATGTTACATAAAGTTAACAAAGAACTTAGCATGCATTTCATAGGGTCCTCTTCTTTTGGATAGACTGGACCCTGTGAAAAAAAAGGAATACAGCTTCTAGATCACATGTTCATGTAGGTATAGAGACTGTAAAACAGACATATGTATGAACTTGTGTTTTAATTATTTTTTGCACTTCAGAAAAAATCTCCTAGACTGAGTGCCCTGTGGTTTTATGGTAAAAACATCACAGAGTCATATGTATCACAAAGTAGCATGAGCAAAAGTGATCTGGATTTATAGGTAGTTCTATGATAACCAGAGAAGTAGACATTAAACTTAGCCTTTAAAGGCTGTGGAGAGTTTTAAAGACATAACAGAGAAAGCACTAAAGGTGAGAATAGCATAGCTGGAGCAGGAGCTACAAATAGGATCAAAGAGGTGGATGAATTAGGCCAACTAAGGTGGTATCTCTAAGTCCATAGTTCAGGAGGACTTGATATAGCAAATGAGTTACATCATTCCAGGGTTTCTTGGGACAGTTAGTTAGATCTGTATCAGTAGAAAGCAGTCAAGAAGATCTGAGGAGTAAAATGATATCAAACTGCCATGCTATATAAATAATCAGACTGTAGTTTGGATAGCTTTAAGAATCAAACATTTATAAGTCTACCAAATGTTCTGTGTTTTCCTAGGGCCCACAGCCCATACTAAAAAGGTAATGAAATAATCAGCATAATTTGCTACTAGCCTCAAACCAAATGACTGAGGAGTCTTAATGTTTACCAAGTGAATATTAAACCTTGGCTTTTCCTTGTTTGGGAAATATTTTTTTCCAAATCCTATCACTACATTGCTTTAGACAGCCTATAGAAGAAAAAGCAATCACGGTGCTGAATGGTATGACCACCACAAAGTAATCTGGGTAAATCGTCCTGGTGCCAGATCACTAAGTAAGTTTCAATAATGTAGGCCTTGCTTCTCTTCTCCCCTGAAGAGCCATGGTCCCTTCTCCTAAGCCAAGCAAGTACCAACGTCTTTCATGGACGTTCTTATCTGGGCATATGTCTGAGAAAAGGTAAAATAATCCATTGGACAAAAACTCAGTTATGCAGTGGGCTGTAACTTCCCCCAAATTAGAAACACTATGTACATTCTGAAAAGTATAAATAAAATATATTATTAACCAACTTTCTTAGTGAAGACTAGGAAGCTACTAACAGCTGCCCCTATAATTCAGAATTATGAAAGAATTCATCTCATAAAATGGAAAGCTTTCAAACAAATGCTTTAGCTCATTTTACTTTGCCTGTGCTCATGGCACTGCCCTTCAGAAATGAGTACTGGTAGATGTGATTTTAGAACAATGGAGGAAGATCTCCATGCCTTTTCCAAGACACAAGCTCTTTAGGCAAAAATTAGTCTTTGCTGACTGCTTGACTGTTGAGCTATTGTCCAAGACAGAGTACAATGAAGAAAGTAGTAAAACTCAAGAACTCAAAATGTAACAAACCACCATTTGCTTTTCTATTGCTCTGAGTTCTTTCATTTAACAAATATTTGTTGAGTGCCTACTCTGCACCAAGAACTGGAAATATAGTGGTGAACATAACAGGGTCCCATACCTCATGAATTTTAGTCTCTAAAAGGAGTCAACACAAATATATAATTGTTTTAAGTGCAAAGAGAAAAGGTGAAAAAGGAGATTTACTTATTCATTGTCAGTTCTTAACCAGACTGTAAGTTCAAAGAGCAAGTATTTTGTCGTGTTCCCTTTTCTACTTTTGTATCATCAGTGCCTAGAACATAGTAGTCAGTCCCTCAATATATGTTTATTGAATGAAAAAATGGATAAATGATCAATCAACTATCTGTTGAGTAGAGGGAAACATTTCATAGTGGTTGGATAAAACTACCAATTTTTTTTTTTTTTTTTTTTTTTTGAGACCGAGTCTTGCTCTGTCACCCAGGCTAGAGTGCAGTGGCGTGATCTCGGCTTGCTGCAGCCTCTGCCTCCCAGGAGTCTCCTGCCTCAGCCTCCTGGGTAGCTGGGATTACAGGCACATGCCACCATGCATGGCTAATTTTTGTATTCTTAGTAGAGACAGGGTTTCACCATGTTTGCCAGGCTGGTCTCAAACTCCTGATCCCAGGTGATCTGCCCACTTCGGCCTCCCAAAGTGCTGGGATTACAGGCGTGAGCCACCATGCCCAGCCAACTACAAAATCTTGAGACAAAGAAATGCCTCTCCATCAATGAAATTTCTAAGACAGATGCTCATTTTGGATTATTCCACTTAGAACCAAGAAATATGCCTAAGGCAAGTGCCTGAAATAAAGCAAGAGTCTATTGTACTTCTTCTAGAGAGCCTGAACCTATCCTTTTGGAGAGCCTGAACCTATTTTATTTTGGAAGCCATGTGCAGGCTAGACAAAACAGTCTACCTTTGTTTGTATAACTGAAATTCTATTAACAATTTCATATTTTTTCCAGTCTTCCAATACTAATTTCTTTCTTTAAATATATATACATATTTGTTCCACACTGCTGTGCTGACCTGCAAAAGTGACAACTCAATCGGAATATTGCCAGACATTTCCCATTCTAATGTTTTTTTATCTTAGCCTAATAAATATATTTATTGCTTGTTTTATGAGATGTATAGATTCCAACAAAGTTGCCTATAACATTAAATTTATTAAAATAAAACTTTAGGTAACATTGGTTCCCATTAAAAAAATAAATAACAGAAGGAATTCATAGGGTAGGAAACTTATCAAAGAATCAAGTAATATGATGGTTTCCCTTTGAATACTGGATAGTATTACGTCCAAATAATAGGGCCTGCTGGGGTGGGAGGGTATTTTGTATCTGTTATCTAATTTCAGGCTCTCTCCTTACCCTTTATCCCATTTAGGCACTGTTTCAAATCATAAGAATTCTTCCTATGCCTGGCGAGTCCCTGACCCTACATTTGATCACACACTCATCAAGGATAGTATTTAAGTTTGATTTCCCAGAATAATATTACGTATGCCCATACCAACAAGTGGAAAGGAAGAAGAAATGGTAATTTCTGCAAATGTTGCTAGTTATATCTCTCATCACAGTAACTCAAATGGCATCTAGGTGGTTCTTAACCTTGGCTGCACATTGAAATCAGATGGCGGGCTTGATATGGTTTGGCTCTGTGTCCCCACCCAAATCTCACCTCGAATTGTAATAATCCCCAAGCGTTGTGGGAGGTAATTGAATCATGGGGGCAGGTCTGTACTGTCCTCCTGATAGTGAATAAGTCTCATGAGGTCTGATGGTTTTATAAAAGGGAATTCCCCTGCATATGCCCTCTTGCCTGCTGCTGTGTAAGACGTGCCTTTGCTTCTCCTTTGCCTTCCACCATGATTGTGAGGCCTCCCCAGCCATGTGGAACTGTGAGTTAATTAAACCCGTTTCCTTTATAAAGTACCCAGTCTCAGGTAGGTCTTTGTTAGCAGCATGAGAACAGACTAATACAGAGCTCTAAGAATACTGATGTCCGGGACCTACTCCTAAAGACTTTGATTTAATTTGTCTGAGGTAATATCTGGATATTTGAACTTTTAAAAGTTTTCCAGGTGACTCTAAAGTGTAGCCAAGATGGCCCAGAGGACTGTGCGGGGACGGGGTAGGTGAGGAGGAGGCGGTGATTGGATAAGAAGGGAGGGGAAGAGGCCATGGCTGCCCGGTGAGGTGGTGAGGCAGAAAGGAGGCCAAACCCCCAGCTGGGCCTCGGGCCCCAGGGAGAGGTGAGAATGGACCAAAGGACATAGGGTTCTTGAGCAGCCACCCCCAGAGAATGCTTCCCTGAGAGGCTACCTGACCACCCCTCTCCTTCTCCCCACTCCCCATCCCTCCTTCACCCCCCACCCCCGCCCGCCTGCTGTGCTATCAACAGTCAGAGCGCCCTCTCCACAAGAGTTTACAAAAGAAAATGGAGGAAATGTCTTTGTCTGGCCTGAATAACAGCAAACTAGAGGCCATAGCTCGGGAGATATAAGCGGACCTAGTCTAGAATTCTTGTTCGGGATTCTGCTTTGAGGTACACCAGGCTGTCATGTGTGGCTACCTCTTTCTGGATGACACAGACCCTAATAGCATGAAGGATATTGGTTTTCAACCAGTGGAAGAGCAAAGAGTGTGTTTGCCCCAACTGCAACTGTAGCATTCCTGCCTCCCGTTTTGCTCCCCATCTGGATAGGTGCCTGGGAATGGGTGGGAATAGCGGCCGAATCGCCATCCACTGGATTGCCAATAGCAACAATATGGGCAAGTCTGAGAGTGACCAAGAGGATAATGATGACATCAATGACAATGACTGGTCCTATGGCTCAGAGAATAAAGCCAAGAAGAGAAAATCAGGCAAGAACCCCGATTCCCCTCGAAGATCTGAGTCTTTGAAACACAAAAATGGGGAACTTTGTGATTTGATTTTTTGTAAGTATAACAACTCAACTGGGATCAGCTACGAAACCTGGGGCCAGAGGAGCTTCATATCCTGCTAAGCATGCAATGTAGGATGATTTCTGAAGATACCAAGAAGATGTGCACAAAGTCCCTGCACTGCCCACAGCACACAGTTGAGCAGAAGTGAACCTTGCAGATGTATTTCTTCAGGGCCTCAGCTGTCCATCCAGAGGTGGAGAGCTCCCAGGATAATGACAGCTTTGACATGACTGACAGCCAGGCCCTGATCAGCCAGCTTCAGTGGGTCTGCTCCTCTGATCTCTCACCCTGTGATTCAGGCTCCCCCAAGACGAGCGAAAATCAGGGATGGGGTCTAGGTACCAACAGCTCTGAGACACAGAAAACCAAGAAAAAGAAATCCCATCTGAGCCTGGTAGGGACTTCCTCCGACCTGGGCTCCAACAGGAAGAAGCCAAAGCTACCGATACCCCCGACGGCCAGCATCTATGATGACATCAACTGACTTCAGTGCAAGAGATAGCCTTTGGCTGAGCAGAGCCCTCTCTCCTGATCCCCACCCAGGTGCCATAGCCTGGCAAATGGATGGCTGCTGGGGGTTGGGGCTTGGGAAACTCGGTGGGCCAGGCAGGCAGAGGATCTGATTATGTGCCCCTGGGGGATGTCAAGGTCCTCTACAATGGAGCACAACTCCTCGGCATGCAGGACTCAGACCTGGACATATGATGCTTTGGACATAAGTGTGGTGGGGAGGCGGTTTTTCTATTTATTCTGTGAGTTACTGAATGTCCAGCTAGGCCAGGGGCCTGAACTGGGCACTGTGCCAGGGCACTGCCTATCTCCCACCATAGGAACTGGACTAAGCCCTGCTGAGGAGCAATGTAGTGGCCCGGGAGGCTGTGGGTTGGAAGCTGAGCCTGGAGGGGGCCTGCCCTCGTTGCCCTCAGCAATGTGAATGGATCCAGTACTTGGAGCTGAGGGGCAAGGATGGGCATGCCCTGTCTGTGAGAAGAGTCCTATCAAATGTCCCCAGTCCCAGGGGTGGGCAGGCACAGAGTACTCTCTGCTGAGGTGAGCATCCGGAATTGCCACCACCTTACCCTCCCTTCACAGGGACAGCCCTTTCCCCTTAGTCCCCATGGGCTTCCTTGGCAGCAGGAGCTGTCCTTTTGTTGTTGGGTGTCAAGAAAGGGCCTCCAGCCTCTACAGCTTCAAGGAATGGGAAACAGAGGATATGAAGAGGGAGCTGTGTCAGAATTATTCCCCATGACTCTCCTCCCTGACCCAGGGCTGGTGAGGAGTGCTGCCCCAAGGTGAGAGGGAACTGTGTTGCTTTATTTGCAATGTTTTCTTACCTCATTCCCTGCCCCAGGAAGGGGCCCAGCCTCACTCTCCTGGGGTGGCCCTGTGTTCCTCCTACCCACCCTGCCCCACTGCCCTACCAGGGCAGCCCAAGTCCCCAACTGCTGCTTGCCAACCCGCTTCACCTTGACTGGCTTGTCTTCCTATCTCAGTGCTCCTGCCTCGAAAGCCCCCCATTTCTCTTCCTTAGTGCTTTTAAGTTGTTTATTCTGTACTTGTGGTTTGAGACTCTGAGGGAAATCTTAATCTCGTGCCTCTTCCCCCTTTGCTAGGAGTTATGTGGGAAGAGAGGGTGGCCTCTGTGTTCTGGGTTGTCAGTGGAGGGGAAGGGGTATCATTGCCCTTCTGTGGGACTGTCAAATGCCAGTGTGCCCACCTGCCTTGTCTACATCCTGAAGAGATATTCCATCCCCCCTCTATGCGGGCACCACTACTCCCAGGAGCCAAGCTGGAGGACCACAACCTGGGCTGAGAGCAGAGCTGACTGACATGGGTAGAGGTGATCCTGAGCCAAGTTCTCTGGCACTTGCTGGACATGTCCCCTGCCCTCTTCCCAAGAGGAGTCATCCTACATTTGGGTAGTTAGTACCCAGGATTGGTTGGACTGATCAGGTTAGGGATCCTAGAGGGTTAAGGGAACAACAGAGATGGGGCTACAGCGCCCTGTTTGGAACCCCACTGTCCCCCTAGGGTGATTCTGATGGTGTCTGATGCCTGGTTACAAATCAGTTTTTTACCCACAAATTGTGATTATTTTTTAAAAAACAGATTTTAGCGGAAGTTAGAATAAATCCTGGGGCCTGGGCTCCTCTGTTCTTGGCCCCATAGCCTTCTACCTCCGAGGGAGGCCAGAGATAGAGGAGAATCTCACCAGCCCTCCAGCCTCCTTCCAGATGCAGTCTTGGGAGTAGGCTGAAGGTGAAGGGAGGAAGGCTATGGGTTACTCTCCCTTCTGAAAGGCAGCTGCAACTCAGGCCATAATACACCCTTTTCTCTCCTCTTTCCTCTTTTTCCCCCTTCTGGTTAGAGGAGGGAGAAGTGGGAAGTAGTTTGGGAACTGGTTTGTCCACATAAACTTCCCCATTGTTTCTTGGCCCACCCTCAGGGCAGAGTCCCCTGCCTAGGCTGGGTAAGAAATGGGCTTGCTCCAGCAGGGACCCTGAGGGAACAAACCCTTTTCCTTCGGAAAAAAGAATTCCCCCTTACCATGTAGTTGAACAGTGGCTAGGAGCTTCCCACTCCCCTCCCTCTTACAGCAGGCTGTGTAGACTTCAATTCCTATCCTTCCCATCCCAGCTAGGTGTCATCTGCCCTTTGTCTGTATCCTATCATGTGTCTGAGTGTGTGTGTGGGGGGGGGCGGGGGAGGGGTTGGGGGTATGATTATGTGCTAATTTCCATGGCCAGTGGCTTTTCCTTCCAGGCATCACTCCCACCCCCCCACCCCCACATACTCAGGGGCCACCGGCCTGGCATTACCACATGCTGGGGTGATTGAGGGAGGGGAGTGGAGCTTACGCTGTCCTGTCATCTTGAGACTTTTATTTTTGCATATGTAATTCATTCTGTACAGGTAGCTAACTCTGTAAATGCTATGTATTCCCTCTGCCCCCATGGCTGCTTTTGTAAATAAACTGCATCTCCTGTTGGTAAAAAATAAAATAAAATAAAATAAAATAAAATAAAATAAAATAAAATAAAATAAAATAAAATAAAAAATAAAGTGTAGCCAAGACTGAGAGACACTGTTTTACACCTTTGATTAATTTGACACCATCAGAATTGATAATGGTGACTGCTTGGATCCATAAATTTGAGAACCTACCCTGAAGTAGTAGGAACCAAACCAACCCTTAAAGCTCCATCAACCAGCAGCAGCATGGACATGTGCCCAACATAGCATGAGAAGTACACATTTCTTCCAAGTACCAGAAAGATATAAAGTGTTTATCAGGCCTTTGGAAAAATGAAGTGCTCTTGAAAATGTCACATATATATATGTAACATATATGTTTTACATATCAGTGATATATAACTCTCACTTCAAGAGATTATAGCAAAGGAAGACAGCCAGATGAAAATACTATTAACTGAATTTTTCCTTGGAATAGCTTCCAAAATGGAGATGAGCAGCAGCTGCATTTGAGTTAAGTGATTCATGTATATTGAAAAGGTAGCATCTACTGTTTGACACTTTGCACCTCCTCACATGGCTCAGCATCAGTACAGTTCCATTAAGCCAGTTTGCCCCAGGTATCTCGGCCTTTAGATCTGCATGCCTGTTTAGATCTGCTGGCACAACCTCAGTAGTGCCAGCCAGGAACAGTCTTACAAAGTCTTACAAAGAATCATATTAATTAAATTTAATATTTAATGTCAACACTCTTCATCTAGGTGACAGTGACCAAGTCAATGAACGATGTGCAAATGGTGGTGACCTCTGCAACTCTGGCACTTTGGTGACTCCTTGTAAGTCTGTCTTGTTTATTTCCACATGTCTTCTCTGTTCCACAGTTACACACATTGCTACACCACCCTAGTTGCTCCATGGGAGTGAAGGGCTGATTTCACTATTAGGTTATTCAGGACATTTTTCCACCTAAGTCAGCACACCCTCAGTGAGTGCTTGAATTTCCCAACTCCGCAGTCATGGGGTTGACTATAACAGCTTACTAGAATAGTTAGTACTTAGGAAGAAAACCTAGTAAGTACTCTCAAAAAGTGTTCTGGGCCATGAGACCACGATCTGTAAAATAAGGCTAATGGAACTGGGATTATATACTACAGAGAAGAAGGACTTGGGGAGGGAGTACTTGGGGAAGGGGATATCTTTGCAGTCTGTAATATTGGAAGCTATGCCAAACAACACCTTATTTGGCACCTGCTAAGACTATAATGGGCTTAGTTGCCATGGATAGATGACCTACACTGGGAGGCTTTTTTTTTTTTTTTGAGTTGGAGTCTTGCTCTGTTGCCCAGGCTGGAGTGCAGTGGCACGATCTCGGCTCACTGCAACCTCTGCCTCCCAGGTTCAGCCTCCAGAGTAGCTAGGACTACAGGCACATGCAAACATGCCCGGCTAATTTTTTTTTTTTTTTTTTTTTGTATTTTAGTAGAGATGAGGTTTCATCATGTTGCCCAGGCTGGTCTTGAACTCCTGAGCTCAGGCAATCAGCCTGCCTAGGCCTTCCAAATTTCTAGGATTACAGGTGTGAGCCACCACGCCCAGCGGGATTTTTCTGATTCCAAAATTGAAGGTGATCTCTCTCCTTTCTACCCCTGGACTATTTAGTATATATTACAGGGCACTTACTATGTGTGGCCTAAAATTCTAGTTAGTTGTCATGTGTCTGTGTTTTACTCTGGATTTTGGGTTTCCTGAAAGCAGTAATGTTTTGTACTCATTTTTGTATTTCCAGTGCCAGCTCAGGGTCAGGCACAGAGTAGGCATGTGGGAACTAAATGAATAACATGAACAAAAGAATACATTCCCTAGCAGTGAGCAGTTTTATAAATTGGACAGTGCTTTCAAGAAAACTTGTAGAGTCTTATTCCTTGGAATATATGACCTCTAAATTTTACATGGCAGATTTGACTCCTATTTGAGTACTACAAAGGAAGAAAATTAACTACAAGATCTTAGAATGTTTATACATTCACCCATTCAATAAATATTTGTTGAGCTCCCAAGGTTTCAAGCCTATTTCTAGGCACTTGCAACATACCAGTAAATGAAATACACAAAATCTCTACCTCATAAAGCTTATATTCTAGCAGATAGTAAAAATTAGAAGTAAATTATATTTATGTTTCCTACTTTTATCTGCCCGTCTACTGCATAAGTCCAGGTTTAAGTCCCCAGATAATAAAGCCAGATCATGAGGAGGAGTTGATGAAGCATTTTGAGGACTGAGAAAAGATAATCAAAATAGAGTGTTTGGGACACATTTAAACATAAATTTGAGATAGGTAGGCCCAAGAGAAGACATTTGTAGTAGTCCAGCTGTGAGCTACACAGACCCTCAATGAGAAATTTGACTATGAAGATGAAGAGGAGAATAGCACAATTAGGCACCTGAAAGATGGGGCAAAAGAGAAGGGAAGAGTATCTAGTACCTCCAAGATTAGCTACAAGGTAACAGAAAGTATAAGCATAGGAGCAGAAGTAAATTTAGAACATTTATATTGATTGTGTCCACAGGGTATGTTTATTTGTGTCCATTTCAACATTCCTGCTCCAGCTGGGTTTTGTCAGCTTTTGCCACTTCTGCTTTGCTCCCAAACCAGTAAGATATAAGAATTTAGTTTGCTCAAGGGTTCTCAACTTCTGTGGTCAGTGAAAGTCCATGACCTAGCAGGACACACAGCTACTCTTGGCTCACCCCGGAAATATCCCAGGACAGAACATAGGGGGTTCCACTTCCACTTTCCAGTCCCTAAAGCAAAGAAACAGTCTGGGTGTGTGAAAGGCAATGGCTGTGCAAGAGACTAAGGGATGTACCAGAAAAAGTTCACTCTCCACTTGAATTAATCTGGACAGTGTTGTGCAATATGAAAGAGCACAAATTTGGAGTCACACAGAACCTGGTAAGATTCATGGTTCCACGATGTGTGACTTTGGGGAAGTTAGTTAACTTCAGAGACTCTGCTTTATCTATAGAGTAATAATAACTGACAGATTTGGGATAATGCATGTAAAAATGCTTCAGTTTCCAGTAAATTTTAAGAATAGAGATCTAAGGCTTTCCCTATCTGGGGAGCTCCTTTGTAGGTTACCAGATATTCTGTTCCTCATGGGGAGGTTTAATACAGTTTCTGCTCATCTTACTTGCTACTCTGACAAAGTCACCAAACCATTATTTGAACGTGGATTGTCAATCTTCTTACCTTCTCTTCTGATTTTAGAAACAATGTGTAAAAATTATTAAAAATTGTAGTATAAAGCAAAATAACTGATATTTATTGCTTACATTTTAAATAACTGATATTTATTAGTTACATTAGTTATCTTCAAGGTAACTTTATGAAATACATACAAATTTTAGCCCCATTACATATGAGAAAATGGAAACCAACTTATATAAGGCCTCATGCCTTAGTAATTAGAAAATCTAGGATTAAAACTCAGTTTTCCTTTTTTGTTGAAACTGAAAGTCCCCCATAAACCTACCCCACAGAAAACAATTTGTTGTCTGCCCTTCACAGAATTTTTCTATGCATATATTAACCTATATTTTTCAACAAAAATGGACTCATACATTCTTGTTTAAATTTTACTTTCTTCATCTATAATATGTTGTAGGCATCTTTCTGTATGTGTACATATAAAACTACCCCCATTCTTTTTAATAGCTTTGTAGTATTCTTCAGTATATTGATGAACTAACATTTATTTAAGCGATCTTTTATTGATAGGCATTTAAGTTGCTTCTAAGTTTTCCATATTACCATCGATGATGCAATAAACATCTTGTATTTCATCATACACTAGTGTAAATGTTTCTGTTGAATAACATCCTAAAACTTTAATTGCTCAGTAAAATTTTTTTATCTTAATAGGTATTATCAAATTACTTTCTAGAGTGGTGGCAACAGTCTAAACTCCAACCATCCCTGTATGAAAGTGTCTTTTTCCCTACACCTTCAACAAAAATGGGCAGCATCAATTGTTTTTATACTTTGGCTATTATAAGTGAGGTTTAGCATATTTCTATGTGTTCACTAGCCAAACATATTACTTCTGGTGCAAATTGTCTCCTGAGTGTTCATTCTTTCATTAGTTGACTTAAATTATTCTTACTTATTTGTAGATGCTATAATGTATAATGGATATTTTATGGTATTTTCAAATGCATTCGTTTTGTCTGATTATTAAAATTGTACATTTTAATTGTAGAAAATCAGAAAATGGAACAAAGTAAAAAGTACAAAAGAAAAATTATTTTAGGTCTACCAATTAAAATATATATCTGATGCATACTTGAAGAAAATTATAAAAATAAATTATTAAAGAAAATATATGATTATTAGAAAAATTTGAAAATACAAAAAATTATAAGAAAAAAATTAAACATTATCTGCAAGCTCGTCATACTTTTAACCTAGTTTGGATTATGGCTTATGTACAATTTCATATTCTGCTTTATTACTTAACAGTTTATTACTTAAAAGTTTATTACTTAAACTTTTTCCCAAGCCATTAAAACTTTTTCCAAAACTGTAATGAATTTTTCAACAGCTTCATTGAGATATAATTTATAGAACATAAACTTTACCCACTTAAAGTGTACAGTTCAGTGGTTTTTAGTATATTCACAGAGCTGTGTAACCTTTGCCATAATCAATTTTAGAATATTTTCACAACTCCAGAAAGAAATCTTATACCCATTAGCAGTCACTTCCCATTTTTTCACTGGCCCTAAGCAGAAATTTATCCTAACCCCATGCAGCAATAAACCTACTTTATGACTCTAGATTAATTTGCCTATTTTTTGGAGAACTTTTAATGCTGGCTTATTTGTTTCCACCTACTAATATGGGCATGGATGCCTTGAAATCCTCCAGATAGTATGTGCTTAGGGAAAGCAAACATAAGATTAGTACAGCAGAAATGTTATTACATTTTTTGTATTACATGCATTTGGGTATAGCATAGGTCAAATCCTGTCCTGAAGAAAACAGCTGCCTCACATCTGGGGTCTGCAGTCTAGCAAACTAGTCAAGGCTAGAGATGCTAAAAATGAAGTTATTCAACTGTACAAAAGTCGTCCTGCTTCACCCTGAACTTCCATTTGGAACAACCTCCTTATTTGCTCTTAATTCTTCCTATAAAAGACCTACACTGATGGTGTGCATAGTCCCAGGTACTCAGGAGGCTGAGGGAGGAGGATTGCTGAGCCTAGGAGTTTGAGGCTGGAGTGAGCGGTGGTCATGACACTGCACTCCAGCCTGGGAAAAAGAGGGAGGTTCTGTCTCAAAAAAAAAAAAATGGAAAAGGAAAAAGACCTACCCAATCCTCAAAGTATACTGGAAATGCCATGACCTACCCCCTCAAAGCCTTTCCTGACTCTGAGGGGAATTTGGATCTTTGTTTCCTTGTAGTTTTATATTAGTTTAACCTCCTAGGATAGTACCTTCTACATTCAATTTGGTTATACCTAACAGACGGAACCTGACACATATGAGTCCCTTGGCTGGGCCTAGAGTTACAGAGATAAAACTCATAGTACAAGAGTCAGTATTGGATAGTGGTAGCCAGAACATGGACTCTATCCTTAAACCGTATAGGTTCAATTCCCAGCTCCATTTCAAATTAAATTTGGAGCCCAGGCCTTGAGCCTTACACGCTTTGTAAAATGTGAATAAATTAGTACCTTTCTCATAAAGCTACTATGAAGGAATGAAGGAGAAAATTTTTGTAAGGTCCCTAACACAAGCCTGACATACACAGTAAGTACTCGAGTCTTTTGATGAAATTAATTGGATTTAAATTGAAAGTCCATTTAAGAGGAACCAGGAAAAAGGCTTGCAGGCTTAGCCTACCAGGGATCTTCCTAGGCTGTTGTTTGTTGAACTCTCCAAGTCAGTAGGTAGAGTGGGTGGAAGTAGGAAAATGACAAAATTTTTTCAGTTTATGTATCACATCCACCCACTCACAGCCACAACTGTCTCACTTCCTCTTTTTCTGTCACCTTAAAAACCAGAGCTCAAAAAACACTGCTTCTTATTGTTCAATCAAAAATAAGGGCGGTGGCATATAGTTTATTTTTTGTTTGTTTTCCATTCTGCATGCATGCATGTAACCAATGGATCCCAGCTTGATTTTCAAGTACACTCTTGGTTGTTTTAGTTGACTGATTAATACTATTAGCTTTTCACTTCAGAGAGAGCAACTAGGGCTCAGTAAGGACAAAGCAGCTCCACTCTGTCCAGTCTAGAAATGGCCTCTCCCAAATGCATTTTTGAGGGTAATTTCTTAGAACCTGCATAATTAGAGGATGTAGCAGCACGAGTGGCAGTGTGATGTAAATAAAGGTAGTCTGGGTTCTAGTCCTACCTCTGCCACTGATCTTCACTGTGTATCATTAAACACATTCTATTCCATCACTAAGCTTCATGTTTTTCCCCTGTGAAGTCAAGGCGAAGGAGGAGGACTCATTGTGGTCTCAAAGGGTCCTGTAGGCTCTGACTTTCTGTGATTTTAAGTATGGATCTAGAATTGGTGGTGAAGGAGAGAGTTGAGTGCCACATAGAACTCTCAGCTCTCCATCCTTAGATACCTGCTTCTTTCTGCACTTTCCTATACTGAGGGATATGACAATCTCCCATGGCTTCACCATCACATGTCTTTGAATGATTGTCAAAGTTCTCCCTCTAGGCATGATCTCCCCTGAACTCCAGTCCTACCTTCTTCACCCTATGAGGACATCTCACTGCAGGAGTCCCATCATCTCTGTTTCCACATGGCTAATCCCAAACTGTCTTCTGCTAAAAATAACCCCTCCCCTTGAACACTTTCTGAGCTCTGTTTATGGCCTTATTGTTGCCCAGGACAGCCATATCTACAACATGAGTAGTATTTATGCTTTCCACTTAGCCATGATTCACTCTGCCACATAACCAAAACCTAGTCACTCTTCTTTCCACAGTCTCTGGCATCCACCCCTTATACTCTGATTTCACTGTCACTGTCCTGCATTTACTCATTTGTTGCAAATCCAGACTGGTACCCCTGCTTCTACTCTTGCTCATCTATATTCTACAATAGAGAAGTAAGGGCAATCCTTTTAAAACACAAATAAGATTGTCTCATCCTCCTGTTCAGATCCCTCCAATTGTTCCTTATCTCAGAATAAAAGTTAAAATCATTTAAATGCCCTACAAGAACCTGCATAATATACTCTCCCTCACCCTTTTCCGTTCCCATCTTATCTTCTCCCAATTTTCTCCTTCACTCCCTCTGCTCCAAACCCACCTCTTTGAACATTCTAGGCATGTTCTTGCCTCAAAGTCTTTGCGCTTGCAGTCCTCCATGCCTGGAATTATCTTTCCTCAGATATCTGCTAAGCCTACTCTCATATTTCATTCAGGTTTGTTCAAATATTATTTCCTCTGAGAATACATGCTATCTCGTTACTCTCTGTATTAGTGTTACATCACTGTCATAACAAATTAGAACAACTTTACTGGCTTAAAGCAACATAAATTAACCATCATACAGTCCTGGAGGTCAGAAGTCTGCCATGAATCATATTGAGCTACAATGAAGATGTCAGAGGACTGCATTCCTTTCTCTAGGGTCTAGGGCAGAATCCATTTATTTGTTCTCTCAAGCTTCTAGAGGCCACCCCTTTTCCTTGACACATGTTTTCCCTTCCTCCATCTTCAAAGTTAGCAGTGTTACACCTATTTGTGCCTTTCTCCCATAGTCACATTTCCCCCTACCTAACTGACTCCTCTGCCTCCCTTTTCCACTTTTAAGGACTCTTGTGATTGCAGTGGACCCACCTGGGTAATCCAAAATAATCTCCCTATGTTAAGGTCAATTGATTTGCAACCTTAACTCCATCTGCAAATTTAATTCTCCTTTGCCATGTAACCTAACTTATTCACAGGTTCTGGGGATTAGTATACGGACATCTTTGGGGGTTTAGTACTCTGCCTATCACACTCTTACACTGTCTATCCCATAGCTCTGCTTTATTTTACTTCATGGTACTCATCAACATTTGACATATTATATACAATATACATATTTGTTAGCTAGATAGACATAATCAAGAAAATCAAATCTTTCTATGAAGCTTGTTAAAATATTTCCCCTTCCCCAAGACAATCATTTTCAACTTTGTTAGCTGTTTTTTTTTTTTTTTTTTGGCCAGTGTTTGACTTCATATCTCTGAATAACATGCTCATATTGCTATTGTTATTCTTAAAAATCTAGCTCTAATTCACTCCCTCACCTCTATTCACCCAAGTCCTGCACATACATATATGAGTATTTCCTGTCTTCATATTCCACAACTTATTATTAATAAATAAATTATTTATAGACAATGTTGGTGGTGAGAGCAAGATTCAGTGTTTATGTTACTGGTATATCATGGCTGAGCCATATAATATATAATTATATAATGATTGATTTTCCTTTTGATATTTGCTTGGTTGTTTTTTAAACTTTTTTCTTTCTATTAAAATTTAAGTTTCATGTCTGTTTCTTTATTACTATATCCCCCAGGACCTAGAACAGTGTCAGAAACATCAAAAGTGCATTATATGCATTTATTCAATACCTATTATATGCCTGGTCTTACGTCTAGGGTCTTGTAAATATCTTCATCATGGCTTCTTTCAAACTACCAACACAATGTCACTAAACACAGAGTTAGGAATAAATTCACACAATCAGCTCTTAGAATTTAAGTTGTCTCTAGTACACCATTGGTTGAAATCCAGTCACCTAAATTTCTGTCTATTCCCTTCCTCTTCCCTGCTACAGAACTCCTAGGGATCCCCAGAACATAGGTTGAAAATCCATGGGTGAATATGACACCTTTAGAGTATAGATGGGAACACTGAGGCCTAGAGAGGTGAATGAACCCGGGTCTCCTAATGCCCATTCCCATGCTCTTTCCACTGCATTATACAACCAATAGTCTAATTAGTCTCTCAGTTTTCTGCTTCCAATTTCCCCATCCTATTCCATTGATATTCTGCAAACAGATTTGGTCCTAAGAAGCTGCTTTCAACCGCAGCAGGCCCCCGTTTCACCATAGAAGTTTCTACGGCTCCCATAGAAGTCTTTAAGATCAAGTCTAGGCATTTTGGCCTTATTTTCAATACCCTCCACAATCTGGCTTAGCTTTTTCTTCTCCTGCCTTTCTAAATATACACCAAGCTAAAGTCCAACTGACTCTCCCTGTTCATCAGAATCATTCTTGCCTTTGATTGCCTCTGGACTTTGGCTCTTTCTCTACCACTTACCTGGAATTTTTCCCCATCCTCTTTGCCTATCCAATGCTAACCAAATCTCACATCCCAGCCCACACTCCAGCTCCTCTAGAAAGCTTTCCTAAACCACTGAAGTCCATAGGGATTGCTACCACTTCTCAACTCCCATTGTACAAAACAGTTTCTGCCATTCCTTTGTCCCTTAATATGTAAGGCCTGTTATTGTTAGTTTTCTTCTAAACCCTCATGTTTATCTTTCTATGTATTTTTAGGTTGATGTTTATATGTGTATTTCTCTGTATATGTATGTTATATCTGTGTTTTTATTTAAGTGTTCATATGTTTATATGCATGTATTATCTACCTATGTCCTGCTTAAGTGTATGAATCTGTGTTTCATTGCTTGTTTTCTCATGTCTATGTGCAGGTCTATGTGTATTTGTGTGTTTGCATGCATATTTTGTGTGTCTGTGCTTACATGTCTCTGTGTGTATATTTTGTGTGTTGTACATCAATGTGCTCACGTTTGTGCTTAAGGCCATATTATATACATATGTATAGCTATACACAAATGTGTGACCATATGTATCTGTGCATTTATGTTTATTTGTAGTACTTATAGGGGTGTGTGTGTGTGTGTGTGTGTGTGTGTGTGTGTGTGTCCTTGAGCAGGGCCTGTGTGGATTTACTCTTTGTACCACTGCTTCCCTCCAACTCAGTAAGCCCAAGGTGCACATACACACAGGAGGGTCTCAGATAATGTTTACACATTGATAAATTTCTCCAACCTGACCTTTCAACCTTTGTCTAGAAAGGTGGGCTATGGGGGTAGAAATAGACACAGAGCCACAGTGACCTCTGAATATTGGGCCTCAAAGGGTGTGAGTCATTTTCTCTGCTGCTCACCCACATTCTGTGAACTCCTACCACATGCACAGTATCATCTCATGAAGCACTGAGCTTGAAAATAAGAAAAACGTGGACCCCTTGAATTAAAGTAACTATCCATCTCTCTCCTCTTCAACCACTTCATCTTTTCTGGCTCATGCCCTGGTGCATGGAGTATCAAAGGTACAATTTTTTGAAACACCAACTTGGATGGTAAATTACACTTCTGTCATTTATCAGTTGTGTGACCATGGGCAGGTTCCACGGTACCTCCAGACCTCAGTTCTCTCAATAAGGAAAGGTTATTCATAATGTCTTCCTTGTGAGGTAAGGCCTAGGGATAATGTGCACAGCACAGAGCAGGAGTTCTACAAATGGTAGTTTTAGTATCACTTTACCTGGGAAGCCTTCCCACGCTACTATTTCCTTCACTAAATACTGCCCAAACCACAAGTTTTACAGCTCAGTTAATAATTCACCTTGTATTAGTGGTTCATATGTGTTTGTCTTTCCTTTACACTAAAATCTCACTTATACAGGGACCATACCTAACATTTCTTTTCTCTCCCTCACAACATCCAGAAAAGACCTGGAACTATTGTAGAAGTGGTCATTAAAGGTGTGAATGAAGCAGAATAGTGTGTTACTTAACAGTATCATTTCTGGAGGCATATAGCTAGGAGTTTGAATCTTGTCTAGGCACCCTCTATAAAAGTAAGTGATTTCACCATTCTGGGTTTTAGACACATTTGTAAAATGGGGATATATTGAATTCATTCATTCAACAAATATGTGGGCTCTACAATGAAAAAGAAAAGTAGTGTAAGGGAGTATAGAGTGGTAGGGAGAGATACAAGAGTATGTGCAATAATACCCACCTGAGGGGTTGTAAGAACCAAGGGAAATAACCCATGCAAGGTGCTTAATTCAGTGACTGGAAGAGTAAAAGATTTTAAATAGCAACTATCATTATATAGTTGTTATTGTATGTATAGTATAGTTTGATTTTTATAAATCTGAAAAGATACAAGCATCAAGTATAATTATGTTCATGTTACAATTAGGGAAGCTGAGGTTCAGAGAGATTTGACTTGTTCAAGATCTCAGAATGAAGTAGACACAGAGCCAGGCTTATCTCCAGGTTTCTGACTTCTCATCCAATTCTTTTACTAATCAAGAGGGCTACTGAGCCTACTGCAAGACTGGAAGTCTTTCCCAGCCTTGAAGTAATGTTGTGCATACTCCCCAGGACATTTATTTATCTTCAGATCCAGGAGGTCCTAATAAAATGCAAGAGGTAGCACAAAACACACAATCACCTGGCCAGGCAGAAATTTACATCTGTCCAGTGGGCTTTTTAGCGGGGAAGGGGAGGGGTGTGTGTGTGTGTATGTGTGTGCGTGTGTGTGTGTGTGTGTGTGTGTGTGTCTGTGCGGTGGTGGTGGTGTAGTGGTGATAGGGTGTTGGTTGAAAAATATCAAAGGAGGGTTCTGTGAAGTTCAGGGTTTCCTGAGTGAGGACCCGGTGGGAAAAAATGGCTGAAATTTCCAGTGAGATGGAATGAGTGCAGTACTCAAAAAACAAGGAACAACCAGCCAAGGGGGATTGGGCCCTAGAGGCAGAGGTGATTGATAGAATTCCATGTAATAATGTGTCCTGAAATGCTGGAATGTCTCCTTAGCCCGTGCACAGCTCCAAATCATCTGCATGCAGCCACCCCTTGGCAAGTATGTTTCTTTATATTCCCACTCCCCATCTCTGCACAAACTCCTCCCTCCCCTGACCAAGTCCTTTCCTATCCCTCCAATCAAAGAGTAAACTAAGCTTAGCTGTTACTTACAGTGCAGTATGAATTTTTGGGATGTATTTGTGCTTTTGAAAGTGCTTATTGTTTCAAAGCTTAGTAGACAAAGCGCAGTGCCAAACCTAGTTAGACTGCTGATGAAATTACAGTCACTCTGGGGCCTGTGAAGAGGAGCAATTTCTGGAGCAGTTGAGCTTTGCTAGGAGGCATAATATTACTCTCTTGTAGGTCAAGGGCCTGTACCAATTGGAAGTCAATGAAAAATTCAACCTAATACAGCATACCACTAATGGGCTGCTGCACTGGAGGCTAGGCTTAAATTTCCCTTAAAAGAAGTAAAAAATAAATTCCTTATGAAAAAGCATGGAGAACATTAATGAAAATGAATTCTCCCTTACCATCAGAGAGGTGGAGCCATTGTAGAAAGTGATTCAAAGAGCTTCCCCAATATGAGATATGAGGCATATTCACCCATAACAGCCTTATCCATTGGCTTGTCAATTATTCAAGCTTTGATGTGTAGAAAGCCCTTTAATACACTAAACTCTTGTACTCTTAAGCCCAAAAGCACCCCGGGCCCAACACCCTGTCCAGTTGCATAGGCTGCACAGGCAAGGGTTAACAGTACAACTAATGAAAATTGGGTAGGTCAGCAAAGTTGATCTCTTCTCCCTGGGCTCACCACAAAGGAAAACACCGCCATACTGGAGTGGGAAGACTCATCCCAAAGGTCGCCCCCACAACCTCTGAATCTTGTGGAGGAGACTCAAAATAAATACAGCCTAGGAGATCAAAGACCAGAAAGCCCCATTGGCTCCAAGGAAAGTCAAGTCAATACCCTAGCAGGGGGAAGAATTGCTTCACTCATCCTGGAACCTCCAACCCCAAGGAGGTGGGGGAAGGGGGGCACCCCACATGACCTGTACTGAAATAGGGAAGGAAGGGGAATGTGTGATGGGACTAGGAGTTTGAGTGAGAGATATAGGGAAGGAAGGGAAGTAAGCAGTCACAGACGCTGGCGGCCACCAGAAGTTTGAGCCTCTTTGGTAGCAGGAGGCTGGAAGAAAGGACAGAAGTAGCTCTGGCTGTGATGGGGATCTTACTGGGCCTGCTACTCCTGGGGCACCTAACAGTGGACACTTATGGTAAGGCAGAAAGGGGGGCCTGGCTGCCATTGCTGGCTTAGGCAAAAGGCTAGAGGGTTGGTGTTTAATGTCTACTATGGAAAGCCTATTCCTACTGGGCAGGTGAGTCTTCTCAGCCAAACTCTGCAGGCTCTCTCAGCCTTGAGCAAAACGGATGGATGTAGTTGAAGGCTGCTGAAGAAGCCAGAAGGCAAGTTTGGGCAGAAATTGAAAAAGGATTTTTCTCTTGGAAAACATCTGCATTATTTTCTAGGGCTTGTATCTCAGGGGCATCAAGAAGGTTCCCAATGACATCCGAATCTTTCCTCCATCTGCTGTCTCTCATCTAAAATTCTACAATTGGACTTAACCACTCTGCTTCCAAGCTTTGGTCTCTGTTAAAATATACAGCCCCCGAAGAAGGAGTGTTTTCTAAGAGTTGGATAGGACTATAGAAGTAACCTATACCACCCTTCATTGTCATGAATAAGTGCTCAGAAACATCCAGTAGTGATTGAGATTTCACTGTTCACTACCTCCCCAGACCATCTAGTCCATCCAGGAGCAGCTCCAACTGTTAGAAAGTTCTTATTTGTGTTGAACTAAATCCAGTTCCCTCTGACTTCCATCCAAAAACCCCAGCTTTGCTTCTTGGGGCTACACAGAACATAGATGCTTCCTTGCCCTGTGATAGCCCTTCAAAGCCCTGAGGACAAGTACTATGTCTCCTTGACTCTTCTCTCCTCCAAGCTGAACAGCCCCAGCTTTTTCAACTGGTCTTCATAGGACTTGGTTTCTTACCCATTCCTGGGATAACTCACTTCCCTATAGACATGGCTCAATTTGTCTGGGCTATTTATGGGCTGGATACAAATCCCAAAGGAGGATGGACTATTCCATAGTGGCATTATTTCCTTGGAGCTTGGGAAGCTCTATCCTCATCTACACTCCTGAGAAGTGAGATGGATTTTCAGGAAACTCAACCTGGGTAACAGCTAAGTGAGATCCAATATAGGGTAAAGGGGGATTTTGCTGCTTCCCTATCATCCCTAGAGAAAAAGGCTGGATAGGTGTTAGCTTGGTGTCACTTGTTAGGTCAGAAAGAATCCAGCTTTCCGTAGCTGACTCTGATTAGGTTACCCTATCCTGGGGCTCTGTGACCCATCACACTCTGGAACCTCAGAGTTAGAAAAGACTCTGAATTAAGTCAACCAAGAGAAAAAATAATTTGCCCCCAAGCCAAAGAGCATTAGTGGCAGAGTTAATGCTCCTGAAAAAACATTTTTCTTTCTATAACTACCACATTTCCATTCTCTAGCAGGTTTTATAATGTATCTCTCTACCTTCTCCAAGTCTGTTGGTTTGAGCTAGGGCTTAAGCCTGGGGCTTGAGGGAGCATTTTAGAAATGTTAAATTTAAATCCTTTGTTTGTGTGTGTGTATGTGTGTGTGCATTCATGTGTGTGTGTGTGTGTGTGTGTGTGAGAGAGAGAGAGAGCACTCATGTGTCTTGTTCCTTCCCCAGCCTATGAGCTTTTCCAGACCTGGAAGCAGGCCTTCCATTTGTACACAGGATCTTATACTATAGACCTCAGGCTCAGGTTATGCTGAGCTGCAAATAATACCTTCCCTCTCCCTGGACCTCATTGTTCCTAGCCCATCTGTACAGTGAGGAGGTTGACTTGACTGGTCTTAAAGGGGTTTCTCAGCTGGACAACTCTGTGGGACTGCAGCTTCACTGCTAAAAACCCTGTAGCGGCCAGAGTAAGCTGCTAGCCTCTTCCTGTGGGGCTAAGAGATATGTCAAGATAATCAAAATTTAAAAAATTTCTAATATTCACATTTTATATACATTTTAAACATTTCAGAAACATTTTATAAACATCTATTATATAAGTTAATCCTCCATCCAGGAGGCATTCCAGGAAAGGGAGAGAAGCCAGTCATGTGGGGGAATGGGATAGAGATATGGAAAATGTCAACCTCTTTGTGATGATGGGAGGAAGGGGATTCAGAAAGAGACCTAGAATGGGTCTTATAAAGGAGCACACACCTAGTAAATTCAACCTTTCTTTTCTTCAGTGCCATTACACAGGCATCAGACATTTGCTTTTATAAGGCTGGGTCTCAGGACCACATTAAGCTCAATACTGTATATATACTTATCAGCAATAAGTATATATACTTATCAGCAATAAGTATATATACGTATCAGTAATAAGTTTATATACTTAGTAATAAGTATATATACTTATCAGTAATAAGTATAATATAATATAATGTTATATATTATATATAAGTAATTATCAGTAATAATTATATAATTATTATATATTATATATAAGTAATTATCAGTAAAGTGGAAGTAATAATAAAGGAAGTAATATAATATAATAAGTATATAAATATATAATATAATATAATATATTATGAATATATTATATTATATTATTATTATATAATATATATTATATATTGTATTATATAATTATTATATATATTATATTATTATATAATTATATTATATATTATATTATTATATGATATATATTATATATTAATATTATTACATAATATATATTATATATTATATTATATTATTATATAATATATATTATATATTATATTATATTATTATATAATATATATTATATATTATATTATTATATAATATATATTATATATTATATTATATTATTATATAATATATATTATATATTATATTATATTATTATATAATATATATTATATATTATATTATATTATTATATATTATATATTATATATTATATTATATTATTATATAATATATATTATATATTATATTATATTATTATATAATATTTTATATTATATTATATTATTATATAATATATATTATATGATATATTATATTATTATATAATATATATTATATGATATATTATATTACATTATATATTATATTATATGATATATTATATGATATATTATATTATATGATATATTATATTATATATTATATAATATAATATAATATATCATATAATATATCATATAATATAATATATCATATAATATATTATATAATAAAATATATAATATAATATATAATATAATATATTATTATATATATAATATATTATATAACATATTATATATATAATAATATATAATATTATATAATATATTATATTATATATAATATAATATAATATATATTATATTATATTATATATTATTAATATATTATAATTATATAATATATATATTATATAATTATAATATATTAATAATATATCGTATTATATATATTATATTATATTATATATTATATTATTAAAATATTATCTATATTATAAATATATTATATTATATTTTTATTATATTATAATATTACTTCCTTTATTATTACTTCCACTTTACTGATAGTGACTCAAAGTTCAGATAGGTTTAGTAATTTACCCAAGGTCACACAGAGAGATATGTGGTAAGGCAGACCTTGCGCTTAGATCAGTGTTATTCCTACTACATCATACAGTCCTTCATTACCCTCCTGCTCTCATTAGGGGCTCCTACTTGATTCTAGGGGAACTACAAGGAAAGGTAGAAGGTACAAGTCAGTGGTATTGTGGTTTACTTCACTTTGGAGATCAGAAAACATGAGGAATAGTACAATGTCATTTTTCTTGTGATGTCCTGTACCTATAATCCAGTCTCTTTATGCAACTAATGAAGCAGGAGGAGGAAGAGGAGATAAGAATAAGAAAAAGAAGAAGGAAGAAAAAAGGAACGGAAGCATAATGGAACAATGAGTGGAAGAAATAAAGGAGGAAGAAGGGAGAGGAAAAAAAAAGTAAAAGGGGAAAAAACATGCCATTTTGGGAAGTCTAGTTACCAACTCTGTCCTATTCATTCTGGGATGGAGGAGTTAAGCCTGACCTACTTCCAGAAGTGATTTTCAAAACTGAGAAATTGAGACTATCTAGCAATTTTCTTGATAGGCCAGACTGAGCTTTGTGAGAATTTCCAGCAAATTCCCAGGGAGGAAAAACACAACCCAGGCCTTTCAGCTCCCCTAAGGTCAGAAGGAAGACCTGCATATGCATAGACAAAGGCATTTTCAACTCACAGCAGAATGCTGCTTTGTTGCCCAAGAGGGGAATGTGAGAATGCTTTTCAGAGAAGAGGAGGGACATTGGGAAAGTCCAGAGGAAGATTAATGGGAAATAGCCTATTAAACCAAGAGGCTCAGATAGTTTTCATGGGGTTTAAGCATGGTATGTTTGTGCTTGCATGTGGCCAAAAATATGTATGGGCATGTGAGTCCATGATAATGAAAAGCTGTATCTGCAATCACATGGAGGTGTGAACTATCTATGGCACAGTGAAACCCACTACCTGGTGAAAATTCACCACCAGCTGGAACCTATAATTACATAACTTCTATTTCTATTATAGCCTATTAACACTTGACCACCTAAGATTAGAAGGGACCTTAAAGAGCAAGGCTAAGACCCAAACAAAGCCTAGAACTTCCCCCAGACAGTTTAATCCATCCATAGACAGCTCTGATTAATCACAAAGTTCGTTCTAAGGCAAACCATCTGTTCTGCGATGTGAAAAGCAGACAAGAATAACATAAAAAGAAATAGAATTAGGAAAATAGAGCAAACCAAAATCTGCCCCTCTTGTATTCCCATTCGTAGGTCTGAGTTCTGCTCTCTGCCAAATTCGAAGCATTCCAGAGAGTATGTAGTGGATCTAGCAACATGGACTTATGTTATTTATTCTTTTCTACTCAAGGGCTTTTTCTTGACTAAAATATGCTATTGATGTTCTAAGGGTCCCTGGTGAGGGCACAGGCTAGAGGCTTGATTTTATATCTCTATTAACAGAAGTCCTGATGCTGGACAGTATATTCTGGGAGTTAGAACGCATACACTCAACCCATCCAAAAGATGTCATCTTCCATCCGCTTGACTGAATACTGGGATTTCTAGGCTCAATAAAAGACTTTTATTCAGGAATACCTCATATCTTTGAAACCACCTCTCTTAGGAGAGACATGAATATATTGCCTAAATATACCCACCCCACACTCCTGGCCCCAGCTAAATAAAACAAAAAATCTTCTAAATAAGAGCTTATGGATGGAAAATTCTGATGGGAGGCAATGGCTGTTTCAACATCCCCACCTCCTTCCCCACCCCCACCCCCATCCCCAAGGGTTTCCTTCTCAAACACGCCAAGGAGCAATCTCCCATTGCTTCTATCACCACCCCTACTACAGCCAGCTTCAGGATTTCACTCAGAACCTTTTCCTCTCTAGACCAAAAATGGATGCAATCTTTTCCCCCTCAAGATGAAATTTTCCTATGTATCCTTGCTAAGAACTAAGAGAAACCAAAAGGAAAATAAACAAAAGAAATCAGAAAAAAAGTCAGGTTTACAAAGTGCAGGTTTTGAATTTAACAATAGCTAATGATTTTGTTAAACAGGAATGTGTATCCAGACTTCTTCCTCACACTTGGTTCCACCCTCAGTATTTCCTTTTGCCTGTCTTCCAGAGAACATCTTAGGGTTGGGACCCCACTCACTGAGGATTTCTAAGGGAACAAGAGAAGATAACAGGGCAGAGGGCCCTTTCTTGCTGATCTCAAAAGCCTCCACCTTTCTCCAGGTGCAAATTTACACAAAATGAAATAGTCCAGACCCAAATGCTTAGCATTTTTGCTTCCACATCTCTTTTGGAAAATGTGAAAAGAAAATTTTTTCATGGATTTGCAGAATGACAGATTTGATAGAATATCTAGAGCACCTACCACCCAAACTCTCCACATTATAGATGAAGTAAATGAATCTTCCACGGTAAGAAGGTGACTTACCTAGGATCACCTTCATAGCAAGACAGTAACATAAAAAGGACTTGAAACTCACAAGATCTAAACAATGTTAAAGGCTTTCATTCTGAAGACTGGTTCTGATTGATGAGAAGGCTGGCAAAGAGCAAAAGGGCACAGGTACACAAAAGTGTGATAGAAAGAAAGTTGAGTGGCATTTCTCAGAAACCTTTTGAGGTTTGTCACTGTCACCTTAGTTGCCAAGTAGGTATGCCATCTACGTTTGCTTCTTTCCTCTGTTCCGCCTCTTCAGGCCGTCCCATCCTGGAAGTGCCAGAGAGTGTAACAGGACCTTGGAAAGGGGATGTGAATCTTCCCTGCACCTATGACCCCCTGCAAGGCTACACCCAAGTCTTGGTGAAGTGGCTGGTACAACGTGGCTCAGACCCTGTCACCATCTTTCTACGTGACTCTTCTGGAGACCATATCCAGCAGGCAAAGTACCAGGGCCGCCTGCATGTGAGCCACAAGGTTCCAGGAGATGTATCCCTCCAATTGAGCACCCTGGAGATGGATGACCGGAGCCACTACACGTGTGAAGTCACCTGGCAGACTCCTGATGGCAACCAAGTCGTGAGAGATAAGATTACTGAGCTCCGTGTCCAGAAACGTGAGTCACTATGGGGGTAGGAAAGCACTGATAATCAATGAATCAATAGTGGATGTAATTCTAGAAAAGCCTGAAAAATCCAGAGGCCTTCGTTTATACAGAGGCTCTCCACAGGTATATGTGCTTATCAGAGGAAGTGGACAGGCAGAGGATTCTTAGGGTCAGCATTCCCATAGTTAAATTTAGGAAGTGCTGGGAAGGGTTCCTGACCTGCAAATCTCTATCCCTTCGAGTGTCCCAGAAATGCCAGTATCCATGGACTAGTTACCCTCCTTGGGCTCTGGGCTTTACAACTCAAAAATGAGTACATTTAATTTGTAGATAGATGCTGATAGAGAAGCTCTGGGGAAAGGGAGGCAGAGGTTAGCCAGGATAAGTTTGCTTGCTGGACAATTTTACAAAAGTCTGGCCCTGATAATCCACAACTGCAGGTAATCAAAAGCTCTACTTGAGCCCCAGAACAAACTACATTAATTTTAAAGGTCAGTTGATTTTTACTTCCAAGTATTCCAAAACCCCGGGTAATACCAAAAAGTACCTACCTTCAAAGGAAGCCATTTTATTTGTATTGCCCTTTCCTTCTTATTTCCTCCAAAGTCAGAAGCCCCCTTTAGTTCCAGTTGCAGATATATGCATGCCCTTACGCCCAACAAGAATGATTCAGCCTTTTGGTCCCATATCCTTATGACTGCCCAGAGTTTCCTGTCTTGTCTTTTCTTTGCAGTCTCTGTCTCCAAGCCCACAGTGACAACTGGCAGCGGTTATGGCTTCACGGTGCCCCAGGGAATGAGGATTAGCCTTCAATGCCAGGCTCGGGGTTCTCCTCCCATCAGTTATATTTGGTATAAGCAACAGACTAATAACCAGGAACCCATCAAAGTAGCAACCCTAAGTACCTTACTCTTCAAGCCTGCGGTGATAGCCGACTCAGGCTCCTATTTCTGCACTGCCAAGGGCCAGGTTGGCTCTGAGCAGCACAGCGACATTGTGAAGTTTGTGGTCAAAGGTGAGCGGCCCTCTTTCCTGGTGAGCATCTTAACACACAAGCTTGAAACAAAGATACCTCAAAAGGTGCCCTTATGCAAAAGAAGAATTGGGAGAGGAGGATCCCAAGCAGGCAATGGTTGTACAATCACAAAGAAAAAAAACTTGGACTGGGGACAACAGGGATAGAGACATTGCCTATCATGCCATAGGTTAAGTAGATAAAGACGGTAAAGGAAAGAGAGATTTACTAGCACATTGTATTTGCCAGATACAAAGTACAATAACTTGACACACATTTTCTCATTGAATCCCCACAACTGTCCCATGAGATAGTTATCATTACTCTTACTTTACAGAAGAGGAAACAGAGTCAGAAAGGGGAATCTACTTGCCCATGGTCTCACAGCAAGGAAGTATAAATCTGGATTTGTACTCAGATTTCATGCTCTTCCTACTATGTCTGATTGTTTCTCATGGTTGAATCTATATCAGATCCTGGGCACCCTTTGAAAGCTGTTGTTTTTTGTTTGTGTGTTCTGTTTGTTTGGTTATTGTTTTGCTTGTTTGATTAGGCTTGATCTAATATATCTACATGCTTTCTTTTAACTTCCCTCCCCCACTTCATTGTAAACCCAAATACAAGTTCTGGTTGAAGTATCCTTTAAGATGGGCTCTTGTTAATCAAGATCTGACTATTTCTTACAGCACTGTCCTGGGAGCACTACAAACTATGCATATAAAGACTGTAAGCTGAGGCTTAAATGAAGAGTCCAGCAGTGATATGTCCAGATGAGTTTTCTTAGCTTTCAAGAGATCTCCTTGGAAAGAAAGACACCCCAACAAGGTTACCATTGCCCAAAACATGTTGGAAACTAACTGATTTTAGGGAATTGCCCTCAGAACCATCTGAAAATTATTGTCTTCTGAGGATAGTTCTGTGTAAGGAGAGGGCGTAAACCTAGCCCAAATGGCTTATTACCATTTGGGCTAGGAGACTGATGTTGGTTTGAGACTCTTGTGTTTGCCTGGAGGAATTTGTTTCCCAAAGTTAAGCTGTAGTGAGGATGTGTGTGCTGTAGATCATGGTTTGTTAGTTTTGGGAGGAACAAGAGTGGTCCGCCCTGAAAGTTATATGAACAGTGTCCCAGTTCTCTAAGAGCTGACAGTCTGGTCAAGCAGAGAGGGCAGGGCGTGACCAGAAAGCCCAAGAATGTATACTTCATAAAGAGACTAATTGAACATTCTTGCCTTTCTGTGAGTTACTTCTCAGACCACCTAGGCAAGAACTTGCTCACAGTAAACCCTCCTGTTTATTCCTTCTCACAGTCAATGCTTATTACAGTGCTGTTAAGCAGTGCTCGCCATTGCCCCCTACTGACAGATAGGAAAACTGAGGCTCAGGGAAGTTATTCTCAGCCTTCCACTCTTCCCTGCTCTGTGAGCCAACGTAATCTTTCCTGGCTACCTCTACCTGCCTCCCTGTCCACCCAACCTTGTCCCCTGAGTCTGACCCCCTATTTCACCTCTGCCCTACGGAACTCTCAGCCCTTTCACCCTTCCACCTCACTCTGCACTGTTCTTTAGTTCTAGAATGACTCTGGAGGCCCTGCTTTTGCTCATGTTCTTGGACTGCTGAGCTTTGCTGACGAACAAAACAAAACACAGATATGAATTGACTCCACTTGAATTTTATGCTCTGCGATATGTACTGCCTGACCCCATGCCGTGTGTCTATTTGCTTATCTTTGTCTCATTCCTCATAGCAGCTTTTCAGCACATTTCTACCTTATTTCAGGCCCCCAGCCTTGCTCCTAAAAGATAAGGTAACTTCCTTCCTCTGTAAGAAGGTCCAGACCCTCTTCATATGTGAATTTTATCAACTACCCTCCTCTCTGCCTTGATATTTCCCTATCCATTTCCTCTTGGCTCAGAGTAAGGTATGCTTTGCTCCTCTCCACAACAAGCCCCTCCTCCTGAACTCTTAACATCAGCTACTCCAATGCCCTGCAATACCCTTTATCCTCTACCTAAGCCAAATAGATATGCATGTATAATATATGTATATATGTCAGTATGCAAGCCTAATACATACATATATATATGTTATTTTTCAAAAATCTTTCTCTCCATCTGCCACCTCATCTCTCCTATGTTCACTACCAACCTTCTCACGAAGGTAGCTTCCACCAGCTGAACCTCTCAATTCATTCACCACAACATAACTTTGTAATTTGGGGTCATCATTAACCTCCATATCACCAAATCCCAAGACCTCTCCATTCATACTTTTCCTCCTCAACATCTGTGTAGCAGTGGATCCTGTTGGCCATTTCTTCCACCTCAATATTCTTTTAATCACTGCTATTGATGACACCAACTTATCTTGGTTCTTCTAAGACCTTCCTGAATGATCCTTCTGAGACACCTTTGTTGGCTCTTTTTTCATTCACTCCTTAATTGTAAATGTTCTCAAAGACTCAATTCTTATTCATCTCTGCATGTATTTCTATATTATCAGGAGATTTTATTTACTTCTGTGGCTTCAAATATCACCTGTAGTCTGATGACTCTCCAACCATAATATTATCTGTATTTATTTTTTCCTGACTGCTAGATCCCAGTGTCTAGTTACCTTCTGGACAGCTTCATTTCTAATTTCAGCGTGTTCAAAACTGATCGTACCTTTTACTCACCAAACCTGTTCCTCAAACCTGTTAGAAAACATAGCAGTACCTTTGACTCCTCCTTCTCTTTTACCTCGCATCGTCAAATAATCATCAATATTACCAAGTGCTGTGAATTCACCTACTGAATCAGATACCTTATTAGGCTCTTTCTTTCTCTTCCTATACCCTCATGGTCTCATATTCTTTTTTAAAAAACAATTTCAATCATCTTCTAAATGTTCTCCCCATGTTCATACATTCTTACGAAGTCATCAACTTATTCAATATTTATTGAGTATATATTTTATGTCACTAGATTATAAAATTCAAGAGTGCAGAATTCTACCTGTCTACTTCATTGCTGTTTTTCAGAGCCCAGCAAAGTATCTGGCACAAAGAAGACACTAGACACTAGATGAATACTGTATTTGTTAATGAATGGGGAAAATATGCTATTGCCTTACCTTTGAAAATCCTACCACACTGTTGTCAGAATTATTTCCAAAAAAAATAGACTGAACAATTTTTGCTTCCTTTCTCAAAAGGAAGTAAACCTTTCTCAAAAGGTGTAACCTTCTGTTACACCCCATGGATCTTTCCAACTAAAGAACAAAGCCCAAACCCTTTTAGTCTGTTTTCAGCCTACCTATCCAGACTTATCTACTAATATGTTTCGCCACATCTAAAACGGAGCATGCTGTTTCCTCTGCTAGCAAGAGGGAGAAGCTTATGGTTTTCTCATGTCTTTTCTGAGCAGGTACATGGCCCTGTGCTTGTGTGTGGCCTCCTAGTTTCCCAGAACTGTGTCAGAACTCTTCAAAATCCCTATGGAAATCTTATTCCTCAACCATTTTTAAGGCTATTTTGGTTAGTTTTTTTTGTTTTCTCGCCTATTATCCATTGCCTCAGGCAGCTGTGTGACAAATGCTACCCCATCCCTGGGGAGAGGCTCTTAGCACTGGGTGACCAATAAAACAAGTCTTTTGAGTCAGGTCTTTCAGGGAACCACCAGACAGGCCAAATAATGGCAATTATTCAAAAATGAAGTTTGTTGGGCTCACTCCAGCACCTGGAATGGGGTTGTATGTTCAAGATTACCTCTGAGGTAGAAGGGGTAAGGGGACTAGGAGAAGTTAAAACAGCACAAAGCTTGCTGTTCTTACCAAAACTGGGATATTTTTCTTCCATAAATCCTGTCTAAGGTGCTGCAAACCTTTGGCTATTTTGCAAAATTCTAAAAAAAAAAAAAAAAAAAAAAAAAAGTTGATTACGTCAAATTTTGCATTATTTCACTGATGTTGTTAAAGGGTAAATTTCTGGAGGTTATTATGTCACCATTTTCACTGATGTCACCCATTGCCACTTTCTTTATGATACTTCCCAAGTTTCTCTCAAGAGAATTAATTACTAGGTCTCAGTTAGAAGTTAGTAAAAATAAAATATATTTTCCCATCCAAGTTGACTGACTCTCTGAACTCTAGCTACAGGTTCCTTCGAGATCTATTAATCCTGGGTTAAAAACTCTGTCCTTGATTGATGTATGAAAGATGAACAAGCAACACAGGACTTACCAGCATCATGACAGAAGTGTTGAGGCAGGTCCAAGTATGGACCTGAATGGCCTTTACTTACTTCCTATTTCCCTAGGGCATTAAACTATTCACCAAAGGGTACCAGGTCCCTTCAATCGGTTCCCTTTTCCTTGCAGACTCCTCAAAGCTACTCAAGACCAAGACTGAGGCACCTACAACCATGACATACCCCTTGAAAGGTGAGTTTTGCTAGAGTCTGAGGAAGTAGTAGAGGTTCAAAATGGTGTCATCGTAGCCAAGAAAGGAATCACAATGCCATGGAATGGCTAATAAACAGTCACTTGGTTCCTCAGAGAGAACATAGCAGTAAAGGAATGGAAACAAAAGAAAGGTAACAATGATGAATATATACTCTTTTTTTGTGAAAACTTCTGAGGCAAAAGGAAAGAGAGGGTTAGAATTACTCCCATTGGAAATACAAAAAACAAGAACACTAAATTCTATTCTGCTCCTAGTTTGACTTGCTGTGTGACTTTGGGTACATTACCTCCCCTCGATGGGAATTCTTCTCACTGCCCACACCTAACAGTAAGAAATGAAGATGCCTTATCTCATGGTACTAGTGGTTGATAACATGGTCAGGTACCCTGGAAAGTACAGCACAAATGGCCAGGGAAGGACTCCAACCTTTGCAACCATCTCCTATCTCTCAACTTTTTGAAAGAAGAGAGACATCTCTGACCCTATTCTCTATATTCATAGCAACATCTACAGTGAAGCAGTCCTGGGACTGGACCACTGACATGGATGGCTACCTTGGAGAGACCAGTGCTGGGCCAGGTAGGAATATTGTCAGGATTTCTATCTTTTCTTCTTGACTCTAAGCTTTGTGACCAAAACTTTCCCTTATGCACACTGTTCTACAGCATTGAAATCTGCAAATCATTACCTGCTATGTGCCAAGCAATGGTCAAGGGCACTGAGGATGGGTAAAGTGGGTAGGATGTAGAGAGAGAGATACAGATCCAGAGATGAGCAAAGTCAGAGTGAGGTTAAGGGGAGTGATAAATGTGCCCTTTATTTAGTTCTCTGTTGTCATAGTAATATGCTTTCCAAACATTCTGAGCAAGAATATGGATAGGGACATTATGACATCATGACCTCAACCAGGTAAGGATAATGGCTGAGTGTCATTGCTTGAGCTCTTAACCAGGGCTCTTCAAGCCGCTTGAAGCTGATTTCTGATTCCTCCAAAGCCTTGAAAATTCCCAAGTCAGGGTCTCAGAGATTCAAATCCCAAATAAATCTTTTGTGTTTCACCTGCATCTGATAGTCAGTTGGTATGCCTTCACATGACTACATTGACTGTTGAAATAATAGAACACTCTCACACCAATTGATAATTAGCTGCTCCCCTTAACCCCTGAGCCCTCCATTATTACCTGGGGCTGCCTTGTCCCATTCCTCAGAACTCTCTAGACCACCCCCATGGTCATGCAACAAAAGGTATACCAAGGAATCTCTAAGACTCCAAGTCTACAGTAGGCATCTGTTGTGACTGGTTGGAATTAAATAGTTTGATAACTATCACTCCTGGTACTCATTCTCTGCCTGTGTATAATTGAGAGAGTGGACTTCCAAATGCTCTTTGTAACTCTCCATTCCTGATTGCAGAGTTTTTTGGCTATCCCTTGGCAGCACTCAAACCTGTTTTATGTTCCACATTTGCATTGCCATCTTTGGCTTCAAGATTTCCATAGCTCCGTTCCTCTCCGAGAAGAACATCTACTGGGAGAAGAGAAGTTAGAAATTGCCTCATAGGGAGTTGGTTTGGAAAAATGAGAAAATAACCTTGGGCAAAGTTATTAGATGTTGGGTCTGCGCCCTATTTTCTCTACCAAGTTTTTTAGTACTTGACTCTCTTCAAAAGAGAATATTTCTTCGATTTGTACCAGCTTATAACTTGAGCTCTCTCAGTCCCAACAAGACACTCTGAGGACCACAAATACTGGATTCCTAGGACACGATATCTTAGAGTCTCATGAAAACAAGCCAGTTGCAGCAACAAATCCTAAGTACACTGAGGTTCCTTTCCTCACGCCTCTCTATCCCCCCTGACCTAGCATCTTAGATTCAGAATATTATAGCTAAAAGTGCTTTAGACATCATCCAATCTTTTCATTGAACTTATGGGGTAACTAAGGCCTAGTGACAGTCAAAGTTTTGTCTAAGGTCACTGTATTCATTTTTCCATGGCTGCTGTAAAAACTTACCCCAAACCTAGTATCTTAAAACAGCATAAATATATTATCTTCCACTTCTGGAAATAAGTCTGACACAATTATCACTGAGCTAAAATCAAAATGTCAGTCAGCAAGGCTATGTTCCCTTTGGAGGGTTTGGAGAAGAATTAATTTCCTTGTCTTTCTTTTCTGGCTTCTAGAAGCTACCCACGTTCTTTGGCTCATGGCCCCCTTCCTCCATTTTCAAAACTAACAATGTAGCATTCTCAAATCTCTGTTCCTTTTTACTATGTAAACTAACATACTGACAGGTTCCAGGAATTTGGATGTGAATATCTTTAGAGGACCATTATTCTGCCTACCATAGTCATACAGAAAGTAAATAACAGATCTAGGACTGGAAGCCAAGTCCAGTTGATTCTTTCAGCTTTTAGGCATAATGGGAATATGTGTCTCAAGTGGCTCAGTGGAAATATGTTTTGAGAAAGAAGGAAGCTGGGGACTTGACCAGAGCGTGTGATGGGAAGAATCTTTGTGGCTAGAAGTAACTGACCAGAATCTTAATAAGGTATGTAGCATTTTTGGTGAAGCTGGAAAGTCAGGATATTATTTTCTTTTTTCTAAGGGAAGGTGAAAACCTTCTGTCTTGGCCCTATAGAAAGCATAGACAACTAGCTCAAATGCCCAGGCCAATCAGCCCACCAGTGAGTCTGGAAGAACCTGTTTACACATGGCATCTCTTTCTCAAGTCTTTCTCATGGGACTGGAGTTTTTTCTCTCTGGCTAGCTAAGAAGGTTAGGAGAATATGGAAAATGAAAAAGAAAAAGGCCTGGCTTAGTCTAGGCTGTTTCTTAGAGTTTTTGTTTCTGGCCTTATTTTCAATCAAATACCACTTGATCTTGTTTTACCCTCTAGGAAAGAGCCTGCCTGTCTTTGCCATCATCCTCATCATCTCCTTGTGCTGTATGGTGGTTTTTACCATGGCCTATATCATGCTCTGTCGGAAGACATCCCAACAAGGTTAGTGATGAATATGAGAAGGTGGCTTTGGCTCATTTGTTCTTTCTGTCAGTATACTTGAGCCTAAATTCTGTATCAGGCATTGTGTTAGGCACTTCAAGAAGCTCCCAGCCTAGTTTGGGAGTTAAGGTTGGGGTGCAGGGAGGCAGATGTTCGAGCAAACAATGGCATAAGACTTACAGAACTAAATGCACTAGGCTTTGGTACTCAGTGAAGTACAGCCATCTTTCTAACGAGTCATCTTGTAATGATGCAAGAGAAGGAGAAGTCACAATCCCTGGCCTCAAGTTGCTCACAATTTATTTAGGAGATTCAAGGTAGAAACATGGAATTTATCAATGACAATACATAGCAATAGAGGCTATGAGCTCAAAAACTAGAGAAGACAATTAATGCTAAAGGGATCCAGAGGAGAAGAGAGTAATTTAAGGCTTGGGTAATTAGCAAGGGATTTCAGAAGGAAGAATATCTTAGACCACATTTTGGAGGATGAAAACAAGTTGTAAGGAGACAGTATTTCAGGAAGAGAGAACTACATCAGCATAGTTGTTAGGGCCTAAAAGACAACTGAGAGTGGGGTCATCAATAAAGAAAATTTCTGTAGATGGGCAACAGGGAAGTACAGTGGGAAATGAAAGCTTATTCCTGATTATAGAAGGCCTTAAATGCCAGGTTAAATAATTTGGACTTTCTTCACTAGGCCTTGCAAGGGCACTAAATTTACCAAATTTTTCAAGCATGGAAGTGGCATAATGACAGCACAGTTGTCAGAGCCATTTAAAAACTATGAACCAACCGAGGAGGAAAAAAATTGGGATGCTTGTTTCTAAAAGAAAAAAATACTAGCTGTCTCTCAATGCCCAGTGCACTAGTCATGTTGCCTAGCATCAATTTGTCTTATTCTCTGTAGTATCTCTTACTCCCAAATAGCCTGGTTACTACCATGGATCTGATGGATTTCCATCACCAGAAGGGAGCCTTGAGTATCTCCTTCTCCCAGGTTTCAATTATAAGCTCTGGCTTTTGCCAGTTAGCATGTTTATCACCATGAGGCTGAACTTGATAGCACATGACTACAAACCCCAGGGGCACTAAAATGAAAGCATTTGCATATAGCCTTGATGAGGCTGGGCATAAGCGGTAACCACATTAAATTGTTTCTCTCTCAAAAACCTTCCATGGCTTCTTATGGCCCAGGGGATAAAGGTCAAAATGTAGCATTCTATTCAAGGCTCTCTGTGATGTGGGTCTAGCCAATTTTCTCAACCCACCACTTCCTTATACCTAGTCTCATTTCCAAAAATTCCTCTTTCCTATCTCTGTATAAGGGAGACAGCCTCAGAGCATCAATTTAATTTAACATAATTACTGAGCACCTATTGTGTGACAGGTGCTGAGCATATTAAGATGAAAAAGACACGACCCTTGCGGTACAGGTGCTCATAGGCCAATGGGCGAGTAAGACACAGAAATGCAGGGCTCTACCATAAGGCAGAAGTCCTGTGGCTTCCCTTGTTTACTTTGTTGTCATTTAATGCTTGCATTTCCAGTTGCATCCCTGAAAAATTATAAGCACCTAGAGGGCAGTACAAAGAAATATCTGTCTTTGCACCAACCTAAGCCTTTGAGCCTGTACGGAATATAGGACACTCCTCCTCCACAGACACTAGGGGGCAATGGTAACCAATACCATGGTTTTTCCTGGGTATATAGTGGGGGTGAGTGCATTTGGGAATGTCTTGGGTCACGGCCATCAGCATCAGGCTAATCCAGTCCCTTCTTCCTGGTATGTGGCCTGACAGTCAAGTTTCCCACAAGGACTCTCTGGGGATCCTTGGGGGAGATTCCTGGGTAAAGAGCAAGTCCAGTTCTAGTGCCCTCCCCCAACCCATACCGAGAAACTGCTCCAGCCCAATATCCTGAGTCCAAGATGACAAAAAGGATAGTGACCAAATGTGCTTCCCCTTCTTTTACCTGATAAATTTGCATCTCTGTGTTTCAATTCACCTCCCCAATACCTCCCAGTTGTTGGAAAGCTAAGACATATTAAAATCCCCTCCTCTGTACCCTTCCCTCATCTTTTGACTGGTACCCAGGATCCATGATTGACCTTTGTCCACTTGCCATGAAAACTTCTGACATGATTCCTCCTTTTTTTCTAGAGCATGTCTACGAAGCAGCCAGGTAAGAAAGTCTCTCCTCTTCCATTTTTGACCCCGTCCCTGCCCTCAATTTTGATTACTGGCAGGAAATGTGGAGGAAGGGGGGTGTGGCACAGACCCAATCCTAAGGCCGGAGGCCTTCAGGGTCAGGACATAGCTGCCTTCCCTCTCTCAGGCACCTTCTGAGGTTGTTTTGGCCCTCTGAACACAAAGGATAATTTAGATCCATCTGCCTTCTGCTTCCAGAATCCCTGGGTGGTAGGATCCTGATAATTAATTGGCAAGAATTGAGGCAGAAGGGTGGGAAACCAGGACCACAGCCCCAAGTCCCTTCTTATGGGTGGTGGGCTCTTGGGCCATAGGGCACATGCCAGAGAGGCCAACGACTCTGGAGAAACCATGAGGGTGGCCATCTTCGCAAGTGGCTGCTCCAGTGATGAGCCAACTTCCCAGAATCTGGGCAACAACTACTCTGATGAGCCCTGCATAGGACAGGAGTACCAGATCATCGCCCAGATCAATGGCAACTACGCCCGCCTGCTGGACACAGTTCCTCTGGATTATGAGTTTCTGGCCACTGAGGGCAAAAGTGTCTGTTAAAAATGCCCCATTAGGCCAGGATCTGCTGACATAATTGCCTAGTCAGTCCTTGCCTTCTGCATGGCCTTCTTCCCTGCTACCTCTCTTCCTGGATAGCCCAAAGTGTCCGCCTACCAACACTGGAGCCGCTGGGAGTCACTGGCTTTGCCCTGGAATTTGCCAGATGCATCTCAAGTAAGCCAGCTGCTGGATTTGGCTCTGGGCCCTTCTAGTATCTCTGCCGGGGGCTTCTGGTACTCCTCTCTAAATACCAGAGGGAAGATGCCCATAGCACTAGGACTTGGTCATCATGCCTACAGACACTATTCAACTTTGGCATCTTGCCACCAGAAGACCCGAGGGAGGCTCAGCTCTGCCAGCTCAGAGGACCAGCTATATCCAGGATCATTTCTCTTTCTTCAGGGCCAGACAGCTTTTAATTGAAATTGTTATTTCACAGGCCAGGGTTCAGTTCTGCTCCTCCACTATAAGTCTAATGTTCTGACTCTCTCCTGGTGCTCAATAAATATCTAATCATAACAGCAACTTCAGTTGTGTTGGTCTTCTCTCACAGTATGGTAGGACCTACTAAAAGTAATTAAAGTGAGACTAGTTAAGATGGCTGGGGCCCGAGAATATGGATGTCACTTTTGCTTTTTTGGTCTTTCCCCTTCCCACACATGCCACTCCTACTTCACTCCACTGGTAAGCCCAGCTGGAGAACAGTGAATACTTGATTAAACAGTACTCCCCTGGCTTCCATTACCCAACCTGTCATCCTGCCAGGTCCACCTGGATGATTCTTCCCACATCAACTGGAAGCCTAAGAAAGAAAAAGTCTTTCTGTCTCAGGGGACTATGAATGCAGAGATGAAGGGATTTCCTTCTTTCCCAAGTATGGATGCACCACTCCCAAGGATTTCCACTTCTTTGAATCTTAAAATCCTGGGGGTAGTTGCATTTTTCATATGTTATCTTCTTTAGCTCCTGGCCCCTTCTTACAATGTGAGGTGGGGATAAGAGCAAGAAAGCCTTTCTCTTCAAGGAGGAATAGGGCTAGGAGTGTGTGTGTGTGTGTGTGTGTGTGTGTGCGCACGACAGAGAGAGAGAGAGAGAGTTTGTATGTGTACATAAGTTCCTACACCTTTAAATCAGGCTCCGCTGTGAGGACCTGTTCTGACCCAGGTTGACACAGTTTTATTTTCTCGATGTAATTAATGTCAAATCAACTTCTGCACTCTTCAAGGAAGCTGCCATGTTGCTATTTCTGGTTCCCATGCAGCCCCTAGGTCAGCTCATGTTTCACAAGGAGCTGCTCCCCTTTTGCAATGATTACAGAAGTCAAAATAGTACACGAAAGTAACAAAAAGGAGTCCTCCACTTCACCGCCACCCAACATGCCAAATCCAGGGTAAAAACCTCAACATTTTCCTCATTCCAGACGCTAGCTTCTCCTAGTTGGCGAAAGGAACAACTCTTTCTTCCCCATCGTGCTTACAAGCCTCTGAAATAGGGCCTCCACCCAGTGGAAACCCCAACTTCCTTCATGAAACAACTCTGCGTCCAGACCCTACAGCCTTTGAAAATACCCATTATCTTTCCCTACTACCCATAGAAAAAGTGAGTTTTAGGTGTTGGGAAGAGAATCCTGGTTGCATTTTCACTGGTAAAAGGAGCCACACATCCAGGGACGCTGCTCCATAAGAGCTAAGGACTCCCAGGGATATCTCAAAGTCATTAATCTTAAAGAGCCTAGAGATCACTGATTCTAATACTTCCGTATTGGAGATGAGAAAATGAAGCTCAGAGAGGAACAAAAACACAGTTAGTGGTAGAAAGGAGACCAAAAGTCAGGCCTGTGAACTCCTCAGTGCATATATTTATTGCAGCATCTGGATCTTCTTTGCCTCAAAACTTAGAATATTTTTAAATACAGGACAAGCTAGTAAAGAATTCCTATGTAATAAAGATAGTCCACAGCTGCAGAGGCTAAACAAAAATGAGATGATAACATGTGACCTTTCTTAGGCAGATGGCTGGTTGGGGAAAGTAGATGAATGAAAAGAGGAAAAGATCTCCAGAAGAGCGGGAAGGTATAAAGTTTCTCTAGGACAGTTTCCCAAATCGTGCTTCATTGGACATTGACACAGGAGAAGGCTGTGGGGGAAAAGAAAATTCATGATCAGATAGGTATGGCAAATGCCTCATTCTATGGTTTCCTCTTTGAGATTCTCAATGCAACATTAGACTATTAAAGGCTCTGAAAAATCCTACAAGAAAACACCTGTATAACCTTGTGTGACCAAGTAATACCAAAATTTATTTGCCCTCTGAGTCTGCTATTTTGCCCTCTTCCTCCAGCCCTTGACACTGTTTCTCAGGAAGAAAACATCCTTCATGCTGGCTACTACCTCATATGCTCTATAACATTGTGGTGTTCACAGTTTGAATTTTTCAAAATCCAGGGTAGAATTTGGCCCCCAAACCTAAAGCTAGTGGACAAGAGGAAAGTCAATCAATCAGTAAATATTTATTATTTTCTGTAACTAAAGTACTGGGCTGTGGTAGGGGAGACAACAATCAAAGACATAGCCTTGTCTTCCAGAAGCTCACAATCTAGTTGGGAATTCAAGAATACCCCTTAGAAAAGTTCATTGACAATTTACGAGGTGCTATTAGACAGTAGGAGAGAAAGGCATACATACCAGGGCCCAGGGAAGAAGAGCTTTGTGAATGAAGAAGGAAAAAGTGTAAGTTGACTTTCAAAAGTCTCTGGAAACACTGGACTTTAGCTGGTCCAGGAAATATAGGGAAGAATTGGATAGGCAGGAATAAATGGAGAAAGTGTTCCTACAGGAAAAGACATGTGGAAAAGGGGAGAGGTAGGCAAGATCAAGGAGTGTTTAGAAGGCAAGACTGAGTATCAAGAAAGTGAATTTCTAAGCCCTGCTTACTCAGATAAGCCATTAGGCTTGTGTGAGAATGCTGATGTCCTAGATAGGAGACTCTGGGAGGGGAATATGAAGGAAGAAAATAATAATGAATCAAAGAGCACTTCCATTCCTGGACACTTTATACATTTTCAAGACTATTGCGCCCCCATCAGCACTCTCATGGTGTGTGTAGACACAGCCCAGGGCTGTATTTCCCTGAGATGCCACACTTTTCCCCTGGTGTCCTCAGATATAATGCCTCAGTTCCTGCAAAGTCACATAAAATAACTTGTGAGAACTTGGTGCTTGGTGAGCATCCTTGTATCCAGCTGGCAGTCCATTCGTCATATCCCATCTGCCCTGGCCTAGAGCTGGTAAGCATGTGCCGCACTTGGGGTATTTGACAAACTGACACTCTACCACATGGAGTGTCCAACTCAGCTTGTCAAATACACGGAGCGTGGCACTGCAGGAGGCCAGGCCAAGAGCTTCTGTGGGGAAGTGAGATCTTCCTGGGAGATGTGACCCTAGAGGGAAAGAGAGAGAAAGGAATGATGAAGTCACACCCTTAGCCCCGGGGATCTTGCTCAAAGGACCAACCAAAGCACCAGAATAGGGAAGTGAGCAAAATAGGCATAGGGTTCCTAACCAGAAGAGAGATCCTGAAGATAAGCAGGTAAAGCCCGAGTGACACCCAGTGCTCAGCTGGAAGCTCATCAGGCCTGAGTCCTGTAGCTATGGCATTTCTAGGGGTCCCAAGCTTCAGTGGGTTCCTCTATGCAGCAGAGAGGGGAAAATTTGGTCATCATCCTGCCTCCCTGACTTGAGGAAAGTACCAGACCCTAGAGTCAGCATCCTTGCTCCCTCTTCTCAATTCTCCCAAGCTGTGTTTTCAGTGTTGTGGTTATGCACATAGGCTTTGAGGTTAAACATGAGCTTAAATCCTAGTTCTTCCATTAGCTAGTTAGGCAACCTTGGATACATCATTTCACCTCTCTGAGCTCAAGTTTTCTACACCCACAAAATGTATGTAAGTATAATACCTACCTCATAAGGTTATTGTGAGAATGACAGGAGATAATGCATGTAAAGCCTTTGGTTCAGTATTCAATACATAACAAATGCTCAAAAAGTAGTGGTTGTGTGACCAAAATGAAAGAAAGAGCTATTGGCAATTGATTTAGCAGGATCTGGACAGGTGTGACATTGATTTCTTGTGGTCTCAGCCTTGCCTAACATGATCCTCTTGTCCCATAGGGACTCAAGAATGGCAGCTATTAAAGTGCCCTTAAAGATCATCTAGTCTCACTCACTTAGGTTATAAATGAGATAACAAAGGCTCCTGTTGGGGAGGAGACTTGTAAAGTTTATACAATAAATTTTTTACAGTTCAGCAGTATGCCTTATACAGCTTTCCTCATTGGTTATTTTGCCTCCCTTCTCTGTATATCCCTCTGGGAAAGGGAAGACACATCAACAAAGAGGGCAAAAACAGGCAATAGCTTTGTAATGCAACATTTGGGATCACTGAACCCACAAGCCACCAGGGCAATAAGGAAGCTGCCAGGAGCAGGGTCAGGTCTGAAACTTCTGGGAGAATTCCCTTGGCAACAATCAGATCCTGTTGCTAAAAATCCCAGGTTGCTGGTGTCAAATTACTGCCCTTACCAGCTGTGGCAGTTGATCTGTGAGCAGGTAGCTGGTCTACATTAAATATTGTCATGAAAAGTGGCAAACATCACAAGGTTACCAGAAATGGTAAACTGCCCCCATGAGGCCGGAAAGCCCTGTCCCAGCCCAGGTAAGACAGAGGGATTCAGCCTTGTCTTTCAGCAAGAAAACAATCAGTGTCTTTTCTTGCTCTATTCTTTTAATTGAATGTTAAGAAGGTAACATACTCCTTCAATTTAAGTTCTGGCAGTCATCTCAAAACTAAAGCTCTTTCACTCCCTCACTTCCTTTTCTACCTACCCAATTCAGCCTAATCCACCCAGCAGCAAAAGCAGCAGTCATGGTCACCAAATATGGCATGACAGAATCGACAAACTTGTGTTCTAATGCTGTCTTGGCCATCAACTAGCCAATCATGGCTTGGGCAAGTCTTTCTTTGGGTTTCAGTTGTCTTCTCTGGAAATGAGAACAAGGAGACTTACCTACTTACCTGGCAAAGTTGTTGGAAAGTGTTGCTAAGCTTTCCAGAGCCTCCCACATAGGAGCTCAAAAGGACCTTGTCTCAGCCCCTGGACCTATGGTTGGAGGCCAGCCAAGCAAGCTGATTAACAGAGTCTGAGTTGGGGATGGCAGGAGAAAAAGAAATGGATTGTTACCTTTTTTGTATCATTACACTCATTGGCTGTCAGCTCCAGTAAGAAGACCTAGATAAGCTGGAGGTGTTCACAGCCTTTTGAATGCACTTTCTGACTTTATTCACCTCCAGAAAGGCTGGAAAGGAGGCATGAAAGGGGCTAAAAATTATTAGTACTTTGAAATTTGTGGAGCCTTATAGACAACATTGCTTCAGTATTAATGGAAGGAGTTAGTGGTTGAGCTGAAACTAGACTGGTATGCCTCTCCAATGGAGTGTATGTAAGAAAATCACATTCAGTTGAGAAATGTTCACCAGACCCATAGAAAGAAGACATAAATATCTATATGGGATGATATTAAGGGAATTTGAAAGCTCTTCTCTTGGTCTGTTATATTACTTAGAATAACATCATTTTTCCCCATATGAAATGCAAAATCCTCTACTGAAGAGCGTCATCAAGCCACTATTGTTGATGCAAAGGATGGGTCAGTTTTTATGGAGGGAATTGGAGGGAATAGACCAGAAGAATTAGGGGTAAGTAGGTGTCTAGGAATCTCTGAACACTCAGAGTGAGCCAAGTACCTGAAAGAAAAATAGAAGAAAAGAAGAAGTCCTCAGGACCATGCCTAAAAATCCCAGACTGCCTCTAGTATGAGCAGGACCTGTCCTGGGTCAGTTACAGGACAGGTCCTGCTGCTTGATGTCTCAGTCCTCCTAGGATAGAGCAAAAAGAGGACTGACCTGGGAGCCCAGACCCAGCTGTGCTACAGATTCTCTGTATGACTTTGGGCAAGTCCCTTTCTTCCTCTTTCTGGACCTCAGTTTCTTCCATATGTACCTAGTCTCTAAGAGTCTTTCAATTTTGAATCTCTAGGAGTCAAAGATTGGACTAGAAAAGAGGCTTTCATCTTTGAGTCATGCCTCTCAGAGAGTGCTATATGGATTACCACCAGCACTCTCCTCTTGAATGTGTTCAGCCCCACCCACAGTTACATATGCAAAGATTACTCTCATCTTCTTTCTTGACAGAGGGCTGACAATCATGAAAATTAGGAATCTAATAACCATGGGTCTCTAGACAGCATCTATCTAATCATTCTTTTCCTCTTTTTACTTTTTTATTTTGCAAAAGGGGTGAAAAAACTGTGTCCTAGATTGGAGAAAGGACTTACCCAAAGATACACATTGGGTAAATGGTAAAACCAGGACTGCTACTCAGGTTTCCTGACTCCTGGGTCCAAAGGCCATTCCACTTCCATGTGACTATCTCCTAAACATCCTGATTGGATAGAAAATATCCTATCCCCTTTTCCCCTCCATTAGAACCTCTAGGATAAAAGGCCAATGGAAGCCTTCTTCCTCCCACCTTTGACCTTAATCCCTGAGGAGGGTCTGAAGAGAATGGGATGGGCAGATCCAAGCCACCCTTGGCTGCCATGGACTCTGCCCCAGCTTGAGAATCCAAGAAGAGAGGGCAAATGGATACCATACCTGTCAGTGGAGTGGTGCCTTGGTCATGGAGGGGACTCTGATTCCCCAGTGCTGAGCCAACCTGCAGGGGCCAGATGGAATTGGGCTTTCTGCCGTGAGCAAGAAGCTTCTGTGTTTTGAAGGGCCCTTGGTGTCTTCAACAGGAAACAGAAATGAGGAAGATAAGACTGAGGTTAGCCAACGGAAATCTGGATGCAAAATGACAAAACAATGCTGTTGTGAAAGGGTCTGCTACTGCAGCAATAGTAGCAGGCCACTGCCCTGCCTCCACCAACTCCCAGCTGACCTTCAACAGACACTAACTTTCCAAGCTGCAGAGAGAGAGAGAGTAGAAAGCACCTGGCTGCCCTAGGCTCTGCCTGTGGGTCAAGGAGGTTTTCCCAGAATAATTGAGGGAAACCTGGAATACCAGAACTGAGACATTATCTAATGAAAAAACCCGTAGTCAAAATTGAGAAACAGAGCCTCTGAGGGATAAAAGGAAATACTCAGTATCACAAAGCAAATTAGTGGAAAGCTGAAATTTAAACCCATCCCCATGGACTCCAAATCACATGTTCTTTCACTCTGCCAGAATGCCTCCTGGTCCTGGAATACCATTTTACTTCCAACTTCTCTCCTGGCATACAGAACCAGCTACATAATTTGCAAGGCCCAGTAAAAAATGAAAACGATAGGCCCTTTATTTAAAAATTAAGAATATCAAGATGATGACAGCAGAACATTAAACTAAGTGTGGGGTCCTTCTAAGCATGGAGCCCTGTGAAGCTGTACAAGTCATATGCCTATGAAGCTGGCTCTGGGGCACAGTTATGACCACAAGCCACATTCTGTCATCTTGGGGCTTGCTGAAGGAAATAAATAAGGAAATTCACATTTATTGGAGTACTTATGATATTCTTTCATGTGTATTATCTAATTTATTCAACAACTCTCTGGTATGGTATTATTATTCTTATTTATAGGTGAGGAAACTGAGGCACACAGAAATAAAGTGACCTGTCTAAGGAAACAAAACTAGAAAATAATAGAGAAGGCAGATTTTTCACTCAGGTCTAACTCCAAATGTTGAGGTTTTCGTCTACTTTCCCACATTGGCTACAAGGAAGGGAGAAGAAAGTAGTTGACTTTGAGAAAGAAAAATTAGTGCCAGACCCCTAAGTTCAACTGTGACCTTCAGGCTAATGAGGGACATGAAAGGTGTGAAAAGAAGGTGGATGGTTTCTTAATGCCTCATGTTTGCAGTCTCCTGGAAGTCCCCACTAACAGCCAGGAAGATGATGAATTCCCATCATGCAGTGCCCTCCACCATGAATTCTGATGGCATGAAGGATGGGAGGGGCAATGCTTTCAGGTTATACTTTGATAGCTTTCAATGACTGCAGTGCCCAAGTCACAGTCCTCTGTCTACACTAGTGGAAGTATGGCCCTGAGTGATAGTCAAGCCGTGGTAAATAATCTTTTCAAGCTATGTACATTCTTATATACTCAGGCTCAAAAGAAAGACCACATTCTGCGAGCCAAGAGCCCTGGGCCCTAGTCCCCACTCTACTACCTCCCTGGGCATTAGTTTCTCCTTTAATCAACAGAGGTTGGACTAAATGGTCTTGGAGACCACTCCAACTCAAACATTCCCTGGTTCCTTTGTGGCTCTTCGTTACTCACTGTGGGCTTCCCCATGGTTGCAGGACCTGAGGCTCTGTGAAAGCCTGAAATAGGGATTCACTTGCACTAACATCACTCTGTAGAAAACTTCCTTCTACCAGAATAATTTATTGGCTCAGGCCTCAAGACCCCAGATCTAGCTTCTAGAAAGATTCAGTTCTTGTTTCTTTTGGTTTCTGACTAAAGCTTGGAGCGGAAGTAGGGTAGTCCTGCGGGCACTTTGCTAAAATGGGACCCCCTTCTTCCTACGCATACCATAGAGATTAAGTTTAGCTACACACGTTTTTTTCTTCCCTATCAATTAGGGTACTCTACTGGCCTTTTAACAGGGGTTTCTGGAGACAATGTGTTTACCTAAAGTAGTAATTAATGGTATCTATTTTGAGTCCAAAGACAGGGCAATAAAAGAGAGCATTAGGAAACAGAAGGCTCTGAAAATCATACTACCTATGCATATGGCCTGAATGCGAGAAAAGGGAACTGTGCTCAGAGTTCCTCTTTAGCCCACAAACACAAAGTATGCTGGGAAGGGCCAAGTTTCCAATAACAGCACAAAGGGGCTTCTTCTTTTTGATCTGTTGTCCAGGCTTCTGCAGAGAGCAACCAAAAGTCACAAAGTTTTCCCATTTTGTATGATTTCTGCCTTGCCTGTGCTTGTGAAGGGAGATGAGAAAGAAGGGAAAATAGTTGACAAGCGGAGCAAGCAGGCAGTGCTGGGGTCCCACACTGCAGACACACTCATTTGTTTCCGCAGTACTGGAATGGAAAGAACACTGAATCAGAGTCCCTGCATCTTAGACCCTGGGTTATAGACCAAGCTCTGTAACTTATTGATTATGTGACCTTGAACAATCACACACAGCCTGTCTGAGCCTTAGTCCTCACATCAGATTGAAGGATTCTCAGGCTAAAGGGAAATGGAAGACAGGTGTGCACCCCAAGAGCTATGTCACCCTACAGAATATGATAAGTAATTTGACAAAGTCATGAAGTGCCGTCAGATACGTATATAAGATTCTCCCAGGGCAGAAGATGAGAAGGTGATGGTAACTGGAAAGGTTCTCAGAAGAATAAGATTTTGGCTACATCTTAAGGGATAGAGAGGAAAAAAATGATGCTCACTGTCTCTGGAAAGCCTTCTCTGACAACCACCTGCAAAATTAGTTGCTTCCCACCTTGCCCTCCTCTACTCTTGAAAAACATCCACACAGCACTTAGGTGTCAGTCTCTCCCAGAAGACCAAGCACTGCCCAAAGTAGGAACTATGTTTGATCTTTACTGTCTTCTTAGGCCTAGGAATAAACTAGTTATCCCAGAACTGTGAGGTGAATAAGTGAATGAGTCAATGCATAAGCAAAAGAAAGAGACCTCATAGCCCAATGTCCCCACATTGCTTAGCTTACCCAACCTCCATGAAGGAGCTGAGAAGCCCCCACCCTTCACTTTGAGTTTATCTTCCTGTTCACTCACCCCCACCTCCTTTCAGAAGACTTTCAAGAAGAGGCCCCAGGGAAAATTGCAAAGCTAAGGCCACTTCCTGTGCAAGTGGCTTGTGTCCACACACTCTACCTCAACCCTAGTGATTGCTATGCATAGGATTGCATTGGGGTTTCCTCTGAAAGGAAATACAAAGGCTGATGCAATGTGTAGGGCACCCGCAGGCCAGGACTAAAGAACTTTTTGTACACCTGGGCCTAGGGACAGAGGTTTCACTGTGAGGCTGCCACAAAACAGTGACACTGACAAGATAAATGGCAGCAATTAACCCAATAACTACAGCTTAAGTATATTCAGCAAGGGTGTGTTGAGCACCTACTGGCTACAAAGCTCTATGCTTGGCAAAAGGGGAAAAAATAAACATACAACAGAACAGAAATATACAACAATCTAATACAAATGTAATGCGAGCCACAATTATTATAATAACCACATGAAAAATTTTTAAGTGAAACTAATTTTAATAATATATTTTGTTTAGCTCAATACATCCACAATGTTATTTCAACCTGTAAACAATGTAAGTATTTGTTAATAAGATATTTTACATTATTCAAAATGTAGTATGTATTTTATGCAAACAGTACATCTCAATTTGAACTTGCCATATTTCTAGTGTTAAATTGCCATCTGTGGCTAGTGGCTACTGTATTGACCAGAACAGGTATAAGACATGGTCCCTACCCTCTAGGAATTCACAATCTAGTCCAGAAAACAGAGTGCTACATAAGCATGTTCAAAAAATGAGTACAATAGTGGAGGTGCATGTATGGAAAAGAGAACTGTACTGAGGGTCAGGAGATCTGGGCTACAGTCTTTTCTCTGCCACTAATTCTCTGTGTGACCTTGAGCAAATCCCTCTCCCTTTCTGGGCCTCCAAATTTCCATCTCTACAATAAGTCTGATTAAATTTATTCACAAAACAAATACAAGTTGAATGTGTTCTAAGTGTCAGGCATGGTGCAAGGTACTCAAGATGCAGAAGTGAAAAAGACATATAAAACGCTTGCCTTCTTGACATATACCGTGTGGTGGAAAATAGCCATTAAACAAATTTTTTAAATATGTCAAGAAAGGGGGAAGATCAGAGAGCAGGGAGAACACGTAACAGGATAACATAATCCACCAGACTTGGATAGGTCAAGAAAACTTCTCTAAGGAAGTAACTTTTAAAGTGAGACGGAAAAATGAAAAGTAGTGAGCCAAGTGGATAATGGGTGCAAGGCAATTCCAAGCAGAAGAAGCAACATGTATAAAGGTTCTGAGATGGAGAATAATGTGGCATATTCCAAGAAGATAAAAGGCTGGTATGGCTTGAAAAAGAGTGAGCAAAGGAAAAAATAGCACAAAGCAAATAGAAGAGTTAAGCCGGGGGCCAAACTAAGAAAGGACTTGTATGCTATGTTGGGCGTTTGAGACATGAGAAGCCAGAAAGTGTATATATGTGATGCAGTGCCCTTCTATATTCAAGCCTAGGATTTTAGGGGTCCAGACTATGGCAACAAACAGGAAAAAAAAGTTAATTTCAACTGGTTGGATTAGAGACTTCACAGAAGAGGCCGAATTTTAAAAGAGCCTTGAAGGATAACAGGATCAATAATCAGAGAAAGGCATTTCAGGCAGAGGAAAGAACCCAAGTAAAGGTGCAGAGATAGGAAAGAATATGGTGAGCTTGTGTGAATAGGGAGACTACCGATACAAAATGGCAAATATAAGCCTGAGAGCATTTTTAAGTATCTATAGATATCGTAGAATAATAGTAGCCCAAAGGCCTATCCAACACACCAAATGTGCTCTGGAGGAAACCTGGCAAAGAGGTTCGACCTATCAGGAGATCCATTTTGTACTGGAATAACAATAATTAACAAGTATTGTGAGCTTACTAAGTGCCAGGCACTGTTTGAAGCCCTTTACATATGTTAGTTTATGTAATCCTAACAACAACCTTATGAGGGAGATACTATAATTACCTATTAAATGGCAGATGTAGGATATAAATATCATGCAACAATTTATGAAAGGTAGAAATTTTGGAGCAATCTACAAAAAAATATACAATATGTCTCTGGCTGGAAAATGTCAAATTCAAGTCAGTTATCATCTCAGTCTTTAAGGGCAGTTTTTTCCAAGAAAACCTCATTAATTTCCAATTTATGATTGTTAGATAAGTCTGAGCTGAAGCTTTTGTTTAGCTTCTTAGAAAGACAAAATAAATGAAGTAAATAAAATAGGAGTTCCAGGGAGTTGTTTAAAGACAGAAAACCAAACTGGTTCTACTTACTACCCATACCTCACTCCCACTTAGAGTCCTTCAGAACCTTCCATCTATGGCAGAAATAACTGAAGTGACCCTAATCAACCATTTTAATCTATTTCCTATAATGGCCCACCTAAAGGTTTTTACTAAGCAGTAGCTGTTTTTGTTTTGTTTGTTTGTTTTTTTCTTAAAATGAGTAAAGAGTTTATCTGGGCCAAGCTTGAGAGCTGCAACTCAGGAGCATAGATTCGAGTTGCCCTAAATATACACTCCCTTGGGAAAAATTTTAAATGGACAATGAAGAAATGAATGAGGAATCAACTTTCAATAGCCTATTGTAAATAGTATATTTGGAAGGAACAAACATGTATTTATTTAAAATATATATTCTCACTCTAGTCTGTCTCTCACTCCCACTATTCACATCACACCTGTAGTCCCAGCTACTGGGGAGGCTGAAGCAGGAGGATCACTTGAGCCCAGGAGTTCAAGGCTGTAGTGCACTATGGTCACCTGTGAATAGCCACTGCACTCCAGCCTAGGCAACAGAGGAAAACCTTGTCTCAAAAAATAAATAAATAAGAGGAAATTCTGTCATTTTCAACAACATAAATGGAATTGGAGATTACGTGAAGTGAAATAAGCCAGGCACAGGAAGACAAATGCCACATAATCTCACTTACAGGTGGATTCTAAGATAATGAAAGTTATAGAAGCGGAGAGTAGAATGACGGTTACAGAGGCTTGGGGGTGGGTGGAATGGGGAGATAATTTTCAAAGGGTACAAAGTTTCAGACAGAAGGAATAGGGTTTTTTTGAGATCTATTGCACAGCATGGTGAATACAGTTAATAATAGTATATTGCATGTTTCAGAATTGCTAAGAGAGTACATTTCAAATTATTCAACAAATTATAAGTATTTGAGACAATGGATATATTAAATTTAATTACTCCACATTGTATTCATAAATCATAACATCACTTTGTATCCCACAAATACAATTATAAATTTACAATAAAAAATTAAATGAATATATCTATATATCTGTATGTATCTATATATCAGTATAGAGATATTTCCTAATTCAGACTGGGGTAGTTGCCCGTGATATCATTGACTTGGCACACACAGACTATTTTCATCTTCTTAGTTTGTCTTCTGAGTAAAGGAAGGGCAAGAATTGTGCCTTTTGGGAAACAAAAAGAAAATTTAGAACAGACCCTTGAGCTTTCACCACAGCTAAACATTTGCTAGAACTAGATTTGGCACTGATTCAGGAATCAGTCAATCCCTAAAAAATTGATACCTCATGGGGTTACAAAGTGGAATCCTGAGAGCTCCTGTAAAGGCCAGATAATGCAAGGTAAGAAGCAGAAAAGCTTCATATTGGCATCAGAAGGGACACTGCCTTCTATTATCGGTTCTAGGCAGAATAGGAAGTGGGAATTGGAAGAAAAACACTTTTGTTGAGTACTTATTATGTACCACCTACTCTCACTCTCTATTACATCACTTATTACTCTCAATAACCTTATAAAATAGGAAGTGGGAATTGGAAGAAAAACACTTTTGTTGAGTACTTATTATGTACCACCTACTCTCACTCTCTATTATATCACTTATTACTCTCAATAACCTTATAAAATAGGAATCATTTCTATTTCGCAAATGTAGGCATTGAAGCATGAAGAAATTAAGCAACTTCCTTCAACGTCACATATTTAGTAAGTGGCAAAGCTGAGATTTATAATTTTGTCAGAATTTAGAATTCCAAATTCTAAAATTAAGAAGTTTATTGCTAAGATGGCATAAGAGAGGCTACTCAATGACTCACCATATCCTTTGGCCCCCTCAAACCCTGCTGCCTAGCTGTTTCCCGTAGCCTTAAAGAAAAAAGGGGTTTATTCCACTCAATTGCAAACTCCATGAGAGCAGGAACCATGTCTGTCATACCCAGTTTTCAATTAGACTGCTGATTTCTTTTTCTTAATTGATTTTGGGTGTACTTTGTATGTTAGAGAAATTTTTCCTTTGTATGTAATGAGAATTGTAATTATTTCCACTAGTTTGTCATTTGCCTTTTGACTTTGCTTCTACCATGTTATAGTTTTGTTTATTGTTTATGTCCCCTACTAGAGTGTAAGCTCCATGAGGGTAGTTATTTTATTTTATTCTTAACTATATCCCTAGTGCTAGAGCTGTCTTGTTTATAATAGTAGGTTCTCAGCAAATATTTGTTCATGAAAAAAAAATCTTCCTGTTCTGCAAGACCAGAAAATGAGGTAATATCTGAATACTGAAAGCTTTGACCTTCCTTGGACTCTGGTTCCTGATGACCTGGTTCCTGGAAGCCATCAGGTTTGAAGGTTCATTGAAAATAGCTCTAGGCAGAGTGTCAGGAGACCTGAGTTCCAGGCCCAGCTGTGTCATGGCTTATAACATGACCTTGGGAAGTTTTCTTTTTGCTCTGGGTATTGGTCTCCCTGTATCAGTTCATTCTCATATTGCTGTAAAGAAATACCTGAGACTGGGCAATTTATATATTTTTAAAAAGTTTAATTGGCACATAGTTCTGCAGGCTGTACAGGAAGCATAGCAGCATCTGCTTCTGGGGAGGCCTCAGGAAGCTTCCCATGGTGGAAGACAAAGGGGTGCAGGCACATCACATGGTAAGAGAGATCAAGGAGAAAGGAGGGAGGTGTTACACACTTTTAAACAACCAGATCTCATGAGAACTTAATCACTTTTGCAACAACAGTACCAAGGGGGATGGAGTTAAACCATTCATGAGAAACCACCCCCATGATCCAATTATGTCCCACCAGGCCCCACCTCCAACATTGGGGATTACATTTCAACATGAGATTTGGGTGGGGACACATATCCAAACTATATCACTCCCTCACTCTCCATTTCTAAATAGGGTGAACTGTATGGTCTTTGAAGGGCCCTCTTCTCTCTCCCATTCACAGATTGGTCAAGTGGTCTAGGTAACAAGGGTGTCAAAGATAGCAAGACTGACCAAGGCCCTGCCTTCCTGGAACTCATATTCAAATGAGGGACACAGGCACTTGCCAAAGTATGTCAGGATGAAAATATAAGTATTATACAGGATAAATATAGAGTATTATAAGAGCAAATAATAGTAAACCTAATCTGGTATGAGAGTTTAGGGAAGACTTTCTTCAAAAAATATTTAAGACCTAAAGAATGATCTAGACTAAGTAAAGTTCTCAGGCCTTGTATATATGTGTACATACATAATATTAATATTAATTATACTATATTTATATTACTAGTTACCTAATTTTTCATTATTATAATGAATATGATTATTTGTTGTACATAACATAGTGATACTATGTAATATATAATATATATATCACTATATACTATAATTTATAGTGATATTATAAACATTATTTATATTATATATATATATACATATATATATATATATATACATATATATATATATATATATATATATACTCACCTAACATGTGAAAAAAGCTTTCTAAACTGCAAAGTGATAATACAACTGTGAGGGATGAATTTTCTCATTTGTCTAGGGATTTCTTTTGACCTGTTTTGGACCTCCATGGGTGGCCCTCAATGAAGGTTTCTTTGAGACTGGACCTGAACCTGAATCTGAGTCCCCTTGGGATTTGTAGGGCGACCTGCTGGTGCACTTATTGGTACAAAGTAGATATAATCTATCGCTGACAAGGAAAGATATATTTTGGAGCCTGGAACTACCTCTAACCATATATTAAGCTCATTTGCCTCAGCCACTAGTGATAAAAGATGTCTTAGAAGCTGCCTGGCTTATCTGCAAATCTTGGCACTGGAGGCCGACAGAAAAGGGGAAGAAGCTCTATGGGTCTCTCTAGCAACCTTGACTATCCAGGAGATGATCAGTTCTTGGACATTGTGGCATAAATTCCCAGCATACACAAACTTTCCCATCTTCTCATTATCTCATTATCTCCAGCAGGACTGGAGACTCCAGTACACTGTGTTGATAGGGCTAGGGAACCAGAGGAAGTGGGGGAAGAGAGACAACAGTTGAAGAAAGGCTACTCTGTCCCAAGCTAGATGCTTTATGTACATCCGCTTATGTAATCTTCATAACAACTCTACAAGGTGAGAATTGTCGTATCTTTCACTGATAAGGAAATTGAATCTCAGAGTGCTCAAATGACTTACTTCAAGTAATTTATTAATCAGCTAAGCTGGAGTTCAAACCAATTATTTTTCTACTGTCTTCCATACCACATGCCACTTGGAAGGTCCATTTTAATGTCTTTCGCTGTCTTCAGGCTGGAACATATCAATTTTTACTCCAAAGCAGGAGAATTATATCTAAGTTTTGGGGATCACAAATAAGGAAATTCTCTCACTTCTCTTCACATGAACTGGTGCTCCTCTGGCAGGAAGTTGAACCTCCCATCTAATCTGAACCAGGCCTATTGTGGTTTAAGTCAACTTCCTCTTCCTTTATCCTACTTTTCTTCTGAACATTCTTCTCTGAGCTGCAAGCTGCAGCCTGAAACCTCTCAGGAACCTCTCATTTTACCCCTAAGCTAAGCAAAGGGGTTTTAGAACTGGAATCTACTACTCCACTTCACTTGCTTCTTACTACTCCATTGGCTCTGTTCTCACAAAGATCATCAACCAAATAGCCTGTTCTCAGACACTGTCCTGTTTTGTCCCTCATCTGTTGATCTCTGAGCCTGTACATATAATCACATCTTAACCAAATTTAAAAAAAAAATCTTTCTAGTGACCACCACATCATTCTTCAGATCACTCTAAAAAGTAGGTTCCATAGATTACCTCACTGTTTAACCTCCTAATCTACCATAATTTAGCTTTTTGTCTTTATTCTCATTTCTGCACTAACCTTGGTAACTGTTGTCACAAAATTACCATGAACTCTTAATCAACAAAACCAAAAGCCTCTCTACTAGCCCTCACTCCCTTCAATGTCTCTGCAACAGGTGACTGTCAGCCATTTCTTCTTTCCTAAAACCTGTCATCAAATGGTTTAGAGAATACCCTCCCTCTCCAGACTGAATTTGATCACCAGAACCACAGAAGTATGGTTCAGATGAGATGTAAAGATCAAATTCATGCCAGAGGATCATAGCCAATTGCAGAGACTGTCTTCTCCATTTGTGTCCCTGATACCTAGCAGAACACCTGATCCCAATAGTGCTCAGTGAGAATTGTTGAATTTACCTATACTCCTCTGATTCACCTATCTTCCTAACCATTCTCTTTGGTTCTCTTAACGACGTCTCTTTCTTTCCTGTTCTTTATTAAATGTGTTTCCAAATACTCTGTACTTTTGTCTTTTTGTTGTGTCTCTGCACACTTCCTTACTCTCTTTCTATCTTCCCTACCTCCAGATCAGTAGATTCAATCTAATATTGAACATATCTCCCTGAATGTCTAAGTCCTCATGCCCTAGACCCTACACCTCAAACAAACTTGGTCATAATACTGTGTTTCTTATCTCCATGGAGAAAATCCAAGTTAGAAATATCAATCATCGTTGATCATCATTATATATTTTTACTAATATTCTGATTATAACACTTATGACCTTAAAGTGTGATATTTTTTGTCCATGCCTTTTTCTCATGAGTAGCCTGTAGTTCCCTCAAGAAAAAGTATCTCTGTTTAAATTGATTTCTGTATCACCAGTGTTTGGCACATAGTAAGGGGCCTTAGTGTTAGCAATTGTTAGCTAAATTAATAAAGGGTGATGAGGTCAGCTCCCAGAGTGCTTGTATTTGAGGAAGAGAATGATTTTGTTCCTAATGATGAAGAAGAATATAGAAAAAAAAAGATGAAAATGATGTTCATTTTCATCCAGGAATGTTTTTATCCTTAAAGTTTGATATTTATTGCCAGGATGATCTTTTAATAACACAACTCTAGTGGTGTTATTGCACTGCTCAGAAAAGATGAGTGGCTCTTCATTGTTTTAAGCTTAAAGTTCAAAATTTGTCAGCTAAGTGATCAGGATCTTTCACAATCTGTACACAGCCTATGTCTTCACTGTTCTCTTCCCATCCTATATTCTGACTACTGCATGCCCTATATTCTAGTATACCTCCAGCCTTTACACATGCCTCTCTGTGGACCTGGAAAGCTTCCTATTCCCTTCACATCTATTCTGTCAGGAGACCTTGTGTTTCTTCTTCAGACCCAGCTCAATTGTCATCTCCTCTGGGAAACCTCTTTTAATTGTCCTAGACAAATTCTTCTGTGCGTTGTATGCACCTAAATTACAGCCTGATTACATTGTATTTAGAATACCTGTTTACATAGTTACAAAGTGTGCTCTACCAGGCACTGGCTTTAACTTAATAATTTTTGGATTCCCAGATCCTAGGTTAAGTTCTAACATGAAGTAGCTTTTCTGTAAATGTTGGTTAAATCTGACTAAAATGCCTGCTGAAATAAATATTAATATTTGTGCTATATAATCTGACTCCATCTTGACTTATGGATACTTTCCACACATGTTAAGTCCACAACTCCAATTCTGCCCGAGTTAAAATCTCTTCAGATGGCAGGGGTGAGTCATTTCTTAGGCTCCATACCTAGAACACAGTAGGCTTTTAGTGAACCATTTGAAATCAAGATGTGTTTGGAGGTGAACATAGGCCAGCACAGCAATCGGGTTGATGAGTAATGTCTTCTTTTTTTTTTTTTTTTTTTGAGGTGGAGTCTTGCTCTGTTGCCCAGGCTGGAGTGCCATGGTGCAATCTCAGCTAACTGCAACCTCTGTCTCCTGGGTTCAAGCAATTCTCCTGCCTCAGCCTCCCCAGTAGCTGGGATTACAGATGTGTGCCACCATGCCGGCTAATTTCTGTATTTTTAGTACAGACGGGATTTCACCATGTTGGCCACGCTGGTCTCGAACTCCTGACCTCATGATCTGCCCACCTCGGCCTCCCAAAGTGCTAGGATTACAGGTGTTAGCCACCCCGCCCAGCCAGTAATGTCTTCTAAACCTCTGTTTTCTTCCTATGGACATAATGAGACAAAATTTGAATAGAGAAAAACACAATTGCAACCAGGGTTGCATTCCTGTCACCTTAGGTAAGGAAGAAGAGGAAATGAAAATCAGAGAGGCGACAAAGCTGCGTGGGCTGGAGGGAGGAAATCTGTTGTAAATATCAAAAAGCGAAGCTGAAAATAAACCTCAGCCCTTTAGAGAATTACTAGTGAAGTTAAGTTCAATTGATTTAAAGATTGCTTTTCAGAGAGTTCATAAAACTCATGATCCTGAATTGAGGGTTGTTTGGGAAAAACCCCAAACCATTTTTTTCCTCTGCTTTCACATCAACACAACAATCAACATGGAAGATTTCTGCAGCCAAATGTGTGGGATAGTTTCCCCCACACACAAAGCAGCAGACACCAGCTGAGTGTCCTCTAATTCAATTCCAACACCATCTACCTAAAGATAGCCTCAGGTCTCACAAGTTGAGGGCTTATTTCCCAAGACTTCCCTTCACCAAAGACATCAGTCCCAAGTCCAGGCCTCCAGAACTTCTGACTGGGCAGTATCAAGCTGGGGTACCCATAACTCTCTTTTTGAGTTCAATTAATTTGCTAGAGTGGCTCACAGAACTCAGGGAAACACATTTACAGTTTTACTATAGAGAATATTACAAAGGGTACAGATAAAGAGATGCATATGGTGGGGTATGGAGGAAGTGGTGTGGAGCTTCCATACTCTCCCAGGGCACACCACTCTGCAGGAACCTTCACATCTTCAGCTATCCAGAAGCTCTCCAAACTCTGTCCTTTTGGGTTTTTATGGAGGCTTCATTACCTAAGCATGATTGACACTCATGTATAAATGTGATTGGATAAAAAGGGTATTATATCATACTAACAGACTGGGTCAGGGAAGCCAGCAAGGTTTATCTATTCAGATTCTTCTTGGCCTCTCTACACAGCATTCTTTCCTCCTAGGTATGAGTCAGGACCCTCTCTGGAATGAGGGTCTTAGGATCCACAATCAGATTAGAATGCTGCCTTGGACAAGTGAAAGGAGAGCAGGACAATATCAGAGAGAGAGAGATTCTGTTTTCTGAGGCCTGCTTCTGAGGCCTAAAGGAACTGTGGATGAAAACCTACACACACACACACACACACACATCTCTCACAGAGAGAGATTCTGTTTTCTGAGGCCTGCTTCTGAGGCCTAAAGGAACTGTGGATGAAAACCTACACACACACACACACACACACACACACACACACATCTCTCACAGAGGCCAAGAAAGAGACTACAAAATCTAGACATAGAATGTTGTAGGACAAGAGCCTGTGTAGGACCAGGTTATGACCTACACTTAGATCCTGGCTTTACCACTGATCCACTATGGAAAATTAGACAAGTTTCTTCCCTTCTCTGGGCTTCTCTGGGCTTCAGTGTCCCCATGTGCAAAATAAAGGACTAAGCTTCTTTGCATAACAAAAGGAGTGAGATAGAAATGCCCTTCAAGGATATGGCTTACTTCTCAAGCAGAGACCTCTTACTATGGACCACACGGTTTAGTTTTACAGAACCCATGCAGTTCAGTTTTGAGAAGACACCTGGAGTTGACCTGATCATACTCCATGAACTGACCCATGCAAGTCAAACTCACAGAAAGCAGATATAACACAGAGAGGCTTTTTTGTTTGGTTTTGTTTTAATTCCAGAGCTAATATAACCCAAAAACAGCTGGGAATGCTCATGTTGGCTGAATAACAATCTCTGTCTTGCTTGGAAAAATATATTCTAAAAGCCAAATTAATCAGAAAGTTGCTTGATGAAAACATGGACAAGACAAAACAGATTAAATGAGCTTAACAAACTCTTCTTTTCCCCAAACCTCATCAACTAAGATGGGATGAAAGGAGGGGTCAGGGGCACCTCTTTCTTTTATCTGTCCTTTAGACACACCATGAACACAATGACCACTTTCAGTTCTTGTCACTGTTTTTTTTTCCAGTCTTCATGCAGAATCCCCACCTGCACTTCTGCGTTGTCTCTGCAGCTGAGTTAATCCTTTTGATGAGGCTTCTACAACTTATTTAACATTCAGTCAGATCTCTTGAAATTCCACCTTAATTAGATTTCTGATTTCTTCAAGGCCCTGTTCTTTCCTGCTTTGATTAGTGAGAGCTCTCGTTCCATTAAGAACTTCTCAGGATGCCTAATCTATTATATGGTGATTTTACTGGTTGAAATCTCAGGAGAAACTTCTGCTTCGGGTTGTGGGGAAAGGGGGAGGAGAATCTTACTTTGCTCCTACCCATATATACAAAGAGCTCTGCTTTCTCCCCTGGTAGAAATAGCACTGGGCTTGGGGGACTCTGGAAGTTTCAGAGGATTTCCAGATACACTTTCTTCCTTTTGAGGGAATCAATTTAAGGAGGTTGGTAACCAATGTGCTAGGTTCTTATCAAGATAAAATACTATTTCATGGGAAAAGCCTTTGGTCCTACTGAAATCCCTTCCATGGTAAAGAAGAGTTGGTGAGCCTACTAGTCAAAGAGGACAGGTTATCCTTTTTCCTTGCTTTTCCTTTCCTTTCCTTCTTCTACTTGTCCCTCTATCTTCTTTTCCTTCTTTCTTCTCTGTTTTTTTCTCTTCTTCCCTTCTTCACTTTCTCCTATCTTCTCCAACAATCTGGAATAGATATTAGAACCAGTGCTAGGATGAGCCTGAGCATGGAACTGGGTTTTTAACTGTATCTAGCCACCATGTGCATTCTAAGTTGCAAAAGCCAGAAGAAAAAGAGAAGGAAGAAGGAAAAAAAGGACGAGAAAGAGGAGGAGGAGGAGGAACAGAACAAACAGCAGCAGCAGCAGCAGCAGCAGCAGCAGCAAAAAAGGGCTATTGGAAACAAATGAAAATGGATTTGATCTCTCTCCAGTTCTTGCAGCAATAAAAAAAAAATTCTAAAAATGGATTTAAAACACCAGGTCCCCTCCCAGGAAAGCATATAGATTTTGGGCTCACCCCCTTCCAGGACCTCTCTCCCCACCAGGGTAAGCCTTATCTACCCAAAACACTGTGGTGCAGTTTCTGCTCTTCCTGAAAATATCTGCAGCTAGGAGAAGCTTTGCTCATATTCAAAGGCACAACCATACCGTAAAAGAGCTCCCAGATAACTTTTATCCTCTGCATTCAAGAAGGAGTAGTCCTCCCATCCATATCTTCTTCCTGGGCAGTGCCAAGGGACTGGCTTACCCACTTGGGTTATAGTTCAGATGAGACTCTTTCAGCTTTACCTTGGTCAATCAGGCATAGAGTTAAAAAGTAATGTACTTATCCATTGGGCAACCTGAGATAAAAGCACTTTGTCTTCCAGGACCTCAGCTTCCTAACTGGAGGATGGGGTCATAGATTAGATCAACTAATCTCTCCAAGTTATAAAAGCTTTTAGAGGCCAAAAAGTCTCACTTCCTTGTTACACCTATAAGAATGCTGAGGCTCAGGGAAATAATAAAAAAAAAATCCATGTGAGAAAGGGACTAGCTTGTGCCTGGCTGGACATGATACATAGTAGGCTAGGTACAGTGACTGTAATCCCAGTACTTCAGGAGCCTGAAGTGGGAAGATTACTTGAGCCCAGGAGTTCAAGACTACCCTGGGCAACATGGTAAAACCCTGTCGCTACAAAAAAATACAAAAATTAGCCTGGCATGGTAGTGTGCACCTGTAGTTCCAGCTACTCAGGAGGCTGAGGTAATAGAATCTTTTGAGCATGGGAGGTCGAGACTGCAGTGGGCTGTTACAATGCCACTGTACTCCAGCCTAGACAACAGAGCGAGAACCTGCCAAAAAAAAAAAAAAAAAAGACACACAGTACATGCCAGTTCCCTTCTGACCTCTTAGCAGGGATGGGTCAAAAATACAAGGGGATTCCTAAGGTTGCATTCAATGCCTTTCACCTTTCCTGTATACCACACTGCCTTAAGATGGCTATGAATCCTAGTTGGCTTGACTATGTGCACCATTGGCACTTTCTTATCTCAGGGTCTTTGAAATTCCCTTCAACCCATGGCTGACTCCTTCTCCTTCTCATTCATTCTTCAGGTCTTAGCTTAAAATATTCTCTCTATGGAATGTCTTCCCTGCCAAACCAAGATAAAATAGCTCTTCTTACCCCTTTTCCCTCATATGCTTGGAACCCTACTGATTTTCTTAATAGCACACCTTACCATTCGGAATAATTGGTTTTTTGATCAATTTATATGTTTACTGCTGATCACCTCCCTGGCTCTAAACACTGCATTTTTGTGATTGGTAGCTCTGTGACATAAACAGAGACTGTTTGTTCACTGCTGTATTGGATATTGCTTAGCTTAGTACTTGGCACGTGGTAGGAGGTATTAAATAATATTCAGTGAGTAAATGGTGCCTCTGACACAACATAAGTTAGGATGGGAGGAGTTCGCATCACTAGGTCAATGTTATGATTGAGTTGAAATTAAGAAGTTGAAGGCATGGAAAGGCTTATGAGCTATTAAGTTGAATGAATATAAGACTAGTCAGGGCAAGGCTCACACTCTATACATGGAGGGGCCACTAGGTAAGGGCAACTGAGCAGTTGAGTTTGGAAAGAGACTGCCTCATGGTTTACTTTTCTGGAACTTGACATACTTGAGTGTAAAACAGAGGTCATAATCTTTGCCCTGCCTATATCATGGGGCTATTGTCATATCTGATGTAAGAAAGATGTGAAAAAGGAAAGTAGGATGGGGAGGGAACTCATGGGTGGGTGGCTTATCTGCCACCACCTCTACCCCAGGCTTGGCCTGAAGTGGCCTCTGTAACTGCCTCCCCAGCTTCTGGACTGCAGAGTCATTGTGGAAGGGAAGTCCCAGCAGCAACAGTCTGGACTTCTAGCCCATACCTCCTCAGTTGCTCAAGAATGACGGTTGGTTTTTGCATCAGCCTCTCTGTGTCATTCTGTCCCCTACCCCATTCCCATACTGCCTCCCCAAAGACTATGTGTGGCAATTTTCAGGCTGACATTTCTCCATCAATGTGGCAATATTCTGGTCTCCCATAGTTTGCTCAGGGACCCTAGGGTGGTGTCCTCCTATGTGGGAGGAACCAGGTTCTCTGGGCACCTCAACATGATAACTGGTCTGCCAGGAACATGTCTGTCAGGTCATCCTGCCCTCCCACAACTACTTATACCTTCGAGGGTTTATGTTAATCTGACAAGTGGGATTAGTCTTTTTGGGGCCCAGCACTGGAAATTTAGTTTAGATCAGATCAGGTCCCAAAACCTGTAAACAAAGTAGAAGACTAGTCTGAGCTATATAAACCAGATGCTAGCCCTACCTCACTCTCATCTCATCCTCTTAATCATAAGAAATTCCACCCTGGACAACATGGTGAAACCCCATCTCTATAAAACTAAAAAAATTAGCCAGACATGGTGGTGCATACCTGTAGTCCCAGCTACTCGGGAGGCTGAAATAGGAGGATCACTTGAACCTAGAAGGTCAAAGCTGCAGTGAGCTGAGATCACACAACTGAACTCTGGCCTGGGCAACAGAATGAAATGCTGCCTCAAAAATAATAAAGAAAGAAATTGAGTTAATTATGTTAGAAGATGGAGAGATGCAGATGCTCATCCTTGGCAATGTCCTTTTCCTATTATTTCTTTCATTCATTTAACAAACACATGGGTACTTATTATAAGTCAGGTCCCTGTCTACTGGGGAAGATAGCCAAATAAAATGGTGTTCCAGTTAGCCCAATATGTTCACCATTATAACATGTTCAAGTATAATATATAATATAGTATATATAAGCTACAGTGGCAAAACAGAAGGAGTGATTGACTTTCTAGGGATGTCAGGAACAGTTTCACAGAGATTTGAACTGAAACTTGAAGGATTAACAGAATATTAGGCAGTTTACAGGTAACAGTGGCAAAATCATCATAGGTATTCTAGAAGCGTGTCCTAACACAGCATGTGCAAAAGCATGAATATATAAAATGGACAGGCAAGTTTGGTGACTAAAATTCTGTATGGTTTGAGTACATGACTTATCTTGAATAGTGGTAGGAGATGAAGCTGGCTAGATGTGGAAGTCTGCATTACTGAGGACTTTTAATTCTATGGTGAGTTTAGAATTTGTCTCCAAAACAATGGAAAGTAATTGATGGGAATACTTAAACCCATTCAGCACACTCCAAAGTATGTTTTCTGGACCCACATTAGAACAACCAGTCTAACAAATGTGCATGTGGTTACAGAAGCAATAAGACCAAATATTTGAACCTGGACTATGCTGGGAAATCTGATATCTATATTCACCATATTTATTACCACCACTGCTTAAAGACAAAACTTGTCCATTTTTGGATCAAAGATCTGTAGATACAGTCAGAATTCCCATTTTGCATACTTGCCTCTAGAATGTCAAGAGCCCAAACTTTTCTAAAAAGAACAGATATTAGCCATAAAGAAGGAAAGTGCCAGTTTAGCAGAAAACCAAAGATTCTGCTAGCAAGCAGACAATGGGTGTTTACCAAGAAACCGTGAAACTCTAGACTTGCCATGGATGAGGGAGCTGACACAGCATGGGGTGTGGATAGAGAAGAGATGCAAGTACTAGATGGCAATTAATATTATACGCAATCACCTTCATCTCAAAAGTATCTCATTTATTTGTCTCTTTATCCAGCTGTTCTCTATTTATTTAGGCCTAAAAAGTTAACTAGTTTCAGCCCATGTGCTAAGAAACAAAGGACAGTGTTCCGCTGCCCAAATTCATATGTTGAAACCCTAACCCCTAGTACATCAGAATGTAACTGTATTTGGAGGCAGGGCCTTTAAAGAGGTTATTAAGTTAAAATGAGGTTGTTAGGGTAGTCCCTAATGCAATCTGACTGTTATCTTTATAACAAGAAAAAATTGGGGCACAAAAAGAAGCCAAGGATGCACAGGCACAGAGCAGACCATTTGAGAACACAATGAGAAGGTGGCCATCTGCAAGCCAACAAGAGAGGTATCAGAAAAAAACAAACTGGCTGACACCTAATCTTGGACTTCTGGCCTCCAGAACTGTGAGAAAATAAATTTCTATTGTTTAAGCCACCCAGTGTGTGGCATTTTGTTATTGTAGCCCTAGAAAAGTAGTACACACAAAGGCCATTTTTTAAGTTCTCTGTCCACTGATGCCCTTCTTAGGCCTGCCCTTCCTGGCAAAGGGAGGTCTTCTTAGTGTCTAGTATGGTCTTTCTCCTCCTCTTTAACCACTATGACCGGGTCACTTCATGGGCAGCAGAGCTTGAGCAGTGAAGCCAGCTTCCTGTATCTTCTACTTTATGTCTGGGAAAGGTGGCAAGTGATTTTGTCACTGGCAGGTTTCTCCCCTCTGTGAGGTCACCAGAAATGGTCAGAAACAGGAAAGCCCTGGCAAGAGTAGCATTGATGGGAGTTCCTACCAATTTTTAGGTAAAGACACAGGAAAAAGCAGAAAAGTTCTGGATTCTTAATTAAGAGACCTGGATTCAGCTCTGCTCATAATTAGTCATGTAACTTAAACAAAGTCCTTTCTCTCTCTGAACATTGGTTTTATTATTATTCACAAACAGGGAGACAATATATATCTCATTGATATCTTATGGTGACTACATTAAATGATATGTAAGAGCTGATTATTATCAGTTCTGAGTTGAGCCTTGGATAGTTATTGTGATAATGTGCCAAATCCCACAAGAGGCACACCCTCCATCCAACCCCACCTCCTCTAGTTGCTCACGGAGAGGTCAAGTTAGACCACACGGCTCTTGCAAACTGACCAAATCCAAATCAACAAGGAACCTATGAGCTCAGCCCTTTGCAGAAAGAGTTGAGCCTGAGAAAGAATTTGGACACATATTACTAATGAGATGGGAATTGGATGTGTCTCAAGTCTCCATCAAGGCACCACGTTGTGTCCCAAGTCCAATCTTTAGTAAGATATAGGAGGAATAGAATTTGGTGTACAGAAAACAGAAACCTACTCAATTATGTTGTGACTTGGCTGAGGTTACTGTTGTGTTGTCATAACAGAAGAGTGATTGGCTGGCTGGTGGGTGGAGGTGTCTCCATGGAGGTTAGAGAAAGAGGAGACAAAAACAAAAGAATATGTTAATGTTCCTCTGACACTCTTCAAAGAGAGGGGCCACTGAGTCTATGGATCAACCTGCTCCACAGAGACAGAAGTCTCCTAAAAGCTAATTCATCCAGCTACCCTAGCTTTAAGAAAATGTTCCAGAATGCCATCCAAGCCATTTTGCCTTACTTTTCCATTCTTCAAACACCCCTGTGCTCTCAAGTCTGACATCTGAGCAGACTCACCCTAGGACAGGGCAGCTTGGATGAATAACAGGTGTGGGTAATTCAACTTTGTTTCTGGAGAATGGAAATTAGTTTCCCTGTGCCTGACCAATTCTAGATGAGGTGATAATTAAGTTTCTGGTCTCACCAAGTTGAATTCAGACCTTGAACTTATGGTGATCTCCCTCTGAGGCCTACTCCCTGCCTGTAGTCATCTATTGGTAAAAACACTTGATTAATTTGTTTGAACCCCTCTGGATCAGAAGTTCTTACTCAGTTCTGAATTCTTCCCGGTTCTCTCCTTCTTGCTACACACACACACACACACACACACACACACATACACATCCAGGATGGAGAAGATGTGGCTTAGAAGCAGCAAGTGTAGTACAGTCTAGGGATTTGGGAGGACAGTGAGCTCAATATGTGTCAGTTATGAGGTAGGGTGGCAAAAACCTAATGCTATCTTTAACAGTAATCATAAAAATGCAGTGTTCAGAACCAGGGAGGTGACAATCCTGCTCTACTTAGCATTGGCCAGATCACAAATAGAATACTTTCCCTTCTAGGCAACACACTCCGAGAAGAACACTGACAAAGTGAGACAGCCCCCGCCCCCACATTTCCCTACAGATGGCTGTGTGTTCAAACCTCCCTCTGGAGCAGCCCTAGCCTCCAGAGTCATCACAGCCCAACCCTGTTTGTCACCCAGTCTTGAGCCATATCAGGAGCCATGAATTCTAAATAATTGAGGATCTTATGTTCTCATGCCTCTCTAGCTTTGGGAGCTTAAAATAACTAGTCAATTCAAGTAAAGGCCATTCTGTTTTGTTATAAAGCATTGTAAGTAGCAACCCGCAGTCCAAACCCTTTTTGGCCTTAGAAAGGCTTTCCTGGGTTCCAAGCCTAGGTGGGGATCTCATAGTCAATCATGAAAAGGGTGGAAACATTGGGGTACAAAATAGATTAACTGGACCACTTCCCCAAATTCTGTGGATCTGTCCTTATATAATTATTTCAAGCAGTTCTTGCTCAGTATTGTGATATTTTTCATGGTGAATGATGTCTCTCCAGTGAATCAATTGGAATGTGATAGATCACACTCTGAGACCACACTTTATTCTCCATTCTATTAATACATTTCTTGAGGTTGAAGGTGGTTTCTGAAGAATTCTGAGGTGGTGAGTTTTCTTGAGCATAGTGTTACTGTCTTCTTGAAAGAGTAGGTACAAAAAGTCTGAGGTGCTGTCTGTATCATCCTCTCTTCTGATACGGCCTGTTGATGTGGTTCATGTTATTTTCACTCTTGTTTATGTTGTTGCTTTTGTTCTTCTGGACCTTGATATTCTTTCCATTGCTCTGGTTTTGATGTTGCTAATGTTTCTTTTGCTGCTCTTGCCGGGGTTGATAGTGCTCTAATGGAGTGCACAGTCCCACTAGATTTCCCCAAGTCATAGCTTTCCATGTTTCTTTAGAAGACACTTGGCCTATCCATCACGTTTCTTGTGGTTTTCCTAGAGCAATTGTGGCACTGGGATTACAAGCCATTGGGGATACAGAGGATAGTCTCTACCTCTGCATTTTTGGCCAGAGATTAATATTGAAGTGTTTGGCCAGTGTTTTTATAGCTTACTCCATTTCATAAAAGATTATCTTTCAAGCAGATTGTGATCCCAAAGCTAATATTCCTTAGGGAAGGAGTATCAGAGATGAGACCCTTTCTTATTGGCTATGGCCCTTTGAATAAGAGCATCTGCTACTCACCCTTTCTCTAGTCCAGTATACCCAACGATCCAGCGGCCCGGCTACCTCAAGCTTTTTGTTCAAGGTACTTTTCTTTCACAACACTTATAACTATTTGTAATAGTGTATTTATATGTGTGATTGTTTAATCAATGTTCATCTTGCCGACTTGGCTGATTATCAGTTTCAACGGGAAAGGAACTATCTCTCTTTTGCTCAACATTGTATCCTCAGGAGTTTGGCAGGTACCAGGCATTCAACAAATATATGAATAAAATGGATGCCAAGTAAAGCCCACTTTCCTAATAACATTCAGAATGTTAACACAAGCTAACACTGTGCATATTTACTTAGTGGCATTTCATTTATAAACATCTAATGTGATTAAAAAACAACAAGGTAGAAAAGTGGGCGAAAAGGATAACCAAAGTGGAAAAATGGGCAAAGGATTTGAACAGGCAGTTTGCAGAAGGAGAAATACAAATATTTGTTAAGGATCTGAAAAGATGCCCAATTTTGCTAATAGTCAGAGAAATGCAAATTGAAAAAATAAAATGCTCTTTCTGATTAGCAAAAAATTTAAATAGTTTTAAGTTTGGCAAAGGCATGGAAAATAGGTAATCTGAAACACTGCTGATGAAAGTATAAATTGGAACAATCATTCTGGAGACACTTTTTCAAGATATACTAAATTTTAAAATGTGCATCCAAATGATATGACTTGCTTCAGGGTAATCCAATGTATTCCAGGGGGAGTGTAAATAGAGTATAAATGAAACAAGATTGGCCGTGTATTGATAATTGTTGAATCTAATTTTTAGTATGTATGTGGGTTCATTATAAAATTTTGTACTTTTAAAACATGTATTTGAAAATTTCCACATTTATTACAAAAAATGTATTTCATTTTTATATTATCAGTTGAAACAGTATTCTGAATATGTTGGTCTAAATCAAATACATCTTTAAAGATTTTTTAAAGCAATATAATAAAAAATATACATCCTATGACCTACTAATTTTTCTCCTTGCTGTCTATACTAAAGGAACATTCTCACACATATGCACAAGGAGTCATGACAAAAATATTTACTCCAATGCTATTTGTAATAGTGAAAAATTGGATATGACTTAAATCTACATCAATAGTGACATGATTGAATAAACAATGATGTATCTATACTACACAATACTATGCATTGGTTAAATAGAATGAGATATATCTAGATATTCATGTTATTGAATAAAAAAGCAAGTTTCAGATTAATATGTACAGTATGATACCATTTATACAGAAGATAAACACCATACCTACCACCCAAAATAATGTCATACATCTCCTATGAATACATGTATGTGTATGGAAATCTTTAGAGAACCACATATAAGAATACATGACAGATAATAATAGTGGTTATTTCTCATAAGTGGGGAGGGGACCAGGATTGAGGTAGGGGTATGACAGGTGATCAAAAGTGACATTAATCTTATCTGTAAGTTTTGTATATTTCAAATTTTACAAGGATAATGTATTATTTGAGTACCTAAAAGTGACTTTTAAAATATCCAAAAATAAAAATATTAAATAACCTGGAAAGATGTTTATATTAAATTGCTAAGTGAAAAGAAATAGCTTACAAAACAGCATGATCATATTATAAGAATAAATATACACATTTCAAGAGTAAAAAACTTGGTAGAAAAATTTTCTAAAAAAGAATAAATATACACACAGAAAAATGTCTGAAGGAATGTACACCAAAATGTTTGCAGGTTTATCTTTGGGTCGTGATGGTGGTAGAATTGTAGATAATTTTATTTTTAAAATTTACTTACCTGCATTTTTGCATTTTTCTATAATAAATATGTAATGTCTTTATAATAAAAATAATAAGTTTAAACAGTATGATAGTCACTGAGTTTGCCTAAATAAGGAAATAGCACTCCCCACCCCTACCCTCCCTTAACACACACACACAAAGTGAAGCAGAGGAAAATCCTAGATGGCTAGATGGAAATCTCTGCTCTGGGTAGAAGGGCCTTTGTCTCTGTGCTACTCAAAGTTCTGGTCAGCAAACACTGAACAGCTTATTCTGTCAGGTCCTGTACAGAGCATGGGGACTGGAGTGGGAGTGGCAGAACTACATCCAAATCCCTGCCCTAAAGTTGAACTTGTGCTTGAGGCTCCTTCAGTGTACTTCCCACTGCAATCACCTTACCCAGACACCCATTCCCTCTCTCCTCAGCCCCCACTGTTAACAGAACATACAAATACAGAAAAATAATTTCCAACACATCCATTACAGGTTCTAAATTCCTTCTGAAAAGCAACAAAGAAGCTCTGAGTCTTCTAAATAGCTACTTCTAACTTTCAGTGAGCTACTCTAACCTATTCCTTCTCTTTCAGCTCCCTGTTTCCTAGCCCCAGGAATAATCCTATTTTCTTTATCCACTCTTGGTATTTTTCTACCCTTACTCCCAGGCAAACGTACACACACAAACCTTTCTTTTTTAAAAAATACTTATATTTTCCCTTGCTATTACAGAATTAAAACTTGCTGGGAGCAGAAAACTTTGAAAGGATAGGGAGCAAAATATATGTAAAGAAAAACAATCCATCATAATCCTATAACCCAGAGGCAATCACAGTTAATATTTTTGATGCTTTTCTTTCTAGACCTTTTTTTGAGTGTGCGTGTGTATTTTGTTTCATCCTAATTGAGATCTTACTTTTCATACTATTTTGTGTTCTCCTTTATTCACTTAACACCATAAAATTGACGTTTCCCCATGTTGCTAAATATTCTTTGAAGCCATGGCTTTTAATGGCTGCATAATATCTCTTACCACACTTATTTAGTTATACCACACTTATTTAGCCACTCATCAGAACATTTTAATGTGATCCATTAAAATATCTATCATCTATCTATCATTTATCTGTCTAGATAATTCTTAAATAATTTCCTTTATAAAGAGTCTTTAAATAAGTTAAATTACACCTTCCTATCTATCCTTCTCTTTATCTCTCCTTCTCTAAAGCACTTAATAAAAAACAAACAAACAAACAAACAAAAAACCCCTCAGGCCCTTTTGCTAGTTTAATGATTCCACTAAAAGTCCTCTTCCAACCTTAGTTCTAATTTATAATAAGGCACCAGCTTAGTCTGCAACTGTTTAGAAGGAGATGAGCTTAGAATTCTTACCCTTCCATACTAAGAGAATTCAACTCTTCTGCTTTGGAGAACTCCCATTAAAGATTGACCCTGGTGAGACCTGTTGCCATGGAAAGTGTCCTGACATGTAACAGTGCTTTTGCATGCAAGTCATAAAAATTATCTAATTCTGTAAGTGGGAATTCATTCTCAGGGATGGTGTGAGGGTTTTTTATAAAAAGGATTTTTAATATTGCCCAGTGCAGTGCTTGGCATGTAGTAAACACTTAATATTGTAGTTCAATCTGCTGATAACATTCTGGTAAGCTTGAGATGATTAACTGATAAGGCAAATAATTATTTAATTGAGCCAGTGTTTGTTACACAAGCCAAAGTCTACCCTGTGGACTGGGACCATTTATTCCAGATTCAGATAATGTGACCTATTGTCAAACCCGTATTTATTTACATTTGGAAAATAGATTCATTTGAAATATGTGCCTAGATATTGCACTAAAGGTATGTGAGTGTCACCAAAGAAGTGTCTCTGCTCTTGAAACAGTGAAAATAGAATTGAAAAGATATTTATCCCTGAATAAAAAGAGACAATGAAAAGGCATTCGAGTATTCCGTGCTAACCATGATAAAAATGTAGGTGTTTTGGAGTATTAAGAAAAGGCTTTGTGGAGAACTTTGAATTAAACCTCCAAATCGCTGCACAGGTGAGGGTGGGGTGGGGGTTGCGGCTTAAGCAAAGATATAAGGAATGGAATAAACCTAGTTCCCTAGGGTAACTGACTGGGGCAAGATGTAAGGAGTGAAAGGCCCTGAATGCTGAAATTAAAAGCAAGACAAAATGAATGGCACCTTAGTATACTGGCTCTAAAATCAGACTGTCTGGGTTCAGATCTGCCACTTACAAACCATATGATGCTGTGCAAGCAATTTAACCTTTTTGGGCCTCAGTTTCCTCATCTGTTAAAAAGGATAATAATGCTACACACCTAACTCATAGTGTTTTGTGAAGATTTAAAGGAAAATTATATATATAAATAAATATGTGTGTGTGTATATATATATATATATATATATAAAATTGAGGTTCATCCCCTGTCATCAGACAAAGAGAAAGTCAGTTATCAAAGAAAAGCAGCTAATGGCAGAAGAAGCTGCAAGGACTGTTTTATCTGGTAAGAAAAACTACATTAATTATTTGGTATATTTCCAGTTCCTGAATCCATAAGCATAAATGTTGTTCAACTTGCCATGCATTTCCGAGGGTTCTCTTTATTCCCGAATAACCCTATTTTGTAGAGTAAGAATGACCTTTGACTGGGTGCAGTGGCTTATGCCTATAATCCCAGCACTTTGGGAGGCTGAGGCGGGAAGATCACTTGAGGTCAAGAGTTTGAGTCCAGCCTGGCTAATATGGCGAAACCTTGTCTCTACTGAAAATACAAAAATTAGCCAGGCATGGTGGTGCATGCCTGTAGTCCCAGCTACTTGGGAGCCAGAGGCAGGAGAATTGCTTAAACCCAGGAGGCAGAGGTTGCAATGAGCCCAGATCGCACCACTGCACTTCAACCTAGGTGAGGGAATGAGACTCTGTCTGGAAAAAAAAAAAAAAAAAAAAAAAAAAAAAGAGGACCTTTATTGAAAATTTGGCTCAGAATGGAAACATGTCACACTGACCAGAACAATGGCTCAGTGTGACTCCTCTAGCTCTCAGGACCCTGAGTCTGGAGAAATTGTGCAGGAAATGGAAATTAACCATGAAGTATGCTAATGAAAGTGTTGTTAATGAGCCTTCACTAAGCTTGTGGCTTTAGTGCTTCTTTAAGTACACTTCCTAACAGGAACTGGTAGCAAAAGCACTGAACTTGGAATCCTACTCTGCCTCCTTCCCCTAGTTGGGGGCAAGTTCATCTCTGAACCTTTGTTTCTTCTTCTGAAAAATGAGGACCTGATTTCACCTCCTTACTTCTCTCCTAGGGTTGCCGAAGAACCCAACGCTCGTGAGAAGTCTTTGTTCAAGGGAAGCCTTATACATGTGAGGAAGTAAAGTTAGGAGGCTGATAATTATTAATACATGCACCCAAATAAGATGTGGGGAAAGAAGGAGCACTATTTGGAAGTATTATGAGAATACCTGTGTGATTTGAGGCCAATGTATTGTGACCTGCATGTTTTTCATGGAACAGCAACCATCCCTGAAAATATTCTGGAGGTCAGTGGATAAATATACTTTGATAAACAAACATTTGCTTCCTACCCAATCTCTAGGCCTGTAAGTAAAGAGGAAGGCAGAGCAAACAGGACATAGTCTGCATGTTGATTTGTTTGAGGCTGGTCCAGATGTCTGGAATCTATCCCATTATTTTTCAGTTAATTTCTCCACCTTTCTCCCCCTCCTCATTTTTATCATCCGAAGGCCTAGAAGGCAGGAGACCAGGGTTTCATTCCCATTTGGTCTTGGACTCATATTATACCCCTGGACAGGCTTAAAAATAGTTTATTTTGTTATTTTTTGGCCTGCTTGACAAATAAACTAAACAACTTAGTATGTGGGGGTATGGTAATAGCCTAGAAAATGTATTTACTTATAAGCTTCAGAAATTGTGTAAAAAGAGAGAATGAGGCTAAAGTCCAGAATACTCTGCCTGGCACACAAAGGCTGCCACAATCTGGCTCCAGGCCCCACTCCCCCAACTCCTTCATCCCCTTACTCTTTATCTGAAAATGTCTTATTATTTCCCCATACCTATACCTTAGTGCTGACTGGTTCCTTGTCCTGAAATAATCTTCCCTTCTCCCTCTTCTATAACAGGTAAATTACCCTATATCCTTGATGATCCAGCACATCCAACATGACTCTATCAACAATATAATCACATTGGGTTATAATTATTTTTGTCTCTCTGTCATAAGAGACTGGGAGTTCCCTCAAAGACAGTATCTATTTATTTCTATGTCTTAACACTATTCCTACCACAGAATTGTCAACTGGCATTTATGGAAGGGAGGGTGAATGAAAAGGGAGAGATGGAATGAGGGAGAACAGAAAGGAAGAAGGGAGGAAAGTGAATTGGATAAAAACCAGAATTCCAAGTTCAGATATATGGTTTGAATTCTAATCCAGTCACTTTGTAGTTAAGATGCTTTGTAGCTGAATGTGTAGAGCAAATTAACTTCACATTTCTAAGCCTCAGTTTCCTTATCTGTAACACTGGGCTAATTCTCTCTAGGCCTGTCTGCTTCACTCACTCCACTGCATGGAATAAGGGAGGGAGAAATAAGAGAAGGTAGAGATGAAAGAGAAAACAAAGAGACAGAAAAGAAAACTGCAATCTCTGAGAAAGGGAAAAGTTTAAGGTTGGGGTAAGTGTACCTCCGGTTGTAGGAAACAAAAACCACTAGAGGGCAATGTTAACGCAGGGAAATTTTCCCTAGTAACAAAGGGAACAACCCACAACTGGATGGGCCAGGTCACACAGGAGCCAGTCCTGATGGAGCTCAGTCAGAACTGTGAATCCCCTGTTAGGTTTGGTATGTCGCACCCCAGATGACTGACATATATAAGAGCCACAGCTGCCTAGTATTCACAAATGGTAAGAGTGAGTCATTATTTGTTAGAATAAGGCTGCTTGAGATTGTTAGCGTCTATCACTAAGTTACAATGTGTTTGAGTTCTCATAAACATGCTGGAATGCCACACTTCTTCCTCCTCACAGCAGGGTCTAGAGTCTGTCTTCTTGCCTGTCAGGCTGTCTTGCATCACTACACAAACTCTAAGACCCTCCCGGGCACCATGTTTTTACTCCTTTCCATCAAGCACACATTGGATTACAGTGTTTACCTGCTCAGAAGCCACCTGGTGCTCTTCATTGCCTCCTAAAGAAAATTCAAAACTTTCAGCCTGGTTCTAAAGGTTTATTATAATCTGGTACCAACAAACTTTACCAGTGTCCCTCTTTGCCCTTTCATCAACCTCCGTGGAGCAGCCAGGCTGGACTGTTCCCTAGTCTCTGAACATATCCTCTGCATAGTTCTATTGACTTGACTTGGCTCCGTCCATTGGAATCTTCCATGAGATGAAACCTTAATTATCTTTAATGACATTGTCACACAACATTATTCCCATAGAAGCTTTCCTAATTCTACTAGTCACAAATTATCAGATGCTTGAGACTCGTCTGTGCTTTATCTATGCCTTTCACTTATGGCATTGATCACATTCTACCTTATGTTAGATTTGTTTAATTTATTTACTTATTTATTCTTTTGCTTAACATATATTGGTTGTATATTTTATATCAGTTCCCATGTGAAGGACTCATAAAAGATTAAGGCTTAATTCTGGCTCTCCAGGATCTAAGTGTCAAACTAGAGAATGACAGATATATAACACCACATTAGTTTTGCGCATGTTACGTGATAACAAAGGCACATCAAAGGATTGAGGAAGCTAGATTGGAGCCATACTGGAATGCCAAAAAAAAAAGAGATAGATAAGAAGACAGAGAGTGTATCTTCAGATAACTGCTCTATCAAATACTTAGCATGTCAATAAGTATTGACTCTATCCAGTAGAAAATGCGGCATTATAAGGGAGTTTTTAATTGGAGAGTGGGCCAAGGATTTGTGAATTGGGCCAAGGATTCCAGAGGAGATAAGAGGGGCAATTACAATACATGTCTATTTTCCCTACTAAATGTGAAGTTGCTTGGGAGCAAGAATTTTGTCTTACCAAATTATGCCCCCATGTCATCTGGAACAGGGCCTTTGTTATTGAAAGTTTATGCATTTGCGGAGTTTCCAGATTGGAAGAGACTTTAAGGATTATCTAGTCTTTGTTCTACAAATGAGAAAGGGAAACTATGAGAAATGAAGTGGGTTTTTTTCAGTCAACCAGTTTCTTTTTCTTCTTTTTAAAAAAATTATTATATTTTAAATTTCAGGAAACATGTGCAGAACGTGCAGGTTTGTTACATAGGTAAACGTGTGCCATGGTGGTTTGCTGTACCTATCAACTCATCACCTAAGTATTAAGCTCAGCATGCATTAGCTATTTATCCTGATGCCGTCTCTCCCCACCCTCCTGACAGGACCCCGTGTGTGTTGTTTCCCTCCCTGTGTCCATGTGTTTTCACTGTTCAGCTCCCACATATGAGTGAGAACATTCTGTGTTTGGTTTTCTGTTCCTGTGTTAGTTTGCTGAGGATGATGGCTTCCAGGTTGATCCATGTTACTGCAAAGGACATTATCTCATGTTTTGTTTTGTTTTGTTTTGTTTTGTTTTGTTTGGGCTGCATAGTATTCCATGGTATATATGTACCTCATTTTCTTTATCCAGGCTACCATTGATGGGCATTTGGGTTGATTTCATGTATTTGCTATTGTGAATAGTGCTGCAATAAACATATGTGAGCATGTATCATTAAAACAGAATGATTTCTGTTCCTTTGGGTATATACCCAGTAATGGGATTGTTGGGCCAAATGGTATTTCTGGTTTCAGATCCTTGAGGAATCACCACACTGTCTTCCACAATGGTTTAACTAATTTACATTCCCACCAATGGTGTAAAAACATTCCTATTTCTCCACAGCCTTGCCAGCATATGTTGTTTCTTGACTTTTTAATAATCGTGATTCTGACTGGTGTGAGATGGTATCTCATTGTGGTTTCGATTTGCAATTCTCTAATGATCAATGATGTTGAGATTTTTTTCATATGTTTTTTGGCCGCATAAATGTCTTCTTTTGAGAAGTGTCTGTTCATGTCCTTTGCCCACTTTTAATGGGGTTGTTTATTTTCTTCTAAATTTATTTAAGTTCCTTGTAAATTCTGGATATTAGACCTTTGTCAGATGGGCAGATTGCAAAAATTTTCTCCCATTCTGTAGGTTGCCTTCTCACTGTGATGATAGTTTATTTTGATGTGCAGAAGCTCTTTAGTTTAATTAGATCCCATTTGTCAATTTTGGCTTTTGTTGAAATTGCTTTTGGAGTTTTCGTCATGATGTCTTTGCCCATGCCTATGTCCTGAATGGTATTGCTTACATTTTTTTCTATGGTTTTGGGTTTTACATTTAAGTCTTTGATCCATCTTGAGTTAATTTTTGTGTAAGGTATAAGAAAGGGGTCCAGTTTCAGTTTTCCGCATATGGCTAGTCAGTTTTCCCAGCACCATTTATTAAATACGGAATCCTTTCCTGATTGCTTGTTTTTGTCAGGTTCATTGAAGATCAGATGGTTGTACATGTGTGGTCTTATTTCTGAGATCTCTATTCTGTTCCATTGGTCTATGTGTCTCTTTTGGTACCAGCACCATGATGTTTTGGTTACTGTAGCCTTGTCGTATAGTGTGAAGTCAGGTAGTGTGATGCCTCCAGCTTTGTTCTTTTTGTTTAGGATCGTCTTGGCTATAAGGGCACTTTTTTGGTTCCATATGAATTTTAAAGTAGATTTTTCTAATTCTGTGAAGAATGCCAATGGGAGTTTCATGGGAATAGCATTGAATCTATAAATTACTTTGGGCAGTATGGCCACTTTCACAATATTGATTTTTCCTATCCACGAGGGTGGAATGTTTTTCCATTTGTTTGTGTCCTCTCTTATTTCCTTGAGCAGTGGTTTGTATTTCATTAGGAGGTCCTTCACATCTCTTGTTAGCTGTCTTCGCTGGTATTGTATTCTTCTTGTAGCAATTGCAGTCACCCAGTTTCTATTGTAAGAACTAAGACCAGGTACTTAAAGTTCCATGTTCTTTTAACTCCTCTACATCTCATATCTCAAAACTGTCAACAGTCTTCATTGTGGCTGAGACTTCTAACAGTAGAGATCTGACATATGTCTCTGGCATGTTGGTTTGAAAAGGAACACTAAGGAAGATCCAGATCTCACTGTATACCTGAGGAGACTGAGACTCAAAGAGGAAAAGTGACTGGTCCATGATCATAGATCTGGAGCCAGACCTGGGCCTAAACTCATAAGATATTTGGTGAGAATTGAATACATTCTCTGTAATCAAGACATCATGCCTTGCATTAGCTAACAAGTGATTATTCTTCACTTTAGAGAATAAACAGGCCTCCATCTGACATCATTTGTTGTTTAATCTTCATCTCCAACATGTATGCTTTTGCATAAGTCTTTTCATAGCCTGGAACGTTTGTCTTAGCAACAAGAATAATAACCAATGAGCTTCTCTGAAACCTCTAAGCAATTTGTAACTACCCAGAGAAAAGTTTCTCCACTCCCTCCATTTGTCTCTTCCCCTTCTTCCCTACTGCTGTCAAAGGGTAAAAGAAAGAAGAAAATAAAACATATATAATAATTTCCAGACAGTGGTTTTCTTTGTGGAAGTTGAAAGGCCATCTTTCAGAAGCTCTGAGATCAGAGGGCATTGAGGCTGAGCTGGGCAGAGGAAAAGCAGCTGGGTACCAGAAACTACCAGGCCTCGATGTTAAGACATTGGTTTGGAGTAGAAATGGAGCTGTTTGGAAGAGCAGGGATAGAGACGATTGGGGCTGTGAAATACTATACAAGGGCTTGAACTGACAGATATGTTTTTGTTTTTTAAGCAAATCTAAGCCAAATTCTCATCACAGTTTAACAAGAGCACCAGAGACTGAGTTATTCTAGCCAAGATAAAAATTCCCTACGTTCCCTGAACCTGGATCCCATACAATTGTGAGCAAAATTTTTAAACAGGTTCTTCCTCATATGGAACTTTGGAAATCAGTTGTTCTTCCCCATTTTATAGGGAGAAAATTGAAGTTCAGAGTAGTGACAAGATGTACCCCAGTTCACTCGTTTGTTACAGAGAAGATAGGAACATTTGAGTTCTGATTCCAAATTGATTGCTCCTTCCATGACACCAAATGCTGTTCAACATTCTTGCTTATTCCCCAAGCCTTCTGGGAAAGGAAACACTTGTGAATCTGAAGATCCCTTATTCTAGCACATTTCTCCTGTTTCTCTCTTTCTTCTTCCAGAATTCCATGTTTATCTGGTGCAGGTGACCATCTTGGTGACTTCCTTGACTTCTCCCACAATAAACAAATGTAGACACACACACACACACACAAACACACACACACACACATAATTATATGTGTGGTGATCTGAAAGACAGTTTCTAGGGTCATTTTCAAAAACAAAATAAGATCTTATGGTCCCCGGATAAAATTCACGTCCTAAATCTGTTATTTCACTAGCACCATGGATAAGTATGCCTGAATCATACACCTCTTAGTGCTTGGGCCAAGGAAGTCAGAGAGAATGAAATGAGTATGATAGCAAATTAATGGAGTTTTTGGGATATCTTATCAAGGTCTTGAACCCAGACAGGTGAGCTTCCTTCTAACAGCAGGCTAAAAATTAGATAAGTTCTAAGAATGGACGTAGGGGTATGAAATCCCTACTGTTTATCCTGTGATGTCAGGCAAGTCATTTAGGCTCTCTGAACTTCAGTTTCCTCATGTATAAAATGGGGCAGATAAAGCCCTGTTGCATAGGGTTAGTTAAAAAAAAAAAGGACAAAATCCCAAGTAAGTGATAGACTCTCAATAAATGTTCATTTCCCTGTCATTCACCAATTTTTCTGACTGCACCTTTTATCTTTTACTGGTGCATTCCCTTTTTGAAAACGTAGGCACATCTCAAAGTTCTCTCCTTGGCCCCCATCTTTTCTCTAAACCTATTTCCTGGCCCTCCCATTATTCCTATTGTATTAGTTTTTACTTATTTTCAAAGGAGTCCCATGTCTCTTCCTTTAGCTTTGTATCACTCCAGAGTCTCTTCTCTATTTCCAAATATCTATTGGTTAACTGCATTTAGATAACTCACCAAAGACTAAAAAGTCAATAAAGACAATTTGTTTAAATGTGTATGCTCACTGAGAAATTATCAGTTCCTTAGATCCTATAACTTTTTTCTTTTTTATTTCTTCATTCTTTCTCCATCCAGTTCCTACCACAGTTCATGAAAGTTAATAGATGATCAATAAGTCTATGTTGAAGAAATGAATAAATGAGTGTTCAAATAAATAAATGAAAGGTGGATACTGTGTTGGCTAAGGATTTATATAAACAATGAAGGTCCTCGTTTAGTCTGAATTTTCCAAAGCAATCCTAATTTTATATGTTCTGTTTGTTTTTATTTCAGTTCAAGTGTTAGTCTCCATGTCAGATTCTGTGGCTAGGTAGATTTTCAATTAGGAAAATGCAGTTCCTATAACAATAGGCTAGGTGAGAGAAGATAAAAATCTGAACTACAACAGTGGTGGTGGAGTTGGATTGGGGGGATCATGATGAGACACACAGAGGTAAAATCATATATAACATCATCTTTGTATAGCAAGAAGAGCAGAGTTGTGTGAGAGGCAGCACACAATTTCTATTAGCATCTCACTGAGATAATATGAGCCTCTCTTTGAATCTGCTTTGTTGCCTGAGCCCTGTCTGGTACCCAGATGAGCTTCCATCTGAGTCTCCGTGTAGGTCTCAGTAAATAAGGACCAGCCTCTTGCCCCAACACTACACAGAGACATCTAAGCCCTTTCAGAATTTTTTGGCTTGAAGTTTGCTGGTTCTAGTAGGATGCGCGATGCATCCTTATTACTCTAACCTATCATAAGTGCTTGCCCAAAACCTAATCCAGCACCATTTAATTATTGTGGCAATCTGACCCTTCCTCTATTTCTCAAGTGTGTCTTTCCCTGGGAGACTGGACACTTCCAATTACCTCTCTTATGTCCTGCCTCTTCCTATCACCAGCTTCACTTATGCTTTGCTGCTCACCACTCCCTTGGCATGGTTTTCTTCATTCATTATCTCTTCCATTCATTTATCCATCCAAAAACCATTTCAATCCAAATTAGTTCATCAAACATTACCGACTATGAATGCATGCCAGGCCTTTCACTAGGCATCAAAGTTACAGAGATGACAGTCACTGAATACAAGGATCCCTCAGGTTAGTGGAGAAGGTATTTATCTATTGCCGCTTAACAAACCACCTCAAAACTAGAGAGATATAAAGCAACCATTTTATCATGCTCATGGTTTCTGTGGGCAAAGAATTGGAATAGGGTACAGTGGAGATGGCTTGTCTCTGTTTCACAGTGTCTTGAGAATTTGAAGGACTCTAAGACTGGAGGTAATTTAACAGCTGGACGATATCACTGTGGAGGAATTAACTTAAATGTTGGCTTGAACCTCAGCTGGATTTATACTCAGAAGCTGGCAGAACAGAAACAGGGAGGCATCATTACCAGGTACTTCACAAAAAAACTGGCAGGGACACCAGTTCTCAATTCTTTTGGTTTGTAAAAACCTTACTCAAGCACTTAATATGCACAAGGATTTGCTGCTCACATGTCTTTCTATCTCATATCCCAGTTTTTCAGGTGTTTCCCCAACTATTATCTCAAAAGATTTTACCAACCATGCTTAAAGGTCAGTGTGACAAAAGTGAGGTTTGAAGTCCCCCACTGATCCTTATACAGAGTTGAGCATCAAGCAAGTCCAAAAGGAAATATTTATCCTGTTGATTTATATCAAAATCCAAAGGAATTTGGCTGGGCAACTGTGTGTGTGTGTGTGTGTGTGTGTGTGTGGTGTCAGGCGTCTGCTTCCATATGTGGCTGAGTGTGAGGCCAGCCAGGGTGAATGGTGTGGAAGGTTGATATACTTGGCTCCAGTGGTCTGAGATTTTTCAACTTTAGATATTTCACCTTGCTGTGTTTAGCACATCTTTCAGCCACTCATTACCCAGAGTGAGAGTACAGGTGGTTTTCAGAGCTGTAAACAAAAGGGCAGGATGGATGAAACACCCGTGAGTGGCCTGAAACTCCAACCAAAAATAATAAGGCCTCTCCAGATTAATTCTCCATAGATTACCCCATCTATCCCACTACCCCTTAGACATTTCAGGAAGAGATAGAAAACAGCTCGAAGTGGTAGAATGAGCCCTGGGCAAGGAGAGACCAGGGCACATATCAAAAGCCCATATTTTCACCAACAACAGTCAAGCTGAGAGCCAAATCAGGAATGATCTCCCATTCACAATTGCCACAAAAAGAATAAAATATCTAGAAATACAGCTTACAATGGAGGTGAAAGATCTCTACAAGGAGAGCTACAAATCACTGCTCAAAGAAATCAGAGATGACACAAACAAATGGAAAAACATTCCTTGCGCATGGGTAGACAGAACCAATATCATTAAAATGGCCATACTGCCCAAACACATTTATACACCCAATGCTATTCCTATTAAACTACCATTGAGATTCTTCACAGAACTAGAAAAAACTATTTTAAAATTCTTATGGAACAAAAAAAGAAACCAAATAGCTGAGACAATCCTAAGCAAAAAGAACAAAACTGGAGGCATCGCTCTACCCGACTTCAAAGTATACTACAGGGCTACAATAACCAAAACAGCATACTGGCACAAAAATAGACACATAGACCAATGGAGCAGAATAGAGAAACCAGAAATAAAATCACACACCTACAGCCATCTGATCTTCGACAAACCTGACAAAAACAATCAATAGAGAAAGGATTCCCTATTCAATAAATGATGCTTTGATAACTGGCTAGCCATATGCAGAAGATTGAAACTGGACCCCTTCCTTATACCATACATAAAAATTAACTCGAAATGGATTAAAGACTTAAATGTAAAACCAAAAACTATGAAAACCCTGGGAGACAACCTAGGCTATATCATTCAGGACATAGACACAGGCAAAGATTTCATGATGAAGATGCCAAAAGCAATTGTAAGAAAAGCAAAAATTGACAAATGGAATCTAATTAAACTAAAGAGCTTCTGCACAGAAAAAAAAACTATCAATAAACAAACAACATACAGCATGGAAGAAAATTTTTGCAAAATATTCATCTGACAAAGTTCTAATATCCAGCATCTATAAGGAACTTAAACAGATTTACAAGCAAAAAAGCAAACAATCCCATTAAAAAATGGGCAAAGTACATGAACACACTTCTCAGAAGACATACATACAGCCATCAACCATATGAAAACAGCTCAACATCACTGACCGTTAGAGAAATGCAAATCAAAATCACAATGAGATACCATCTTACACCCGTCAGAATGGCTACTAAAAAGTCAAAAAATAACAGATGCTGGTGAGGTTACAGAGAAAAAGGAAGGCTTATACACTGTTGGTGGGAATGTAAATTAGTTCAGCCATCGTGGAAGACAGTGTAGCAATTCCTTAAAGACCTAAAGACAGACATACCACTCGACCCAGCAATCTCATTACTGGGTATATACCCAAAGAAATATAAATCATTCTATTATAAAAACTCATGCATGCTTATGTTTGTTGCCACACTATTCACAGTAGCAAAGACATGGAATCAACCTAAATGCCCATCAATGGTAGAGTGGATTAAAAAAAAAAGTGGTACATATACACCATGGAATACTATGCAGCCTTAAAAAAGAACAAGATTGTGTCCTTTTCCGGGACATGGATGGAGCTGGAGGTCATTATCCTTAGCAAACTAATACAGGAACAGAAAACCAAATACTCAATACTGCATATTCTCATTTACAAGTGGAAGATAAATGATGAGAACACATGGACACATAGAGGGAAACAACACACACTGGGACCTATTAGAGGTTGGAGGGTGGGAGGAGGGAGAGTATCAGGAAAAATAACTAATGGATACTAGGCTTAATACCTAGGTGATAAAATAATCTGTACAACAAACCCCCAAGACACAAGTTTACCTATATAACACATCTGTATATGTACTCCTGAACCTAAAAACATCGAGGCAAGGCCCTCCACTGCAAAAAGATTATAACTTGCTGAAGGCTCTGATGATTGTTAGCATTTTTAGCAATAACGTGTTTTTAATTTAAAAAAAAAGCCCATATTTTGCTTACCACTTAAAGACTATGCTTGCATTTTTGTTTGAATTCCAACCCCTAAAAAGGGCATTTTGTTTATTTTCTTCTGAAGTTCTAAAATACCTATATGGTAAGTAAATTGCATTAATTTCAACTGTACATTTGATGAGTTTTGATTAAAATATACACCTGGGGGTCAACATCCAGGTCAAGATATAGAATATTTCCATCGTTCCCAGATGCTCCCTTAATGCCCCTTCCATTTGATAACTTCCTAGAGGTAATCCTTTTTCTGAGTTTTATCACTTTGGATTAGTTTTGCCTGTTGTTCATATAATGTATAAATATATAATGCCTGAACTTCATATAAATGTAATCACACAATATGTGTACTTTTGGGTCTGGTCTCTTTCACTAAGCATGTTTTTGAAATCCATTTATATTGTTCCATTTTATTAGTCATCTATTTCTGTGTAACAATATTACCAGAAACTTAGCACATTAAAATAACAGACATCTATTATCTCATAGTTTCTGTGGGTCAGGAGTCTGTTCATGGCTTGGCTGGGTCTTCTGCTTCAGGATATAAAGCTGAAATCAAGATATTGGCAAGGGCTGTGGTCTCAACTGGGAACAGGAAAATATCCACTTCCAAACTCATGTAGTTAATAGCAACATTCAGTTACATGCAGGCTGCTGACTGAGGACCTCACTTTCCTGCTGCCTATTGAAAATGTATTATCAATGGAGCTATAAACACTCACTTGAATTGAGTGCATCCCCAGGACTACTCCTGGGGATCTCTGGGTCATAGATAGCATGTATATTTAGCTTTATCTCCCTCTCCCTCTCCCTCTCCCTCTCCCTGTCCCTCTCCCTCTCCCTCTCCACGGTCTCCCTCTCCCTCTCCCTCTCTCTCCACGGTCTCCCTCTGATGCCCAGCTGAGGCTGGACTGTACTGCCGCCATCTCGGCTCACTGCAACCTCCCTGCCTGATTCTCCTGCCTCAGCCTGCCGAGTGCCTGGGATTGCAGGCGCATACCACCACGCCTGACTGTTTTTTGTATTTTTTGGTGGAGACGGGGTTTTGCTGTGTTGGCCAGGCTGGTCTCCAGCTCCTGACCGCGAGTGATCTGCCCGCCTCGGCCTCCCGAGGTGCTGGGATTGCAGACGGAGTCTCACTCACTCAGTGCTCAATGTTGCCCAGGCTGGAGTGCAATGGCGTGATCTCGGCTCGCCACAACCTCCACCTCCCAGCCGCCTGCCTTGGCCTCCCAAAGTGCCGAGATTGCAGCCTCTGCCTGGCCGCCACCCCGTCTGGGAAGTGAGGAGCGTCTCAGCCCGGCCGCCCATCGTCTGGGATGTGAGGAGCGCCTCTGCCTGGTGGCGACCCTGTCTGGGAACTGAAGAGTGTCTCTGCCCGACAGCCGCCCCATCTGGGAGGTGAGGAGCGTCTCTGCCCAGCCGCCCCATCTGAGAAGTGAGGAGTCCCTCCGCCCGGCAGCCGCCCCGTCTGGGAAGTGAGGAGCCCCTCCGCCCGGCAGCCGCCCCATCAGGGAGGTGGGGGGCAGACCCCGCCCGGCCAGCCAACCCATCCGGGAGGGAGGTGGGGGGCAGCCCCCGCCCGGCCGCTGCCCCGTCCGGGAGGTGGGGGGCACCTCTGCCCAGCCACCCCGTCTGGGAAGTGAGGAGCCCCTCTGCCCCGCCGCCACCCCGTCTGGGAGGTGAGGTGTACCCAACAGCTCATTGAGAACAGGCCATGATGACGATGGTGGTTTTGTCGAATAGAAAAGGGGGAAATGTGGGGAAAAGAAAGAGAAATCAGATTGTTACTGTGTCTGTGTAGAAAGAACTAGACATAGGAGAGTCCATTTTGTTCTGTGCTGGGAAAAATTCTTCTGCCTTGGGATGCTGTTAATCTATAACCTTACCCCCAACCCCGTGCTCTCTGAAACATGTGCTGTGTCCACTCAGGGTTAAATAGATTAAGGGCGGTGCAAGATGTGCTTTGTTAAACAGATGCTTGAAGGCAGCATGCTCGTTAAGAGTCATCACAACTCCCTAATCTCAAGTACCCAGGGACACAAACACTGGGGAAGGCCGCAGGGTCCTCTGCCTAGGAAAACCAGAGACCCTTGTTCACATGTTTATCTGCTGACCTTCCCTCCACTATTGTCCTATGACCCTGCCAAATCCCCCTCTCCGAGAACACCCAAGAATGATCAATAAATACTAAAAAAAATAAAAATAAAAATAAAAAATAAAAAAAGATATTTAACTTTAGTAGGTATTTGTACATGCTTATTCTTAATCCTCACAGTTACCTTAGAGGTAGCTATGAGTATCTCTATTTTATAGATGAGGAATCGGAAGCTTAGAGAGAGAAGAAAACTTGACCAAGAATCCATGATAGTAGGAAGCATCTGAGTTAGGTTCAAACCCAGGCTTTGCTGGCCCCAAGACCCTTTATACCACCACAGTGTTTCACCAACCACAACTATTAGTATACTACCTTCATGATTTCTACCATATCTTAAACAATACTATCCATGAAATCATTGCTCTGATCTGCTAGTGAGTTTTTCTAAATACATTACAAATAGATATACATAACTATCAAAATTAAAAAGTCATCTATGTACCACCTAAAATTGTCTTGCTTATCACAGACCAGTGGTGCTGGTACAACAATTTAGGAAACACTGTTGGGCTACATATTGTAGTCAGGGTTTGGATTCTTCCTGTCTCGGCCCTGCCACTGATTCTCTGTTTCCTTAGGCAAATCCTTTTCCCTCTCTGGACTCCAGTTGCCCCATATGTACAATGAGATGCTTGCAGTCAACCACTTAGAGACCCTTCCAGGTTTATCTTCTGTTCTGGATCAGAGATAGGAATGAAAAGAATCAGATGACAGTTGCACATTGGCACCAGGATCGGGACGTTTCGGCCAATCAGCTTCCCTCTCTTGTGCAGTGGCAAAGTCCCTGCTTTCTGTCATCTACATCTATGTGCACATCTATTTCTTTGAAATAGGGCAGTACATATGTGCATACATACATGTCTCTCTGTTGAGGTGGAGACGGGGACTATGTACATATATGGTTGGGTGGGGACACCTATGTTTCACGGAATTTCTCCCACAATCCCTCATGTCCTCCAGAGTGCAACATGACTTCAGCCCTACAACTATTTATACTCAAAGAGTAGAAAACCTACCTGTGTAATTATTGCTGTTGCTATTTGTTTTTTTCCAGCACAACTCCTTTTGAATCCAGTAGCTCGGGGAGCAAAACATGGCCACAGGGTCATATCCCCTTCTCAATGGGATGTTATAGTTGTATGAAATTGCTGCCATTATTTAAAAAAATATCACAAAGGGTCGTACTTTCGGTTCCAGGTTATATGAATTTCAATTAGTTGTTATGATCATCTTTCTCCTGCTAGCAAGAACTCCCAGTCTCTGCTAAGCCATGAGCAACAGCAGGGAATTTGTTTATGTGATGAATTGATTAATTTGATGAATTAATGTTATGGTACTGGGAGGACATTTACACTCTGAACCACACAACCACTTACCAGTTCAAAAACATTTTAGGTACCTCCAGAGGCTTGACTGCAGACTCAGCAATCAAACTGAATTACGAACAAACCAGCATTGACAGACAGCTTGCTAGGTGCCCCCTGTATCAGCATAAACCATGGAGCAGAGAAGCTCAGGAAAGGAGCAAGGAAGAGAAAAACCGCATTTGGGCATCTACTCTAGGTGATAGGTTAAGTACCACCATTTATAAATTTACTCTCAGAAACCCTCTCAAGGAGTTATTATTACTATACTGCTTTTATAGAAAATAATCTGAAAAGTCACATAATAGTGGCAGAGCCAGTATTTCTCTCCAGGCCCAACTCCAAATCTATGTTTTTGCCATGACAGTATACTGTTATTATAAGTGTCCCTGCCCTTCAGCTCTAGGAATTGGAAAATAATCTATGAAAGACACACCTAGCTTTCTACCAGGTCCTGTTCATGTTTTACCTCCTTCAAGATGTCTTTCTTGACCATCCCAGCCAATAGGGTTATTCTCCTGCTTATAATCTATGTAGCATTCACTGCATCTGTATCCCTTTTTCAGGAAATTGTATAACAGGGTGGGAAGTGTCCTTGGAGACTAATCCAAGCCCTTTTTTGTACTGATGAGGAAAAGTGGAGCCAAAAGAGGGGAAAAGGGATTGCCCAGGGTCACATAGCAGATTAGATTAATAACTGGGACTAGATCATTGGCCTTCTGATTCTTGGTCTAGTACTTTTGTTCCTACATCCAGGTTGGGGCAAGAGACGCAGAAGAGAGATGACTAGTAACCTGGTATAGGGGAACAATCAAATCTGATATTCAGAAACCAAATGGAAAAATATAATGTATGTAAAATTGCACAGCATGTTCCCAGGTATATAATAGTTTCTCAATATGTTTTGGTTGTCTGAATCAAAGAACCCACTTCTACCACCTGCTCAGGGTCTACACAGCCAGGGATTAGAGCAACCAAAGCAATCTGGGACTATAATTTAGTTCTTTAGACAGACAGTCTCTACTCTTCTCATTTATCTGTTTTCATGTATTTATCATTTATGTACTTATTTCTTTTTTTCTTTAATTTTTAACAAAATTTCCTTTCACAATTTCAACTTCCTATTAATCCTCTACATTTCTGTTCATGTCACTTTTCTGATAAAAATTTAACAATTCCCAATCAACAGGGTGAGACCAACTTCTCAGTGTAGCATCAAAACTAGATCCCAAACTTCCTTTCTCTTCTTACTCTTTATATCCTGATGCCTCTTCCCTTGGATACATGCCCTAACCTGAAGCAATTACAAATTACTATCAATTTGCTATCTCCTTTCATTCACCTGTCTCTTTGCACATGATGTTTGTTCCCTCAGTATACCAGCATGTTGTATCCCTACTTCTGTGCTTAGCAAGCTCAATTTAAAAAACCCACTGCGAATATCATATTAAGTGTTAAATCTTCCCCAACTTTCCCAGCGTAAATTAGCTGCCTCCTCCTAAATGGCAGTTCATCCATCTTTAAGAAGATTGATTATACTGTATTCTAATTGATTAGTGTGCATATCTGTTATTCCCTCAGTCCCGCTATCCTTTGCTGTGAAATGTTTGAAAAAATAAATGAAGTCTTCCTTATCTCTCTCTTGTTTTATGTGCTCCCTAAATGTTTGTGACTGGTAGCACAACTCAAGCAGAGAAAGTACAGAAGCAAATGTATAATTGTTTCTCCCTAACTTAGAGCTGCTTCCTGCACCCTCTTCCCATTTTAACCAGGGTATTCTGAGCCAGGGTGAGAAAGCAGAGTTGCTTCCCTATCTCTCCTCCTCCTCTTTTTAACAAGAACAATACAAGAGGAAGGAGAGGCGCTAAGCTAACAGGACTCAGTGGGGAGGAAGAGTTGGGGATTCACCTACCATGGGTGAGCCCACCCTAGAGGCATAGCACTCTGCGGCTGGTCGCTGGTGCTCAGGGACAGCCCCTGCCGTCCGCCCCGCAGACAAGAAAGAGACTGCAGCCCGGCAGAAGCCTCAGGGCCCCTAGGACCTAACCAGGAAGCGCTGCTGGGCGAGGGGGTGATGCCGTGGCACATTCGGGGCTCTGCGACAGACGCATGCACGATGCCGCCACCACTTTCTGTTTCCAGAGGCTGGTCCTGAGGGAAGGAGGCAGGCAAAAGGCACATAATATAGGCATGCCGCTCTCTGGTTTCAGAGTCACTTTTTCTACCCAAGTTAGGTCTTGGACTCCACAAGAAAAACAGTTGATGTACTACTTCCTCAGTCATGGGTATTGGAAGCATCAGAGGATTGGGTCTGGCTCTGTGCATCTGAATTCTGAGAAATACCTAGAATCTAAACTGGAGGCTGGAATCCAGGTCTCAGGTAAAAGGGTCTGAGGAGAGGGACTATTTATCTTGAATCCAAGAAGCCACAGGAGAATGGGTTTCTGTCTTCAGAGTTATGAAGGGATCAGGTGGAGCAGACCTGAAAGCAAATTCCAGTTCAGTATAATGTAGAACTTTCTAAAATCGGAGTCCCCTGAATGAAGAACAGGCTGCCTTGAAAGAAAATGAATTCTCCAAACCTGGTGTTGTTCAAGTAGGAGCAGAGTGATTGACTTGTGAAGATTCAAAATAATTGAACTTAGTTGCCCTTGGAGCCCAGCCTTATGGTGCTCCTACCATCCATCAAGGAAAATTCAAACTCTTAACACCTTTTGTAGTTGAAGGAGGGAGTAGTGGACGCCTCTACTGTATTAGCATCAACCTCTAGAATTTTAAGCTCCCTACATTTTGTTAATTTCTCCTGCTAACCCAGGAGACAAAGCTACCTCACTTTGATGCACAGGCATAGAGTAGCACTCATTAAATAGATGATAATATTTGTGTGCTCAGCATGTGAGACTTCCATACTTTATGCCTAGAAAGGACTTACTACTTTTCAAACTGAGCTTCTCAACTACCCTGAAGGAAATATGGGGGTTAACACTCTCACTCTACAGATGAAGAAAATAATGTTAAGAGTTGTTAACTTTCCTAAAATAGCTATAAAGCATATAGCTATTTATTCTTTATAAAATGTCCGATTATGCTCTTCTGCAGTACAGTGTCACCCACAACCAGATCTGCCTGGCAGACTTCCTCCTCAACAGTATTTATTGACCATCTATCATATACCAAACACTGTAGAATGCAATTTACAGGTCCTTCCCCTTCACTTCCCAGATTTTAATTCTGGAAATCTTCAAGCTTACAGATAAGTTGAAAAAATAGCACACATTCTAAAAAGAAAGTGCAATGAATACTTCTTTTCCATCCATCTATCTACACACACACACACACACACACGATTGTTGTTAAACCATTTAAAGAGTTAATTGCAGACATCATAAAATTTCACTCACGGACACTTCAGCCTGTATCTCCAAAACATGAATAGTCTCCTATATAATCACAGTGGTATTATCAAACTTTAAAAAGTAAGTGTTGATTCAATGTTAACTAATATGCATTCTACCTTCTAATTTCCTCAGTTGTTTAAAAAATTTGCTTTTTAGATTTACTCTTTGTTCTCTATCTGGAAACCCATTGATGTCTATAAATTTTGTGTCATGTCTCTTCAGTCCTTTTAAATCTAGAATGTCCCCACACACACCCTTTTTTGTTTTTCACAACTGATATTTTTGAAGACTCCAGGACAACTGGCTTACAGAATGTTGTAGGTCTCTTTTAATGTAGAAGATAGGCCACATTGCTTCCCTGCTTTAAATGTTCCAATTCTTTCCCATTGTGATTAGAGTAAAATCCAAACTCCTCACTTATAATGTGGCTTCTGCTTACCTCTCCAGTTTCGTGTTCTATGACTCTTCCCTTTACACGCTATGCTTTAACAACATTGTCCTCCTTATGTCTCTTGAATATTTCAACCTTGCTCCTATCTCAGGGCCTTAGCAGCCTGCTTTTTCTATCTGCAGTGCTTTTTGCCCAGAACCTGGTATTGTTGGCTCCTTTGCACCATTCAGGTCTCAGCTCAAATATTACTTCCTCTGGTAGCTAGTCTTCAAAGGTGAGACTCCCCAAGGAATCATACCACCATTATTCACATCCTTATGTAGTTTATATTCTTGAATCTGAGCTGGTCCTCTAACTCCCTTTTAACCAGTAGAAAGTGGCAGAAGTAATGCTGTAAAGCTTCAGAGGCTAAATCAGAAGAGCACTTGTAACAAGAACCTGGGAACAGTGCCTGGCACAGAGTAGGCCTTCATTTTCTGTTGGACTAATGAGTTTCCTCATTGGTCTCTTGAAATGCTTGTCCTGAGGAAAGCCAACCACTTTGTAACAAGTGTGACTACCCTAAGAACATCATGCTATGAAGAAGCCCATGCTACCCATGTAGAGAAGTCACATGAAGAGAGAGATGTCCAGCGAGTTTCCAGAGTATCTAGCCATCCCAGTTTAGGTTCTCCTAGTTCATCTGTGGGCCCAGCTTAAGCACCATCCATGTGAGTGAAGAAGCCATCCTGCGCATTTTATTTTCTTCACAGTACTTATCACCATCTAAAATTGTCTTGTTTATCAGATTACAGGTCTATTGTATTGTCTCTTTCCACTACAATGTAAGCTCTGTGAGAAAGAGAGGCCTTGGCTGCCTTGTTCACTACTGTATCCCCCGCACCTAAGCAGTGCTTCTCAGAGTTTATTGTGCATACAAACAACCTCAAGCTCTTGTTTAAATACAGATTCTAATTCAGAAGGTCTGGAATGCAGCCTGAGATTCAGCATTTCAAACAGCTCCTAGATGATGCAGATGCTGCTAGCCTAGACCACAAATTGATAGCACAACAGTAGAGGTCTCTAGATAGGAGTGAAAGAATTTGGTATCTGTCTGAGTGAAGCACATCCCCTTCTCCATGATCTTCTGCATTTCCAGCTTCTCTTGAAAAAATCAGAAGGTCTGGCAGTCCTGGGCTGGCATTCACATACTGCAACAATCAGCTGGAGCTGGGTGCAGGTATTAGAGGCACAGCCCCTGCCTAACGTATCCTTCCTTTCCTGGGCAGGCATTCAAATAGTGGCCCCTGCTCTTCAGAGTTCTCTATCATTTTTTTACCACTTCACAGATTCAGGAGACAAAACCCAAAATGTCCATGCCCTCAAACAGGTTTTTATTTTTTCTCTTGGAATGGTCACATTCATATTCAATAAATGTGGCCTGTCTAGAAGAGTGCTTCTCAAATGTTAACGTCAATTGATTTTCTTGTTAAAATGTAGATTCTAAGTATACTAAGACTCCACATTTCCCATAAGCTCCCAGGTGATGCCAATGTTGCTAGTACATAGAACACACTTTGAGGAACAAATATCTAGAAGAGTGCCTGGCACAGAGAAGACACTCAATATTTGTTGGGCTAATAAATTTATTTCATATAACAACCTTGTTATGGTGGCATTATCTCAATTTTATAGACAAGAAAACAGACTCAGAGAATTAAGTGACTTGCCTAAGGTCACATAATTGATATATAACAGAGTCTACCCTCAAACTTAAGTCCATCTGATGACAAAGCTAACCTATTATACCCTAAAATCTCAGCTTGGTTTAACACTTGGGTGGCCTTATATATAGGTGTAGTATGATTTCAAAGACAGCAATAGACACTCACCATCTTAAGCCCCTCCCACCTGCCTGGAATTCCTTATACAGGCTACAAAACCTTTCTTTTATATATATACTTTAACTTCTAGGGTACTTGTGCACAACGTGCAGGTTTGTTACATACGTGTACATGTGCCATGTTGGTGTGCTGCACTCATTAACTCGTCATTTACATTAGGTGTATCTCCTAATGCTATCACTCCCCTCTCCCCCACCCCACAACAGGCCCCGGTGTGTGATATTCCCCACCCTATGTCCAAGTGTTCTCATTGTTCGATTCCCACCTATGAGTGAGAACCCATGGTGTTTGGATTTTTGTCCTTGTGATAGTTTGCTGAGAATGGTGGTTTGCAGCTTCATCCATGTCCCTACAAAGGACATGAACTCATCCTTTTTTATGGCTGCATAGTATTCCATGGTGTATATGTGCCACATTTTCTTCATCCAGTCTATCATTGATGGACATTTGGGTTGGCTCCAAGTCTTTGCTATTGTGAATAGTGCCTCAATAAACATACGTGTGCATGTGTCTTTATAGCAGCATGATTTATAATCCTTAGGGTATATAGCCAGTAATGGGATAGCTGGGTCAAATGGTATTTCTAGTTCTAGATCCTTGAGGAATCGCCACACTGTCTTCCACAATGGTTGAACTAGTTTACAGTCCCACCAACAGTGTAAAAGTGTTCCTATTTCTCCACATCCTCTCCAGCACCTGTTGTTTCCTGACTTTTTAATGATTGCCATTCTAACTGGTGTGAGATGGTATCTCATTCTGGTTTTGATTTACATTTCTCTGATGGCCAGTGATGATGAGCATTTTCTCATGTGTCTGTTGGCTGCATAAATGTCTCCTTTTGAGAAGTGTCTGTTCACATCCTTCGCCCACATTTGATGGGGTTGTTTGTTTTTTTGTGTGAATTTGTTGGAGTTCATTGTAGATTCTGGATATTAGGCCTTTGTCAGATGAGTAGATTGCAAAAATTTTTTCCCATTCTGTAGGTTGCCTGTTCACTCTGATGGTAGTTTCTTTTGCTGTGCAGAAGCTCTTTAGTTTAATTAGATCCCATTTGTCAATTTTGGCTTTTGTTGCCATTGCTTTTAGTGTTTTAGACATGAAGTCCTTGCCTATGCCTATGTCCTGAATGGTATTGCCTAGGTTTTCTTCTAGGATTTTTATGGTTTTAGGTCTAACATTTAAGTTGCTAATCCATCTTGAATTAATTTTTGTATAAGGTGTAAGGAAGGGATCCAGTTTCAGCTTTCTACATATGGCTAGCCAGTTTTCCCAGCACCATTTATTAAATAGGGAATCCTTTCCCCATTTCTTGTTTTTGTCAGGTTTGTCAACGATCAAATGGTTGTAGATGTGTGGTATTATTTCTGAGGGCTCTGTTCCGTTCCATTGGTCTATATCTCTGTTTTGGTACCAGTACCATGCTGTTTTGGTTACTGTAGCCTTGTAGTATAATTTGAAGTCAGGTAGTGTGATGCCTCCAGCTTTGTTCTTTTGGCTTAGGATAGTCTTGGCAATGCAGGCTCTTTTTTGGTTCCTTATGAACTTTAAAGTAGTTTTTTCCAATTCTGTGAAGAAAGTCATTGGTAGCTTGATGGGGATGGCATTGAATCTATAAATTACCTTGGGCAGTATGGCCATTTTCACGATATTGATTCTTCCTGTCCATGAGCATGGAATGTTATTCCATTTGTTTGTGTCCTCTTTTAATTCATTGAGCAATGGTTTGTAGTTCTCCTTGAAGAGGTCCTTCACATCCCCTGTCAGTTGGATTCCTAGATATTTTATTCTCTTTGAAGCAATTGTGAATGGGAGTTCACTCATGATTTGGCTCTCTGTTTGTCTGTTATTGGTGTATAAGAATGCTTGTGACTTTCGCACATTGATTTTGTATCCTGAGACTTTGCTGAAGTTGCTTATCAGCTTAAGGAGATTTTGGGATAAGACAATGGGGTTTTCTAAATATACAGTCATGTCATCTGCTAACAGGGACAATTTGACTTCCTCTTTTCCTAATTGAATACCCTTTATTTCTTTCTCCTGCCTGATTGCCCTGGCCAGAACTTCCAACACTATGTTGAATAGGAGTGGTGAGAATGGGCATCCCTGTCTTGTGCCAGTTTTCAAAGGGAATGCTTCCAGTTTTTGCCCATTCAGTATGATATTGGCTGTGGGTTTGTCATAAATAGCTCTTATTATTTTGAGATACATCCATCAATACCTAGTTTATTGAGAGTTTTTAGCATGAAGTGTTGTTGAATTTTGTCAAAGGCCTTTTCTGCATCTATTGAGATAATCATGTGGTTTTTGTCGTTGGTTCTGTTTATATGCTGGATTACATTTATTGATTTGCATATGTTGAAGCAGCCTTGCATCCCAGGGATGAAGCCCACTTGATCATGGTGGTTAAGCTCTTTGACGTGCTGCTGGATTTGGTTTGCCAGTATTTTATTGAGGATTTTTGCATTGATGTTCATCAGGGATATTGGTCTAAAATTCTCTTTTTTTGTTGTGTCTCTGCCAGGCTTTGGTATCAGGGTGATGCTGGCCTCATAAAATGAGTTAGGGAGGATTCCCTCTTTTTCTATTGATTGGAATAGTTTCAGAAGGTATGGTACCAGCTCCTCCTTGTACCTCTCGTAGAATTTGGCTTTGGATCCATCTGGTCCTGGACTTTTTTTGATTGGTAGGCTACTAATTATTGCCTCTATTTCAGAGCCTGTTATTGGTTTATTCAGGAATTCAACTTCTTCCTGGTTTAGTCTTGGGAGGGTGTATGTGTTCAAGAATTTATCCATTTCTTCTAGATTTTCTAGTTTATTTGCATAGAGGTATTTATAGTATTCTCTGATGGTAGTTTGTATTTCTGTGGGATAGGTGGTGATCTCCCTTTTATCATTTTTTATTGCATCTATTTGATTCTTCTCTCTTTTCTTCTTTATTAGTCTTGCTAGCAGTCTATCAATTTTGTCGATCTTTTCAAAAAACCAGCTCCTGGATTCATTGATTTTTTGAAGGGTTTTTTGTGTCTCTATCTCTTTCAGTTCTGCCCTGATCTTAGTTATTTCTTGCCTTCTGCTAGCTTTTGAATGTGTTTGCTCTTGCTTCTCTAGTTCTTTTCATTGTGATGTTAGGGTGTCAATTTTAGATCTTTCCTGCTTTCTCTTATGGGCATTTCGTGCTATAAATTTCTTCCTACTCACTGCTTAAATGTGTCCCAGAGATTCTGGTATGTTGTGTCTTTGTTCTCATTGGTTTCAAAGAACATCTTTATTTCTGGCTTCATTTCATTATCTACCCAGTAACTGGGCTGCTGCTGGCCTTTGAATGCAAACATCTGGAGAAGTTAAGATCAGACAGTGGAACTAACACCTGGGAGCAAATCAGGATCCCGAGTAGTCAGGAAAGATCTAAAAGATTGGGCAGAGGCCAGATGCAGTGGTTCACACCTGTAATCCCAGCACTTTGGGAGGCCAAGGTGGGCAGATCACCTGAGGTCAGGAATTCAAGAACAGCCTGGCCAATATGGTGAAACTCTGTCTCTACAAAAATACAAAAATTAGCCGGGCATAATGGCGGGTGCCTGTAATTCCAGTTATGAGGGAGGCTGAAGTGGGGGAATTGCTTGTACCCAGGAAGTGGAGGTTGCAGTGAGTGGAGATTGTGCCATTGAACTCCAGCCTGGGCGACAAAGCAAGACTCTGTCTTGGAAAAAATAAAAAGATTGGGCACACATAGAAGTAATATTCAAAATACTTACTGTCCTGTATGATATAGTTTGGCTGTTTCCCCACCCAAATGTTATCTTGAATTGTAGCTCCCATAATTCCCACTGTTGTGGGAGGCAAGTGGTGGGAGGTAATTGAATCATGGTGGTGGGTCTTTCCTGTGCTGTTCTCTTGATAGTGAATAAGTCTCATGAGATCTGATGATTTTATTAAGGGGAGTTCCCCTGCATATTCTCTTTTGCCTGCCACCATGTAAGATGTGACTTTGCTCCACCTTCACCTTCTGCCATAATTGTGAGGCCTTACCAGCCATGTTGAACAGTGAGTCCATTAAACTTCTTTTTCTTTTTAAATTACCCAGTCTTGGGTATGTCTTTATTAGCAGCATGAGAACAGGCTAGTACACTGTATAATACTGCTGCAATCCATCTGAAGGGATATAGGCCTGTAATACTGGAGCAGAGTTCTGGAGGTATTACCCCTTTAGTTGCTGGATTCCAGGAAGGTATGGGAGTAGAAAGTGAGGGACTGGAACAATGGGGGGCACACAAGGGGCTTAGTGTAGTTACTATTTACCAACTGGTATGGAAGTATTTCAGTATTTAGGAACTGGCACTGCCATACAGGTGTAAACTGCCTGAATATTAGCCCTGAACATCAGGTTAAAGCAAGTCAAAAAATCTTCGGAGCCAAGTCCTAGATAAAGGTCAGCAGCAAACCCCAGACGTTGGACTGGCAGCTGATTATAGACTCAGAAATAATAAATGCCATGTGAATGATATCTATGGCAGCAGACCCCATCAGTCTGAGGCAGGACATTAGGAATATCTGGCTAGTAGGTGTCTGGGCAGACAGAACCTGATAAGCTGAAATGCATCCACATCAAGGTGTAATAAGCCAGTCAGATAACTCTTAAAGCAGATGTCACCTCTTGGCAAAATAATAGAGGTTGACTGTCTTTGGTAGTTCTCCAGATGTGGTCTCTGGACCACTTGTCTCAGAATCATCTGGTATGAGTGTTTAAAAATAAGTAATTTGAAGGCCTCACTTCAGGCCTATTAAGTCAGAATTTAGAGGAGAAGTATATATGCATTTTGTAACAGGCATTCCAAGAGATTCTGATATGTTCTCAAGTTTAAGACCCATTTGTCTGAAGTGTGTGTGAAGGACAAGAAAGTAGGTGCTATATGAGAATGGCTGTCTACTTTGCTCAGAGAGGTTGATGTCAGGTTACAAAAGAGCTTATATGGTCAGGCTGAGAAGGGTGGATGAATATGACATAATAGGGATCATCTGAAGGTTTATGATAAGAGGGAAAGTTAAGAGGTATTGGGGAAGACAATTCTGGTGGCAGTGTAGATGGATTAAATAGGAGAGATACTTGAGAGAGAAAGATAAGTTACGGGATTTTAGAGTAAATTGAAGTGTTTTCTACTTGCTACATTTTAGCAGTCATGGCTTGGAGCATCTCTATCATGTTGGTCAACCCAGGAAACCTTCTGCTGAAAAGGAATCTAGACTGACAATACCTGGTTCTCACTATTTCCTGTCTACAGACCCCAGTAATTTGGCTCCCATGGCTCCTCTTTTTTAAGTTGAAGTCATATTCTGCCTTCTACCTGGCACTTGGAAGTGCCAGTCATGGGCCCAGGCCCGCCCTGTGGTATAGCTAGAGATTTAGCAACCATTCATCCCATAATTGCCAAGATGTTAAATTTCCATAACTTTTGGCTTAGTTTGAATAAACATTTGTTGACTAACCACTTTGTTGCAGAAATTATGCTATGCCTTGGAAAAACAGAGATAATTAAAGTACAATTTTTTTTGAGACAGAGCCTCATAAAGGTAGACATGTAGACCAATGGAACAGAATAGGGGGCCCAGCAATAAATCCACAAAAATACAGTCAACTGATCTAGCCAAAATGTTTGCAGCCTGTCCAGCTGACAAGGTCTAATATTCAGAGTCTAAGAGGAATTTAAATAAATTTACAAGAAAAAAATAACCCTATTTAAGAATGGGCAAAGGACATGAACAGGAACTTCTCAAAAGACGACATTTATGCAACCAAAAAACATACGGAAAGAAGCTCAACATCACTGATAATTAGAGAAATGCAAATCAAAACCACAATGAGATACCATCTCATGCCAGTCAGAATGGCAATTGTTAAAAAGACAAAAACACAACAGATGCTTGTGAGGCTACAGAGAGATAGGAACACTTTTACTCTGTTGGTTGGAATGTGAATTAGTTCAACCATTGTGGAATACAGTGTGACGATTCCTCAAAGACCTAAAAACAAAACTGCCATTTGACCCAGCTTCTGTATCACTCTATTGCAGACTCTACCCTTTTAATTGCCACTCCATGCGGTGTTCTTCTCCTCTTTCTGCCTTGGTTCCTTGTTTTTTATGTTGTTTTTTCCCACCCAATAACAGGACAAGGGACATTCTGACACTTTCCCAAGGCTCTTAACATGAAATGGTTCCTGTTGAATATTCTAGGGGGTCTTCCATTTTTTCAATAATCCATGCCCATCCTCAGCTCCCACATGCCTCACACACCTTTTCTCTCATCTCTGCATCTTACCCTCTTACCCTCTCTCTAGACCAGTGGTTCTTGAGCTTGGTCACACATTAGAATCATCTAGGGAGCTTTAACAAAAACCAATGTCCAAGGCATACGCCAGCCCAATAAGGAGGGACTCTCGAAGGGTGTAGTCCAGGAATCCAAAATATTAAAACTCCCCAAATTATTCTAACGTTGAGTCAAGATTGAAAGCCATTGCTCTAGATGACTCTCCAATATAGTATTTCTTGGCCTTTTTTATTGTTTCTAAATTTTTTTTCCAAATTATCTCACCCATAAAATGTTAATATCACGCATTTAATATATAACTGTTTATATACTGTGGCCCTTTGGAGGTCCACAAACCAGGGTAATAGCTAAGATTCCTCCATCCCCACACCAAGAGTAAATTTGTACCCTTTGGGGGACTATATCATCCCAATTTAAAATTCATGCTAACGACTTGTTACCTTCACTTAGAATTTGATAGAAATGCAGAATCTCAGGCCCCATTCATGATCTACTGAATCTGAACCTACTTTTTAACAAGTATTTAGCATGCATTTTAAATTTGAGACACACTGCTTTACAAGTCTTCTTCTCCCCCAACAAAGCTGTTGGACCTATGGCTCTGAGTAAGGTGATTAGGAGCAGTAGCATTTATGGAGACCTAGAACATCAGGACTGAGATGGAGGTTAAAAGAATCTAGTGCAAGCCTCTGTCCCATGTTTGAACCTCTCAAATGACTACCTGCTAAGTAGTCATCCAGCCACTGATGGGATAACTCTGATAATGAGAATCGATCACTCCAGGCTGACCTTTCCAAGATCACTTTTAGAATGGGATTCTTTGGGTTGAGCTGAAATTATTCTTCCCATGATATTTACCCTTGTATCCTGCTTTGCACCCTGTCACCACCCAAAATGTACCTACTCACTCTGCCCCATGATTGCTCCAAGCTCTGAAAACAGAGGCCACAGTCCCCTCAGTCTTCTTTTCTTCTAAGATAATTCAGCCACTCTTCATAGGTCACATTTCCTCTTCTTTCTCCAGACTGCTCATTCTCTTCTGGATATACTTTGAACTGTTTGAGCCACAGTTAATCATCTGGACCTACAGCTTGTGTGGGCTGTGTCCCAGGTGCAGACTGATTTAAGAGAAATAAAGTAAGACTGTCGCCTCTCTTGTCCAAGATGCTAAACTTTTATTAATGCCCTCCTAAATTTAAATTAGCTTTATTGGCAACCATATCACACTGTTGGCTTATACTGAATTGACTGTCAACTAAAACCCTGAAAAGTTTCCACATAAGCTGCTTTACAGCCACATCTACAGCAGCCTGTTCTTCAGTCAGTTTTTGGTACCTGAGTGCAAATCTTGACATCCTCTGCACTGAGCTTCACTTTTTTTTTAAGAGACAGGGTCTTGCTCTGTTGCCCAGGCTGGAGTTCAGTGCACAGTCACAGCTCACTACAGCCTTGAACTCCTGGGCTCAAATGATCCTCCTGCCCCAGTCTCCCAAGTTGCTAGAGCTACAGGTTCATGCCACCACGCCCAGCTATTTTTTTAATTTTTTTGTCGAGATGGGGTCTGTGTATGTTGCCCAGGCTGGTCTTGAATTCCTGGCCTCAAGCAATCCTCCCTCCTAGGCCTCCCAAAATGTTGGGATTGCAGGTATGAGCCATGTTGTTAAACAATTTAAAATATGTTAGTAATCCAAAAAGTACAAATTAAAGTGATATATCATCTGGAGACAGAGATTATTAAATTAGTAAAGAATTCGTAAGTGCTAATACCCAGTGTTTGGGTGAGTATAGGAAAACAGATACTGAGTGGGAGTAAAAATTAAGTGTAACCTTTCTGAATGGCAATTTGGCAATATCATCAAAAAAAAATCTAAATGTGCATCCTTCTTACCCAACAATTTTACTTCTAAGAATTTACCCTAAGGAAATATTCAGAATCATTCAAGAAATATATGTACACAAATGTTTATTGCTGCATTTCTTATCATTGAACAATTGGGAACAACCTTAATACTCTACAAAAGAGGACTGGTTCAATAAAAATAAGTAAATAATTTGATTAAAATATGGCCATTAAAATCACACATAAAACCTTTACAGACATTGAAAAATGTTTAATTGTTAAATAATAAAAGTAGGTAACTATATGTGTATATATATATATATATGTGTATGTGTATATATATGTATATATATGTATATATATGTGTATATATGTGTGTATATATGTGGTATATATATGTGTATACATAAATACACATACACATATATATATACACATATATATGTGTGTGTGTATATATATATTTATATATACACAATTTGATCCCAATGTGTATACGGAAACAGTTGCATATAAATTTCTATTAAAGTGTATTCCCCAACATGGTTTGTTTTGTTTTTTGATTTTTCCTATGAGTACGTAGTATATATGTGGAATACCTGAAATATTTTTATAGAGGCATACAAAGTGTAATAATCACATCAGGGTAAATGAAGTATCCATCACCTCAAGCATTTATAATTAATTTTTGTGTTACAAACATTTCAATTGTATGTTTTTAGTTATTTTTCAATGTACAATAAATTGTTGTTGACTGTAGTCATCCTGTTGTGCTGTCAAATACTAGATATCATTTATTCTATCTAACTACATTTTTGTATCCATTAATTATCCCTAATCCTTCCTCCCCACTACCCTTCCCAGCTTCTGGTAGCCATCATTCTACTTGATATCTCCATGAGTTCAATTGTTTTAATTTTTAGCTAGTGTTTTTTATTTTACATTATGCTCCTGTTACTGATGATAAAATGTCAAAAGGATTGTATTACATAAGACTGAGCTCAAACTGACAATGAAATGCTAATTGAAAATCCATTTGTTAGAGAACTCACAGAAAACTGCTAGTGCTATATGTAAACTTGTTGAAAGTTCAATGTGATATGGCCCATGAGTAACCAACAAGAGTAATTCTAAAGCAAATGTTTTCATAATTTAATTTACTCAGAGATTTCTCTGACACCTGAGCAAGACCAAAACAAGAAGGAAAACACAATTCAGATAATACTTTAGCTACTATTCAGGTGAAATGAGACTTAAACTTCCCTCAGACTGGGACATAAGTCTCCCTAAAACATAGAAATATGTTCTGGAATATGACTCATTCTAGTCATTCATTAAGAGGAAATACAACTAATAATATATCAATTATTAAACACTCACTATGAACTAGGCAATATTTCTTGTTTTCTTATTTGTTTCTTTGTTTGTTTGTTTTTGAGACAGAGTCTTGCTCTGTCATCCAGGCTGGAGTACAGTGGCATGATTATGGCTCATTGTAGGCTCACTCTCCTGAACTCAAGTGATTCTCCTACTTCAGGCTCCCAAGTATCTGGGACTACAGGTGCACACCACCACACCCAACTATTTTTTTTTTTTTTTGTAGAGATGGAGGTCTCACTATGTTGCCCAGGCTAGTAGTCAATGCTCCTTCTACATATGTTCATTGGCTGATATAATCTTCCCAATTTGTTTATAATGTAGGTATCATCTTTACTTTTGAGATAAAGAAAGTGGAACATCAAAATATTAAGTATCTTGATCACATCTCACAGCTAATCAGTATCCAAGGTGTAATATGAACCCACACTACCTAACTCCAGATTATACACTCAAATCAATTTTTACATGAATTGAACTTCCCTCCAGGCAAGCTGGGGGTAGAATGGGCATTATGAATTTGGAAGGAAAGATGGGGAATTTTGGAAGGTGAAACTAGGAGAGCGTTTTAAAGAGAGCAGTGTGCAGAAGAGGAGACCAGTGACAGGCTGCTTGTGATCAACCTGAGAAATTGAGCTGCTCTAGACTGAAGAAAAAGAGCTAGGTCAGTGGAACTTAGTGAATAATCTGAATTGGCATAATGTTAAAATAAAATGCAATTTACAGCCAGCAATTTCTTTTCTAGGGATTTATCCTAAGGAAATAATGTGAGAAATGTGTGAAGGTGTATATATGTCCGTACCAGAATGTCCATTGAAATGTGAATTGAGGTTGCACAGTAGTGCTAGCAGCTTCGCGGTTCGGTCCTCGGACCCGGCAGCCACCACTGGTGCTGAGCTGCTAGGAAGCCCCTATCGGCGAGCTCTTTGGAGCTTGAACCCATTGTCACTCCTCCGACTCACCGGAAAAAACAAAAAATGGGTGAAGCAGATCGCCTAGGAAAGTTTTTCATTGGTGGGCTTAATACGGAAACAAATAAGAAAGCTCTTGAAGCAGTATTTGGCAAATATGGACAAATAGTGGAAGTACACTTGATGAAAGACTGTGAAACCAACAAATCAAGAGGATTTGCTTTTATCACCTTTGAAAGACCAGCAGACGCTAAGGATGCAGCCAGAGACATGAATGGAAAGTCATTAGATGGAAAAGCCATCAAGGTGGAACAAGCCACCAAACCGTCATTTGAAAGTGGTAGACGTGGACCGCCTCCACCTCCAAGAAGTAGAGGCCCTCCAAGAGTTCTTAGAGGTGGAAGAGGAGGAAGTGGAGGAACCAGGGAACCTCCCTCACGGGGAGGACACATGGATGACTGGTGGATATTCCATGAATTTTAACATGAGTTCTTCCAGGGGACCACTCCCAGTAAAAAGAGGACCACCACCAAGAAGTGGGGGTCTTCCTCCTAAGAGATCTGCACCTTCAGGACCAGTTCGCAGTAGCAGTGGAATGGGAGGAAGAGCTCCTGTATCACGTGGAAGAGATAGTTACCGAGGTCCACCTCGAAGGGAATCGCTGCCCTCTTGTAGAGAGCTCCACCTACACGAGGGCGCCCCCATCTTATGGTGGAAGCAGTCGCTATGATGATTACAGCAGCTCACGTGACGGATATGGTGGAAGTCGAGACAGTTACTCAAGCAGTCGAAGTGATCTCTACTCAAGTGGTCGTGATCAGGTTGGCAGACAAGAAAGAGGGCTTCCCCCTTCTATGGAAAGGGGGTACCCTCCTCCACGTGATTCCTACAGCAGTTCAAGCCGTGGAACACCAAGAGGTGGTGGCCGTGGAGGAAGCCGATCTGATAGAGGGGGAGGCAGAAGCAGATACTAGAAACAAACAAAACTTTGTACCAAAATCCCAGTTCAAAGAAACAAAAAGTGGAAACTATTCTATCATAACTACCCAAGAACTACTAAAAGGAAAAATTGTGTTACCTTTTTTAAAATTCCCTGTTAAGCTCCCCTCCATAATTTTTATGTTCTTGTGAGGAAAAAAAGTAAAACATGTTTAATTTTATTTGACTTTTGCATTGCTTTTCAACAAGCAAATGTTAAATGTGTTAAGACTTATACTAGTGTTGTAACTTTCCAAGTAAAAGTATCCCTAAAGGCCACTTCCTATCTGATTTTTCCCAGTAAATGAGGCAGGCAATTCTAAGATCTTCCACAAAACATCTAGCCATCTAAAATGGAGAGATGAATCATTCTACCTACACAAACAAGCTAGCTATTAGAGGGTGGTTGGGATATGCTACTCATAAGATTTCAGGGTGTCTTCCAACTGAAATCTCAATGTTCTTAGTATGAAAAACCTGAAATCGCATGCCTATTCACCCAGTAAACCCAAAAAAGCAAATGGATAATGCTGGCCATTCTGCCTTTCTGACATTTCCTTGGGAATCTGCAAGAACCTCCCCTTTCCCCTCCCCCAATAAGACCATTTAAGTGTGTGCTAAACAACTAAGAATACTAAATAAAATGTTTGGCCAAAACCAACAAAAACAAAAAAAAAAAAGAAAAAAATGTGAATTGTGACAGCAAAAAGTTGCGATAAGAAAACTCAAATGCACATCAGTAAGGAATTTGATTTAAAATTAGATTTTTACCTCTGGGATACAGCAAAGGCAATACTAAGAGGAAAGTTCATAGCCCTAAATGCCTACATCAAAAAATCTGAAAGAGCACAAAGAGGCATTCGCACCTCAAGGAACTAGAGAAACAAGAACAAACCATACCCAAACCCAGCAGAAGAAATGAAATAAGCAAGATCAAATCATAAGTAAGTAAACAAGATTGAAACAAAACAAAACAAAAAGATAAAGGAAACAAAAAACTGGTTCTTTGAATAAATAAGTAAAACTGATAAACTATTAGCAAGATTCACCAAGAAAAGAAGAGATAAAAATCCAAATAACCTCTATAAGAAACAAAATGGGGCTGGCCATGATGGCTGACACCTGTAATCCCAGCACTTTGAGTGGCTGAGGCAGGCGGATCACAAAGTCAGGAGTTTGAGAGCAGCCTGACCAACATGGTGAAACCCCATCTCTACTAAAAATATACAAATTAGTCGGGTGTGGTGGCGAGTATCTGTAATGCCAGCTACTTAGGAAGCAGAGGCAGAAGAATAGCTTGAACCCGGAAGGTGGAGGTTGCAGTGAGCCGAGATCGCACCACTGCACTCCAGCCTGGGTGAGAGAGCAAGACTCTGTCTCAAAAAAAAAAAAAAAAAAAAAAAATGAAACAAAACGGGAGATATTACAACTGACATCACAGAAATACAAAAGATCATTCAAGGCAACTACGAACACTTTTATGCATATAAACTAGAAAACCTAGAGGAGATGAATAAATTCCTGGAAAGATACAACCTTCCTAGCTTAAATCAGGAAGAATTACATACACTGGGTAGACCAATAACAAGCAGTGAGATTGAAATGGTAATAAAAAATTACAGCCGGGCGCAGTGGCTCACACCTGTAATCCCAGCACTTTGGGAGGCCAAGGCGGGCGGATCACGAGGTCAGGAGATCGAGACTATCCTGGGCTAACACAGTGAAACCCCGTCTGTATTAAAAAATACAAAAAATTAGCTGGGCATGGTGGCAGGTACCTGTAGTCTCAGCTACTTGGGAGGCTGAGGCAGGAGAATGGCATGAACCTGGGAGGCAGAGCTTGCAGTGAGTGGAGATAGTGCTACTGCACTCCAGCCTGGGTGACAGAGCGAGACTCCCTCTCAAAATAAATAAATAAATAAATAAATAAATAAATAAATAAATAACCAACAAAGAGAAGTCCAGGACCAGACAGATTCACAGCAGAATTCTACCAGACATTCAAAGAAGAATTGGTACCAATGCTTTTGACACCATTTCACAATATAGAGAAAGAGGAAACCCTCTGTAAATCATTCTATGAAGCCACTACCACCCTAATACCCAAACCAGGAAAGGACATAATCAAAAAAGAAAACTACAGACCAATATCCCTGATGAACATAGATGTAAAAAGTCCTTAACAAAATATTAGCTGACTTAATGCAACAACATATCAAAAAGATAATCCACCATGTTTAAGTGAGTTTCATACCAGGGATTCAGGGATGGTTTAACATACACAAGTCAATAAATGTGATACATCACATAAGAAGAATCCAAAACAAAAATCACAAGATCATCTCAATATATGCAGAAAAAGCATTCAACAAAATCCAGCATCGCTTTATGGTTAAAAACTCTCAACAAAATTAGTATAAAAGGAACATACCTCAATGCACTAAAAGTCATCAATGACAAACACAAAGCCAACATAATTCTGAATGGGAAAATGTGGAAAGCATTCCCTCTGAGAAGTGGAACAACACAAGAATTCCCACTCTCACCACCCCTCTTCTACATAGTACTGGAAGTCCTAGCCAGAGCTATCAGACAAGATAAAGAAATAAAGGGCATCCAAATCAGTAAAGAGGAAGTCAAACTGTTGCTGTTTGCTGATGATATGATTATTTACCTAGAAAACCCTAGAGACTTTTCCAGAAAGCTCCTAGAAATGATAAAAGAATTCCGCAGAGTTTCCGGATGCAAAATTAATGTACACAAATCAGTAGCTTTTTTATGCACTAACAGTGACCAAGCAGAGAATCAAATAAAGAACTCAATCCCTTTTACAATAGCTGCAAAACAAATAAAATACTTAGGAATATACCTAACCAAGGAGGTGAAAGACGTCTACAAGAAAAACTACAAAACACTGCTGAAAGAAATTATAGATGACGCAAAGAACTGAAACACATCGCTTGCTCATGAATGGGTAAAATCAATGTTGTGCAAATGACCATACTTAGCCAGGTGTGGTGGTTCACACCTGTAATCCCAGCACTTTGGGAGGCTAAGGTGGACAGATCACTTGAGATCAGGAGCACTCAAGACCAGCCTGGCCAACATGGTGAAATCCTGTCTCTACTAAAAATACAAAAGTTAGCTAGGCATGGTGGTGTATGCCTGTAGTCCCAGCTACTGGAGAGGCTGAGGCAGAAGAATCACTTGAATCTGGGAGGCGGAGGTTGCAGTAAGCCGAGACTGTGCCACTGCACTGCATTACAGCCTGGGCAACAATCCATCTCAAAAAAAAAAGGAAAAAGAAAAGAAAGAAAAAAGATAAAAAGAAAATGACCATACTTCCAGAAGCAATCTACAAATTGAACGCAATTCCCATCAAAATACCACCATCATTCTTCACAGAATTAGAAAAAAAATTCCTAAAATTCATATAGAACAAAAAAAAGAGCTCACATAGCCAAAGCAAGACTAAGCAAATAAAGCAAATCTGGAGGCATCACATTACCTGATTTCAAACTATACTATAAGTCCATAGTCACCAAAGCAGCATGGTACTTGTATAAAAATAGGCACATAGACAAATGGAACAGAATAGAGAACCCAGAAATAAACCCAAATACTTACAACCAACTGATCTTTGACAAAGCAAACAAAAACATAAAGTGGAGAAAGGACACCCTTTTCAACAAATTGTGCTGGTTTAATTGGCAAGCCACATATAGGAGAATGAAACTGGATCCCCATCTCTCACCTTATACAAAAATCAACTCAAGATGGATAAAGGTCTTAAAATCTAAGATCTGAAACTAAAAATTCTAGAAGATAACATTGGAAAAACCCTTCTAGACATTGGCTTAGGCAAAGATTTCATGACCAAGAACCCAAAAGCAAATGCAGTGAAAACAAAGATAAATAGCTGAGACTTAATTAAACCAAAGAACTTTTGCACAGCAAAAGGAACAGTCAGCAGAGTAAACAGAAAAACCACAGCATAGGAGAAAATCTTCAAAATCTATACATCTGACAAAGGACTAATACCCAGAATCTACAATGAACTCAAACAAATCAGCAAGAAGAAACAAACAATCTCATCAAAAAGTGGGCTAAGGACATGAATAGACAATTCTCAAAAGAAGATATACAAATGACACACAAACATATGAAAAAATGCTCAACATCACTTATGATCAGAGAAATGCAAATCAAAACCACAGTGCAATACCACCTTACTCCTACAAGAATGGCCATAATCAAAAAATGAAAAAAAAATTGTAGATGTTGGCATAGATGCGGTGAACAGGGAACACTTCTACACTGCTGGTGGGAATGTAAACTAGTACAACCACTGTGGAAAACAGTGTTTTCCTTAATTAACTAAAAATAAAACTACTGTTTGATTCAGCAATCCCAGCAACCGGTATCTACCCAGGAGAAAAGAAGTCATTATACAAAAAAGATACTTGCACACACATGTTTATAGCAGCACAATTCACAATTGCAAAAACGTGGAATCAACCCAAATGCCCATCAATCAATGAATGGATAAAGAAACTGTAATATATATGATATATATGGAATAACTCTCAGCCATAGGAAGGAAAGAATCAATGGCATTTGCAGCGACCTGGGTGAGATTGGAGACTATTATTCTAAGTGAAGTAACTCAAGAACGGAAAACCAAACATTATATGTTTTCAGTTATAAGTGAGAGCTAAGCTACGACGATGCAAAGACAAAAGAATGACACAATGGACTTTGGGGACTCTGAGGGAGTGGGAAGGAGATGAGGAATAAAAGACTACAAATATGATGCAGTGTGTACTGCTCGGGTGATGGGTGCACCAAAATATCACAAATCACCACTAAAGAACTTACTTATGTAACCAAACACCACCTTTCCCCAATAACCTATGGAAATAAAAATATGACAGACATTACAAATGTTGGTATAAATCTATATTTAGTGACATAAAATGATGATAGACTTATTTTTCAGTTAAAAATTGTATATAACAGGTTAAGGAGATTTACTTCCAGCATGACAGCATGAGGAGATCCACTGACTTGAAATAAACAAAACTGATGAAAATTATGAGAAAGCAACCATTTAAACCCTCTGAAAATGAAGTAACATCTGTTCAAGAAAATCTATGACTATTTGGTAAGAAAGGCAATAATTTGTGATACTTGAACTAAGACTACTCCTTCCCTTCCTCCTCCGAGCTTAACCAGGTAAAGACTCCACTCAAAACTACGGCACCCCAAAACACAGGACACTCTCTCTTACAGCTCTTAATAAGAGGGTTTTCTTTCTGGGAGAAGCAGGATGTCAGCATTTCTCATCCTTAATCTCAAGTGAGTGCAGTCAAGAAGTAGGGGCTCCCTTCTTCCACCCAGCTCCCTCTCATGGGATTGAGGCTCTAGCTTTCAGTTAACATTCTGATAATATTAGGGCCCTGATTGCCTTTGTCCTAGCTCATGAAGTGAGATTTTCATACCCAAGAGACAATCCGAGAAGACCTTAGGCTGCTGCCACCCACCACCATTAAGAGCTCAGCTACTGAAGAAGAAATCAGTGAATAGCTTTCCATTGTCTCCAAGCCCAGTTCCAGATCCCTAAATCAAAGGTTTTTCCTGGGGAGAGATTTAAGCTGTAAAATAAATAGCTCTTAATCTCTTTTCAAAGGAACTGACATAATTTGCAAAAGGTTGTGAATAAATTCAAGCTTTTGATCACTTTTAAGAACAGTGGAGGATATCAGGAAAGTGAATGAGGATGAGAATCAAGACACAGGCTAAACTTTAGGCCACTTAGTTTGCAGAGGAGAACCTGCTAATAAGACTGCTGAGCAGGCCAGGTGCGTAATCCCAGCACTCTGGGAGGCCAAGACAGGTGGGTCAAGAGGTCAGGAGTTCAAGACCAGCCTGGCCAAGATGGTGAAATCCCGTCTCTACTAATAATACAAAAATTAGCGGGGCGTGGTGGTGGGTGCCTGTAATTCCAGCTACTCAGGAGGCTGAGGCAGAGAATTGCTTGAACCCAGGAGGTGGAGGTTGCAGTGAGCCGAGATCACACCACTGCCCTCCAGCCTGGGTGACAGAGGGAGACTTCATAAAAAAAAAAAAATCTAGGAGGAATGCTTCTGGAGTCAGAACAAGTATCAAACACTAACCTCAGAAATCTCTCTTTCAAAACAACCCAAAATTTAACTAATTTGTAGAGCAATATATGTCCCAGAGCACCACTGAAAGCAATAGAGAAGTCTTTCTGCAATTAATAGAATTTAGGAGCTGTGTGGTCAGGGGGAGAAAGAGAGCCCTACCAAAACCACTGTTATTCTAGGATGACTGTGGAAGTGCCCAAAGCTGTGCCTCTATGAGGAGCGACATCAAATGCTTAACACTACGTGAGGAAGAGAGGGATAGACAACACTAAAGTAATCCAGTAAGTCACTAAACAAGCCAAAAGCATTAACAAACTCTAGAGGGTGGACCACCAGTACTCAGAGTTACTACAAAATATTACTTAAAACCCACGTGTCTAGCCTTTTGGCTTCCCTGGGCCACACTGGAAGAAGAAAAATTGTCTTTGCTAACATGAACACTAATGATTGCTCATGAGAAAAAGGAAAGTCAGTGCATAATTTGTGTGATCTACACCACCATAGATAAGCAAAAAATCCCCGAATTCAAAGGGCTGGACACCCGTGAAAATGATCTGGCTGAACACAGTGGCTCACACCTGTCATCCCAGCATATAGTGAGACCCTATCTCTATCTCTAAAAATAAAAATAAAAATATTCTGGTTTTTAACATAAAATTATGAGGAATACAAAGAAGAAATTATAATCTGTACACTAAAAAAGCAACTGCTAATGAGAAGAATCAGATGTTGGATTTATCAGAATGACTTTAAAGTAGCAATTATAAACATGCTCATAGAACTGAAGAAACCATGATTACAGAAGTAAAACAAGATATGATAATGTCATATCAAACTGAGAATATCAGCAGAAAGACAGAAATATTTTAAGATAACTTGCATGTTAATCATAGCACTATTTGCAATAACAAAGATATGATATCATTCTGTGTCCATCAGTCAATGCTTGGATTAAAAATGTGGTATATCTGCACAATCGAATACTGTTCAGCCATAAGAAGAATGAACTCATGTCTTTTGCAGCAGCATGCATAGAAGTGGAAGCCATTCTCCTGAGTGAAATAACTGAGATACAGAAAGACAAATACAATATGTTCGCATTTGAAAGTAAAAGCTAAATAAGGAGTACACATGGATGTACAGTGTGGGATAACAGACAATGGAAACTTGGAAAAATAGAAGTGGGGGGCTTGGAGTGGATAAGAAATTACTTAATGTTACAATGTACATTATTCAGGTGATGGATACCCTAAAAGCCCTAACTTCACTACTATGTAATCCCTCCATGTAATGAAACTATACTTGCATCCTGTAAATTTATACAAAAAAAAAGAAGAGCCTAATGAAAGCACTGAAGTTGAAAAGCAAAATAATTAAAATTTAAAATCCACTGGAGGAGACATTGATTGAACTGCCAGAAGAAGGAATAAGTGAACTTGAAGATAGAGTGATAGATATGCAAGCCAAAGAACAGAGAGAAAAAACAATAGAGAAAAATGAACACTGTCAGAGTAATGTGGGTCATCATTAAGTGCACCAACATATGTGTAATGTCAGTATCAGAAGAAGAAAAGGGGAAGAAGCAGAAAAACATATGTGAAGAAATAATGTCTTAAAACCTCACAAGGTTATCAAAAAACAGCATACACATTCAGGATGTTTAATGAACTTCAAATAGGATAAACACAAAGAGATCTACAAATAAATACATCATCATAGTAAAACTTCTGAAAGTCAAATTCAAGAAGAAAATTCTGAAAGCAACAAGAGAAAAACAGCTTATTATTTAGAAGGGAACTCTAATAGTATTAACAGCTGACTCCTCAGAAGAAACTATGGAGATCAATAAGGCAGTGGGAAAGCATTGAAATTATTCCGAAAAAAATTCTATCCACCAGGCATTCTATAGCCAACCAAACTATCATTCAAACATTAATAGAAATGGAAACTAGAAAAGCAAAAACTAGAAAAATTTGTTGCTAGCAAATCTGCCTTATAGAAAATAGTAAAGGAAATCTTCAGGATGAACACCAGTAATCCCATTTGGTAATTCAAATCCACACAAAAAAAGAAAGAGCACTGGTAAAGGAAATTTTGTAACTACAAAAGACAGTGTAAATGCATAGGTTTTGTATTTTTTTCTTCATTTGATTTAAAAAGCAATTGTGTACGATAATATGTATGTAATGTATTTTTGGGCCTTTAACTTATAGAAATGTAATATATATGTATTATATTTGTCACTAACAGCACAAAGGAGGTTGGCAAAAGTAAAGCTGTGCTGGGCTAAAGAAATAATTACCAATGATAAAATAATAATCATAACAATATGTTACCGGGTTTGTAGCATTAATTAATGTCATACATAGAACAATAATCCCACAAAATGAGGAAAAGATAATAGAGCTATCTATAAGTAGCATTTCTGAATTATGCTAGTATAAGTTTGAAGTGGATTCTATAAGTTAATATTTATATGGCATACCCTAAAGCAACACTTACAAATTCTTCAAAAACATATAGCAAAAAAAAAAAATTTAATTTAAAATGCTACATTAGAAAATATTTAGTTGAGTTGTCTTCACTGCTTCATGTCTTCTGTTAAAGGAGGCCCAGGTGATTCTGTCACAGGTTCTATTGCTCTGTGATCAGCAGGTACTCAGAGACACATAGGGGGATGCTGGGGCCCTTCAGAAGCTGGAAAACGGTTTCGCTGTCTCTAAGCCACACCTAATCACCTGTCTGGAGCAAAGTAAAGAGACCTGGAATGTAACAATAGAGAAGACAGTAGCTGTACATCCAGGATTCAAGATGGTCAACTAGAAACAGCCAGGAGAAACATCTCCCACTGAGAGACTGGGATATCAGAAAGACTGGCACACTTCAAGCAGATCTTTGGAGGGAAGGCATTAAGAATGGATGCGGGGGAGGATATAGACACTGGGCCAATGGGAGAAGAAGTTGGGAACCCTGCAGGGGGCTGAGGAGTACTGGGACTCATTCTTGGCTCCCAGAGACTCCTAAGAAAGGGGTGAGTTGAACAGGCAAGGAGTGGCCCACTCTCACTACACACCTCTGGAATCCTATCAGCAGGAGACCTCATGACCCCAGTGGACACTTGAGCTGGTAAAGAAAGCTGCTTTAGAGAGTGTCAGGGCAAGACTCCAGACTGTATGACATGATGATCATCCCGAAGACACATAGTCATCAAATTCTCCAAGGTTGAAATGGAAGAAAAAATGTTAAAGGCAGCTAGAGAGAAGGGGCGGGTCACCTACAAAAACAATACCATTAGGCTAACAGCTGATCTTTCAACAGAAACTCTAGAAACTGGAAAAGATTGGGGGCCCATATTTATCATTCCTAAAGAAAATTAATTCAAACCAATAATTTTATATCCAGCCAAATTAAGCTTCATAAGTGAAAAAGAAATAAGATACTTTCCATACAAGCAAATGCTAAGGAAATTCATTACTATCAGACCTGCCTTACAAGAGACCCTTAAGGGAGTGTTAAACACACTTCAGTACATAGACCATTGACACTACAAAACAACTACAAAATCAAGTCTGCATAATAACCAGCTAACAACATGACAGTATCAAATCTGCAAATATCAATATTAACCTTGAATGTAGATGAGCTAAATGCCTCAATTAAAAGACACTGAGTAGCAAGTTGGATCAAGAAGCAAAACCCAAATCTATGCTGTCTTTAAGAGATCCATCACACATGTAATGACATCCATATCTTAAAGTAAAGGGATAGAGAAAAATTGACCAAGCAAATGAAAAACAGAAAAAAGCAGGGGTTGCTATTCTAATTTCAGACAAAATAGAGTTGAAACCAACAATGATCCAAAAAGACAAAGACAGGCATTCCATAATGGTAAAGGGTTCAATTCAACAAGAAGATCTAACTATCTTAAATATGTATGCACCTAACATAGAAGAAGCTAGGTTCATAAAACAAGTTCTAAGAGGCCTGCAAAGAGACTTAGATAACCACACAATAATAATAGGAGACTTCAACACTCCACTGACATTATTAGATTATCATTGAAATGGAAAACTGAAAAAGATATTCTAAACTTACACTCAACACTTGATTAACTGGACCTAACAGACATATGACAGAACACTCCACCCAACAAGAATAGAATATACATTCTTCTCCTCTGCACATGACAAACACTCTAAAATCAACCATACAATTAGCCATAAAACAATTCTCAGCAAAATCAAAAACACTCAAATCATACCAACCACACTCTCAGTCAACAGTGCAATAAAAATTAAAATCAATACTAAGAAGATTGCTCAAAATGATACAATTACATGAAAATTAAACAATCTGCTTCTGAATGACTTTTGAGTAAAAAATGAAATTAACTAGAAAATCAAGAAATTCTTTGACATTTGGATTTTGCACCTTGATCCAACTTGCCACGTAGTGTCTTTTAATTGAGGCAAATTCTTTGAATGAGAACAAAGATGCAACATACCAGAATCTCTCAAACAAAGATAAAGCAGTGTTAAGAGGAAAATGTATGGCATGAAACTCCCACATCAAAAAGTTGGAAAGATCTCAAATTAACAACTTAACATCACTCCTACAAGAACTAGAAACACAAGATCAAACCAACCCCAAAGTTAGCAGAAGACAAGAAGTAACCAAAATCAGAGCACAACTGAATGAAATTGAATTGTGAAAAACCATACAAAAGCTCGACAAACCACAAGTTGGTTCTTGGAAGGAATAAATAGGATTGATATGCTGCTAGCTAGACTAATAAAGAAGAAAAGGGAGAAGATCCGAATAAACACAATTAGAAACGACAAAGAGGGTATTACCACTGACCCCACAGAAATACAAAAAAACCTCAGAGACTAGTATGAACACCTCTATGCACAGAAACTAGACATCGTAAAAGAAATTGATAAATTCCTGATAACATTCACCATTTCAAGATTAAACCACCAGCTGTATAAAGAAGACCTGGCACCATTCCTACTCCAAACTGCTCCAAAAACTTGAAGAAGAAGGACTCCTCCCTAACTCATTCTATGAGTCCAGCATCATGCTGACATCAAAACCTGGCAGAGACACAACCAAAAAGGAAAACTTCAGGACAGTACCCTTGATGAACATAGATGCAAAAATCCTGAACAAAATACTGGCAAACCAAATCCAGCATCACATCAAATGGTTAATACACCAGGCTTTATCCCTGGAATGGTTCAACATACACAAATCAATAAATGTAATTCATTACATAAGAGAACTAAAAACAAAGTCTACATAATCATCTCAATGGATGCAGAAAAGGGTTTTGATAAAATTCAACATCCCTTCATGTTAAAAATCCTCAACAAACTAGACATTGAAGGAACAAACATACCTTGAAAAAATTAGAGCCTTCTATGACAAACCCACAGCCAACATCATACTGAATGGAAGCATTCTCCTTGATAACCAGAACAAGACAAGGATTCCTACTGTCACAACTCCTGTTCAACATAGTACTGGAAGTTCTAGCCAGAGCAATTGGGCAAGAGAAAGAAATAAAAGGCATCAAAATAGGAAGAAAGATCATCGATATTGTTTGGCTGTGTCCTCACCCAAATCTCATCTCGAATTGTAGTTCCCATAATCCCCATGTGTTGTGGGAGGCACCTGGTGGGAGGTAATTTAATGATGGGGGCGGTTACTCCCATGCTGATCATGCTGTTCTTGTGCTAATGAGTGACTTCTCTTGAGGTCTGATGGTTTTAATGGGGCTTCCCCCTTCACTTGGCTCTCATACCTCTTCCTGCCGCCCTGTGAAGAGGGATGTGTTTGCTTCCCCTTCCGCCATGACTGTAAGTTTCCTGAGATCTCCCCAGCCATGCTGAACTGTGAGTTAATTAAGCCTCTTTTCTTTGTAAATTACTCAGTCTCAGGTAAGTCTTTATTAGCAGCATGATAATGGACTAATACAATAGTCAAACTATCTCTCTTCACAGATGATGTCATTCTGTATCTAGAAAACTTGACAGTCTTTGCCCAAAAGCTCCAAGATCTGATAAACAACTTTAGTAAAGTTTCAGAATACAAAATCAATGTACAATAATCAGTAGCATTTCTATACACCAACAACATCCAGGCTGAGTGCCAAATTAAGAAAAGTCTCTTTCACAACAGCCACAAAAAGAATGAAATAGCTAGGTATACAACTCACCAGGGAAGGGAAAGATCTCGAGAGCCAGAATGATGAAACACTGTTCAAAGAAATCAGAGATGACCAAAACAAATAGAAAAATACTCTGTGTTCATAAATAAGAGAAATCAGTATTGTTAAAATGGTCATACTTCCCAAAGCAATTCAAATGTTTAATGCTGTTCCTATCAAACTACCAATTACATTCTTCACATAATTAGAAAAAAAAATTTAAATGTATGTAAAGCCAAAAAAGAGCCTGAATAGCCAAAACAATCCTAAGAAAATAGAACAAAGCTGGAGGCACCACATTACCTGACTTCAATCTATATTACAAAACTACAGTAGTTAAAACAGCATGGTATTGGTACAAAAATAGACACATAGACCAATGGAACAGCATAGAGCGCCCAGAAATAAAGCTGCACTTCTCTAACCATCTGATCTTTGACAAAGTGGACAAAAAGAAGCAATGGGGAAAGGACTCCCTATTCAATAAATGGTGCAGTGATAACTGGCTAGCTATATGAAGAATATTAAAACTGGACCTCTTCCTTATATCATATACACAAATCAGCTCAAGATAGATTAAAGACTTAAATATAAAACCTAAAGGTATAAATGCCCTGAAAGATAACCTAGGAGATACTACTTCAGACATAGGACTTGGCAACGATTTTGTGATGAAGACACCAAAAGCAATTGCAAAAAAATAAAAATAAAAATAAAATAAATAAATGAGACATAATTAAACTAAAGTTTTTCTGCACAGCAAAAGAACCTATCAACAGAATAAACAGACAACCTACAGAATGGGAGAAAATATTTTCAAACCATGAATTGAAAAAGGGTCTAATATCCATAATCTATAAGGAAATTAAACAAATTAACAAGCAAAAACCAAACAACTCCATTAAAAAGCAAGCAAAAGACTTGAACAGGGAGTTTTCAAAAAAAAAGACATACGTGCGGCTAACAGGCATATGGAAAAAATGCTCAACATCACTAATCATTAGAGAAATGCAAATCAAAACCAAAATGAGGTATCATCTCACATTAGTCAGAATGGCTATTAGTAAAAAGGCAAAATATAACATATGCTGGCAAGGTTTTGGAGAAAAGGGACTGCTTATACACTGCTGGTGGGAATATAAATTAGTTCTGCCATTGTGGAAAGCAGTTTGGTGATTTTTCAAATGGCTTAAAATAGATGTACTATTTAACTTAGCAATCCAATTATTGGGCATACACCCAAAGGAACATGAATTGTTCTACCATAAAAACACATGAATGTGTATGTGCATCACAGCATTATTCACAATAGCAAAAACATGGAGTCAACCTAAAGTCACATCAACAGTAGACTGGATAAAGAAAATGTGGTACATATACTCCATGGAATACTACAAAGCCATGTAAAAGAAGTAGATTATGTCCTTTGCAGCAACATGGGTGGAGCAGGAGGCCATTATCTTAAATGAAATAACACAGGAGCAGAAAAGTAAATACTGCCTGTTCTCACTTATAAGTGGAAGCTAAACATTGAGTACATGTGGACACAAAGAAGAAAACAACAGACACTGGACCCTACTTGAGGGTGGATGGTGGGAGGAGGGTGAGGATGGAAAAATAACCTATTGGGTACAGTGTTTACTATTTGGGTGTTTGGTACACTAGAAGACCAAACCCACCACTATTCAATATATCCATGTAATAAACCTGAACATGTACCCCTGAGTCTATATAAATAAAAATAAACTTTAAGAAAAAAAAGAAAATATTCATTTGATGTGAAAGAAAGCAGCAGAATGATAGAGAAAAAAAAAACATGAGACATATAAAAACCAAAACGTAAAAAAGCTGACATAAATTCAACTGTATCAATAACACTAAATGTGAGAGGATTAAATAATCCAATCAAAGGCAGAGACTAACATGCTGCATATAAAACAAGATCCAACTATATTCTTTCTATAGGAGACACTCTAGATTCAAAGATACAAATAAACTAAAAGCAAAAGAATGGAAACAAAGATATATCATGAAAATAGCAACCACAAGAAAGTTGTAGTGGCTATAATGATGTTGGACAAGATAGACTTTAAAACAATAAAAGTTACTAAAGACAAACAGAACCATTTTATAATGATAAAAGGGTTAATCCACCAGGAAGATAAAAAAAATACATCAAGAAGATAAAACAATGCACCTAGTAACACAACACCAAAACACTTGAAGGAAAAATTGATAGACATAAAGGGAGAAAGATACAATTTAACCATACAGTAATAGTTAAAGATTAACTCACTTTTTTTTTTTTGAGTCAGAGTCTCTCTCAGTCACCCAGGATGGAGTGCAGTGGCATGATCTCCACCCATTGCAACCTCTGCCTCCCAGGTTCAAGCGATTCTCTTGCCCGCATTCTTGAGTAGCTGGGATTACAGGCACATGTGACCACGTCCAGCTAGTTTTTGTATTTTTAGTAGAGATGGGGTTTCACCATGTTGGCCAAGCTGGTCTCAAACACCTCACCTCAAGTGATCCACCCACCTCAGTCTCTCAAAGTGCTGGGATCACAGGCATGAGCCACTGTGCCCATCCTCAGTAACTCACTTTCAATAATGCATAGATCTAGTCAAAAAAATAAGGAAATAGAGAACTTGTACAACATTATGAACCAACTAGACCTAACAGACGTCTATAGAACACTATATCACAAAATGAAGAATATACATTATTTTCAAGTTTTCATGGAACATTCCACAAGATAGATCATATGCTGGACCATAAAGCAGATCTCAATAAATTTAAAAGGATAGACATAATACAAAGTATCTTCTCTGAACAAACTGGAATAACATTAGAAATCAATAGCAGGAAAAAATTGGGGAAACACATAAATTAAACAACATAATAAATAAGTGAAAAAAGAAATCAAAAAGAGAAAATCCGATAATATCTTGAGACAAATGAAAATTAAGGAAGAACATACTAAAATTTATGTGATGCACTCTCTCTCCCTCCCTTTCTCCACATGCACAGAAGAGAGGGCAAATGAGGACATGGTGAGAATCTGCTAGCCAGGAAGACAGACCTTACCAACACCAAACCTGATGGCACTTTGATCTTGGATTTTCAACCTCTAGAATTGTGAGAAAATAAATTTCTGTTGTTTAAGATATAAGTCTGTGGTATGATGTTATGTCAGCCCTAGCACACTAATACACATATGTTAATAAGGAAAGAAAATCTAAAATCAATAACCCAAACATCTTCTATAAGAAACTGGAACAAGAGATAGAACTACACCTAAAGCAAGTAGAAGGAAGGAAATAATAAAGATTAGAGAAAATATTGATGAAATATAGAATAGAATCAATAAGTAATAGAGAAAATCAATAAAATCAAAAACTGGTTCTTTGAAAAAAAAATTGGCAAAACTTTACTTAGCCTGACCAAGAAAAAAAGAGAGAAAATGCAAATTACTTAAATCAGAAATAAAAGTTGAGACATTATTCATAATGTTTAAAATAAAATGAGGATACTATGGATAATTATACATCAACAAACTACATAAATTATATGAAATAGCCAAATTTCTATTTTTAAAGCAATCAAAATTGACTTAAGGAGAAATCCCACGTTTGGACAGACAAACAGGTGAAGAAATTGAATCAGTAGTCAAAGACCTTCCAATAAAAGAGAATTCTAAGACCAGATGGCTTGTCTGGCAAATTTTATTAAATATTTAAAGAGTAATTAGTAGCAATCTTTCTCAAACTCTTTCAGGCTAGATGTGGGGTCTCATGCCTGTAATCCCAGCACTTTGGGAGGCTGAGGCAGGTGGATCACCTGAAGTCAGGAGTTTGAGACCAGCCTGGACAACATGGTGAAACCCTGTCTCTACTAACATGGTGAAACCCTATCTCTACTGAAAAAACAAAAATTAGCCACGAGTGGTCGCATGTGCCTGTAATCCCACTACTCAGGAGGCTGAGGCATGAAAATCACTTGAACCCAGGAGGGGAAGTTTGCAGTAAGCTGAGGTTGTGTCACTGCACTCCAGCCTGGGCAACAGAGTGAGACTTCATTTCAAAAAAAAAAAAAAAAAACTATTTAAAAAACAACAAACAAACAAAAGAAAGTGGAATAGTTGATAATTTATTCTGAGGTTAGCATTACATTAATACCAAAAACAGATAAAGATCCTACAAAAAACTGTAAACCAATATTCTTTATGAATATTGATGTAAAAATTTTTAACAAACTACTACCAAACTGAATACATCAGCATCATAAAGAATTAAATATCATCCCAGGGATGAAGCCCACTTGATCATGGTGGATAAGCTTTTTGATGTGCTGCTGGATTCGGTTTGCCAGTATTTTATTGAGGATTTTTGCATCAATGTTCATCAAGCATATTGGTCTTAAATTCTCTTTTTTGGTTGTGTCTCTGCCCCGCTTTGGTACCAGGATGATGCTGGCCTCATAAAATGAGTTAGGGAGGATTCCCTCTTTTTCTATTGATTGGAATAGTTTCAGAAGGAATGGTACCAGCTCCTCCTTGTATTTTTGGTAGAATTCGGCTGTGAATCCATCTGGTCCTGGACTCTTTTTTGTTGGTAAGCTATTGATTATTGCCACAATTTCAGAGCCTGTTATTAGTCTATTCAAAGATTCAACTTCTTCCTGGTTTAGTCTTGAGAGGGTGTATGTGTCGAGGAATTTATCCATTTCTTCTAGATTTTCTAGTTTATTTGTGTAGAGGTGTTTGTAGTATTCTCTGATGGTAGTTTGTATTTCTGTGGGATCGGTCGTGATATCCCCTTTATCATTTTCTATTGTGTCTATTTGATTCTTCTCTCTTTTCTTCTTTATTAGTCTTGCTAGCAGTCTATCAATTTTGTTGATCCTTTCAAAAAACCAGCTCCTGGATTAATTAATTTTTTGAAGGGTTTTTTGTGTCTCTATTTCCTTCAGTTCTGCTCTGATTTTAGTTATTTCTTGCCTTCTGCTAGCTTTTGAATGTGTTTGCTCTTGCTTTTCTAGTTCTTTTAATTGTGATGTTAGGGTGTCAATTTTGGATCTTTCCTGCTTTCTCTTGTGGGCATTTAATGCTATAAATTTCCCTCCACACACTGCTTTGAATGTGTCCCAGAGATTCTGGTATGTTGTGTCTTTGTTCTCATTGGTTTCAAAGAACATCTTTATTTCTGCCTTCATTTCGTTATGTACCCAGTAGTCATTCAGGAGCAGGTTGTTCAGTTTCCATGTAGTTGAGCGGTTTTGAGTGAGTTTCTTAATCCTGAGTTCTAGTTTGATTGCACTGTGGTCTGAGAGACAGTTTGTTATAATTTCTGTTCTTTTACATTTGCTGAGAAGAGCTTTACTTCCAAGTATGTGGTCAATTTTGGAATAGGTGTGGTGTGGTGCTGAAAAAAAATGTATATTCTGTTGATTTGGGGTGGAGAGTTCTGTAGATGTCTATTAGGCCTGCTTGGTGCAGAGCTGAGTTCAATTCCTGGATATCCTTGTGAACTTTCTGTCTCATTGATCTCTCTAATGTTGACAGTGGGATGTTAAAGTCTCCCATTATTATTGTGTGGGAGTCTACGTCTCTTTGTAGGTCACTCAGGACTTGCTTTATGAATCTGGGTGCTCCTGTATTGGGTGCATATATATTTAGGATAGTTAGCTCTTCTTGTTGAATTGATCCCTTTACCATTATGTAATGGCCTTCTTTGTCTCTTTTGATCTTTGTTGGTTTAAAGTCTGTTTTAACAGAGACTAGGATTGCAACCCCTGCCTTTTTTTATTTTCCATTTTCTTGGTAGATCTTCCTCCATCCTTTTATTTTGAGACTATGTGTGTCTCTGTACGTGAGATGGGTTTCCTTAATAAAGCACACTGATGGGTCTTGACTGTTTATCCAATTTGCCAGTCTGTGTCTTTTAATTGGAGCATTTATCCATTTACATTTAAAGATAATATTGTTATGTGTGAATTTGATCCTGACAGTATAATGTTAGCTGGTTATTTTGCTCGCTGGTTGATGCAGTTTTTTCCTAGCCTCGATGGTCTTTACAATTTGGCATGATTTTGCAGTGGCTGGTACCAGTTGTTCCTTTCCATGTTTAGTGCTTCCTTCAGGAGCTCTTTTAGGGCAGGCCTGGTGGTGACAAAATCTCTCAGCATTTGCTTGTCTGTAAAGGATTTTATTTCTCCTTCACTTATGAAGCTTAGTTTGGCTGGATATGAAATTCTGGGTTGAAAATTCTTTTCTTTAAGAATGTTGAACATTGGCCCCCACTCTCTTCTGGCTTGTAGAGTTTCTGCCGAGAGATCCGCTGTTAGTCTGATCAGCTTCCCTTTGTGGGTAACCCGACCTTTCTCTTTGGTTGCCCTTAACATTTTTTCCTGCATTTCAACGTTGGTGAATGTGACAATTATGTGTCTTGGAGTTGCTCTTCTCGAGGAGTATCTTTGTGGCATTCTCTGTATTTCCTGAATCTGAATGTTGGCCTGCCTTGCTAGATTGGGGAAGTTCTCCTGAATAATATCCTGCAGAGTGTTTTCCAACTTGGTTCCATTCTCCCCGTCACTTTCAGGTACACCAATCAGATGTAGATTTGGTCTTTTCACATAGTCCCATATTTCTTGGAGGGTTTGTTCATTTCTTTTTATTCTTTTTTCTCTAAACTTCCCTTTTCACTTCATTTCATTCATTTCATCTTCCATCACTGATACCCTTTCTTCCAGTTGATCGCATCGGCTCCTGAGGCTTCTGCATTCTTCACGTAGTTCTCGAGCCTTGGCTTTCAGCTCCATCAGGTCCTTTAAGCACTTCTCTGTATTGATTATTCTAGGTATACATTCATCTAAACTTTTCTCAAGTTTTTAACTTCTTTGCCTTTGGTTTGAATTTCCTCCTGTAGCTCATAGTAGTTTGATCATCTGAAGCCTTCTTCTCTCAACTCGTCAAAGTCATTCTCCATCCAGCTTTGTTCCACTGCTGGTGAGGAACTGCATTCCTTTGGAGGAGGTGGGGCACTTCGCTTCTTAGAGTTTCCAGTTTTTCTGCTCTGTTTTTTCCCCATCTTTGTGGTTTAATCTACTTTTGTTCTTTGATCATGGTGATGTACAGATGGGTTTTCGGTGTGGATGTCCTTTCTGTTTGTTAGTTTTCCTTCTAACAGACAGGACCCTCAGCTGCAGGTCTCTTGGAGTTTGCTAGAGGTCCACTCCAGACCCTGTTTGCCTGGGTATCAGCAGTGGTGGCTGCAGAACAGTGGACTTTCGTGAACCGCAAAGGCTGGTTCAATATACACAAATCAAGAAACGTAATCCAGCATATAAACAGAACCAAAGACGAAAACCACATGATTATCTCAATAGATGCAGAAAAGGCCTTTGACAAAATTCAACAACCCTTCATGCTAAAAACTCTCAATAAATTAGGTATTGATGGGACGTGTCTCAAAATAATATGAGCTATCTATGACAAACCCACAGCCAATATCATAGTGAATGAGCAAAAACTGGAAGCATTCCCTTTGACAACTGGCACAAGACAGGGATGCCCTCTCTCACCACTCCTATTCAACATAGTGTTGGAAATTCTGGCCAGGGTAATGAGGCAGGAGAAGGAAATAAAAGGTATTCAATTAGGAAAAGAGGAAGTCAAATTCTCCCTGTTTGCAGATGACATGATTGTATATCTAGAAAACCCCATTGTCTCAGCCCAAAATCTCCTTAAGCTGATAAGCAACTTCAGCAAAGTCTCAGGATACAAAATCAATGTACAAAAATCACAAGCATTCTTATACACCAATAACAGACAAACACAGAGCCAAATCATGAGTGAACTCCCATTCACAATTGCTTCAAAGAGAATAAAATACCTAGGAATCCAACTTACAAGGGACGTGAAGAACCTCTTCAAGGAGAACTACAAACCACTGCTCAAGGAAATAAAAGAGGATACAAAGAAATGGAAGAACATTCCATGCTCATGGGTAGGAAGAATCAACATCGTGAAAATGGCCATACTGCCCAAGGTGATTTATAGATTCAATGCCATCCCCATCAAGCTACCAATGACTTTCTTCACAGATTTGGAAAAAAATTCTTTAAAGTTCATATGGAACCAAAAAACAGCCCATATTGCCAAGTCAATCCTAAGCCAAAAGAACGAAGCTGGAGGCATCACACTACCTGACTTCAAACTATACTACAAGGCTACAGTAACCAAAATAGCATGGTACTGTTACCAAAACAGTGATATAGATCAATGGAACAGAATAGAGCCCTGAGAAATAATGCCACATATCTACAACTATCTGATCTTTGACAAACCTGACAAAAACAAGCAATGGGGAAGGGATTCCCTGTTTAATAAATGGTACTGGGAAAACTGGCTAGCCATATGTAGAAAGCTGAAACTGGATCCCTTCCTTACACCTTATACAAAAATTAATTCAAGATGGATTAAAGACTTAAACGTTAGATCTAAAACCATAAAAACCCTAGAAGAAAACCTAGGCATTACCATTCAGGACATAGGCATGGGCAAGGACTTCATGTCTAAAACACCAAAAGCAATGGCAACAAAAGCCAAAATTGACAAATGGGGTCTAATTAAACTAAAGAGCTTCTGCACAGCAAAAGAAACTACCATCAGAGTGAACAGGCCACCTACAAAATGGGAGAAAATTTTCGCAACCTACTCATCTGACAAAGGGATAATATCTAGAATCTACAATGAACTCAAACAAATTTACAAGAAAAAAACAAACAACCCCATCAAAAAGTGGGCAAAGGATATGAACAGACACTTCTCAAAAGAAGACATTTATGCAGCCAAAAAACACATGAAAAAATGCTCACCATCACTGGCCATCAGAGAAATGCAAATCAAAACCACAATGAGATACCATCTCACACCAGTTAGACTGGCAATCATTAAAAAGTCAGGAAACAACAGGTGCTGGAGAGGATGTGGAGAAATAGGAACACTTTTACACTGTTGGTGGGACTGTAAACTAGTTCAACCATTGTGCAAGTCAGTTTGGTGATTCCTCAGGGATCTAGAACTAAAATTACCATTTGACCCAGCTATCCCATTACTGGGTATATACCCAAAGGACTATAAATCATGCTGCTATAAAGACGTATGCACATGTATGTTTATTGTGGCACTATTCACAATAGCAAAGACTTGGAACCAAGTCAAATGTCCAACAATGATAGAGTGGATTAAGAAAATGTGGCACATATACACCATGGAATACTATGCAGCCATAAAAAATGATGAGTTCATGTCCTTTGTAGGGACATGGATGAAATTGGAAATCATCATTCTCAGTAAACTATCGCAAGGACAAAAAACCAAACACCACGTGTTCTCACTCATAGGTGTGAATTGAACAATGAGAACACATGAACACAGGAAGGGGAACATCACACTCTGGGGACTGTTGTGGGGTGTGGGGAGAGGGGAGGGATAGCATTAGGAGATATACCTAATGCTAAATGATGAGTTAATGGGTGCAGCCCACCAGCATGGCACATGTATACATATGTAACTTACCTGCACACTGTGCACATGTACCCTAAAACTTAAAGTATAATAATAATAAAATAAAGAAAAGAATTAAATATCTTGACTAAATGATTTATTCCAGAAATGCAATACAGTAATGGGCCTCATAAATTTTTTTATCAATGATGGACCACATAAATGACAGTGGTCTCATAAGAGTATAATGAAGCTGAAAAATGTTTATTGCCTAGTGACTTAGTTGTCATAGCATTGTAGCACAATACACTACTCACATATTTGTGGTGATTATGGTGTATACAAACCTAGTATTAATAATAAACAACTCTGTTACTGGCTTATGTAGATATCATACTATATTTTCATCTTTATTTTAGAATGTACTCCTTCTATTTATGAAAAGTTCACTCTAAAACAACCTTAAGCAGGTTCTTCAGGAGCTATTCCAAAAGAAGGCATTATTTCCATAGAAGATTAAAGCTTTGTGTGTTGCTGCTCCCAAGGATCTTCCAGTAAAAGAAGACATGGAGGTGAAAGACAGTGATATTGATCACCCTGAATCTGGACAGGCCTAGGCTAATGTGTGTTTTCATGTCTTAGTTTTTAAGAAAAAAAGTTTTAAAAGTATTTAAAATATTAAAAATTTAAAAGTAGAAAAAGCTTATAGAATAAGGATATGAAGAAAAAATATTTTTGTACAGCTGTACAATGTGTATGTGTTTTAAAGCAAGTATTATTACAAAAGAATCAAAAATATTAAAAAATTAAAAAGCTTTTTAAGTGAAAAAGTTACAATAAGCTGAGATTAATTTATTAATGAAGAAAAAAACTTTTTTTGTAAATTTCATGCAGCCTGAGTGTACAGTGTTTATAAAATTTATAGTAGGGTTCAGTAATGTCCTAGGCCTTCACATTTACTAACCATTCACTCACTGACTCATCCAGAGCAACTTCCGGTTCCGCAAGCTTCATTCATGGCAAGTATTATATACAGGTGTACTGTTTTTATTTTTTATGTTGAATTTTACTGTACCTTTTCTATATTTAGATACACAAATACATATTATTGTCCTACAATTGCCTACATTATTCAGTACAGTCACATACTTTACAGGTTTGTAGCCTAGGAGCAATAGGCTACACTACAGAAACTAGGTATGTAATAGGCTATGCCATCTAGGTTCATGAAAATACATTCTATATTGCTCTCACAAAAAGAAAATCACTTAACAGTGCATTGTTTAGAATATGTCTCAATCATAAAGTGATACATGACTGTATAAAAATACCAATCAATGTAATGTTAGATGTGAGTTCTAAATTTCTCTTGAAAGGATCAATATGTCAGTATGTTCAATTCTTTGCCTTCTACTTTTAAACTTAACTTCCTCGTAAAGCAACCTTTTTCAATTACCTGCTCCATCCTGACTCATTCCCATTACCTTCTCCACTCTGACTCATACTCATTACCTGCTCCACCCTGACTCATTCCAATTACCTGCTCTGCCCTGACTCATTCTGATTGTTTGCTCCACCCGGACTCATTCCAATTACCTGCTCTGCCCTGACTCATTCTCCACCCTGACTCATTCTGATTTCCTGATCTGCCATAACCATTTTTTCCCGCCAAACCACTCACCTTGTCACTCTCTTTAAATTAGCCAATCAGAATTAGTTTAGCCTGTTCAGTCTAACCCTAGCCAATAGGGGAACAACAGCAGCAGGGACCACATGTGTCAGGAATAAGAACCCCTCCCCCTCCCTTGTCCAGGTGTGCACTCACCATTGCTCCATCTGTAAGGGTGGGCCCTTTTATAGAAGTACATTGCCTTGCTGAGAATTAAAAAAAAAAAATTATATTTGAATGCTATTTCTTTTGCAGCACCAAAATTTTATTTGTAACAACTTAGGGGCTCGCCCATGATTACATTCCCCTCCAGGGACAGTCTCTGGTTCTCCCTCGTGAGGAGGCGTGCCCCGCCCCCTTGTGGCGACCTCAGGGCTTAGGAATCAGCACCCACTCAGTGCGAGGAATAACCTGAGATCTCAGCAACGCAGAAAGAAACTGGCCAGCAACCTAGCTTAAAGGGTCCTCACCTACTGTGGCAACAACTCTGTGCACAGACCAAGGAAGGAGAAGCCATGTGAGCCAGTAAAGTACTTCCTTGGTGGTCAGACTCTGGAGGGCTAAATGTGTGTGTACATGAATGATCACAAACAACCCTGCTTGTGGTGTTGTTCATGTAGATGGTGACAAGTCCTACTGCTGGATGGAATGAGTGGGTCCTCTCCACAGTTCTATAGCTACCTCATATGGCTTAAGGTGGATCCTGCCATGGGATTTATACCAGCATGCCAACACTAAGAGGGGCCCCGAGGGAGCAGCCAGAGAGGACAACATGAGTGGGAAGTGGGCAAGGGACATTCAGAGGGGGAAAAGGAGGAAAGAGGTCAACTTTCCAGAGCAGCAAGGCAAGATACCTCCTGGTTTGAGGGGTTAGGCCTTCCGGAACAGGCAAGGCAAGACATCCCTGGTTTGAGGGGTTGAGGCTTTCAGGGCAGACAAGGTGAGACATCCCTGGTTTGAGGGATTGAGGCTTCCAGGACAGGCAAGACAAGACACCCCTGGATTGAGGGGTTGAGACTTCTGCAAATTTCAGGGGGCTGAACCTCACACAAAACTCCAGTAGTAAGAAAAATATTCAGAACTCCCCTTTCCTTTCTTCTCAGGGGAAGAAAGAGTAGCTCCACTCCCGCCTATCCCTCCCCTAGGGGAAGGGGAAGGAGAGTGGAGAACAGTAGCATAAGTGGCCAGCAGAGGCAGAGAAAAAGAGAGAGAGAGAGAAAGACAAAGAGGGAGTCAAAGAGAGACAGAGAAAGAGAGAGAGAGAGAAACAGAGAGAAAGAGAGAGAGAGAAAGAGAGATAGAAGTAGTAAAGAGGAAGCAGTGTACCCTATTCCTTTAAAAGCCAGGGTAAATTTAAAACCTATAATTAATAATTGAAGGTCTTCTCCGTGATCCTATAACACTCCAATACCATCTTGTCATCAGTGTAAACAAGGGCATAGCCTGAAAACACTGAGGCCAGTGACAACCCGTAGCCTTTCTAATAAAAAATCTTTAACCCAGTAACCCGCGGATGGCCCAAATGCATTCAATCTGTAGTGGCAACTGCTTTGCTAACAGAAGAAAGTAGAAAAATAACTTTTAGAGGAAACTTCATTGTGAGCACACCTCATCAAGTCAGAACTATCCTAAGTCGGAAAAATAAAAAGGTAGCTTACTGACTCAATAATTTTAAAGTATGAGGCTACTCTGTTAGAAAAAGATGATTTAACATTAAACACTGAAAATTCCCTTAACCCAGCATGTTTCCTAACAGAGGATCTAAATCTTAATTACCATCCAAAGGTTCGACCAGACCTAGGAGGTACTCCCTTCAGAACAGGCGATAGATGGTTCCTCCTGGGTGACTGAGGGAAAAAGACACAATGGGTATTCAGTAAGTGATAAGGAAACTCTTGTAGAAGCAGAGTTAGGAAAACGGCCCAATAATTGGTCTGCTCAAACTTGCAAGTTGTTTGCAATAAGCTGAACCTTAACGTACTTACAGAATCAGGAAGGAGCCATCTATACCAATTCTAAGTTAATTTGAACTGAACAAGGTCTTATTAATAGCAAAGAATAATTGAAATCCCAAACTTACAAGGTTTTCAACAAAAGTAAAGTTTGCTAGAAGTTAACAGTGTAACATGTATTATCCTAACTTGTAATCTTGTGGCCTTGCACAGTCTAGTCCACAGACATGAAGGAGGTCCACTTTGGAAAAGAATGGCTATCATCCTTGAGGAAAAAAAGGCGGGGGGGAGAATTTATGTAAAAAAGAATGTTATATGGTAAATTCTTGTCCTAAAATAAATTAAATGGTTGTTTAAAGAAAGGGATGTTTGCAACAAGTCAGAAAGTTGAGGCATGTCAAAGAATTGTCTTTGAAAGTCGTGAAAAAAAGTTATAAAAGGGAATTTATGCAAGAAATGTTGTATAATTTAAAAGTAATTAGGCCTCCTGAATGTAAACTATTGAAGAAAGAGTGTGCAATGTGTGTAAGGAAAGTAAAATATACTTTTGGTAAAAGGATTATAAGGAGGCATAAGAATGTGTATTTTTACCTACATTAAAAGGTTAAAAAATATTTTGTTTTAAAGGTTTAAGCAAGTTTTGAAAAGTTAATTGTAAAGGAAATTGTGTGTGTAAACATATTGGCTAAAGTTAAAGGTGTATCATCTGGTTTCTCTGTGAACTGGACATTAAAATAAAAGCACAACAGGTTTTTCTTAAAGCACTAACTTGCTCTTTAACAAAAATTATAAAAGACTAAAAAGAGTCTATAAAAATCTTACCTTATGGTCAGACATTAAAAATTGAATAAATATGTCTACAAGGTTTTATTAAAATTAAGCTTAACATTAATAACACACTAATATGAAGGTGAAATTTAGCTTATCTGGTATAAAAATAATACAGGAAGCATTGTTAAATATAAAATGGTGTTTGGCTTTCTTTGGTCTAAAAACTAATAAAAATAGGTGCTAAACAAAATTTATCAACAAGAAGGCACCAAGGACTATAAAGTCCACTGTTGATGTCCCCACATTTAAAACAAAAGATTAGTTTCTTAGAAATTATATACTTGGTTTATCCTCCACCTTCTCTTCCCTTAAAACAAGAGATCTTTTAGCACAGGCACCACCTTTGGGGTTTCCAGTACATCAGCATCAGCCTGGGGATCGTGTTCTCATCAAAGGGTGGAAAGAAGGGAAAGTCAAGCCAGCCTGGGGAGGACCCTACCTTGTGCTGCTAACCATGAGACTGCTGCTCGTACAGTGGAAAGGGATGGGTACAACACACCCAAGTCAAGCAATGTCATTATCCTCAGAATCATGGACCATTGTTCCTGGATCAAGCCCTACCAAATTAAACCTAAGGAAAGCTTAGTCTATCTTTTCCTTTCCTTTCCTTACCCAGTGCTTATATCCATTACTATTCCTACCACTAGCAACTCTAACCCCACTTTAAAGCACTTCTATGGTTTTGGAGCAGAGGTCACTGGAAAGGATCCTACAGGCTTCTTTAAGGTGTGCTTTGTTCTCCCTACTCCACCTCCTATGGCTGCCCCTTTCCCAAACCTGTGAAATCAAACTATGACTTGCCTCATGCCAAATGAAACAAGCAAGTTCTCAGTAGTAGAAATAGGAGGACTAAGGCAAACCATAGCCATTGAAACAGAGTATAAAGATGTAAATGCCTGGTCAAAATGGATTCAATATTCCACCCACAAGTTAAACTAAGACAATTGTTATGCTTGTGTGCACGGCAGGCCAGAGGCCCAGATTGTCCCTTTTCCACTAGGGTGGTCCTCCAATTGACTGGGCTTGGGCTGTATGGTAGCTCTTTTCCAGGATTCTACAGCGTGGGGTAACATGTCATGCCAAGCTCTCTCTCTGCTATATCCCGAAGTTTGACACCCTGTGGCTCAGCCCCTGGGGGCCATCCAGCTTTGATCTCTCAGAACTAAGTTCACTTCGTGTCTCTCACGACAGGGAGGAAGCTTAACATTCCTTGGAGACCTGAAGGGAGGCAGTGAGCTTAAAATTTTCAAAAGCTTACCAATTAGTCAGCCCTTATTCATCCCTGAGGAGATGTGTAGTGGTATTATGGTGGACCTTTACTGGACACTCTGCCAAGTAACTGAAGTGGTACTTATGCTTTAGTCCAGTTGGCTAACCCTTTCGCCCTGGCATTTCATCAACCAGAGAAAGAAAAAAAAATAAGACATCATAAAGCAAAAGAAGCCCCTTATGGGTCTTTTGACTCTCATATCTATTTAGACACAATTAGAGTCCCACAGGGAATACCAGATCAATTTAAAGCCCAAAATCAAATAGCTGCAGGATTTGAGTCAATATTTTGGTGGGTGACAATTAATAAAATGTAAATTGGATAAACTACATCTATTACAACCAACAGTGATCTATTAACTACACTAGAGATGCTGTTAAAGGAATAGCTGAGCAATTAGGGGCTACTAGCCAGATGGCTTCGGAAAAATAGGATAACCTTAGACATGATATTAGCAGAAAAGGGAGGAGTTTGCATCATAATTAAAACTCAATGTTGTACCTTCATCCCAAACAACTCCGCCCCTGAGGGAAGTATAACAAAGGCATTGCAAGGTCTGACTGCTCTGTCCAATGAGTTAGCCAACAACTCAGGGGTAAATGGCCCCTTTACAAGATGACTAGAAAAGTGGTTCAGTAAATGGAAAAGAATAGTAGCCTCAATTCTTACTTCCCTTGCAGCCGTAATGGGTGTACTTATTCTTGTCAGGTGCCGTGTCACACCATGCATCCATGGGTTGGTGCAAAGGCTCAAAAAATGACACTTACTGATACCTCCCTTAACTATCCTCCACCTTATCCAGAGAAGCTTCTTTTGGAAAATCAAGCAGAACAACTAAGCCAAGACATGTTAAAGAAGTTTGAAGAGAAAGAGCTGTAAGGAAATGCAAGAGGAGGGGTTGTTAGATATGAGTTCTAAATTTCTCTTCAAAGAATCAAGATGTCAGTATGTTCAATTATTTGCCTTCTACTTTTAAACTTAACTTCTTCTTAAAGCAACCTTTTTCGAGTACCTGCTCCACCCTGACTCATTCCAATTACCTGCTCCACCCTGACTCATTCTCCACCCTGACTCATTCCAATTTCCTGCTCTGCCATAACCATTTTTCCCGCCAAACCACTCACCCTGTTACTCTCTTTAAATTAACCAATCGGAATTAGTTTAGCCTGTGCATTCTAACCCTAGCCAATAGGGGAATGACACAGCAGCAGGGGACAAGTGTGTCTGGAATAAGAACCCCTTCCCCTCCCTTGTCCAGATGTGTGCTCACCATTGCTCCATCTGTAAGGCTGCACCCTTCTATAGAAGTACATTGCCTTGCTGAGAATTAAAAAGAAAATTTTATATTCAAGTGCTATTTATTTTGTGGCACTGAAACTTTATTTATAACAGTAAAATGCCACATTATTTGAATGATTTTAAAAAAACATAATCATCTCAATCAATGTAAAAAAAAAAAGCACTTGACAAATCCAAACCATTTGGTAACTTAAAGAATGCATTCAATAAACTAGGAATAAAAGGTAAATTCTTCAATATAATGAAGGGCATTAATTGAAAATCCACAAGGGAATGTTGCAGCACTACAGCCTGGATGACAGAGCCAGACCCTGTCTTAAAAAAACCCAGGGTCCCAGACCAAGATGGTAGATTAGAAGCAACTGTGGTCCATGGCACTCAAGGAGAGGAATGAAAGGGGTGAGTAAATACACACTTTCAACTGAAGTATCCAGGTACTCTCATTGGAACTAATCAGGGAAACAACTTGACCCACAGAGAACAAAAGCAGGGCAGGGCAACAGCCCACCCTGCAGTGACATGGAGCCAAGGGAACCCCCACCCCTAGCCAAGGGAAGTGGTGAGTGAATATGCAACCCCAGGAAACCACACTTCTCCTACAGATCTTTGCTACCCTCAAATTAGAAGATCCCCTCATGAGCCTTGTGCCTAACACACAGAACTGTGTGGAGTCTCAGCAGAGCAGCTTCTCAGCCACACACAGAAACCCAGTGTTATAGGAGTTATTAAGAAATTATTTTAGGCAGATAGAGAGGAAAAGGGGTCCTTGGGAAGTTTTTGTTTCTTTTTAAGCAGCTCCTGCTTAAATATAGAAAGCAGAAATGCTTCCTGTCTAGAAGGAAAGCTCCGACTCTTAGAGCTGGGCAGGAAACCTTTGATATGCAAATGCAAGCCACTAGAAACTGGGTCCACCCAAACATGGCGATTCCCACAGTTGTCCTCTTGCCCTTGCCCCGACATGTGCCTGGCAACATGGCTGCCCCCACATATCCCCACGTGTGTAGAACATCATGGTGCCCTGCATTTGCATATTTAAAAGCTAGGGTGGGAGGGCCAGTTTTTTATGGGCTACATGATGACATGCCTGGTCAAACCAATCCCCTGAGCCTTATGCAAACCAGACACTGCCTCCTCCAGCCTCCTCATATAACTAGCTGATTTCCATTGCACTCAATGTTTCCTCTCCCATCTTTGGAGCCCCACTCCCTTGGTCTCTGTATGGGGGAGCTTCTTCCTTCTTTCTTGCCTATTAAACTCTCCATTCCTTAAAACCACTTCACGTGTGTTCATGTCATTTTATCCAATTCAATTCGAGACGAAGAACCCTGGTGTTCCTCCACTCATCTGAGTTATATCACCAGGAGCTTTACATACTCCGGCCCTGGAATCCTCAACAAAGGTGAGTGCAACTCAAGCAAGGTGGGAGATTGGTACATACCCTTAGGAAGGGGGCTGAATCCAGGGAGCCACGCAGTATCAGTCTGCGGGCCCACTTCCACAGGACCTCACAAGATAAGACCACTGGCTTAGCCAGATAATAGCAATAGGATGGAGACTGCCTGAGACAGGATACAGCCCCTAGGGAAAAGTGGGCCACCATCTCTGCTGTTTTGTCAACTCAGCCATTCTAGCCTGCAGGCTTTGAAGTGCCCAAAGAGTTCGAATGAGGAAGGGTTCCCCCAGCACAGCACAGCTGCTTTGATAGAATGTGGCCAGACTGCTTCTTTAAGCAAGATCCTGGTTCATTTCTCTTCACTGGGTGGTACTTCCCAGATGGGGCCTCCAGCTACCCCTACCCATCTATATTCTATGGAAAGAACTCTGATCTCACCCTGGAATGAAGTGCCCAGAGGGAGGGGTGAACCACCACCTTGGTGGTTTGGACAACTCAGCCATCCCAGTCTGCAGGCTTTGAAGGGCCCAAGCTGACAAGATCAGAGGCAGTGCCCCAGCATGGCATCACTGTTTTCCCAAGGTGTGGTCAGACTGCTTCTTTAACAGGGACTCCGATTCATTCCTCCTCAATGGGTGAGACTTCCCAGCTGGTGCCTCCAGTCACCCCCACTTACTCATATTCTATGAACAGAGCTCTGATCTCTCCCTAGGGTGGAGTGCCTGAGGGCAGGGCAGGCCACCACGTTGGTTGTTTGGAAGACTTGATGACAGCCATTCCAGCCAGAGGGTTTTGGAGAGTCCAAGTCAATAGGGGCAGAGGCGGTTCTGCAGCATGACAAGGCAGTTTTGTCAAGGCATGGTCAGACTTCTTTTTTAAATGGAAACCTGATCCACTTCCCCTTATAGGGCATATCCTCCCAGCTGGGGCCTCCATCTATCCTCTTCCATATTCTAAGAACAGAGTTCTGATATCTCCCTGGGATGGAGTGCCCAGGGGGCAGGGCAGACCTCCACATTGGCTGTTTGGATATCTAAGCCAGTCAAGCCTGTGGGCCTTGGGGAGCCCAAATTGCTCAGGGGCTGAAGGGATCCCCAACACACCACAGCTGCTCTACCAAAAATCAGCCAGATTGCTTTCTTAAGTGGGTCCCTTATCCTTTCCTCCTGACTGGATGAGACCTCCCAACGGGGATCTCTAGCCACTTCCTACAGGCACATTTGGGCAGCCAACATGTCAGTGCCCCACTAGGATGGAGATTTCAGAGAAAGGGGCACGCTTCCATCTCTGTTGCTTTGTAGACTTCACTTGTGATACCTCCAGGTATGGGAAAAACTGAGGACTAGGGGTCGGGAGTGGGCCCCCAATGAACCAGAACAGCCCTATGGAAGAGTAGCCAGGCTGCCAAAAACAAACAAACAACAAAAACAAAATCCCCCAAAAAAACCCCATCCAAAAGACAGCAACCTCATAGATCAAAGGTAGATAATCTCACAAAGATGAAAAGGAATCAGTGCAAAAATGCTGAAAACTCAAAACTCTAGAGTATCCCCTTTCGTCCCAATGACTACAACACCTCTCCAGCAAGGGTTCAGAACTGGGCTGAGGATGAAATGGCTGAAATAACAGAAGTAGGATTCAGAATGTGGATAAAAATGAACTTTGCTGAGCTAAAAAAAAAAAAAAAAAAAAAGCATGTTGTAATTCAACACAAAGAAAGTAAGAAGCAAAATAAAAGAATGCAGAAGCTGACAACCAAAATAGCCAGTATAGAGAGAAACATAACCAACCTGACAGAGCTAAAAAACACACTAGGAGAACTTCACAATGCAATCACATGTATTAATAGCAGAATAGACCAAGTGGAGGAAAATATATCAGTTTGAAGGCTGTCTTTCTGAAATAACACAGACAGACAAGAATAGAGAAAATAATTAGAAAGAATGAACAAAACCTCTGAGAAATATGGGATTATGTAAAGAGACAAAATTTATGACTGATTGGGGTACCTGGAAAAGACAGTGATAATGGAACCAATCTGGAAAACATATTTGAGAATATCATCCAAAAGGAAGTATCCAACCTAGCAAGACAGGCCAACAATTCAAATTCAGAAAATGTGCAGAGCCTCAGTAACATGTTCCCAAGAGAAGATCATTCTCAAGACACATAGTTATCAGATTTTCAAGGAGGAAATGAAAGGAAAAAAATGTTAAGGGCAGCCAGAGAGAAAGGCCAGATCACCCTCAAAGGGAAGCCTGACTAAAAGCAGACCTGTCAGTGGAAACCCTACAAGCCAGAAGAGATTGAGGGTCAATATTCAACATTCTAAACAAATAAAATAAAGTAAAATAATAAATACATAAAAATTTTCAATCCAGAGTATCATACCTGGCCAAAATAAGCTTCATAAACAAAGGAGAAATAAGATCCTTTTCAGAGAAGCAAATGCTGAGGGAATTCATCACAAGACCTGCCTTGTAAGAGCTCCCGAAGGAAGTGCAAAATGTGAAAAAGAAAAACCATTAGCAGCTATTACAAAAACACACTGAAGTACACAGACAAGTGGCACTATGAAGCAACCACAAAAACAAGTCTGCAAAATAACAAGCTAGCCTCAAGATGACAGGATCAAATCTACACATAACAATACTAACTTTAAATGGCAATGGGGTAAATGCTCCAATTAGAAGACGCAGAATGGCAAGCTGGATAAAGAACCAAAACCCATCAGTACACTGTCTTCAAGGAACCCATCTTACATGCAAAGACACACACAGGCTCAAAATAAAGGAATAAAGGAAAATTTACCAAGCAAATGCAAAACAGAAAAAAAGCAGAAGTTTCAATCCTAGTTTCTGACAAAACAGAGTTTAAACCAACAAAGATCAAAAAAGACAAAGAAAGGTATTACATAATGGTAAAGGATTCCATTCAACAAGAAGAGCTAACTATTCTAAGTACATATGCTCCCAATACAGGAGCACCTACATTCTTTAAGCAAGTTCTTAGAGAAATTCAAAGAGACTTAGACTCCCATACAATAATAATGGGAGACTTTAACACCCCGGTGACAATATCAGACAGATCGAGACAGAAAATTAACAAAGACATTCAGGACCTGAAGTTAGTTCTGGATCAAGTGGACTTGATAAATATTTACAGGACTCTCCACCCCAAAACAAAAGAATATACATTCTTCTCATTTCCAAGTGGTACTTAGTCTAAAATTAATTACATAATTAGAAGTAAAACACTCCCCAGCAAATGCAAAATAGCTGAGATCATAACAGTCTCTCAGACCACAGCATCTTCAAATAAGAACTTAAAATTAAGAAATTCATTCAAAATCACACAACTACATGGAAATTGAACAACATACTACTGAATAACTCCTAGGTAAATAAAAAATTAAGGCAGAAATCAAGAAGTTCTTTGAAACTAATGAGAACAAAGAGACAACGTACCAGAATGTCTGGGATGCAGCTAAGCAGTGATGAGGGAAATGTATAGCAATAAATATCCACACCAAAAAGCTAGAAAGATCTCAAGTTAACAACGTAACATCACAGCCAAAAGAACTAGATAACCAAGAGCAAACAAATCCCAAAGCTAGCAGAAGACCAGAAATAACGAACATCAGAGCAGAACTGAAGGAGCTAGACACAAAGAAACCTTCAAAAAAAATCAACGAATCTAGGAGTTGGCTTTTTGAAAAAAATAGTAAGATAGACTAAAGACAGAAAATTCAAATAAACACAATCAGAAATGATAAGGGGAATATCACCACTGACTCCACAGAAATTAAAAAAAAACCATCAGAGAATATTATAAACATCTCTATGCACATAAACTAAAAAATCTAGAAGAAATTGATGAATTCCTGGACACATACACCCTCCCAAGATTGAACCAGGAAGAAATTAAATTTCTGAAAAAAACCAATAACGAGTTTTGAAATTGAGGCAGTAATAAATAGTCTACCAACCAAAAAAAGCCCAAGACCAGATGGATTCACAGCTGAATTTTACCTGTGGTACACAGAAGAGCTGGTATCTTTCTTACTAAAACTATCCCAGAAAAATGAAAAGGAGAGACTCCTCTCTAATTCATTCTATATGGCCAGCATCATCCTGATACCAAAACCCATCAGAGACACAACAAAAAAATAAAACTTCAGGCCAATATCTCTGATTAATATTGATGAAAAAATCCTCAAAAAACTACTGGCAAACCAAATCCAACAGCACATTGAAAAGCATATTCACCATGATGAGGTAGGCTTCATCCCCAGGATGCAAGATAGGTTCAACATATGCAAATCAATAAATGTAATTCAGGAGGAAGATGGTGGATAGGAGGCAGTACTAACTTGCAGCTCCTGCTCAGACATACAGAACAGCATGTGGAGACTCACATCTTGAACTTTTGCTCCAGGAACTACCACAGGAACACATGAGAAAAAAACAAAAGAATTAACAGGCCATTTGAAAGAGGCTTGTCACTGCAACTCCGTGAGACAGCCAAAAAACTTTGAGTGCCCAAAGCGTGAGACAAAGAAAGTACACCTCCAAACACACATCCTCACCAGGAAACCTGAAAATCCTGGTCACAAAAGAAGAATTTAACCTTACTTAGAGATGAAATGAATTTAGAGAGCAGAAGGAAATATAAAAGTAAAAGAAGCAATGGGAACAGAACTGTAGGCACTCTTGGCACCCAAAAAAGCCTAAAGAAGCCATTTCTGACTTTATCACATAGAAGCCCTTGGGGAGAGCTGCCAGTAAATTGGAGAAAGAACACAGGGAGAAGGAAACTTTCAGCTGAACTTTGTAATATTTCTACCAAATGTGAATTTACCTGGAGAGAATTGGGGGACAGGGGGAGTTGAACAGGAAGTGCAGTCATGAGCATGGAAGCCACAGAAGGTGGAAAGGAGTGAAGCCCTGCTTGCTTTCTCACTGGGGAGGCTTGTAGCCTAGAGCAAGTTCCCAGCCCTGCTCACTGGCTGCCTGGATATAAACTCAATTCTGTTGGGGAAGCATAGCAGGAGTGAGACTTGTTGTTCTGGCTATGTGGAAGCTGGGTGAGACTTGTCACTGCCAGTTTTTTTCACACTTCCCAGGAAACCTGTATGATGCAGCAGAGGCAGCCATAATACCCCAGGAATGTAACTCCATCAGCCTGAGAAATACAACTCCACTGAAATACAACTCCACTCCCCACAGCAGCTGCAGGAAGCCTCACCCAAGGAGAGTCTGAGCTCAGACATGCCTAAACCTGACCCGACCTGATGGTCTTTCTCTACAAGCCTCCCCAACCCCCACCATAGCAAAAGACAAAAGACATAATCTCCTGGGAGCTCTATGGCCTTTCCCACTATCTGAGAAACCTGAATATTTATCCAGGCAACCCTAGGGCAAGCTTGTATTCTCCCTATACTACAGCAGCTGATGCTCTCTTGAAAGCACCACCTCCTGGCTGGAGGCCAGGCAAATTGAACCCTTACAGCAATTCATGACAGAAAAATTTTATCCCGAGAAAAGAAATCAACAGCTAACTCCACTGCCTGTAACATCCTGACTAACCAGAGGTCCTGAGTCTATCGACATGACAATTTTACTGCCAGCACAACCAGCACTTGAGAAAACCAGCACAGTAAATAAAACTACAACCAAGGTCCCACACAGAGTGCGCTTCACTGCCCTGATACCTCCACTGGAGCAGGTGCAGGTATCCATGGCTGAGAGAACTGAAGACAGATCACATCACAGGACTTTTTGCAAATACTCCCCTGTACCAGCCCAGAGCACAGTAGCTATGCTGAGTGACTAAACCCAGAAAAGAAATAACAATCATTGCAGTCTGGTTCTTAGGAAGCCCCATCCCTAAGGGAAGCGGAAGGGCACCACATCAAGGGATCACCCTATGGGACAAGAGAATCTGAAGAGCTACCTGGGAGCCCCAGATCTTTCCTCTGAAATAGTATATCTAAATGAGAAGGAACCGGAAAAACAATTCTGGTAATATAAGAAAACAAGCTTCTTTAACACGCAGAAAAGATCACACTAGCTCACCAGCAATGGATCCAAACAAAGAATACATCTCTGAATTGCCAGAAAAAGAATTAAGAAAGTCAATTATTAAGCTACTCAAGAAGGCACCAGAGAAAGGTAAATATCAACTTAAAGAAATGTTTTGTTTTTTGTTTTTTTGAGATGGAGTCTCGCTCTATTGCCCAGGCTGGAGTGCAGTGGCGCGATCTGGGCTCACTGCAAGCTCGGCCTCCTAGGTTCATGCCATTCTCTTGCCTCAGCCTCCCGAGTAGCTGGGACTACAGGTGCCCACCACCACACCTGGCTAATTTTTTGTATTTTTTAGTAGAGACAGGGTTTCACCCTGTTAGCCAGGATGGTCTCTATCCCCTGACCTCGTGATCCACTGGCCTCGACCTCCCAAAGTGCTGGGATTACAGGCATGAGCCACCACGTTTGGCCTAAAGAAATGTTTTAAATGATACAGTGTATGAATGAAAAAATCTCCAGAAGAATAGATGGCATAAATTTAAAACAATCACAACTTCTGGAAATGAAAGACACATTTAGAGAAATGCAAAATACACGGGAAAAACTCAACAATAAAATGGAACAAGTAGAAAGAACTTCAGAACTTGAAGACAAGGCTTTTGAATTAACCCAATCAAACAGAGATAAAGAAAAAATAATTTTAAAATATAAACAAACCCTCCAAGAAGTTTGGGATTGTGTTAAATGAACAAACTTAGGAATAATTGGTGTTCTTGAGGAGGAAGAGAAAGCTAAACGTTTGGAAAGCATATTGGAGGGAATAATTGAAGGAAACTTCCCTGGCCTTGCTAGAGATCCAGACATCCAAATACAAGAAGCTCAAAGAACACCTGGGAAATTCATCTCAAAAAGATCATTGCCTAGGCACATAGTTCTCAGGTTATCTAAAGAGAAGATGAAGAAAAGTTCTTAAGAGCTGTGAGGCAAAAGCATCAGGTAACCTATTTAAAAACACCTTTTAGATTAACAACAGATTTCTCAGCAGAAACCCTAAAGCCTGTAAGTGATTGGGGTCCTATTTTTAGCCTCTTTAAACAAAGCAGTTGTCAGGCAATAATTTTATATCCAGCAAAACTAAGCTTTATAAATGAAGGAAAGGTACAGTCTTTTTCAGACAAATAAATACTGAGAGAATTCACCACTATCAAGCCAGTATTACAAGAGCTGTTAAAAGGAGCTCTAATCTTGAAACAAAACCTCAAAGTACACCAAAATAGAACCTTCTTAGAGCATAAATCTTACAGAACCTATAAAACAATAGCACAATGAAAAAAAAACCTAGCACAATGAATAGAATAGTATTCTATCACATCTCAATACTGACACTGAATTTAAGTGGCCTAAATGCTCCACTCAATAGATACAGAACAGCAGAATGGATAAGAATTCATCAACCAAGTATTTGTTTTCCTTGAGAGACTGACCTAACACATGAGGACTCAAATAATCTTAAGGTAAAAGCATGGAAAACAAACATTCCATGCAAATGGAAACCGAAAGTAAGCAGGAGTAGCTATTCTTATATCCGAAAAAAAAGACATAAAACAACAATTAAAAAAGACAAAGAGGGACATTATATAATGATAAAAGGATTAAACCAACAGGAAAATATCACAATTGGAAATATATATGCACCTAACACTGGAGCTCCAAAATTTATAAAACAATGAACACTAAACCTAAGAAACAAGATGGGCAGCAATGCAGTAATAGTGAGGGACTTCAAAACTCCACTCAGAGCACTAGCCAGGTCATCACCACAGAAAGTCAGCAAAGAAACAATGGACTTAAACTATACCCTACAATAAATGGACTTAACAGATATTTACAGAACATTCTACCTAACAACTGCAGAATATACCTTCTATTCATCAGCACATGGAACATTCGCCAAGACAGACTACATGATAGGCCACAAAAGAAGTCTCAACAAATTTTTAAAAATCGAAATTATATCAAGTACTCTCTCAGACCACTGTGGAATAACATAGGAAATCAACACTGAGAATAACCCTCAAAACCATGCAAATACACGGAAATTAAATAACTTGCTTCTGAATGATTGTTGGGTCAAGAATAAAATCAAGAAGGAAATGAAAAAAATTGACTGAATGATAATAGTAAAAAACAAAACAAAACAAAACAAAACAAGAAACCTATCAAAACTTCCGAGATACAGTAAAAGCAGTGCTGTGAGGAAAGTTTATGGCATTAAATGCCTATATCAAAAGTCTGAAAGAGCATGAATAGACAATCTATGGTCACACCTCAAGAAACTAAAGAAACAAAAACAAACCAAACCCAAAGCCAGCAGAAGAAAAGAAATAACAAATATGACAGCAGAACTAAAGGAAATTGAAAAAAAAAAAAAACAAAAGATAAATGAAACAAAGAGCTGATTCTTTGAAAAGAAAAACAAAATTGACAGACCATTAGTGAGATTATCCAAGAAAAGAAGAGAGAAGATCCAAATAAGCTCAATTAGAAATGAAACAGGAAATATTACAACTGATACCACAGAAATACAAAACATCATTCAAGGCTACTATGAAATACTTTATGTGCATAAACTAAAAAACCTAGAAGAGAAGAATAAATTCCTGAAAATATACAACTCTCCAGGATTAAACCAGGAAGAAAAAGAAACTCTGAAAAGACCAATAAGAAGTAGTTAGATTGAAATGGTAATTTAAAAATTGCCAAAAAAAAAAAGTGCAGGAACAGATGGATTCACAGCTGAATTCCATCAGACATTCAAGGAAAAATTGGTACCAATCCTATTGACACTATTCCAAAAGATAGAGAAAGAGGGAATCCTCCCTAAATCATTCTGTAAAGCCAGTATCACCCTAATACCAAAACCAGGAAAGGACATAACAAAAAATGAAAACCACAGACCACTATCCCTGGTCAACATAGATGCAAAAATTCTCAACAAAATTCTAGCTGACCAAATCCAACAACATATCAAAAAGATAATCCACCATGATCAAGTGGGTTTCATGCCAGAGATGCAGGGATGGTTTAACATACATAAGTCAATAAATGTGATACATCACAAGAACGGAATTAAAAACAAAAATCACATGATCATCTCAGTAGGTGCAGAAAGAGCATTTGACAAAGTCCAGCAATGCTTTATGACTAAAGCCCTCAACAAAATCGGCATAGAAATGACATAAGGTAATAAAAGCCATCTATGAGAAACCCACAGCAAACAGTATACTGAATGGGGAAAAGTTGAAAACATTCCCCTTAAGAACTGTCACAAGACAAGGATACCATAGTTCACCACTTCTATTTCACAAACTAGTGGAAGTCCTAGCCAGAGCAACCAAACAAGAGAAAGAAATAAAGGGCCAGTTTGGATAACTGGTAGAGGGGAAGTTAAACTGTTCCTGTTTGCTGATGATGTGATTGTATACCTAAAAAACCCTAAAGACTCATCCAAAAAGCTCCTAGAACTGGTAAATGGATTCAGCAAAGTTTTAGGAAACAAAATTAATATACACAAACCAGTAGCTCTTCTATATACCAACAGTGACCTAGCTGAGAATCAAATAAAGAACTCAATCCCTTTTACAATAGCTACAAAAAAATACTTAGGAATATACCTAACTTAGGATGCGAAAGACCTCTATGAGAAAAACTACAAAACACTGCTGAAATAAATCATAGATGACACAAACACATGGAAACACATCCCATGCTCATAGATGGGTAGAATCAATATTGTGAAAATGACCATACTGCCAAAAGTAATTTATAAACATAATGCAATTTCCATCAAAATTCCATCATCATTTTTCACAGAACTATAAGAAACAATTCTAAAATTTATTTGGAACTAAAAAAGAGCCCACATAGCCAAAGCAAGACTAAGCAAAAAGAGCAAGTATGGAGGCATCACATTACCCAAATTCAAACTATACTACAAGGTTATAGTCACCAAAAAAGCATAGTACTGGCACAAAAATAGGCACATAGACCAATGGAACAGAATAGAGAACCCAAAATACTTACAGCCAATTGATCTTCAACAACACAAACAGAAACATAAAGTGAGGAAAGGATGCCCTATTTAACAAATGGTGCTGAGATAACTGGCAAGCCACATGTAGAAGAACGAAACTGGATCCTCATATTTCACCTTATACAAAATCAACTCAAGAGGGATCAAAGACCTAAATCTAAGACCAGAAGCCATAAAAATTCTAGAAGATAATATTTAAAAAAAAACCCTTCTAGACATTGGCTTAGGCAAAGACTTCATGACCAGGAACCCAAAAGTAAATGCAACAAAAACAAAGATAAATAGATGGAACTTAATTAAACTAAAATACTCCTACACAGCAAAAGAAATAATCAGCAGATTAAAGAGACAACACACCAAGTGGGGGAAAATCTTTGCAAACTATGCATCCAACAAAAGAGTAATATCTAGATTCTACAAGGAACACAAACAAGTCAGCAAGAAAAAAAAACAATCCCATCAAAAAGTGGGCTAAGGGCATGAATAGACAATTCTCAAAAGAAGGTATACAAATGGCCAACAAATATATGAAAAAATGTTCAACATCACTAATTATCAGGGAGATGCACATCAAAGCCACAATGCAATACCACTTTATTCTTGAAAGAATGGTTATAACTTAAAAATAAAAACATAATAGATGTTGGCATAAATGTAGTGAAAGGGAACACTTTTACACTGCTGGGGATAATGTAAACTAGTACAACCACTATGGGAAACAATGTGGAGATTCCTTAAATAACTAAAAGTAGATCTATGGTTATATCCAGCAATCCCACTACTGGGTGTCTACACAGAGAAAAAAGAAGTCATTATACGAAAAAGACAGGTGCACACACATGTTTATAGCATCACAATTCACAACTGTAAAAATATGAAACCAGCACAAATGTGCATGTGTCAATGAGTGGATAAAGGAAATTTTGTGTATATGTATACACCATGGAATACTACTCAGGCATAAAGAGGAACAAAATAATGGCATTCACAGCAACCTGGATTGAGTTAGAGACCATTATTCTAAGTGAATTAACTCAGAAATTAAAAATCAAATATCATATGTTCTCATGAATAAGTGGAAGCTAAACCATGAGGAAAGTGTATACTGCTTGGGTAATGGGTGTACCAAAGTCTCAGAAATCACCACTAAAGAAATTATTCATGTAATCAAACACAATCTCTTCCTCAAAAACCTACTAAAATAAAATAAAATAAAATAAAATGTGTCTCATCACATAAACAGAACTAAAGAAAAAACTACATGACTATCTCAATAAATGCAGAAAAGGCCTTTCATAAAATTCAACATCCCTTCCTGTTAAAAACTCTCAATAAACTAGGTATTGAAGGAACATACCTTAAAATAGTAAGAGCCACATATGACAACCCCACAGCCAATATTATACTGAATGGGCAAAAGCTGGAAGCATTTCCCTTGAAAATCAGCACAAGACAAAAATGCCCTTTCTCACCACTCCTGTTCAACATAGTAGTGGGATTTCTGGCCAGGGAAATCAGGCAAGAGAAAGAAATAAGGCGTATTCGAAAAGGAAGAGGGGAAGTCAAACTATCCTAGTTTGTAGATGACATGATCCTATATCTAGAAAACCCCATCATTTCAGCCCAAAAGCTTCTTAGGCAATAAGCAACTTCAGCAGTCTCAGGATATAAAATCAATATGCAAAAATTAATAGCACTTTTACACATCAACAATAGGCAAGCTGAGAGCCAAATCACGAATGAACTCCTATTTACAATTGCCAAACACAAAAAAAATACCTAGAAATACAGCTAACAAGTGAAATATAGTGTCTCTTCAAGGAGAACTACAAACCACTGATCAACGAAATAAAAGAGGACACAAACAATTAAAAAAGTTTTCCACACTCATGGATAGAAAGAATCAATATTGTGAAAATGGCCATACTGCCTAGGGAATTTACAGATTCAATGCTATTCCCATTAAACTGCCACTGACATTCTTCACAGTATTAGGAAAAATTTTAAAATTTATATGGAACCAAAAATGAGCCCAAATAGCCAAGACAATCTTAAGCAAAAAGAACAAAGCTGAAGGCATCATGCTACCCGACTTCAAACTATACTACAGGACTACAGTAACAAAAAAAGTATGGTACTGGTACAAGAACAGACGCATAGACAAATGGAACAGAATAGAGAACCAAGAAATAAGACTGCACACCTACAACCATCTGATCTTTGACAAACCTGACAAAAACAAGCAATGGGGAAAGGATTCCCTATTTAATAAATAGTGATGGGAGAACTGGCTAGCCATTCACAGAAAACTGAAACTGGACCACTTCCTTACACCCTATAGAAAAATTAACTCAAGATGAAGTAAAGACTTAAATGTAAAACCCAAAACTACAAAAACCCTGGAAGAAAACCTAGGCAATACCATTTAGGACATAGGCATGGACAAAGATTTCATGACAAACGTGACAAAAGCAATTGCACCAAAACTAAAAATTGACAAATGGTATCCAATTAAACTAAAGAGCTTCTACACAGAAAAAAAAAACTATCAACAAAGTTTTACAGACAGTCTTACAGTCAGCGAGAAAACTTTTGCAGTCTATCGATCTAAGATCTAATATCCAGCATCTACAAGGAATTTAAACAGCTTTGCAAGAACAAAACAGACAACCTCATTAAGAAGTGGGTAAAGAACATGAACAGACACTTTTCAAAAAAAGACATACATATGGCCAACAAACATATGAAAAAAAGCTCAACATCAGGGAAATGCAAATCAAATCCAGAATGAGGAACCATCTCATATAGTCAGAATGGCTATTATTAAAAAGTCAAAAAACAACAGGTGCTTGTGAGGTTGTGGAGTAAAAGGAATGCTCCCACACTGGTTGATGTGAGTGTAAATTAGTTCAGCCATTGTGAAAAACAGTTTGGCAATTTCTCAAAGACCTACAGACATAAATACCATTTGACCCAGCAATCCCATTACTGGGTACATCCCCAAAAGAGTATAATTTGTTCTATTATAAAGACACATGCACTCATATGTTCATTGTAGTACTACTCACAATAGCAAAGAAAGACATGGAATCAACCTAAGTGCCCATCAATGATAGACGGGATAAAGAAAATGTGGTACATATACACCATGAAATACTATGCAGCCATAAAAAAGAGATAATGTCTTTTGCAGGGACATGGATGGAGCTGAAGGCCATTATTATTGGGAAACTAATGCAGGAAAAGAAAACCAAACTCTGCATGTTCTCACTTATAAGTGGGAGCTTAATGATGAGAACACATGGACACATTGCAGGAGGCAGGGAACAACACACACTGGGGACTGTCAGAGAGTGGTAGGTGGGAAGAGGGAGAGGATCAGGAAGAATCAATGATGGATTCTGGGCTTAATACTTAAGTGATGGGATAATCTGTGCAGCAAACCACCATAACACACATTTAACTATGTAACAAACCTGCACATGCTGCACATGTATCCCTGAACTTAAACATTAAAAAAAGGAAAAAGAAAACCAACAGCCATCATACTCAATGGTCAATGACTGAATGTTTTCCCTTTGTAGTCAGAAACATGACAAGGATGTTTGTTTAAAGTGACATGGCATGGTTTACTTTAACCACTTCAATTCAAAATTGTATGGAAGTTTTAGCCAGAATAATTAGGCAAAACAAAGGAGTAAAATGTATTCAAATTGAAAAAGAAGAAGTAAAATTCTCTCTGTTCACACATGATATTATATCATATTTAGAAAATCTTAATGGATACATCAAAAAATCTATCAGAGTTTATAAATAAATTCAGTAAAGTTTCAAGAAACAAGATTAATATGCAAAAATTAATTGTATTTCTGTACACTAGCAACGAATAATCCAGAAGTGATATTAAGAAAACAATTCCACTTACAATACTATAAAGAATAATAAAATACTTAGTAATAAATTTAACCAAAGAGGTTCAAGACATGTACATTGAAAACTATTGCTGAAAGAAATTAAAGAAGGCCTGAATAAATAGAAAGGCATTCCATGTTCATGGATTAAATGACATAATATTCTGAAGATGGTAGTACTGCCCAAAGCAATCTGCCAATTCAATTCAATTCCTATAAAAATATCAATGAACTTTTTGCACAAGTGGAAAAGATGATCCTAAAACTGATTAATATGAATTCATATAAAATTGCAAGGAATTCCAAATAACCACAACAATCTTGGAATAGAAAAACAAAATTGGAGGGCTCACTCTTCCCAGTTTCAAAACTTACTACAAATCTACAGTAATCAAAACAGTGTAGTACTAGTATAAAAATAGGCATTTAGATCAGTGAAATACAATCAAGAATCCAGAAATAAACCCAAACGTTTTTGGTCATTGATTTTTGACAAGCTACCAAGACCATTCAATGGGAAAGATGTTAACAGTAAGAGAATTTTGCAGGCAGACATTTAGAAAAAGCTAGGATCAAAGACTTAAACTATAAAAAAAAAAGTCTTAAACTCTTAAAAGAAAAAGTGGAATGCATTTTCATAATCTTGGGTTTGGCAATGGATTCTTAAATGTGACACCAAAACCACAAGTATCAAAGAAAAATAACTTGGATTCATCAAAATTAAAAACTTTCATGCCTCAAAGGACACTATCAAGAAAGTGAGCCATGTGTGGTGGCTTGTGCCTATAATCACAGTTACTCAGGAGGCCGAAGCAGGAACATCATTTAAATACAAGAGTTCAAGTCTGCAGTGACCTATGATTGCATCACTGCACTACAGCCTTGATGACAGAGTGAGGCAACATCTCTAACAACAACAAAGCGATAAAACAATCTACAGAATGGAAGAAAGTATTTGCAAATAACCTAGTGTTATTAATCTAGATTAGTATTAGTAATCTGATATATAAATAACTCTTAAAACTCAAGAACAACAACAACAACAAAAAGCCGGGTGCTTTGGCTCATGCCTACAATCCCAGCACTTTGGGAGGCCAAGGTGGGGTGATCACTTGAGTCCAGGACTTTAAGATCAGGTTAAGGGTAATATGGCAAAACCTTTTTCTTTACTGAAAATACCAAAAAAATTAGCCAGGTGTGGTAGTGTGCACCTATAGTCCCAGCTACTCAGGAGGCTGAGGCAGGAGGATCACTTGAACCTGGAGACAGAGGTTGCAGTGAACCTAGATCACATCACTGCACTCCTAGACAACAGAGTGAGACTAGTCTCCAAAAAAAAGGAAAACAACCCAATTAAAAATGGGCATAGTAATTGAATAAGCAGTTCTCCAAAGAAGGCATACAAATGGCCAACAAACATATAAAAAGATGCTCAGTGTCATTAGTCATTAGGGACATGCAAATTATAACAACAATGAGATACTACTTTACACCCACAAGGATAACTATAAATTTAAAAATAAAACAGAAAACAATGAGTATTGGTAAGGACGTGGACAAAATGCAACCCTTGTATATTGCTGATGGGAGAGTACAATTGGGCAGCCACTTTAGAAAAGAGTTTGGCACTTCCTCAGGAAGTTAAACCTACACTAACTATATGACTTAGCCATTTCACTCTCAGTCATATTTTTAAGCGAATTAAAAACATATATCCACACAAAAAGTTTTACACAATTGATTATAGCATTATTATTCCTAATAGCCAGAATGTAGATACAACCCAAATGTCCATTGACCAATGAATGGATAAATAACATGTGGTATACCCATACAATGGAATATTATCTAGCAATCAAAAGAATGAATGTTACAGTATGGATTAATCTTGAAATCATTATGCTAAATGAAAGAAATCATACACAAATGGTTATATATTGTATGATTCCATTTATATAGACTGTCATCCAAAATAGGTAAACCATAGAAATAGAAAGCAGGTTCCTGGTTTGTAGGGACCAGAGGATTGGGGAAATGGGAGTGACTACTTAATGAGTACAGGGCTTATTTTTAGGGTAATAAAAATATTTTGGAAGTAGACAGAGTTGGTGTTTGCACAAATTTTTTTGTTTTGTCTTGTTTTGTTTGAGACAGGTCTCACTCTGTCACTCAGGCTGGAGTGCAGTGGCATGATAACGGCTCACTGCAGCCTCAACTTCCCAGGTTCAAGAGACCCTCCCACCTCAGCCTCCCAATTAGCTGGGACTACAGGTGTGTGCCACCACATCTGGTTAATTTTTGTAGTTTTTGTAGAGACAGGGTTTTGCCATGTTGCCAAGGCTAGTCTTGAACTTCTGGGCTCAAGGAATCTACCCACCTCAGCTTCGCAAAGTACCGGGATTACAGGTGTTAGCCACTATGGCTGGCCTACAAAATATTTTGAATATACTAAATGCCAATTAATGTATACTTTAAAATTGCTAATTTTATATTATGGGAATTTTATCTCCATAAAAAGGGAAAAAAATAAAAGGACAAAAGTTGAGTAGTATTGAGGGTGGGGTAGATATTAAAACCCAGTCTCCCTATACAAACCAAAAATGTGTACAGATGTATAGCTTATGCAGTCTAGCAAAAGTCAGTTATGAAATTAGCCCAATAGCAAATAAAAAATATTTTTCAAACAAAAAAAAGAAATAAGACACCTCCCTGATTTTATATATATGTGTGTGTGTGTGTGTATATATATATATATATATATATATATATATATAGAGAGAGAGAGAGAGAGAGAGAGAGAGAGAGAGAGAGAGAGAGATAGAGAGAGTTCATCACTAGAAGACTGCCTGCCTACAAAAAATACTAAAGGCAGTCCCTTCATGCTGAAATGAAGACACTAGGCAGTCATACGGATCCACACCCATTAATAAAGAGTACCACAGAAGGTAACTACACAGGTAAATAAAAGAGAGTATAAACATATTTTTACTTGAAACACCTTTCTGTAATCTGTTTAAAATAACTGCATAAAACAATATGTATAAATATTGATGGGTTGATAATGTATAATAATGTAATTTGTAGGACAATAATAGTTCAAAGGAGGGCAGAGAGAAATGAGCCACATAGGAGCAAGTCATTGCATGTATTTGTTGAAGTCAATTTGGTATTAATCTGAACTAGATTTTTATAAATTAAGATGTTAATTGTAATCCCCAGGGTGTTCTCTAAGAAGATGCCTCTTAAAATATAGACTGCTGGTAGAAATGTAAAATGGTGCAGCCAATTTAGAAAACAGTCTGGCAGTTTCTCAAAAAGTTAAACATAGAATTATTGGCCGGGCGCAGTGGCTCACCCCTGTAATCCCAGCACTTTGGAAGGCAGAGGCGGGCGGATCACGAGGTCAGGAGATCGAGACCATCTTGGCTAACACGGTGAAACCCCGTCTCTACTGAAAATACAAAAAATTAGCCGGGCGAGGTGGTGGGTGCCTGTAGTCCCAGCTACTCGGGAGGCTGAGGCGGGGGAATGGTGTGAACCCTGGGGGACGGAGCCTGCAGTGAGCCGAGATCGTGCCACTGCACTCCAGCCTGGGCGACAGCGAGATTCCGTCTCAAAAAAAAAAAAAAAAAACAGAATTATTATACAATCCAGAAATTTCACTCCTAAGTATATACTCAAGAGAATTAAAAACATGTCCACACAAAAACTTGTACTTGAATATTTATATCATTATTTATAATAGACAATAAGAGAAAACAAATCAGCTGATGACTAAAGTAGAACAGCTTTCTTTATGAGCAAATATACTTCTCAAGTATGCCTCAAAGAGATGAAGGACAGAGTCTTCATATTTGAATCCAAAATACAATTGTTTTTTGCTGTGTCTGCAGCTCACATCTGTAATTTGCTGTGCAGTTTATGAAGCCCCTTCATACCTACCTGTTTCAAAGATGAAAAAAGTGATGCCAGAAGTCACGCAGCAAGTCAGAGACCTAAGAGAGAATTACACCCTTTACCCAACTCCTTTTCCAGGAATGAGCCACCATACACACTGCTTAATTTAAGTGACACAATAGGAAGAATTTGCTGAAAGGGCCTTACTGACTCTTCCTCTTAAGAAAAGTATAAGTCCTGGAGATTTTCCTGTCTGTGTGGATAGAGAGTCCATAGTCAGGTCCTCTACTATCTGTCCTATCCCTTTCGAAAACCAAAGTCCAGTGCTGTGGAGGAATGAATTCCATGGGTCTCTGTGAAATGAAAGCTGGCTTCCAGGGACAAGGAAATTATCATAATTTTTTTTCTCTCTACAATGAAAAGGTCATCTCTAAAAATTATAAAAAGGTCATCTCTAACTCTTATAAAAATAGAAAAGTGGCTCATAATTCCACCACCTAAATACCACTCTCTTCATGTTTGCTTATTCTTTTTCATATATACACATAATTTAAATGGTCTGCAACCAGGATGGCTGGGGAATTTGGTGATGATATTTTCACTTACCATTCTGTCATAAATATTCTGTCACATACCTGTGCAGTCTTCCTAATTACTTTTTCTCAAGGCTGCCTTATGTTCCATTCTGTTGACACACCAACATTAATCCATTGGCAAATGGCCAATGGTGGACAATTTTGTTGTTATTTCTTCATCAGTAAGGCTTTAACATCCCTGTACACATAACTTTTCTGTGCCTTTTGGCATCATTTCTTGTGACAAATTTCTGTTGATTAGAATTACTGGATCATACAGTATGAGCTTACTTATGACTTACTGAATATTGTCATACTGCTTTTCCAAGGGTCCAACAGATTATTTACAAGATGTTTAAGAGTATGTCACTATACCTGTTTCTCTACGGCATTACCAGCACTGAATATTATGAACTGAAATCTTTTTTTTTCTTTTATCTATTCCAGTATGTCCCATTTGCTAAGGCTTCCTAATTTGGAATGTAATGGTGTCATAGCTGTTCAGATTACAAGTTCTAGAGGCTGGACACAAACACTCACTCATGCCTGTAATCCCATCAACTTGGGAGGCTGAAGAGGGAGGATCACTTGGGCCCAGGAGTTTGAGGTTGCAGTGAACTATGATCACACCACTGCACTTCAGCCTGGGTGACAAAGCAAAACTCCATCTCTAAAGAAAAAAAGTTACAAGTTCTAGAGCATCCTGGCTCCACCACAATACACAATCTGAGACTTGTGGCAAGTTATGAGGGTGATAATAGTATCTAGCTTATGGGGTTTTTGTAAGAATTAAATGAATTAATATATGTAAAGTGCCTATAATAGAGCCCTGTACATCATAAATACTGTGTTAATATTACTATTATTAATAACATTATTGTTGCTTTTGTTTTTTGAGGCAGAGTTTTGCTCTTATTCCCTAGGCTGGAGTGCAATGGCATGATCTCGGCTCACTCCAACTTCCGCCAACCGGGTTCAAGCGATTCTCCTGCCTCAGCCTCCCGACTAGCTGGGATTACAGGCACCTGCCACCATTTTTGTATTTTTAGTAGAAACAGGGTTTCACCATGTTGGCCAGACGGTCTGGAACTCCTGGCTTCAGGTGATCCACCCATCTCAGCCTCACAAACTGCTGGGATTACAGACGTGAGCCACCACGCCCGGCCCTATTGTTGCATTTTTACTATTTATTTTAGCGAGGTATCCTAGCTCAGGATTCAGTTCTGTATGTTGTGGGGGATTAATAACCCTCCTGTATTTCTTTCTTCATGAATTGATATGCATGAAGGCTTTTCTTCTTTGCTAAAAGAATAAGGAAGAAGTCTGTGCTGGAGCACCAGAGACAGAAGGGAGGAACAGGAAGATAGAGGGAAATGACAGTGTGTGTCCCTAGTCCCTGGGATTAGTTTTTAAGCACTTTTTAATAGAAATACTTTTAGTAATTCTGGGTCTTCCGAGCAGCAGGACCCCAGTGATAATCTATGGCTTAGAATTAAAGAGAGAACAATTTTGCTCACTTCTGCCAAGAACACAGAACTACTTTGGCATTTGGGGGACTGGTGGCATGGCAAACATCAGGAGACAAACTTGGCAAAGATTTGTGTTTTCAAAAAAGGAACTGGTAGCAGAAGCAGCAGTGAAGATGATGTGGAAAAACTTCAGTTGGTATGTTTCTAAACCCACTTGAGGCAATACTCTGAGATAAAAAGGGATAATACTAGCGAAGATTTTGACAGAAGCTTAATTTTTGCATAAACAGCTGCAAGCTAAGGGCCCCCATTATCTGGGTCAAATGTTAATGTGACTTTATTATACTCATGGGCTCTCAAGGCCAGCAAGAAAGTCAATTTTTTTAAGAGAGGCCTATGCATTATCAATTTTTTGTGTTTGATTATTATTTGCATTTATTCTGGTATTAATTATTTGTTCATATTATATGCATGTTTATTTATCATATCTTTTTCTCTCTTTTTTGTATTTTTTAGAGACAGGATCTCATTCTGTTGCCCAGGCCGGAGGAGAGTGGCACAATGATAGTTCACTGCAACCTCAACTACCTGGGCTCAAGCAATTCTTCCACCTCAGCCTTCTGAGTAGCTAGAAATACAGGTGCCTGCCACCATGCCCAGCTAATTTTAAAAATTTTATAGAGACAGGGATCTCACTATGTTGCCCAGGCTGATCTTGAACTCCTGGCCTCAAGTGATCCTCTTGCCTTGGCCTCCCAAAGCACTGGGATTGCAGGTGTGTTCCACCATGCCTGGTCCACATTTTTTTTTATACATTGGAGCTTTAAAAAAATGAAGCATAGTTGTTAAATCTATGCTTCATATAAGAGGAGTTACTTTCACGAGAGGTTGCAATTCATTCCAACTACTCCATGTGTGTTAGACCTCAGCAGGCAACAGGCTGGAGAGAAGAAGATAGTAAGTCATTCTTGTCAGGTCAGGAAGAACACTTCTCAAGCTAGGTAGAGAAAAACAAACTTGAAAACTTCTTGCTCTGAATTTCAGAGTTCGGGTAGGCAAAGGCAGACAAATGTGACTGGTACATAGCACTGTGACACTACTAAAATGGCATCTGGAATGTGATCCAAAGGAGTTGATGTTTGAATGGCTTTAAACTACAAAGAAATTCTACATTAAGGCCCCAAGCACACAATATCAAATTTTTCTGAGCCTTTTAGGTCATTCCAGTAGACCTAAATTCTATCCCAACTACTAAATATGCTAGGTTTCCTCGGGTCTAAAAGCAAGATTAATGCTCTTAACTCCTTCTGCCTTTCCAGATATCCAAATGATGCCTTCATTATAGGTCAATACTGATAATGACAGTATTGTAATGACAGTATTTAATTGAAAACTTGTACCTCAACTGAGAAACAATTAAGAATCTTTTGTCCTGAGAATAGGACAAAAGATCAATATAGGACAAGAGGAAAGGAAGACACACTTGATTTTGAAATTATAAGTTATAGGTTTGTAGGTTTAGAATTATAGGATTATAATTTTTTTGATTATGTAGTACTAAAACTCTTTGGTTTTAAGATTATTATATATCTGGAGATGATTCATTCCAACCTTCCCCAACCCTTCCTATTCAGGATTTTACACATGAAGAAAATAAGAACTGACTTGTCCAAAGCCACACAATTGCTAAGTGGTAGAGGAGAGATGAACAGATAAGACTGCATATGTCACAATTTTTCCAGGATCTATGACCTTGATTCTCTGCACTCAATTTGAATGAATGAAGTTTAAATAACACTGGACCTAATTGAAAATATTGGCTACATTTTCATTAATTTCAACCCTCATGGGTAGGTGGCTTCTGGTGCAGGATGGAGCAGAGGACATGAACAGCCAGCTTTCCCTTTGGCCCCATAGTGCTCTGGCTTTCCCTCTGACCCCTGCAGCAAAGGGAATCTGTAAACACATGAGTCCCTTTCCCACTAGGCTTTTGAGCAGTGCTCCAACCTCAGGAAGGGGACTCTCACCTGCTAAAAAAGTTTTCAAAGATCTAGGCACACAGCTTAGTCAGCAATATCTTGAGAGCTAGGAGGAACAGAACATACTCACATGCACGTAATTGCCCTATATATCTTCCCCCAAACTAGAGTCTCTGCTGGGCTGCCAGCAACTACAAAAACCAAGGTAAGAAAAGGCAGCACCTGCAATCACAGAAGGCATTTCCACCCTCTAATACACAAACAAGATAAGATCAAGGAAATAGAAGCAGAAGAAACCTGAGGAAACTTGGGAATGATGGGAGCTAGGCTCTAAGCTGTGATACACCACAACCTGACTGACCTCCAACAAGTTGCTTCCCCTCTCTAAGCCTCAGTTTCCTCATGTGTTGTTAAAATATGAGAACTTTTTTTTCTTCTTATATTGGCATTTATAAAATAGCCAGCACAATGTATATCATAATAATAGCCAGCATGGTGCCTTGCAAAATAAATATTTCTTTCTCTGTGCTCCATCTTTGTTTCCTATCAAGAATATGAGTCCCTTGATTCAAGCACTTGCCTAGTATCTTCTTCTTTTAAGTTTGGAGCCCTGCCTTGCTGTCACCAGTTGGTGCCAGGAACCTCAGTCCAAAATGTGGCTGTGGCAGTGGACCCAGTGAAGCCTAAATTACCTTTAAGTTTTAACAAACTGGTATTCTTTTTTTTTTTTAGACGGAGTCTTCCTCTGTTGCCCAGGCTAGAGTGTAGTGGCATGATCTCGGCTCACTGCAACCTCTGCCTCCCGGGTTCAAGTGATTCTCCTGCCTCAGCCTCCCGAGTAGCTGGGATTACAGGTGCCCGCCACCGTGCCCAGCTAATTGTTTTGTATTTTTTAGTAGAGACAGCGTTTCATCATGTTGGCCAAGCTGGTCTTGAACTCCTGACCTCATGATCCACACCCCTAAGCCTCCCAAAGTGCTAGGATTACAGGCATGAGCCACCGCACCCAGCCAACAATCTGATTTTCTATGAGATTGGGTTTCTTTAGTTCATTGCCCATTTAGTGCCTCTGGTATTTTTTTCATTTTTATTTTTTGGCCTCAAGATGAGCTCATCTCGAAATTTCCTCTTTATGTTTGCCTCCTGGACAGGTCCCCTTCCCTGAGCCAATCTGATGAGCTCACTGATAGCCAGGCCACAGTCCACATGCTCTAGGACAGGGGTGATAGCTATCTTATGCCTGAGCACCCTGGAAAGGCTTCCAGTTTAAGTTACCTCTCCATCCCAAGCAGTCACTTCAAAATCAGCATCCTCTGCTCCCAGCATTCTCTACACGCATCCCTGACCTGGGGCCATTCTGCCAAGTTGGTTAAAACTTTGGTCCCAGCTTCAAAATCTGTACTTTCTCTCACTTTAGTGTCAGGATTTGCTGTCTACCCACAATTCTAAGTACTCAAGAATATCTTGTTCTATCCCTCTCTTCAACTCTCATAAGCTAAAGAAGAAATCAAAATTAATCCACACTGAGGCAGTAGTAGCTATTAGCATCTACAAGTGTGGAAGAACAGGGAAAGGTCTGCTGCTTTCAAACAGGAATTAAAGCCTTTATTTATTTGGCAACTCATAAGGTAAAGAGAAATAGGGCATGGTTATGATGAAGGTGAGGTGGTGAGGGGAGACTCAGTGTCACAGAGGAAATCATTAGCAGTGACAGTGTCTAAATTATTTCTGGATCCCCAGAGAAGAAAAGAGATTTTTCCAAGGTCACATAGCACAATGCATTTCATTAAGCATTTACTGTGTTTGTATTATTCTTTATTTGGCATTGGGCCAAGCACTGGGGATCCAGCGGTAATTTAGACACAAGGATCTTACAGTGTAGTAAGAGATCTAGTCACAAGGACGAATTGATAAAGTTTCTTGACAATTATAGGTAAAGTGTGATGGTCATGTAGACGAAAGAAATTCATGCCAACTGAGCCATTGGAAAGTTTCTGGGAGTGTGGCATATTCACTGGGACTTTGACAATATATATGATTTCTTTTGTTTTTCTTTGACAATATATATGATTTCAACAGGTCAAGATATGCACATTTGGCAATCCAGAAAGGAGTAGAATGTGAGTAGAGGCACACATTACTCATTAATAGAAGATTTATTTAGGGAAATACAAGTAATTCAATGTGTTTGAATGAAAGGTTGTAGTGTTAAGAGGTATAATGAAAGATATGGCTAAGAAGGTAGAAAGGACCCAATGGTGGAGAGTCTAAAGGACTGATCCAAGGAGTCTCAACTTAATTTGGTAGGCAATGAGAAGCCATCAATCAAAGAAGCCACATAACCAAAAATTTTAAAATGACTAGTCAAATCTGTTGCTTCCTGTTTTTTCTCCTTGTAGTAAATAACACCACTACTCACGCAATTGCTCAAACCAGATATCTGTGAGTCACTCTTGATTCTACCATCTCCCATATTATCCACATCCATCACAGTAGTAGGTCCTGACAATTCTATCTGCAAAACTTATTTCAGATCTTCCTAATTCTTCCCATCACCACTGCTACTTGCCTAGTTCAAGCAACATTATCTTCCCCCAGATTATGCCATAACTCCCTCACTGATCTTTCCATTCTGCATATAACTCCTACCCAATCCAATCATCACCCAAGGAACAGAGAGGACTTAAAATTTACATTACGTCATGCCACTCCCAGGTTTAAAACCTCCAAAGGTTTTACATTGTACTTAGAATGAAATCCAAATTTCACACTATAATCTAAAAGGCCCTGAATGGTGTGGCTGCTTCTATACTGATTATTTTGCCTACTATTTTCATTCATCCTAGGCCTCCTTCAGTTCTTCAACCACAAGAAGCACTTTTGAATCTCAGGTATTCACATGTTACCAGAAAACCTTTCTCCCTTTCTCTGCATGACTGATGCATTCTCATCCTACAGATGTAAGCTTGAATGTTAAGTCTTTGCCTTTTTTCTTGTAAAAAAGATGTCCTTTATCTCCCTTTAACATCTTTAACAAGTCTCTATGAAGTTCCATACTTTACCACATCTTCCTGTCTGCTTCTGAGCCCTCCAAACAGTTCCAACCTCTACCTGTTTTGCAATTCCAATGTCACTTCCACATTTTTAAGTATCTTTATGTTACTGCCCCACTCCCGGTACCAATTTCTATATTAATCCCTTTTCACACTGTTATAAAGAACTACCTGAGACTAGGCAATTTATAAACAAAAAAGGTTTAAATTGACACACAGTTCCACATGGCTGGGGAGGCCTCAGGAAACTTACAACCATGGTAGGAGGCAAAGGGGGAAACAAGGCACATCTTACATGATGGTGGGAGAGAGAAATGGGGGGACTGCCAAACAGTTTTAAACTATCAGATCTCATGAGAGCTCACTCACATCAAGGGAACAGCATGGAGGAAACTGCCCCCATGATCCAATCACCTCCCACCAGGTCCCTCTCTTGACATATGGGGATTACAATTTGAGATGAGATTTGGGTGAAGGCACAGAGACAAACCATATAATTAGTGGAAGTCCTAGTTAGAGCAATCAGACAAGAGGAAGATATTAATTGCATCCAAATTTGAAAGGAATAAGTCAAATTATCCTTGTTTGCAGATGATATAGTCTTATATTTGGAAAAAATCTAAAGACCACAAGAAAATTATTAGAACTGATTAACAAATTTAGTAAAGTTGCAGGTTACAAAATCAACATGCAAAAATCAGTAGCATTTTTTTTTTTTTGAGAGAGAGAGATGAGGTCTCACTATGGTGCCCAGGCTGGTCTCAAACTCCTGGACTCAAGTGATCCACCAGCTTCAGCCTGCCAAAGTACTGGCATTACAGGCATGAGCCACCATGCCTGGCCCAAAAATCAGAAGCATTTCTATATGCCAACAGTGAACAATGTGAAAAATAAATTTAAAATGTAATCACAGCCTGGCATGGTGGCTCACTCCTGTAATCCCAGCACTTTGGGAGGCCAAGGCAGGTGGATCACTAGGTCAAGACATCGAGACCATCCTGGCCAACATGGTGAAACCCCATCTCTACTAAAAATACAAATATTAGCTGGGTGCAGTGGTGAGCACCTGTAGTCCTAACAACTTGGGAGGCTGAGACAGGAGAATTACTTGAACCCAGGAGGTGGAGGTTGCTGTGAGCTGAGATTGTGCCACTGCACTCCAGCCTGATGACAGAGCAAGATCCAGTCTCGAAAAATAAAATAAAATAAATAAAAATAAATAAAATATAATCCCATTTTCAATAACCACACGTAATATTAAATACCTAGGAATTAAGTTAACCAAAGAAGTGAAAGGTCTCTATAATGTGAACTATAAAACACTGATGAAAGAAATTAAAGTGGACAACATAAAATGGAAAAATATTCCATGTTCATGGATTGAAAGAATAAATATTGTTAAAATGTCAATACTACCCAAAGCAATCTACAGATTCAATGCAATACCTATCAAAATACCAATGATATTTTTCATGGACATAGTAAAAACAATCCTAAAATTTATAACAGCATGACCTGGACGTGAGACCTGGAGTCAAAGGAGAACATTCTGGAGCTTTAAAATTTGACCACCCCACTGGATTTTGGACTTGCATGGAGCCTTTAACCCCTTTGTTTTGACCAGTTTCTCTCATTAGGAACAGCTGTATTTACCCAATACTGGTACCCCCATTGAATCTAGTAAATAACTAGCTTGCTTTTGATTTTACAGGCTCAAAGGTGGAAGGGACTTGCCTTGTCTCAGATGAGACTTTGGACTTTGGGGTTAATACTGAAATGAGTTAAGACATTGGGGGACTGTTGGGAAGGCATGATGGGTTTTGAAATGTGAGGACATAAGATTTGCAGGGGCCAGGGCAGAATGATATGGTTTGGCTGTGTCCCCCCTCATATCTCAACTTGAATTGTATCTCCCAGAATTCCCACCTATTGTGGGAGGGACCCAGGGGGAGGTAATTGAAACAGGGGGGCTGGTCTTTCCCATGCTATTCTTATGATAGTGATTAAGCATCACGAAATCTGGTGGGTTTTTCAGGGGTTTCTGCTTTTGCTTCTTCCTCACTTTCTCTTGCCATCACCATGTAAGAAGTGCCTTTCACCTCCCGCCATGATTCTGAATCCTCCCCAGCCATTTGAAACTCGAAGTCCAATTAAACCCCTTTTTCTTCCCAGTCTTAAGTACGTCTTTACGTGTGAAAACAGACTAATACAACACTTTATGAGGCTGAGAGTTCAACTTTCATGATTCAGTCAATGGCGCTATGAGGACTTATTTTTTATTTTCAGCTATTTCACTCTGTGGCTATGAAAGATAAGATTCTCCCTCAGGGCACACATAGAAGCTTTTAGGTCATTTATGCAGTGTTTGAGTTGGGAATTCAAAACCCTAAGCTCATTTTTTTTTCACCACTTTTCCCAGAAACGTTAGGAGCAACGAATCAACATTATTATATTTTTTCCTTTTCTACGAATGTACAAATTATTATATACAGAGGCATTATGTTCCTTGTCTCTTATAAGTGGTTAATTAGGAGTATCCAATGTAGATATATTGCATATCTCTCTATACAGTTCATGGCATGGTTTCTCAGTGTTCTCTACTGTTGGAAATAGATTCCTAAGCATCTTTAAGTCTAATCAGATTAAAGAGCCAGTTTCAGAAACTCCAAAAACAATTCAAGACTCTCAACCTTGAAATTCTTTTCCTCTAGACCACTTCTGATACCAAAATCTATATTAGTCAGGGTTCTCCCAAGAAACAGAACTGATAGGATACATAGATATATAAAGATAAATAAGAGATGATTTATTATGATAATTGGCTCGTACAATTAAGGAGGCTGAGAAATTCCACCATTTGCTATCTGCAAGCAGAAGAACTAGGGAAGCCAACGGTGTACCTCAGTCCAAGTCTGAAGGCCTGAGAACCAAGGGAGCTGATGGCGTAACTCTCAATCTGAGGCCAAAGGCCTAAGAACCTTGGGGAGCTGCTGGTGCAAGTCCCAGAGTTCAAAAGCCTAAGAATCTAAAATTGTGGTGTCCAAGGTCAGGAGAAGATGAGTGTCTCAGCTCCAAAACAGAGAGCTTGAATTTCCGTTTCCTCTGTTTACTCTGCCTTTTTGTTCTATCTGGGCCCCCAACCAATTGGATAGTGCCTGCCCACACTAGGCGAGGGCAGGTGATCCTTGGTCCACTGATTCAAATGCTAATCTCTTCTGGAAACACCCTCACAGACATATGCAGAAATAGTGTTTTACCAATTATCTGGATATCCCTTAATCCAGGCAAGGTGACACCTAAAATTAACCATCACGTATGGTGAAAAAAAAGCAGGAAAAAGGAGGAAACAATAAATGGGACTAGTCGGGCATGGTGGCTCATGCCTGTAATTCCAGCACTTTGGGAGGCTGAGGTAGGAGGATCACTTGAGCTCAGGAGTTCAATACTAGCCTGGTCACTCAATTAAAAAAAAAATTAGTCAGGCATGTTGATGCATGCCTGTGGTCCCAGCTATGTTGTAGGCTGAGGCAGGAGGATTGCCTGAGTCCAGGAGGTCAAGGCTGCAGTGAGCCATATTTCTGCCACTGCACTCCAGCCTAGGCCACAGACTGAGACCCTCTCTCAAAAACTAAAATAAATAAATAAAATAAATGGGACACACAGAAAAAGACATAAGTTTATAAAATAAATTAAAATTGCCACTAATTACAAGTGTAAATACACAAATTTATCCAGTTAAAAGACAAATGTCATCGTACTTTTTTTTTTTAATCTTGCTATAAGAATTTCACACTAGATATATCTAAAACATAAGGGCAGAGAAAAAGGTGGATGTCAAAGTATGGAAGAAAACATAACAGACAAATAGTACCAGTAACAAAAAAAGGCCCTTGTGGCTATATTAATATCAGCCAAAATAGATTGTAAAGCAAAAAGCATTGGTAGGGGTAAAAATGGTCATTACATAGTAATAAAAGGAAAAATTTAACAAATATAGCAAGGATAATCATATGTATCTAACTGTGTAGGTCAAAAAATATATTAAAAATGGAAGAGCAAGGAGATATTGACAAATTACACTACTAAAATACGAAATATAACACACCTTTTTCTCAGTGTTGATGAAGCAAACAAAAAGTCAGTAAAGATATAGGCAACTTGAACAAAATGATGAACACATTTGAAATAATACACATATTATAGAATTTTGCACCCAGCCATTGAAGAATACATATTTTAAGGCATGAACGAGCATTTGTGAAAATTATACCATAAAGTTAACCTCAAAAAATTGCAAATAATTGGTATCCTGCAGCTCAACAGAATGCAATTAATTTAGAAATTAATAGCAAAAAGATAATTAAAGAGACATTTAGGTATAGAAAAAATATACTTTTAAACAACTCATGAATCAAAGAAGATATCAATGGGAAATCTGAGAATATTTAGAGCTGAAAAAATAAAATAGTACATAACAAGACTAAAGCAGTATCTGTTAAGAAATTTTTGGCTATAAGTGTTTACATTAGAAAAGACAAAAGGCTCAAAATTGAAGGTATAAACATCCAACTTAAAAAGTTATAAAAGGAAAAGTATAATAAGCCCAAAGAAAGTAGAAGGAAGGAATAACACACACATAATTTCACAAAGTATTGTCAGATTGTTCTTCAGATTACCCTCCCACCAGTAGTGCCTGAGTAGTGCCTATTTCCTGGTATGCTCACCAATACTTAGTGTTTTTCTCTTACTTTTTGTCAATCGTATCCATGTAAAGTGGCTTTTCATTGTTTTAACACATACTTCTCTGTTAACCAATAAACTGAATAAATTTTTATTTACTAATGAACTATTCAGGTTTCTTTTTGTGAATTATTTTATTTTATCATCTTCAAATATTTATTAGATAGTTGAGAGATATTCAAGAGATACAACTACATGATTGGTGACTGAACATGGGCATTAGAGAGAGGGAAGAGTCAAGAATGAGAATATCAATTTTTTGTTGTTGTTTGTTTGTTTGTTTGTTTGTTTTTTGAGATGAAGTCTCACTGTCACCCAGGCTGGAGTGTGGTAGAATGATCTCGGCTCACTGCAACCACCTCCCAGGTTCAAGTGATTCTCCTGCCTCAGCCTCCCAAGTAGCTAGGATTACAGGCACCCACCACCACACCGGGCTAATTTTTGTATTTTTAGTAGAGACAGGGTTTCACCATGTTGGCCAGTCTGGTCTTGAACTCCTGACCTCAGGTGATCCACCCACCTTGGCCTCCCAAAGTGCTGGGATTACAGGTGTGAGCCACCTAGCCTGGCTGAGAATGTCAATTTGGACATTGAAGTTACTTCCTCTCACCAAACAGCCCCATTTCTGCCATTCTTCATGGGCTATGGTGGCCTGCTCTTTTGTAATTTGACTTTTTGTCCTCTGAGCCAATAGTAGTTTGTTAATATTCCTCTAAAAGAGTAAGTCTCAGACTTGGAAAAAGTCCTCCAGGTCATCTGGTAGTGAGGCTAGGGCATGAGTTACATCTTTCTTGGAAGCAGGTTGATTCCAACAAAAAGATTTAAATTGTCCAAACACAGACAGCCTTTCTTCTTTTCATTCATCTATTTCATAGATGCTTTCTGTCAGTCATAAAGTACTGCTGTTTATGGAGACTGTCACTTTTCCTTGGGACACAAGCCAAATCACATGCTCCACTCAAGGTAGGTCAAAAGTATCCTTTAAAACAACAGAATAAAGTAGTATTTATGAGCACAGGCACTGAAGTCAGTCAGACATCGAGATTTGAATCCTGTTCTCACAATTTGTTATCTGTGAAATTTTGCACAAATTACATGATATCTCTGAGCCTCAGCTTCCTCACCTGGAAAATAACACCTATATCTTTGAAATGTTGTTAAGATTAAATGAGATAATGCAATATCAAGATCTTTGAACATGGCTATTCCTCCATGAACATTAATAATTGTGTGCTATTATTATTTGCCAATGTAATCATGCATGATTAAAAAGCAGAAATAAATTACACAAGAAGCATAATTAAATGTAAAGAACACTGATTCTGGAGTTAGGAAGCCTGAGTTCAAGTTCTAACTCTATCACCACTATTGAGGACTCTTGAGAATAGAAGAATAAATGTGTTTCATGATAAATAACTAGGTTGCTTCCAAGATGACCAAATAGTAACAGCTCCAGTCTACAGCTCCCAGCAAGATCAACAGAGAAGACGGGTGATTTCTGCATTTCCAGCTGAGGTAACTGGTTCATCTCATTGGAACTGGTTGGACAGTGGGTGCAGCCCATGGAGGGTGAGCCGAAGCAGGGCAGGGAATCGCCTCACCCGGGAAGTGCAAGGGGTCAGGGGATTTCCCTTTCCTAGCCAAGGGAAGCCATGAATGACTGTACCTGGAGGAATGGTACACTCCTGCACAAATACTGCACTTTTCCCAGGGGTCTTCGCAACCAGCAGATTTGGAGATTCCCTCCCCATGCCTGGCTCGGCAGGTCCCACACCCACGGAGCCTTGCTTGGTGCTAGCGCAGCAGTCTGAGATTGACCTGTGACACTGGAGCTTGGCAGGGGAGGGGCATCCACTATTACTCACGCTTGAGTAGGCAGTTCTATGCTCACGGTGTAAACAAAGTGGCAGGGAAGCTCAAACTGGGTGGAGCCCACCACAGCTCAGCAAGGCCTACTGCCTCTCTAGATTCCACCTCTGGGGGCAGGGCATATCTGTACAAAAGGCAGCAGACAGCTTCTGCAGACTTAGATGTCCCTGCCTGACAGCTCGGAAGAGAGAAGTGGTTCTCCCAGCATGGCGTTTGAGCTCCAACAATGGACAGACTGCCTCCTCAAGTGAGTCTCTGACCCCTGTGTAGCCTGACTGGGAGACACCTCCCAGTAGGGGCCGACAGACACCTCATACAGGTGGATGCCCCCCTGGGACGAAGCTTCCAGAGGAATAATCAGGCAGCAATATTTGCTGCTCTGCAGACTCCACTGGTGATACCCAGGCAAACAGTGCCTGGAGAGGACCTCCAGCAAACTCCAACAGACCTGCAGCTGAGGGGCCTGTCTGTTAGAAGGAAAACTAACAAACAGAAAGGAATAGCATCAGCATCAACAAAAAAGACATCCACACCAAAACCTCATCCATAGGTCACCAACATCAAAAACTGAAGGGAGATAAAACCAAAAAGATAGGGAGAAACCAGAGCAGTAAGGCTGAAAATTCCAAAGACGAGATGGCCTCTTCTCCTCCAAAGGAACACAACTCCTTGCCAGAAAGGGAAGAAAACTGGATGGAGAATGAGTTTGACTAGTTGACAGAAGTAGGTTTCAGAAGGTCAGGAATAACAAACTTCTCTGAGCTAAAGGAGCATGTTCTAACCCATCACAAGAAAGCTAAAAACCTTGAAAAAAGGTTAGACGAATGGCTAAGTAGAATAACCACTGTAGAGAAGAGCTTAAATGACCTGACGGAGCTGAAAATTACAGTATGACAACTTCGTGAAGCATACACAAGCTTCAATAGCTTATTCAATCAAGTGGAAGAAAGGATATCAGTGATTGAAGACCAAATTAATGAAATAAAGTGAGAAGATAAGTTTAGAGAGAAAAGAGTAAAATGAAATGAACAAGCCTCCAAGAAATGAGGGACTGTGTGAAAAGACCAAATCTACGTTTGATTGATGTACCTGAAAGTGACGGGGAGAATGGAACCAAGTTGGAAAACAGCCTTCAGGATATTCTCAGGAGAACTTCCCCAACCTAGCAAGGCAGGCCAACATTCATATTCAGGAAATACAGAGAACACCACAAAGATACTCCTCGAGAAAAGCAACCCCAAGACAAAATTGTCAGATTCACCAAGGTTGAAATGAAGGAAAAAAAGTTAAGGGCAGCCAGAGAGAAAGGTCAGGTTACCCACAAAGGGAAGCCCATTAGACTAAAAGCAGATCTCTCGGCAGAAACCCTACAAGCCAGAAGAGAGTGGGGGCCAATAATCAACATTCTTAAAGAAAAAAATTTTCAACCCAGAATTTCGTATCCAGCCAAACTAAGCTTCATAAGTGAAGGAGAAATAAAATCCTTTATAGACAAGCAAATGTGAGAGATTTTGTCACCACCAGGACTGCCTTACAAGAGCTCCTGAAGGAAGCACTAAACATGAAAAGAACAACCGGTATCAGCCACTGTAAAAACATGCCAAATTGTAAAGACAGTAGATGCTATGGAGAAAATGCATCAATAAATGGGCGAAATAACCAGCTAACATCATAATGACAGGATCAAATTCACACATAACAATATTAACCTTAAATGTCAACAGGCTAAATGCCCCAATTAAAAGACACAGACTGGCAAATTGGATAAAGAGTCAAGACCCATCAGTGTGCTGTATTCAGGAGACACATCTCATGTGCAAAGACACACATAGGCTCAAAATGAAGGGATGGAGGAAGATCTACCAAGCAAATGGAAAGCAAAAAAAAAGCAGGGGTTGCAGTCCTCGTCTCTGATAAAACAAACTTCAAACCAACAAAGATCAAAAGAGACAAAGAAGGCCATTACATAATGGTAAAGGGACCAATTCAACAAGAAAAGCTAGCTATAATAAATATATATGCACCTAATACAGGAGCACCCAGATTCAAAAGCAAGTTCTTAAAGATGTACAAAGAGACCTAGACTCCCACACAATAATAGTGGGAGACTTTAACACCCCAATGTCAATATTAGACAGATCAACAAAACAGAAAATTAACAAGGATATCCAGGGCTGGAACTCAGCTCTGCACCAAATGGACCTAATAGACATCTACAGAGCTCTCAACCCCAAATCAACAGAGTATGCATTCTTCTCAGCACCACATCACACTTATTCTAAAATTGACCACATAATAGGAAGTAAAACACTCCTCAGCAAATGTAAAAGAACAGAAATCACAACAAACTGTCTCTCAGACCACAGTGCAACCAAATTAGAACTCAGGATTAAGAAACTTACTCAAAACTGAACAACTATATGGAAACTGAACAACCTGTTCCTGAATGATTACGGGGTAAATAATGAAATGCAGGCAGAGATAAAGATGTTCTTTGAAACCAATGAGAACAAAGATACAACGTGCCAGAATCTCTGGGACACATTTAAAGCAGTGTGTAGAGGGAAATTTACAGAACTAAATGCCCACAAGAGAAAGCAGGAAAGATCTAAAATCGACACCCTAACATCACAATTAAAAGAAATAGAGAAGCAAGAGCAAACACAATCAAAAGCTAGCAGAAGACAAGAAACAACTAAGATGAGAGCAGAACTGAAGGAGACAGAAACATTAAAAATTTTTTTTTTAATCAATGAATGCACGAGCTGTTTTTTTGAAAAGATCAACAAAATTGATAGACTGCTAGCAAGGCTAATAAAAAAGAAAAGAGAAGAATCAAATAGGCTCAATAAAAAATGATAAAAGGGATATCACCAACGATCTCACAGAAACACAAACTACCATCAGAGAATACTATAAACACCTCTACTCAAATACACTAGAAAATCTAGAAGAAATGGTTGAACTAGTTTACAGTCCCACCAACATTGTGGAAGTCAGTGTGGCGATTCCTTAGGGATCTAGAACTAGAAATACCATTTGACCCAGCCATCCCATTACTGGGTATATACCCAAAGGACTATAAATCATGCTGCTATAAAGACATGTGCACACGTATGTTTATTGCAACACTATTCACAATAGCAAAGACTTGGAACCAACCCAAATGTCCAACAATGATAGACTGGATTAAGAAATTATGGCATATATACACCATGGAATACCATGCAGCCATAAAAAATGATGAGTTCATGTCCTTTGTAGGGACATGGATGAAATTGGAAATCATTCTCAGTAAACTACCACAAGGACAAAAAACCAAACACCGCATGTTCTCACTCATAGGTGGGAATTGAACAGTGAGAACACATGGACACAGGAAGGGGAACATCACACTCTGGGGACTGTTGTGGGGTGGGGGGAGGGGGGAGGGATAGCATTAGGAGATATACCTAATGCTAAATGACGAGTTAATGGGTGCAGCACACCAGCATGGCACATGTATACATATGTAACTAACCTGCATATTGTGCACATGTACCCTAAAACTTAAAGTATAATAATAATAAAATAAAATAAAATAAAAAAAGAAAATCTAGAAGAAATGGATAAATTCATCGACACATACACCCTCCCAAGACTAAACCAGAAGGAAGTTGAATCTCTGAATAGACCAATAACAGGTTCTGAAATTGAGGCAATAATTAATAGCTTACCAACCAAAAAAAATTCCAGGACTAGACAGATTCACAGCCAAATTCTACCAGAGGTACAAATTGGAGCTGGTACCATTCCTTCTGAAACTATTCCAATCAATAGAAAAAGAGGGAATCCTCCCTAACTCATTTTATGAGGCCAGCATCATCCTGATACCAAAGCCTGGCAGAGACACACAAAAACAAGAGAATTTTAGGCCAATATCCCTGATGAACATGGATGTGAAAATCCACAGTAAAATATTGGCAAACTGAATCCAGCAGCACATCAAAAAGCTTATCCACCAAAATCAAGTTGGCTTCATCCCTGGGATGCAAGGCTGGTTCAACATATGGAAATCAATAAATATACTCCAACACACAAACAGAACCAACGACAAAAACCACATGAGTATCTCAATAGATGCAGAAAAGGCCTTTGACAAAAGTCAACAGTCTTTCATGCTAAAAACTCTCAATAAACTTGGTATTGATAGAACGGATCTCAAAATAATAAGAGCTATTTATGACAAACCCACAGCCAGTATCATACTGAATGGGCAAAAACTGGAAGCATTCCCTTTGAAAACCAGCACAAGACATGGATGCCCTCTCTCACCACTCCTATTCAACATAGTATTGGAAATTCTGGCCAGGGCAATCAGGCAAGGGAAAGAAATAAAGGGCATTCAATTATGAAAAGAGGAGGTCAAATTGTCTCTGCTTGCAGATGACATGATTGTATATTTAGAAAACCCCATTGTCTCAGACCAAAATCTCTTTAAGTTGATAAGCAACTTCAGCAAAGTCTCAGGATGCAAAATCAATGTGCAAAAATCACAAGCATTCCTATATACCAAGAACAGACAGAGAGCCAAATCATGAATGAACTCCCATTCACAATTATTAAAAAGAAAATAAAATACCTAGGAATCCAACTTAAAAGGAATGTGAAGCACCTCTTCAAGGAGAACTACAAACCACTGCTCAACGAAATAAAAGAGAACACAAACAAATGGAAGAACATTCCATGCTCATGGATAGGAAGAATCAATATCATGAAAATGGCCATACTGCCCAAGGTAATTTATAGACTCAATGCTATCCCCATCAAGCTATCACTGACTTTCTTCACAGAACTGGAAAAAGCTACTTTAAAGTTCATATGGAACCAAAAAAGAGCCTGCATAGCCGAGACAATCCTAAGCAAAAAGAACAAAGCTGGAGGCATCATGCTACCTGACTTCAAACAATACTACAAGGCAACAGTAACCAAAACAGCATGGTTCTGGTACCAAGACAGATATATAGACCAATGGAACAGAATAGAGGCCTCAGAAATAACACCACACATCTACAACCATCTGATCTTTGAAAAGCCTGACAAAAACAAGAAATGGGGAAAGGATTCCCTATTTAATAAATGGTGCTGAGAAAACTGGCTAGCCATATGTAGAAAGCTGAAACTGGATCCCTTCCTTACACCTTATACAAAAATTAATTCAAGATGGATTGAAGACTTAAATGTAAGACCTAAAACCATAAAAAAAAACCCTAGAAGAAAACCTAGGCAACACCATTCAGGACATAGGCACGGGCAAAGACTTCATGACTAAAACACCAAAAGCAATGGCAACAAAAGTCAAAATTGACAAATGGGATCTTATTAAACTAAAGGGCTTCTGCACAGCAAAAGAAACTATCATCAGAGTGAAGAGGCAACCTACAGAATGGGAGAAAATTTTTGCAATCTATCCATCTGACAAAGGGCTAATATCCAGAATCTACAAAGAACTTAAGCAAATTTACAAGAAAAAAACAACCCGATCAAAAAGTGGGCAAAGATATTAGCAGACACTTCTCAAAAGATGACATTTATGCAGCCAACAGACATATGAAAAAATGCTCATCATCACTGGTCATCAGAAAAATGTAAGTCAAAGCCACGATGAGATACCATCTCACACCAGTTAGAATGGTGATCATTAAAAAGTCAGGAAAGAACAGATGCTAGAGAGGATGTGGAGAAATAGGAACACTTTTACACTGTTGGTGGCAGTGTAAATTAGTTCAACCATTGTGGAAGACAGTGTGGTGATTCCTCAAGGATCTAGAACCAGAAATACCATTTGACCCAGCCATCCCATTACTGGGTATACACCCAAAGGATTATAAATCATGCTACTATAAAGACACACTCACACATGTTTATTGCGGCACTATTCACAATAGCAAAGACTTTGAACCAACCCAAATGTCCATCAGTGATAGACTGGATAAAGAAAATGTGGCACATATGCACCATGGAATACTATGCAGCCATAAAAAAGGATGAGTTCATGTCTTTTGCAGGGACATGTATGAAGCTGGAAACCATCATTCCCAGCAAAATATTACAAGGACAGAAAACCAAACACCACATGTACTCAATCATAAGTGGGAGTAAAACAATGAGAACACTTGGACACAGGGAAGGGATCATCACACACCAGGGCCTGTTGGGAGGTAGGGGCCTGGGGGAGGGATAGCGTTAGGATAAATATCTAATGTAAATGACGAGTTGATGGGTGCAGCAAACCAACATGGCACATGTATGCCTATGTAACAAACCTGCATGTTGTACACATGTACCCTAGAACTTAAAGTATAATAATAAAAAAAGAAAAATAAGTAGTATAGAATGGGTCTGAGGCATAGGTTTTATGGGAGAGCATGGTAGGTTGGTGATTCCATGGAGAGTGTTGAATGCCAAGTTTTGGATCTTTTAAAGATTCAGAAGATGAATGCCCTTGTGCTTTACAATAATAGTCCAAAAGTAAAATGGGGGCTGAATCTGCACCCAAGTTTCTTTGCTTTGTGGATCTTTCTGCAGATTATTTTGTTCTTTAGTCTTTCTCATTATTCACCAGTTTAACTATCTGTTCATCTACACCCTCATGCTCAATACAGTCTTCTTCTTTTTCCTTTGTAGAAGAAACTCCAATTCTTGGCCAGGTCTACCCATGTTGGTATAAACTTTCTAGCATGTACCAACATCATAGTTGGGTGGGGGTAGGGAAGGCCTTCCACAAAGTTGACAGCTAGTCTGCAAGAGGCCAGGACATGGAGAATGTGGAGTTCAGGCCAGAGCAGCCATACTTCCTCCAGTCTTGGGGAAAAAAGGAACAGACAAACAGCTAATGTATTCCAGAAAGCCAGAAAGACACCATGACTGTGGAGCCTAAGGATCTCCTCCAGGCTAATCAGACTCTTTGATTAAATGATTGCTGCCCTTTCAGGGACACCATTCACCTCACTATACAATTCATGGAGTTTGGCTTCCACTCTCAAAATAATCTTAGAACACGATGAGGTGTCATTTTGGGAACTGAAAATAATTTCACGGAAGCACAATGCATCTGTGAAATGAGTAGTTAACCAGGAGTCAACAGTCTCAGCTCTGACACTGACAATTTGTGAGACCCTTGGGCCAAACTCTCTTTAGGCTACAATCTCCCTATTTGCCAAATGAAGGGAGAAGGAATTAAGCTGGGCGATATTTGAGGTCCCTTTGAATTCTGATGTTGTCTGAGTCAATACTGTCTCATCCCTCCCCCTCCATCATAAGGTGAGCTTTGATGTTCTAAGAGCAATGAGAAAGGAAAACACCAAACCAGCCCCTCCCTCACATGGACAGTGTGTATATTTCCACCTCTGATATGCATCTCCGCCAGTTCAAATAAGCTGACATAATGTCCTTTGTATTATCCATGGTGAATGAGAACAGCAAAAATAAATCACCCAAAGGGGAGATGAATTGGGCCTGTTGGCCTCACTAATGAGTTGCTTTACTCAAACAAGCTAATCTGCTATCTGCTAATAAAGCAGCTTAATGACCTTATCCAAGCTTCTCATGGGAAGGTGTCAGGAAGAGGTTCCAAAATACTTATTTTTCCTCTGAAAAAGAAAGCATAGAAAGAAGAAAACTAGTAATTCTTAAGAACTTACCATATCAGCCCTTGTGCTTATTATACATTTTCTCATCCATTATCTCATTCTGATATGAAAGGGTTCCAGGTATGGTATCTTGTTACCGCATTGACTCTCAAGGTTGAATCATTTTTATCTCTCATCATCCCCTTTACATCACTTTTCTTTGGTTGAAGAGGATGACTTACCCACGTAGAGAAGGACTATTCTTTTGCAGATGAGGAAACTGACATTTCAAGAACTGAAATAGTTTGCCCAAGGTAGCACATATACAGGTGTCAGAGCTGAAATTGGTCAGAGCTGGAATCTAAGATTTTGAATTCCATATCCAGTCTTTTTCTGCTGCCCCTTATAAGGGCACTTAGATATCTTTCTCCTTGGGTACTAGAAATAGCAGGAGGGGGTAAATCTCAGGAATATTACATCGACAACCCAGCGAACTTGTGAGCTGTGATTTTCAGTGGATGCTTCAGACTGGGAGTACTGAAATCAGGAAAATAGCTCAGAGAGCTGCAGAATAAATTTTATTTCCATTTAAAGCAAACCACATTGTGAGACCACTGAGACATCAGTACAGCCTGAGTTGGCTCTAGTCCTCTCCTTCAGTCACCCTGCTTTCTGTGTCATTAAAATGTTCTTGTCTTCTCTGGCTCTTACCTGCTTCTTGGCAGAGAAAGAAAGCCTCAAAACTGACAGGAGAACAAGACCATCCTGACTAACATGGTGAAACCCCGTCTCTACTAAAAATACAAAAAAATTAGCCGGGTGTGGTGGCAGGCGCCTGTAGTCCCAGCTACTCGGGAGGCTGAGGCAGGAGAATGGCATGAACCCGGGAGGCGGAGCTTGTAGTGAGCCGAGATCGCGCCACTGCACTACAGCCTGGGCGACAGAGCGAGACTCCGTCTCAAAAAAAAAAAAAAATGAAAAGAGATGTCAGTCTTCTGGAGCCCCACAGCCTGCCCCAGCCCTCAGCTTCATGAGACACCCACAACGAAGAGCAATGAAAGGAGTGGGAACATCACAGTAAGGTGGCAAGAGCTAAATTGCTTGTTCTCACAATGAAATAAACTCATGGAAACAGGGCCCTCAACAATTTTCTCCTCTCATTCTGTCCAAATCATCTGACACAAGCCAGAACACCTCCACTGACACTATCATGACACCTACACAACCTAATGCATTTCACATGCATGGGCTTTCTACCTGGTGCTAAATCCTATACCAGATGTACTGACCAACCTTATTGCATTAACTCCTCCAAACAACCCTAGAGAATGGCGGCAATATTAGTTAATATTCATTGAATACTTATTATGTTCCAGGATCTATTCTCTAGGCTTTGCATATATTAACTCATTTAATATTTACAACGAGTCTTTTAGGAAAGTTCATCAATTTTCAGGTGTGCCTTTTAAAAAACATTTTAACATCTTTGAAATCTGAGTGTATCTTGTTTCTTTCACTATTCTGTAATTTTATTTTACATCACTTAGTCTGCTCAGGCTGCTATAACAGAGTATCATGAACGGAGTAGCTAATAAAAAACACAAATTTATTTCTCACAGTTTTAGAGGCTGAGAAGTCAAGAAAAAGCCACCAGCATATTAAGTGTCTGGTGAGGACCCACTTCTTGGTTTAAAAAATCCATCTTCCTGCTGCATCCTCAGATGGTGGAAGGGGCAAATGAGCTCCCAAGGGCCTATTTTATAAGGGCACTGATTCCATTCATGAAGGTTTCAACCTTGTGACCTAATCTCCTTTTGGAAGCCTCCACCTCCTAATACCATCACTTTGAGGGTTAGGATATTAACAAGAATTTTGGTGGGACAAAAACATTCAGACCATAGCAAGCACTTTTCACTAAGTATACATTTGTTAGTGATTACATCTCCCACTAAACCGTGAGCCCTGTGAGGACAAAAAAAAAAAAAACTTTGACCTTCTTTGATCTTCTTCTTCACTATTTTACCCCCAGAATTCAGTGCATACGCTGATATACAGTAAGTGCTCAGAAAATATTGAATCAATTAATCATACAACGAATGAATTGACAACTCAAACTGGAAAGGGGATTGAAATAATTGTAACTATTCCATTGTTTCCAGGTGGAAATATTTGCAAAGTTGACCCACATTGATAAAGCCTTCTACAGGAAATCCAATTCAATATCAGTTACACCTGTTGATGTGAAACTTTATCCATCCTTATAGCCAAGCCAATTATCATTCTTGCTACAGCGAGTTGATTCCAGGCAAATAGAAGTATCCCAATCCTGCATACCCCCACTTGCTTCGTAAAGCCTTCTTCCAGGTTGAGGGTCATCCTCTGTTCTTACCATGTATGTATCAGTGCTCCCTGGTCCCTTCCCTGTTGCCTGAGCATCACCCTAATATTAAGAACATCAAAGTGAAAAATGAAAAGCCCTCAATCCAGAGAGGTATGAGAGAAAATCCTATTCCCTCTGCCCGTTTGCAGAGAGCCCTGTGTTTGAGCAGTATTCCTATTACTCACAAGGGTGGCAGATTAATTTGGCTGAGTCAAAAACAAGTTTAAGGAATTTCACCGAGATGCTAAAAGAAAACCACCTACAGAGACTCTGAATCATATGGTAAGATGAGGCCCTGGAATCTGTAATGCACACAAGCTTTCCAGGTGATTCTGATATGTAGCTAGGTTTGCGGACCACTCCACTATACCACACTGAAACCTAGATTTCTCTCTCTCTCACTCTCTCTATTTCTCAATCTCTCTCTTAAACAGTAACAGGGTCTCACCATGTTGTCCGGGCTGGTCTCAAGCTCCTAGCCTTAAGCAATCCTCCTGCCTAGGCCTTGCAAAGTGCTGGGATTACAGGCATGAGCCACTGCACCTGGCCTGAAAACTGGATTTTAAAAATGAATGTGCAAAGGCTTGTTCAACTGTCAAGTTCTACACACATTTGAGGCTTGACAGATCAAGGGAGAAGGATGTAAAAGGGCTTTGTAAACCACAAAGTACTGTGTAAGTGTGACAGAACTCTTTTTCCTGGGCAGAGAGTGGGGAATGTGTGGCCCTAGGCAGTGAGAGGTGAGGAATGGAGGGAGTGAATGATAGAGGGAGAGAGGGTTAGGAAAAGGGACAGAGGGAGAAAGAGAAGAGATGGCGAACCACATTAGGGAAGAGTTGTACTGAGATCAGCCATGAGTATAGAAGAAATGGGTGGGGGGCTCCAGTCTTAGAAGAAACTGAAGTTCAGAGAATGTACTAGTGTCTTGTCCAAACTTGCACAGTAAATGGTGATGGTTTTTTGACCATTGTGTGATAGGTACTTAGTAGATGGAAAGTATAGTGCAGATGCTAGTTGTCATTCATAGTTCACCCTGTGCTATTTCAAGTGGAGATAAATTATCCAAAAAATGTACTGCCAACACAGTCCCTAGCCAAGACTCTCCTTGGATTTTTCTTTAGGAGGCAATATTGGATGCATTCTCTCCTTGTGCTGCATTGAAAGTTATTTGGGTCAGATTATTCATATGCAGCATCTGTCAGTCAGCCTGTCAGCAATATACAGGTCTACCTGTCTTTATTGACTTATTGCAGCAGGACCTCTGGAGTTCCCACACATGAATTGAATGTTGTAGAAAAGATGACAAAAGAGACATATCCCAGAAAGCAGTATAGTACAAGGGGGGAAACTTTGGACTTCAAAGTGAAAGAGGTCTTGCTTTAAATTTTCAGCTTTGTCACATACTGGCTGGGTGACCTTAGACAAGTCCCTCCCCTTCTCTGAGGTTCAGTTTCCTCAGCTGTAAAATATGAAAATAATACCTACCTAACAAAATCCTGAAAATCACTAATGAGGCAAGAGATATATGGCTTGGAGAAGGTGCCAGTGAAAATGAGTCTCTTTTCTTCCCTGCTCTTAAGGAATTCCAGTCTAATTGATGATGACAAGACACACACATCAAATAGATAAACCCTGTTAGGCAGACTAGAATCAAGTGAGAAACTGATTTCAAAAGCACTCTTCAATTTGTCCATGTCTTTTCACCTCAGTTCCCACTACCCTGGTCCAAACCACCATTATATTTCATCTGGGCAATTGCAATAGGCTTCTCACTGAGCCTCCTGCTTCCACTTTTGCCCCCCTCCAATCAAACCACTCTTCCCACAGCTGCCAGATTGATATTTTAAATATGTAAGTCATATCATGTTATCACCTTTCTTAAAACCCTCCAGTGGGTCCCCATTGGACTTGGCATAAAATCCAAATTCCAGATAGAGGGGAGAAACAAGGACTTTGGCATCAGACTGCCTGAGCTCTGATTCTAGCTCTACCATTTACTAGTTATGTGACCTTGGGCAGTTATTTAATTGTTCTGTGCCTGAAAAAGTGAGATAATTATAGTAGTTTATAAGGTTATAGTGAGGATTACAAGTGTGTGTGTATCCACTTAGTAAAATACATGATAAGTACTACATTACCATGATGCTATAGCGTCTGGACCCTGCCTTACTCTTCAACTCTGTGTTGCCCTAATTCCTCCCTGCTGGCCTTCCTTCAGTTCCTTGAATATGCCAAACTCTTTCCCATTCTTGGAAACTTGACACATACATTTCTTCTTGCTTTGGAAATTCTTTCCACATCCTCTTCTTCCTTCCAACCCATATTGCTCTTCCTGTTCTTTCCATGATTGGATTTTTATCTTCTCAGATAAGCCATACTTGATTCCCTGATTAGATTCCACCTTGTTATTCTCTTCGACAGCAACTTATTTTCTCCATAACACGTATCACAATCTATAGGTATTTTATTTAGTTATTTGTTTAATTGTTCATTGTCTGCTTCCCTCATGAAAACATAAAGTCTATGTGGTCAGGCCTTTGTCTATCTTGTTCAAGTAGGGTAAAATGCTATGAAGAAAAATAAAGCAAGGTAAGAATGATACTGGCTAGTTAGATGCATAAGTGGAACCTGGGATATTCCAAGTGAGTCATGTAACAGTACAGATGAGGGTACTCAGTAGGCTTGGAGGCAGATAACAGTGTAATGAAAGTTAAAAGGATTGTGAGAAGGAGTGGGATGCTCCAGGGGAGTCTAGCTGGGAACTTTTTCTGTGGTCCTTTTGTTGTTATTGTCAGGTAGGAAGAGAAGGAGAAGCTGCAACCTCTACCAAGCTGAACTTCCGAAGCTCTGCCCAGCAGCAATGGACTCAAGCTGCCCTGCAATATCTCTTAGACCAGAGCAAAGTGGAGAGCCTCTTAGGCATTATAGGGCTCAGCACTTCCAGTGATGGGCTGTGTGACCTTGGGTAAATCTTTGGTACTCTCTGATCTGTGCCTTCCACATCTGTAACGTGGGCTTTGGATTACCTTATCTGTGAGGGTGCTTTTGGCCAGGACATCCCACAAGTCTATGAAATCTGAACAGGTACACTCCCTGGCCCCTTACATAGGATCTTCTGCTCCAGCTCTCTCTTCACTTATGCCTGGAATGAGGGCCTCATTCTTCTCCACCATCCTCTGCATAGAATCATACTCCCAGCTCTGGCTGGAAGGATGTGAATGGAGCAGAGGAGGAGGCCATTCTGTGAAGAGATAGCAAGAGTTTTCCATGAAATGAGCAAAGAAGTGGAAAATTAGCAGGCTATGGAAATGACCTTGCTAGCTACAGAACACCTCCCAAGTTCCTTTCAACTTTTAGGGGGACGGAAGAGAAATGGGAACCAAAACAAGAGATACAGAGCAGTTTTTTTGAGGATGAACTCCTGCCATCGTGACTTCAGGGTTTGAAGGAAATTCTGGGTAACAGACTTTCTAAGGGGTCATCATTCTTTCATGTGATATCTGAAGAGCACCCTTTGCTCCACAAAGCTCCAGAGACCAGGTAAGAGTAAGTCTTACCTTCCAATATATTATGGCTCCTATGGGCTCTTCCTTTTGGTCTTCTTCAGTCACCAACTTGTCACTACTATCTGGGGCCTCAAGCCACAAGACTTTACAGGTGACAGGTTCTCAGAAGTAATAATATATCACTGGGATCTAGAATGTGCAGGCTGAAAAGGTGCCTAGGGACCTTCCAGACAGGGGTTCTCATGAAATCTTCCATATGTCTTGGAGTGTGGGAGTGGCAGGGACAGAGTATAGTATCAGTGACTCTCAGTGAGTGGTTCATCAGAATCTTGTGCAGAAAGAGCAGAGTTGCATGCCATGTGAAATCAAGGGAATTTGAATTCTAGAGTCAGCACAAAAGCAAAAATTGAGACTGGTCAAAATTTCCCTTGAAAATCTTTTAAATCACCAGGACCTAGATAGGCATTTAGAAGCTAAAAAATCAAGATTTAACTTCTGTTTGTTTCTCTGCATATTTTTGTCATGGCCCCTCTTCTCTCTCTGGGTCAGTGGAGATCAGTCTAAATTGGGGAAACAATGACATAGTAAATAAAGCACCGTTTGTCTTTTTGCCAAGCAGCATACAACTAAATTTCTATAAGTTAAATATATGTATGATGCAACAGCACAGTAATAAGGGAAACTACTCCCTCTATTTCACCTCTACATTCATTGGCCCTGACCACAGCCTTCTCTAGGATTGGACCTCATTATTGTTCACATCCCTCTCCTCAACTGTCCTCTCACTTTTCTCATTACCTATCATAATGAACCATATGGGCAGCCTATTATGCTTGTGCTTGGTCTTGGACTCAAGATCTCATTAAACCTGCATCTCATAACAGCCTTATAGGGTATTCAGATCATGGCTCATTACCCCCATTTTCCTAAGGAATAAACTGAGGCCTAAGTCACGCACTGCCAGTGGCAGACCCGTCTTGGTTCCCATTTTAGTGTTCTTTCTACCGCACTATTCTCTCTCTGGACATGTAAAAGAATAATAATAGCTGCAATTTATCAAGCATTTATTTTTTGCCAAGCTCTGTGCTAAGCCGTTTGCATTTATTAACTGAATTGAGAAAATGGTAGGTGGTGTATGCAGAATGAATTGGAGAAAAGATTAGGGACCATCACAAGATAGAAGGCTGTTGACATCTGTTAGATGGAATAAAAACACATACTAGGAAACTTGGTGGGAATGGAAAGGAAAAGTGAGAGATTTTATTGGATTAGCTAGCAAACAACAGGATCTTGAGGTCACAGGACACATGAGTTTGAATGGAAGGAAAGACAAGTAAATGTGTGCTTTAAAGAAGGATGCTGTCTGCCAGGCACGGTGGCTCATGCCTGTAATCCCAGCACTTTGGGAGGCTGAAGCGGGTGGATTACGACGTCAAGAGATCGAGACCATCCTGGTCAATATGGTGAAACCCCGTCTCTACTAAAAATACAAAAATTAGCCAGGCATGGCGGCGGGTGCCTGTAGTCCCAGCTACTCGGGAGGCTGAGGCAGGAGAATCACTTGAACCCTGGAGGTGGAGGTTGCAGTGAGCTAAGATTGTGCCACTGCACTCCAGCCTGGCGACAGAGTGATACTCCGTCTCAAAAAAAAAAAAAAAAAATTAAAAAAAAGAAAGATGCTGTCCAGATTGCTATCCAGCATCTAAGAAGGCTATTCAGCATTTGGGAAGCCACATAGTTTCTGGAAGAATTCCAGCCTAGCATATACACGCTTTAGTTGCCATACACCTGTCTAGTCCTCCTTAAAGATGAAATTTCTTTCAAACATAGGTCTTCATTGGTAGCTCAAAATTCGCCTCACTCCCCTCCATGTGCTGTCCATAAATCCTGTGACACAGACCCTCAAAATGTCATCTGCTTTCACTTATATAATGGGTGTGTCTGAGAAAAGGGGGAGTTTAACAGGATCGTCCTCAAGATTCTGAGTCTACATAATTTAAGTGAGGAGGCTCCTTTCTGTGTCCAGCTCCATCCTCTCCTTCAGACACAAATTTTTACCTAAATCTCAAGTTAAACATGCTTAAAGCATGCCCTTCATTCAACCTCCTTGATTTCCTAGTTTCTATAGACAATCTCTCCATCCTCCCAACCCTGACTCCAAGCCTTAAGAATCACCTCACACTTCTCCCTCCCTTTGGCTGCCCACATCAAATCAATCACAGGGCCCTGTCAGTTCTCCCACTGCAGCAGGACTGACATCAGTGTGGGTCTTTTCATCTGCGCTGCTCAAGTTAAAGCCTCATTACCACTGATCTGGATTATTGTAATAACTGTTTTTCCAGAATCCTATCTCTCACTACTCTGATATATTCTGTACCAAACAGTTACCTACTTACTGGCCCCTTATGATTATCTGTGTAACAGACTAGTCAATGGAGACACAGAGGTAACAATGGTCTTACCTTCAAGAAACTCTCCATCTACTTATGGAACACATGTGAAATAACAATGAAAAAATAAACCTCATTAAGCTTTAGGTTGGAAGCATAAACTAAAATTCTGTAGAAATGTAGAAAAGGGAATAAATGCAATATTTTGTTGTGGTTTTGAGGGAAAAGGGTTTTATAGAAAGGCTTCACAGAGGAGATGACATTTGAACAGGATATTAAAGGTTAAATAGTTGGCTTGGTGACAAAGGGGAAGAAAGGTATTGTAGGCAGAGTCAAGTCTGTGTGTGATGGTATGAGGTGTCATACCGTAAAACAGCCTGAATGGTCAAAATACAAGAATCTTGTCAGTAAGGCAGGATACAGGTTTCCGACAGAACCTTTTGGAGAAAGTGGGGGTAGGGGTGGAACTACAGAGCAACCTCAGACAGAATTCAAGCTCAGGGCACTGTCCAGGTGGCGACTTGTTTCTTGGCAACAGGATGAGAGCCCAAGAAATGTGTCCAAGGGGTCTGCCAGCAGCAAGCTCCTGGCCCCATTTTACCAGTGACTGCATTGGCCCCAGTCCTGTTTCTGCCAAAACACAGTCAGCTAGCCCCACTTATCTTTCCAGCAGCTGCTCCAGAACTGCTCCCCATCCTAACCCAGGACCTGCCTGCACTTTTTTCTTTTTATTTTTTTATTATTATTATACTTTAAGTTTTAGGGTACATGTGCACAATGTGCAGGTTAGTTACATATGTATACATGTGCCATGTTGGTGCGCTACACCCACTAACTCGTCATCTAGCATTAGGTATATCTCCCAATGCTATCCCTCCCCCCTCCCCCCACCCCACAACAGTCCCCAGAGTGTGATGTTCCCCTTCCTGTGTCCATGTGTTCTCATTGTTCAATTCCCACCTATGAGTGAGAATATGCGGTGTTTGGTTTTTTGTTCTTGCGATAGTTTACTGAGAATGATGATTTCCAATTTCATCCATGTCCCTACAAAGGACATGAACTCATCATTTTCTATGGCTGCATAGTATTCCATGGTGTATATGTGCCACATTTTCTTAATCCAGTCTATCATTGTTGGACATTTGGGTTGGTTCCAAGTCTTTGCTATTGTGAATAATGCCGCAATAAACATATGTGTGCATGTGTCTTTATAGAAGCATGATTTATAGTCCTTTGGGTATATACCCAGTAATGGGATGGCTGGGTCAAAATCTCCTTAAGCTGATAAGCAGCTTCAGCAAAGTCTCAGGATACAAAATCAATGTACAAAAATCACAAGCATTCTTATACACCAATAACAGACAAACAGAGAGCCAAATCATGAGTGAACTCCCATTCACAATTGCTTCAAAGAGAATAAAATACCTAGGAATCCAACTTACAAGGGATGTGAAGGACCTCTTCAAGGAGAACTACAAACCACTGCTCAAGGAAATAAAAGAGGATACAAACAAATGGAAGAACATTTCATGCTCATGGGTAGGAAGAATCAATATCATGAAAATGGCCATACTACCCAAAGTAATTTACAGATTCAATGCCATCCCCATCAAGCTACCAATGACTTTCTTCACAGAATTGGAAAAAACTACTTTAAAGTTCATATGGAACCAAAAAAGAGCCCGCATCGCCAAGTCAATCCTAAGCCAAAAGAACAAAGCTGGAGGCATCACGCTACCTGACTTCAAACTATACTACAAGGCTACAGTAACCAAAACAGCATGGTACTGGTACCAAAACAGAGATATAGATCAATGGAACAGAACAGAGCCCTCAGAAATAACACCACATATCTACAACTATCTGATCTTTGACAAACCTGACAAAAACAAGCAATGGGGAAAGGATTCCCTATTGAATAAATGGTACTGGGAAAACTGGCTAGCCATATGTAGAAAGCTGAAACTGGATCCCTTCCTTACACCTTATACAAAAATCAATTCAAGATGGATTAAAGACTTAAATGTTAGACCTAAAACCATAAAAACCCTAAAAGAAAACCTAGGCATTACTATTCAGGACATAGGCATGGGCAAGGACTTCATGTCTAAAACACCAAAAGCAATGGCAACAAAAGCCAAAGTTGACAAATGGGACCTAATTAAATTAAAGAGCTTCTGCACAGCAAAAGAAACTACCATCAGAGTGAATAGGCAACCTACAAAATGGGAGAAAATTTTCACAACCTACTCATCTGACAAAGGGCTAATATCCAGAATCTACAATGAACTCAAACAAATTCACAAGAAAAAAACAACCCCATCAAAAAGTGGGCAAAGGATATGAACAGACACTTCTCAAAAGAAGACATTTATGCAGCCAAAAAACACATGAAAAAATGCTCACCATCACTGGCCATCAGAGAAATGCAAATCAAAACCACAATGAGATACCATCTCACACCAGTTAGAATGGCAATCATTAAAAAGTCAGGAAACAACAGGTGCTGGAGAGGATGTGGAGAAATAGAAACACTTTTACACTGTTGGTGGGACTGTAAACTAGTTCAACCATTGTAGAAGTCAGTTTGGCGATTCCTCAGGGATCTAGAACTAGAAATGCCATTTGACCCAGCACTTTTTTCAAAAGCTTATCTGGCCCTTACACATTACTCTCCTGACCTCATCACCGTTCTACAGACAAACATTCGGAGCACCCAGATATTTGCTTTTAATTCCTTGTTACAGTTGGCAGCTAGTCAGACATGAGCAGTGCAGGAGAGGACACCACCTCCACCAGGAATGTCAGACAACTATAAGGTGATGGTCAGGCAATTGTTACACTGTGTCTCTAAAATAATAATCGGTGGCAGCCAGCTCCAGGGAAAGACAGTCTCCCAATAGAAAAACTCCTGAAACGTGATCAGCAGCTTCCCGATAAGATCTCAGGAGGTGGGCAAGTGGGCTCAAGCATGTGCATTAAGAGGAAAAAAGGTGGCGTTTAACTGGTATATGACCTTCTGTGAATATTCAGCTAGTAAGGGAAGAACACTTCAAGTGAGCATGCATGTTTACTGGAGCAGTTAACTCCAGGAAACACACTGTGCATGCTCTCCTCCCAAGTGCTAGTAGGCCACTGCACATACAGATAGCCCACCCCAAGGGAAGAATCTGGGGAGAAGGGCTGCAAGACCCCCAAAGTATGCCAACTCCAAGCCAAAAGGTCAAACTGTGCACTTGATCTCTCAAGTCGCCCACTTGGCCCTCTCCCAAGGGTACTTTACTTCCTGTTCTAAATCATTTTAATAAACTTTCGCTCCTGCTGTAGAACTTGCCTTAGTTTCTCCTTCTGTGTTATGCCCTCAGTCGAATTCTTTCATCTGATGAGGCAAGAATTGAGGTTGCTGCAGACTCATATGGATATGGATTCACTGTCAGTAACACTCTCATCGCAAAGTGCTCACCCTTGGCTTAAGCCTCTTAGCTCATAGCCTTGCTGACTCATACTCTGAGTGCTGCTTGAACTCACTCCTAAGTGAGATATTTCCACTCTTTCCTTCGGAATGGGGATTTTCTGTGCTTTCGCCACTTGTGGATTCCCTATAGCACTATAGTAGGGCTGTGTGGATTGAAGGGATCCAGTGACGTTTACTGAGTAATTGAGAAGGTACTGATCTCTAAACCTCAGTGCTTCATGTCCTTCCCTGTGATCTTGGAATGTAATTCGTCACTACACGTTTGGCCAGAAATTGTCCCCAAACTTGCCAGCCCATGTCTTGATCTCTCAGTGACCCCTCCCTTCAATCATGGCTCTCTTTAATATCACTCACCTAGAGCCTTGACTCACCAAGAGTCTTGCCATGGACTCTCTTTTTCTCTCCTCTGGACCTCCAACCCCAGTCTGTCTCCCCTGGGTTCCCCTAGCCCCTGCCCCTCTCTCTACAATGGCCCCAGTCTCACCTCTTCCCCTCTCTCAGCCTCCTCTCAGCCCAATTCAATACAGCTTTATTCTCTAGAGCCTTCTCTGCAGCCCCTGTCCCTGTCACTGTGCTGTTGGATTTACACCAGACTCTCTCCCCTCCCCTTTACAGCTCTCCCACAGCCCTTCCCCAGAGCGGTCTCAGGGCCAGAGGCTCTCCCCAGCCCAACTGGGACCAACACATTCCAGTCTGGTGCAGCAGGGTCCCAGGTGACTCATGCCCTTATTTAGCAGGCAAGGAGAAGCCTAGCTGGATGGCCAGAAGGCAGGCTACTGGGAAGTTTGAAACCCTTTAACAGAGCCAGCAGGCCGACCACATCATCTCTGGTCACTGAGCTGTTTCGTGACAGTCCAGGTTGCAGTCCAGGAGCAAGTTGTGCAGTCCAGGAGTAAGTTGTACAGTCCAGGAGCAGGCTGTGCAGCCGTGCTCCAACGCTGTAGGCCCTCTTCTCTCTCTCCCTCTCTCCTGATACCTAGGCCACACTCACTTCCTGGCCTTCCAGGCACTCCCACCAGTCGGGGCCACCGGGACTCTGGGCAGTAGGTTGCCAAAGAGAGCTTTGCAGCTGTGGCATCCCCACCAAAGCTCCAGCTGCAGGCACTGCAGATTTCTCACCTGCTGGAATTGCAACCCTGTGGTGCACACCTCCCCCATCCTTCGGGTGAAGGCGGCACAGGACAAGCCCTGCACTAGCCAGCCATGTCCCAGATCTGGTTAGCCAAGGCACGTGGACACCTGAAACAAGGATCCGAGCAAGGTAAGTAGTTGGGGCCGTAGGAAAGGAACAGGTGGCCATTGCGCTCTATGGCCACCAAGATGCATGCAAGGGTGTGGTGGGAGATAGGGCTGAGGGAGGGAGCACCTCAGGACCAACTCCACCCCTCATAGCTTGGAAGCCCTGCCAACATCCCACTTTCACACCCCAAACTTGGAGGTGTTGAAGCCACCACCAAGGTGCGAAAACCACTTTTTTCTTTCCTGCCACGCCGGGAGAGCGCCCTGCAGAGTCAGATCCTGAGAGAGTAGGCTGCCATGGGCCTCTGTAGAGCTGGAATTCTCCCTAGTCTGAGAGGTGCAGCCTGGGCAGAGACGCCTGAGCCCCCTCTCTAGAATGCAGGTGATGACTCCCTACCCTACCTAACACTCGGAGAGGGCAAGGATTTCCCTCTGCTCCATCCAGCTCCAAGAAGCTTTTCTCCACTAAGCCACAGTTTATTCATATGTCAAATGGGGATACCAAAATCCATGCACAGAGCTACTGTGAGGATTGCAGTCGGTAATGCATGTGAAAAAGCACAACACAGATTTTGGCAGACAGTGTGCACTCACTTTTACTTCTTTCCTCTTGACTCTCCAACCTTTAAATGATAGAATTCTGGCACATTTCCTGCGGGGTTGGATTCTGCACCACCTAAGCACAAATCATGCTGAATTAGCTACCTCAGCATCAGGCTTAGTAGGAAAGTGGGGGTTGGCAGACAAGGTCCAGAAAAAACAAACAAACAAAAAAAAAAACCAAAAAACAACACCAGAGAGGAGAAACCAAGGTGACTGAAGAAATTCAGGAAGAGAAAGAGGCCAAGAAAGTGGAAAGAGACACCAGCAGGGACATAGAATCTGAAAACAAAGTGGAGCTCTGGGGATTTGAACAGGGAAACTACAGGAAAAAAAATTAGACCCCAGAAAAAAATGGGTGAAGCCTCAGAGATCTAGAGAGGATACTAGAAAAACAGATGATGCCACAGGGACATAGGGGATAGGGAACTCCAAGAGACCAAGAAACCCCAGAAACCTAGGAAAGAGGTAAGATTACAGAAAATGGATGAAGCACCAGTGATACAGGGAAGGGTCTCAAAGAAACAGGACTGCAGAAAAGGCATAGAATCATGAGGAAGAAGAGAAGCGTTCCTAAGAGAACAGAAAACTGCAGAAGAATATTAGAAAGGTATTGTGCCAGGGATTTAGGTAGGGGAACATGGAAAAGAGAAAAGCCCACAGGTCTCAGATGGCAGATAGGAGGCAGGACTAGCTTGCAGCTCCCACTCAGACAGACAGAGCAGCATGTGAAGACTCACATCATGAACTTTTGCTCCAAGAACTACCGCAGGAACATACCAGGAAAACTGAGAGAATTCACAGACCCTCTGAAGGAACTGGAGCCACTGTAGGCTCCCTGAGATACCAAAAAACTGAGTCTACTTGCTTTCTCAGCAAGGATGCTGGTGGTCACTCGGTGCTGTTGGGGGTGGGTGTGCACAGTGGGAGTGAGACTGGCCTTTAGAACTGCAGGCTCCTTGGGAGCAAGGTGAGGCCTGTGACTGTCTGATTTCCCCTACTTCCCTGGTTACCAGTATGACTCAGCAGAGGCAGGCATAATTCCCCTGGGACTATAACTCCATTGTCCTGGGAACCACACAATCGCAGTGAGCCCTGCCCAAGGACAGTGTGAGCTCGAGTAGTCCTATCCCTGGCTCCACCTGGTGGTGTTTCTCTACCGGCCTTGGTTGACGAAGACAAAGGACATAATCTCTTGGGAGCTCTGTGGTCCTGCCCACCACCTGAGAAACCTGAATACTAAACCAGGCGACCCCAAGGCAAGTTTCTCTCTATACTTCTGCAGCTGATACACTCTTGAAAGCACTACCTCCTGGCTGGATGCCAACAAACAACCCTCCTAGATTAAAGCAGGAAGAAATAGGAACTCTGAACAGACCAATAACAGGCAATAGGAAAAGGATTCCGTATTTAATAAAATGTACTGGGAGAACTGGCTAGCCATATGCAGAAAATTGAAACTGGATCCCTTCCTTACACCTTATAAAAAAATTAACTCAAGATGGATTAAAGACTTAAATGTAAAACCCAAAACTATAAAAACCTTAGAAGAAAATCTAGGCCATACCATTCAGGACATAGGCATGGGGAAACACCAAAATGGCACATGTATACATATGTAACAAACCTGCACATTGCGCACATGTACCCTAAAACTTAAAGTATAATAATAATAAAATTTTTTAAAAAAAGAAAACGCCAAAAGCAAAAATTCACAAATGGTATCTAATTAAACTAAAGAGCTTCTGCACAGCAAAGAAACTATCACCACAGTGAACAGACCACTTACAGAATGGGAGAAAATTTTTGCAATCTATCCATATGACTGAGGTCTAATATCCAGAGTCTGCAAGGAACTTATACAAATTTACAAGAAAATAACAAGTAACCCCATTAAAAAGTGAGTAAAGAACATGAACAGATACTTCTTAAAAGAAGACATGTATGCATCCAACAAACATATGAAAAAAAGCTCAACATAACTGATCATTAGAGAAATGCAAATCAAAACCACAATGAGATACCATCTCATGCCAGTCAGACTGGTGATTATTAAAAAGACAAAAAAAAATTAGATGCTGGCAAGCCTGCGGAGAAATACTCTGTTGGTGGGAATGTAAATTAGTTCAACCATTGTGGAAGACAGTGTGGCGATTCCTCAAAGACCTAGAACTAGAAATACCACTTGAGCCATCAATCCCATTACTGGGTATATACCAAAAGGAATATAAATTATTCTATTATAATAGAATAATTATAATAATAATTATAATAGATACATGCATGTGTATGTTCATTGCAGCACTATTCACAACAGCAAAGACACGGAATTAACATAAATGCTCATCAATGATAGCCTGGATAAAGAAGATGTGGTACAAACACACTGTGGAATATTATGCAGCCATAAAAAGGAATGAGATCATGCCCTTTGCAGGGACATGGATAGAGCTGGAAGCCATTATCCTTAGCAAACTAACGCCAGAAACAGAAAACCAAGTACTGCGTGTCCTCACTTATAAGTGGGAGCTGAATGATGAGAACACATGGACACAAGTGGGGAATGACATACACTGGGGCATTTCAGAGGGTGGGGGGTTGGAGGAGGGAGATCATCAGGAAGAATAGCTAACGGATGCTGGGTTTAATACCTAGGTGTGGGCTGATCTGTACAGCAAACTACTGTAGCACACATATACCTATGTAACAAACCTGTACATCCTGCACATGTACCCCTGAACTTAAAATAAAAGTTGGAAATAAAAAAAAAAACAAGGAAATCCTTTTTTGTCCCTAGGTCACAAATACATTTTCCTAATTTTTTTTAATTAACTTTACAAATTTTTACTAACTTTACATGTTTCATCTTTAATATTTAGATGTTTAATCAATTTTGAATCCATCCTTGTATGTAGTGTTAGCCAGGGATTCAGTTTTATTTTTCTTAATATAGTGAGCCAGTTTTTCCAACATTATCTACTAAATAATCCATTCTGTCCCGATTAATTTTTGGTGGAACCTTTATTGTATATTAGGTTTTCATTTATACTGATTTTTTTTCTTACTTGTCTGCTTCCTTCAAATGAGAAGATCTACTTGACAGCAGGGACTGTCTGACTTGTATGCTCAGGACATAGCACAGTGCGTAATGCATAGCGAGTGCTCCATGAATATTTCCTGATTGAAATAATAAATAAATGCAGCAACCATAATATTTTTTCTGAGCCTATTAATTGACCGCAACTTGGGATAAAATATTTTCAACTTTAAAGTGAACATTTATGTTTCATGTATTTTGCAATAGCCCATTAAAAAATGGCCCCATTCTCTCCTTTCAGCTAGCTTGTGATCTGAGGAAGAGCACACAATGAAGAAAATAAAGTAATTCATCATTATTTTATTTTCTGAACATCTCCCATGTGCAAAGCCTTGTGCGAGGTATTTTACATGCATTATCTCATTTAATTAAAATCGAGTTGTAAAAATTAGAATGTGTCCAAGGGCATTTATGTCTCTAATAAATTGAGTTTTGAAATGACATATGATATGAATTTTGTTGTGATGAGCATTGGTTTTCAAAATTTTTAGCAGCTGATTAATTTTTATCTTTTAACAAACCCTTAACCAATAGATGAAACAACCAAAAGAGTTACATGGATTCCTCCAGCCATTTACATTTTTGCTGCTAGGTCAGTTGTGAGACAACCCCCCTGCCCTGCCACCAGAAGCCTCAGCTTCTGAGCAGCACAGCATGAAAATCACTGCAGTGAGCAAGAAAGAACTGTAGGTTCCAATGCTTCACAAAACTAAAGTATTAAGACAGGCCACTTTTACTACTTTTCTCCATTTTCTGATTCCTTGCTGCATTCCAGAACAGGGTTCTTTCTTCAAACCCTGGATTCCAGTGTCTTCTGTCTATCTCTAATATGTTTGTCATTTATTTTGTTACTTTGGTAAAATATGAATAACATAAAATTTGCCCTTTTAACCATTTTTAATTGTACAGTTCAGTGGCATTAAGTACATTCACATTGTTGTACAAACATCACCACCATCCACCTCCAGAACTTATCATCATCCAAAACTGAAAACCCACACTCATTAAACAATAACTCTCCATTGTCTCCTGACCCCAGCCTCTGGCAACCACTATTCTACTTTCTGTCTCTATGAATTTGACTACCATAGGTATCTCGTATAAGTGGAATTGTATAATATTTGTCCTTTCCTGACTGGCTTATTTCACTGAGCATAATGTCTTGAAGGCTCATCCATGTTGTAGCATGTGTTGGAATTTCCTTTGTTTTTAAGATTAAATTATATTCAATTGAAAGTATATACCCCATTTTGTTTATCTATTGATGGACATTTGGGTGCTTCCACTTTTTGGTTCTTGTGATTAATGCTGCTATGAACATGGGTATACAAATATCAGTTTGAGTCGCTGCTTTCAATTCCTTTAGGAATTACACCTAGAAGTGGAATTGCTGGATCATACACTAATTCTGTTTAGCTTTTTGAGGAACCACCATACTGTTTTCCATGGCAGCTGTAGAATTTTAAATCCTCACAAGCAATGCATGAGTTCCAATTTCTCCTCATAACTGACAACACTTGTTGTTTTCTGATTTTCTTATAATAGCCATCCTAATAAGAGTAAGTGTGAAGTGTTATGTCATTGTGGTTTTGATTTGTATTTCCTAATGATTAGTGATGTTTAGCATCTTTTCATGTGTTCATTGACCACTTGTATGTCATCATTGGAGAAATTTCTATTCAAGTTACTTGCCCATTTTTAATTGGGTTGTGTGTTGAATTATAAGAGTTCTTTATATATTCTAAATACGTGACCCTTATCAGATTTATTATTTGCAAATATTATCTCCCACTCTTAGGTTGTCTTTTCACTTTCTTGATAGTATCCTTTGAGGCACAAAGGTTTTTAATTTTAATTGAATTCAACTTATCTTTTTTTCCTTTTTAATCTTGTGCTTTTTGCGTCATATCTAAGAATCTATTGCCAAACCCAATTCATTAAGATTTACCCGTGTATTTTCTTTTAAGAGTTTCATAGTTTTAGCTTTTACATTTAGTTCTTTGATCTATTTTGAGTTAATTTTTGTATGTGGTTTGAGGTAGGGCCCCAAATTTATTCTTTTGTATGTGGCTATGTTGTTGCCTCGGCACCATTTGTTTAAAAGACTATGCTTGCCCATTAACATGTTTTGACAGTCTTATCAAAAATCAGTATTGAAGATATATGGGTTTATTTCTGGATTCTTAGTTGTAGTCCACTGATATATATGCCTATCCGTATACCAGAACCACATTGTTTGATTATTGTATCTTTGCAGTAAGTTTTGAAACCAGGAAGTGTGAGTCCTCCAATTTTGCTGTTCTTTTTAAAGATTGTTTTGGTTATTTGCAATTCCTTGAGATTTCATATAAATTTTCACATAGACTTTCCTATTTCTGCAAAAAACATCATTGAGATATTGACCATGATTGCATCGATACTATAGATCATTTTATAGTATTGACGTCTCGATAATATTAAAGTCTTCCAATCCATGAGCTTAAAATGTCTTTCCATTTATGTGTGTCTTTAATTTCTTTAGGCTATGTTTTGTAGTTTTTAGCATATAAGTCTTCTTTTTTTTTTTTTTTTTTTTTGAAACAGAGTCTTACTCTGTCACCCAGGCTGGAGTGCAGTAGCAAGATCTTGGCTCACCGCAACAGCAACCTCCACCTCCTGGGTTCAAGCAATTCTCCTAGCTCAGCCTCCCGAGTCGCTGGAATTACAGGTACACACCACCATGCCCAGTTAATTTTGTTGTTGTTGTATTTTTAGAAGAGACAGGGTTTCTCCATGTTGGCCAGTCTGGTCTCAAACTCCTGACCTCAAGTTATCCACCTGCCTTGACCTCCCAAAGTGCTGGGATTACAGGCATGAGCCACCGCACCCAGCCAGTGTATAACTCTTTAGCCTCTTTGGTTAAGTTTAATACTAATCATTTTCACTATTTTGAAATTTTTGTAGTTCTTACACTTTTGCTGTATGCAATGGAATCATTTGTCATTTTTCACAGGGTACATAAGTTTTTAAAATATATTTTTGACAATTCTGCTGTGTTCCTCTTCTGGTAAGGGGGTTCTCAAGTTACTTTTGGCTCCAGTTTCAGTTCTGACACTAATATCCTGTGTGGTCTCAGCCAGGCCCCCTTCTACTCTCTAGGCATAAATTTCCCTATGTACCATTAGGAGGTGAAGGGTGGCTTAGAACAGTGATTTTTTTTAAACATGTTTTGCTATTCCTAAGATGTGTTTCTGAGAATATGAAGGCCAGAGTGGGATGATCAATATATTATCGATATATTATCTGTTTAATATATTGTGCATATAATTTTGCTAAAAGAAATAATTTTTTCTTCAAAAATAGGAGGAATAGCTGAAATTTAAGACTCCTTCTAAGTCTGCAGTTCTGTATTCCTAAGCCAGTATGTGTGAGGAGGAGATGTGTGATGAAGAGGGTATAAACTGGATAAAGGGCAAATACTTTTGGGGAGGAAAGAAAGGGGAAAAGCAAGTGAAGAAAAATCAAGTGAATATACTTGCTTCCCGCCCCCTCCCTGAACACTCAGAGTTTTCAGGCCCTTAAGAACCATTCTATGGGCTCAGAAAGCATGACTTTAGCCTTCAGAAATACCCACAACAACATTCTTTTCTGGAAAGCCCCACCCCTGTAGCACCCTCTCTCACCATGACTACTGCTGCTGCTTGGCTGAAGACATAGATCACTGTAAGGCAAGCTACCACTAAACTTGTCTTTCACTGGCTTTATGACTTGGACTGGGTGTCTCTCATCTTAGGCATCATCTTGCCTAAGGTGTACCTCAGAAGTTAACCACAGCCCTAAACAGGCCCTGGATTGACCTTCAGTACAGGAAACAAAAAGCAAAGCAAGAAAACAGACATGAGCAGTACTATTCTGAGGTTTTCCTTAACTTGAAAATATGATTTAAAGAATACATACAGAAAAAGAACATGAACCATACAAGTAGCATTTGATAAATAACTATGAAGCAAAACACTTGCATAACCACGACCAGGTCAAGAAATAAAACAATACCAACACCTCAACATTACCTCATGTGCTCCTCCCTATTTCCCTCTCCATCTTTCCCCACTAGAGGTAACTACTATCCTAGTTTTTACAGTAATCATTTCTTTGCTATTCTTTATAATTTTACACCATAAATAGGCAATGTGTTTCCTTATTCTTCTCTCCCTTTGGCCTATAGTAGTTAAAAGCCCAAGCCTTGAAAAAGATGGTCTGAAAGTCTGTTTTTGCTATCTATTAGCTGTGTGGCCTTGGGAAAGTTACTTTTCTTTGTATGTTAGATTTCATACCTAACAGGCTAATAATTGTATATTGTACAATTACAATTGTACAATTCTAATGAGGCTCTGACGAACGGATTGAAATAAATTAGAAAATTACTTGGTACATAGCTTGTGCTCGTTAATACTTAGCTATTACTGTTATTCCAACAAAGTGGAAAGGAAAGTATGTTCTTCTCAGAGGAGGGTGCTAGGACATGGAAGGCATCAAAGGGGTGGCAGGAGAGCTACCAGGTTCCTGCCTAAAGGCCTCATTCTCCCACAGAAAATTAAGCTGACCATAAAACACTTTCAAAGTGGCAGTAGTGCCATAAGAAGTTATCATACTAAGAGTGACAGTAGCACCAGCAACTGCAGTGATACCAGGAGTGTCAGTGGCCCAAGCAGCTCTAAGATCATAAATACTAGTGGAAACTCCATTGCTAGTGAAATCATAGTAGCCATTGAGAACACAAGCAGCAGCAACATCAACAATGCCAGCATAGAAGCAAGCACCAATGCAGACATGAGCGTCAGTGAAGGGGTGGGCACCTGCAGAATTGAGACTGGCAGCAAAACTGCAAGTGCAGCCAATACTATGATCTTCAATGAAGACATCAGTGTCAATCATAGCTGAGTGTCAATGAAGGCTTGAACACCTTCAGGAGCTTGAGCCTGAGCACATTTGGGAGTCTGAGTTCCAGTGGGTGTCTGAGTTCCAGTGGGAGTGAGAGTGGCAAACAGCAGTCCACTATTTTGGTCCTCAACCAGTCATACTGTATCTCCAGGTGAGTACCATGCTTGTCCCTACCTCCTGCACCCTGACTTCCCTGCTTACAGGTCTGTCCAAAGGAGCCCAAGAAATGAAAGCCCAGGTGAGTAGAAAAACATCATAGGAAAGGCAGCTTGGGAGGGTTTGAAGAAGCAGGGGATTAAGCATTTTCACAGATAATATGCAGTGAAATTTACCAAAATCCTCAGAGAAGTTAGGGCAGAAAGAATCCTCCTTCTTTGCTTGCCCCTAAGCACCCTGGCAGCTTCCCACATGAGGAAGATACTGGAGATTTTTGCTTTGTTTTGACTCATACTAGGACCATCTAACCTAGGTAGAAGGAAAGGCCAACTTGGGAAGAAAGATAATTGTTTTTAGGACCCCTTTCCATCAGCACCAGCTGCCAGCCATTGTTCATGAATAGGAATGTGGAAACCATGCCTCTCCCCACTCCATATTTCAGGACTCTTTCAATGCCCATGAGTAGAGCTCTAGCTCTTTCTCCTTTTTATTCTCCATCTATTACAGTACCCTTACCTACCTAATTTCAGATCCATGCCTACATGGGTTCTTTTTCTGATAATCTCAACTTACTGAGCCCTGGGCTGGGCACCAGTGGTTCCAACCCTTTCCATGCTTTGGGAACCTTAAAATCAGGGATGCAAGCTGAGTGCAGTTGCTCACACCTGTAATCCCCACTGCTCAGGATGCTGAGGCAGGAGGATCATTCAACCCCAGGAGTTTCAGGTTGCAGTGAGCTATGATCACATCACTGCACTCCAGCCCGAGTGACAAAACAAGACCCTTTCTCTAAAGAAAAAAGAAAGTTACAAGTGCTAGAGACAGATTGCCGGGGTTTGCATCCTGGTTCCATCACTAAACACAATGTGAGACTTGGGGCAAGTTATGGGGGTGATAATAGTATCTAGCTTATGAGGTTTAATGAATTTTTAAAAATCAGGGCCCCAAGAGTCTAAAGAAGAGAAAGCCCAGCAAGAAAAAGACCCCGTGTTGGGAGAGGAAGAATAAACTATTTGTATGTAGGAGTACCAGGGAGGGCTTTAACATGACAATTGAACTGGGTGGCAAATGATTAGGCATTTACTAGGTGGGAGCAGATAGGCATACCAGGCTGATGAACTACTATGAGCAATGGCCAAGAGGCATGAACCAAGCACATCATGTTCAAAGAAAAGTGAGGAGCTGGAATACAAGATACAAGGGGGCAAAGGGCAGGAGATAAATCAGGAAAAGCAGAATAGGGCCCAGCAAAGGAGCTTGGGCTTTATCCTGTAAACAAAGAGGAGCTATTGAGGGATTTTGAACTGGAGAGAGGCATGATCAGAATTGAGGTTTAGAAAGAGGATGGAAATGCATCTGAAACAATCAACAACGTGGTCTCTAGGTGAGGTTGTCTGCAGTGTTTATCTCACCAGTTCATGACATATGGATTTTTCATTTCCCATCTCACCTCTCCCAGGGACCAACTCTGGGAGGCCAGTTAGCCAGACAATGCGGCTCTGATGGGAACTCTCCATGGGCCCAGTCCACCTTCGTCACGGATGATGAGACTGAACTGAACAATGGTACACAGATCCAGTGAAGACGCCTTATTCTCAACAATGATAAGAGTATCATTGTTGAGAATAATGATACTCTTGTCATTGTTGAGAATCGTACCATTATTGCCAAGCCTAAGTAGGATACTTCTGGTCCCCAGGATGGTGGAATTGGGCAGGGATGGGGGAGGATGGAATGGTTCCTTCTATAGGAGGCCTTTGCAGTAAGGCAAAGCTGCTTATGGGAGCCCTTCGATAGTCCAGTAGGTCAAATTTTCCATCTCTTTTGTGTCTAGAATACAGATACCACTCCATTTTAGCCAGGGAAGTTACAGAGGGAAACCTAACACCTAAGACAGAAGAAGAGGCACAATTCCAGGCACTCATCAGGATGGGAGAGGGAAGTTAACAAGCAGAAAGCCACCTTTTAGCCCAAGACCCCAAGGCCCATCCCAGGGTCCATGGGAAGTAGGGAGCAGACTCCTTTCTGCCGACTCAGACTGACCTGCCATGGGCATAAATCCTAGGTCCACCAACCTGAAACTTAAGAAGCGGTGCGTCTGAGTGAGGTGTGGTTTGCCTCCTGCCTAGGAGAAGAGACAGTGAAGGAGATCTGTGCAGACACCTGTTTCATGATCAGTTGGCATACAACCAACATTGTGGTCGTCTTCTGGTAAGGCAGTCATGAGAGTTACCTTTTCTTCTGTATTATCCATTCCTTCTTACCTTATCTCTTCTTTTAAAATTCTTGTGAAATTATTTTTTACCAAATTGTGAAATATAAACCGTCATCCCTCAATGTCTGCAAGGTATGAACACTTATTGAACATTCTGTCCTGCCATGTCTGGATTTTAGGAATTACAGGCACCAGAAAAGACACAGAGATAAAAGGAAAAAAAAAATGAAAAAAATTGCACTGATAGCTGGTTTTGAAAGGCTACACAGACTTTCTTCATGTACCCACACCTAATTTATTGAGTGGCCACCAAGGCTGTTTACTTAGTGGATGTTTAATAAATACTTTTAGGAAATTAAAAACTGAAACAGCCATACACTGAGACCCAGAAATGCAGTCTCACATGTGAATACACAGACCTACTCTATACGCTGCTGCTTAACAAACCCATGTGAGCCCAACCACCTCAGTGCCTTCTCACGCACACTTGCATTGTACATATATCCATACTTATGCTTACACATACACACTTGTAGATGCACACATCTCTGTTTCTACATACCCATACATGCCCATTTATATTTTTCTCATACATTATTCCCACAATAACTCATATTCCTACATATACCATGCTGCTACGCTGACCCACACACATGCCTCTCCATCAATGCCCACGCACATTCACCCACATGTACATGCAATCACATATACATATTCTTCTGCTTATATACACACCATATCCAACACATACTAACTCACATTTTACACACACTCACATTTCATGCATGTGTACATTTCCACACACACACTTACACATATACACCTGTATTTATAGGCGCGGCCACACTCCTAGACATACCCGTGCTCATGTACTTACATACACCTGTGATCACATTCCCTACACCTACACATACCTATGGTCATCTACACACTCACACCTGAGTTTTTTCTATTTATTACACACACATACACATTTCCATGGACAAGCACATTCACATAATTAGTTCTACATACAGACTCATGCCCAAGGTTTCTCTTTTGTTTTCTTGCTCCTTAAGAAGAAATTATCTCAAAAGAGGAAAGTTACTCATCACTCCTCTCCGTGCTCTTTCTTAGATAACCATTCTAGTTTTGTGTGTGTATATTGTCATTATTTCCTGAAAAAACAAGAATTGCTGGTTTCCTGCTCTGTGCTGGTAAGTTGTTTCCTCCTTTCCCTCTCCCCTTCTCAGTCTCTACCTCAAGTTCACCTCAAAGTGGGATCGGCCAGGCCAGTTTTCTTCAGGTGCCATACTCCGAGTGGTGCATTACTTTTCTGATCTAGGCACTCTCACAGGACCCTTCACTACAAAGCCAGAAAGGTCTTTGCAATCCCTCACTCTGCTCCAGTTAGCCCTTGATATACTATGTAAGAGAAAATAAATAAATGCTGGCTCTTTAGGGTTTTTATTAATAGAAAAGATAATTCCACAACCCCCTAAAGAGTTTAGCAGCCCTCGCTCTCAATAGGTTTATTCTGAAGTCTGACTCAAATCCTCATACTGTAGCCAAAGTCCATTTCTTTTCTAACAGTGTCTGGAGAGAGAAACTAGCCACCTCCCTCCTTTATATAAACACAATAGACTAAAACACTGTTAATCTTTAGGCCTGGTCTTCACTGAGTTAAACATTGGAAACAACAATTTTTCAGTATTTGTGAGAAATTTGTGGTGATTTATGGGATCAGATGAAAAGAGACATTTTAGCCAGAGAACAGCCTTGATCCCACATCTTAGTTTCCTTTAGCTCTCAAACCCAATATTCATCCCTTCTGTTTGGTGATAGAGATTTTGAAACCTTCACTCTGAAATATGAGCAATATATCCCCCTTCAAAATATTTGCCCCAAGGATTTGTGTTTTCCAAGAGGAGTCCACAGAGGTCAAGGCATAACCCAAGAACTGATGTTCAGGTGTGAGGTGGGTAGGATTAGGGAGGCAACAAATATTTTTTGCCCCCCACAAAGCCCTCCTCCTTGACCAGCCCTATGAGGCCCTTGGTCAGCATTGCTGGCTAAGTCCCTGCTTTCTGCATTCCTACCTACCTCTCCCCACCCATCCTTTGTCTACTTCTCCAGACAGTAATATCCAAGAGCAGAAGCAGAATCATTGTCCAAAGAACATGACTCAGGATTCTGCTGATGGAGGTCAATGAACTTACCTCAGTGAGTCCCACTGACTGACTCTCTACCTGTGAGTGCCCCTGAAAGAGCAGGTTAGTGGGCAGGGGATTAGAGGCCTTGGGGATGCCTTCAGGGAATGCATGCCTGGCTAACAACTCCACATCCTTCCCAAGTGCCCTGAATGGTCCTACATGTACACTGTCAGCCCCATGAGACCCCATAGGGCCCCAATTCTCACCTTCATAAAGGTGACATTGGTATGTTTTCTGAGATGGTAACTTCTGCTTCTTGCCTTAACCCGGTCTCATCAGAAGAAAACCTTACCCTGGAGAACATTTGCTGTTGTAAGTAATTTATCAGCTTGTGATTTCTCCACCTAAGAAATTCTCCTGGACTTATGTCCTTCCTTGGTCCTTCCCATTGGCCTCTGTACATGAGGAAGGCTAGCGTCTGGTCTGTGGCATCTCAATTCATGCTACCATCCAGCCCCGAGGAGATCATGGCAGCAATGCTGGCTGACCTGGCACTCCATTTGCTCCCTTTCACTAATTTATGTCTTAATCCTACCATGCCCAGTGTGTTATCTTTACCCAGACTATTCTAATAACTGTGACCAATACTGGGACTTCTGAGAAGATCATTGGGAGGGCAGTGCATCAGCTGGGACTTTCTGTAAGTAGATACTGGTTTCAGTAAATTAGGCCCAATGTTCAGCAAGTGCCTCTGATGCACTAGGCACTATGCCAGAGGCTGGGGCGGATGATGGATAGAGAAATCATGGGTCAGTTCTGACCCTAAAGTGTGCTCCTTAGGTCCTTTCTGGAAAGGGCGGGAGGTAAATAAATCAAGTCCACACAGAACGAGCTTTGACTCAGGAGCAGTAAGAGGGAGGGCAGGTCAGGGAGAGCTTACTTGAGGAGGTGACATTTGAGCAGAACCTCAAAGGACAGGGAGAATTTCTTCAGGAGAAAGGGAGGGAAGGACATTCTGACTGGAGAGAGAAACTTATGTAGTGAGATAGAGTTGAAGAAGTATGAGAAGTAAAAGTGAGGAAAAGCAAGTAGATTTGAAATGTTACTACATACTCCAGAGTTGTGAGGAACAAGATCAGAGAGTTTTATGACTCAACCAAGATAGGCATCTGAATATGAGGTTGAAGATTGAACTTGATCTGCCAGACAATAAAAAGCCACTGCTTTTTGAGCAGGAGAGTGACATGATTGGAGTTGCACCTTGGGAAAGGCCTGTAATATGTGGAGGTGGCATCCAAAGACAGTAAGAAGCAACTAGATTAAGTCCAAACCCTGTCTCTGAGACAGCAATTTCCTCTATCTTATGACCTCAAAGCAGTTTATAGACCCTGGTAGGAGGCCCTGGTGTGTATATGTTTGAGGGGTATGTTAGTTTGCATGTGCACACTTCTGTATGGATATGTGTGAATCCTTGCTAATATATATCTAAGTATGTGTACATAAGAATGCACTTGCATGGCCTATATGCTGGTGTATCAGTGTGGAGGCATGTATAAATAGAATGCCTAGGTGTGTATGTGTACAAGTACTTGCTTGTTTGTGTGTATGTGAATATATGTACCCATATGGAAGTACATGAGAGGGTCCCTGTAGGAAGATATATGTGCGTAGTTCTATGAATATGTCTAAAAACTATCTGTCTGCATGTACATGTTGCTGTCTGCATTTGTGTGCATCTACTCTCATGTATGTGAGTATGTATCTTGACACACAATTAAGTTTTAATTGCAGAGCATCCCCTTTTGGATTGCAAAGGATGGATTTTCATTCCCAGACTGGTCTTTTCCATACCCTCCACCACCCTCCTGACCCACTTATATCCACTGCAAGCTGCTGAGGGAATGTACATCTTCTTTAATATTTGCTTTCACAAAACAGAATAGGAAAAGTAAAACATTCTCGGGTCCACTTGAGGTCTGAGAGAGTTTGCTCTGGGACCTCCAAGCCCATAGGGGGAACTAAGGCTTTCTGTAAATTAGGTTTGCAGAAAAAAACAGACTATGGCTGGGTACAGTTAGTCAGTGGAGAAAGCCTGCTGATTGCTGATTGTATTAACCATGTGTAAATGGGGAACAGGCTGGGAAATACTGGTAGAGGTAGGGAAAACCCAATATGGAGTTGATCTCTGGTCAGAATGCTTCAGTCAGCATTTGACATGTTTTCCCTTGGACAATGGCAGCTGGCTTCCACTCACCAGTGACCGTAACCTGCCAGTATACAGGCCCTAGGCCCTTACCCCTTGCCCTCTCTTTCTTTAGATTTGTCCTTCTCCTTAACATTGTCACATCCCTGACTATCAGCACTGGCCCAGTTCTCTTCCTCTCAGCACTAACACAACACTACTAAAGTAGACAGAATAATTGCCTCCCTAATATATCTTTATCCTAATCTCCAGAGCCCAAGAAAATGTTACTTTACATGGCAAAAGAGAATTTGTAGATGTGATTAAGTTAAGAATCTTGAGATGAGGGGATATCCTGGATTATCTGGGTGGGCCCAGTGCAATCACAAGGGTCCTTATAAGAGGGAGACGAGAGAGTCAAAGTTAGAAAAAAAGTAATGTGAAGATGTAAGCAGAGAGAGGAAGACAGAGAGGGAGGAAGGGAGCAGAGAGATTGGAAGATGCTACACTTTTGCCTCTGAAGATGAAGGAAGGGGGCAGCAGTCAAGGAATGTAGACATTCGATAGACGCTGGAAAAGGCAAGGAAATTTATTTTCCCCTAGAGCTTCAAGAAGGAATGCAGCTCTGCTGAACCATTTTAGACTTCTGTTTTCCAGAACTGTAAAAGAATGCATTTGCATTGTTTCAAGCCACTAAGTTGGTGGTGATATTTTAGAGAAGCATTAGGAAACTAATACAACCTTCTTCAATATTGCCTGGGCTCTCCCTATTCAGAGTTTTCCCAAACCCTGCCCACACTTTGCATTGACCAGTCCTCCTCCCTCTCCATATTATTCTTGACGTTTCCCTTCAGCATTGCCCTGCTCCTACCCCAGCCCCCCCTCTAGTAGTCCTGCCCTACCCTGCCTTGGTTTCCTTAGTGGTTCCTGGCCTCAACTCTGATTCTCTTTGGTGACCATGGCTTGGTGTACTCCATGAAGACCCCCACAGTCTACAGAGCCTCGTGGGGAAGGATGTGGGGAAAACATGGCTGCTTTTTTCAGGAAACACCATGGCGTCTCCTGGTTGTGAAAGGTGAGGAGAAGGCAGTCTTGCCAGGCTCCACCCTGATGTGCTTACACCTGCCTCCTCTTCATATCATTACCTTGTCCTTGACTTTCCTTAGGGCCAATCCTGTGATTTTTTGCTACGGGTGAATTCATCAAAAGAGGCCTGTCTTACCCACTCATTAGTAAGGTTCCTGAGTTCTATGAGGGCTTGAAATAGGCTCCATTTTGGCCTGAGGATCTCAGCATCTTGGGATCTATGTTCAGTGTGCCCCTAGCTGCAAGGATCACTGGTTTAAACATGGGAGAGGAGATCAGGAAGGGGAGGCCACAGGAGTTACAGAGGACTCTGGAAATACAGAGAGATCTGTGATTTACTCAGTGGGTATTTGATAGACTAAGAAGGCAAATTCAAGACAAAGAGAACTGGATTTATATCTTAGCAGCAGGGATTGGAAAGACATATCCAAAGGACTTATTGAATAGTATTGTTACTTAAAAGCAGTGTTTCCTAAGCCAACTTTCAAAGAATGGGTTTCTGTTCATTGTCATTTTGTAGGGAAAAGGGGGTTGTTCAGTGGCCGAGTGAATTGGGAAGTGTTGGTTTAAGAAAGTGAAATGTGGGGGTCTGTTCCAAGATGGCCGAATAGGAACAGCTCTGGTCTGCAGCTCCCAGCATGATCGAAGCAGAAGACGAGTGATTTCTGCATTTCCAACTGAGGTACCTGGTTCATCTCATTGGGACTGGTCGGAAAGTGGCTGCAGCCCATGGAGGGTGAGCTGAAGCAGGGAGGGTCCTCGCCTCACCCAGGAAGAGCAAAGGTTGAGGGATTTCCCTTTCCTAGCCAAGAGAAGCCATGACAGACTGTACTGGGAAAATCGGGACACTGTCACCTAAACACTGTGCTTTTCTAATGGTCTTATCAAATGGCACACCAGGAGATTATATCCCATGACTGGCTCAGCAGGTCCCATGCCCATGGAGCCTTGCTCACTGCTGGTCCAACATCAAACTGTGAAGCGGCAAACCTGGCTTGGTGAGGGGCATCCACCATTGCTGAGGCTTGAGTAAGTAAACAAAGTGCCGGGAAGCTTGAACTGGGTGGAGCCCACTGCAGCTCAAGGAGGCCCGCCTGCCTCTGTAGACTCCACCTCTTGGGGCAGGGCATAGCTGAACAAAAGGCATGAGAAACTTCTGCAGACTTAAACGTCCCTGTCTGACAGCTCTGAAGAGAGAAGTGGTTCTCCAAGCACAGTGTTTGAGCTCTGAGAACTGACAGACCACCTCCTCAAGTTGGTCCCTGACCGCCATGTAGCCTAACTTGGAGACACCTCCCAGTAGGGGCCGACTGACACCTCATACAGCTGGGTGCCCCTCTGAGACGAAGCTTCCAGAGGAAGGATCAGGCAGCTATAATTGCTGTACTGCAATATTTGCTGTTCTGCAGTCTCTGCTAGTGATACCCAGGCAAACAGGGTCTGGAGTGGACCTCCAGCAAACTCCAACAGACCTGCAGCTGAGGGACATGACTGTTAGAAGCAAAACTAACAAACAGAAAGGAACAGCATCAACATCAACAAAAAGGACATCCACACCAAAACCCCATCTGTAGGTCACCATCATCAAAGACCAAAGGTAGATAAAACCACAAAGATGGGGAGAAACCAGAGCAGAAAAGCTGAAAATTCTAGAAACCAGAGTGCCCCTTCTCCTCCAAAGGATTGCAGCTCCACACCAGCAATGGAACAAAGCAGGATGGAGAATGACTTTGACAAGTTGACAGAAGTAGGCTTCAGGAACTCGGTAAAAACAAACTTCTCCGAGCTAAAAGAGGATGCTTGAAGCCATTGCAAGGAAGCTAAAAACCTTGAAAAAAAGATTAGACGAATGGCTAGCTAGAATAAACAGTGTAGAGAAGACCTCAAATGACCTGATGGAGCTGAAAACCACGGCACAAGAACTACATGATGCTTACACAAGCTTCAGTAGCTGATTCGATCAAGTGGAAGAAAGGGTATCAGTGATTGAAGATCAAATTAATGAAATAAAGTGAGAAGATAAGTTTAGAGAAAAAAGAGTAAAAAGAAATGAACAAAACCTCCAAGAAATATGAGATTATGTGAAAAGACCAAATCTATGCTTGACTGGTATAACAGAAAGTGACGGGGAGAATGGAACCAAGCTCGAAAACACTCTTCAGGATATTCTCAGGAGAACTCCCCCAACTTATCAAGGAAGGTCAACATTCAAATTCAGGGAAGACAGAGAACACCACAAAGATACTCCTCGAGAAGAGCAACCCCAAGACACATAATTGTCAGATTCACTAAGGTTGAAATGAAGGAAAAAATGCTAAGGGCAGCCAGAGAGAAAGGTCCGGTTACCCACAAAGGGAAGCCCCTCAGACTAACAGCTGATCTCTCAGCAGAAACCCTGCAAGCCAGAAGAGAGTGGAGGCCAATATTCAACATTCTTAAAGAAAAGAATTTTCAACCCAGAATTTCATAACCAGCCAAACTAAACTTCATAAGTGAAGAAGAAATAAAATCCTTTACAGACAAGCAAATGCTGAGAGATTTTGTTACCACCAGGCCTGCCTTACAAGAACTCCTGAAGGAAGCACTAAACCTGGAAAGGAACAACCAGTACCAGCCACTGCAAAAACATGCCTAATTGTAAAGACCATCTATGCTAGGAAGACACTGCATCAACTAACAGGCAAGATAAATAGCTAACATCATAATGACAGGATCAAATTCACACATAACAATATTAACCTTAAATGTAAATGGGCTAAATACTCCAATTAAAAGACACAGACTGGCAAATTGGATAAAGAGTCAAGACCCATCAGTGTGCTGTATTCAGGAGACCCATATCACGTGCAAAGACACACATAGGCTCAAAATAAAGGGATGGAGGAAGATGTACCAAGGAAATGGAAAGCAAAAAAAAAGCAAGGGTTGCAGTCCTAGTCTCTGATAAAACAAATTTTAAACCAACAAAGATCAAAAGAGACAAATAAGGCCATTACATAATGGTAAAGGAATCAGTTCAACAGGAAGTGCTAACTATCCTAAATATATATGCACCCACACCCAATACAGGAGCAAACAGATTGATAAAACAAGTCCTGAGAGACCTAAAAAGAGACCTAGACTCCCCACACAATGATAATGTGAAGCTTTAACACCCCAATGTCAATATTAGACAGATCAAGGAAACAGAAGGTTAATAAGGATATCCGGGACTTGAACTCAGCTCTGCACCAAGCAGACCTAATAGACATTTACAGAACCCTCCATGCCAAATCATCAGAATATACATTCTTCTTAACATCACCTTGCACTTGTTGCAAAATTGACCACATCGTTGGAAGTAAAGCACTCCTCAGCAAATATAAAAGAACAGAAATCACAACAAACTGTCTCTCAGACCACAGTGCAATCAAATTAGAACTCAGCATTAAGAAACTCACTGAAAACCGCACAACTATATGGAAACTGAACAACTTGCTCCTGAATGACTACTGGGTACCTAATGAAATGAAGGCAGAAATAAAGAAGTTCTTTGAAACCAACGAGAACAAAGAAACAATGTACCAGAATTTCTGGGACACCTTTAAAGCAGTGTGTAGAGGGAAATTTATAGCACTAAATGCCCACAAGAGAAAGCAGGAAAGATCTAAAATTGACACCCCAACATCACAATTAAAAGAACTAGAGAAGCAAGAGCAAACACATTCAAAAGCTAGTAGAAGGCAAGAAATAACTAAGATCAGAGCAGAACTGAAGGAGATAGAGACACAAAACCCCTTCAAAAAATCAATGAATCCAGGAGCTGTTTTTTGAAAAGATCAACAAACTTGATACACCACTACTAATAAAGAAGAAAAGAGAGAAGAATCAAACAGACACAATAAAAACTGATAAAGGGGATATCACCATATCACCACCGATCCCACAGAAATACAAACTACCATCAGAGAATACTATAAACACCTCTATACAAATAAACCAGAAAATCTAGAAGAAATGGATAATTTCCTGGACACATACACCCTCCCAAGACTAAACCAGGAAGAAGTTGAATTGCTGAATAGACCAATAACAGGCTCTGAAATTGAGGCAATAATTAATAGCTTACCAACTAAAAGAATTCCAGGACCAGATGGATTCACAGTTGAATTCTACCAGAGGTACAAAGAGGAACTGGTACCATTCCTTCTGAAACTATTCCAATCAATAGATAAAGAGGGAATCCTCCCTAACTCATTTTATGAGGCCAGCATAATCCTGATACCAAAATCTGGCAGAGACACAACAGTAAAATACTGGCAAATCGAATCCAGCAGCACATCAAAAAGCTTATCCACCATGATCAAGTTGGCTTCATCCCTGGGATGCAAGGCTGGTTCAACATACACAAATCAATAAATGTAATCCATCACATACACAGAACCAAAGACAAAAACCACATGATTATCTCAATAGATGCAGAAAAGACCTTCGACAAAATTCAACAACGCTTCATGCTAAAAACTCTCAATAAACTAGGTATTGATGGGATGTATCTCAAAATAATAAGAGCTATTTATGACAAACCCACAGCCAATATCATACTGAATGGGCAAAAACTGGAAGCATTCCCTTTGAAAACTGGCACAAGACAGGGATGCCCTCTCTCAGCACTCCTCTTCAACATAGTGTTGGAAGTTCTGGCCAGGGCAATCAGGCAAGAGAAAGAAATAAAGGGTATTCAACTAGGAAAAGAGGAAGTCAAATAGTCTCTGCAGATGACATAATTGTATATTTAGAAAACCCTATCGTCTCAGCCCAAAATCTCATTAAGCTGATAAGCAACTTCAGCAAAGTCTCAGGATGCAAAATCAATATGCAAAAAATCAAAAGCATTCTTATACACCAGTAACAGACAGAGAGTGAAATCATGAGTGAACTACGACTCACGATTGCTACAAAGAGAATAAAATACCTAGGAATCCAACTTACAACGGATGTGAAGGACCTCTTCAAGGAGAATTAGAAACCACTGCACAACAAAATAAAAGAGGACACAAATAAATGGAAGAACATTCCATGCTCATGGATAGGAAGAATCAATATCATGAAAATGGCCATACTGCCCAAGGTAATTTATAAATTCAATGCCATCCCCATCGAGCTACCAATGACTTTCTTCACAGAATTGGAAAAAACTACTCTAAAGCTCATATGGAACCCAAAAACAGCCTGCATTGACAAGACAATCCTAAGCAAAAAGAACAAAGCGGAGGCATCACACTATCTGACTTCAAACTAAACTACAAGCCTACTGTAACCAAAGCAGCATGGTACTGGTACCAAAACAGATATAAAGACCAATGGAACAGAACACAGCCCTCAGAAATAATACCACACATCTACAACCATCTGATCTTTGACAAACCTGATGAAAACAAGAAATGGGGAAAGGATTCCCTATTGAATAAGTGGTGCTGGGAAAACTGGTTAGCCATATGTAGAAAGCTGAAACTGGATTCCTTCCTTACACCTTATACAAAAATTAATTCACGATGGATTAAAGACTTAAATGTTAGACCTAAAACCATAAAAACTCTAGAAGAAAACCTAGGCAATACCATTCAGGATATAGGCATGGGCAAGGACTTCATGACTAAAACACCAAAAGCAATGGCAACAAAAGCCAAAATAGACAAATGGGATCTAATTAAACTAAAGAGCTTCGGCACAGCAAAAGAAACTTCCATCTGAGTGAATAGGCAACCTACAGAATGGGAGAAAATTTTTACCCATCTGACAAAGGGCTAACATCCAGAATCTACAAAGAACTTAAACAAATTTAAAGAAAAAAATCAAAACACCCCATCAGAAGTGGGCAAAGGGTATGAACAGACACTTCTCAAAAGAAGACATTTATGCAGCCAAAAAACACATGAAAAAATGCTCACCATCACTGGCCATCAGAAAAATGCAAATCAAAACCACAATGAGATACCATCTCACACCAGTTAGAATGGCAATCATTAAAAAGTCAGGAAACAACAGGTGCTGGAGAGGATGTGGAGAAATAGGAACACTTTTACACTGTTGGTGGGACTGTAAACTAGTTCAACCATTGTGGAAGGCAGTGTGGCGATTCCTCAAGGATCTAGAATTAGAAATAACATTTGACCCAGCCATCCCATTACTGGGTATATACCCAAAGGATTATAAATCATGCTGCTATAAAAACACATGAACATGTATGTTTATTGCAGCACTATTCACAATAGTGAAGACTTGGAACCAACCCAAATGTCCATCAATGATAGACTGGATTAAGAAAATGTGGCACATATACACCATGGAATACTATGCAGCCATAAAAAAGGATGAGTTCATGTCCTTTGTAGGGACATGGATGAAGCTGGAAATCATCATTCTGAGCAAACTATCACAAGGACAGAAAACCAAACACTGCATGTTCTCACTCATAGGTGGGAATTGAACAATGAGAACACTTGGACACGGGGTGGGGAACATCACACACTTAGTCCTGTCGTAGGGTGGGGGGATGGGGAAGGGATAATAGCATTAGGAGAAATACCTAATGTAAATGACGAGTTAATGGGTGCAGCAAACCAACATGACAGATGTATACATATGTAACAAACTTGCACGTTGTGCACATGTACTCTAGAACTTAAAGTATAATTTAAAAAAAAGAAAAGAAAGTGAAATGTGTTTCTTTACTGTAGGATTTCTCTAATCTATGAATGTATTAATATGTGTAACAAAGGGACCAGTCCAGAATGCAGTATTTCCCAATTTGTTTAACTCTGAGAATCCTGAGGGCTACTGCTATTGCCACCTCATGCAACAAAAATAATCAGAACACAGTTTGGGGAATAATCATTTAAATTGCTGAAAAAACAGTGACATGAAGAGAAATTAGACTTTTCTCTCCTCATCCAGAAGGCAAAATTATAAAATTTACTAATAAAATTCAACAAATCCCTTGAATCAGCTACATGCTGGACAACTGGGTAGCTATATTTTTCAGTGTCCATGGAAGGAAAATTGAGGCAGGGCAAGAGAACAGCAAAACAAACTCTCTTTCCTTAAAGTTCTCTAAACTAAGCTAACTAATCCCAGCTACTTTAGCCTTTGTTCTGGGACCCCATGAAAATATTTGTCTCAGTGCTCTCTGTTTTGCATCTCCATAGCTAGAGTCCACTGAGGTATTTCTTAGAGATTGACATTACCTGACTGATGATATCTCCAAGGTTCTGAAAGGGAACCTTGGGCCAAGAAAGGTTAATTCGTATGCCTCCAGATACACAAGGAATTCAGTGCCAGCATAGCCTTACCATCTATGTTTTGTAAAGATCATTTTTAGGCCCTTAGATGCAAAATGACAGACATATAGCATGAGTTCCCATGTCTTATACCCATGACAAACATCTGAAATTAGTCATAATACTGTTTATCTCTGAGTCTGTACACATCCTCAGAATCCTTCTCCATACAGCTCTCCTAGTACATGCTACTCATTGATCAGGGCTGGAAAATGAAGGAAAATCTCTCAGCCACTTCTTCCCTAAAGAGAACCTGTCACTAATGTTTGAATGGGGTAAGGAAGACATCAGGTGACAGTGGGTAGCCAAGGAATGGGTACCCTTCTGCTGGGGCAAAGGTGTAAGTGGTTTTTTTTTTTCCTTTCTAGGCCATGAGAGCTCATACAACATTGCCCAAACAAACCTGTGCCATGTGCCCCAGCCAATCACCTCCAGGACCACTCAGGGCTACCTTGACCCCACATCTCTGAGTCAGGTGCCTGAGGACAAGCAATTTAAATTTATTTTGAAGCACAAGAGCAAACTACCCAGTGTATTGGAGAGAGGTAAGGGCTGAGTCCTTGATGCCAGGCTCTGTGTGGATCCTAGAGACACAGAAACAGTATACGGGCCCTTTGATCCAGCCCCTCTCTGAAAGGGAAAAACAATTTTTTTCTCTCTACTCTGCTCAACACACTCACAGCACATTTCTGTGATCAGATGTTGGGGGGTGGGGGTTTCTTACACCAAACAGTTCTCCAGCAGACACCAGCTAGGTGTCCTGTAAGTCAATTACTATCTCCACGTAGATAGTGTCAGATCCCACAGTTTAAGAGCTCAGTCCCACAAGACTGCCCCCTACTTCAGACATCAATTACAAGTCTCAGGTTGTGACCTGTACTTCTGACAGACTGGCTACAAACTGAGGTTCCCACAACCTCTTCCTTTGGTTTGATCAGTTTGCTAGGATGGCTCACAGAATTCAGGAAAACTCTTACAATTTCCAGCTTATTATAAAGGATATAGAAGAAGAAATGGACAAGGCAAGTGGGGATGGGGGTGGATCTTCCATGCCTTACCTGGACACACCACCCTTCCAGCAACTCCACACGTGTTCAGCTACCCAGAAACTCATCAAATCTTACTGTTCAACAGTTTTCATAGAGCTTGGTCTCTAACCACCCCCATTCCCAGAGAACTGTAGGTGGGGCTGAAAGTTTCAACCCTCTAATCCTCTAATTGCTTGGTTTTTCCAGTGACTGGTGCCATCCTGAGGCTACCTAGAGGCCCCACCCTAAGTAACCTCATTAGCATAAACTCAGGATGTATCAAATGGGCTTATTATGCATAATAAAAAATGCTCCTATCATTCAGAAAATCCAGAGGTTTTAGGAGCTCTATGACAGTAACTAGGGAGAAAGACCAAATATATTTCATACTATACCACACCCTCCCTGCTCTTCTTACCTTGGTGTTCCCAGCCTCTGCCTCTGTCCCCACAGTGCTCCCCTACTCCTAGTATCCCTCTCACTGCCATCTAACTCTTCCGGTGTATTTTGGGGGACTGCCAACTCTCTGTGTCCTAACTTCATCTCGCCCAACTTCTACTCACAAAACTTAGAGTGAAGAAAAGACTAAAGAAAAAGAAAGTCCCTGCTGTACTGGACCCTGCAGAGAAACCCTACCTTACCCTTAGAAAGTTCCATGGTATATTCACCACAGGAAGAGAATTATCATAAGCTCTTTGGCCTGGATCTGTCTACACTGTACCAAACAAGCCACCTGCCCAGGCTTATCATGATAAATCACTTCTGGCTGAAGGCAAAAGAGCTGTGTCCTAAGGGCTGGGCCTAGGCTTAAGATTCCAAAGCCATTGTAGATCAGGGCTCAGCCCCCTCATGCATTTATGCTCTGCCTTACTAGTGAGGGTACCTCATCCTAACAGCGTATGCATAATCCCCATACGTCTCAATCTACAGGCTAAGCCAGTGGCCTCAACCCAGTAGAACACACCCATCTTCTCAGGCAAGAGCTCTCCAGCTAGACCTAGCCTCCAATTAATGCTTAGATGTGAAAGGTAACTGCTTTCAGAATGTGTTTTGATGGCGATTGTCAATGCTCCTTGCTTACCACATAATCTCTTATACAGTCACAGTGACTGACTTGCCACCATTAAGATCATGTGGTCAGGCAAAGACTGAGAAACCCATCTGGAATGTTAGAGTGGAGTTGAGTTCTGCAGCAGGTAAAAGAATAGTCTACAGGACCCTGTGGATAGAGGGGATATATGGGGGTCTAGGGAATTTGTGGCAAGTGTATTGTCATGTCCCAGGAAACCTTGGAAATTGGATTAGAGGGCACCTGCCCAACATCTGGGGATCTTCCAAGAACATGCTGATGCTGTCATACAAGGAGGGCCCAACCACTGCTGGCATCTTCCGCCACTCAGCCAGTGCCAAGACTTGCAAGGAGATAAAGGAGAAACCGAATTCTGGGGCCCAGGTGTCCATGGTTAGAGAGTCATTGTTTGTGGCTGCATCTGTCTTGACTGTAAGTCTGCCTGTGTACATGTGGTCCACTCCAAGGTTCGAGGGAATGCCAGGAAGAAACCAAGACACTTCCCTCCCCTACCTCAGGCACACAGCCCTGAACTTCTCAGAACTGTTCATGTGAACAGAGAGCCATATTATTATTACCTGAACCAACCTTCACATCTTCAGGTGGCAGGTGGAGATGCTTAATGGTCATAGGGCAGGAGAACAGCATGGGCCAGAAGGGCATTTATTTATCCATCAGCTATCCCTTTAGTGAGTGTAGGTCTAGGTCCAGGACATGTGCATTTTATAAGAGTGAATTTCACTCAGAAATTCCTGTGCAGCATTCCTGACAGTATTCTGTCCTCAGGCATGTACAGACAACGGATGACAGCCATGGAGGGGCATACCAGCCAGCAGAGTCCAGTCTCTCCAGAGGTAAGATTCCTAATTCCAGACTCATACCTGAGACTTGGAGAGAAAAGTGAAAACGGTTATGCAGATGAAGAAAGGAAGAAAAGGGGAGGGAATGTCACTTCTCAATACTTCAAACATTTCCAACCAGGATTCTTCATGCATCATATATACTTCTATTTCAAGCTCTACCTTAAACCAGTTGTGTGCCCTTAAACAAGTAACTTCTCTTCTCTACACTTCAATATTTCCCCACTGCTATATACTAGGGTGAGGAGATTCTCCAAAGTTCTAATCAGCACTAGTGCTCTGACAAAATTAGCCAGACCTTACATGGCTATTATCCCCCAACCCCCACAGAGATATACAAAGACACATTAAACTGACCTTCCTCTTTCCTGAATTGTCCCCCATCCTCTGGACTTCATCTGTCACCCACTGGCAAGACCAGTAGTGCAGCTTCCAGAAGGCAAATGCCTGCTGCTAAAGTACCTCTTTGGTATCCTGAGCCACATTGTGGCCAACTCTGAGGCAAACCAGATAATAGCTTTCAACCTAGCCCTGTGTGTTGCACCCAACTTGCTATGGTTATCCAACTGCAAAAGACCAGAAGATGAGAGCCAGAATATAGGCAAGGTAAAGAGTTCACTGCCCCTTCCCCATCGGGCCCTACAAGCCACCTCTCTTTTACCTATAGATGCTTCCTCGCCCCATGTTATGAAAAGATCACAAGGGCAAGGGTCAATACCAGAAATGCCTTCCTCACTAGCGATGTAAATTCTGACAAGTCATGTGACCTCACTGAGCCTTCATTTCTTCATCACTAAAATGAGGTTTGTATTAGGGCCTTATGGAGGGAAGAATAGATGGCATATATAAAAGGGATTTGAAGCCCTAAAGCACTAGCCAAATAAAAGGGAAAATGATTTTATTTGCCTCTTCTACCAGAATATGAATTTCCTGACACCAGGGACCTTGTTTTATTCCTTTAGATCTCCAAACCCTCACCCAGCACAAAGCACAGAGCAAGCACTTCTTAATGGATATTTGACAAGTGAAAAAATACATGTTGTATAGCAAAATGGGCCAATCAGTGACTGACTGTATCATCTTGAATAAGTCACTTTACTTTTCTGTCTACATTAGTCAAATGAAAATAATCAGTGTTTGAAATGCCATGCATATGCTGAAAAATACTTGTTCTTTTGCCTAGTATACAAGGCTCTCCAGGCTAAGGGAGTTGAATTTGATCTGATAGGAAGCAGAGAGTCATCAATTCTTGAGCAGCCCCTTATAGTGGGGCTTCACTCCAGGCCCATCCACTGACCACAGGCCTTGCTCTCAGGTTACCCAACTGGTTCAGTTCCTGATTGAAAATACTCCTGAAATCTTTGGAGAATATACCCTTCTGCTGTTACTGAAAACACAGGCTGTAAATGCCAGCTGTGCTGAAGATATGCCATGTAAGAGGGTAGCCCTCAAGCCCTCAGGGGCCAGGGAACTTTGTTTTCAATGTGTAGTGTGCTGGAAAAAGCATTAGACTAGAAGCCAGGAGGGCAGAACTGAGTTCCAGTCCCATCTGTGTCACTGGGACTGGATCTTGGGAAAGATCCTTTCCTTCTCTGAGTCTTTGCTTCTCACAAGTGGGCCATTGGGAAAATCACAATTGCTGCCCAAAATGGGAACGAATTGTGACTGGATATGTGGAGGGAATGCCTGACCTAGAAAACATGTTCTAGTCCCATCGCTACTAGTTTTGCTTCTTCACTCCCAAAAGACGTGATGAGAAGCACTGTGACCCAGGTAAACAGAGGCACAGCTTTGCAAAGCGCCCTGATCCTACAGACAGAGAGGCATAAATAGAAGAAGTTTTATGTGTTTCCACTGGGAACCATAGGCAGCAGTTGAAGGAGTAGCAGGAGTAGTGTCAGCAGCTGGTGGTCAGCCCCAATGCCTCACACATGGCCCACAGCTGGGGAAGTTGGTCCTCGGAGTAGAGAAAGTTAGGGAGCTCATATCCTCATGCATATGTATGCCCACGCAGGCACACACGAAGGCAGCACAGATATTACAGTACGGGGTATATATGTATGTCCTGAGCCACTAAGTCCTATGCCTATTTGACCCATGGCTAATAGTAGGATTTGTAAATTTTCTTTCTCAGCTTACCACCTCCCTTCTTAATGGTCTCATTCTTACAATGTGATGCCCACTCTTGATACTTTTCCCCAACAGATAGTCATTACTCTCTACTTTCTTTCCTGGTACACTATTCAGAACATGGCCTGGGTTTTAATCCCAGCTCTGAAATGTCCTAGCTACGTTACCTTGGGCAAGTGGCATCATCTCAGTGAGTCTCAGTGTCCTTGTCTGAGAAATGGGGAGAATGAGAACTTTGCTGAAGTGTGGGTGAGCCTTTTAAATTGGATGAGTGTAAAGTGCCTACTGCAGTGCTGGCTGCTAGCAGGGGCTTAGTAAAATGACAGTTCTCTCTCTCTCTCTCTCTCTCTCTCTCTCTCTCTCTCTCTCTCCCTCTCTTTTTATTGAGACAGAGTTTTGCTCTGTTGCCCAGGCTGGAGTGTAGTGGCATGATTTGGGCTCACTACAACCTCTGCCTCCTACGTTCAAGCGATTCTCCTGCCTCAGCCTCCTGAGTAGCTGGGATTACAGGCTCACACCACCACGCCCAGCTAATTTTTTGTACTTTTGGTAGAGATGGGGTTTTGCCATGTTGGCCAGGCTGGTCTTGAACTCCTGACCTCAAGTGATCCGCCCCCCTCAGACTTCCAAAATGTTGGGATTACAGGTGTGAGCCACTGAGCCCAGCCATGACAGTTCTCTCTTCTTCCCTGCTTTCACTCTACCTCTCTATAAAAGGCTGCTCTGAGTGAAGAAGAAAAAGGGTCCTCAGCATGTGGGACTTTGAGCCCCCATCCCCTGTTCCATTTCTATCTTCTTTATGTCTTTGACCTTCTTGGAATGCTGAATAAAGGTTTGGGCTTGTTGAAAAAGAGACATCCATAACTCTGGAACAAAGCAAGCCCTGAAAGGAATTAAACCCTGTGTCTCATCTACCTACTGTTCTATAAAACTTCAAATCTGGGAGGTTCCTTATAATTCCTGATTTTCCCTCCCTAAGTTACAGATGGGCCTTAAGAGAGGCAGCTTTATGCCTGAAGTTACACAGCAAATTGATGGCAGAATAGATTTCAGAGCCCAGAAAATGCTGTCTCATAAGCCCCCAATACGTGCTCCATTGCCTTCTGAGAGTTCATGACCCTGTTCTTCATGGTATCCAGAACTCTTCCCCAGTCCCTCCTCCCCTAGACATGGGCCATATCCTATGTCAAGACTTATGGGCTTTACTTAGCTCTGAGAGGTAGATCTAGGCCACAAAGCAGAGGCCATGGTAGGAATGGACATGCAGGATCCCAGCAGAGACAGAGATTGTGGTGCTTGGAGGCTTCCTTAGCAATCTGAGCAGGACCTGATGCTTGAGTAGCAGATGATTACCCACTATGCCACTGAGCCCAGTACCCCTAATCCTGGCAAAATCCCATTGTCTACCCCTCTATCTCTGATGCCACCCTCACCTGCACTCCAGACACCTTCCATATGGTTGCTCCTATGGCTACCACTCTAGCACCCCAAGTTCCTAGGCAAGGGCTTGGAGCCCCACTGTCTTCAGAAGGTGGCCCATGTTAGGTCTCTGGGGACATACACAGAGGTGGCAGCATTACCCACCAGCATCTCCACTGCTTCAGCCCCCTTTTTGCCTTCTATGTTAACCCTCTGGAGCATGCCTTTTCCTAGTGGTCTAAGCCATCTTACTTCATCCCTCTGACTGTGCTAACCCTGCTCTTCAAGTTGAGCATGTCTACCTCATTTCCGATCCCTTCAACACTGCCAAGCATGTCATCCATCTTAGAGGAGTCAGGGATCACTACTGCCCCCAGTACCTACCCACATATGAAGCTACAACTATGTCCTGAGGAAATTGAAGAGGGCAGGAATGGTGACAGGGAGGAGCCTACAGCATTCTAGAGGATGCTGAGCACCCAAGCATCCACTAAATAGAAGCAGAGGGGAAGCAAAATAATGCCCTTCAAGGGCTTCTGTAATCAAGTCACCTGACTGTAGCTGACTAGCCACCCTTCAAAGCCAAGAAGGACTCCCCAGAAAGCAGCAGAAAAATCTACCTGGAAATGGCTAAAAAATTAATCAAAGCAAGATGTTTGAAATAGGAGTCGGAACAAGGAAGGGCCTAACCACATTCACATCACATGCTATCTGATCCCCAAGAAAGGGAAGGTTAGAACTAATCCTCAGACTCCCTGAAGAACTACTCACGCCTAGATGACGTGATGTTCTATGGGCAGCATAGACCTCTGGAGCCTATGGATACCACTTATACAACATGGTCATAAGCTTCTGAGCTAAAAGTGGCAGATCAAGCCATCCTCAACAGTATTTATCATGCTGATGTCCACAGAAATGGGGTCAAAAGTGCCTTCAGCAGGTGGGCCTTTTCTTATTTAAGTAATTACCTGCTCCCATCACTGTTTTGGAGAGTCACGTGATACTTAACCCAGTCCAGTACAAGTGAAACCCTAAGATGTCAGGTGGCCAAAACCTTCAGTGAAGCTCAAGGCTCTTATCAAGGAAATTATCATCTGATAGGAAGGAGGAAGGAGGGCTATGGAAGGAGGGATTGAGGTGGTACAGAGAATAAGTCAGAAGTAGCAATGACATTGGTGTATGGTTCAGTTGGGATGCCACCTCAGTTGGGATCTTCATCCCAGAACTAGACCTCCTTTGAGGTATTCCAGAATCTACTGAGATCTCACTGCTTCCTCCTTATAGCTTCTGGTTTTAGAGCCAGACAGCACCAGCAAAACAGCCTCCTCCATAACTGGAAGTTTCTCACAGAAGGGATGTTGATCTCTCCGGGGGTATTTGAACTTGGGGCATAGGGTAGGAAAAAGATTCTTAATTTCTGTTTTACCCATAGAGGGAGAGGTCAGAAGCGCGTTTGCAGAATCCAGAGTGTTGGGGGATTTCGGTAAGTAAAGGAGGTGACAGGGATGAGGCAAAAGATATCCTCATAGTGTGGGAAATAATAGTATAAGAAAGGACATAGAGCTTCTTGAATCTCCTTCACCTAAAATCCTCCCATAAGGGATGCCCCGGGTGTAACCAAGTGTGAGAGCCCACAGAAAAGGTATTGGGGTATCTAGCTCTTTCCTGAGAGCATGGGAGGCCAAGTTATTGGGATATGGGATACGAGGTAAGAAGCCAGCAGTGGCAAGAAAAGCCAGAGAGAAGAGAGGGCTAAATAAATTGGGGACATACATTGTTCCTACAGCCATCAAAACAGTGGATGGGTAGAGAGATGAGGCTAGAATTCCAGTCACTAGATTTACTGGGTCTATCAAACACAAAGAATCCTGGTCCTCTGTGGGCCCAACAAAAAGCAAACTAACCACTGTTAGCCCTTCCTCCTGTTTCTCCCAGCCAGTGAAGGCCATACATTCCACTGTATATATTCCTGAAGAACAGCCAAGGATCACTGGCAGCGTAGGCTCAAATCCTAAGGCCTTCTGCACCTCCCTCCCTGCATTGGTCAACCCCAAAGTGAGTACTCAACCTGGCCCAAAAGACTCTCCACCCCTGTTCTGTGGGTTACCGCAAGAGTTAATAATTTAAAAGGACCCATCTGGGCTCTAGGTGGCTCTGCATTTGCTGTCAATGTGCTCTTACCATTTATCTTTTCTGGGACAGGCATCCACTGAAAATGCCTGGGAACTACTAGCAAGATGCCTACCCTGTGATGGGAAGACTGGCAAAAGAGCACAAAGAGACAGTACAAACACAGGTTCAAGCTGCAATACCAGGGCCTCTCCCACTGGACCCATCCTCTTCCCTCATACCCATGTCTATACTCAAAGTGAGTTCTAGCCCTCTCTCCCAGAAGCTCCCTCACTTCTCTACTTTTATAATTTCCTCTTCCCACTGCATTTGGCCCTTCCCCATGGTTCCTAGAAATCCCTCAGCCTTCACCAGTACCCCATGGGAAGGCCAGTGTTAGCTGGAAAGCAGAGTATTAGCAATATCCTTAACCTTCTGTGTGCTCTTGGGAGTTACTTCCCCTTCTCTGAATTTAAATTTACTTACTTGGAGCCTGAGATTAATAATCTCCATTTTGTGTACTACATGTGAGTAGGGAGAGTTGAGTTCAAGCCAACAAATGTTTATTAAAACCTGTCTATGATGTGTCAGGTATCAGGGAAGTAGAAATGAAACAAACATTTTCCCTGCTCTCAGGAAGCTTATAACTTAGCTGGATAATTAAGTGAAAGAGAGTCAAAAAGGCAGGACACTGTGGAGGTTGGGTGGGTGAGGTTTTTGAAAGCTTTAGAAGTTTCTAGGCAGTGATGAGATACAGAAAGGAGTAGAAGTTGACACTAGGAAGATTTTTTAATCCACTTCCTGCCTCCCAGGCAACTTCATAGCAGGTTACCTTGGCTGAAAGCCCTCCCACTGCTGGGGAGTTGGGAGGGGTACAATTAAACACAAGTAAGAATTTGAGATCCACTATTTAGGTGTCCAAGATTCAGCCAGTCCTTTGAGGATCTGGAAGTTCAGGTTGTCCATACCTTGGTTATATCTCACTGACCAGTGAGGCATGATCTGTAGAGAAAAAGCAGTGAGGTGTCAGGGAGATACCACGAAACTGAGGAGCTGTACACCTAGGTACTAGACCTAGCTCTGGCCCTAAAGTGGGCTTCAGGAGTCCCCATCTGTGTCATCAGCAGGAAGTGCAGGGTTTCATAATTTTTAAACTGTGCTCTCAGCACCCTGGAGTTCCTCAGGGGCACGTTAGGTAGAGCGAGGGATCATAAAGAATTAATCAGGGAGCTTCTTGGACTGGAGTCTTTATTCTTAATAATTCTACTTGAATTTCTTTCATAGGCATCCATGTGTGTTATCATTGGAAGAAAAGCTGAGTCTACACAAGTTGAAAATCACCATGCTATGAATGTCTTCTGATTATGCTTGTTTTTGACTTTGCTGGGCTGTGGGCCTAACTCTGTGAAAATTTAAGCAAGTTCTATAACCATTCCAGGCCTTGGTGGCTATCATTTCTTCCTCACAGAGAGGAGAGCTTGGCTCACATCTGTGGCCCCCAACCTCTCCACCACCAGGACCGTCTCATCATTTTTCCTGCGCTGGGACTCATATTTGGGAAATTTTTTTCTGTTGAATAGGTTGCATTTTTTAATAATCCAATTTCCCACTTTTTCATTATTCAAAGACACATAAAGACCAGTCAGAGCCTTTGATCACCATGAGACAAGCTGTGCTTCTGAGCCAAAAAAGAATTGATATTTGAGTGAAGCTTGTGATGCAGCTTTATTGTGAGCAAATGTGCAATTTCTGCTATTCCTCTTACAATATCAGAAATCATTTCACACCCTCCACTGCTTTCTTAGAGGGTCTAGGTTGGAATCCCCCAAGGAGGAAGATTTGGTTTCTACGACCCCTTTCCAGCTTGGGGGTGTTAACGCCTGGGGGTGTTAACAGAATAAGGAACAGGAGTCTGAAGGGAAGGGTTTATTGCTGCCTGCATGGAGACAAATGGTAACAAAGACTATGGGGGCTTAGGCAGGGTCTGTCTCCAGCTTGTTTGGTAGGGAACAGCCAAGCCAATGTGGCTCCTCTGTTGCTTCCCATATGCTGCTTCCGCCTTCCCACTGACTCATTCTGCCCAAATCTTCATTTGCAGTGCTGAAGACCATCAAAGGATTTCATGAGTTTCAGCTTCGGGAGGAGGAAGACAAAGAAGCAGAGGCCCAGAAGGACACTAAAGTGGAGGCCCCGCCCACCCAGACAGAGGCACAGGTCAAGCCAGCCCAGGAGATCAAGAAGCAGGCTCAGCCAGCAGAGATGCAGACTGAACTTGCCCAGGAGATGGCCAATGCACAAGCTGAGCCTATGGAAGCACAGGTTGAACCAGTTGAGGCAAAAGCCATGCTGGCCCAGATGCAGTTCAAGCTAACCAAGCTAACCACAAAGCTAAGACAAAGGCCAATGCAAAAGCCAATATGGCCCTGGCACTAACCGAACCAGTTGAGGTACAGGCTAAGTCACCTAAGGCAAAAGTCAAGCTGGCTCTGGTGCTGTCTGAACTGACTGAGGTACAGGTGAACTCACCCAAGGCAAAGGTCAAACTAGCCCCGGCACTTGTTGAACCAGCTGAGTCACAGGCCAAGCCAGTCAAGGTGCAGGCTGAACCCACTGAGTTATGGGTCAAACTATGGGAGGTGCAGGTTGAGGAACAGACTGAAGTAGCCAAGGAGCAGGCCAACGTAGCTGAGAAACAAGCCCAGCTAGCTGATAAGCAGCCTAAGTCACAGGCCAAAGCAGCTGAGCAGCAGGCCCAGGGGTAGCCTGAGGCACAGGTGGAAACTGCCAAAGAAGCAAACAGAATCTGCTGGATAACAGATCAAACCAGCCCAGGAACCAGCTAAAGACCAGGTAGCAGAACAGGTCAAATTAGCCAAGAAGCAATCCCAAAATGCCAATAAACAGGCTGAGGCACAAGCCAAGTTATCCAGGGTGTAAGTACGGTCTGTACCATCCCAGGTGCAAACTGAGGCACTGGCCAAGGCATCCAAGGAACAGGCTGAGACACACGTCAAGCCAGCTAAAGTACAGACTCAACAAGCCAAAAAGCAGGCCAAGCCTGATAAAAAGCAGGCTGAGGCACAGGCTGAACCAGCCAAGGAACAAGCTGAGCCATATGAGGAACAGGCCATACCAGCCAACAAGCAGGCTCAACCACTCAGGAAGGAAGTTGAGCCATGTAAGAATCAGGCAGAGGCACAGGTGGAGCTGACTGAAGTCCAGGCAAAGAAGCAGGCTGAACCCCCATAAGATTCAGGGTGAACTCAGTGAGGTATAGACTGAGCTGGGCCAGGCACAGGCTAAGTCAGCTGAAGAGCAGACCAGAGAGCATGCTGAGCTGCAGACCGAAGTATCTAAGATACCAGCTGAGGTGACTGACGCTCAGGCCAAACCAACTGAGGAGTAGAGCAGGAACAGCATAAACTGGGTGAGCCAACCAAGCCACAGCCCAAGCCACCTGAAAAGCAGCCTGAGCCAACAAATGTACAGGCTATGCCAGTCACCACAGCACTGTCACCATCAGAACCTATTGCATGCCCCAAGGAATCAAGCCAGCCAGCACTGAACCACAAACACTCACGTTTCTGTCATTCTGCAGGTCAAGTCAATCATGTCCAGCTCATCCACAGAGATGGGTCTGAGGCACCAAAAAGCCTTCTCCTCCAAGTTGAGTTGATAGATGGAACCAGCCAGGGAACCCTCACAGGCATCTGCTCAGGCAATGGAGCAAGAAAGAGCACAAGTCAATGCCTGCAATGCAAGGTTTGACATGCTCCGCTCTGCTATCTGATGGTGGCCTTCTCAGCAATTTAAAACCTCAGACCATAAGGACCCTTAGAGAGGTTAAAAACCCATTCTCTTGCTAGAGTATGTAAGGGTCTTTAAGGGTCCATTTTAAATGGGCAAAGGGAGTATCCAACTCACTCTGAATCCTGGGCATCCTTTTGGAACTGTTGGGTGCTAGCTAGCAAAGAATCTCACCAGTTGTGGTTGGGTAGGCAAGTGGACCACACAGGGCTGCAGGGCCTGAACCTGGCTTAGGGTACCATGGAACGGCATACTGGTGGAGCTGGCTTGCTTCTTTTTCTGCCTTTCTGTTGTGCCAGATGCCTACTGGCTCCCTAGTAGAACCTGGCTTCTTCTATAGGGGTGAGGCCGGCCCATTTCATCCTTCTACGGACTGGAACTGGAAGCATGCATGACTAGAAAGTAGGTAAGAGAGAGAAAGGGGCTAAGTTTGGAGTAGCTGCTCTGCATCCAGTGTCCCCCACCCACCCTACCCCATAAAGTGTGTAGACCACAGGTATTTCCAGAATGGTTTCCACAGCTTCAAGAATGGCACTTTGGTTTCAGGTAGGAAATGGCCATTGTTCAGTTTGACTACAGGCTAGTTGCTAGAAGAGACCATAGTGTCCAGTTGGTTCAAAATCTGCATCTTACAGAAGAGGAAGAAGGCCCAGGGTCACATAGCACATTTTAATTCTAGTGGCAGAGCCAGGTCTGAAAACCAGTAGTCCAGACTCTATAATTTTATTATGGATATTTTTTTTTAATTTTAAATAAGATTATATTTCAAGATTACCGTAATAAAGTAATAAAAGTACATTTTAAAAGTAAATAAAACATCCTTTACAGAGCAAATAAGCAGATAAGAAAATAGCAAAATATCAGAAAGAAGATAAAACATAAATTATGAGAAAAATTATGAATGGGTTAAAGCAACCTGTTAATGATCAATATTTTCTTTTTTTTTAATTTTTTTTAATTATACTTTAAGTTTTAGGGTACATGTGCACATTGTGCAGGTTAGTTACATATGTATACATGTGCCATGCTGGTGCGCTGCACCCACTAACTCGTCATCTAGCATTAGGTATATCTCCCAATGCTATCCCTCCCCCCTCCCCCCACCCCACCACAGTCCCCAGAGTGTGATATTCCCCTTCCTGTGTCCATGTGATCTCATTGTTCAATTCCCTCCTATGAGTGAGAATATGCGGTGTTTGGTTTTTTGTTCTTGCGATAGTTTACTGAGAATGATGATTTCCAATTTCATCCATGTCCTTACAAAGGACAGGAACTCATCATTTTTTATGGCTGCATAGTATTCCATGGTGTATATGTGCCATATTTTCTTAATCCAGTCTATCATTGTTGGACATTTGGGTTGGTTCCAAGTCTTTGCTATTGTGAATAGTGCTGCAATAAACATACGTGTGCATGTGTCTTTATAGCAGCAAGATTTATAGTCCTTTGGGTATATACCCAGTAATGGGATGGCTGGGTCAAATGGTATTTCCAGTTCTAGATCCCTGAGGAATCACCACACTGACTTCCACAATGGTTGAACTAGTTTACAGTCCCACCGACAGTGTAAAATTGTTCCTATTTCTCCACATCCTCTCCAGCACCTGTTGTTTCCTGACTTTTTAATGATTGCCATTCTAACTGGTGTGAGATGGTATCTCATTGTGGTTTTGATTTGCATTTCTCTGATGGCCAATGATGATGAGCATTTTTTCATGTGTTCTTTGGCTGCATAAATGTCTTCTTTTGAGAAGTGTCTGTTCATGTCCTTCGCCCACTTTTTGATGGGGTTGTTTGTTTTTTTCTTGTCAATTTGTTTGAGTTCATTGTAGATTCTGGATATTAGCCCTTTGTCAGATGAGTAGGTTGCAAAAATTTTCTCCCATTTTGTAGGTTGCCTGTTCACTCTGATGGTAGTTTCTCTTGCTGTGCAGAAGCTCTTTAGTTTAATTAGATCCCATTTGTCAATTTTGTCTTTTGTTGCCATTGCTGTTGTTGTTTTGGACATGAAGTCCTTGCCCATGCCTATGTCCTGAATGGTGATGCCTAGGTTTTCTTCTAGGGTTTTTATGGTTTTAGGTCTAACGTTTAAGGCTTTAATCCATCTTGAATTGATTTTTGTATAAGGTGTAAGGAAGGGATCCAGTTTCAGCTTTCTACAAAAAACCCTTCAAAAAATTAATGAATCCAGGAGCTGGTTTTTTGAAAGGATCAACAAAATTGATAGACCACTAGCAAGACTAATAAAGAAAAAAAGAGAGAAGAATCAAATAGACGCAATAAAAAATGATAAAGGGGATATCACCACCGATCCCACAGAAATACAAACTACCATCAGAGAATACTACAAACACCTCTACTCAAATAAACTAGAAAATCTAGAAGAAATGGATAAAATCCTAGACACATACACTCTCCCAAGACTAAACCAGGAAGAAGTTGAATCTCTGATTAGACCAATAACAGGAGCTGAAATTGTGGCAATAATCAATAGTTTACCAACCAAAAAGAGTCCATGACCACATGGATTCACAGCCGAATTCGATCAGAGGTACAAGGAGGAACTGGTGCCATTCCTTCTGAAACTATTCCAATCAATAGAAAAAGAGGGAATCCTCCCTAACTCATTTTATGAGGCCAGCATCGTTCTGATACCAAAGCCGGGCAGAGACACAACCAAAAAAGAGAATTTTAGACCAATATCCTTGATGAACATTGATGCAAAAATCCTCAATAAAATACTGGCAAAACGAATCCAGCAGCACATCAAAAAGCTTATCCACCATGATCAAGTGGGCTTCATCCCTGGGATGCAAGGCTGGTACAATATACGCAAATCAATAAATGTAATCCAGCATATAAACAGAGCCAAAGAGAAAAACCACATGATTATCTCAATAGATGCAGAAAAAGCCTTTGACAAAATTCAACAACCCTTCATGCTAAAAACTCTCAATAAATTAGGTATTGATGGGACGTATCTCAAAATAATAAGAGCTATCTATGACAAACCCACAGCCAATATCATACTGAATGGGCAAAAACTGGAAGCATTCCCTTTGAAAACTGGCACAAGACAGGGATGCCCTCTCTCACCACTCCTATTCAACATAGTGTTGGAAGTTCTGGCCAGGGCAATTAGGCAGGAGAAGGAAATAAAGGGTATTCAATTAGGAAAAGAGGAAGTCAAATTGTCCCTGTTTGCAGACGACATGATTGTATATCTAGAAAACCCCATCGTCTCAGCCCAAAATCTTCTTAAGCTGATAAGCAACTTCAGCAAAGTCTCAGGACATAAAATCAATGTACAAAAATCACAAGCATTCTTATACACCAATAACAGACAAACAGAGAGCCAAATCATGAGTGAACTCCCATTCACAATTGCTTCAAAGAGAATAAAATACCTAGGAATCCAACTTACAAGGGATGTGAAGGACCTCTTCAAGGAGAACTACAAACCACTGCTCAAGGAAATAAAAGAGGATACAAACAAATGGAAGAACATTCCATGCTCATGGGTAAGAAGAATCAATATCGTGAAAATGGCCATACTGCCCAAGGTAATTTACAGATTCAATGCCATCCCCATCAAGCTACCAATGACTTTCTTCACAGAATTGGAAAAAACTACTTTAAAGTTCATATGGAACTAAAAAAGAGCCCGCATCGCCAAGGCAATCCTAAGCCAAAAGAACAAAGCTAGAGGCATCACACTACCTGACTTCAAACTATACTACAAGGCTACAGTAACCAAAACAGCATGGAACTGGTACCAAAACAGAGATATAGATCAATGGAACAGAACAGAGCCCTCAGAAATAATGCCGCATATCTACAACTATCTAATCTTTGACAAACCTGACAAAAACAAGCAATGGGGAAAGGATTCCCTATTTAATAAATGGTGCTGGGAAAACTGGCTAGCCATATGTAGAAAGCTGGATATTTTTTCTTCAACCAAAGTCTGCGAAGGGGTATTGCATAGTGATTTAAGACACAGGCTCCAGAGCCATCTTGCTTCTATTCAAATATCAGTTATTGTTGCATTGAAGCTGTTTGACTTTGCGCTATCTACTTACACCCAGCCTGTTTCCTTATCTTGTAAATGAGGATATTAATACTACTATCTAGGACTATTGCAAGGATTAAATGATGTAATACATTTAAGAGCTACTACAGGACCCCTGGCACAGAGTATGGGCTCAATGACATATTAGCCAGTATTTGCTGGCCAACTTGGTGATGTATATTTTATTTTAAATAGGGACATGTGAGATAAACATACTCAGCTAGGATGTGGCTGAAGATTCAACATAATAACTAATGTGTTGTGTGATCTTGGATAGGAAACTTTATTTCTTCATGCCTCTGCTCTTCATCTGTGTAATGAGGATAATTACTGATAAGAAGTGATAATGAGGGGTTGTGTATAACAGTACTTTGGGGAATAAAAAGAAGTGCACAGGGGTGAGGTAAAGAATGGTTATATAATTGGTAGAGTGGTTGGTTGGAAGTGGGAAACACATTTAGCATAGGAGAATTCAGACTTGCAGTGATCAAACTATGTTTGCCTTTTCCACAGAATAGAAGAGTGTTGGGCACAGAGGAGTAAATCCAGGATTCCCAGTTCTCAGCCACATAATGTCATTGAAACTGGCTCCGGACAGTTCTGTCAAGCTGGGATGGAAATAAAAGTATATTCAAAGGCTTCACAAGTCCTCTTCTATCCCCATCATTGGCACTGCTTTCAGACTTTTGTGTTCTTTAATGGTCCTCTCAAACTCCCAGTGGTCCAAGCATACAGCACATAGACTGATCCTCTCCTTATTCTCCTTCTCTCTCCTCATAATTCCCTTACATCCACTGTCACTCTCATCCATGCCCCACCATTATGCATAGGTCAGGCCCTCATCAACTCTCACCTAGACTAATGTTTCCTAATATAGCTTCTCACACTTCTATCCTCCGTATTAGACAGACTGATTTTCTCAGATAATAGGAGTATTAAAATAAGAGGCAAAAAGGAGAAATTATTATAATAAATAACGAGGAAACATTTTCCTGGAATCTAGAAAAGAGACCACAGATGAATAGCGATCAAAGTGCTCAATAGGGACATAAAGAAAAACATCTGAACACATTGTAGTAAAATTTAAGTACATTAAAAAGAAAGAGAAAAAATGTAAAAGCTAGCTAAAGAAAAAAAAAGCTCATCTCCAAAGGAACAAGAATCAGATTAAACTCAAACTTCTCAACAGGAATATGGGATGCAAGAATTGTAGCTTCTATGACACTGTTCTAAGCACTTTACATATATTAACTCAATCCCCTAGAAAGTCTATGGAGTAGGTACTATTATTATTCATTTTATAGATGTAAAAACTGAGAAAGAGAAAGGTTAAATAACTTTCACAAGGTTACACATCTAGTAAGTGGCAGAGCCAGGACTTCCTTAAATCCAGGCAGTCTGGTTCTAGAATCCATGCTCTTAACCACTATACCATATAGCCTGTATTGAAGCAACATTTGAAAAGATTTTAAATGAAATAATTTTATGCTTTTGGTTCTCATCAAAATAACATAAACTCACATTTCTCTGATCTTTCCCTATTACTACACTTAAAAACCTGGAAGTAACACAACAGACAATTATAAAAGAACTCAGAAAGTTGAAAAGAGGAAGGCAGACTGACTAGATATTTCAGTCTTGATGAATGACAATGCAGTGAATTCCCTGAATTTTTTTTTTTTTTTTTTGTATCTTCTATGTATCCCAGGCTGGGCACTGCAACCAAGAACTTCCAACAGTAATAGATTTTGTTGTTGTTGTTGTTGTTGTAAGATATATGTTGTGGTCTATTTTTTGTAAGAATAGATTTTGTTAAGACTAAAGAAAGGATTGTTCTCTCTAGCCAAAGGAAAGGGAAGGGAACAGCAAAGCAGGATAGAAACCCCTTTTTTTTTTTTTTTTAACAATACCAGCCTTACAACAGCGTAACACAGTGGACAATCCTCTTTTTTTCAGTGCCAGCAGAGATCAGATAGAAAGTATTATTTCCCACTCTTCACCTAGTCAGCAGGCAAGCCCAGGTGAGCTCTTTCTCCCTCTGCTAGGAGGGTGCCAGCACACACAAACAGGGAGTTCTAACTCCTATACTCCACCCAATAGCAGCAGGCAGGCTCAGGTGCTTTCCTCCCATGCCAGCAGTGTCAATAGAGAAGGAACAGAACGTCCATCTCCTTTCCCCCAACTGGAAGCAGTAGATGACCCAGGGTGGTGCCCCCCAGCTGTAATAACTCATTGTCAGAGGAAACATAGTGAAGAGTTTGGACTCTCACCCCTGTTCAGTGGTGATAGCAATGCCCCTCACTTTTACAACTAGAGAGTAAGAGGAGAATCTAGGAAAAGAAATGGACACTCTTTAAACCTGCATAGGAAGTACTGGGCAGACACCTGACAGATCCCAACATGAAACTGATCAGAATCAAGATCTAAAATGTATGAGAACTGAACCAAAGTATGGAATGCCATCCAGACTTTCAGAGTGGCCTCTGAGTGACACACAAACTACACAGACCCAAATAGAAATACAAGGGATCTGAAATTTGTAACGTTGAAACCACAACTCTCAAAAGTAGGCCAGGATTCAGTTTAAGTTCATTGTTTCTTTGTTGACTTTCTGTGTTGATTACCTGTCTACTGCTGTCAGTGGAGTATTGAAGTCCCCCACTATTATTGTGTTGCCATCTATCTCAGTTCTTAGGTCTTGCAGTAATTGTTTAATAAATCTGGTAGCTGCAGTGTTAGATGCATATATATTTAGATTGTGATAGACCTTTTATCATTATATAATATCCCTCTTTGTCTTTTTTAACTGTTGTTCCTTAAAGTTTGTTTTGTCTGATATAAGAATAGCTACTGCTTTTGGCGTCCATTTGCATGGAATATCTTTTTCCACCCCTTTACCTTAAGTTTATATAAATCCTTATATATTAAGTAAGGCTCTTGAAGAAAGCAGATATTTGGTTGGTGAATTCTTATCCATTATGCTATTCTGTATCTTTTAAGTGGAGCATTTAGGCCATTTACATTCAGCATTAGTACTGAGATGTGAGGCACTATTCTATTCATCATGCTAGTTGTTGCCTGAATACCTTTCAGTTTTTTTTATTGTGTTATTGTTTTATAGGTCTTGTGAGATTTATGCTCTAAGAAGGTTCTATTTTTGTGTATTTTGACTAAGAATGTTCTATTTTCGTGTATTTTGAGTTTTTGTTTCAAGATTTAGAGGTCCTTTTAGCAGTTCTTGTAGTTCTGGCTTGGTAGCGGCAGATTCTCTCAGCATTGTCTGAAAAAGACTGTGTCTTTCCTTCATTTTTGAAGCTTAGTTTCACTGAATACAAAATTCTTGACTGACAATTGTTTTGTTTAAGGCTAAAGATAGGACCCCAATCCCTTCTAGCCTGTAGGATTTCTGCTGAGAAATCAGCTGTTAATCTGATTAGTTTTACTTTATAGGTTACCTGATACTTTTGCCTCACAGCTCTTAAGATTCTTTCCTTCATCTTGACTTTAGATACTCTGATAACTATGTGCCTAGGCAATAATCTTTTTGCAATATATTTTCTTGGTGTTTTTGAACTTCTTGTATTTGGATGTCTAGATCTCTAGCAAGGCCAAGGAAGTTTTCCTCAATTATTCCCTCAAATATGTTTTTTCAAACTTTTAGATTTCTCTTCTTCCTCAGGAACACCAGTTATTCCTAGGTTTGGTCATTTAACATAATCTCAAAATTCTTGGAAGATTTGTTTACTTTTTTAAATTCTTTTTTCTTTATCTTTGTCAGATTTGGTTAATTCAAAACCTTGTCTTCCAGCTCTAAAGTTTTTACTTCTATTTTTTAAATTTTATTATTGAGACTTTAATTTGCATTTTGCATTTCTCTAAGTGTGTCCTTCATTTCCAGAAGTTGTGATTGTTTTTTATTTGTGCTATCTATTTCTCTGGAGATTTTTTATTCATATCCTCTAACACTAAAAAAAAATTTTAAGTTGGTATTCACCTTTCTCTTGTGCCTCCTTGAGTAGCTTAATAATTCACCTTCTGAATTATTCATCTGGCAATTCAAAGTTTCATTATTTGTTTGGACCCATTGATGGTGAGCTAGTGTGATCTTTTAGGGGTGTTAAGGAACATTGCTTTGACATATTACCCGAATTGTTTTTCTGGTTCCTTCTCATTTAAGTAGACTATATCAGAGGAAGGATTTGGGGTTCAAGGGCTACTGTTCATATTTTTTTGTCCCACAGAGTGCTCCCTTGTTGTGATGCTCTCTCCCTTTCTCTAGGGATGGGGCTTCCTGAGAGCCTGACTGCCATGATTGTTATTTCTCTTCTGGGTTTATCCACCAATGGAGCTATCAGGCACTGGGCTGGTACTGAGGAGTGTCTGCAAAAAGTTCTGTGATGTGATCCATCTTCAGGTTTCTCAGTTGTGGAGACAGGCACCTACTCCAGCGGAGGTAACAGAGGAGTGAAGTGGACTCTGTGTGGGACCTTGACTGTAGTTTTGTTTAGTGTGCTGTTTTTCTCAACTGCTGGTTGTGCTGGCTGTAAAATTGTCATGTGGATAGCCTCAGGACCTCTGGCTAGCCAGGATGTTACAGGCGGTGGGATTAGCTGTTGATTTCTCTTCTCATGGGGCAGGTTTGTTCTGTTATGAGTTGCTGTAGTGGTTTAAGTTGGTTGTTCCCAAGCTAGGAAGTGGCACTTTCAAAAGAGAGCATCAGCTGTGGTAGTATAGAGAGGATACAAGCTTACCCTAGGGTTGCCTGGATAAGTACTTGGGTTTCTTAGGTGTTGCATGGGGCCATACGGCTCCCAAGAGATTATGTTTCTTGTCTTTGGCTACCAGCGTGGGTAGAGAAAGACCATCAGGTGGGGAAAGGGTTAGGCATATCTAACCTTAGACTCTTCTTGAGTGGGGCTTGCTGCAGCCACTATGGGGGATGGGGGTGTGTTTCCCAGGCAGATGATGTTATGTTCCCAGGGGATTATGGCTGCCTCTGTTGTGTTATACAGGTCACCAGGGAAGTAGGGGAAAGCCAGCAGTGACAGGCCTCACCCAGCTCCTACTCAGACAGAAAGGCCAATCTTACTTCTGCCACACTCCCCCAACAGCACAAGTTTATATCCAGGCAGCCGGTGAGCAGGGCTTGGAACTTGAGCCAGGCTACAAGCATCCTTGTTGAGAAAGCAAACAGGGATTTTCTTGCTGAGAAAGCAAACAGGGCTTTCAGCTTTGCCCCTCCCCACTGTGGCTTCTGTGCTCATATCTGCATTTCTTGTTCACCCCCACTCCCGGATTCTGCCCTGGAAAATTTGTGCTTGGTCAAAATTATTACAAAGTTCAGCTGGAAGTTTCCTTCTCCCTGTGATCTTTCCCCAATTTCACTGGCACCCTCCCCAAAAACCCCTGTGAGATAACATCAGAAATGGGTTCCCTGGGCTTCCTTGGGGGCCAGGAGTGCCTACAGGGCCCTTTCCACTGCTTCTTCTACTTTTATATTTTGCTTGGCTCTCTAAATTTGTTTCAGTTCTAGGTAAGGTTAAATCCTTCTCCTGTGATCTGGATTTTCAGGCTCCCCATTGAGGATGTGTGTTCAGAGGCAGACTTTCCCTCTTTCACACTTTGGGCACTCAGTTTTTCAGCTCTTTCTCGGAGTTTTCAACAGCACACTGCTTCTTTTAAAGGGTCTACGAATTCTTTGGTTTTCCAGGTATGCTCCTGCAGTAGTTCTTGGAGCAAAAGTCTACATGCTCTTCTGTCCATCCAAATGAAACCTGCATCTTGCCTCCTATCCACCATTTTCCTAAAAGTCTACAAAGGAAATTATTTTTGAGAGAATAGATGTGATTTTTAACCAGTCATGGAATTAATGTTTGTGCATTAGTCACAGCAATACAAAGTCTTCCCAAGAACATGTGTAATTTTTATTTATCATCCATGTGTTTTCATATCCTTAGAAGCAAAATGTATACTCAATCAATGTTATTAAAATTTGCAACTACTAATGGAATTATTATTTTTTTTTGTTTGGATCATAAAGGCATAGTAATATTTTGATTTTGCAAGTTTACTCCCAATAATTCTAGGTATTTAGTATGCCTTTTAAGCTAATTGTGAATGATAAACATAATCACAGAATACCTGTAAACATATTCACACTCTTCTCAGAAAGTCTGTCCTTGTAGAAACCAGGCTCTTTGTCAAAGTGATTGACAAAATCAAGTCTGGTGTCATGTCCTGAAGCTGAGAGGATGTTTAACCTGGCCTGAGAAAAGAGGCCCCTACTTCACGTCTGCTATCTTTGCCTTTGTCAAAAAATCCTACAAAAATATGAAACCTCAGAACCTCTCTTCAGAAAACATGGAATCCATTGAGTTAGAGCAGAAACAAACTACTGTAACCCAACCTCACACTGCAGCATTTAGTGGAGTCCCCCACCTGGTACTGCAGAATCAGAAACAGGAGCTGATTCTAGCCACAGGGTGCTCTGGCTTTCTCCTTAGCAAGACCCCTATCCCCATAGAAACCAAGTGAGTCAACCAGAAAGCCTGCAGCTTGCAGAGAAGGGTCCCTGGAAAAGAAGGTCTGGCACATGGTCCTATCCTCTATCCTGGTTCCTTTGAAAGCCAGCAAAAAATGATATTGGGTCATAAACTGCTTCTTACACTCTGTGCCCACAAAGATGAGAAGCCAGATTTATGGAAGAAAAGGATGAGGTTTCCCTCTATGTCCCAGTTTTCCCTATATCTCCTGAAATAGAAGGTTAGATGGGGAGTTAAATAGGAAAGTTAGGCAGAAAACAGTTTTGCCTGTCTCTTGATATCTAAATCCTTACACTACTAACTTACATAGTATACCAGGCCATCTAATGTTAGCAGCTACTATTTGTCAAGCAACTTCTATGGGCCTTGTCACCATCTACACACTTTACAAGCATTGTCTCATTTAAATTTGATTTTTACAACAACCCTCTAAAGTAGGTAATACTCTAAGCCTCATTTTACAAATGAAGAAATCAAGGTTAAGAAAGGTGCCCAAGGTCTCATAACCTTGAAGTGATAAGGCTGGGATTTGAACCCACATATGACTTCCACTCTGCTATGCTCCCTCTAAGACTGAAGTCCTGCCTATCTCTTTGCCAGCTCTCCTACCCAACCTCCCATCTCCAGCAACCCCACATATACTATACCTTATTACACTTCCAATGATCATCTGCTCAGACTATCACCTATCAAACTTTCTCATCTCAACTACCAGCTTTTTGTCTACTTATTTTGCTAGCTATTGAGAGAGGTATATTTATGTCTTTTGGTTTACTAATCATTTCTTTTACATGGTCTAAGCTGCTCTTAAATCTATCTGTTGAGATCTTTATTTCAATTTGTGTGCTCTTTTCCTTCTAGAATTCCCATCTGGTTCTTTTAAATAGATTTTAGCTCTCTGGAGTTCTCCTTATTTTAGCTATCTTTTTTCTTTTTCTTTTCTATTTTTGTGAACATATTAATCATAATTATTTAAAAGTCCTTGTCTGATAACAATAATATCTGAAACATCTATGGGTCTGTTTTGTTTCTATTGGCTATTTTTTCTCTTTCTCTTTCACGGTAAACCAGAATACCTCTGGTTTTTGGAATGTTAGCTCTCCAGGGTTTCCAATGGAGAATTTGGCATGTTTACCCTTGATGGGTCCAGAATTTTAATACTTGACTCGACACAGTTTAATGGCACTTTACTTTCAAAAGTTTTCTTTTTTTTTCTTTTTCATTTTATTATTATTATACTTTAAGTTTTAGGGTAGATGTGCACAATGTGCAGGTTAGTTACATATGTATACATGTGTCATGCTGGTGTGCTGCACCCATTAACTCGTCATTTAACATTAGGTATATCTCCTAAAGCGATCCCTCTCCCCCTCCCCCCACCCACAACAGTCCCCAGAGTGTGATGTTCCCCTTCCTGTGTCCATGTGTTCTCATTGTTCAATTCCCACCTATGAGTGAGAATATGCGGTGTTTGGTTTTTTGTCCTTGCGATAGTTTACTGAGAATGATGATTTCCAATTTAATCCATGTCCCTACAAAGGACATGAACTCATCCTTTTTTATGGTTGCATAGTATTCCATGGTGTATATGTGCCACATTTGCTTAATCCAGTCTATCATTGTTGGACATTTGGCTTGGTTCCAAGTCTGTGCTATTGTGAATAGTGCCGCAATAAATATACGTGTGCATGTGTCTTTATAGCAGCATGATTTATAGTCCTTTGGGATGGCTGGGTCAAATGATATTTCTAGTTCTAGATCCCTGAGGAATCACCAAACTGACTTCCACAAGGGTTGAACTAGTTTACAGTCCCACCAACAGTGTAAAAGTGTTCCTATTTCTCCACATCCTCTCCAGCACCTGTTGTTTCCTGACTTTTTAATGATTGCCATTCTAACTGGTGTGAGATGGTATCTCATTGTGGTTTTGATTTGCATTTCTCTGATGGCCAGTGATGGTGAGCATTTTTTCATGTGTTTTTTGGCTGCATAAATGTCTTCTTTTGAGAAGTGTCTGTTCATGTCCTTCACCCACTTTTTGATGGGGTTGTTTGTTTTTTTCTTGTAAATTTGTTTGAGTTCATTGTAGATTCTGGATATTAGCTCTTTGTCAGATGAGTAGGTTGCGAAAATTTTCTCCCATTTTGTAGGTTGCCTGTTAACTCTGATGGTAGTTTCTTTTGCTATGCAGAAGCTCTTTAGTTTAATTAGATCCCATTTGTCAATTTTGGCTTTTGTTGCCATTGCTTTTGGTGTTTTGGACATGAAGCCCTTGCCCATGCCTATGTCCTGAATGGTAATGCCTAGGTTTTCTTCTAGGGTTTTTATGGTTTTAGGTCTAACGTTTAAGTCTTTAATCCATCTTGAATTAATTTTTGTATAAGGTGTAAGGAAGGGATCCAGTTTCAGCTTTCTGCATATGGCTAGCCAGTTTTCCCAGCAACATTTATTCAATAGGGAATCCTTTCCCCATTGCTTGTTTTCATCAGGTTTGTCAAAGATCAGATAGTTGTAGATATGCGGTGTTATTTCTGAGGGCTGTGTTCTGTTCCATTGATCTATATCTCTGTTTTGGTACCAGTACCATGCTGTTTTGGTTACTGTAGCCTTGTAGTTTAGTTTGAAGTCAGGTAGAATGATGCCTCCAGCTTTGTTCTTTTGACTTAGGATTGACTTGGTGATGTGGGCTGTTTTTTGGTTCCATATGAACTTTAAAGTAGTTTTTTCTAATTCTGTGAAGAAAGTCATTGGTAGCTTGATGGGGATGGCATTGAATCGATAAATTACCTTGGGCAATATGGCCATTTCTCTTTAGCTTTTTAGCCTTCTGAGCTCCAGAATTTGGCAACCATCTTAAGGCAAAAACCAGCTATTCATAGGCTCAGCTCTCTGCCTTTCTCATGTAACTGTGCTCTGCCATATTCTCCTGTTTTGTTTCTCCAGCACCAAGGCACTACCAAAAGCTCTGTTGGTTTCTCTAACTCTCAGCAGCAGCCTTCTGACTGGGGCCATGTCTGTGTTTTCAGCCTACTGCAAACCAGAAAGCAGAAAATACCCACAAAGAAAAAGTAGCTGTACAAATGTTAGTTCACCTCTCTGCAGATTTTACAGGCTCATAGGTGGAAGGAGCTTGCCTTGTCTCAGATGAGACTTTGAATTGTGGAATTTTGGGTTAATGCTGAAATGAGTTAAGAGTTTGGGGGACTGTTGGGAAGGCATGATTGGTTTTGAAATGTGAGGACATGAGATTTGGCAGGGGCTGGGGTGGAATAATATGGTTTGGCTCTGTGTCCCCACCCAAATCTCATCCTGAGTTGTACTCCCATAATTGCCATATGTTATGGGAGGGACCCAGTGGGAGACAATTGAATCACGGGGGTGGTTTCCCCCATACTGTTCCCATGGTAGTGAATAAGTCTCACAAATCTGATGATTCTATCAGGGATTTCTGCTTTTGCGTCTTCCTCATTCTCTCTGCTTACTGCTGTCCATGTAAGATCTGACTTGATCCTCCTTGCCTTCTGCCATGATTGTGAGGTTTCCCCTGCCACGTGGAACTGTAAGTCCAATTAAACCTTTTTCTTTTGTAAATTGCCCAGTCTCAGGTTTGTCTTTATCAGCAGCGTGAAAACGGACTAATACACCAACCTACACCATCCTACCTTGGTCTTAAGATACCTGCACGCACACACACCCTCACCTACACTATTTCTCATTCCCTGATTTTGCAACTTGCCTTGCATCCTAACATCAAATCTAAAATGGTCTTTCTGACATTCCAATTTCTTTTTAGCAGCAACATAGCAACAATATTTTGTTGTCTTACTTTGAACCGTGATTAGTTAAAGTCCCCAGATATCATGACACCAAATAGTTGCCAGGCTAGGCCTCCTCCTTTACTTCTCATGAAATTCATTAAAAAAAAAAAAAAACTTTTATTTTAGGTTCAGGGGTACATGTGCAAGTTTGTTATGTAGGTAAACTTGTGTCACTTTTTTTGTAAAGATTATTCCATCACATACGTACTAAGCTTAGTACCCAATAATTATTTTTCCTGATCATCTCTCTTCTCCCACCCTCCACCCTCAAGTAGGCCCCAGTGTCCGTTGTTCCCCTCTCTATGTCCATGTGTTTGAATCTTTTAGCTCCCACTTATAAGTGAGGGCATGTGGTGTTTTGTTTGCTGTTCATGCATTAGTTTGCCAAGGATAATGGCCTCCAGCACCATCTATGTTCCTGCAAAGGACATGATCTCATTCTTGTTTATAGCTGCATATTATTCCATGGTTTATATGTACATTTTCTTTATGCAGTCTGTCATTGATGGGCATTTAGGTTGATTCCATGTCTTTGGTATTGTGAATAGTGCTGGGGTGAATATACACATGCATGTGTCTTTATGGTAGAAGTATTTATATTGTTTTGAGTATATACCCAGTAATGGGATTACTGGGTTTAATAGTAGTTCTGTTTTTAGCTCTTTGAGGAATCACCACACTGCTTTCCACAATGGCTGAACTCCCACCAACAGTATATAAGTGTTCTCTTGGCAGACAAGTCAGCTCACCGGAGGCGGAGGCAGCGTGGCGGCTGGGGTGTGGCGCAGGACCGAGCCCTGGCGGAGCAGGGCCGCGGGGCGGGCGGGTGAGCCCTGGGCGAGGTGGCCTCTGCTTGCTCAGTGTCCCCGCGCCATTGTTGGGGGAGGGGGCTGCTGCTGAGCGAGGCAGAGTAGGGCGCAAGCGAAGGCGCCAGAGGCGGCGGAGAGGGGCGGAGGCGCCCCATGGGGAACACGCTGACTTGTTGCGTGTCCCTCAATGCCAGCCCCAAGCTGGGCCGGCGCGCCGGATCCCCGCGTCCGACATCTACGAGGCGGCGTCCGGGGACGAGGTGGCGGTAGCGCCTGCTGCTGCGGAGCCTCCCGAGTTTGATTTCGGAGAAGGCGAGGGCCACCACCTGCAGCACATCAGCGACCGCGAGATGCCCAAAGATTTAGCATTGGAGTCAAACCCTTCTGACCATCCAAGGGCAAGCACAATTTTCCTGCGCAAATCTCAAACGGATGTGAGAGAAAAGAGGAAGAGCAACCATTTAAACCATGTATCTCCAGGGCAGCTTACTAAAAAGTATAGCTCATGCTCAACAATATTTCTATATGACAGCACAGTCAACCAGCCTAACCTTAGAACCACAGTAAAATGTGTGACCTTAGCAATATATCACCACATAAAGAACAGAGATGCAAATAGATCCCTGGATATTTTTGATGAGAGATCACATCCACTTACACGAGAAAAAGTTCCAGAAGAATAGTTTAAGCATGATCCTGAGCACAAATTTATTTACAGATTTGTTCATACTCCTTTTAGTGCTGCACAGCTAACAGCTGAATGTGCAATAGTAACTTTGGTTTACTTAGAAAAGCTTTTAACTTATGCTGAAACCAACATTTGTCCCACTAACTGGAAAAGGATTGGTCTGCGAGCCATTCTTGCCTCCAAGGTTTGGAACCATCAGGCTGTATGGAATATGGACTACTGCCAGATCTTCAAGGACATTACAGGTGAGGACATGAATGAAATGGAAAGGCATTTTTTGATGCTTCTTCAGTTTAATCTTAATGTTCCTGCCAGTGTTTATGCCAAATACTACTTTGATCTTCGCTCCTTAGCAGATGACAATAACCTGAATTTTCTATTTGCTCCTCTTAGCAAAAAAAGAGCACAGAACCTAGAGGCTATTTCTAGATTGTGTGAAGACAAAGACTTGTGGAGAGCCCTATGAGAAGGTCTTTCAGCACTGATGACTTCATTGGTATTCAGCACTCTAAAGCCATCCTCTCTTAAAGGGAGAAATGAGGGGTTATAACGTCACAGGACCTTTATCTACAAAGACTGGAGAAATATCACCTTTCCTGCTCAAAACCCAGCAAAATTAGTGTTTTCATTAAAAGGATAGATCTCGAATTCAAGAGATTCATGGACAACAAGGATTGTACTCCATAGAAAAGAATGGGACCTTGTCAATGCAACAAAACATTCTTCTGTCCTTTTTAATGTAAACAGAGTTACAAAAAACACTCCAAAGTGAAGGTTCCTTTCCCACACAGATATTTGCTTACTATATGGGCTGATAGCTGTGAACTATGTAAGGTTTTTTTAAACAATAGTTTAAATTTTTAAACTTTAAAGACACTAACCATATAACTTTTATGCTTTTTCCAATTTTTCTCCCTCCCCACATTTTGCTGCATATGCCTTTAGAATCAATGCAGTATTATCATTAAAACATGGTACTCTAAAGACACTTAGGAGCAGACTGCACCATTGTTAGGTAATGAAGGATTCTTCCTCCCTACCATTGAAGCTGCTAGTCATAGGCAATCATTTTAAGCCAAAAACCTGCTGGATAACATTTGTCATTCATATTCTTTGCAAACATTACTTTAGCATTTTAGCATGTTTGGGGTCATAAACAGAGGAAGTATCGTTATTGATATCTACTTCTTTTATTTATTTATTTTTTATTATACTTTAAGTTCTGGGGTAATGTGCAGAACGTGCAGTTTTGTTACACAGGTATACATGTGCCATGGTGGTTTGCTGCACCCATCAACCCGTCACCTATATTAGGTATTTCTCCTAATGCTATCCCTCCCCTATCCCCCCACCCCCCAACAGGCCTCGGTGTGTGATATTTCCCTCCCTGTGTCCATGTGTTCTCATTGTTCAACTCCCACTTATGAATGAGAACATGCAGTGTTTAGTTTTCTGTTCTTGTGATAGTTTTCTGAGAATGATGGCTTCCAGCTTCATCCATGTCCCAGCAAAGGACATGAACTCATCCTTTTTTATGGCTGCATAGTATTCCATGGTGTGTATGTGCCACATTTTCATAATCCAGTCTATCACTGATGTACATTTGGGTTGGTTCCAAGTCTTGCTATTGTGAATAGTGCTGCAATAAACATACATGTGCATGTGTCTTTATAGTAGCATGATTTATAATCCTTTGGGTATATACCCAGTAATGGAATCACTGGGTCAAATGGTATTTCTAGCTCTATATCCTTGAGGAATCACCACACTGTCTTCCACAATGGTTGAACTAATATTACACTCCTACCAACAGTGTAAAAGCATTCCTATTTCTCCACATCCTCTCCAGCATCTGCTGTTTCCTGACTTTTTAAAGATCACCATTCTAACTGGCATGACATGGATTTGCATTTCTCTAATGACCAGTGATGATGAGCATTTTTTCATATCTTTGTTGGCTGCATGACTTCTCCTTCTTCTATTGGGGTCCATGTTGCATTTCTTGTGAACTAAGAATGATGCTTCTCATTTTCTGATAATTTTTCCCTTGTTAAATAAGTGTATTAATACATATTTTCATAATGCCAACCAACATGGTGGCTTAGTGACAATGAAAAAAAAAAGTAAAGCGGTTTTAAGCTTTAATATAGCTCAGGCCCTCGAAGGCACTGCAGCGTGAGTATAAATGCTATGAACCTTTTAAAAAACATCGTTTGAAAAAATTTTTTTAAGAGATGAGGTCTTGCTCTGTTGTCCAGGCTGGAGTGCAGTGGCTGTTCACAGGTGCAATCATGGTGCACTGCAGCCTAGAACTTCTGACCTCAAGCCATCCTCTAGCATCAGTGACATGAGTGGCTGGGACTACAGGCACACCTGGCACTTGTCTCCTGAATAGTTTAATTTTTTGTTTCAGTCACTTTTGAAGATAGCAGACTTTCACTGAGGCAAACAATTAAAAGCTTTATATTAAAAATTTGCAAAATGAAGCTGGGTGTGGTGGTGCATGCCTATAATCCCACCTGCTTGGGGGGCTGGGGTTGGAGGACTGCTTGAGGTCAAGTATTGGAGGCTGCAGTGCACCATGATGGTGCCTATAGGAATTGCTACTGCACTCCAAACTGGACAACATAGCGAGACCACATCTCTTAAAAAAATGCAAAATTAAATGCGAAAGAAAAGGGCTGGACATAGTGATTCATGCCTACAATCTCAGTACTTTGCATGGCTGAGGTGGGAGGATTGCTTGAGCACAGGTGTTCAAGACCAGTCTAGGCAACATATTGATACCCTGTCTGTAAAAAAAATAATAATAAATAAAAATAATTAGCTGGATGTGGTTGCATGTGTCTGTAGTCCTAGCTACCCTGGAGGCTGAGGTCGGAGGATCACTTGAGCCCAGGAGGTCAAGGCTGCAGTGAGCCATGATCATGCCACTGCACTCCAGCCTGGGTAACTTCCAGACCCTGTCTAAAATAAAAAAAGAAAAAGAAAAACGTTCAAACAAGTTTTTGTAAAGGTTTGTGGTTTGTAGCATTTATACTTCTACATATATCAAAGCTTAAAATTACACTAAACTTTTGGAATACCTTGTATCTCCATAAAATGCCCTCCTCTTTTTAAAAGTAGCTACTTGCAGGGTTGTGCTCTATATGCTTTGATCACCAAAGTTTCTTTAATGTAAAGGAAGATTTTGAAGAGCAGTGTTAATTAGCATGTAATAAAAGGAAATGGACCCTAATGATAGAAGGTGATATGAACAGTTCTTTTATCATCCTACGTTACCAAGCTGTAGGTGTCCCATTAAGTCCTGCTATTTAAGAAACTACTTACATAACCCTTAGGAAGTCTTACTTCAGGCTTTAAAAGGCAAGGAGCAAATAATTTTAGGAGACTGATAACAAAGTCACCTAAATTTGAAATATTAAAAAGAGATTAGTGTTCTAAACTAGATGAAATCTATTTCTGGCCGGGTGTGGTAGCTCACACCTGTAATCCTAGCACTTTGAGAGGCTAAGGCTGGCAGATTACCTGAGGTCATGAATTCGAGACCAGCCTGGCCAGCATGGGGAAACCCCGTCTCTACTAAGAATACAAAAATTGGCCGGGCGTGGTAGCGTGCACCTGTGGTCTCAGCTGCTTGGGGGACTGAGACAGGAGAATTGCTTGAACCCGGGAGGCGGAGGTTGCAATGAGCAGAGATGGTGCCACTGCACTCCAGCCTGGGCGACAAAGTGAGACTCTGTCTCAAAAATAAAATAAAATAAAATAAAATAGAAAAGAAAAGCTAATAAACTCTATTTTAATTTTACAAAAAAGTGTTCTCTTTTCTCCACAAGCTTGCCAGTATCTTTTATTTTTTTGATATTTTAATAATAGCCATTCTGACTGCTGTGAGATGGTCTCTCATTGTAGTTTTGATTTGCATTTCTCTAGTCATCAGGAATATTGAGCTTTATTTCATATGCATGTTGGCCACATGTATGTCTTCTTTTGATAAATGTCTATTAATGTTCTCTGCCCACTTTTTAATAGGGTTGTTTGTTTGTTTTTTTCTTGGAAATTTGTTAAAGTTTCTTATAGATGCTGGATGTTAGACCTTTGTATGTTGCATAGTTTGCAAATATTTTCTCCTGTTCTGTAGGTTGTCTGTTTACTCTGTTGATAGTTTCTGTTGCTGTGCAAAAGCTCTTTAGTTTAATTATTTCCCATCTGTCAATTTTTGCTTTTGTTGCAGTTGCTTTTGGTGGATTCATCATGAACTCTTTGCTAGTTCTTATGTCCAGAATGGTATTGCCTACGTTGTCTTCCAGGGTTTTTATAGTTCTGGGATTTACATTTAAGTCTTCAATCCATCTAGAGTTGATTTTTATATATTGTATAAGGATGAGGTCCAGTTTCAATCTTCTGCATAGTGCTAGCCAGTTATCTCAGCACCATTTATTGAATAGGGAGTCCTTTTCCTGTTGCTTTTGTCAGCTTTGTCAAAGTTCAGATGGTTGTAGGTGTGTGTCCTTATTTCTGGGCTCTCTAATCTGTTTAATTGGTCTATGTGTCTGTTTTTCTATGAGTACCATGCTATTTTGGTTGTTGTAGCCCTGTAGTATAGTTTGAAGTTTGGTGATGTGATGCCTCCAGCTTTGTTCTTTTTGCTTAGAATTGCCTTGGCTATTTGGGATCTTTTTTGGTTCCATATGAATCTTAAAATAGTTTTTGCTTTTTCTTTCTTTTTTTGTTTTTTGAGAGGGAGTCTCGCTCTGTTGCCCAGGCTGGAGTGCAAAGGCACGATCTCAGCTCACTGCAACCTCCACCTCCCGGATTCAAGTGATTCTTCCAACTCAGCCTCCCAAGTAGCTGGGATTACAGGTACCCATCATCACGCCCGGCGAATTTTTGTATTTTTGTAGAGATGGGGGTTTCACCATGTTCAGGCTGGCCTTGAACTCATGATCTCAGGTGATCCACCCTCCTCAGCCTCCCAAAGTGCTGGGATTACAGGTGTGAGCCAACACATCTGGCCTTAAAATATTTTTTTCTAGTTTGGTGAAAAATGTCATTGGTAGTTTGATATAGTATTGACTCTGTACATTGCTTTGGGCAGTATGGCCATTTTAATGATACTGATTTCTCCTGTCCATAAGCATGGAATGTTTTTCCCTTTGTGTCATTTTTGATTTCTTTGAGCAGTGTTTTGTAATTATCATTACAGAGAACTTTCTCCTAACTGGTTAGTTGTATTCCTAGGTATTTTATAATTGTGGCAAATGTGAATGGGATAGCATTCCTGATTTGGCTCTCAGCTTGACTGTTGTTGCATAGGAATGCTACTGATTTTCGTACATTGATTTAGTATTCTGAAACTTTATGAAGTTGTTTATTAGCTTAAAGAGCTTTTGGGCTGAGACTATGGGGGTTTTCTAGATATAGAATCATGTTGTCTGCAAACAGGAATAGTTTGAATTTCTCTCTTCCTATTTGGATGCTTGTGATGGTTAATATTGAGTGTCAACTTGATTGGATTGAAGGATGCAAAGTATTGTTCTTGGGTGGGTTTGTGAGGGTGTTGCAAAGGAGATTAACATTTAAGTCAGTGGACTAGGAGAGGCAGACCCACCCTCAATCTAGGTGGGCACCATCTATCAGCTGCCAGCATGGCTAGGATAAAAGCAGGGAGAAGACATGGAAGGACTTGAATGGCTAAATCTTCTGGCCTCCATCTTTCTCCCATGCTGGATGTTTCCTGCCTTAGAACATCAGACTCCAAGTTCTTCTGCTTTTGGACTCTTGGACCTACAGCAGTGGTTTGCCAGGGACTCTCAGGCCTTTGATCACAGACTGAAGGCTGCACTGTTGGCTTCCCCACTTTTGAGGTTTTGGGACTCAGACTGGCTTCCTTGCTCCTCAGCTTGCAGACAGCCTACTATGGGACTTCACCTTGTGATTGTGTGAGTCAACACTCTTTAACAAACTCTCTCTCATATATACATCTATCCTATTAGTACTGTGCCTCTAGAGAACCCTGACAAATACAATGCCCTTTATTTCTTTCTCTCACCTGGTTTCTCTGTCTAGGACTTCCAATAGTATGCTGCATAGGAGTGGTGAAAGAGGGCAACCTTGTCTTATGCCGGTTTTTAAGTGGAATGCTTCTAGCTTTTGCCCATTCAGTATGATGTTGGATGTGAGTTTGTAATAGATGGCTCTTATTCTTTTGAAATATGTTCCTTCAATAAATAGCTTATTGAGAGTTTTCAACATGAAGGGATGTTGAATTTTATCAAAAGGATTTTTGCATCTATTGAAATAATAATGTGGTTTTTGTCTTTAGTACTTTTTAACTAATGAATCACATTTATTGACTTGCATATGTTGAACCAACCTTACATCCCAGGGATAAAGCCTACTTGATTATGATGGATTAACTTTTTGATGTGCTGCTGGATTTGGTTTGCAAGCATTTTGAGGTCTTTCTAACTTTATGATATGGGCATTTACTGCTATATATTTTCTTCATAACTCTTTCTTATCTGTGTCCCAGAGATTCTGGTATGTTGTATCTTTGTTCTCATTAGCTTCAAAGAACTTCTTGATTTGTCTTAATGTTATTATTTACCCAAAAGTCATACAGGAGCAGGTTGTTTAATTTCCACGTTATTGCATGATTTTGAACATTTTTTATTCTTTATTTCTGTTTTATTGCACTGTGGTCTGAAAATGTGTTTGGTATGATTTTGATACTTCTGCATTTGCTAAGGATTGTTTTATGTCCAATTGTGTGGTCTATTTTAGAGTATGTGCCATGGGGCAATGAAAAGAATGTATATTCTGTTGTTTGGGCATGGAATGTTCTGTAGAGGTCTATCAGATCCATTTGGTCTAATTTTGAGCTCAGGTCCTGAATATCTTTGCTAATTTTCTGCCTTGATGATCTGTCTAATACTGTCAGTGTAGTGTTGAAGTCTCCCATTATTACTGTGCAGCAGTCTACATCTCTTTTTAGGTCTCTAAGAAGTTTCTTTATAAATCTGGGCACTCCTGTGTTGGGTACATATATATTTAGGATAGTTAGTCTTCTTGTTGAATTGAATCTTTTACCATTATGGAATGTCATTTTTTGTTTTTCTTTTTAATCTTTGTTGATTTAAAGTCCATTTTATCTGAATTTAGGATTGCAAGCACTGCTTTTTCTCTGATTTCCATTTGCTTAATAAATATTCCTCTATCCCTTTCTTTTGAGACTATGTGTGCCATTGTACATGAGATGGGTCTCTTGAAGACAGCATACCATTGGGTATTGCTTTTTTGTCCAGCTTGTCACTCTATGTCTTTTAAATGTGGCATTTAGCTCATTACATTCAACGTTAGTATGGATATGGGTAGATTGGATCTTGTCATTTTGTTGTCAGCTGGTTACTATGCCAGCTTATTTGTGTGGTTGCTTTATAGTGTCACTGGTCTGTGTACTTAAGTGTGTTTTTATAATGGCTGGTGAATTAGTCTGTTCTCACACCACTATAAAGAAATACCTGAGTCTTGGTAATTTATAAAGAAAAAAGGTTTAATTTGCTCACCATTCTTCAGGCTGTACAGGAAGCATGGCAGCATCTGCTCAGCTTCTGTGGAGGCCTCAGGAAACTTACAGTTGTGGTGGAGGACAAAGGGGAAGCCAGCACTTCACATGGTTAGAGTAGGAGGAATCAAGAGAGGGGGGAGGTGCCACACACTTTTTAAACAACCAGATTTCACCATGATGATAACAGCACCAAAGAGATGGTGTTAAACCATTCATGCAGGATCCACCCCCATGATCCAATCACCTCCCACCAGGCCCTACCTCCAACATTGAGGATTATAATTGAACATGAGATTTGGGTGGAGACACAGATCCAAACCATATCATTCTTCCCCTGACCTCTTCCAAATCTCATGTCCTTCTCACATTGCAAAATGCTATCATGCCTTTCTAACAGTCTCCCAAAGTCTCAACTCATTCTTCATTAACTCAAAAGTCCAAACTCTCATCTGAGACAATGCTAGTCCATTCTGCTTATGGGCCCATAAAATTTTAAAAAGCTACCTACTTCCAAGATACAATGGAGGAATAAGCATTGGTTAAATACTCACATTTCAAGAGGGAAAAATCAGACAAAAAAAAGGCTACAAGCCCCATGCAAGTCCAAAACCCAGCAGAGAGCCATTAAATTCTAAAACCCCAAAATAGTCTCCTTTGACTCCAGGTCATACATTCAGGGCATACTGGTGCAAGTGGTGGACTCCCAAGGCCTTGGACAGTCCCGCCCCTGTGGCCTTGCAGGGTTGTCACCACCACTGCTCTCAAGGTCTGGCATTGAATGCCTGCAGGTTTTCCAGGCACAGAGTGCAAGCTTCCAGTGGATCTACAATTCTGGGGTCTGGAAAATAGTGGCCTTCTTCTCACAGCTCCACTAGGCAGTGCCCCAGTGGGGACTCAGTGTGGGGAATCCAACCCCACATTTCCCTTCCTCACTGCCCTGAAAGAGGTTCTCTATGAGGGCTGTCCTGCAGCAGACTTCTGCATGGACATCTAGACATTGCCATACAGCCTCTGAAATCTAGTTGGAGCCTCCCAAGCCTCAACTCTTGCCTTCTGTACACCCACAGGCTTAGCACCACATGGAAGCCACCAAGGATTGTGGCTTGAGCCCTCTGGAGCAGCACCCTGAGACGTATCTGGGGATCTTTTAGCCATGGCTGGACCTGGAGTGACAGGAACACAGGGATCAGTGTCCTAAGGTTGTGCAGGGCACTAGGACTCTGGGCTTAGCTCACAGAACCATTCTTCCCTCCTAGGCCTGTGGGCCTGTGATGGGAGGTGCTTCCACAAAGGTCTCTTAAATGCATTCAAGGCATTTCCCAATTGTCTTGGCTATTAACATTCAGCTTTTCTTTAGTTATGCAAATTTCTACAGCTAGCTTGAATTCCTACCCCCAGAAAATGGGTTTTTCTTTTCTACCACATGGTCAGGCTGCAGATTTTCTAAACTTTTATGCTCTGCTTCCCTTTCAAATATAAGTTCCAATTTCAGATCATCTCTTTGCTCTCCCACATATGAGCATATGCTGTTAGAAGCAGCCAAGAAACATCTTGAACACTTTGTTTCTTAGAAATTTCTTCCACTAGATACCCTAAATCATCACTTTCAAGTTCAAAGTTCCACAGATCCGTAGAGCAGGGGAACAATGCTGCCAGTCTCTTTGCTAAATCATAGCAAGAGTGACCATTACTCTAGTTCTCAATAAGTTCCTCATCTCCATCTGAAACCTCCTGAGCCTGGACTTCACTGTCCATATCACTATCAGCATTTTGGCCACAAAAATTTAACAACTCTCTATGAAGTTCCAAACTTTCCCTCATCTTCCTGTTTTCTTCTGAGCCCTCCAAACTCCTCCAACCTCTGCCCATTACCCAGTTCCAAAGCTGCTTCCACATTTTCAAGTACCTTTATGGCAATATCTAACTCCTGATACCAATGTTCTGTATTAACTTGTTCTTGAACTGCTATAAAAAAACAACTGAGATGGGAAATTTATAAAGAAAAAAGTTTAATTGACTTACAGTTCTTCAGGCTGTACAGGAAGCATGGCAGCATCTGCTTTGCTTCTGGGGAGGACTCAGGAAATTTACAACCATGGTGGGAGGCAAAGGAGAACCAGCACTTCACATGGCCAGATAAGGAGGAAGAGAGAGAATGGGAGGTGCCACACACTTTTAAACAACCAGATCTTATGAGAGCTCACCATCATGAAAACAGCACCAAAGGGATGGTTTTAAACCATTTCTGAAGGATCCACTCCAGTGATCCAATCACCTCCCACCAGGCCCCACCTCCAGCATTGAGGTTTATAATTGAACTTATGATTTGAGTGGGGACACAGATCCAAACCATATCAGCTGGTAATAATCATTCCTTTCCATATTTAGTGCTCCTTTCAAGCTCTCTTGTAAGGTGGGTCTGGTGATAACAAACTCTCTCAGCATTTGCTTATCTGAAAAGGATCCTGTTTCTTCTTCACTGAGGAAGCTTAGTTGGGCAGAATATGAAATACTCAGTTGTAGATTTTTTTTCTCTAAGAATGTTGAATATAGGCCCTCAATCTCATCTGGCTTATAGGGTTTCTGCTGAGTGGTTCACTGTTAGCCTGGTGGAGTTGCTTTTGTAGGTGACCTACCCTTTCTCTCTAGCTGTCTTTAATTTTTTTCTTTCATTTCGACCTTAGAAAATCTGATGGTGATGTGTCTTGGGGGTAATTTTTTTGTGTAGAATCTTGCAGAGGTTCTCTGTGTTTCCTGAATCTGACTGTCGGCCTCTCTAATGAGGTTGGGAAAGTTTTCATGGATAGTATCCTTAAATATACCAAGTTTTCCAAGTTGTTTGTTTTCTCTCATCACTTTCAGGGATGCCAGTGATTCATAGATTTGGCCTTTTTACATAATCCCATATTTCTCAGATATTTTATTCATTCCTATTCATTCATTTCACTTTAATTTTGTCTGACTGTCTTATTTCAGAGAGCCAGTCGACAAGTTGCAATATTCTTTCCTCAGCTTGGTCTATTCTGCTTTTAATATGGGTGCGGTGGCTCACACCTGTAATCCCAGCATTTTGGGGGGCCGAGGTGGGTAGATCACCTGAGGTCAGGAGTTTGAGACCAGCCTGGCCAGCATGGTGAAACCCTGTCTGTACTAAAAATACAAAAAGAAATTAGCCGAGCATGGTGGCAGGCACCCATAATCCCAGCTACTCGGGAGGCTGAGGCAGGAGAATTGCTTGAAACTGGGAGGTGGAGGTTGCAGCTAGCCAAAATTGCACCATTGCACTCCAGCCTGGGCAACAAGAGGGAAACTCCATCTCAGGAAAAAAAAAAAAAAAAAAAACCTTCTGATTGCATTCTGAAATTCTTGTAGTGTGTTTTTCAGCTCTCTCTTATCAGTTATGTTCTTTTTTATACTAGCTATTTTGTCTGTCAACTCCTGCATCATTTTATTGTGATTCTTAGTTTCCTTGGATTGGGTTTTGCTATCCTAAATCTTGATGATCTTTGTTCCTATCCATACTCTGAATCCTATTTCTATTATTTCAGCAAACTAATTGTGGTTAAGAACCCTTGTTGGAGACCTAGTGTAATCATTTGGAGGACATAAGACACTCTGGCCATCTGAGTTGCCAGAGTTATTTCATTGGTTCTTTCTCATCTCTGCTTGTGGTGTTTCTTTAACTACTGGGCTGTCTCTGATTGAAATGGTCAGGCAAGTGCAGGGTGGATGTACTGGGGTCCCAGGTAGGGTGACCCTGCCCAATAAGGAGAAGTGAGGACCAGGACCTACATGGAGAACAGTCTGGCCACTTTTCCATGAGGTGGAAGTCTGGACAGGCCCCTGGTTCTCCTGGACTCTCCAAAGCCTGGAGACAGCAAGGATGAGCACTGCAAGACAGCAAATATAGCAACCCACTCCTCCCACTGGGGCTCTCTCTCTCAAGGAGGTGCAAAGCTGCTACTGGCTTGATATTCCCAGTGGGCTGTGACTGGAGACCCAGGCTGGGAGGACCCACCCAGTGAGGAGATATGGGAATGGGTACCCATGTAACAGTCCGTCCACTTTTCTGTAAAGCTGCTACAGTATTCTGGGGGTCCACGCCGGTCCCTAGTCACCTCAGATTTTATAGCACCTGAGATATCAACAGTGAAGGCTGCAAAACAGCAGAGATGGCAGCCTGCTCCTCCCTCTGGGAGCTCTGTCTCAAGGAGGTATAGGTCTGTTCCTGGCCCAAACACATTGGTGGGGGTGGTTGTAGACTTTGACTGGGAGATTCCTCCAAATGAAGTAAAAAGGGATCTGGGACCACGTGAAAAAGCAATCTGGCCACTTCACTGTAGAGCTGCTGCACTGTGCTGGGGGACTGCTCCAGTCCCTAGTCACCTTAGACTCCATAGAGCCTGAAGGCAACAACAGCTAAGGCAGTGAAACAACAAAGATGGCTGCCCATCCCTCCCCCTGGGAACTCCATCCCAAGGAGGCCCAGAACTGCCACCAGGAAAAGTGGCTGATGACCTCGGTCAGGGGGTCTCACCCAGTGAGAAGAAGCAGGATCAGGGACCCGAATTAAAAAGCAGCCTGTCCACTTTTTCTGTAGGGTGACTCCAACAACAGCAAAGGCTGCAAAACAGAAAAGATGGTGGCCTGCCCCACCCCTCTCTGGAAGCTCCGTCTCAGAGAGATGTAATGCCACTACCAGCAGCTGGCTAGAGTTCCAAGTCAGTGGGTCTTATTCTGCGAGGTGACATGGAAACAGGGCCTGTAAACCATCACTGCTCAGCCTTCTGGATTCAGCCCTTTTCCTAGGGATATGTATGGCAGTCTAACCTCCCACTTTGCTGAAGTTGTAGCCACTTTTGCTGGGAAGCCCAGATATCTAAGGCTCCCTAGGGCTTTGTGTGTGTCTGAGCATCTGCTGTGCCAAGACTCCACATAGCTCTGCATATCAGACTGCAGACCCTGGTGGAGTGGGTTCATGAGGAAATCTCCTGACCCAAGAGTTGCAAAGACCCATGGGAGAAGCATGGGTCCTCGAGGTCACTCACTCACTCATTGCTTTCCTGGGTGGGGGTGGCTTCTCTGGCTCTGTGTTGATCCTGGGTGGGCAGTCATCCTGCCTTGTTTTTCTCCATCCTCCATGGGTTGAGTTATTTTCTTGATGGCTGGTAGTGGTTTTTCCTTTCCATATTTATCCACATTCTGATCATTCTGATGCCACTTCTATTATTCCTTAAGGAGCTCTTGTAATGCAGGTCTGATGGCAGTGAATTTCCTCAGCATTTGCTTGTCTGAAAAGGATTTTATTTCTCCTTCACTTATGAAGCTTGGTTTGGCCAGATATGAAATTGTGGGCTGGAATTGATTTTCTTTAAGAATGTTAAATATTGACCCCCAATGTCTTCTGGCTTGTAGGGTTTCCACTGAGAAGTCTGCTTCTCAATGCATTAGTCTGATGGGCTTCCCTTTGTAAGTGACCTGGCCTTTCTCTCTGGCTGCCCTTAACATTTTTTTATTTCATTTCAATTTTGGACAATCTGATAATTATGTGTCTTGGGGATAATCTTCTCATGAAATATTTTACTGGGGTTCTCTGCATTTCCTGAATTTGAATGTTGGCCTGTCTAGCATGGTTGGGGAAGTTCTTATGGATGATATCCTGAAATATGTTTTCCAAATTGGTTCCATTCTCCCCAGCTCTTTCAGGGGAGAGCAGAACCAATTTGGAAAACATATTTTGGAAAACATCTATGACCAAACAGTCATAGAATCGGTCTCTTTACATAATACCATATTTGTCAGAGGTTTTGTTTATTCCTTTTCATTCTTTTTTTCTCTATCCTTGTCTGCCTGTCTTATTTCAGAAAGACAGTCTTTAAGCTCTGAGATTCTTTCCTCCACTTGGTTTATTCTGCTATTAATACATATAAATGCATTATGAATTTCTTGTATTGTGTTTTTCAGCTCCATCAGATTGGTTATGCTTTTCTCTATCCTGGCTATTTTGTCAGCTCCTGCAATGTTTTATTGTGATTTTTAGCTCCCTTGCATTGAGTTAGAACTTGCTCCTTTAGCTCAGCGAAGTTCATTTTTATCCATATTCTGAGGTCTACTTCTGTCATTTCAGCCATGTCAGCCTTAACCCCATTCTGAACCCTTTCTGGAGAGGTGATGTGGTCATTTGGAGGAGAGAGGGCACTCTGGCTTTTTGAGTTTTCCACATTCTTGCACTGATTCTTTTTCATCTTTGTGGGCTTATCTACCTTCAATCTTTGGGGTTGCTGGCCTCTGGATGGAGTTTTTGAAGGGAGGGTTCCTTTTTAACAGTCTCACCACTTTACCGTAGTGATACTATGGTTTGCTGGGCATCCATTCCAGAACATAGTCACCTCAGAATTTCTAGTACCTACAGGTATCATCAGTTAAGGCTGTGAAACAGCAAAGATGGCAGCCTGCCCCTTCTTCTTGGAGCTCTGTCCCAGGGGTGTACAAATCTGTTGCCAGCCTGAACACACCTGTAGGAGGTGGATGGAGACCCTGGTTGAGAGGTCTCACCCAGCCAGTAGAAACAGGATCAGGGACCTGCTTGAAGAAGCAGTCTAGCCCCACTTTTGTAGAACAGCTGAGCTGTGCTGGGATACCATTTCTGCCCCTCATGGTGTTGGGTTCTCCAAAACCTGAAAGCTGGAACGGCTAAATTGCAGAAACAGCAAAGATGGCAGCCTGCCCCTCTCTCTAGTAACTCTGTCCCAGGATGCTTTCAAACCCTTGTCAACCAGAGAACATCAGTGGGAGAGGCTGAAGACCCTGGTTGGGAAGTTCTCCCAAGTGAGGAGGAACAGATCAGGGACCTGCTTAAAGAAGCGGTCTTGCCACGCTTTTGTAGAGCAGTTGTGTCATGCTGGGGTACCACTTCTGCCCTCAGATGGTTTGAACTCTCCTAAGCCAAGAGGCTGGAATGACTGAGTTGTCCAAACAGCAAAGATGGTGGCTCGTCCCTACCCCTCGGCACTCCATCCCAAGGAGAAATCAAAACTCTGTCTGCCAGAGAATATGGGTGGGGTTGGCTGGAGGCCTTGGTTGGGAGGCCCTGCCCTAAGATGAGGAATGGATCAGGTCCCACTTAAAGAAGCAGTCTGGCCATGTTTTGGTAGAGCAGCTGTGCTGTGCTGGGAGGTCCCATCAGTTCTCAGTTGGTGTGGTTTGGACTCTCCTACACCCACATGCTGGAATGGCTGAGTTGTCCAAACAGAAAAGATAGCGGCTTGCTCCTTCCCCTGGGAACTCTATCCTATCCCAGGTAGGCACAACACCATTAACAGGGGGCTTGCTGGAAATCCAAACCAGTGGGTCTTATCCTGTGAGGTGCCAAGGAAGTGGGAATCACAGGGCAATGCTACTTGGCCTCTGGGCTTCAGCTCCCCTCCTAGGGGTGTATATGGAGGTTCAACCTCCCACTTGGCCTGAGTTGCAATCACCCTGACCAGGGATCCTGGGGCCAGAGTATGTAAAGCTCCTGGGACTCTGTGCACCCCTGGGCAGTTGCTTAGCAGAGACTTCATGCAGCTTTGTGTGTCAGACCAAGTCTTGGTGGAGTGGATTCATGAGGGGATCTCCTGACCCAAGAGTTGCAAAGGTCCATGGAAGAAGTGCGGTTGCTAGGGGTCACATATTCATTCACTGTTTGCCTGGGCAGGGAGAGGTTCCCTTGGCTCCATGTCCTTTCCTAGTGGGCTGTCGCCCTGCTTTGCTTTTCTCCTTTCTGCATGGGTTGAGCTCTTTCCCTGATCAGTCTCAATGTGAGAACATGAATGTTTCAGTTGAAGTTGCTGTATTTACTTGCCCCTTTCATTTCTCTCCATGAGAGCCAAGAGTCCTCACTGCTTCTAGTCAGCCATCTTTGGTCCAGCTTTGTTTCCTTGATGAATCCCAATGCATGTACCTGGAAGTACAGTTAAAAGTGCTGTATTTACTCACTCCTTCTATTTCTCTATATGAGAACAGTGCATACTAGCTGTTTATAGTCAGCCATCTTCAGAATTTATTGTTTAATCTAAATGTGATAGTTTACACCTATATATGACAAACTTTGTCTTACTGATTTCAGCCAGTCAGCCTTTGCTTATTTAATTCTCACAACTTTGAGGAAAGTATGGCTTATTCCCTTTACAAAGAAAGTGAGGCTCAGCAACATGACTTCCCTCAATTTACCCAGCAAGATTGAAGCAGTCAAGGCTGTAACCCAGGTATTCTAACACATAATCCAGCTCATGGGTCCCTCTACTTATCTCTGCAGTTTCCAGCCCTACCATAGGCTTTCAGGACATGCTTAGAAACTGGATTATGCTGAATGGTCTGAGCCCTGTGGCAGAGACTCAGACATGTCAGATGAGACTAATTTACCCCTGTTGTGGACTAGCTTCTGTCACTCCAAAATTTACATATTGAAGCCCTACCCTCCAATATAGTGACATTTCGAGATGGGACCTTTGGAGGTAATTAGGTTAGATGAGATTATAAGGACAGAATCTTCATGACAGAATTAATGCCCTTATTAGAAGAGGAAGAGAACAGAGCTCATTCATTGGTTCTGTCTCCCCAACCCCCTCCCCTGGCTTTCTCCCTCCCATGTGAGGACATAATGAGAAGGCAGTCATTTGTTTGCAAGCCAGGAAGAGAGCCCTCATCAGGACCCCACCATACTAGTACCCTGATTTCAGACATCCCAGCCTCCGGAATTGTGAGAAATAAATATCTGTTGTTGAAGCCAGCCACCCAGCTTATAGTATTTTGTTATAGCAGCCCATCAGACAAAGACAGTCTCTTCCACAGGATTGCCAAGAGAAGACTTGTATGGGAATTAAACCAGATATTTGACAAACTCGAGATAGTCTTGTGGATAATCTTGTGAAATATGAAACTACAATAAGACCAGCCAAGTGCCATTGTAACTGGTTAAATGCAGTATCTAAAGACGGCAACTGTTTGATGGTAACTTGAAAGATTTTTTATTTGGCTGGATTTGAGAAACATGCTTATACTGCACTTGAATATAAATATGGAAGAAGCACTTAAATATCTGCAGGTGATCTCAATCTGGGACATGAAATAGGCATCAGAAAAGACCCAAAGTGAAAGATGGGCTTAATTTTTAAAATGGCAATTGAAGAGAATTGTCACCATATTGTGCTAGTTCCTGGGTGAGGCCCTTTCTGTAAATGAGCACATTTAAATAGATTAAATCAAGCCTTGCAACTAGATCCAGATCCAAAAAAAGAAATATTAAAACAGGGCATTGTTACATGTGCAATCAATTTTAGAGTCTCCTTGCTCTTCCATGAACTTGCCAAGTATGCTCTTGCCTTAAGGCAAAGCAAAGATGTCCTCTCTCACTATTCGTCAATATTATACCAGAAGCCCTAGCTAGTGCAATAAGACGTGAAAAAGAAATAAAAGATATACAGATTGGAAAGGAAGAAGTAAAATTGTCTTTATTTGCAGATAACATAATTCTGTATAGAAAAATCTAAAGGATCTACAAACAGAACTCTCCTGTGAATATAAGCAATTATAGCAATGTCACAGGATACAAGGTCAATACACAACTGTCAAATTCATTCTTACATACAAGCAAAGGACAGTTAGAATTTGAAAATCTTAAAGCAATACTATTTTGAATAGCATAAAAATGATAAAATATGTGTAAGTCTCACAAAATATGTATATAATGTGTATAATGAAAAACTACAAAACATTTGTGAAGAAATAAAAAAGATTTACATCTTCAGAATAAACAGAAAGAAATTTCGTGATTATGAATTGGAAGATTCAATACTGTTAAGATGTCAAAATCTCCCATTTGATGTATACGTTCAATGCAATCCAAATGACAACAAGCTATTTTTGGAAAACAGATTCTAAAATATATTTGATGCTTAAAATATCTTTGATTTGGCCAGTGGGACCCCTTTCAAACTGGCTCATGTGTCTTTTTGACATGCCCTTATCATTCTTTGATACTCCTTAATTTCTAGCACAAAAAAATGTTCTAGGCTCTTGTGTTTTCTTTGTTCCAGGATTGAAATAAGCCATTTCTCCAAGGATCCCTGGTTCAATTTAGGGGAGAATGGTATACACGTCCCTCAACTTATGATGGGGTTACATCCCAATAAACCCATTGTAAGTCAAAAATATCATAAGTCAAAAATGCATTTAATACTCCAGTAAGCCCCTCATAAAGTCAAAAATGGAAAATTGAACCATCATAAGTGAGGGACTGTCTGTATGTAGAAATCCAGATGTGGGTGCAAGGTGTGCTTATTGCTACTGTGATGTCAATCCTAGTTATTCTCAGTGGTCAGCCCTATCATATGCATGCATGCAGATACACACACACACACAAAACGTGTGTTTAAGTATATACATATATATTTTGTAAGCCATCTGTATGAAATAAACCATAAGCTATTCTTACATATCCAATTCCATTCCAACACCATGAGGTTCATTTAGCCTTCCTTTTTCTATATTTTTAATTCCCATCTTTGAGAATGAGAAAACTATTTTACATTATCCACAACATATTCATAAAGTGATTTGTACATACACAAAGCAATCTGGGACTGCTAATGCATAACTGATAAACAAACCTATTAACTGGAATCCAATATTTGTTTACACTTTTTTTGTATTTATAGAGAATATAGTCAAATTACTATGTTCAAAACTTACTTGGGTTAATTTATTTTCCCCCTGTTTACTCTGGTGTTTTTATTCATCTGAAATACTTTTAGATTCATTTGTTTTCATTTATATTCCATTTTTAAACCTGCATCTTTGTGAATTTTGTTTTATTTTTGAGAATGTGAAACATCAACATGGTTTGAAAGGTCAGAACTATACAAAAAATTATATTCAGAGAAATGCCCCCCATTCTTTGCATCTTGTTCCAATTCCTAATCGTTTCCACCCAATTCTCACCTACCTTCATAAGTAATCATTCTCATTAATTTCTGGTTTATCCTTACTGTGTTTCATTTTGCATGAATGAACAGATGTACATATATTTTCTTTTTTCCTTCTTTTTTTGCATTATATTTTCCTGTTCAAATCCAGTGCCACAAACTACCAATGTAGCAAGTATAACAATTTATATATATATATATATATATAATACTTTAAGTTCTAGGTTACAGGCGCACAACATGCAGGTTTGTTACATATGTACACATGAGCCATCTTGGTGTGCTGCACCCATTAACTCGTCATTTACATTAGGTATATCTCCTAATGCTATCCCTCCCCCCTCCCCCCAACTCACAACAAACCCCAGTGTATGATGTTCCCCTTCCTGTGTCCAAGTGTTCTCATTGTTCAGTTATGAGTGAGAACATGCGGTGTTTGGTTTTTTGTCCTTGCAATAGTTTGCTGAGAATGATGGCTTCCAGCTTCATCCATGTCCCTACAAAGGACATGAACGCATTATTTTTTATGGCTGCATAGTATTCCTTGGTGTATATGTGCTGCATTTTCTTTTTTTTTGCATTTTTTTATTATACTTTAAGTTTTAGGGTAGATGTGCACAACGTGCAGGTTAGTTACATATGAATACATGTGCCATATTGGTGTGCTGCACCCATTAACTCGTCATTTAACATTAGGTATATCTCCTAATGCTATCCCTCCCCCCTCCCCCCACCCCACAACAGGTCCCAGTGTGTGATGTTCCCCTTCCTGTGTCCATGTGTTCTCATTGTTCAATTCCCACCTATGAGTGAGAACATGAGGTGTTTGTTTTTTCGTCCTTGCGATAGTTTGCTGAGAATGATGGTTTCCAGCTTCATCCATGTCCCTACAAAGGACAGGAACTCATCCTTTTTTATGGCTGCATAGTATTCCATAGTGTATATGTGCCACATTTTCTTAATCCAGTCTATCATTGTTGGACATTTGGCTTGGTTCCAAGTCTTTGCTATGTGCATGTGTCTTTATAGCAGCATGATTTATAATCCTTTGGGTATATACCCAGTAATGGGATGGCTGGGTCAAATGGTATTTCTAGTTCTAGATCCCTGAGGAATCGCCACTGTCTTCCACAATGGTTGAACTAGTTTACAGTCCCACCAATGGTGTAAAAGTGTTCCTATTTCTCCACATCCTCTCCAGCACCTGTTGTTTCCTGACTTTTTAATGATTGCCATTCTAACTGGTGTGAGATGGTATCTCATTGTGGTTTTGATTTGCATTTCTCTGACTGCCAGTGATGATGAGCATTTTTTCATGTATCTGTTGGCTGCATAAATGTCTTCTTTTGAGAAGTGTCTGTTCATATCCTTTGCCCACTTTTTGATGGGGTTGTTTGGTTTTTTCTTCTAAATTTGTTTGAGTTCTTTGAAGATTCTGGATTAGCCCTTTGTCAGATGAGTAGATTGCAAAAATTTTCTCCCATTCTGTAGATTGCCTGTTCACTCTGACGGTTGTTTCTTTTGCTGTGCAGAAGCTCTTTAGTTTAATTAGATCCCATTTGTCAATTTTGGCTTTCATTGCCATTGCTTTTGGTGTTTTAGACATGAAGTCCTTGCCCATGCCTATGTCCTGAATGGTAACGCCTAGGTTTTCTTCTAGGGTTTTTATGGTTTTAGGTCTAAAAGTCTTTAATCCATCTTGAATTAATTTTTGTATAAGGTGTAAAGAAACGATCCAGTTTCAGCTTTCTACATATGGCTAGCCAGTTTTCCTAGCACCATCCGTTAAATAGGGAATCCTTTCCCCATTGCTTGCTTTTGTCAGGTTTGTCAAAGATCAGATAGTTGTTGATGTGTAGTATTATTTCTGAGGGTTCTGTTCTGTTCCATTGGTCTGTATCTCTGTTTTGGTACCAGTACCATGCTGTTTTGGTTACTGTAGCCTTGTAGTTTAGTTTGAAGTCAGGTAGTGTGATGCCTCCAGCTTTGTTCTTTTGGCTTAGGATTGACTTGGCAATGTGGGCTCTTTTTTGGTTCCATATGAACTTTAAAGTAGTTTTTTCCAGTTGTGTGAAGAAAGTCATTGGTAGCTTGATGGGGATGGCATTGAATCTATAAATTACCTTGGGCAATATGGCCTTTTTCACGATAATAATTCTTCCTATCCATGAGCATGGAATGTTCTTCCATTCGTTTGTATCCTGTTTTATTTCATTGAGCAGTGGTTTGTAGTTCTCCTTGAAGAGGTCATTCCCATCCCTTGTAAGTTGGATTCCTAGGTATTTTATTCTCTTTGAAGCAATTGTGAATGACAGCTCACTATGATTTGGCTCTCTGTTTGTATGTTATTGCTGTATAAGAATGATTGTGATTTTTGCACATTGATTTTGTATCCTGAGACTTCACTGAAGTTGTTTATCTGCTTAAGGAGATTTTGGGCTGAGACGATGGGGTTTTCTAAATATATAATCATGTCATCTGCAAACAGGGACAATTTGACTTCCTCATTTCCTAATTGAATACCCTTTATTTCTTTCTCCTGCCTGATTGCCCTGGCCAGAACATCCAACACTATGTTGAATAGGAGTGGTGAGAGAGGGCATCCCTCTCTTGTGCCAGTTTTCAAAGGGAATGCTTCCAGTTTTTGCCCACTCAGTATGATATTGGCTGTAGGTTTGTCATAAATAGCTCTTATTATTTTGAGATACATCCTATGAATACCTAATTTATTGAAAGTTTTTAGCATGAAGGGCTGTTGAATTTTGTCAAAGGCCTTTTCTGCATCTATTGTGATGATCATGTGGTTTTTGTCTTTGGTTCTGTTTATATGCTGGATTACGTTTATTGATTTGCATATGTTGAACCAGTCTTGCATCCCAGGGATGAAGCCCACTTGATCATGGTGGATAAGCTTTTTGATGTGTTGCTGGATTCGGTTTGCCAGTATTTTATTGAGGATTTTTGCATCTATATTCCTCAGGGATATTGGTCTAAAATTCTCCTTTTTTGCTGTGTCTCTGCCTGGATTTGGTATCAGGTTGATGCTGGCCTCATAAAATGAGTTAGGGAGGATTCCCTCTTTTTCTATTGATTGGAATAGTTTCAGAAGGAATGGTACCAGCTCCTCCTTGTACCTCTGGTAGAATTCGACTGTGAATCCATCTGGTCCTTGAGTTTTTTTGGTTGGTAAGCTGTTAATTATTGCCTCAATTTCAGATCCTGTTATTGGTCTATTCAGAGATTCAACTTCTTCCTGGTTTAGTTTTGGGAGGGTATAAGTTTCAAGGAATGTATCCATTTCTTCTAGATTTTCTAGTTTATTTGCCTAGAGGTGTTTATAGTATTCTCTGATGGTAGTTTGTATTTCTGTGGGATCGGTGGTGATATCCCCTTTATCATTTTTTATTGCGTCTATTTGATTCTTCTCTCTTTTCTTCTTTATTAGTCTTGATAGCGGTCTATCAATTTTGTTGATCTTTTCAAAAAACCAGCTCCTGGATTCATTGATTTTTTGAAGGGTTTTTTGTGTCTCTATCTCCTTCAGTTCTGCTCTGATCTTAGTTATTTCTTGCCTTCTGCTAGCTTTTGAATGTGTTTGCTCTTGTTTCTCTAGTTCTTTTAATTGTGATGTTAGGGTGTCAATTTTAGATCTTTCCTGCCTTCTCTTGTGGGCATTTAGCGCTATAAATTTCCCTCTACATACTGCTTTGAATGTGTCCCAGAGATTCTGGTATGTTGTGTCTTTGTTCTCGTTGGTTTCAAAGAACTTCCTTATTTCTGCCTTCATTTCTTTATGTACCCAGTAGTCATTCAGGAACAGGTTGTTCAGTTTCCATGTAGTTGAGCGGTTTTGAGTAAGTTTTTTAATCCTGAGTTCTAGTTTGATCGCACTGTGGTCTGAGAGACAGTTTGTTATAATTTCTATTCTTTTACATCTGCTGAGGATTTCTTCACTTCCAACTAAGTGGTCAGTTTTGGAATAAGTGCCATGTGATGCTGACAAAGATATATATGCTGTTGATTTGGGGTGGAGAGTTCTGTAGATGTCTATTAGGTCCGCTTGATGCAGAGCTGAGTTCAATTCCCGTTTCTTTTTTTTCTTCTTAAACATAAAGTAGCATTCCATAGGTTTCTTTGCAATTTGATTTTTTAATTAACAATATATTCTAGAATTACTCCATAAGAGATCATCCAGATAGTCCTCATTCTTTTTATTTTACAAATGTATAATACTTCATTTTGTGGATGTACTATAGTTTACTCAACCATTCTTCTATTTATCAGCACTTAGGCTGATTGTAATATTTTCAATTGCAAACAAAGCTAAGATGACTAACATTATGTATGCATGTATATTGCTGGAGGTGTATGCCTAGTAAAGGTTTTCTGGATCAAAAGGCAATGGAAATCCCTGCCAGGATCATATTGTTGCGGCTGAGAGAAGAGTTGATCTTCTATAACTCTCCTGGAAAAAGCAGGCAGTGCTTCAATTTTCCCACCAGGGTACAGTCAGTGGGATCCAACAACCAGGAGACTTCAACCCTACCCAGCAGCAAAGAGACATAGGAGGTGAGGTGGTTCAAGGCATAGAGGCTAGTTATCACTACAGTTAACCCTCTCAACCCCAAGTCATTAAGGCCTAATGGAGAGCTGACTGTCCACCTGAATCCAACAACATGTGACTGAAAATAGCAGTGAGAGTTGGTGCTAGTCAGCAATCTACTGTCACCAAATGCCTAGTTTCACTGGGACCTAGTGAAGAGCTAAACCTATACAACCACCCAACAGCAAAAAGGCTAAACAAGGCAGTGTGAAGCAGGGATACTGACAATTCTTGTTCTTTCTTGTTATGTACTGAATGTTTGCGTCCTCCGCCACCATTCATATGTTGACATATAATCTCTAATCTGATGATATTTGGAGGTGGCACCTTCTGGAAGTAATTAGGTCATGAGGGTGGAGCCCACACAAGTGAGATTAGTGTTCTTATAAAAGGCCAGAGAACTAGATCACTTTTTTTCCACCATTTGAGGATACAAGCAGAAGTCAACTGTCTACAACTTGGAAAAGGGACCTCACCAGAACCCGACCATACTGATACCCTATTCTCAGACTCCCAGCCTCCAGAACTGTGAGAAATAAGCATTTTTAATTCTTAAATATGATTTAATACTCTTTTCCATTTCTGTACATCACAACACCAAGATTTCGCTGCTTAGGATCTCTCTGCAAAAGCTATAGAGAATGCAAAGGCTACAATTTTCACCCCCTCTTATGTGTTTGTATGTGTAAGTGTAATACATGTCAGTATATATTGATACACACATCAATATATCATGCAATATATATCACCAAAGAGAACAAACTGATTAAAGAAATACAAAAATTTGGCATCTTTTCCAAACTTAAATAGTAAAAATTAAAACTACAAAAGGAGCTGCATACCCTAAATGTATCATGTGAAACAACAAACATATTCAAAAATGTAAATTTACTTCCAATTTCTCTGGTCTTGTCATATCACATCAATCCCATTTACAATGGGAAAACCCTAAGATACTACTGTGGAGAGAGCATTTTTACTCATTCTTGGGTGTTCTGCAAACAAATAGCAGAGCCCAAAGCAAAGAAAAAAAAAAAAGCCTGTTCCAGTCAAGTCTCCCATGTTGGTGAACACCAAAGGGTCAACTCCTCTCACTGGGGGTTGAGACATCAGGTTAACAGACAGTCATTTGGACCTGAGAGTACAGTGTGAGAACCAGAAGCTTTACATTTAAGACATACTCCCTTCATTTAAGTGAAATAGGATTATTGGAAAGATAGGCAGGTCTGTAACCTGGGAACAAGATGCTGGTTCAGATCAATAAAGCTACGAGTGACTGAGTCAAGTCAGTAAAGAACAGCAGTCAGCACTAAAGTGTTAAAACTACCCAATTTGAAAACCAAATGCACCCCACTATCCTAGTTAGTGTGGAAGTGATATCAATTGACTTTGGTCCTTCAAAGTCCATTCGTTATACTTTTTTCCATTGCTACCACTGGACACATACTATACACTTTGTTCACTGTCACCACATCAAGCATGACATGCATGTCAGCTGGGTTCAAGTCTGACTTATAGCCCAGATGTGAGGCATAAGCTTCAAGATTTCAGGCCAACTTTTGCATCCAACATAATCTTAAGTCCATGGTGCCAGAAGCTGTGTCCCATCCCTTCCCACCTGCCCCTAATTGCTCATGTGAGAGGTGATTGTAAGTCTCACATTTGAAACAGATGTCCCAACCCCACCAGGAGGTCAGGAGTTTGTAATTACATGCAGTTATACATGTCTGTCATTCCTGTGAAAAACCTTGCAGTTCATTTTAATAAATCAAAACATTCACATAATCTCATGCCATCCAACACAAGGAAAACACACCCACCTTCCTTTAAACAAGAACTGATCAAACAAAATAAAATCATCTTTAAATTTCTTCACTTCCACTTAGATTGCATGTTTTATTTCTCCCAATCCTGGCAATAGACAGAAGCCCCAACATATCCATCCCAAACTGATTTCTAGTAGGCTAGCTAAGTTTATAAGGACCCTTGTCAAAACAATTGATTCAAAGAGCTCCCAAACGCCAGGCACAAATGTATCTGCCAAACAAATTGAAGCAAACAGTGCACTGGCCCAAATGCTTCAGGAGTCAGTTTGATTTTGCAATGCAATTTACATCCTTGAAACTTCCAGTCTGGTGGGGCAGTGGGTAGAGTGAGGGAGTAAAGTTGAAATTGCCTCCTAGTAGCTCACCCTTTCAACATTAAACAGAGACCAAGAGAGAAATGGTTCCAACATTTCACCACATATATTTCTTCTTATGCAGTCTAAGCTGAGAATGCCATGTAAATGGGTTACTGCAAAATGCAATAATTTAATTTTTCTCCAATCAAAATAAGAAACAAACCAGTCTGATCTCACTTTTATTAACTTTTGAAAGTTTACAACAATTAAAGTATTTTTGATTCTATGTATGAAGGTTAAAAAAATCTTTTTTTCTTTTTCATAAAATACAAGGGCAACCAATTTCACCATTGAGTAAAAGTAAAAACTGGGATTCCTTTTTACATTACTCCAAAGTCGCATTTAGGAACTTAATTGTAGGCTGCTGTGCTGACACCATGACAAACCAAAGTGTAGGACTGGATCTGGTTTTGTTTCGGTTTTCTTTTCAATATCCAATGCTCATGGATTAAATTCTGGAAATGTTCCAACTGTGAGGCAGGGATCTGTTTGGATTCCACCATGGGTATGCTCCTTGGGTTGGATGTTGGAGGGTGAGGCACGTTTTGCTGACTACCTACTAGTCACCAAGGTAAAAAAAATAATCGTCTCCTGGTATTCTATTCCCTGGAAATCTACTCGGTACCACAAGATACTTCCACTTCTACCAAGTCCTTTCACAAACTGAGACATTTCTTGTGATTTATCTGTGACAATTTCCAACATAGCTCCAAATTTTTTATAGTTGTTAGCAAACAATTCCAACAGGGGTATGCGCTCAATAAGCTCATGTTCCCATCCAGTCTCTTTGTCTATGAAATGAGATGTATCTTTTTCTTTTCCTTTTTTTTTTTTTTTTTTTTTTTGAGACGGATTCTCGCTCTTTTGCCCAGGCTGGGGTGCAGTGGTGCGATCTCTGCTCACTGCAAGCTCCGCCTCCCAGGTTCACGCCATTCTCCTGCCTCAGCCTCCCGAGTAGCTGCGACTACAGGCGCGTGCCACCACGCCCGGCTAATTTTTTGTATTTTTTAGTAGAGACAGATTTTCACCGTGTTAGCCAGGATGGTCTCGATCTCCTGATCTCGTGATCCACCTAGGCCCGCCTCGGCCTCCCAAAGAGCTGGGATTACAGGCGTGAACCACCGTGCCCTGCCGATGTATCCTTTTCTTGCTCTGGAGTTAGATAGAGAATTTTCTCCTCTTCTGTGCCTTGTCAATGAAGAACATATCTCATTATATCCAGATTTTCATAGACTATTAGACTCTACAGCTCCCATTTCCAAAGCCTTTAGCGAATCTTCAACACCAAAACAGTACTTGCCCATGTCCTGGCTGACTTCATCAAACTATCTTCCTATTAATTTCTTCTCTCGAATGAATTTCATATTGGAGAGGACTTCAGTAGATAACTCAATAGGTTGGTTGAATCCATTTTCACCACCATAGGATATACAAACTAACTTTAAAACTTTTTATTGCAACCTTTGATCAAATATATCAAATTGACTTAGTTCAGTTTTAAAGTCAGCAGATCCAGCTAAAACTAGACCAGCCACATTCACATTGTCTCCAGAAATAAACAGCTACACAGCAGTCTCTGCTACTTTCCAAACGTAGTTGTATCGCTTTTCCATTCTTAAAGAGGCAAAACACAGGGATGACTGACCTCCTCTACCGTGTTTCTTTGGGAGATCCACAATGAATTTGTGCAGGACTTGCGTTTCCTTGGAGTGTGCCAAAAACTGCACCACTACCATCTATTACAATGAAGCCAAATTTGCTATCATCTGAAAGTAGTGCTATAAGAGCCTCTGTATGGAATTTGTTGTCACACAAATACAGTGAAGTATTAATTGGTTTGAAAGGTTCAAAATCAATGTTCACTTTCTTTTCCTTTCCTTCTTTTGCTACAGTTGTTCCACAGCAAACAACCAGACTATTTGAAGGTACTTTGTTATAAAGTTTGAGCCTTTGTTGTACAGATGTAATGCCTCCCAGGACTGAAAGACAGTTTACTCATGACTTAATGTTAGATGCAGTTCCAAACTCATCTGCTAACATTTTTGCCACTCAGAGCATTTGTTTCTTTAAACCACACAGTGTATAGTACTTTGTTATAGCAGCCTAAACTGAGACAACTCCCCCACCATTCCCCATTGTCAGCAGGGTCCAACTAGAAGCTGAGCTTCCATTTTTACCATGCATCAACAAAACGGTATGATTCAGTGCTCCACTTCCATACTCCCTGGTGTCAGTGAGGCCAACAGGAACCTGAACATATCCAGCCCTTGTGCTACTTCAACATAGAGACTATGTGCTTAAAAATAATGTTAAGTGTAATTAAACATCTCACAATATAATTTCCAGAATGTTTGAGATACAATAAAAAATCACTCATCATACCAACAACCAGGAAAACCACAATTTGAATAAGAAAAGACAATCAAGGGATGCCAACACTGAGTTGATAGAGATGTTAGAATTGCCTGACAAGGATTTTAAGGTATCCATCACACAATTGCTTTAACAAGGACTTACAAATTTCCTTGAAATAAATGAAAAAAAAATAGAAAATGTCAGAAAAGAAATTCAAGTTATATTTTAAAATAATAAATGGAAATTATAGAACATAAAAATGCAATAAGCAAAATTTTTTTTAATTACTCGATGGACTTAATAGTAGAGATGACAGAGGATAGGATCAGTAAATTTGAAGACAGATAGATAAATAGAATTTATTCAATCTTAACAACAGGAATAAGTAGAATTTTTTTAAAGAAGAGGATCTAAGGGACTTGTGAGAATATATATAAAAAAAAATCTAACATTCTTATTACCAGAGTTCCAGAAGTAAAGGAGAAACAGAGTATGGCTGAAAGAATATTCAAAAAAATACTGGCTGAAAACTTCCCAAATTTGGTGAAACACATAAACCCACAGATTCAAGAAATTCAGTGAATTGCAAATAGGATAAATCCAAAGAAACACATGTCAAGACACATGATATCTAGCTTCTGAAAACTAAATATAAAGAAAACATCTTGAAAGCAGCCAGAGACAAACAACACATTTCCTGTAGGATGATATGAATTCAAATGAAAATGTATTTCTCATCTAAAACCATAAAGGCCAGAAATAAGTAATAACGTATTTTAAGTACTGAAAGAAAGGACTTGTCAAACACAAATTGTATATCTAGCAAAAATATCTGTCAGGAATGAAGGGTAAATCAAGATATTCTCAGATGAAGAAAAATAAAAAGAATTTGTTGCTAGCAAATCTATCCTTAAAAAATAGCTATAGGAAGTTCTCTAAACTTTCTTAGAAAGGAAATTATAACAGAAGAAGGCTTGGAATTTCAGAAAAGGAAGAACATAGGAATACAAAAAAGAGGTGTAATAGCAAGAGATAATCCTACTTGTCCTGAGTTTTTAAATCTTATCTGAAGATTGAAGCAAAAATTATAACACTATGTGATATGGTGCTCAATGTATGGACAGTAAGTATTTAAGACAATTATATTTTATTTGAATGCACAGGATAAAATGACCTAAGTGAAACAAGGTTTCTATATTTAATATGAAGCATTAAAAATTTGATACCAGTATACAGTGAGATGTTAGTATACATATGGTAATCTCTAAAGCAATTACACAGAAAACTATGCACAGTGGTATACTCAAAAACAGTGTATGGTGTGAGTTGGTTGCAGGTAATATTTTAAAGAGAAAGAAAAAAAGGTATAAATAAATCAAGATGTAATCCAAATTTTTTACTTAACCAACAAGATGTTAAAAATTAAAAGGCAAATAAAAGAATTGAGAAATAAAGAAAACTAGCAGAGCACACATAATAAGGTGGCAGACATAAGCATTAATATATTAATAATTACCTTATGTGTAAATCATCTAAATACACCAATTAAAAGAGAGAGATTTGGGGGAGGGAATTATGTTTAAAACTACGGTTTACAAGAAATTCGCCTTAAGTACAAAGACATAGATATGCCAAAAATTAGGGAAAAATGCATATTATGTAAACATTAATATCAGATAAAATAGACTTCAAAGCAAAGCATTGAAGGAGGGCCTCAACACAGTGTCTATGTTCAAAGACTGGGAGAGTATTTTGCGGGGGTGGGTTTCAGGCATTTAAGAAAATGCTTTCAAAACATGAGCGTCCACTAAGCTAACAGAATGCAGACTTCAGTAGCCACAGGTAAAGAATACAGGCTTTATAAAAAATGGTTTACAAAAGTCACTAAAAAGTAACAACAAGCAGCAAAACAAATTTAGGGGAGCAAGGATACTCTGACACCAAGTGCTGCCACATCATAATATACAAAATGTTCAGATTTCAGATTTCAACAATAAATTATAAGACATGCAAAGGCACACTCAGTAAAAAAAAAAGAAATTAATAGAAACATTCCCTGAGAAAGGCTAGGCATTGGACAAAGACTTTAAACCTACTATCTTTGGCCAGGCACAGTGGCTCACGCCTGTAATCCCAGCACTTTGGGAGGCCGAGGCAGGCGGATCACGAGGTCAGGAGATTGAGACTACCCTGGCTAACCAAGTGAAACCCCGTCTCTACTAAAAATACAAAAAATTAGCTGGATGTAGTGGCACGCACCTGTAGTCCCAGCTATTCGTGAGGCTGAGGCAAGAGAATTGCTTGAACCCAGGAGGCGGATGTTGGTTACAGTGAGCCAAGATCGTGCCACTGCACTCCAGCCTGGGCGACGGAGTGAGACTCCACCTCAAAAAAAAAAAAAAAAAAAAATCTACCATCTTTAATCACGGACAAAAAAAATGAAAGGAAACCAGGAGAACAAAGTCTCAACAAATAAAGAATATCAATCAAGAGAAGTCATTTCTTAAAAAGAAACAAACATGAAATCTGGAGATCAAAAGTTAAATAACAGAAATAAAAACTTCACTAGAGGAGCTCAGTGGTAGATTAGGGCTGGCATAAGAAATAATCAGTAAAGTTGAAGATAGGTCAAATAAGAGTGTGCAGTAAGAGGAACAGAAATACAAAGAAAAAAATAAAAATAGGCCGGGCGCGGTGGCTCACTCCTGTAATCCCAGCACTTTGGAAGGCAGAGGCCGGCGGATCATGAGGTCAGCAGATTGAGACCATCCTGGCTAACATGGTGAAACCCCGTCTCTACTAAAAATACAAAAAAATTAGTCGGGCGTGGTGGCGGGCGCCAGTAGTCCCAGCTACTCAGGAGGCTGAGGCAGGAGAATGGCGTGAACCCAGGAGGCAGAGCTTGCAGTGAGCTGAGATCAAGCCACAGAACTCCAGCCTGGGCGACAGAGTGAGACTCCGTCTCAAAAATAAAATAACATAAAATAAAATAAAATAAATAAAATAAAAATAAAAATAAATAGAGCCTCAGAGACCTGAGGGAAACCATTAGGCATACCAACATTTGAATAATGAAACCTCCAGAAGGGAACATAAAATAAATGGGTGAAAGAATGTTTAAAGTAATAATGTCCAAAAGTTTCTTGAATAATCATGAAAGATAGGAATCTACACATCCAAGAAGCATAATTTACTCTGAGCAGGAAAAACTAAAACACATCCACACCGAGAAAAATTATGATCAAAGTGTAAAAAGCGAAAGACAAAGAGAGAATCTTGAAAGCAGCAAGAGAAAAGTGACTTTCCGCAAATGAACAAGGGATCTTCAATGAAAAACAAATCAATTTCTCTTCAGAAACCATGGACTTCAGAAGATGGGCATAATATATTTAAAGGGCCAAAGGAAAAAAAAGAAAACTATGAACCAATAATTCTACATTCAGCAAAACTTTTGTCCTTCAAAAATATAGGCAAAATTCAGACATTCCCAGGGAACAGAAAACCGAGGGAATTTGTCACTAACAGACCTACCCTAAAAGAAATTATAAGGGAATTGTTCAACCTGAAATGAAAGAACACTGGACAGTAGCCCAAAATCATACAAACAAATAAAGAACAATGGTAAAGGTAGCTGCATTGATAAATATAAAAGTCCCTGTTACTGCATTTTTGGGGTTTTTTGTTTCTTTGTTTTTTGTTTTTGCATTGTTGTTGTTGTTATTTGTTTGCTTTTTGAGACAGGGTCTTACTTTATTGCCCAGGCTGGTCAACAAAAAGATGTTAATTGTAAGATGTTAACTGTAATCTCCAGTGTAAGAAAAAAATTTAAAAACTATACTGAAAAAAAGATAAGTAAATTCATATAGCACATTTTGGGTGGGGTGGATGATGAGAAATTACTTAGTGGGTACAATGTACATTATTTGGGCAATGGTTACCCTAAAAGCCCTGAGTTCACCACTACACTGTCTATGCATGTAACAAAATTACACTTGCATCCCATAAATTTATACAAATTTTAAAATTAAAAACAAAACAAAATAATCACAAATAAATATATATTTATATTTTTTCTTATATTACCAAGTAATTCATATTCATGCTACAAAGATAAGAAAATACACACCAAAAATATGTATATATATAGAAAAGATTCTACACTTTTCTTCACTCAGATCTACTGGTTCCAGGGAGTCTCCCAATGTTTGTCCAAAGAGAATGCACATGATTTGTTTTGGGGCAAGATGGGACTACCCTATCCTCTATCTAGAGATTCCCTCTCTCTACATGGTGGCTGGAACACAGCAGTGCTCAGCTAATAACCATGTTTAACATGAGTGATGATAAGTAAACTCAAGAATGGTCTTCTGATGCAGGGATGAACCTGCCTGTCTGAGCACAAGCCCATTGCTGAGTGTTTGGGTTTCTTGCACTTGCAAAAAAATGCCAGAATGACGTCCCCCAACATTTGTGGTTTCTTAGGCTACTTTCTTGGGACAATTCTGAGTCTATCTCAGTCGACAGGATGCCCGCTGCCCCCTGTCTTTTCTAAGTCTTTGCTTAAATATCTTCCCTGACAATGCCCAGACATTCCTCTTTCCTCAGCATTGTCCACAACGTGACTCTGCAGTCACTGCTGCATGGGGCCTGTTCTCTCAGGTAGGACGCCGAAGGGAAGGCACCTGTTTCTGGACAGGAGCCAGAAGCTCCTGAGCCCAGGAGCATTCCTAGAAGGGAGGTTTCAAGCCACACCAGCCAACAGTCACACTGAAGTCATTTGAAGACTAGGAAACTAGAAGGTTTTCCTCTTAAAATAACACAGAATACATATCCACTATAAAAAATTCAGACTATACAGAAAAGTGTGAAGAAAGTGAAGACCACCCCCACCCTGCCTCCCTGACAGTCAGGCTGTGCTGTCTGTGCATTTGACAGGCTTTGTTACCATCACTCACTTTATTGCAAAAATGGGTTTATCATAAATTCTACTTTGTAAACTACTTCTCTCAATTAAGTGAGAATTACTCTGTCAACAGGGTTGGTGCTCTCTTGCCAGGCAGCCAAGCCAGCCACTGCTGTCCCTTCTTATTTGTCAAGTGCCTTGGAGGGCGTCCACGCTGTGTCTGTGGACACCACCAAGTCTGTTCTTGTGGGGTAGGGGCCCAGGACCCTAGGACTGAATGGAGGAAACACAGGCTCAGATTCCTCTTGGCCACCTTCTCATTGGGCAGCTTTGCTGGACACTGCTGGGGTTCTGAACCCTGAGCACGTGGATGTGCCATAGGAGGTCAGGACCATAGAGGGCCCATGACACAGGGACATCATCACGGGTCCGGGCACACATCCTGGAGCCAGGAGGTCCTGAGGTACCTAGCGCCACCCCACCCCCAGGCAGTCTGTGAAGGCTTAGGGTACTGGGCCCCACCCTGAAAGCTGAGAGTTGTCCTGCCCAGGCCCCCCTGCAGGATATGGGCCAGTGAGTCCCACACAGCACTGGGGGACACCTGTGTAGAGAACTGGGGCAGAGGGAGCCCCAGCCGGGCCTCAGGGGGTTGGGAAGGCACTGTCCCCTCACTTTCCATATCCTGAAATCAAGGGCTGACCAGTCAGTGACTTGCACTCCAACAACCAAACTGCAAATTCCAGTGGCTTCTAACAACAAACGTCAATCCGTCTTGCTTCTGAGTCAGCTGAAAGGCTTCACCACCGGGCCAGCTCCACGTTTCCTCGGTGCAGGAAGACCCTCCGCTCTGATGTCACGAAAGTGAGATCATGAGAGACCTGGGCTCAGAGCTGGCAGGAGCAAGGCCTAGCCAAAGGGAGTGGGTACAACAAGTAAGAAAGCAATTGGAACGGCGGTGCTCACAACTGCCAACTTCACCCTTGGTGACTGAGAAGGGGTTGAGGGGCAGACCCCAAGGCGGGGAGAGCCCGGAGCCAGCCTCTGCTCCAGACTCCACAGGCCTGAGAGCTCCTGGGCCCCACCAGGGCCCCAGCAGAAACTCAGGCTGAAGCAAATGACAGCGGTTTGTGGCAGAACCCAGCACAGCAGGCCGTCCCCTCCCAGGCGCCTTTCTCATGGTTAATAACGCATACAGTGACACAGATTCCTGCATCCAACATGGCCAGGAAGCCATACATCAGTCTAGGAGTGGGGTGCGTCTGCACCTGTTTAGTGACAGAATCAAGGACTTGGCAGGCCCCAAGTTTCCTGCAAGTGTAGCCCCCACAAACCCACCACGTTGGCCATCTTCACTCTGCATGGGAGTTTGGAGGCCCCGAGCTTGGGGCACACGGCTTGCCATCCTGAGAGGAGAGAGGGCAGTTCTCCCAGAGTCGGCCCGGCCCTGATAAACAGGAGAAGTTCAGCCCCTGGAGGCGCAGGGGAAGGAGTTCATGGAGCACTTGATTGGTTCTCACAAACAGCTTTCTTCACTCATCCCCTAACACGGCAAAAAGACCAGATAGGAGGGTGCCCACCAGGCTCAGGCCACGGTCTTCAAGATGCCGGCCATCGGCCGGGCGCGGTGGCTCATGCCTGTAATCCCAGCACTTTGGGAGGCGGAGTCGGGCGGATCACGAGGTCAGGAGATCGAGACCATCCTGGCTAACACGGTGAAACCCCGTCTCTACTAAAAATACAAAAAATTAGCCGGGTGTGGTGGCGGGCGCCTGTAGTCCCAGCTACTTGGGAGGCTGAGGCAGGAGAATGGCGTGAACCCGGGAGGTGGAGCTTACAGTGAGCCGAGATCGCGCCACTGCACTCCAGCCTGGGCGACAAAGCGAGACTCCGTCTCAAAAAAAAAAAAAAAAAAAAAAAAAAAGATGCCAGCCATCTTCTTGGCATCTCTGCCTACACGTGTGTCCCACATCACCTTCCAGGTGCACCTGGTGGGCCAGTTGCTGCCTTATAGCCAGCAGGGGGATAGCTCTGTTGGCCTGGAGCTCCTGAAACCTGGTCCTTTCTCTGGGCTGCACCCATCTGACTGAGCTCCGTTGACCTGGGCTTGCTGCTCACCTTGCCATGAACCTGGTGCTAGGTGCTGGCCTCCAGCCTCAGCAGCTCCGCCAGAGTGTGCCTCAGTGGGTGCAGGTTCCTTACCACAGTGGCCCTCTGCCTCTGCTCTTTGCACTTCTGCTCAGCCAAATTTTGGCTTCGATTTTCTGCAGCCATCATTGGCTCCTCAGCTTCAGTTTATCATTCTTGAGCAAAATAGCCTTGGCATCTGCATCTCTCCTGATGGAAGTAATGCTCCTCGTGTCCAGATCCAGCTCCCCCTCACTTTCCCCATTTTCCCATGCGGAGACCTTCAGTTGGCTCCAGCTTCCAGTGCACATGTGGAAGAGCCTTCTTCCAAATATGTAATTACATATATATTGTCATATGTAATACAATATATTATATTTATAGGAAGTAATGGAGGAAATGAAGAGCAAAAGATTAATACATATAGAAAATAAATAGCGAAATAACAGAACTACACCCTTTCTTACCAATAATTGCTTTCTATGTAAATGGATTTAATTCTCAAATCAAAAAGCAGATATGGCAGAGGGAGGGGTTTTTTTTAAGGTTCTATCTATGTGCTCACTTTAGATCAAAAAGTTTTCTAAAAGATATATTCATAGTTATTAATGGCCCTATTCCCACTACAAATTTTGAAGTACTCCTAATCCCATAACTTGCCTGTTTTAGCTATGGTAATGGGTGGAAAGAGTAGCTCACCAGTTTTAAAGATCAGACTCTGTATCAAAAGCACCTTTGCCCTTAGGAAGAGTGAGTATCAGACTCATCCTGGAGTATATTGGAGTCATCTTATCTATTACTCCAAACCTCTCTTTTTATTTCTGAGCCTTGCTTGGACCTTGGCATTCCATTTGAATTCCTTCTGACTGGAGCATTTGTGTTGTATCTGTTAACACTGGCACTGAAATAAAGACCACATGGTTAAAGAAATCTTCCCTATATTGTACTTTATGGTGTCGGAGTGAAGCCTTGTAGCTTCCTTGCCCCCATGTCAGAGGAAGTCTTATGGATACCATAGGGTAGGAATAGCCTTTCCTGAGTCTGAGAAATTGGTCTCTTTTAAGACAAATCTCAGAAATATCCACATCAAAGACTTGAGATTTTTAAACTAGTGAGAGTGCCAAGTGCTTTTTAGAAAGGACCCATGTGTTATTAAACTTCGAAACTGAGTTACTGGAATGAAGTAGATGTGACTCTCTCTGTGGTACATGATGAATGTACTATGTACGTTCAAGTATTCAGGCACCACGTCTTATATACTGAAGAAGAAAGAAAAAGTGAGGCCCACTTTGCTCTTATAATGTTTGCAATTGTTACTGTATTGAATACAGTATAATGACTACTTTGGCTTCAATCTTAAACCTGGAAACAAATATCCTTTTTTTCCCCTCCATTTCACCAAGCCTTTACTTAAAATCTTCAGTGTCTCGTCAAATATAGCTCTGTATCAGATACTAGACTATTCCTAACATTTGACAAACTAGAGTTTAACTAAAGGCTCCACAGGGGAAAGTTTTGGTCTTATTAGTATGTATGAGCAAGATCTGCTAAAACTTACTCCACTGGGTAAATGGTTGACTGAGTCAATCACAGGATATTATCTCCTCCATAGTTTTCAGTAATGTAAGTGTGGACTAGTGCATATTTCAGACAACTGCTCTGCCTGTGCAATGAAAAATAGCCTTTAAGGGTTTCTTTGCAGACTGATTTCATTGGATGGATACTTAATGTTGTGAAACATGATAGGATTAACATAATGTTGGTGGATTTCTTGAATAGAATTTGTCTTAACATTCTTCTTTGTTAGATAAAATAAAGCCTGTTTGTATAGAGGCTTTATTTTTCTCTCCTATATTTGTAGCTAACCAGCTCAGGTTTTTTATTTTAATTTGAACTGGGTTGAATCTCTGAAGAAATCTGTTCAAGACCATGCTATAAGACAGTGTCAGCTAATGGAGCTGGAAAGGGTCTACTCTACTGACAGAGCATTTCCTTGGATGACCATAGTTTTGAAGTAGAGTTTATGATTATCCAAAGCTTTGTCTAGGAGTAAAATATTATGGCCTTAACACAAAGGTGCTGCGTAGAATATGAATTGATTTCGGAAACTGAACGCAAGCACCATACTGAAGGACTAGCAGTCAAATAACTGCCTAGGATACTGATGGTTGTGAAGACTAATTCAAATGATTGGATCTTTGAAAGCTTCAGCGTACCTTAGTTTCTAGGATCAGAATTAGTTTTCCTTTCACTTGGCCTTGCAGCTAAAAGGAGAAATGTTTCAATTTATGTGAATACTTGCACATTTTAATAATTCATTTCCCGAGTATAACCACTCAAGCGGGAGCAAATTTGGATGGATTTACAATTTCAGAGGCATTATGAGGAAGGAGCAATTTCCAAGGCTGTTTTGATAACCCTGGGGTGATAAGCAGTGATCTCTCACATGCTTACTTCAACAATTCCACATGCACTTGTACCTCATTATTTCCCTCCTCACGAGTCAATTTTATTCTAGTCCCTGCCCCATCCGAGGGAATCCTAAAGGAGAATTAATTCATCTAAGTAATCTCAAAAAACTGTAGGAGGGGTGCTCTCCCCTAGAAGCTTCACCCACAGTGCTTTGATGCTGTTACCTTGAGGTGCTTTGGACAGTCATGGAATTTTTAGGCTGTGTATAGTGATCATCTGTTAATTTTAAGGCCTTTCTCATTTAAAGAAACATTCCTCAGTGTAACATTTGGGAAGAGATTCTTTCCTCTTGCTAGTTTAAAGGTGTGATTTATACCCCTTGTTCATTGCATTTATATATGAAAATAGACTTTTAAAACTATCCAACACTAATGGTCGATATAACATGATTTCCATCTTTTTTATGTCCTTCTAGAAGAGATTGGAAGTTAGGAAGTACTGCTTTTGAGGTTCAACTTCATTATCTTCTGCATTGAAAAATATTTGGGCCATGAGAACTAGGGGAAATGAGTTTGAATGTGTATTTTCTTTCTAGTGTATGTATTTTAACCACAGTGTCCTAAACTGAGAAATCTAGAGAGGAAAAAGTGGGTGTTCACAAACTTTGTGGTTGGGGGAGTGATTTTACACGTCTGTATATTCATGACTTTGGGAGTGGAGAGGATCAATGAAGAGAGAATTGCACAGAAATTCTTGAAGTTGAAAACACTTTTGACCAGCTTTGGCTCAGGAGAGTGGGGCTGCTTGTAGAACTGGAAGTGAATAACTTTTTCAAGCAATATCAGTGAGTGGGTCCCATCGACAGGGTTCCAGGACCTGGAACATTCTAACAGAAGAAATTGGTGAAGCAGCTTACACAGTTGCTTTACAAACTTCCAAGGGGCTGATTCTGGCTTCGAGATGGAACATTGGAGTTGGTTTTGTTTTGTTTTCCTCAAAGAACCTGTGGTTGTGCTTTGTGTGTTTTGTTTTTGTTTTATATTTGGGGGTCCCAAGGGAAAGAGCTTCTGAACTCTTTCCTTTATGAACTCCCACTGTGTTCCTGTAAAGTTCCTTTTCTTTCATAGTGTTGTAAGTTACATTTTCATTATGTCCCTTCACATCTTCTTTACTGTAAAAATATTAAAAACCTGTTTCCAAGTGAGACAGCTAATGAAGCTCTAATTATTACAGACATATTTTTGAGATGTAAAAAAATTTTAATTAAATGATAAGTCTTAGAGGTCAGTGAGGAATAAAATGGATGTAAAATGGGATGCATTAGAATTCTGCTGTGTGTATTGTCTTTTGGTTGAAACAAATTATGAACAGTGACTAATAATAAAAAGTCAATACTCAAAAATAATTCAAAAAAACTCACTTTAGATCAAAATTTACATATAAATTGCAAGTAAAACAATACCAAAAGATATTCCATGCAAATAGCAAATCAAAAAAGGAAGTGCTAAGGTGGCTGTATTAATATCAGACAAAATAGACAAAGACAGAAATTGTGACAAGAGACAAAGGACATTATATATTGATAAAAGGGTTAATCTATCAAGAAATTAGGAAAAGTATAAACATAAATGCACCTAAGAAGGAGCCCCAAACCTACGAAGAAAAACTGACAGAATTAAAGGGAACAAGTAGACAGTTCTAAAATAATATTTGGAAATTTTAATATCCCACTTTCATTAATGGATATAATAACTAGACAGAAGAAAAATAAAGGGTTTAAGCCACACTAAACCAACTAGACCTAATATCTATGGGACGCTACAACCAGCAATAGCAGGATACCATTGTTTTGCTTATTCTATTGTTCCGTTTTCCTCAGATGCACATTAAACCTTCTCTAAAATATACCATATATTGGCCACAAAAAAATAAAAGCGTATACATTCTCTGACAACAATGTAATGAAACTAAAACTCAATAATAAAAGGGAAACTGGAAACCCGACAAACATAGAAATATTAAACAACATTAAACGAAGAAGAAATTAAAAGTAAAATTAGAAAATACTTTGAGTCAAATGAAAAAGAAAACACAACACATCAAAACTCATGAGAAGGCTCAGAGGTAAATTTATAGCTGTAAGTGACTATATTAAAAAAGAAGAAAGAAATCCAAAATCAATAACCTATCATCTTTGCACAATAAGAACAAGAAAAAAAGTAAAATAAAACCAAAGATAGGAGAAGGAAGGAAATTATAAAAATTAGGAGATAACATATAACAAAAAGGTGAGTAGAAAAGCAATAAAGGGAATCAACACAACCAATAATTATCTGAAAATACCAACAAAATGTATAAACTTTTAGCTTCACTGACTACGAAAAAAAGGCTCAAATTACTAAAATCAGAAATTAAAGTGAGAACATTACTATAGATCTTACAGAAATAAAAAGAGCAATGAGATAATACTTATGAACAACTATACACACACACAAAATAGATAGCCTAAATGAAATGTATAAATTCCTGGAAACATATAAGCTACCAGAACTGACTGAAAAGGAAACAGAAAATCTGAACGAATCTATAGCAAGGGAACAGATTGAGTCAGCAACCAAAACCCTTCCAACAAAGAAAATTCTAGGACCATATGGCTTCACTGTTGAATCCAACCAAACATTTAAAGAATTCACAACAATCCTTCTCAAACCCTTCCAAACATAAAAGAGGTGGGAATACTTTCTAAAGCATTTCTTGTGGCTAGCATTCCCTGATACCAAAACCAAAGACTCTACAAGGAAGAAAACTATAGCAAAATGAATCCAACAGCATATTAAGATTATATATACTGACCAAATGTAATTTATTCTAGGAATGCAAGTATGATTTAGGAAAAGCAACCAGTGAAATATCAAACATTAATAAAATGAAAAAAAAACTAAAGAATCATCTCAATTGATGCAGAAGAAACACTTTCTAAGATTGAACACCACTTCCTTAAAAATTCAACAAACTAGAAATATAAGGAAACTTCCTCAACATGAAAAAGGATACTTACAAAAAACCCACAACTAACATTTTATTATTATTATTATTATTATTATTATTATTATTATTATTATTATACTTTAAGTTCTAGGGTACCTGGGTACAATGTGCACGTCTGTTACATAGGTATACATGTGCCATGTTGGTTTGCTGCAACCATCAACTCGTCAGTTACATTAGGTATTTCTCCTAAAGTTATCCCTCCCCCAGCCCCCACATCCTGACAGGCCCTGGTGTGTGATGTTCCCCGCCCTGTGTCCAAGTGTTCTCATTGTTCAATTCCCACCTATGAGTGAGAACATGTGGTGTTTGGTTTTCTGTCCTTGCGATAGTTTACTGAGAATGATAATTTCCAGCTGCATCCATGTCCCTGAAAAGGACATGAACTCATCTTTTTTATGGCTGCATATTATTCCATGGTGTATATGTGCCACATTTTCTTAATCCAGTCTATCATTGATGGAATTTGGATTGGTTCCAAGTCTTTGCTATTGTGAATAGTGCTGCAATAAACATACGTGTGCATGTGTCTTTATAGTAGCATGATTTATAATCCTTTGGGTATATACCCAGTAATGGGATTGCTGGGTCAAATGGTATTTCTAGTTCTAGATCCTTGAGGAATGGTCACACTGTCTTCCACAATGGTTGAACTAATTTACACTCCCACCAACAGTGTAAAAGCATTCCTATTTCTCCACATCCTCACCAGCATCTGTTGTTTCCTGACTTTTTAATGATTATCATTCTGACTGGCATGAAATGGTATCCCATTGTGGTTTTGATTTGCATTTCTCTGATGACCAATGACGATGAGCATTTTTACATGTGCCTGTTGGCTGTGTAAATGTCTTATTTGAGAGGTGTCTGTTCATATCCTTTGCCCACTTTTTGATGGGGTTGTTTTTTTTCTTGCAAATTTGCTTAAGTTTTTGTAGATTCTGGATATTAGCCCTTTGTCAGATGGGTAGATTGTAAAAATTTTCTCCCATTCTGTAGATTGCCTGTTCACTCTGATAGTAGTTTCTTTTGCCATGCAGAAGCTCTTTAGTTTAATTAGATCCTATTTGTCTATTTTGGCTTTTGTTGCCATTGCTTTTTGTGTTTTAGTCATGAAGTCCTTGCCCATGCCTATGTCCTGAATGGAATTGCCTAGGTTTTCTTCTAGGGTTTTTATGGTTTTAGGTATAACATTTAAGTCTTCAATCCATCTTGAATTAATGTTTGTATAAGGTGTAAGGAAGGGATCCAGTTTCAGCTTTCTACATGTGGCTAGCCAGTTTTCCCAGCACCATTTATTAAATAGGGAATCCTTTCCCCTTTTCTTCTTTCTTGTTTTTGTCAGGTTTGTCAAAGATCAGATAGTTGTTGATGTGTGGTGTTATTTCTGAGGCCTCTGTTCTGTTCCATTGGTCTATATATCTGTTTTGGTACCAGTACCATGCTGTTTTGGTTACTGTAGACTTGTAGTATACTTTGAAGTCAGGTAGCGTGATGCCTCCAGCTTTGTTCTTTTTGCTTAGGATTGTCTTGGAAATGCAGGCTCTTTTTTGGTTCCATATGAGCTTTAGTTTTTTCCAATTCTGTGAAGAAAGTCATTGGTAGCTTGATGGGGATGGCATTGAATCTATAAATTACCTTGGGCAGTATGGCCATTTTCACGATATTGATTCTTCCTATCCAGGAGCATGAGATGTTCTTCCATTTGTTTGTGTCCTCTTTTATTTGGTTGAACAATGGTTTGTAGTTCTCCTTGAAGAGGTCTTTCACTTCCCTTGTAAGTTAGGTTCCTAGGTATTTTATTCTCTTTGTAGCAATTGTGAATGGGAGTTCACTCACGATTTGGTTCTGTTTGTCTGTTATTGGTGTATAAGAATGCTTGTGATTTTTGCACATTGATTTTGAATCCTGAGACTTTGCTAAAGTTGCTTATCAGCTTAAGGAGATTTTGGGCTGAGGTGATGGGGTTTTCTAAATATACAGTCATGTCATCTGCAAACGGGCAATTTGACTTCCTCATTTCCTAATTGAATACCCTTTATTTCTTTCTCTTGCCTGATTGCCCTGGCCAGAACTTCCAACACTATGTTGAAGAGGAGTGCTGAGAGAGGGCATCTGTGTCTTGTGCTGGTTTTCAAAGGGAATGCTCCCAGTTTTTGCCCATTCAGTATGATGTTGGCTGTGGGTTTGTCATAAATAGCTCTTATTATTTTGAGATACATTCCATCAATACCTAGTTTACTGAGAGTTTTCAGCATGAAGCGCTGTTGAATTTTGTTGAAGGTCTTTTCTGCATCTACTAAGATATTCATGTGGTTTTTGTCGTTGGTTCTGTTTATGTGTTGGATTACGTTTATTGATTTGTATATGTTGAACCAGCCTTGCACCCCAGGGATGAAGTCGACTTGATCGTGGTGGATAAGCTTTTTGATGTGCTGCTGGATTCAATTTGCCAGTATTTTATTGAGGATTTTTGCATCGATGTTCATCAGTGATATTGGTCTAAAATTCTCTTTTTTTGTTGTGCCTCTGCCAGGATTTGGTATCAGGATGATGCTGGCCTCATAAAATGACTTAGGGAGGATTCCCTCTTTTTCTATTGATTGGAATACTTTCAGAAGGAATGGTACCAGCTCCCCTTTGTAACTCTGGTAGAATTCAGCTGTGAATCCATCTGGTCCTGGCCTTTTTTTTGGTTGGTAAGCTATTAATTACTGCCTCAATTTCAGAACCTGTTATTCGTCTCTTCAGAGATTCAACTTCTTCCTGGTTTAGTCTTGGGAGGGTGTAAGTGCCCAGGAATTTATTCATTTCTTCTAGATTTTCTAGTTTATTTGTGTAGAGGTGTTTATAGTATTCTCTGATAGTAGTTTATATTTCTGTGAGATCAGTGGTGGTATCCCTTTATCATTTTTTATTGCATCTATTTGATTCTTCTCTCTTTTCTTTTTTATCAGTCTTGCTAGCGGTCTATCAATTTTGCTGATCTTTTCAAGAAACCACGTCCTGGATTCATTCATTTTTTGAAGGGTTTTTTGTGTTTATATCTCCTTCAGTTCTGCTCTGATCTTAGTTATTTCTTGCCTTCTGCTAGCTTTCAAATTTGTTTGCTCTTGCTTCTCTAGTTCTTTCAATTGTGATGTTAGGGTGTCAATTTTAGATCTCTCCTGCTTTCTCTCGTGGGCATTTAGTGCTATAAATTTCCCTCTACACACTGCTTTAAATATGTCCCAGATATTCTGGTATGTGCCCACAACTAACATTATACACAATGATGAAAACTGAAAACTTTCCCCCCTAAAATCAGAAAAAAGACAAAAATGCTCCCTTTCCCAACTTCCATCAAACATTGTATGTGAAGATTTAGCCTGAGCAATTAGGCAAGGAAAAGAAAGAAAATACATCAAAATTGGAAAGGAAGACATAAAACTATGTCTGTTTGGAGATAAAATGATCTTACATATACAAAATCATTTAAACTCCACAAACTTCCTGATTTAATGAATTCAGCTATGTTTCAGGATACACAATCAATACACAAAAATCAGTTGTATATGTATAAACAAGCAATTAACAATCTGAAAAAGAAATTAAGAAAACAATTTCATTTACAATAGAATCAAAAAGAATAAAATACTTAGGAACAAATTTAACCAAGACAATGCAAGATATATACATTGAAAACCTATAAAATATTGCTGAAAATATTATAGATCTAAATAAATGAGAAGACATCTTGTGTTCATGGATTGGAAAACTTCATATTGCTGAGATGCCAATACTACACAAAGTGACCTAGGATTTCAAAGTAATCCCAATCAAATTTTCAAAGGCGCTTGTTGCAGAAATGAAAAAGCTGATCTAAAATTCAGGTAGAATTGCAAGGGACCCTGTATAGCCAAAACAATTTAGAGAAAGAAAAACAAAATTAGAAGACTCACACTTCCCTATTTCAAAACTTACTACAGAGCCACAATAATTAAAATATTCTCATACTAGCATATGGATGGACATATAGATTAATGGGATAGAATAGAGATTCCAGAAATAAATACTTACATATGTGGTTCATTGATTTTTTATTTTTATTTATTTATTTATTTTTGAGACAGAGTCTTGCCCTGTCACCCAGGCTGGAGTATACTGACCTGATCTCAGCTCAGTGCAACCTCCGCCTCCCAGATTCAAGCTATTCTCCTGCCTCAGCCTCCAGAGCAGCTGAGATTACAGGCACCTGCCACCACACCCAGCTAATTTTTATATTTTTAGTAGAGATGGGGTTTTACCATGTTGGTCAGACTGGTCTTGAACTCCTGACCTCACGTGATCCACCTGCCTCGGCCTTCCAAAGTGCTGGTATTACAGGCATGAGCCACTGCTTCCAGCTGGTCCACTGATGTTTAATAAGGATGTCAAAATCCTTCAGTATGGAAAAAATATTCAACAAAGAATGCTAGAAAAACTGAATATCTACATGCAAAAAAAGTGGACATTCTACCTCACACCATATGCAAAAATTAACTCAAAATGAAAGACCTAAGTGTAAGAGGGAAAAGTATAAAACTCTTAGAAAAAATATGTAGTGAGTCTTCAAGACCTTGGATTTGGCAAGGAAGTCTTAGGTATGCGCCAAATGCACAAGAAACAAAAAAATAGATAAATTAGTGTCAAAATTAAAAATTTTTGTGCATCAAAGGTCACTACAAAGGAAGTAAAAACACCATCCACAGAATGGGAGAAAATACCTGCAAATCACATGCCTGATAAGGTTCTAGTACCCAGAACTGTTACAACTCAACAACCAAGTGACATTTGACCAAATTAAAACATAAAAAGGATTAGAATAGACATTTTTCCAAAGAAGAAGACGTGCAAATGATCAGCCAGCATATGAAAATATTTTCAACATCATTAGCTATTGGGGAAATACAAATCAAAATGACAGCAGGAGACCACTTTATACCCACTAGGGTGGCTATAATTTCTTTAAAATAGAAAAAATCAAGTATTAGGAATGATATGGAAAGATTGCAGCCCTTGTACTTTTCTGTTGGGAAATTCTACTTTTAAGTATATGTCCAAGAAACAAGTATTCAAACAGAAACATGTGCATGATGGCCATGGCACTATTTACAATAGCCAAAAAGCGGAAAGAATCCAAATGTCAACTGAGGAATGGATGAACAAAATGCAGTATATCCATACAGTGGAATATTACTTGGTCTTAAAAAGAATGAAGCACAGGTGCGGTGGCTCATGCCTGTAATCACAGCACTTTGGGAGGCCGAGGTGGGCGGATCACGACATCAGGAGATCGAGACCACTCTGGCTAACACGGTAAAACCCCGTCTCTACTAAAAATACAAAAAATTAGCTGGTTGTGGTGGCACACGCCTGTAGTCCCAGGTACTCAGGAGGCTGAGGCAGGAGAATCGCTTGAACCTGGGAGGCAGAGGTTGCAGTGAGCAGAGATCGTGCCACTGCACTCCTGCCCGGGCGATAGAGCAAGACTCCTTCTCAAGAAAAAAAAAAAAAAAAACAAAAGAAGGAAGCATTAATACATGCTACAATATGAATGAACTTAAAAAACATTATGTTAAGTGAATGCAGCCAGATGCAAAAAGTCACTAATGTATGATTTCATTGATGTGAAATATCCAGCATAGGTAAATGCAGAGAAACAGAAAGCAGATTAGTGGTTGCTCAGGGCTGGGGGTAAAGGGCAGTGGGCAGTGGCTACTTAATGGTTATGTCATTTACTTTTGTAGGGATAAAAATGTTTGGGAACTAGACAGAAGTTATGGCTATACAACATGGTCAATATACTAACTGTCACTAAAATGTACACTTTAAAATGGTTAATTTTATATTACCTGAATTTTACCTCAATTAGAAAATACATAGAGCGTAATGAAAACAAAATAGAATATATTAAAATATGTGGGATGAATTAAAATAGTGCCGAGAGGAAAAACTACATCATTAAATGTTAATTTAAAAAGGTCTTCTCTTTTTTAAAATGTCTACTGCAAAAATAAAAACTTGTAAAAGAAGAGCAAAGTAAGCCCAAGGTGAACAGAAGGAAGTAATTGGTAAAGACTTTTTTTTTGAGACGGAGTCTTGCTCTGTTACCCAGACTGGTATGCACTGGTGCGATCTTGGCTCACTGCCTCCCAGTTCAAGAAATTCTCCTGCCTCAGCCTCCTGAGTAGCTGGGATTACAGGCATATGCCACCATGCCTGGCTAATTTTTGTATTTTTAGTAGACACTGGGTTTCACCATGTTGGTCAGGCTGGTCTCGAACTCCTGACCCCGTGATCCGCTCGCCTCGGCCTCCCAAAGTGCTGGGATTGCAGGCGTGAGCCACCTTGCCCAGCCCAAACACCTTTTTAATTAATGAGATTTAATATTTAAAAAAAAAAACAGCTGGGCACAGTAGCACATGACTATAATCCCAGCACTTCAGAAAGCTAAGATGGGCAGATCACTTTAGCCAGAAGAGTTTGAGACCAGCCTAGACAACATGACAAAAACCTGTCTCTACAAAAAATATAAAAATTAGCCTGGCATGGTGATGTGTGCCTGTAGTCCCAGTTACCTGGGAGGCTGAGGATCACTTGAGCCCAGGAGGTCGAGGCTGCAATGAACCATGATAGCACCCCTGCACTGCAGCCTAGGCAACAGAGTGAGGTCTTGAAAAAAAAAAAAAAAAAGAAGAAAAGAAAAAGAAAAATTGATGAAACAAAGAGCTGGTTCTCTAGGAGAAAAAAATTAACAAAATTGACGAACCTCTAGCAAAACTGACAAAGATTAAGACAGAGACAATATATCCAAATATTAGGAATAAAGTAGAGAGTATCTCTATAGAACCTGCAACTATTAAAAAGATAATAAGGAATACTATTTCAAAAGTTACACTGAAAAATTTGACAAGAAAAAGGACCAATTTCTTAAAAATCTCAAACTTCCAAAATTCAATAAAGATGAAATGTGCAATCTGGATGTTTCTATAATTATTAACAAAATTGAAATATTAATTTAAAAGTTCCTGAATGAAAAATCTATAGGATCAGATGGTTTCACTACAGAATTCTTACAAATGTTTAAAGTAGAATTAACACTTATTTTACACAAACTCTTCCAGAAAATAGAAAACACTACTCAATTCATCTTATAAAGCTAGTATTACTTTAAAACCAAAATCAGTCAAAGACAGTGCAAACCAAGAAAAGTATAGACCAGCATCTTGTAAACTTAGATGTGGAGATCTTCATTTGAATTTAAGTAAATCTAATCCAACAGTCTATGTCGTAGTTTCATTCAGGCTGCTATAACACAGTACTATAAACTAGGTAGTTTATAAATAATACAAATTTATTTTTCATAGCTCTAGACACTGGAAAGTCCAACATCAAGTCACCAGCAGATTCATTGTCTAGTGATGGCCTATTTTCTGACTGAAAGATGGCACATGATTGAAGAAGATAGCTAGCTCCCTGGGGTCTTTTATGAGGGCACTATTCCCAATAATGAGGGTTTTGCCTTCATGATCTAATCACCTTCCAAAATTCCCCACCTCTTAATGGCCTCAACTTAGTGACTAGATTTCAACATATGAATGTTGGAGGGACACAAACTTTCAGACCACAGCAGTCTATAAAAAAGAATAATACAACATAAAAGCATAAGAGTTAGTCTATGTCTGCAGAGTTCTTTCAATATTTAAAAAGCTGTTTTGCTAGACTGAGCTGGTTGCCTCCTGCTATTGTGGAGGTGACTCACTTCATCCCAACTTCTTGATACTTTTGCTTCTGGAGGTCATATTTCTCTAAGATCTTCCAGAAAAAAAGTCTTAAAGCCACCCTAGTCTTTTTTCCAGTCCAGCTCTTAAATTTTTTCTCCTCTTCCCCAATAATAACATGAGTGTGGATTCAGCTTGTTCACAAAGCCTGCCTTTCTCTGAAGCATCCGACTGTAAAGACTTTTCACCTACACCTGTAATTTGTGGGCCTGAAGAAAACTATCCATCCTTGCAAATGTCTTCTGCTGAGATGCCTCACACAGAGACTGTCTCTCCTCTTCCTTCCTCCATGGATCTGCTTATTCAGGACAGCCCTGATTCTTCCACCAGTCCCAAAGGCAAGCAACCCACTTCTGCAGAGAAGAGTGCCACAAAAAAGGAAAACAAGGTCCCAGTCAAGAAACAGAAGACCAGAACTCTGTTCTCTTCCAACCAGCTGTGTGTACTCAATGATAGATTGCAGAGACAGAAATACTTCAGCCTCCAGCAGATGCAAGAACTTTCCAACATCCTGAACCTCAGCTACAAAGGTGAAGACCTGGTTCCAGAACCAGAGGATGAAATCTAAGAGGTGGCAGAAAAACGACTGGCCAAAAAATAGCAATGGTGTGACTCGGAAGGCCTCAGCACCTACTTACCCCAGTCTCTACTCTTCCTACCACCACGGATGCCTGGTGAACACGACTGGAAACCTTCCAATGTGGAGCAACCAAACCTAGAGCAATTCAACCTGGAGCAACCACACCCGGAACATCCAGTCCTGGAACACTCAGACCTGGTGCACCCAGTCCTGGAACAATCAGGCCTGAAACACTTCCTTCTATAACTGTGGAGAGGAATCTCTGCAGTCCTGCATGCAGTTCCAGCCAAATTCTCCTGACTTGGAGGTTGCCTTGGAAACTGCTGGGGAAAGCCATAATGTAGTACAGCAGACCACTAGGTATTTTAGTACTCCACAAGCCATAGATTTATTCCTAAAGTACTCCACAAACATGCAACCTTAAGATGTGTGAACATGAGTGAAGTTGCTATTACTCAATTTCAGTCTGGGCACTGACTGAATCCTTCCTCTCCCCTCCCCTCCCTCATAGGATTTTTGTTGTTTGGAAACCATGTGTTCTGGTTTCCATTATGCCTATCCAGTCAATTTGATGGAGGGTGGGGTATGCTTGGAGCCTACTCAGAGAGGTTTCTTTCTTTTTTCCTATTAGATCTTCCTGGAGAAAAGACATTTTAATAACCTTGGCTGCTAAGGACAACATGATAGAAGATGTCTCTGGCTATAGATAAGTAGATCTAATACTAGTTCGGATATCTTTAGGGTTTAGAATCTAACCTCAAGAATAAGAAACAAAAGTACAAATTGGTGTGATGAAGGTATATTCCTACTGTTTGGGATTGGGCTTTACTTATTAAAAAAAAAAAAAAAACTCTGTCGAGGCCAGGTGCGGTGGCTCATGCCTGTAATTCCAGCACTTTGGAAGGCCAAGTCAGGCAGATCACCTCAGGTTAGGAGTTCAATACCAGTCTCGTCAACATGATGAAACCCCATCTCTACTAAAATAAAAAAATTAGCCTGGCATGGTCTCAGGTGCCTATAATCCCAGCTACTCGGGAGGCTGAGGCAGGAGAATCACTTGACCCCAGGTGGTGGAGGCTGCAGTGAGCCAAGATAGAGCCACAGCAATCCAGCCTGGGTGACAGAGCCAGACTCCGCCTCAAAAAAATAAATAAATAAAATGAAATAAAATAAAATAAAAACTCTATGGAGGTGAAGGGTGAAGGATTGAGGTGAAGAGTGAAGGGTTATGCTGTAACATACTTCATTGATTTCCTCAGCCCTTTATGGCTCTGTCTTACTATGCCCCCTATTTTGTTGGTTATGCTAATATTTGTGGAAAGAGGTCTTGCATTTGCTGCATTATAATGACATCAGTACTACTTTGGCTGCTTTAAGTACAAATAAATAAAACAACCATTTTTCCTTTAAAAATATTTAAAAAGCAACACATGTAGTATCAATGGGCTAAAGAAGAAAAATTGTATGATCATATTAATTGATAGAGAAATAACATTAAACAAAACTCAATAACCATTAATAATAAAAACTCTCAGCAAACTAGGAATACAGAGAAATCTGATACAGAGTGTCTACATTATACATACAGTTGACATGATATTTAATAATTAAAGACTGAATACTTTCCCATGAAATTGGGAACAAATCAAGAATGCTCACTCCCTGTAATCCCAGCACTTTGGGAGGCGGAGGCAGGCAGATCACAAGGTCAGGAGTTCGAGACCAGCCTGACCAACATGGTGAAACCCCATCTGTACTAAAAATACGAAAATTACCCGGGAGTGGTGGTGGGTGCCTGTAGTCCCAGCTACTTGGGAGGCTAAGGCAGGAGAATCTTTGAACCCGGGAGGCGGAGGTTGCAGTGAGCTGAGATCACACCACTGCACCCCAGCCTGGGCAACAGAGCGAGACTCTGTTTCAAAAAAAAAATATGTATATATATATATATATTTATTTGAGAAATATATATATTTATATATAATATATATTATATATAAATATATTATATATATTATATATTATCTAGATAATATAGATAATATATATTATCTATATTATCTAGATAATATATATTATCTAGATAATATAGATAATATATATTATCTATATTATATAGATAATATATATTATCTAGATAATATATATTATATATATTATCTAGATAATATATATTTATATATAAATATAATAAATATATACATATAAAATAAAAAAGAATGCTTACTCTTATCACTCTTTTGGTTGTTGTTGAGTCAGAGTCTTACTTTGCCACTCAGGCTGGAGTGCAGTGGTGTGATCTCAGCTCACTGCAACCTCCGTCTCCCGGGTTCAAGTGATTCTCCTGCCTCAGCCTCCTGAGTAGCTGGGATTACAGGCACACACCACCACACCCAGCCAATTTTTGTATTTTTAGTAGAGACAAGGTTTCACCATGTTGGCCAGGATGGTCTCTATCTCCTCACCACGTGATCTGCCTGCCTTGGCCTCCCAAAGTGCTGGGATTACAGGCATCAGCCACCACACCTGGCACTTATCACTCTTATTTCTAGCCATCACAATAAGGCAAAAGAGGAAACAAAGAAAACAGATTGTGAAGGAAGAAGTAAAATTGTCCCTATTTACATGTGAAATGATGATCTACATAGGAAATATCAAGAGATATACAAAAAACTTATTAGAACTAATATGGGAACTCATCAAGGTCACAGGACCCAACATCAACACACAAAAATCATTCGCATTTTTATATAGTAATAATGACCACGTGGAAATCAAAATTTAAAACACAATATAATGTACAATCACTCAAAGAAAATATTTAATTATACATGCAAGAAAACATGTATAGTTCTGTAGGCTAAAAATTACCAATGCTAATGAAAGAAAATGATGAAGACCTGAATAAATAGAAAGGCATTTGTATTAGTCCATACTCGCATTGCTATAAGGAACTACCTGAGATTGGATAATTTATTTTAAAAAAGAGCTTTAATTGGCTCATGGTTCCACAGGCTGTACAGGAAGCATGGCTGAAGAGGCCTCAGGAAACTGACAATCATGGCAAAAGGTGAAGAGGAAGGAGGCACATCTTACAAGGCCAGAGCAGGATGAAGAAAGGGTGAAGGGGGAGGTGCTACACAGTTTTAAACAACTAGATCTTGTGAAAACTCGCTCAGTATCACAAGAACAGCAAGGGGGAAGTTTGCCCCCATGATCCAATCACCCCCTACCAGGCCCCTTCTCTAACATTAGGGATTATATTTGACATGAGATTTGGGTGGGGATATAAATCCGAACCATCTCATTCTGCTCCTGGTACCTCTCAAATCTCATGTACTTCTCACATTGTAAAATATAATAATCCCTTCTCAACAGTCTGCCAAGTCTTAACTCATTTCAAGATTAACTCAAAAGTCCATAGTGCAAAGTCTCATTTGAGACAAGGCAAATCCCTTTCACCTATGTGAAAGCCTGTAAAATCAAAAACAAGTTAGTTATTTCCAAGATACAATCAGGTACAGGCATTGGGTAAACACAATTATTCCAAAAGAGAGACAGGCAAAACAAAGAGACTACAGGCCCCATGCAAGTCCATAACCCAGCAGGGCAGTCATTAAATCTTAAAACTCCAAAATAACTTCTTTTGACTCCGTGTCTCAAATCCAGGCCATCCTGATGCAAGGGGTGGGTTCCCAAGGCCCAGAGCACCTGTTCCCCTGTGGCTCTGCAGGGTACAGCTCCCTCAGCTGCTTTCATGGACTGGCATTGAGTGCCTGCAGCTTTTCCAAGAGCATGGTGCAAGCTGTCAGTGGATCTACCATTCTGGGGTCTGGAGGATGGTGGCTGTCTTCTCACAGCTCCACTAGGTAGTGCCCCAGTGGAGACTCTGTGTGGGGGATCCACCCCACATTTCCCCTCCTCACTGCCCTAGTAGAGGTTCTCCATGAGGTCTCTGCTCCTGCAGCAGACTTCCGAACGGACATCCAGGTGTTTCCATACATCCTCCAAAATCTAGGTAGAGGCTCCCAAGCCTCCACTCTTGCCCTATGTGCACCTGCAGGCCTAACACCATGTTGAAGCTGTCAAGACTTACAGCTTGCACTCTGTGGAGCAGTGGCCTGAGACATGTCTGGGGCCCTTTTTAGCCACAACTGGAGCTGGAGTGACTAAGATGCAGGGAGCAGTGTCCCAAGGCTGAGCAGGGCAGCGGGCTCTGGGCCTGACCATGAAACTATTCTTCCCTTCTAGGCCAGGCCTGTGATGGGAGGGGCTGCCACAATGGTCTCTGAAATGCCTTCAAGACATTTTCCCCATTGTTTTGGCTATTAACATTCAGCTCCTCTTCATTTATGCAAATTTCTGCAGCTGGCTTGAATTCCTCCCAAGGAAACCAAAATTTTTTTTCTACCACATGGTCAGGCTGCAAATTTTCTAAACTTTTATGTTCTGCTTCCCTTTCAAATATAAGTTCCAGTTTCAGATCATCTCTTTGCCCATGCATATGACCATATGGTGTTAGAAGCAGTCTGGCTACATCTTGAACATTTTGCTGCTTAGAAATTTCTTCCATCAGATACCCTAAATCATCATTCTCAAGTTCAAAGTTCCAAAGATCCCTAGAGCAGGGGCACAATGTTTCCAGTCTCTTTGCTAAAGCATAGCAAGAATGACTTTTTCTCTAGTCCCCAGTAAGTTCCTCATCTCCATCTGAAACCTCCTGAGCCTGGACTTCATTGTCCATATCACTATCAGTATTTTGGTCACAACCATTCAACAAGTCTCTAGGAAGTTCCAAACTTTCCCTCATCTTGCTGTCTTCTATTGAGATCTCCAAACTGTTCCAACCTCTGCCCATCGCCCAGTTCTAAAGTTGCTTACAGATTTTCAGGTATCTTTATAGCAATGCCCCACTCCTAGGTACCAATTTTCTGTTATTAGTTCATTCTCTCGTTGTTATAAAGAAATACCTGAGACTGGGTAATTTGCAAAGAAAGGACGTGTAGTTGGCTTATGGTTCTTCAGGCTGTACAGGAAGCATGGCTGGGGAGGCCTCAGGAAATTTACAATGATGGCGGAGGCAAATAAAAAGGAAGCATGTTTTACCTGGCCAGAGCAGGAGGAAAAGAGGATGAAGTGGGAGATGTTACATACTTTTAAACAACCAGATCTCATGAGAACTCACTCACTATCATGAGAAAAGCAAGGGAGAAATCCACTCCTATGATCCAATCACCTCTCACCAGGCCCCTCCTCTGGGCCCTCCACTGGGGATTACAATTCAACATGAGATTTGGGCGGGGACACAAATCCAAACCATATCAGCATTCTATGTCCATGGATTGGAAGACTAAATATTCTTAAGATGGCAATACTATTCAAATTGAGCTAGAAATTCAAAACAATTCCTAACAGAACCCCAGCTAAGTTATTTGTAGAAATTGACAAGCTGATCCTAAAATTCATATGTAAATTCAAAGAGATCAAAATAGTCAAAACAATTTTTAAAAAGAAGAGCAATAATGGAATACTAGCACTCCTCAATGTCGAATTTTACTATGCAGGTACTGCAGTCAGTGCAGTGTGCTACCTGCATAAGGACAGACATATAAAATTTTTAGTTCTGAAATAAACCTTCATATTTACAGTCAATGATTTTCAACAAAAATGCCAAGGGGAAAAAATAATCTTTAAAAAACAGTGCTAGGATAATTGGATAAACACACATAAAAAATAGAGTTGAACCCCCTACTTCACACCATATATAACAATTAACTCAAAATTGGTCAAAGACCTAAATGTAAGAGCTGAAACTATAACACTCATAGAATAAAATATTAGGAGTAAATCTTTGTAACCTTCTATGAAACAATGATTTCTTAGATATGACACTAAAGGCAAAAGAACAAAATAAAAAATAGGTAAACTGGACATCATCAAAGTTAAAATCTTTGTGCTTCAAACGATGCTATCAAGAAAGTAGAAAGGCAACCCATAGAATGGAAAAATACATTTGTAAAACATACATCTAATAAGGGACTTAAATCTAAAATATATAAAGAAAATTTTAACATCAACAATAAAAAACAACATAATTAGGTAAAGGATCTATATAGACATTTCTCCAAAGAAGATATTTAAATGGCCAATAAACATATGAAAAGTTTCCCAACATTATTTTTTATTAGGGTATTATAAATTAAAACCACAGTGAGATACCACTTTACACCCACTAGAATAGTATCTTAGTCAATTTTGTGTTACTATAAAAGAATACCTGAGACTGGGTAATTTACAAAGAAAAGAGATTTATTTTGCTCACAGTTCTACAGGCTGAGAAGTTCAAGAGCACAGCCCTGTCTTCTGATGAGGGTTTTTTGCTGCATCACAACATGGCAAAGAGGGTCAAAGGGGAAACAGGCACCTGTGAAGACAGGAAAATCTGAGGGACATCCTGGCTTTATAACAATCTACTCTCACAGTAACTAATCCATTCCTACAAGAACTAATCCAATCTTGTAAGAGTGAGAATTCACTGCTACGAGAATGTCACCAAGCCATCCATGAGGAATCAGCTTCAATTACCCAAATACCACTCACCGACCCCACCTCCCAACATCACTACACTGGGAATCAAATTTCAGCATGAGCTTTACTGGGGACAAACAAACCATATCCAAACCATAGCAGATGGCTAAAATTTTTAAATGACAAAAATAAATGTTAGCAAGAATGTATACAATAGGAATGGAAAGAAAGTATATACAATAAGTCACATTCAGGATAAGGTCATCTGAAAAACATGTCCTTTGACTAATTCCACTGCATTCTTCAAATCTGTCAAAAGACTGATTTGATTTTAATGAAACATTTACTAGGCCCCTGTTATTTGCAAAGTCCCACCATAGACACCATGGAGGATAAGAAAAAATCTAGTTTCTATTTTCGAGGCACAAGCAGTTGCAAAAGCTAAAATTAAACTCAAATTAAGGAAGAAATCATATATATGCCCCCCAAAAAAAGAAAATATTCTGAATGCTTAAACTCATGCATCTGTGTGCATACACATACACCATAAACAAAGTTGACAAATGGGATGGAGGGTATATTTAAATTATCTATAACAAAGGATATATTTCAAGAATTATATAAATAATTCTTTTAAATCATAAAAAATCAATTCCTCAATTTAAAAAATGGCAAGGGACATGGAAAGGCAATTCAAATGAGAACAAACACTAGTAATCAGTACACATGAGAAAAAGTCATTTATATTTTTAAAATTTTTTTTAAATTTAAATATTTAACCTATTAATTCAGCACCTAATAACATAAAAGAAGATTGTTAGAATTAACCACATGGAAATAAAAATTAATACAACTTTTTATTATATAAATTAATACAACAGTTTGGCCATATACATTAAGGTACCCAGCTCCTCTCATAGGGAATGGTTAGACAGTGGATGCAGCCCATGGAGGGCGAGCTGAAGCAGGGTGGGGCATCACCTCACCCGAGAAGCACAAGGGGTCGGGGAACTCCCTCCCTAGACAAGGGAAGCCTTGAAAGACTGTGGCTTGAGGAATGGTGCACTCCAGCCCAGATACTACACTTTTCCCATGGTCATCGCAACTGGCAGACCAGGAGATTCCCTCTGGTGCCTATGCTACCAGGGCCCTGGTTTTCAAGTACAAAACTGGGTGGCCATTTGGGCAGACATCGAGCTAGCTGCAGGAGTTTTTTTTCATACCCCAGTGGTGTCTGGAATGCCAGCGAGACAGAACCATTCACTCCCCTGGAAAGGAGGCTGAGGCCAGAAAGCCAAGTGGTCTAGCTCAGCAGATCCTAACTCCATGGAGCCCAGCAAGCTAAGATTCATTGGCTTGAAATTCTTGCTGCCAGCACAGCAGTCTGAAGTCAACCTGGGAGGCTCAAGCTTGGTGAGGGGAGGGACATCTGCCATTACTGAGGCTTGTGTAGGTGGTTTTCCCCTCACAGTGTAAACAAAGCCACGGAGAAATTCCAACTGGGCACAGCCTTCCACAGCTCAGAAAATCCTCTGAAGCCAGACTGCCTCTCTAGATTCCTCTTCTCTGGGCAGGGCATCTCTGAAAAATAAGGCAGCAGCCCCAGTCAGGGGCTTATAGATAAAACTCCCAACTCCCTAGGACAGAGCACCTGGGGAAAGGGGCAGCTGTGGGCACAACTTCAGCAGACTCAAACACTTCTGCATGCCAGCACTGAAGAGAGCAGCGAATCTCCCAGCACAGCGCTCCAGCTCTGCTAAGGGACAGACTGGCTCCTCAAGTGGATCCCTGACCTCTGTGCCTCCTGACTGGGAGGGGTTGACAGACACCACATACAGGAGAGCTCCGGCTGGTATCTGGCAGGTGCCCCTCTGGGACAAAGCTTCCAGAAGAAGGAACAGGCAGCAATCTTTGCTGTTCTGCAGCCTCCACTGGTGACACCCAGGCAAACAGGGTCTGGAGTGGACCTCCAGCAAACTCCAGCAGACCTGCAGCAGAGGGGCCTGACTATTAGAAGGAAAACTAACAAACAGAAAGGAATAACATCAACATCAACAAAAAGGGCATCCACACAGAAACCCCATCCAAAAGTCACCAACATCAAAGACCAAAGGTAGATAAATCCACGAAGATGGGGAGAAACCCACGCAAACAGGCTGAAAATTCCAAAAATGCCCTTTTTCCTCCAAAGAATTACAACTCCTTGCCAGCAAGGAAACAAAACTGGATGGAGAATGAGTTTGATGAATTGACAGAAGTAGGCTTCAGAAGGTGGGTAACAACAAACTCTTCAAAGCTAAAGGAGCATGGTCTAATCCAATGCAAGGAAGCTAAGATCCTTGAAAAAAAGTTAGATGAATTGCTAACTAGAATAACCAATTTAAAGAACATAAATAACCAGATGGACCTGAAAAACACAGCACAAGAACTTTGTGAAGCATACACAAGTATCAATAGCCGAATTGATAAAGCAGAAAAAAAGATATCAGAGATTGAAATCAGCTTAATTAAATAAAGCGTGAAGACAAAATTAGAGAAAAAAAATGAAAAGGCACGAACAAAGCCTCCAAGAAATATGGGACTATGTGAAAAGACCAAACCTACGTTTGATGGGTGTACATGAAAATGATGGGGAGAATGAAAACAAGTTGGAAAACACTCTTCAGGATATTATCCAGAAGAACTTCCCCATGCTAGCAAGACAGGCCAACATTCAAATTCAGGAAATACAGAGAGCACCTCAATGATATTCATCGAGAGAGCAACCCCAAGACACATAATCTCATCAGATTCACCAAGGTCGAAATGAAGGAAAAAATGTTAAGGGCAGCCAGAGAGAAAGGTCGGGTTACCCACAAAAGGAAGTTAATCAGACTAACAGCGGATGTCTCTGGAAAAAACCCTACAAGCCAGAAGAGAGTGGGGGTTAATATTCAACATTCTTAAAGAAAAGAATTTTCAACCCAGAATTTCATATCCAGCCAAACTAAGCTTCATAAACGAAGGAAAAATAAAAGCTGAGAGACTTTTTCACCACCAGGCCTGCCTTACAAGAACTCCTGAAGGTAGCACTAAACATGGAAAGGAAAAACCAGTACCAGCCACCACAAAAACATACCAAATTGAAAAGACCATTGACACTATGAAGAAACTTCATCAACTAATGGCCAAAATAACCAGCTAGCATCATAATGACAGGATCAACTTCACACATAACAATATTAACCTTAAATGTAAACAGGCTAAACACCCCAATTAAAAGACACAGCCTGGTAAATTGGTTAAAGAGAGGAGACCCATCAATGTGCTGATTCAGGAGACTCATCTCACTTGCAAAGACACATATAGGCTCAAAATAAAGAGATGGAATAATATTTCCAAAGCAAATGGAAAGCAAAAAATAGCAGGGGTTGCAATCCTAGTCTCTGATAAAACAGACTTGAAACCAACAAAGATCAAAAGAGACAAAGAAGGGCATTATATTATGGTAAAGGGATCAATGTAACAAGAAGAGCTAACTATCCTAAATATATATGCACCCAATACAGGAGCACACAGATTCATACAGCAAGTTCTTGGAGACCTACAAAGAGACTTAGACTCCCACATAATGATAGTGGGAGACTTTAACACACCACTGTCAATATTAGACAGATCAACGAGACAGAAAATTAACAAGCATATCCAGGACTTGAACTCAGCTCTGGACCAAGCAGAACTAATACACATTTACAGAACTCTCCACCCCCAACCAACAGACTATACATCCTTCACAGCGTCACATCACACTTATTCTAAAATTGACCACATAATTGGAAATAAAGCACTCCTTAGCAAATGAAAAAAACGGAAATCATAACAGTATCTCAGATCACAGTGCAATAAAATTAGAACTCAGGATTAAGAAACTCACTCAAAACCACACAACTACATAGAAACTGAACAACCTGTCCCTGAATGACTACAGGGGAAATAACAAAGTTAAGGCAGATCTAAGTAAGTTCTTTGAAACACATGAGAACAAAGACACAATGTACCAGAATCTCTGGGACACAATTAAAGCAGTGTTTAGAGGAAAATTTATAGCACTAAATGCTCATAAGAGAAAGCAGGAAAGATCTAAAATTGACACACTAACATCACAATTAAAAGAACTAGAGAAGCAAGAGCAAACAAATTCGAAAGCTAGCAGAAGGCAAGAAATAGCTAAAATCAGAGCAGAACTGAAGAAGATAGAGACACAAAAAACCCTTCAAAAAAATCAATGAATCCAGGAGCTGGATTTTTGAAAAGATCAACAAAATAGACCACTAGCCAGAATAATAAAGAAGAAAAGAGAGAAGAATCAAATAGACGCAATAAAAAATGATAAAAGGAATATGACCATTGATCCCACAGAAATACAAACTACCATCAGAGAATACCATAAACACATCTATGCAAATGAACTAGAAAATCTACAAGAAATGGATAAATTCCTGGACACATACACCCTCCCAAAACTAAACCAGGAAGAAGTCGAATCCCTGACTAAACCAATAACACCTTCTGAAATTGAGGCAGTAATTAATAGCCTACCAACCAAAAAAAGTCCAGGACCAGACAGATTCACAGCCAAATTCTACCAGAGGTACAAAGAGGAGCTGGTACCATTCCTTCTGAAACTATTCCAAACAATAGAAAAAGAGGGACTGCTCCCTAACTTATTTTTTGAGGCCAGCATTATACTGATACCAAAACCTGGCAGAGACGCACACACAAAAAAAGAAAATTTCAGGCCAAGATCCCTGATGAATATCGATGTGAAAATCCTCAATAGAATACTGGAAAAGCGAATCCAGCAACACATTAAAAAGCTTATCCACCACGATCAAGTTGGCTTCATCCCTGGGATGCAAGGCTGGTTCAACATATGCAAATCAATAAATGTAGTCCATCACATAAACAAACCAATGACAAATTCCACATGATTATCTCAATAGATGCAGAAAAGGCTGTTGATAAAATTCAACACAACTTCATGCTAAAAACTCTCAATGAACTAGCTATTGATGGAATGCATCTCAAAATAATAAGAGCTATTTCTGAAAAAACCCACAGCCAATATCACACTGAATGGGCAAAAACTAAAGGCATTCCCTTTGAAAACCTGCACAAGATAAGGATGCCCTCTCTCACTGCTCCTATTCAAAATAGTATTGGAAATTCTGTCCAGGGCAATCAGGCAAGAAAAAGAAATAAAGCGTATTCAAATAGGAAGATAGGAAATCAAATTGTCTCTGCAGATGATAGGATTGTATTTTTAGAAAACCTTGTCGTCTCAGCCCAAAAACTCCTTAAGCTGATAAGCAACTTCAGCAAAGTCTCAGGACAGAAAATCAATGTGCAAAAATCACAAGCATTCCTATACACCAATTATAGACAGAGAGCAAAATCATGAGTGAACTCCAATTCACAATTGCTGCAAAGAGAATAAAATACCTAGGAATCCAACTTACAAGTGATGTGAAGGACCTCTTCAAGGAGAATTACAAACTACTGCTCAAGGAAATAAGAGGGGACACAAACAGGTGGAAAGATATTCCAGGCTCATGAATAGGAAGAGTTGTGAAAATGGCCATATTGTCCAAAGTAATTTATAGATTCAATGCTGTCCCCATCAAGCCACCACTGACTTTCTTCACAGAATTAGAAATACTACTTTAAATTTCATATGGACCAAAAAAGTGCCCACATAGCCAAGACAATCCTAAGCAAAAAGAACAAAGCTGGAGGCACCATGCTACCTGACTTCAAACTATACTACAAGCCTACAGTAACCAAAACAGCATGGTACTAGTACCAATACAGATATATAGACCAATGAAACAGAACAGAGGCTTTAGAAATAATGCCACACATCTACAACCATCTGATCTTTGACAAACCTGACAAAAACAAGCAATGGGAAAGGGTTCTCTATTTAGTAAATGGTATTGGGAAAACTGGCTAGCCATATACAGAAAACTGAAACTGGACCCCTTCCTTACACCTTGCATAAAAATTAATTCAAGATGGATTAAAGATGTAAAAATAAGACCTAAAACCATAAAAACCCCAGAAAAAAGCCTAGGCAATACCTTTCAGGACATAGGAATGGACAAAGACTTCATGACTAAAACACAAAAAGCAATGGCAACAAAAGCCAAAACTGACAAATGAGATCTAATTGAACTAAAGAGCTTCTGCACAGCAAAAAAAAAAAAATTAAAAAAAAAAAAAAAAAAACTACCATCAGAGTGAACTGGCAACCTACAGAATGGAAGAAAATTTTTGCAATCTATCCATGTGACAAAGGGCTAATATCCAGAATCAACAAAGAACTTAAACTTACAAGAAAAAAATCATACAACCTCATCAAAAAGTGGGCAAAGGATATGAACAGACACTTCTCAAAAGAAGACATTTGTGCAGCCAAGAAACATATGAAAAAAGGCTCATCATCACTGGTCATTAGTGAAATGCAAATCAAAACCACAATGAGATACCATCTCACACCAGTTAGAATGGCAATTATTAAAAAGTCAGGAAACCACAGATGCTAGAGAGGATGTGGAGAAATAGGAATGCTTTTACACTGTTGGTGGGAGTGTAAATTATTTCAACCATTGTGGAAGACAGTGTGGTGATTCCTCAAAGATCTAGAACCAGAAATACCATTTGACCCAGCAATCCCATTACTGGACATATACCCAAAGGATTATAAATCATTTTACTATAAAGACATATGCACACGTATGTTTATTGCAGCACTATTCACAATAGCAAAGACTTGGAACCAACCCAAATGCCCATCAATGACAGACTGGATAAAGAAAATGTGGCACATATACACTATGGAATACTATGCAGCCATAAAAAAGGATGAGTTCTTGCTGTTTGCAGGGACATGGATGAAGCTGGAAACCATCATTCTCAGCAAACTAACACAGGAACAGAAAAGCAAACACCACATGTTCTCACTTATAAGTGGGAGTTGAACAATGAGAACACATGGACACAGGGATGGGAATATCACACACTGGGGCCTGTCAGGAGGTGGGGGGCTAGGGGAGGGATAGCACTAGGAGAAATACCTAATGTAGATGACAGGTTGATGGGTGCAGCAAACCACCATGGCAAGTGCATACCTATGTAACAAACCTGCACCTTCTGCACCTATATCTTAGAACTTAAAGTACAATAAAAAAAGAGTCCATAGTAGTCCCATTCTACCCAGAGAAATCATTTTTCCAGCCAATCTGCCTAACAAAAAGTAATAAAAGAAATGCATGAGCCCCAAATTCTCCAGCTTGTTGGTGGCTTGCTTCATAATAATAATGATAATTTGATTTAGTATGTATCTTCCTGCTCCTATGCTGTCAGACGTCCCTTCTCTTCTTTGGTGGCTCAGTGCCACTAAATACATTTTGAACACTTATTTGTTTAGACCTGCTGGGGATCACATTTTGTTTTGTTGAGCAGATCTTTCCCTGTGCTGCTTTCCCTGAGTTGAGAGCCAGCCAACAAATTTGAAGCCCCCTCACCATCTGTTCCAATTTTTATATCTGCGTTGTTGGGCATCAATGAAAAGGCGAAAGTGCCACTGTGCCCCCAGGGACAGGGTAACAGTGGAATCACCTGGATGCTGCCTGATCTTATGCCAGACAACAGAAAGCACTTAGGCCACGTAGTTTTCACCCCAAATAAGAGCTTCAATTCAGAAGCATTGAACACATAAGGGTTCTGACATTGTCTGTAGATAATAAAGTAGTATTAGAGATTGTTGGGGGTGGGGACTGACTGGATAACTTTGAGGATTCTAGGCCTTTGGGTCTGTTTCATGTATGCTTGGTGTCAGCTTCTGCTACCTTTCTTTTTGAGTCACCGATGCCCATCCACCTTCCCAACCTGCTGTCTCATTCTTTTGAAATTATCCTAACCACTAAACCACCATGGACAATTCTTTTTTTAACAAAGCATGTTTTTTATTGTGGTAAATTATACATAGCATAAAATTTACCATTTTGAATGTACAATTCAGTGACTTTAAGTGCATTCACAATGTTGTGTAATCATCACCACTCTATTTCCAGAACTTTTTCATGATCTCAAACAGAAATTCTAATCAGTAAGCAATAACTCTCCATCCACATTCCCCATCCTCTGATAACCTTTTTTCTACTTTTTGTCTCTATTAATTAACCTATTCTAGATATTTCATATAAGAGGACTCATACAATATTTTCATTTGTGTCTTGCTTACTGTTTTTTAAGGCTCATCCATGTTATAGCATGTTTCAGAACTTCATTCATTCTTAAGGTTGAATAATATTCCATTATATGTATGTATCACATTTTGTTTATCTATTCGATTGTTGATGAACTCATGGGTTGTTTTCACCTTTTAAGGATTGTGAGTAATGCTGCCATGAACACTGGTGTACATGTCCCATTCTTGAACAAATCCCAACCTAGCCTTAAGGTAGGTCAGTGACCTCATACAGTAGGATTGTGACTTAGTTTAGACATGTTATTGGGGTGAGTTCTGAGCAACTTAAAAGCATGTGAGTAACAACTACCTTCTCTCCTTCGGTCCATACTAACCTTCTCCCTCAGTATCGGTTAAAACTAAAATAATTACCTAAATAATTCAGAAATTCCACTCCTAGAAATAGACCCAAAAAAATGAGTGTACAGGACCATTAAAATACCTATATCAGAATATTCCCAGTAGCTTTATCCATAATAGGCAAAAACTGGAGCCAGCCCAAACGTCCATCAAAAGGAGACTATTCCAGGTCACTGGAATACAACTTGGCATACTGTAACATGGATGAATCTCACAGATATTATGTTGAGGAAAAGAAGCCAAACACAAAAGAGGACATACTGTATATAAAGTTTATACAAAGTTTATATACAAACATACTATATATAAACTTTATATAACCTCTTTATAGTTTAACATATTGTATATAAACATTATATAAACTTAATATAAAGTTTATATACAAACTTACTGTATATAAACTTTTAATACAAAGTTTATATACAAACTTACTGTATATAAACTTTATATAACCTTTATATGAAGTTCAAAAAAGGCAAAACAAATCTATGATGACAGAGGTCATCAATTGCTACCTCTTGGGGGAAGGCATTGATGGGAGAGTCATGGAGAAGTTTGGCAGTTTTTTACAAAACTAAACATACTCTTACCATACAATTCAGGAATCATACTTCTTGGTATTTAGCCAAATGAGTAAAAACTTATGTCTGTGCAGAAAAAGGTACACAGATGTTTATAGCAGCTTTATTCATAATTGCCAAAACTTAGAAGCAACCAAGATATCCCTTCAATAGGTAAATGAATAAATAAACTGTGGTACAACCACATAATAGAATATTATTCAGAGGCAAAAAGAAATGAGCTATCAAGCAATGAAAAAACATGGAGGGACCTTAAATGCATATTACTAAGTGAAAGAAACCAACCAAAAAAGGTCACGTACTATACAATTCCAACTATATGACATTCTAGAAAAAACAAAACTACAGAAACAGTAAAAAGATCAGTGGGTGTCAGGGGTTAGGGAGAGGGAAGGATGAATAGGTGAAGTGCAAATGATTTTAGGGCAGTGAAAATACTCTGTGTAATTCTATGATGGTGGATACATGTTATACATTTTTCAAAGCCCACAGAATGCACAACACCAAGAGTGAACCCTGATGTAAACTATGGACTTTTAGTGATAATGAGATGCCAAGGTAGTTTCATCAGTTGTAACAGATAAACCACTCTGTTGTGAGATATTGATAAAGTAGGAGGGTATGCATGTGTGGGGGCAAAGTATATAGAAACTCTATATTTTCACTCAATTTTGCTGTGAACATAAAATTGCTGTGCAAATAAAGTACATTAAAAAATAATGTTCAAAGAACTAAAGGAAACCATTCTGAAAGAAAAAAAGGAAGGAGTAAAAATGAAGGAGTAAGAACACCTATACATTCTATCCTCCATAAATGCAATAAGAAAACTGGTTTTAAAATTGTCAGAATCAACTCTTTTGGACATAGACATTAACTAAAGTCTTACAGCAGTCTGGGGACCATTTATTTAAAAAAAATGGGTGAATCTTAATAAGAACAGCAAGCCACAAGTCTTACGACATTTTTATCTTTAGTGTTCCCACCTCCTCTTTCCCAGTTCCATGGTACTTTTGAAAACCAACAGCCCACTATCATGATGAAAATTAGCAACGTGGTAACAACTACATAGGGCAAAACAGGGTTGAGATGCTTCAAAGCCTCATTCAGAGATAATTTGCTATTATATGACCTCTTTGGTTGTTCCTCTGAAGACCTGACTGAGTACAAAAAGACCTTTCCCAGGGGGTTTATCAGAAACAGAGGCAACTGTTTTACCAACACACTATCCGAGGTGTGGATAAGAGTTGGTGCAAACACTAAACTAACCAAAAAGTTTAAAATAAAAGCAAAAAAACAAAAAATGGGACACTCATAGGGGCTTTGATAATCTTCTACATATTCCTGGAAATGTAGAGGGCCATTCACATGTTTCGGGTTGTATCCATGGTCAGGGCCGAGCACATGCTCATAAAAGACTTGAGGAGGCCCTAAGCTCTCACCTCTGGCTGTCATTAAGGTGCTGCACAAGCAGGAAGTAAAGGTTAAAATGAAGTTGTAAACTGCCTGGCTGAGGGTTGAAATCGTGTTTCAACATGTACACAGAGCCCTTCAGTGAAGACTGTTAGGCTTATTGGTTCTAGGCATTTCAGTTAATATTTGTTGAATTTTTAGCTGGCCACTAAGATAAGCAAGCAGAGGCTTCAATGGTTACACATAGGAAAAAAAAAGATTTTGCAGAATTAGTAGTGAAAATTTATGAAATAAACAAATAGAGACAAGAACAAACACTGGGGAGGAGGAATACCTCATTCCAGCATACTGTCTATCTATATCTGTTTATCTACAATTTAAAAGAAAAACAAAGAAGTTAAAAGGATTAAAACCACACAAAATATGTTCTCTGAAAACAATGGAATAAAATTAGAAATCAATAAAAATAAAATTTTGAAAATGTATACGAATATGTGTTAGTTAAACAATAGATTCCTTAACAACAGGAGATCAAAGAAGAAATCACAAGAAAAATTAGAAAATAATTTGAGATGAGTGAAAACAAAAACCTAACTTAGAAAAACTTATGGGAAGCAGCTAAGGCACTGCTTAGAGGGAAGTTTATAGCTGTAAATGCCTATATTAAAAAGAAGAATGATCTTAAATTAATAACCTAGTGTTCCACCTTAAGAAACTAGAAAAAAAGAAAAATAAACACAAGGCAAGCAGAAAGAATGAAAGGGTAATTATTAAAGCAGAAATAAATTAAAAAGAGACTCAACAAACAATAAAGAAAATCAACAAAACCAAAGTTGGATCTTTGAAAAGACCAACAAAATTGACAAAGCTTTAGCTAACCTGATCAAGAATCAAAGGGAAAATTCAGATGACTAAAATCAGCACTGAAAGGGAATATGTTAATCTGAAGCTTACAGAAATAAAAAGGATTATAAGAGGATATGATGAAAATTTGTATGCCAACAAATTAGATAACCTAGATGAAGTGGACAAATTCCTAGAAAAATACATATTACTGAAAGTGACTCAAAAAGAAATAGAAATTTGAATAGACTTATAAGAAGTAAAGAGATTGGATTTGTCTTCAGAAAGCTGCTCACAAAGAAAAGCCCAGAACCAGATGGTTTTACTGGTGAATTGTACCAAATATTTAAACAATTGAAACCAATTGTTCACAAACCCTTCCAAAAAATTGAAGAAGATACATTCTCCAACTCAAACAAATGGTAGTCTGACTTTTAGTTTTCTGAGGAATCTTCATACTGTTTTCCACAGTGGTCGTACTAGTTTACATTCCCACCAGCAGTGTAAAAGTAGTCCCTTCTCACATCCATGCCAACATCTATTATTTATTTAACTTTTAATTATGGCCATTCTTGCAGGAGTAGGGTGGTATTGCATTGTGGTTTTAATTTGCATTTCCCTGATAGTGATGTTGAACATTTTTTATATGTTTTTATATGTTTGTTGGCCATTTGTATATCTTCTTTTGAGAACTGTCTATTCATATCCTTTGCCCAATTTTTGATGGGATTATTTGTTTCTTTTTCGATGATTTGTTTGAGTTCCTTGTAGATTCTGGATATTACTCCTTTGTCGGATCCATAGTTTGTGAAGATTTTCTCCTACTTGGTGGGTTGTGTGTATACTCTGCTGACTATTTCTTTTGCTGAGCAGAAGACTTTTAGTTCAATTGAATGCCATCAATTTATCTCTGTTTTTGTTGCATTTGCTTTTGGGTCCTTGGTCATGAAGTCTTTGCCTAAGTCAATGTCTAAAAGAGTTTTTCCGGTGTTATCTTCTAGTATTTTGATGGTTTCAAGTCTTAGATTTAAGTCTTTGATCCATCTTGAGTTTATTTTTGTATAAGGTAAAAGATGAGGATCAAGTTTCATTCTTCTACATATGGCTTGCCAATTATCCCAACACCATTTGTTGAATAGTATGTCATTTCCCCACTTTATGTTTTTGTGTGCTTTGTCAAAGATCACTTGACTATAAGTATTTGGCTTTATTTCTGGGTTCTCTATTCTATTCCATTGGTCTATGTACCCATTTTTATACAAGTACCATGCTGTTTTGGTAACTATAGCCTTGTGATATAGTTTGAAATCAGGTAATGTTATGCCTCCAGATTTGTTCTTTTTGCTTAATCTTGATTTGTCTATGTGGGCTCTTTTTAAAATCCATATGAATTTTAGGATTGTTTTTTCTAGTTCTGTGAAGAATGATGATGGTATTTTGATGAGAATTGCATCAAATATATAGACTGCAGCTGGGCACAGTGGCTCATGCCTGTAATCCCAGCACTCTGGGAGGCCGAGGCAGGCAGATGACTTGAGGTCAGAAGTTCGAAACCAGCCTGGCCAACATGATGAAACCTCGTCTCTGCTAAAAATACAAAAATTAGCTGGACATGGTGGCACACTCTTGTAATCCCAGCAACTCAGGAGGCTGAGGCATGAGAATTGCTTGAACTCAAGAGGCAGAGTTTGCAGTGAACCGAGATTGTGCCACTGCATTCCAGCTTCGGTGACGGAATGAGACTCCATCTCAAAAAAAAAAAAAGAAAGAAAAGAAAGAAAAAGAATATGTAGATTGCTTTTGGCAGTGACATACTTGTTGGACTTTCTAACTTGTCCTAGACATCCTCTTTTCTTAAGCAACCAGTTATTTTATTTTAGGACAAGAATTTCCCATACAAGATTCTTTGTAACATTTCTTACCATAAATACCTCTTCACCTTTGTAATCTTTTAATTAGACGAGCTACTTTTATTCTGTTAGGAAGTTATGGTTTGTATTACATGTTGTTGTGTGAGTCCTGAGAAGAGGGAGCAGATAAGGAGGTTATCTACATGATGTAGAAGTTATCCCCCATCAAGGGATTGCTCGGTTAGATTTCTTGTTTGTGTGAATAAGTGTGGGCTATATTTAAAACTCCTGAGGTAAGAATATTTAGGTTGAAGCTATTGGTTATAGATCTAGGTAGCTTTCCTGGGAGAAATAGGGCTATTAGAGGGAAAGAGGAATTTAGAGTTTGGGTAAATATAAAGCAGACACCCATCTTAGAAAGTATATTCTTGTCCCAAAGGGGGGTGGGGTATTTAGATATTACCAGAAACTCTTGGGAGAATGGTAATTTATCCTTTAAGTAGAATAAAGTGGTGTGAATTTTTCTACTGAAGGAAGGGGTGCCACTTGGCCCCATTACCTGACAGGATTTGGAGGAGAGTTGCTTAGAGAAGAAGATTAGTACAGAGTAGGCAGTTCTTGAACTTAAAAAATTTATTTATTTTACTTGCCACCTCCAGAGTTGCCTTTGGCTTTGTCTTGTTGATGATGACTCTGATTTGGGAGCCAGTCAGAGAAGAGAGTACCTGCAGCTCAAGGCCATTAGGGGTTGGGATTCTGTTCTGGGGAACATTTTGACCCTTAGGGCAGTTTCATTTTCAGTAGCCGAGCTTGTGGCAGAGGGGACAAGCCACGCAGGGCTTTTTCACATTTATCCCATTAAGGCAGTTTGCCTTTCAGTGGCCTGGTCTTTTGCACGATGGCAGTTACCTGTAGGAGTGTCCTTAGGGCTACCTGGAGGGGGTTGGGGGCTTGTAAAACAGCCAACAGTTGAGACTGCCTAATGTTCCTGTGTTTTTCTTTTTTCTTAGCTTTGTTCTCCTTATTCGGCTCTCAGTTATAAAAGAATGAGGAGGCTAATTTGAGGATTTCCTGCATAGGGGCCATGCTGTATTACACAAGAAAATTAGACATTTCTTTTTGAGAGTCTGAGGGTTAAATTAATCCCAGTGTTTTAGGAAGCAACCCCGAGGTGAGTCTGAGGGAACAGATGAGATTTGTCCTATGATGGGACTGAAAATGACAAGCTGCTGGGGGTAATGTCCGCTGCGGTCATGAACTGCACTTTGTCTCAGGGCATCCTGCCGAGGAAAAGGGTTCCACTCACGTCCACTGAGGGACTTCGAGATGCACTTTCCAAAGGGGCATCCTACCTATTGGAAGGATCTCCCAGCATTGTGGCTGATGGCCCTGGGGTTTTATGCTGGATGGCTAGTCCAGGTAGGAGGAATGAGGATGAATGGAGAACACAGCCTGGAACTAGCCCAGGAGAAGGAATGGGAATGGGGAGATTCACCTGAGGCCACTTGAAATCATCTGATTTGGCAACATCCAGAGCAGGTTTGGCTGTCTTTACAGTAGAATTTAGAATGAGGAAGAGGGGGTCTGAGTTCCCCAAAACATGTGTAGGTTAGCTTTAGTCGAGCTTTAGCTGCCAATCATGCTACATGTAGGGATTGGGGACTTTGGGGAGAGAGCTTTCCTCTCTTCCGAACAAGGCAGACAAACCTGTTCACCCCCTGACCTTCAGACTCCACCAGAGAGTAGCTCTGGCCAGTGACCATCAATTGCCAGAAAGATACTGGAATTTTTTCACAGGAAGACTGGAAAGAAAAACAAAACTCTAAACTCCCACCCAATTGGGCAGTGGTCAGACGTGCTATCAGGACCTTCTGGTCTTCTGGGGAGTGGCCTCAGCTGGGATCGTCAATTGGCTCCAGGCTTGGACACTGTCCACCAAGAGGTTGGAGTTAGGGAAGAGAAAAGGGAGAAACTAGGAGACACGTTCTTAAGCAGTTCCTGAGCACTCCCTGAGTAGCTCCCGAGCATTCTTCTAGCAGTCTTGGAGCACTCCCTGATCAGTCCCACACACTCCCCATATGGGCCACCAAAATGTTGTGGGTGCAACTAGCTGGGGCTGATGTTGTGGGCAGTAAAGGAATTTACTAAGACAGTTGTGGGTAAAGGAAAAAGAATTTATTAAAGAAAGTACAAAGACATGTTGCAAGAAAGCAATGGGCAGCACAGCAGGGAAGAGGCTGCCTGCAAAGAAGCAGGGGATGGACAAAAGTTTTATAAGGTCATGCTGGAGGGGGCTATGTGCAAGTGAATTTGTGCTGTATGCTAAGAATATGTTGGGGTAATTTTTAACTGCCAGGTCTTTCCTATCCAGGTGCCCAGGGGAAACACTATGCTGCTTTTAGCTGTCTTGCGACCCACATGCTTTCCGTTTCTGGTGTTGCAAGATACTGACTGTGGTTTTTCACACAAAGAGGTGAGCTCTGCAAACTGGGTTAGGTCCCTGTTCTGCCAGCCTGGCTCCTCCCTGGTTCCTGTTAACTTATTGATTTACTGGGGCCCCAAAGTTACCAGGAACTTGTGGTAAGGAGAGGAGGGTAGTAGAAAGTGACTGATAATGAATATGAAGTTTCTTTTAGGGATGATAAAAATGCCCTGAAATTAGATAGTGGTGGTATTTGTATAACTTTGTTTTTTTTCTGTTGTTGTTGTTGTTTTTTGACATAATTTTACTCTTGTCACCCAGGCTGGAGTGCAATGGTGCAATCTTGGCTCACTGCAACCGCTGCCTCCCAGGTTCAAGTGATTCTCCTGTCTCAGTCTCCTGAGTAGCTGGGATTACAGGCACCTGCCACCACACCCAGCTAATTTTTGTATTTTTAGTACAGATGAAGTTTCACCATGTTGGCCAGGCTGGTCTCGAACTCCTGACCTCAAGTGATCCGCCCATCTTGGCCTCCCAAAGTGCTGCGATTACAGGTGTGAGCCACCAGGCGCAGCCTATAACTTTGTGAATAGACTAACATCCACTGAATTATACATTTTGAAAGTGTGGAATTTGTAATATGTGAATTTCATCTCAATATTAAAAAATTACAATTAAAAAACAAAGTAAAAAGATGCCACGAGATTTATCAAATGGAGAATATTAATATAGAGGTGTAAATTATTTTTAAAAATAACCAAACAGAAATTCTAGGGTTAAGAAAAGTTCTTCATGCTGAAAGAAAGTGACTCTAGACAGCAATTTGAATCCACACATAGAAACAAAGAGCAGTAGTAAAGTTATTTATGGAATAAAAGACAGTGTAAATTCATATTTCTTCTCTGTTCTCCTTAACTGATTTAAAAGACAATTGTATAAAGCAATATGTATACTGTTGGGTCTATACCATATAGAAATGTAATATATTTGACAGTAATAGCCCAAAGGAGGTAGATGAGAGCAAATTTATATTAAAGAAAGAAAATATAACAAAATCTATAAATGTATACTTGCTTTCCTCTTTTTCTCCATTTCTTTAATAGACTTGAAATTGTATAAAGTAATAACAATATATTATTGCATTTGTGACATATATAAATGTAATATATATATATATATATATATACATAACAATAATAGCACAAAAGGGGGAGATAATAGAGCCATGTAAGTGTTTCTTTATCTCACCAGAATTAAGTTTGTATAAGTTGAAGGTGATTTTCACAAGTTAAGACGTATATGTTAAGCCCTAGAGCAACCACTAACAAAATAACTAAAAAAAAAAAAAAAAAAAAGGCAGAAAACACTAAATAAATTAAAGTGTTACATTAGGAAATACTTACTGCAAAAGAAAGCAATAAAGGAGGAATAGAGGAACAAAACATGGGCTCCAAGATCAGAAGGAATAATTCAGAAGAAGAAATAATTCTGGATTTTCAAGTTTCAAGAGTGGATTTTAGCAAAGACCCTTTGGGCCTACACTGATTGCAAAAAAAACACACAGCTCAGCAAATCCCTAACAGACAGTACTTGGGCAGGGTTTTACTTTGCAAAGATATTGCATTTGCAAGGAGCAGTTTATGGAGCTATCTTTATTTTGGATATTTTTCCACAAGCCCTTTTCTATTTGGGTGAGACTAAATTCTGCCACTGGTAATAAGACCCTTACCTTACCTTCTCAGAAATGTAGACCATTGAACAGTTTTTCACTTATCCAGAAAAGTGGCAGCTGAACCACCCTGCTGCCAAGTTGTTCTATTTACATAGACCCAAAACTCACCAAAGATACCCCTAACCAGGATGAGGAAGAAAATTGTACTAACAGAGAAAGACAAGACAAGGGGCTCAGGCTAAACTAGAAGTTTTCTTGGAGAGGTCAATGGATATGTAAAAATAGTGGGTGGAATTGACACTTCCTAAACCCCTCTGACAAGATCCAAACCAAGGGCTGTGAGAAAAATTAAGTTATTCTGGGATTGGAAGACTTTCAGCTATGGGTGGGCGAATTGGCTGGGAGACAGAAAACAAGAGGTTAAAATAACAATGTCTTTTGACAGCAAATTCTACCACAGGACAGGTCTGCAATTTCACATGGTTATAAATAATCTGAAGAGCAAGGTAATGCTTTTAGTGAAATTGAGTTTCTAATTCATACAGCAAGTGTTCATGTAGAACCTATGTACTAAGCTTGGTCTGGCAGTGGAAGATTTTGTGATGAAAAAGACATTGCCCCTTTTGGGAGGGATTGTATAATCAGGTTGAGATTCACACGTGAAGAGAGCCACTCAGTGTCATTTCATTCATGAGCTGAAGCCAGGGGAGGACCAGACAATATGGTACATTAGTGAGGAGGGGAGGATGGACAGGAGGTTTCCGAGGGAAAGCAAGACTGAAGCTGGTCCTAAAAGATTAGATGTTGGGACTTTGGGGACTCGGGGAAAGAATGGGAAGGGGGTGAGGGATAAAGGACCACAAATTGGGTTCAGTATATACTGTGTTCGGGAGATGGGTACACCAAAATCTCACAAATCACCACTAAAGAACTTACTCATGTAACCAAACACCACCTGTTCCCCAAAAACCTATGGAAATAAGAAGTTAAAAACAATTACAAAATAAATTTAAAAAAGATTATATGTTGGAATTCAGAAAGAAAGAGGAAGATCATCCCAACTAGAGAAAGCAGCACATTCCTAGGGAGGAGCCATTAACTCATTCAACAAACATTGAGTACTTACTGTGTCCAGGTAAGTTGTTGGAGAATACAGCTGTGAACAAAAAAAGTCCCTGCCTTTGTGAAGGTTATATTCTAGATGGACAGATGGGTAATAAACAATAAGAAATAGATAAATTAGATCATTTCAGTTAGTGAGAAATGTTATGAAAAAATAAAGCAGGATAATGAAATAGAGAATGAATTCAAATCATGGTTTGCCTTTTTATTAGCTGTGTAACTTTAGGAATGCTGTTTAACTTTTTTGTGTCTTAGTGTCCTTCCTCATCTATAATATGGTGCAATAACAGCATTTATCTTGTAAGAGCATAGTAAGGGTGATTTAATTTATGCAAAAGGGCTTAGAACGGTATCTGGCACATTGTAAGCCATATAAGTTAGCTATTATAGGTGTGTATGTGAGTTGGGAAGTGGGGACTAATTCAGATAGGGTGATAAAGGGGTACTTCTGTGAGCTGGGACCTGAATGATGAGGAGCCGGTCATGGGAAATTCTCTGGCAAGAACATTCCAGACAATGGGGCAGTTAAAGGCCTGATACTTGGATGAGCTTGGGATATTAATGGAAAAGAAATAAGGACAATGTGGCTGAAGCATAGTAAGCCAGGGAAGGGTGCTAAGAGGTGAAATGAAAAAAGAGGTGAGAAAGGGCCAGATTACATAGAGCCTGGAAGGTAACAGTACAGATTTGAATTTCATTCTGAGTGTGATTAAAGAAAAAAACCCATGGGAGGTTTAAAGTAAGGGAGTGATGTAACCTAATTTACACTTGTAAAAGGTCTCTCTGGCTACTGTGTGAAGAATGGACTGTAGGAGAGCAAAAGTGGAGGCAGAGAGACCTGTTGGGAAGTCATTTCAATTGTCCTGACCAGAGGTAATAATGGCTCAGATTAGGTGATGAATTGGAGGAAGTAAAAAGTAGTTGTGTTTGGAGTCATATTTGAAAGAAGACTGGATAGGCCGGGCTCAGTGGCTCACACCTGTAATCCCAGCACTTTGGGAGGACAAGGTGGGCGCATCCCTTGATGTCAGGAGTTCAAAACCAGGCTAGTCAACATGGCGAAACCCTGTCTTTACTAAAAATACAAAAATTAGCCAGAAGTGGTGGTGCGTGCCTGTAGTCCCAGCTACTTGGGAGGCTGAGGTGGAAGAATCGCTTGAGGACAGGAGGCATAGGTTGCAGTGAGCCGACATCATGCCACTGCACTCCAGCCTGGGCAACAGAGTGAGAGTCCATATGGAAAAAATAAAATAAAATAAAATAAAGAAAGAAAGTAGACTGGACAGGCCTTACTACCGATGAACTGGTTCTAGGAGTGAGAAAAGAGGAATGATGGTGCCTGATTTGGGGGCCTGAGCAACTGGGCAAATGGTGGCATCATTTACTGAGGTGAGGAAGATTGAGGGAGGAAAGGATTTGGGAAGAAAATCAAGCGTTCTGCTTTGACTAAGTAAACTTTAAGAATCGTATTAGATATGCAGGTAGAGGTTTCAAGGGAGCAGTTAGTTGTCCAAATTGAACTTGGAGAGAGTTATGGACTAGAGAGATAAACATGGGAGTCATTAATACATAGGCCATAATTAGTCACTGAACTGGGTGAAATCACTTGTGCCTTGCAGAGAATGTGAGACCAACTCAGGTAGGAATGGAGAAACTGAACAAAGAAAAGAAGAGTAGAAGTTTCTGACAAGTTACTGGCAGCAGAGGATAGAAAGTTGACTGGAGATCTAGTGAGGAGGCCACTCACTAGAGGCAACGGTCCCAGCAGCAGAAGAGAAGCAGATATGGCATTAAAAAGCTATTTGCAGAATGAAAGGCAGGAGATTGGGCACTGGGACCGCGCTAGGGAAAGAAAATTGTCAAGGAGAAATATCCAAGTTCTTATTCTGGAAAAAGGCGTGGATAGTGGCGCCACCAAGTGAGAGAGAGGCATAAGAAGATGAGCCAAGTGGAATAAGAATAAAAATAATATATTTGTTATTCTGAATTTGAAGCTCTAGGAAACATTTAAATCTTGCCTCTGTCACTCCAAGCTATGTGACTTTGGGCAAGTTACTTATCCTTTCTGTACCTTAGTTTCCTTATCTGTAATAACTGCCCTTGTCTCAGAGATACTGTGAAGATATGTGGTAATACCTGTAAAGCACACTGAACAGTAAGTATTTAATAAATGCTAATTACAATTATTATTGCAATGGAACGTCATTATGAGAAAGTCTGGGATTTTGAGGGATGCCAGGTCTAGTATGCCTGGAATGCAAAGTGCTGTGGGGAGATAGATGATGATGGATAGTGGAAGATAAGACAAGTCAAATAGTGAAGAGCCACTAGGCTAAGGAATTTTGGCTTCTTCTTCAAGGAGGATCCAGAGTGAGGGTTGTTTTTGTTTTGTTTTGTTTTGTTTTGTTTTGTTTTGTTTTGAGACAGAGTCTTGCTCTGTCACTCACGCTGGAGTGCAGAGGAGCCATCTCCACTCACTGCAATCTTCACTTCCTGTGCTCAAGTGATTCTCGTGCCTCAGCGTTTCGAAGAGTAGCTGGGATTACAGGCATGCGCCACCACACCTTTTGCCATTACTTTTAATGGCAAAAACAGCAGTAACTTTTGCACCAACGTAATAGATTTTTATGGAGACTTCATTATGTAGGCATGGTTGATTAAACTATTAGCCATTGGCAATCAACTTGACCTTAAGCCCCTCTCCCCTCCCTGGAGGTTAGAGGAAAGTCCCAACCTTCTATTCATGCTTTGTCTTTCTGGTGACCAGTCCCACACTGAAGTTATTAGTCAATCATTAGCATACAAAAAGACAGCACTTTGGAGCTCCCAAGGATTTTAGGAGTGGTATGCCAGGAAATAAGAGGAAGACCAAATATATATATTTCACAATATCGCAGTAGTCCATTCATTTTTATTGTTGAGTAATACCCCATTTATGAATATACAATTGTTTTGTTCATTCTCCTGTTGATGAAAGTCTGGCTAGCTTCCAGATTGGTGCTATTGCAAATAGTATTGCTATGTCTTTTGGTGGACATAAGCACTCATTGCTCTTGGATATATACCCAGCATCTCTACCCATTATTTTTTAAATTAATTTTTTTGAGGTCTTTGTAGATTCACATACAGTTGTAAGAAATTATACAGAGAGATCCCATGTACAATTTACTCATGTTCTCCCAGTGGTATCATCTTGTAAATTAGCCTTCAATATCACAACCAAGATTTTAACATTGATATAGTCAAGACACTAGGTATCACAAGGACCCCTCCTGTTGCTCTCTCATAGCCATATCCATTTCTCACATGCTCTCCATCCCCTGCCTTGTTCTTTAACTGCAGGCAACCACTAATTTGTTCCCTTCTCCATTTCTATAATATTGTCATTTCAAGAATAAGGAATTTCAAGAAATAGGGAAATGGAGAATAATGCTAGAGTGGCTTAAAACAGAACAAATTCTGGAGGTCAGATTGTCAGAGATGCTTGAGCCAGAGCTACTTCATCTAGAATAGGGGCTGGGTAAAAAAAAAGGCTGAGACATACTGGGCTGCATTCCCAGGAGGTTAGGCATTTTTAGTCACAGGATGAGATAGGAGGTCAGCAGAAGATACAGGTCACAAAGACTCTGCTGATAAAACAGGATGCAGTAAAGAAGCCAGCAAAAATCCACCAAAACCAAAATGGCAATGAAAGTAACCTCTAGCAGTCCTCACTGCTTATTATACACTAATTATAATTCATTAGCATGCTAAAAGACACTCCTACTAGCACTATGACAGTTTACAAATGCCATGGCAACGTTTGGAAGTCACTCTATATAGTCTAAAAAGGGGAGAGACCCTCAGTTCTGGGGAAATATCTCCCCTTTCCTAGAAAACTCATGAATAATGTTTAGCATATAATCAAGAAATAACTACAAGTATACTCAATCAAGCAGCCCATACTGCTGTTCTGCCTATGGAGTAACCATAATTTTACTTTCTTGATAAACTTGCTTTCACTTTACTCTATGGACTCACCTCAATTCTTTTTTGTGAGAGGTCCAAGAACCCTCTCCTGGGGTCTGGATCGAACCCCTTTCCAGTAACAAGATGAAAGTCCAAAATGGGCTAAAACTGAGCTAAAACTAAGGTGTCCACAAAGCTGCATTTCTTCTGGAGGCTCTAGGGGAGAATCCATTTCCTTGACTCTCCCATTTTATAGAAGCCACCTGCATTCATTGTTTCATGGCCCCTTCCTCCATCTTTAATATCGGCAACATAGCATATTCAAATCTCTCTGAATCTGACCCTCTTCCATCTTTAATGACTCTTGTGATTATATTGGGCCCACCTGGATAATACAGCACCCTTTCCCTATCTTAAAACCCTTAACCCAATGACATCCCAAGTCCCTTTTGCAACGTAAGGTAACATATTTATAGGTCCCATGGATTAGAACATGGATGTCTTTAGAGGGCCATTATCTTGCGTGCCACATCCATCTTCCTGGGAGAAGTCTACCTGTTTTCCATTTAAAATAAATAAATAAATAAATCATTTACACACATACAACCCAATATCCAAAAACAGAGATCCTCTGGTTGTGGTTGGAGGGGATCTAAAACTCCTTCACTTTCCAAGGCAACAACAGTTGGGATAATCATTAGCAGAGACTCCTAAGGCCTCCTCCTACACTGATGTTCTAGGGACTTCGAACTATATCTGCTACCTTAGAATTGAAGCTGTGCAAATGTCTCCTCTTCCTAGTATATGTCTGCCCACCCCCAGGAGGACATACTGGAATCATCAAATACATACACTGGTGCCTGGATCCCAATACTAGAGGTTATAATTTGATTTGAAGATATGGTCTGGGCTTTGGAATCTTTAAAGGATTCTAATGTGCAGACAAGTTTTTGAGCCACTGCCTCAAAGGGTTGTTGTTAAGGATTTAAAGCTCACAAAACATACGATAACTGGGCCAGGCCTCATGGGCTCCCACCTGTAATCCCAGCACTTTGGGAGGCCGAGGCAGGCAGATCACTTGAGGCCAGGAGTTCAAGACCAGCCTGGCCAACATGGTGAAACCCCATCTCTACTAAAAATACAAAAATTAGCCAGGCATGATGGTGTGTGTCTGTAGTCCCACCTCCTACGGAGGCTGAGGCAGGAGGAGAATCGCTTAAAGGTTGCAATGAGGCAGGATTGCACCACTCCACTCCAGAGTGGGCAACAGAGACTCCATAAAAAGAGTAAGAGAGAGAGAGAGACAGAGAGAGAGAGAGAAAGAAAGGAAGGAAGGAAGGAAGGAAGGAAGGAAGGAAGGAAGGAAGGAAGGAAGGAAGGAAGGAAGGAAGGAAGGGAGAGGAAGGAGGGAAGGAGGGAAGGAGGGAAGGAAGGAAGGAAGGAAGGAAGGAAGGAAGGAAGGAAGGAAGGAAGGAAGGAAGGAAGGAAGGAAATATATGATAACTTACTTTTCCTTGCAAGTGTTGGCTTACCAGGAAGGAAAGTGGTAAGTGAGAGTGCCAGGTCCAGGACAGTTTAGAAGGTTTGTCTGGCCTCAGTTTCCTCATCTGCAAAATGAGGATAACCATATCTAGGCTACAAAATGTTTTATACATGTTTTATAAACTATAAAGTACTACCCAATAGCTTTTGTACATACACACACTCTCCATCCTCACTTCACACTCCATTCCCCACTGCCTTCTGCAACAGGGCCCAAGGTAGTTTCCCTGACCTTTATTGGCACTACAATATGTGAGGGTAGTAGGAGGCAGGAAAAGCCTGAAGACCTTCCTGACAAAGAGGCAGGACAGGGCCTGAGCATCCCAAGAGAAATCAAGAGATACAAATAAGTACCTCTTAGGTCCCAATGCCAGGCAAGTCCAGGAGCATCACATGGTCAATGCAGGATCCACACCCACAGTAGAAAAGTTGGCCTGGAACTACCGAAAGGGCACAGACTATTAAGTTAGACAGTCCTGTGACCTTGGGAAGTTATTATACTTTTTTGAGCCCATTCTCTCCTATATAAAATGGGGATAGTCATATCACCCCTCTCCATAGAACTGAGGTATAGATGAAATGAGACCAAAGATAAGAAGGTAATATATAAATAGAAACTGCAGTGAAATATCTTACAGCTACCCACTCATACCACAAAGAACGATTGAGTCACTGTGAAGTCTTCCTAAATTTTATTGGCACTGAAATAGAACATGGATTGAGCATAAACCCCTCCAAAAACAATTTTTAAAAAACCCAAAAAGTACACAAAAAACCCCTGAATACAAAATCTAACCTTTTCCCCCAGCCTCCCTAAGGGTAAGTTACTGACTTTAAGGCAGCTATTAATAGATTGCCCCACAATTCCAGGTTTCAATTTAGCCAATATAGGACATATCACCAAGTGAGCTAATTCACAGCAATGCACACAAGACTCCTCAAGGTCAGGCACAGAGTGGGGGGTGGTGGCCAGGGGGAATTGAGGGAGGCTCTAAGCTAGGGGCACTGCATGGTGGGACAGGATGGCCCCTTGAGGACTGAACCCTGGGGAGAAGACAAACAGTAATAATAAAAACAAATAACAAGTACTTTAAGAATGGATTGTATGACCTATAGTGACAGATGACATCACTAATACTGAAAGCTTCTTATATTAATAATTTTGGCAAAATGTCATTTTGTAATATAGTATATGCTTTCCAGGTGTGGGGGTGGTAAAGTAATGAGGCCAAAATCATCCTGCCCCAAGACTAATATCTTCTAATGGTGCATTAGCAAGGAAGGCAGAAATCAATATTTAGATATCAGTAGAGTACATAATACTGTAGAAAGAAGAAGAGCACACATGAGACAGAGAAGGAGGTGGATGCTCCTGGGTTGAGAGCAAGGGGTGGGGGTGTGGAAGGGACTAGGCCAGAATCCCCAGCAGCTCTCTGGTTTACAGCTCCAAGGGACAGAACAGCTGGTGTCAAGACCTGGGTTAGAGGTTTGTCAAACAGAGGCAGGGCCCAGTCACCTCTTTGGAGGGGAGTGATGAGAAGGGGATTTTGGTCACCTGAGAGGGTTGAGTAAACTTGGATCAGGGCACAGGCTTCTCTCACCATACTCAGCTTTTTGCACTCACTCCCTAGTTGAGCCTACTGGCATCAAGCTCTAGATGCCAAGGCTGGGATGGCTGTGGAGCAGGAGCTATGGCCCAAGTAGCTCTGAGAGGGGAAGAGACCTAAAACCCCTAGCAGGGAAAATACTGACGCTAGGTGTGAACATATCCTCTCTTTTCACAAGAGTCCTGATGGGGCTGGCTGAGCTTTTGGGTACTCATCCCTACTGTTATAGCTGGAGAGGATTTGGGTATTGAAGCAGGGAGGGGCAGATCCCACGAAGTGACTGCAGATCTGGAATAATAAGTAAGGGGTAGATCTGCCCATAGAGCTCACTTTAGACCGGCCTATACTCCTACAAGGAATTGGGGTAGGATCTTCTACTCAGCCTTGCCACAATAGAATGGCCAATGCCCTTCTAGTATGTTTGGTGAAGGTCTTGAAGGCACCATTTCCCCCATCCACCCTGGGGAGAAATTGAGTCCCTAAAGTCAACGACAAGGCTTATTGAGGCTGAGTTTGCAACAGATCCGATCTGGGAGGTAGAAACAAAAATGACTGAACATCTTTTTATCCCCCAATCGTTACAAAGCCTAAATAACTCTAAACGGGATGGGAGGGCAAATTTTAGGTCAGTTGACATCCTGGAGAAGATATCCTAGGTCCTGTCTCATTCCCTAGACCGCATAACACTCCAACCGTGTAAATCTCAGGACCCTGAAGAAGACAGTGGTAGGGGAGAGGAGGGGAGCTAGCTTCCAACCTACTCCACACTTGACTCCCATAGGACAACAGTAAGTGTAAGGGCATTTGCAAAATCAAGTGGAAAGTACCTCTAGGCTGGAGAAGTAGGATATTCTAGCCATACAGATTCAATGGAACAGAGAAGAGAAAGGAGGTTCCATTGGCACCATAGTGAGCCATTCATTTGCCCAGGGAAGTGGGTGGGGGCTAAGGGGCTAGGTTTGGTCCCATGGCTACATTAAATGCTTGGCATGACTCCAGGGCTGCTCTAGTTAGTGGCTCCAGCACAGTATGAGTTAGGTGAGTTAGGTGTAGGAGTGTGGGGACAAGGAAAAAGGGAGGAGGGGTCCCTAGAGGCTGGGTGCCCATTACATAGACTCAAATTCGTCAATGCGCTGCTTGGTGTTGCCCTGCCGGATCTGGCGCAGGGTCTTGTATTTGTCTCGGCCCAGTCGCATGTTCTCAGCATGGATCATGTCATTGGCAGTCTTCTTGGACTCATCTCTGGCATTGGCCAGCTCCGAAGTGAGGGCCTGTGAGGATGTATGGGAACACAGAGGTCAATGGCTTTCTCTCATTTTACCTCCTGTTATTTGACCAGACTTCCCTTCTCTTCTGTTTCCTTCTTTCTTCCTCACCCTTTCTCTCTATATATAAATATTGAGAGTCATTTCCAACTCTGTTAGAACTGCAGTGGGGCAAGAATATTAAAAAAAAATAAATAAACTTAGGGGACCAGTTGATAATGGGTATCCTTTAAGAGTAGAACAACATACAAAAGATTCAGGTGGGAATTTTGTCAGCTAGATATTTTCTTAATGTAAGAGGTGAATGGAGTGAGTGGGAGGTGGGGCAGAGAGAAAATCTCAAAAAGGGAAGAGATAGCCCAAGGTCTGATTAATAAGTGAGAGGTGCCTATCCTTAAAGCTGTCACTTAAGAACGGCTTGGGCTCCCATACAACACTGGGACAGGATCTTATACCTATCCCCCATGATGGTCTAGGGAATGCCATGGGCTACTAAATCAATGCATATAGTTTCCTTGCCCCTTGGCCCTACTTGTATACCTTCAGGTGCTTCTGCACACGCTCATTCTTCTCTGCCTCAGTGGTACGTTCCTCCTCACTGCGGTCCTTGGCCATAGCATCAGCCCGTAGGTCAGCACTAGCCTCTGCCCCATTCTCATCCTGCTCATCCTGCTCATTCTCAGCAGGCTCTGCCACATGAGGTGTACTCATGGCAGTCTTCAGCTCAGCACGGGTCTTCTCCAAGTCTTCCTGTACCATCTGGGCCTGTCCAGTGACAGAAGGAGAGAAAGACTGTCAGTGAGACCAGTTAAACTGTGGCATCCTGTATATGCCTAGAACGGTCTGGCAAGAGGCAGGCACCAGGTAGGACAAGGCACTTCATCTGCCTGATCCTTAGTTTCTTCATCCATAAAACAAGAGCAATTGTACCAACTTCCTAGAGGTATTAGAGAACTCCAGTAAGTATTTGACGAAACCATGAGTGCCTTCTCCCATGCTGCCTGCTGTGGGAAGTATGAAAGAGGGAGGGAGCCAAAACATAAGGAATCTAAGGAGCTGTTACCTATGCATATGGCACCCATTCCTTCAATGCTTTGCTTTAGGCCCTGTGTCTTACCTTCTGCTGCCACTCCACAGCCTCACTCTCCTTCTTCTGTCGGGCCATCTCCAGCTGGGAGATTCGAGCTGTCAGCTCTGCCATTTCCAAGGCCTACGGATAAATTGGAAGCCTGTGAGAGCTGGGCCTTCTGGTCCTCAGGACCCAGGTGTCTTCAACCCAAGTCCCCTGGGGGACTAGTAAGGGACCTACTGCTCCACTTGCTTGCTGCCTCAGAGACTCTTTTACCAGACTACTTCATTCCAGTCCCATCTTCCCTGACCACCACTTCCTTTTAAGTCAGAGCTCCCCCACCTAGACTGTAGGCCTCTTGAAGACAAACAATATGCCATCTCTGTCCCTTCCTCATTATCTCTCCCCCTGCCCCTCTTGGCAAGTATGCAGCTGGGGGCCTCAGTAAAGCTTTGGCCATCATTGGGTCACTTCCTGAAGTGGCAGATCCTTTCCTGATATCCTAGAATGCTCAGGATTCGACTAAGAGTCTTCCCAGGACAAGTACAGGAAAGACACTCAAGTGTCACAAAGCTATCTGAACAAGGAAAAAAGCTTATGCACACCTTGGGTAAATCTCCCATGACAGCTTCCTCATGAGAGACAGGTCTTGGTTCCCTCTATTCCCACCTCCAACAGTACAAAGGAAGAGTATATGTCAAGGAGTTTGGACCACAGGTTCTTAACTTCTGAGTCACAGAACCCTTGGAAACTGTGATGAAAGTATGGATGCCAAATGCCCCAAAAATGCATAGACACATAGTTTTGCATGTGATTTCAGGGAGCAAAGCTTTCAAACAGAGGCAGAAATGGGTGGGTTCTAATCCTTATTTAGCTACAATTGTGTGATCTTTGGTGAATCTCTTCCCTGAGCTCTAATTTCCTTATCTGGGATATTATCTCATATGAGGTTAATCCCATAGGGTTACTGGGAAGAAGAAATAAGTAAGGAAAAGGGAAATATTCCCAACACAGCAACATACAGCAGGAGCTCAAATATGAGTCCCTTTTGTTCTTTTCTCCTTCCCTTTCCTTTGCCAGGTCAATCAGCTCAGATACCCAAGAGTTAAGAAAGTGAACAGAAACTAAGGGTTAGGGAAGACTGCAAAAATTTCTGGGCCACACTAGTGACTTCTCAGCTTGCTTCTGAACTAGTTATTTGCTGGAGGCCCATGGAGTGGTAGCCTGCTCTAAAAAGCCAGCATGTAAGCAAAAGTAGCTATAAGTAAGTAGGCAGACAAGGAAGAAAGTTCAGTTCCCATAATCCCAGCCCACCCTACAGCTTTACCAGCTGTTCCTGAGTCTTTTTCTGGTCCCGGGAGGCCTGCAGCAAGGCCTCCTTGGCCTCTTCAGCTTCTTGACGCTCCTTGGCCAGCTTTTCAGCCTCGCTCTGGGCACGCTTCCGTTCCTGCTCAAGTTCCAGAGCCCTACGGGTCTGTTCTTCCAGTTCTGAGCAGAAAAGGAGGGGAGAAGGCAGTGAAGAGCACAGAGATAAAGACGACACAATAGCTTCGTTCCTGGAAATGATCCACCCCAAGACAAAGCTGGCAGAAAGTTCTGAGCTCTCTTCTTGCCCATTCTTCTTCTAGTCTGTAGCCACACCTGAACTACATTGTCTGAGTCTACAGCTCAGGCAGAAGGTTCTCCAGCTCAGAGTTAGGCCTGGAAAAATCCAATCTCCAAGGTGACTCCAAGCCTCACCTTGCTGAGCCTTCTTAGTCTGTTCCTCGATCTGCTTCAGCCTCTCCATCAGCTCCTCCTTCTCCCGTTCAATCTTCTCTTTCTCCTTCTCTGCCATTTCACGCTTCTTCTTCTCATTTTCCAGCATAGCACTAGGGAAGGAGATAAAATGGATAGAACAGGATAACAACGCTCCACAAAAGCCTGGGGAGGCCAGGCGCGGTGGCTCACACCTGTAATCCCAGCACTTTGGGAGGCCGAGGTGGGCAGATCACGAGGTCAGGAGATCGAGACCATCCTGGCTAACACAGTGAAACCCCGTCTCTACTAAAAATACAAAAAAAATTGGCTGGGCATAGTGGCATGCGCCTGTAGTCCTAGCTACTCAGGAGGCTGAGGCAGGAGAATTGCTTGAAGACAGGAGGCGGAGGTTGCAGTGAGCTGAGATTGCGCCACTGCACTCCAGCGTGGGCAAAAGAGCAAGACTCCATCTAAAAAAAAAAAAAAAAGCCTGGGGAATTCCAAGGCTTGCTGCCTCTGGGTCTCTCAACCCAACCTTCCCAACACACTTAGGGATTGTGAGTTTGGGCCACCCTCCCTTACCTCTATACCCTTGTCCTCATATCATAGCCCCACATAGGCCAGTGTACACGGGGCCCTGTCAATGTACCCCTGAGTCAGGAATCCTAGCTCTCCCACCAACCCACTGGGTGACCTTAGCTATGTCACTGCTTTGCTCTTGTTCCCCTATCTTGAAAATGGTCCAATAAGACCTGCCCTATCCACCTTGTTAGGGAGACAAGTTTTGGCTCTGTGCTGGGATGAAGTGCTTCAAGTCTAGTAATCTCTACGGCTAGTGCATCAGTCCTCAGGTCTAACACTGCCTGCCCTAAAGCCCAGCTCTAGGCTTCTTTTTCCCAGAGTCTGTTACAAATCTGGAATAAGTATTTGCTTTTGCTTTTTCTTGCCCTAGCACCTCTTCCAGGAACCTTCTTATCTCCCTTGGCTAGGTATTCTCCATCTGGGCCCTCAGAATACTTGGCTTACCCTTCTCCCCATCCCTCTTCTATGTTTTTGTCTCCATAGCACTTCTTAACCATCTTATGTACCACATAATTTGCTTATTTATTATGTTCGTCTCCTCCCCACTAGAATGCTAGCTTCACAAAAGCAGAGATTTTTGGTCTTTTCTTATTCATTGCTCAATAAATATTTATTAAGTGAATGAATGACATGGCCTTTGTACCTTGAGTTATGTATATATTGTTTTCCCTCTCTCTGCTACTAGACTGAGTAGACTGTGAGGTCCTACAGGGCAGTTTCCTGCTAGATCCAGCTCTGTAAAAACTGCCCCTCAAACTTGGTAGATTTTTTCTGAATAAATGTGAATATTGGTGTCTAACCTCTCATCTATGAAGTCCTAGGTTGGCCTCATGTCCTGACTTAGCATGCAGGGCACCTTTGAGAAGCTTCCTTGCCCCAGCCCTGGCCCCCCACATCAGTGTGCAGCACCTACCGCTCCATCTGCTTCTGGTGCTTCTCCTCCCGGGCCTGTGCCTTCATCTGCTGCACCTCAATGGTATCAGGCTTGCGACGGCGCATGTATAGTTCATGGTTCCCCATGCACAAGGCCAAGATCCGCTTGTTAATCCGCAGCCGGGGAGCATAGAAGACGAAGTCCTGGTGGGAAATCAGCAATCAGAAAGAATTTGGAGGGACAGGTGAAGGTGATCTTCTGCCTTCTGAAAAGCTAAATCCAAAAGCACTGGAAAGAATATTTAATCTGACCTCCTGCACTACAGATGGGAAGACTAATTATCAGAGTGGTAAAGTGACTTGCCCAGGGTTAGACAGTAGACAGACCCAAGACTAGAAACCCAGGTTTCTTGACTCTGAAACCCATGTTCTTCCCATAATTTCTTTCAATCTTTGCTTATGAAACCACAATTTCTTTCAATCTTTGCTTGTGAAAGCATCCTAAATTACTCTTAATCAAGTTGAAGGATTCAAACTTTCTCTGCTAATTAGGGAACATGCTAGGTCTCAGGTGACCTCTTTTGGAAGCCAAATGACCCCTGAATAATACCCTGGTGGGTGCAGTATGGGTGGCTGGACTGTTTCTACAATCTCCTAAAAGCAAATCCTAGACCCAGCCCCTTAAATCCTTTTTGGAACAAGGCAGGCTGTAAATACATACATGAATACATAAATCTCCTGATCACTGCTTGTCCTGGTTGTTGTTTTTAAAATGAGCCCTTGATCTCAGCTGGCTTTGTTACTTAACTTTTTCTGATAATAGTTGAGCACAGCAGCAATAAAAGAAAACACACAAGAAAATCCAGTGAGTTTGAGTTTGTTACTACAAATACCACTGGACCGAAGTCACCAGCTGATGGGCACCACCATCTCCTCTGCCACTGACCACACACTGCTACTGTCTCATATAGCTTGGGGTGCAGGTATAAATCCCAGCTCTACCATTTTTAGCTGTGTGATCTTGGGCAAATCACTCCATCTCTCTAACCTCAGTTTTGTCAGCCATAAAATTAGTATGCTACTTAGTACCTACCTGACCATGTTGCTGAGGGTTTAAGGAGACAACATGTGTAAAGTCCCTAGCAGGGGAAGTTCAGGCACCTCATGGCTGGAGAAGAATCACTGAGCCTTCATGAAAAGGGTCAGGCTCAGCATTGTCACTGGGCCTTGTTGGACATGCAGTATCCCAGAAAAGGGGACACTCAGCTCAGTTTCCTAACCTACCCACAATCACCAGCTGTCTGGTCTTGTCAGCTGCAGGCTACTGAGTGGGTAAGAAGCATGGCGAGTGTGTTAGAGAAATGAATGAACTTAAAGCACTTTTTTGGTCTTGGATTGCTCTGGAGAAAAGTCTGAGAGGGCAGCAGTAAAGTTCTACCAAGAAGTCTGTAGGATCATCTTCAGATTTGGACTTTGGCCACAGCCCTTTCTCCACAATAAAAAAAAAAGAAGTCAAGGGCTGGGCATGGTGGCTCACGCCTATAATCCCAGCACTTTGGGAGGCCAAGGCAGGCAAATCACCTGAGGTCAGGAGTTCAAGACCAGCCCGGCCAACATGTTGAAGCCCTGTCTCTACTAAAACTACAAAAATTAGCCAGGCATGGTGGCATGCGCCTGTAATCCCAGCTACTCGGGAGGCTGAGGTTGTAGTGAGCCAAGATTGCACCACTGCACTCCAGCCTGGGCAACAGAGCGAGACTCCATCAAAAAAAAGAAAGAGAGAGAGAGAGAGAGGAAGGAAGGAAGGAATCAAATATGTGAACAGTGTCCACTTTCTGGGACCCAGGGGCTTGGAAATATGAGATGCATTCGGTTTCCACCCCAGAACCTCAGGGCAGCAGAGGCAATGGCTAAGAAGCAGTTCTTAACACTGCCTGTGGCTCTCCCACATCCACAGTGAGAGAGACAGGTAGCAGAGTAGAACCAGGTACAGGATGTCTGCTGGCCATTTCTTGGCATCAACATCCCCCTCCATTCCCAATCTCTATTTGTGCTTCCTGTTCGTGCACATGCGCGCACACACGTACACACAAACACATCAGAAAAGGAAGAGAAAAATAGAATAGCATGATTGCTCATTATGCAGGCCTTGGCAAGTACCTGTCTTGGTCAGAGGGAGGAATCACTCACCGGGGCTTTTTTGTCAATGGGCTTGATGACAAATTTCTTATCATTGAAAGAGATGTTCCTGATTTCACTCCAGGGGAAGCCTATCTTGGGAGTTAGTCTGTAGAAATAGAAACCAATAACATCAGGACAAGGGCAAGACAAGAAGGGTGTAGAGAACTGGGGGCTTGCCCTCACTGTCACCTCCAAGCTTCTATGTCTCTCTCTCTCTTTTTTTTTTTTTAAAATAAATAGAGACGAGGTCTCACTATGTTACCCAGGTTGGTCTTGAACTCTTGGGCTTGAGCAATCTTCCCTCCTCAGCCTCCCAAAGTGCTGGGATTACAGGCGTGAGCCACTGAGCCTGGCCAAACAAACACTTCTCTCTGGAGGAGGTAGACTCAGTGACAGCTCAGCCAGTGTCATCACACGCCACCAGGTCAGCTGCCAGCATTGAGAGTTCACTAAAGATCTCCTGATAGTACAACTAACATATGATTCCTTGTCTCAAGTTTGTTTTGTTATGTATTTGTTTGAGGCATGGAACTTGTAACAGTTCCTCAAGGGAATCCCCAGCCCTATTTAACTGAGTCTCTTCTATCCAAGCTTACAAAAGTTTGAGAGAAAGTAAATAATGAACTCCAAGATTCAGGAGTTATATGGAACAATAATTTATTGCTCTCCATCCTCACCAAGAGCACACCAAGTGAAAAATATAAGCAAGTGGGATAAGGCTACAGTGAGAGGATTATAGGCCAAAAGCCACTTAACCATCACAGGAGACTAATTACAAATGCTGATAAGATAGTCTAGGCCTGCACGATCCAATAAAAACATAATGACTGTCACATATATAATTTTAAGTTTTCTAGTAGCCACATGAAAATAAGTAAAAAGAAATGGATGTAATAAAATTATAGTAAGTTTAGTTAACCCAATATATCTAAAATATTATCATTTAAACATGTAAATAAATATTTTTTAAAATATTAAGACATTTTACGTTCTGTTTTTCACACTAAGTCTTCAAAGTCCAGTGTGTAGTTTACACTTACAGCAGCACATCTCAATTCAAAGTAGCCACATTTCAAGTGTTCAATAGCCCCATGTGGCTGGTGGCTACCATAGTTGACAGTGTGAGTCTAGTCAATACAGGATTTAGTATTGACTAAGGGAAGTTGTGAAATCATCTGGGCTGGACTAAATTAGGTAGAAAAAGAACTGAGATGGGACCCAAGAGATATGGCCCTGCTCCTTGGTGAAAAGTGAGCCCTAGATGTTAACGTGACCTAAATAAACTAAAAGAGATCTGAGATATACCTGTCATTCTGCTCATAGATGTTGAGACCCAGGGCATCCACCCCCAGCCACAGCTCTGAGCCTTTCTTGTTCTTGATGCTGAAGTAGTTCACACCATACATCTCCAGATCTTGAGCAATCTTCAGATATTCCAGGACAGCATCCTCCCTAAATGACACAGAGTTGGGGGTCACAAAGTGGGGCTTGTGAGTCAGACCCAAGGAGATAGAAAGCCTGCTTACTCTGTACTTCTGACAAGGATCTTGCTATCAGGAGTGGGAAAGGGGACAAAAGGCAAGCAGATGATGGAGAACAGAGCACAGCATGACTTTTGCAAAGCAAAATCTCCTAACAAAAACCTAGGGTCTAAGCTCCCAAGGGGAATAAAGATGGGCTGACCCTTGCTGGCCTCTGGCATGTTGGCTGCCATAGAAGCAATTTTCTTTCTCTCATTCATTGTGACAGCCTCTTATAAAGGCACATTCTTAGCAGGGCTCAGAATGTGGTGATGGCAAAATGATGATATTTGTCCTTCAACTACACAACCCTCAAAAATGCTTTGCCATGTGTAAGAGCTCCCTCCATTTCTTGATAGTCAAAACTGTTTGGGCTACCAGTTACCAGCATTCAGCAAAACAAACAAACAAGCAAACAAAAAACAGCCTTATAATGGTCCTAGTTTGCCTTCTATCGTCCCTGTTCCCTCTTTCTCCAACATCCACCAATGTCCCTTGTCATCAGTCTCTTCTCCCTAGAACGCATTCTCATTCACCCTGTAAGGGAAGTGGGGCCCACCACTGCTTGGGCAAGCTTACCTGAGCATGCCACGGTGTTCCTCATGCCACACCTGGATCCGCTCCTCCCACTGGTCCTTGTTGAGTTTGTGCTGTTCCAGGACTCTGGAAAGACAATGGGTGATGAGTAGTTTAAAGCACAAAGTCCCTGTGCAGGAGAGAAGGGAAGCCCATTTAGCTTTCTAAGGGGCTGATGCAAAGAGGATGTAGAGTCAGCCAATTGAGGTCACACTGGAAGCAGACCGAAATTATAGCAAGAAGGTGTTAAACTAGACACAAGGAATTGCCTGAAAGGTAAGAGAGCTACAAGAATGGATGATCAAAAACAACAAGGGGAACACCTTCCTTTGTACCTTCATCCACAAATCAAATGATGTGCTGTGGTCCCTAAGCATAGCAGTAATGTGTCAGGAGTTTGTGCTGACTTTAGGGGCTAACAGTAGGGATGGACCTCATGGAGTCAGGTACACTCTCTCCTAGATCCTCTTAGGACCAACACTCTATGTTTATAAGAATACTGCTCAGAAATGAAAGGATGGCCTTTGGCTACAGAGCAATGAACTGAGTCCTAATGGCTTTCAGAAAAACCAACAGGCCCAACCTCCAAGACCTACTAGATTATAAACAAGGTTTGCTTTAAACATGCCATCTCAGATATCATGGCAATGACTCAGGTAGAGTCCCCAGGGTACAAGCACTATCCCTAATATCTTATGGGTGTGTTGTACATATATGCCATAACTCCAATGGGACTGAGGCTCCCAGAATGAAGCAAAGCTTTTCCTTCTAATCCAAAAGACTATGGAAATGGCCATTGGGTATAGTAGGAAAAAACTTAGTGTTAAAATATTAAGGTGCTAAGCTTCCAGGTCTGGCTCTGGCTCTGCCTCAGATGAGCTGCACCAGATGGGGAAAGTCAGTGTGAGTACCTCTGCACCTCTATTTCCTTCGCCAGGAAATAAGGATATTGCCTGCTTTGTTCATTTTGTGTGTTATTGTGATACAAAAACAAAAATAATGAGTGTTTTAGAGCTTTTGACTTTGAAGTTTACAAAAGGGGAAAGCTCTGTACACTAGCTGTCAATATTAAAAGACTATTTGAGCTCCCCATGTCCTCGGTTTGCTTATTTCTCTCTCTCCCCTGTGAACTTCTGATATAAGAGATCTAAATCAGTAAAAAGAACTGAGAAAATGGAACCAGGGATGGGTGAAAGAAATTACTCAATCTCTGGTTCTATATAAGCACCTGCCTCCAGGGTAATAAAGTTCTGTAACCAGGTAGACAGAGGGAAAACAAAAAGGCTTTTTATTTGGAAAGCCAGAAAAACAACAACAGAGTCTGACACTATATGCAAATGTCTCTTGAGCAGCATAACACAGTCTTCAGACAGACCCCAATGGAGAAGAACAGATCTGGCATCCCTGTGAGGCAGGGATTGGTCAGCTGTGGGCTGCAGCCCCTTATGGCCAAGGCAAAGGAGGGCAGGGAACCACCTCACCTCTGCGGGAGCAACTTGTCTCCGGCCAGGTAGCCAGACTTATGCACTTCCTTATTGAAGTCGCCATACTTAGACTGGACAGCATACGAGGCCAGCAGCACAGCGGTCTCAGGCGGGCAGTAAATATCATCATTGAGAATGCCCTCTTTCACTTGCAGAAAGAACAGGCGCTGAGTGATGTCCTGAATCAATTCCTCGGACACATCCTCAGGGTAGAACTTGGCACGGAACTTAAAGAGCAGGGGGCTTTCCTTCCGCACATCCTGGGCAGTCACCTGGGAAGAGTAAGGGTTATGGACTCTCAAAAAATAGGTTTTAAGGGTAATGGAGTGGCTGTAGGGTGGGGAGAAAACACTGAAAGATCATCAATTTGCATAATCTTAGACAGCTGGGTGGCAACTCCCCTGGTAATTAAGAAAAATAATACATTACTTTCACTGGGGACTGAATCCCATGTCTGTAATCACTTTCTGTTGGGAATTTCTTCCTGAAATTACCTTAATACCGACTGATGATCAGAAATCTTCAAACCACTTTTATCTGACTATATCCAACTATCCCCAAATTCTGATAGTAGGCATAAGCTCTTCTTTTAAGCTCGTCTTATAAGTCTCCTCCAACTTCATAAATTAGCAAAGTAAGGACTAGGATATATGTCTGAGGACTGAGAACTGGCTAAACAAGAGCACAAATTAGACCATTTTTTAAAGCCTGAAATGGAATACTAGTGGCTCCACACTTGTCCAGCAAAAGACTCAACTCTTTAGGAAAACAAGACTCTACCAGCAGAAGGTGGGGTACCTACTCCCTAGACACAATCAGAGAAGCAAACTGCAGGACAGTATGGAGACTTCTAAGGACAAGGCCAGCCAGTTTGAGGATACGAAGATGGAAGGCTGCCAGGTTCCCGTGAAGATGCTGCTTGGGGTGGAGAGCTTGCATGGACTCAAACCATCCCATTTGGGGTCCAACTGAGGTAAAAGATCAAGAAAGAGGGAAACATCTATATGGGGTTCAGACATTAGTTGACTGCTGGAGAAGGTGCAGCATAAGACTGTAAGATCTTTCAGATTTTTTTTTTTCTAGTTCAAGAATCTGTGGCTCTTTTTAACAAATCCCCAGCCAAGCTCAGTAGCTCATGCCTGTAATCCCAGCACTTTGGGAGGCCGAGGCGGGCGGATCACAAGGTCAGGAGATCGAGACCATCCTGGCTAAAACGGTGAAACCCCGTCTCTACTAAAAATACAAAAAATTAGCCGGGCGTGGTGGCAGGCACCTGTAATCCCAGCTACTCGAGAGGCTGAAGCAGGAGAATGGCGTGAACCCAGGAGGCGGAGCTTGCAGTGAGCCGAGATGGCACCACTGCACTCCAGCCTGGGCGAGAGTGCGAGACTCCGTCAAAAACAAAACAAAACAAAAACAAACAAACAAAAAAAACACAAATCCCCTAAAGCCATTGAGTTTGGAGAGATGAAGGGGATACCAATCCTCTCTTGAAAAGCCACTAATGGATTTGATCCAAAACAAGTCAAAGTTCAAGCTAGTGTTCCCATTAGAAAGAAAAGAGTCTCTTCTTCTTTGAATGCTGGCCATTGTCGCTGTTAGAAGTCAAAGTAGAGACAGAGCAAGAGCTTTGCCTTGCTTGTGTCCTCGGTCCTTATTCTGATCCAAGTGGTCAACAGACCACCCAGTCACAAACACAGCCCTAGGTATCCAGGATTTGCCAACTAGCACATGGTACCCTCCCAGGAATGTTCTGGAAAAGAAAAGAATTCTAAATCCAACAGAGGAATAAGCAGTTACCTTCTTATTGAGTTTCAGCCAGGTGGAGAAACCTTTAGTGTCCTGGTACTGCAGACCAAAGAACCAAACTTCCCTCAAGCCAATAGTTTTCACCACCTAGAAGAGAAAACCAAAACAACCAACCATTGATTGAATACTTCCTCTGTGTGAGGCACAGAGGACACAAAGTTTGAAGTCAATATTATATCTGCCCTTAAAGGGTTTAAGGTGCTCAGCATCTGGCAAGAAAATATACTTGAGCAGCAATCAAGAACTGATGTCGGCATCTCTCTGCACAAAGTACTGCTGAGGCAGGAAAGGGATCTATTACTTATGAGCACTGACACATACCAAGAACCTTACATCCATCATCTCCTTTAATTTTCATAATACCCCTATGCTAGACTTACAATTAGGCCCATTTTATAGATATCAAAAATGAGGTTCAAATAAATGAAATAACTTGCCCAAGTTTCAGGTTGTGAGTGACAGAATTAGGGTTCAAACCAGGTCTGTTTGACTCCAAATCCATGCATATCCAGTGATTTCTGCCACCTCCTCCTTCCCTCTACAATGTCACACCACTTCCCACTTCCATGATGGATTAAAGGCTGAAGGTGGAGATTGTTGGATTAACTCCTGTATCTTGTTCTCTTGGGCCACTCCCATATATTGTCCTTCATCCTTAGCAACTGGGGGTAATACCCACACCCTTAAGACTGAGTTCCATTTACAATACCCCAAATAAAGAATGTTTGAGAAGATAAAACGGGGATTGTGAAGGACTCTGAAGCCATGCTGTGCCTGGGTTCTGAGAGGATTTTTTCCAACCCTGATCAGAGCCAAGTCATGATTCCTCTTACACAGGTTTAGGGTGGAAATGAGGGTAGAAATAGGGTAAGTACCTCAGTGTAGCAGCTGAGGTGCCCCCTGTTGTCCTGAGCCTCCTGGCTGAACAGTGGGCAGGAAAAGGAGGCTTGCCAAGAGAACACAGATGAGCTCTGTTCTCTAGTCCCTGACATTAGCATGTTAATAGTCTGGCCCTCAGCTCAACCCCAGCATACCCACCACTGTCGATGGCAGCAGTGAAGCTGAGCCACATCCTAATGAGGTCAGGCTGGCCTTAGGCAGTCTTTTTTATTTTGTTTTTTGGGAGAAGGATGCAAGTGGAGGGTAAGGGTAAGGTGAGAAAGAATCATAGAAATATACCTGGAGATGGAAGCAGGGAACAAGGACCCAGTTTTGCTGATGTCCTTCCCTTATGAACAAATTAATATCTCCCTTCAAAATACACACACACACATGCACACACACACTCACTCACAAAGACACACATACACACACTAACACTGTATCCACAAAGTTTCTATTATGCATCCAAAGTCAGGCCCCACAGTCACACCCAGAGTTTACAATCTAGAGCTTCAGAGACCCCAAAGAAAAAAGTAGCTCATATTTATTAAGCACCAATCATGTGTCAGGCGCTGAACAGTAAACAACCCTGTGAGATAGCAATTATACCCATATTATAGATGAGGAACTAAGGCTTAGAGAGGTAATGCATCTAAAATTACAGAGCCATATAGAACCATGATGTGTCTGACTATAGAGCTTGTACCTTTTCTTCTCTAGCATGCTATGTCCTAATGCCAAGTACTCATATGAGCTTACGACTCCTGAGCTTCTCAAGTGATTAATTGCCTTGTCTCTCCTTTGGCCCAAATTTCCCATCCAGGTAATAAACTTTGATCACTTCTGCATCGAGATATGCTTCCTGGCATTCCCACTAGACCCAAGCGACAACCACTTTGGGGAGAAGCCATGTCCCCCAAGTCATCGACCTTCATTGCTCACCAGGTCACCCTTCCCCTTCATAGCTTGGATCAAGTATCAGGAAACCTGAGCAAAATGTTCATGTCTGTCTCCAACTAGCTGTATGATATCAAGGTAGCATATTTCCTCTCTGGGCCTCGCCTTCCTTATCTATCCAAATTGGGGAGTATGGCTTCAATGATCTCTTTTTTCTCTTAAGTTCTATCATTGTACTAATTACATTACAAGGTTATTTTGCAAATGGTTAATAAAAACAATCCCATTTCCCAGCTACCTCTTGCTGATGTGGATAATTAGAAACATGTTTAGAAAAGATCAGTGGGGGTGGGAGGTAATGAGGAAAGTTCAAAAGGCTTCCAGAATTCAATGGCCAGTTGATTCCCTGACTCTAAGTCAATAGGCAGCTGGAACTGCCAGAAAGTTTCAGATGGAGAAATGTGAATGCTTATGTTGAAATGTAATATTGGCTTTTTGCAGAGGATGAAGGTAGTGGGTGGGCGTGAACAGAAAAGATTTTTTTAAAGCACCTTGTATATCATCCTAGATCTAAACAGGGCCCAAGGCCCAATTAACAGTTCTAATCATTTTCCACAGGGTTGCAGAAGAATAGTGTGTCCAGATGCAATTGGTGGGAAAAGGCAAGATCCAAGAAACAATCCAGCTGAGAGAGAGAGAAAAAAAAAGAGAGAGAGAGAGAAGACCCACTGAAGATGCTGAAGAGAAGAAGATGGACCATGAGGGCCAGGATATTAGGTCATGGGGGGAGAACAGACTTGGAACAGAAGTAGTAGAGCAGTGCTATGGTTTGGATGTGGTTTGTCCCCACCAAAACTCATGTTGATGCTTCATTGCCGGTGTGGCAGTGCTGGGAGGTAGAATCATTAAGAGGTAGTATGTAATGAGAGGTGTTTCAGTCATGGGGACCCCTGTCCCTGTGAATTACTTGACCTTTTGTCACATTATGAAACAGCACAAAGGCCCTCACCAGAGGCTGAGCAGGTGCTGGTGCCATGCTCTTGGACTTTACAGCCACTACAATTAGGAGACAAATAAGCCTCTTTTCTGTATAAAGTAACTAGCTCCAGGTATTTTATTATAAGAACATAAAATGGGCTGGGCGTGTTGGCTCACGCTTATAATCCCAGCACTTTGGGAGGCTGAGATGGGCAGATCATGAGGTCAGGAGATCGAGACCATCCTGACTAACATGGTGAAACCTGGTCTCTACTAAAAATACAAAAAAATTAGCCGGGCATGGTGGTGCGTGCCTATAGTCCCAGCTACTCGGGAGGCTGAGGCAGAAGAATAGCTTGAACCTGGGAGGTGGAGGATGCAGTGAGCTGAGATTGCACCACTGCACTCCAGTATGGGTGACAGAACAAGACACTGTCAAAAACAAACAAACAAACAAACAAACAAAAACAAAACAAAACAAACATAAAATGGACTCAGACAAGCAGCAACTGGTCTTTGCCTGTACTAACAGACTAATTGTAGAGGCTAAGAGACTCCAAGACTGAAAGGAAGTGAGGTAGGCACAGACTATGCAGCCAGTCCCAGAAATCCCAGGAGTGAGACCGTTAGCCTCTTTTTGCACCACGTTGTCTGTTTCACTATTGGGTGGGAGTAGGGGTGTGATAAGAGAAGGAGGATTAGCCAGGTGTGGTGGCTCATGCCTATAATGCCAGCACTTTGGGAGGCCAAGACAGGTGGATCACCTGAGGTCAGGAGTTCAAGACCAGCCTGACCAACATGGTGAAACCCCGTCTCTACTAAAAATAGAAAATTAGCTGGGTGTGGTGGCACATGCCTGTAATCCCAGCTACTTGGGAGACTGAGGCAGGAGAATCGCTTGAACCCAGGAAGCAGAGGTTGCAGTGAGCCGAGATCGCGCCATTGCACTCCAGCCTGGGCAACAAGAGTGAAACTCTGTCTCAAAAAAAAAAAAAAGAGAGAGAGAGAGAGAAGGATCATGGTGACTAAAGTAGTTCTGAGATCCAGAGTAACTCAGGAGAAGTTGGGCAAAGTAATACCTAAAGTGATGTCAAAAAAAAAAAAAGAGAGAATTCAGGCTCAGTGCTGGGGGGAGGGAGGGTGATCTCTCTGAGCACTGTCTCTTCCTTTGTGAACATAAAGAAATCAGAAACATAAATGTTCCACTTCCTTAGGCTCTAGGGCTTAAAGAGATGAGTAATATCTCTCAGCCTGCACTGAAGTCTCAAAGTGAGAAATTGAGGACGTGGCGGGAAGGAAATATGGTCTGAAATCAGAATTGAAACTGAAAAAGAACAAAGAACAAAAATGGATGACTCCTGACCCCAGGCTACAAGGAAATCTCTAAGGCCCATGGGGGTGCTGTGAACCATTTTATCAGGCAACTCTAAACCCCTTTTCCAAGCCAAGTTTTTCTTGCTTCCAGCTTTGCTTCCAGTTGAGACCTCCATTCCAGAGGAAAGAGAAACCTTATTTTCAAGTGAGAGCTTAGCATCTAGCTTCCAGTTCCAGGAATAACCTCTGTGGCTCCAGTGACTAGGGTCCTTATCATTCCACTCTGAGAAATGGTCCTATCCCTGAGGAAAAAGAAAATTCTTTATTGGCTCCCTTTGACCCGACAGCCAGCTTATCGGATCTGAGCCAGTATTTCTCAAAGCTCCCATGGAAAAAATCCTTAAGCAGCAGAAAATAATGAATGCATATACCCAAGGGACATAGGGGGTGTGGTAGGATGGGGTAGGGGGAGATAATAGGTAGATGGCTGTAACCCAGCTATAATTTCTTTGAAGCCTCAGGTTTAATTATTTGTGCAAATTTTATATTCTACTCCATAAATAATGAATTTTTAAAATTATTGCAAGTAAAATTAATGCTCTAGAATACTAAACCACATTCATCTCACAGCTTTGTATCCCTCCTGGAACCTGCCCCATACACCTAAAGAAAGTAGGACTTCAGTTTTTAAGACACTAGCTTAAGAAACTGGAGGTTGTGTATTCTACTCAGCTCCATGACTGTGGAGAGTTACAGGGTTCAAGCAACATAAAATGGAAAACTGAGGTGCAGTGAAAAGAAAAGATCTGCCTTGGAGTACATCCTCGTTAATTATCAGGAGCTTCTGGAAGCAAGAAAAAAAAACCCTTTACCTCCTTTTGACATGTGGAGGCAACCTACATCTGAGGTCTGTAGAGGGGAGCGGAGATCAGGTCAGCTTAGGAGCCCAGAGATTCTCTTCTTGAATCCCCCATGCATTTATCTGAGTAAACAAACTAGTGATGTCATCAGCCACTTCAAAAGCCCAGAAATTCTCTTCTTGAATCCCCCATGCATTTATCTGAGTAAACAAACTAGTGATGTCATCAGCCACTTCAAAAGCCCAGAGCATGGCCGGGCGCAGTGGCTCATCCTGTAATCCCAGCATTTTGGGAGGCTGGGGCGGGGCAGATCTTTTGAGCTCAGGAGTTCGAGACCAGCCCAGGCAACATGGTGAGACCCCATCTCTACTAAAAATACAAAAAGATAGCTGGTGTGGGCACCTGTGGTCCCAGCTACTTGGAAGGCTGAAGTGGGAGGATCACTTGAGACTGTGGGGTGCGAAGGTTGCAGTGAGATCACACCACTGCACTCCAGCCTGGGTGACGGAGCGAGACCTTGTCTCCAAACACACACACACACACACACACACACACACACACACACGAGCGTGCACGCCTAGAGGAGAATGAGGGAGTAATGCTGGAGCCACAAGAGAAGAACTGTGTGAGAAACAATGTGCAAAACTGCATCAATGCCCAAACACCTGAGACCCCCAAGATACCATTACAGATTTGGCAGCATCTGCATCAGCCACCCACCTGAAAGCAAATTATTGCACCACTGGAAAGCACCAAGATGGGCTACCACTATTGCTGTTTCTGTTATTACACATTGCCTGTGGTCAAGTGGTCACCTGCTCTATAACAGAGAACATACTCAGCTGAGGTTCTAAGTTTCTTTCTTTTATCGTTTTTTGTTTGTTTGTTTAGAGATAGGGTCTTGCTGTTAACCAAGCTGGAGTGCAGTGGTGCAATCATAGCTCACTGTAACCTTGAACTCCTGGACTCAAGTGATTCTCCAGCCCCAGCCACCCAAGTAGCTAGGACTACAGGCATGCACCACCATGCCCAGCTAATTTTTAAGTTTTTGTAGAGATGGGGTCTCGCTATGTTGCCCAGGCTGGTCTGAAGCTCCTAGCCTCAAGTGATCCTCTCACCTTGGACTCCCAAAGCACTAGGATTACAGGCATGAGCCACCATGCCCAACCTAGCTAGGGTTCTAAGTTTTGGAAGCAGGTAAAGTGGAAGAAGGTTCCAGAGGACAGTTGATCAAAAGCATTAGAAAAACTGGAAATGCTATGTGCCCTGGTTTAAGCCCCAGCTATACCACTTCCTAGCTATATGACCTTAAACAGATAATTTCACCTCTGTAAGCCTCAGTTCCTCATCTGTAAGATGGAGATCCTCCTACTATAATATATGTTAGTTATTTTATAAAATGAAAAAAAAAAAGGTTTACTGTCCTTATTGCAGAGTATTCAAGTCCTAAGTACTTTACTGAGCCAGAAGAACTTCCTGATTTCATAGCTCCCTCATCTGAACTCTCAGGGCAATGCCACCTACTTTAGTCCTTAATAAGAACCACCAATATTAGAATGCTTGGTATGCACCAGGCATTTTACTTATTTGAGGATTAAATCACAAAATCTGAGATTAGCATGATTATCATTTTACAAAGGAAAGGAAAGTACTGAGAGGCTAAATGAGCCATCCAAGGTCACACAGCGAAGTAACAGGACAGAATTTGAACTCAGGGCTGGTTCTAAATCCTATGCTTTATATATCACCCCATGGAACCTGACCTCAAGGGCGTTTATTTCTTTCTTTGTGGGTAGAGAGTTGCATGTGCCTTTCTATGCTTTTATAGGTAAGGAACTCCAAGTTCCTGAAGAACAGAGATGGTGTTCGACAGTGTAGACCTTCAGTCAATATTAAATGAATCAGTAAATAGATGAATGAATCGATGCTTTGAGATTTCACCTCTGTCCTTGAGCACAGCCCTTTAGTGGCACCTAGGTAATCCAAGATCAAAAGCTTTAGAAGTTGAAGCAAGTGACAAAATCACTATAGCAAAACATGTTCTCTCTCCCCTCTAGCTGTAGCACACTCACAAGAAGAGAGGTAAATGAGACAAACTATGAGTCCTACTTCCCTTTCCCACCAGGCCCTAGACTTCCTCAAGCTATGGCATCCCATTGTTGCCTATTATTTATTGCTGGTGCCAAGGAGTACTTCCTCTCTGGTTGGCTTCCTCTCTGGTCATTGGCCAGATGACTGCTGCGTTCCAGGATGGCCATAAAGCTTTTGCCAATTCCTGCCAAGGAGTCTAGCTCCTTCCTCCCAGGCCCAGGCTCTACCAGGAGGGCCTCCTTGAATGATGGGTCCCAAGAGCCAGACAGAACGGACTTCCTCCCTTATGCCTCATCAAGTTAGAGAGAGAAGAGCTCACATCCCCCAAATGCCTATGAACACATAACTCTACTGATTCCTGACCTGACCTGCCTTGGCCTCAAGAGGGCCAAATGCTCAATTCCTTGAGTTCAAATCTTTTTCCCTGTATTTTCTCACCTGTGGGGTCCACCTCTGTCCCTCTGACTCACAGAATGTGACTGCCCCCCTCCTTCTTATGATAGTCCTTCAGAGGTCTGAAGACAGAAAGCATATCTTCCTTGAGTCTTCTCTAAGTTGAATACTCCCAATCACCCCAAACAGAGTAGTGCAGTGCAGGAAAAGTATAGTTTTGTGATCAGAGTTGTATTCAAAATTCCATATCACAACTTACTAACTACATGACCTAGAGTATGTTCTTTCACCTCACAGAGGCAGGAGCATTGTGAGGATTAAAGCGCCTAGCCAGGAATAGGCCATAGTATGTGCTCAATAAATGATACTTCTCAAGATAACAATGATGAGAAGTCATGGACTTCTTGGTTTCCAAGTCTCCCAAAGGCTTTGTTTTGGAAGCAGTAGCATTCAGAACTAGCATACCAATCTGCCCAGGGTTCCCTACTATCTGGGGTTCCCTACTATCTGGACTTCCCTCAAATCCACACCCACAGCACACAAACCAAACCAACACTAACAAAAAACTACCAGGCATTGAGGTTTTTTGAAGTTAATAAACCTCTTTGTTCAAGAATTTTTCTGCCCCCACTAGGCTCCAAATCATGCCTTCCTCATCCTCCACAGCCATCCCCCTGCAATGCACATATACAAAGCCCCCAGTGTTGAGGGTAGAGGATGGCGTCATCTGGTTTGGGATGGGGAATTAGTAGAATCAGGGCTCTTGGAAGGAGTATAGGTAAATGTCAAAGGAGCCTCTGGCTCCCAGCTGGTCTGTAAAATCTGCACTGACTAACCGCTTCCCTCTCTAATAGCTGCTACCCAGAATGATACTGCTGTCTAAAGCAAAGGGCCCAAAAGCCTATGTGTTCTATGGACACTTCCTCCCTTTTGTCTTAGAGACAGTAAAAAGCCTGTCAAGGAAGAGATGATCCCCCTGCCAGCTAGCCCTACCTCCTCACATATGCCAGCAGCTGATCATACTCAGGTGAGGCATTTCTCTCCTTTTTACAGAAAAGGATTGTCTGAAATCCCAATACTAGGAACAGAAATGGGAGAGAAAGAGAGATGGAATGCACAAATAAATGCCAGAGATAAATTTTCTGAGAGATAACCAGATTTGAGAAACAAGTTAGGCATTGTACAGATGAGAAACTGAGGCCCAAATAAGGGAAACGTTTGTATCACAGCGAATTAGTGATAGAGCCAACCCTACAGCCCAAGATTCATGACTTTCTATCCAGGCCCTTTTGACTTCACTAGGCTGTCCCTTTAAAAGTTCTCCAATATAACCTCCATGTGAAGAGAGAATGCAAAGCACAATTATAATTAGAATGCATTTAGTCATTCCAGACTAGCACCATAATCACTTGTGAGCTATGTGAATGTAAGCACATCACTTTAATTGTAGTAAACTTGTATTTAAATATTCCTCAGACTAATTTGTATTTTCACCAATTAAGTATCAATGATTACACTTTGCCATTCAAAGTAAAACAAACACAAAACAAACTCCAGAGAAGTAAGTTCCACCTAAATCTGAAGTTAGATATTCTGAGGATCATTAAGCCCATCTCCCAATTCTCCCAATTCTAGATTATTTTTCTTTACTTTTTTTTTTTTTTTTTAGAGACAGAGTCTTGCTCTGTCACCTAGGCTGGAGTACAGTGGCGTGATCATAGCTCACTGTAACCTTGAACTCCTGGGCTTGAGCAACCCTCCTGGCACAATCTCCTGAGTAGCTGGGACTATAGGTGTGCACCACCATGCCATGCTAATTTTTAAATTTTTTGTAGAGACAGGGTCTCGCTGTGTTACCCAGGCTGGTCTCGAGCCCCTGGGCTCAAGCAATCCTCCCATCTCAGTGTTAGGATTACAGACATGAGCCACCACATCACGTCAACTCCAGCTCAATTAATAATACAAGAAGCACAATGGTATTGGAAAGGGAGCTATCATTTATTACTTCTCTACCATATGCTGGATGCTTTCTTCCAGCTAACACTTTCTTTCCTATTTGTGTTTTCTTATCTTTCTCACCTATTTCGAATTTATCTTTTTGGATTGGACATCCTTATATGCCACTATAATCAGATTTTTGAGTAACAGGTAAGATACAAAACATAACACACTCACAAAAATCCTGTGAGGTAAGTATTAGATATTTCTCGGGGGGAGGGGATGAAGATACCAACCCAGAGAGTTCAATAATTTTCCCAGGGTCTAACTAGGAAAATGAGGATTTTGTGTCCTCATCTGTAAAACATGCCCATACTAATTCATGCACTCACAGAGCTTTGTGATAGTCAAATGCTTATCATAATACTTAGCATACACTGAGTCCTGGATAAATGTTAACTCTCATCTGTATTAGCCACAGACAATAATTTTCCCACTCTATGTAATAAGAACTCAGAAGGTGTACCCAAGCTGTCCTCAAATTTCTAGCCCTCTCCTACCCCTGTCTCCATTCTACTCTTGTCTTTTCTCTCACCAGTCAGAAGTATTCACAGGAATAGAATTAGCTTATTTGAACACTACCTCCTTCTTTTTTTCTTCCTCTCTCCAACCCTGGGGAAGTTCTCATATGGTAGAAGGACACAGAGAGCAAGGAAGAAAGGGAAGCAAGAGGGCCTGGAGAATCCATCAGGGTGATATGCAGCCTAACATCCTGGACAATAACTCAGACCTCCACTTCATCGGAGTCTGGTGGAGAAATAGGATAATGGCCTGTCTGGTGAGGTCCCAGCCTCTGGAAATGGGAGCCTCATTTTTGCTCCTAGAAGTCTGGCCACAGACGGCACATTCCCTTGAATGCTAAAAATGTCTGTAGCTGCCATCTGTTTATTATAGTATACAGTACATCCTTTCTGACAATAATGATTCACAATGAAGGGACACCCCTTGGGTTGGAGATGGGAATGACCTCTTCACTATGGCGAGTAAGCAATTATCTTCATGGCATGCCTGTAGGAGATGAAGCAGCCTCCTACTGCATCCATCAACTCCCATGTTGTCCTAAGTCCCAACATTCTTTTGAGAGAAATGTGCATAGAGCTTACTACCTCAGGGAGAGTAAGTTAGTTTCCTTCTACTAGGAAGCAAAAACATGGGACAGAGGCAGTGTGGTGCAGTGGCAACAATGTGGAGTGCAAATCCCAGCCAAATATCATTTGGGTGCAATTAAGTTATTTAACTTCTGAGCCTCATCATTAAAATGGAGAAGACATCACTTACATGTTTCAGAGTTAAAAGGAAGGCTCCATATGCTAAGATTTTTAAAGCATCTAGCATAGAATATACACCATTTTCTTTTCTCCCTTATTCAGGACCAAAGATAAAATTAATCAGGACCATAGGGTGCAGGCTGCCAAAGTTTAACTTTGCCTCCTTTCATATTAAGTCTGGAATCAGCCTTCATTTTGATCTATCTTGGAGTGAACAGGAAGAGAGATTCTTTGACAAGAGGCAAAAGTCATGGATTGTTGGCATTGTGGTGGAAGCTATTCAGAGAAGGAGAGGAGGCTAAGGAGTCTCCGCCTTACCTGGTCAAATAGCTGCTTCCCGGTGGTGTTGGGCTGGATGGCAAACTCCAGCTCTGCATCCATGGTGGTCACACGCACACTGATCTAGGATGAGATCAAAGGAAGCAGGTTAGTCATCTGGCTCTGTGTTCAACAGAGCCTGAGACAAGTGTCTCTGCTCAACCACAGAGGAAGGAGTTAGGATGCTAAGAGCCTGGGCAACTTAGATACTGATGGGGATGAAGGGAGAATATTGACCCAAACACAACCCCTGCTCCCAAGCAGCTTATTGAAGACAAACAACACAGCCACAGAGCAATACTTACCAAAGAACAGACAAGCATGAAGGCCGGGTGCAATGCCTCATGCCTGTAATCCCAGCACTTTGGGAGGCCGAGGTGGGTGGATTGCTTGAGGCCAGGAGTTCGAGACCAGCCTGGGTAACATGGCAAAACCCCATCTCTACTAAAAATACAAAAATTATCCGGGCATGGTGGTGCACACCTGTAGTTCAAGCTACTTGGGAGGCTGGGGTATGAGAATCACTGGAACCCAGAAGGTAGAGGTTGCAGTGAGCCGAGATCACACCACTGCACTCCAACCTGGGCAACAGAGCGAGACTTTGTCTCAAAAAAATTTTTAAAAAAGAATGCAGATCAGCCTACAACTAAGAGCAGGCAAATGATAACTGTACTTCTTCCAGGAAGGCCTTTCCATCTATACTAGACAGCTTCATCTCACAGGGTTCTCTTCTCACCTCTGATCTACCTGGATTATCTATAGCACTGGTAAACAATTGCAGAGGCAAATTAATATCAGGACAAAGAGCACTGGGTTCCACATGATAATCTAAAGGGCAGAAAAAGCTTTCAATAAAATCTAACACCCCTTCATGTTAAAAGTTCTCAATAAACTAGGTATTGAAGGAGCATACCTCAAAATAATAAGAGCCATCTGATAAAGCCACAACCAACATCATACTGAATGCGCCAAAGCTGGAAGCATTCCCTTTTAAAACCGACACAAGACAAGAATGCCCTCTCTCACCACTCATATTCAACATAGTATTAGAAGTCCTGGCCAGAGCAATCAGACCAGAGAAAGAAATAGAGGGCAACCAAGCAAGAGGAGAGGAAGTCAAACTATCCTTGTTTGCAGATGACATGATCCTATATCTAGAAAATCCAATAGTCTCGGCCCAAAAGCTCCTTAATCTGATAAATAACTTCAGCAAAGTCTCAGTGTACAAAAATCAACATACAAAAGTCACTAGCATTCGTATACACCAACAACAGTCAAGCCAAGAGCCAAATCAGGAAGGCAATCCCATTCAGAACTGCCACAAAAGAATAAATATCTAGGAATACTGTTAACTAGGGAAGCGAAAGATCTCTACAAGAAGAACTACAAATCACTGCTCAAAGAAATCAGATATGACACAAACAAATGGAGAAACAGTCCATGCTCATGAATAGGAAGAATCAATATTGTTAAAATGGTGATACTGCCCAAAGCAATTCATAGAATAGACTCAATGCTATTCCTATCAAACTACCAATGACATTCTTCACAGAACTAGGAAAAACTATTTTAAAATTCATATGGAAACAAAAAAACAGCCTGAATAACCATGGCAATCCTAAGCAAAAAGAACAAAGCTGGAGGCATCATGCTACCCAACTTCAAATGATACTAGAGGGCTCCAGTAACCAAAACAGCATTGTACTGGTACAAAAACAGACACAGAGACCAATGGAGCAGAATAGAGAGCCCAGAAATAAGGCCACACACCTACAACCATCTGATCTTTGACAAAGTCGACAAAAACAAGCAATGGAAAAAGGACTCCCAATTCAATAAACAGTGCTGGGATAACTGGTTAGCCATATGTAGAAGATTGAAACTGGACCCCATCCTTATCTCACATATAAAAATCAACTCTATATGTATTAAAGACTTAAATGTAAAAGTAATGTAAAACTCAAAATTATAAAAACCCTCAAAGAAAACCTACGTAATACCATTCTGAACATAGGAATGGACAAAGATTTCATAACAAAGACGCCAAAAGCAATTGCAACAAAAGCAAAAATTGACAAATGAGATCTAACTAAACTAAAGAGCTTCTGCACAGCAAAAGAAACTATCGAGTTAACAGGCAACCTACGGAACCAGAGAAAATATTTGCAAACTATGCAACTTACAAAGGTCTAATATCCAGCATCTATAAGGAACTTTAACAAATTTACAAGAAAAAAAACAACCCCATTAAAATGTGAGCAAAGGATATGAAGAGACACTTTTCAAAAGAAGACATACATGTGGCCAAGAAGCATATATAAAAAATTTACATCATTAGAGAAATGCAAATCAAAACCACAATGAGATACCATCTCACACAAGTCAGAATAGCTATTATTAAAAAATCAAAAAAAAATAATAACAGATGCTAGTGAGATTGCAAAGAAAAGGGAACCTTTATACACTGTTGGTGGGAGTGTAAATTAGTTCAACCATGGTAGAAAACAGTGTGGCAATTTCTCAAAGACCTGAAAACAAAACTACCATTCAACCCAGCAATATCATTATGGGGTATATATCCAAAGGAATATAAATCATTCTATCATAAAAATACATAAACGCGCATGTGCATTGAAGCACTATTCACAATAGCAATGACATGGAATCAACCTAAATGCCAGTCAATGGTAGACTGGATAAAGAAAATGTATGTTAGTATGCAGCCATAAAAAACAACAAGATCATGTCCTTTGCAGGAACATGAATGGAGTGGAGGTCATTATCCTTAGCAAACTAATGCAGGAACAGAAAATCAAATGCCAGACTGGGCATGGTAGCTCACACCTGTAATCCCAGCACTTTGGGAGGCCAAGATGGACGCATCCCTTGAGGCCAGGAGTTCAAGACCAGCCTGGACAATATAGCGAAACCCCATCTCTACTAAAAACACAAAAATTAGCCAGGCAAGGTGGTGCACACCTGTAATCCCAGCTACTTTGGTGGCTGAGGCACGAGAATCGCTTTAACCCGGGAGGCAGAGGTTGTAGAATACCACATGTTCTCACTTATAAGTGGGAATTAAATGATGAGAACACACAGACACATAGAAGGTGGAGGGTGGGAGGAGGGAGATGATCAGGAAAAAATATTTTAATAACTAATGGGTACTAGGCTTAATACCTGGGTGATAAAATGATCTGTACAATGAACCCCCATGACATGAGTTTACCTTATGACAAACCTGCACATGTACCCCTGAACTTAAAATAAAAATTAAAAACAAAGAAGAACACTGGATTCCAAGCCTAGCATGTAGCTGGTCAAATCTACAACCTTGGATAACTCCTGTCCTTTTCCTGGGCCTTAGTTTCCCTTACCTGTGCAAAGGCAGGAATGGGATGGAGGGCAGCCAATTAAACTAGATAAATGGTCCAAAGACCATTTCAGTGCTGATGTCGGTGGTTCTATATACTGCCTTGCATTGCTAATGCTTCCTATATTTATGTCTCATTGGCTTCCTTAGGCTCAAGAGGGGAAGGGGGCCTCAGTAGAGGTGGGTATGGGTGGCATAGAGGGGCTACCAAAGCCAACTCAGTGGGAGGACAAAGGTGCAGAAACAGGCCCAGACCAAAATAAGAGACAGCCACACACATGATTTCACGGGCACTAGAAAAAATACCACCTTTACAAATAGATCCTCGAAGCTAGGTCAATGATAGCTGAAATTTCATAATTAGAGATTTAGTCCTTTGGCTGAAAACTCAGTAGTAATGGTAGCAGTAGTAATAGTAACAGGCAGCAGCTTTCCTGTATCAAGACTTGCTACTCACCAGGCACTTCATATGTACTACCTCATTTAATATCAATAATCACCCTGTGAAGTAGAGTATTATCTCCACATTGGAGATAAAGAAATAGGTATTTGTCTAAAGTCACATTGCTATTAAGCAGGGGAGACAGGGTTTGAATCCAGGTCTAAATCCAAACCTCACAATGTAAACCAATATGCTAAATTCCTCTTACAGAGTACAAAAGTCTCCCATTAAAAGAAAAAAAAGATTGATTTTTAGTTGTTAGATATTTTGCTTAAATAATGTATATAGTACAGCCACAAAATGGCTTCTTATATGGTCATACAAAATCTTTATGAAGACTATTTCATGCTCACGGAAGACACTTTAGTAATATTGAGGAAATGTAAACAGTATTTCATAGAGTCCGTGAGCTCAACTTTGTAAAATGTATACATAGAAGGATGATTGGAATCTTGTCCAAGTATTAGTCAGGCTTGGTTTTGGGGTGGTGATCTTATGGGTGCTTTCTCCTTTCTTTAAACTAAAAAAAAAAAAAAAAAATCTAATCTACATTTTCTAAGTTGGTCACATACTGCTTATAGTATTGAGGGAAAGCACTAGATATAGTATTGCCAAAGATGCAAATTTCCATGGAGTGAGTAAGACATTAAACCTTATCAGTCTTTGAACCTCTAGGACTTTCCTGAACACACGGGTCAGGAGCAGGGAAGAGGGGGCCAGGCAGCTATTTTGCCAGATAAACAATTACGATGAGGATCAGGCCCAGAAAACAACTTTGTAAATAAATCTCGCTAGGGAGCCAAGGAGGAAATCTATTTTAGGATTGACAATGGGACAGGAAAGGCCCTGAAGGCAGGAACAAGTAAGGCAAGTACCCCAGTGGGAGTAAGGCAAGGTTAGCCACTTTGATTTGGTCCTACCCTAGGCTTCCTGCCAAGTCAGTGACCCCTACAGAATGGGCCGTCATAAAGTAGGATGGGGCCATTGGACTGGAATTTGAGGGGCACCATACTATATCCAGCCTCAAATCACCCTTGAGCTGGGTCAAGGGTGACCTCAAAACACCAATGACTGAAGGGACAGGAGAGAATAGAAAGGGGGCAGTGGGCTTTTTAGAATAATAGACTTCATTCTCAACTCAAAGTTTACGTCTTACTTAGAATTACCTTTCCAGTACTCAAGATTCAATGGGTACTCATGCAAGATGTTGGCTAAATGAATGGGTACCAAACAAGGGATATTGGAGATAGATACAGCATAATATACACATACAAAGATGGGGAAATTTGACATCTTGACTTTTTTGTGCCACGAATCATTCTTGCCTGTCTAGTGAAGCCTATGGACCCCTTCTTAGAATATTTGTAAATGCATGAAATAAAGTAGATACAATATAACAAAATTATATCGAAATATTTGAAATATAAATCAAAATTTAATAATATGTGCTTATTATCATATTAAGTAATTACCGAGCACTAGGTCTTATTAGTTAGTTATTGCCACTGTAATTTCAAACGTGTATTGAGCATAAATAATATTTTGAGAAATATACAATAACTAATTGTGATATAAAAATATGTATGTTAGGGGCCGGGTATGGTGTCTCACGCCTGTAATCCCAGCACTTTGGGAGGCCAAGGCGGGCGAATTACTTGAGGTCAGGAGTTCGAGACCAGCCTGGCCAACATGGTGAAACCCCATCTCTACTAAAAATACAAAAATTAGGCCAGGCGCGGTGGCTCACGCCTGTAATCCCAGCACTTTGGGAGGCCGAGGCAGGTGGATCACCTGATGTCTGGAGTTCAAGACCAGCTGACCAACATGGTGAAACCCCACCTCTACTAAAAATACAAAAAAATTAGCTGGGCGTGGTGGAGCATGCCTATAATCCCAGCTACTTGGGAGGCTGAGGTCGGAGAATCCCTTGAACCTGGGAGGCGGAGGTTGCAGCAAGTTGACATCGCGTCATTGCACTCCAGCCTGGGCAAAAAGAGCAAAACTCCATCTCAAAAAAATAATAATAATACAAAAATTAGCCGGGCATGGTGGTGCACGCCTGTAGTCCCAGCTACTCTGGAGGCTGAGGCAGGAGAATCGCTTGAACCCAGGAGGCAGAGGCTGCAGTGAGCCAAGATCACGTCACTGCACTCCAGCCTGGGCAAAAAGAGCAAAACTCCATCTCAAAAAAATAATAATAATACAAAAATTAGCCAGGCATGGTGGTGCACGCCTGTAGTCCCAGCTACTCTGGAGGCTGAGGCAGGAGAATCGCTTGAACCCAGGAGGCAGAGGCTGCAGTGAGCCGAGATCACGTCACTGCACTCCAGCCTGGGTGACAGAGCAAGACTTCATCTAAAAAAAAAAGTACATTAGATAGTTTCTGTATAAACTTCTATTATTAAGAAACCTTAAAAAAAGGGTAGAATCCAGGAAAACACTCCACAGCCTAAGAGTTGGTAACAAGGTCATGGGTACTGCTATTATTGCTGCCTTTATTTTATTTTTATTTTTATTTTTATTTGCCTACATTATAATTGAACAAATGGCTAAATTACAAAGGAGAGGTTGGTAAAAAACAAATAAGTAATTTTCCTCCATCCAAGTTCATATATCCTTCCCACTTCAAATTCTGTCCATGGACCCCATAGAGGTCTGAGGACCCCAGGTTAAGGAGCTTCCTATAAATTCATTTCAATTCACCCAATATTAATGGAACACAATGTTTAAGGAACTATGGTTGGAACAGACCAGTAGAACCGGTCCCTGATCTCAAGGCACTTACTGAAAAACACAAAAACTAAAATGTACAAGGGAGACCCTGAAAAGTGCCATAATAGAAGAACAGAGAAAACCTTTCGTGGAAATTAGGAACCACAGTTCAAAGTAGTGTTTGCACTGATTTCCAAAGAATAAGCTGGATTGTGGAAAAGAAAGACTGTGAGGGTAGGCACAAGAGCACTCAAATGTCCCAGGTAGAGAAAACAACATGTATGATGGCCCAGAAGGAGGCAAGGATGCAGATGGTCCCTTTAGAAGTCAGTCCTACTCCAGGGTGAATGAGGCCTGCAAAGTGAAGAGAGGGCAGAGTCTAGGAAGATAAGTGGAGGGCATTGAAGGCTATGCTAGAAGGTTGGGCCTTAATCCTGTTGGCAGTGGCCAGCCAGTCTAGAGGTTCTGGGCAGGGTGGGGCACAATCAGAACCAGGCTTTTTGGAAGAAAACACCCAGGAAGGAAACTAAGGGGGGGTGGGATTCCAGGGACATATCCTAAAGCCTAGGAGTTCCCTTTAATTCACAATATTGGAAATAATTTTCAAAGGAAGCAAGCCAGTGTCTCGAACAGATCATGTCAATTGTAGGTCATGCCAATCCAGCGTCTTCAGGGCACTGATCAAGGGTGAAGCCCAGTGCTGGCCCAAAGTACGTAATCAAATATTCGTTAAACAAATATTTATTAAATAAATCAATTGGTAAAGAAGGGCCCATCCTGAGTGATGAATAAGCATGTCAGAGAGGCTAGGGTTGGCCATGCTTCCTCCCTCGTAGAGGATCACCCTGGTAAAAGGGCTCTACTAAAATCAGAAGGTGTGAGCTGAAACCCAACCAGAACCTGTTTTTTCTGAATCTCTACTCAGGGTTTCTGCCATTCCACTATGGCTTCTTCCCCAGGGATAGCAGCCTGAGGTTTCCTGAACTTCAATGTGGAGATAAATAATTTTGGGTTTTTAAAAAGTTGGAAAGAAAAACAAACACAAAAGAATTCCCATTCCTGTCTCCACTTAACTCAGAAGCAAATGTGAGTCCTGTTAGCAGCACTGTAAACCAGTACAACCACTGTGGACAACAGTATGGAGGTTTCTCAGAAAACTAAAAATAGGACTACCATATGATCCAGCAATCCCACTACTAGCCATTTATTTATCCAAAGGAAAAAAAATCAGTATATCCAAGAGATATCTGCACCCTCGTGTTTACTGCATCACTACATCACAATAGCCAAGATATGGAATCAACCCAAGTGTCCAAAACCAGATGAATGGATAAGGAAAATGTGGCATATATACATAATGGAATATTATTCAGCCATAAAAAATGAAATCCTGGCCAGGCACAGTGGCTCATGCCTGTAATCCCAACACTTTGGGTGGCTGAGATGGGCAGATCACCTGAAGTCAGGAGTTCAAGACCAGCCTGGCCAACACAGCAAAACCCCGTCTCTACTAAAACTACAAAAATTAGCCAGGTGTGATGGCGTGTGCCTGTAATCCCAGCTACTCAGGAGGCTGAGGCAGGAGAATCTCTTGAACCCGAGAGGCGGAGGTTGCAGTGAGCCAAGATCATGCCACTGCACTCCAGCCTGGGCAACAGAGCAAGACTCCGTCTCAAAATAAATAAATAAATAAATAAAAATCCTGTCATTTGCAGCAACATGGATGAGCCTGAAGGACATTATGTTAAGTGAAATAAGCCAGGCACAGAAAGTTAAACACCCCGCCAAGCACGGTGGCTCACACCTGTAATCCCCGCACTTTGAGAGGCCAATGTGGGCGGATCACCTGAGGTCAGGAGTTCAAGACCAGCTTGGCCAACATGGCAAAACCCCATCTCTACTAAAAATACAAAAATTAGCTGGGCATGGTGGCACACACCTGTAATCCCAGCTACTCGGGAGGCTGAAGCAGGAGAATCGCTTAAACCTGGGAGGCAGAGGTTGCAGTGAGCCAAGATCATGCCACTGCACTCCAGCCTGGGCAACATAGTGAGACCCTGTCTCACAAAAAGAAATGATAAATGTTTGAGATGGTGAGTATGCTAATTACTCTGATCTGATCACTATATATTGTATATATCAAAACACTGCTATGTACCCCATAAATATGTACAATTTATGTATGCATTTATTATGATGTGTCAGGTTAAAAAAATCAAAATTAGGCTGGGTACAGCAGCTCACACCTGTAAATCCCAACACTTTGGGAGACCAAGGTGGGAGGACAGCTTGAAGCCAGAAGCTAGAGATCATCCTGGGCAATATAGCAAGACCATCTCTATTTAAAAAAAAAAATCAAGTTAAAAAATAATAAAAATTTTAAAATTAAAAATTAGAAAAAAACTAAGTCATGAGGACAAGGCCATTGGTCTATGCTCTCCTGTTTTCTGTGTACGTGTCAGAGGTAGCAGGGAGTAAGGGTAGTAACAGCTGGGGCCTGAAAGTGATAGATAGGATAGAAGTCCTGATCAAAGAAGGTCCCTTTGTTCTCTCTTAGATTAATCAGGGATTCAAGAGTGCAAGATGGGCTGCAGGCCCAGACCCACTGCCACAGAGGGCCCACTGGATGCTCACCCTTAGTAGGCACCCATGGTCTTCTTTTCGGGCCTAGACGCTGCTCTCTCCCTAAAGAGAAGACAGTGGTCTTGTTTGGGAGGAAAGAACCTAAAAATGAAGTTTCCAAAGTTGGCAGAAAATTCCCAGCCAGTCCTTCAGTTTGACAGGAATACAGGAGCTGACCCGGATGGGGTAGCATTTCAAGATGTAGTCCCCAGAAGAGAACTGTTTATATGCCTAGATCCCTGCCTAAGCCAGGCCCTGAGGATCTAGGCACAGCATGAGGTTAAAGACTGTGTCTCAGAAGAACATTAAGGTTTGAAGGAACAATAACAAAATGTCTGCATGTGTGTTTGGGGAAGGAGGAGTGTCATCCTCTCACATGCACTGGCCCTCCCACCTGTTGCCCAAGAACAATAAGCCCACTGTTATTTACTGAGCAATTCAACATAGACGCTTCCCACACCAAGCACTTCACTAAGCACAAACAAACTCATCTCGGTGGTACACTGTCCAAAGCCTTCAACAAACTGGGTTCTCTCTCATGTCTCCAGTTAGCTGGGCTGAGACACAAAAGTAACCAGGCCAGATGCTACCTCTGTCTTGGCACCAGCAGCTGAGAGGTACTTTGGTGTCTGGGCCTGCCAGTTTCAAATAAGCAACCCTCTCTTTGCCTATCATCAGAAGCACCCAGGTGAGCTGTAGCCCAGCTACAGCAAAAGGGATTAGCAATGGTTTCCCCTCACCTACCCCATGTCACTGAACTATAAGATGGCTCTTTCCTGGAGAGAAGTTTGGAAGAGTCAGAGAGAAAAGCAGAGAGTAAGTCAAATAATTACAAGTAACTTGCCTGGAGCATGGACCTCCGAGCTGAGGGGATGAACATTACCATCCCCACTTCATAGATGAGAAAACTGAAGTGCATAGAGGCAGGTGACAGAAGGATGGAAATGAACACTTACTGAATGCCAACAATGTGTCGGCCTCATCACACACAGTCTCACTTAACATCACTGAGGTCACATTTACTCAGCCAACAAGTAGTGGAGGCGGGTCTTCTGGACATTCCTGGAGCTCCTTCCACAACTCCACCCACCTCTCCTGTCATGTTGTCTTCAGACACTGGCTTGGCAACTATTTTGGCTAAGACTCAAACATTCTGGCATAGGAAGCCTGGGCACATCTGGGAAGCACTGCTTGGGAAGGTCCCCTTGTCTCACTGGGGCAGAGGTTGTGAGTCAGCCCAGTTGGGTCTGAGCTCAATGACCTCATTTCCACCTGCCACCTCCCCAGGGGGCCACCCCTGCTGGGCTTTCAGTGGGGCTGCTGGTGTAGAGAAGAAGGCAAGTATAAGTGGGGCAGGGGAGCCAGAAGAAGGATGTGCCCTACCAACGCAATCCCAGAGTTCTAGTATCTTCCTTGGCCAGAGAATAGTCATCACAGCGTCACTCACACTGCCTTCATCAGGTCGGAAGCTAAACTCCATTGTTTAGGCTCCAGTTCCCACCATTTCCTGCTACTAAGAGTGGGGCCAAGGCAGGGCAGGGCAGGTCCTGGTCTGTTTTGCCTCTCTGGATGACAGCACTGTCTCAACTAGCTTTTTTCCATAAGAGGGAAAACAAGGTTTGCTTTGAATCTTTAGCCTAGGGGCCATTCTGCTCCTCCTCCTCTTCCTTCACTGACTAACTCACTTCTCAGCAAGTCAGCCTCTTCCCTGTTGACTTGGAAGTGGTAACTGGTACAGTTATCTGCTAGGACCTCTTCCAGACTCTCAATACAGCCCATAAAACCTGACTGGGGTTAACCTTTCCTATGCCTGTGCCTTTTCCCAGTAGCTTCTAGAAAGGAGAACAACACCCAACCTCACTCACACCTTAATGGGTTAGCAGTATTTCTTCAACCACTCCAACTGCTCCAGAGGGCGTCAGAGACAAGGGTCCCCTTTCATTTGTTTTGACCCAGCCCTGTCATCCGAAGCTCCTCAAGAAGCATTTCAACTGGAAGACAAGGGCACACTGGAAACTGAGAGTTACTCCTCCAATTACCATATGTGTGAGGGTTAGCAATGGAAATATAACCACCTTGTCCCTGTGGGAGCAGAGTTCAGGTCAGAGGTGAAAATTGAAAGAAAAAAATCAGAAACAGTGATGTCACTTTAGCAAGTTAGTTTCTTCGTTAATCCAGCCGTAATTGCATGGCCTTTTGTTCAACCTCAGGCCCAGGTAAACCCCTCTTGTTTTTCTCTCCACACGTGAAAGTCAGGAAGAAAACCATCTGCTTAGTGTCTGAACCTAACTTCAGTTCTTACTTTCAAAATCACCTTAGCCAAACCATACCCCCAGGGCAAATACTCTCCAGCCCCAACTCATCTCTCCTTCTTAGGCACATGGGCTGACACACCAGCTCCTTAGCATGGCCATTCCTCTTTTTACATTTTCTCATTATTTCAACCCATGCATCCTAGAATCTCATATGGCTTCTCCCTTCTGAACTTCAACTTGTCCTCTAAGAAAATAAACAGTCCAGAATCCCAAACTGTCAGACCTGAAAAAGACGTCAGAGATCACTCGATTCGAACCTTGCAACATACAGCTGGGGAAACTGAGGTCCAAAGAAAGGTAGGCACTGGCCCAGAGCCACACAGCTGCTAGGCAGTGTGGGAGGAGGGGCTAAAAACCTGGCTTTTGAGGCTGGGCGCGGTGGCTCACACTTGTAATCCCAGCACTTTGGGAGGCCAAGGTGGGAGGATCACCTGAGGTCAGGAGTTCGAGACCAGCCTGACCAATATGGTGACATCCTGTTTCTCCTAAAAATACAAAAAATTAGCCAGGCATGGTGTTGTGTGCCTGTTGTCCCAGCTACTAGGGCGGCTGAGACAGGAAAATTGCTTGAACCCGGGAAGCGGAGATTGCAGTGAGCCAAGATTGCGCCACTGCACTCCAGCCTGGGTGACGGAGCAAGACTCCATCTCAAAAAAAAAAAAAAAACCTGGCTTTTGATCCACTAGCCTATTTAGTAAGCCATAGTGCCAGCCTGACATTTAGAAAACAGTAGATACTTCAAGCATACTATTATTGATCTAAAAAAAAAACTATGTGGAGGAGGCTGGATCAATTTGTTTCCGTGAAAAACTCCAAGCTGGCACTGCTTGGAAGTTTAGCTTTCAACAGAGGGCAGGCCTAACTTTCAGGATCTGAGACAATCACCACCACCCATTCTAGGGAGACTAAATATTTTATAACACCATGGAAGGAGAACTCAGAGAGCCCTGTTTCCAGAACTGTTTTCTTTGGAAAAACTTGAATAGCAACTGGTTGGGAAGGCCCCCAGTAATAGGCATAGCCAAGACTCAAGCTGGGGATTGAGGAGGGCACAGAGCAGAGAAAGAGGAAGGGAATTTGAGTAATGGGTTCATATCCAGGCAGCCAAGAACAACAGATTCCTTCAACTCCCATAAAACTTCAAAGCTGCTGAAATAAAAGAAGTGCAGACCCATCATTAATAAAGTAAGTCTCCAGATGGGCAAAGCCCCTATCCGGGGCCACACCTAGCTGGGCTTCACTCTTTAGCGTCACTTTCCTGCTTGACCCAGCTTCCTGCCAGCAAGTTTTACAGGAAGTATTTGTAGACTGGAAACTGACCATTTTTGGCTGCCTGAATATGCCAGCTCTGCCCAGGGTGCCAGAAGAGGGCTCTATTCCCTCTGCTTAGGAACAGACTCCAGCAACCTCCAGCATCATACTTCTGAAGCACACTGGAGCTGATCCAAACCCAAACTTGGGTTCCATCTATTGCTCATGGGAATGTTAAAACTGCTGAAGCCAGGATTAGTCAAATATGCAGTTGCAGGGGGACGCTTCTGGCCCTAATCAAAAAGCTCTGTTTCCAGCTGAGCGTGGTGGCTCATGCCTGTAATCCCAGCACTTTGGGAGGGTGAGGCAAGCAGACCGCTTGAGCCCAGTTAAAGACCAGCCTGGGCAAAATGGCGAAATTCTGTCTCTACAAAAAGTACAAAAATTAGCTGGGCATGGTGGCGCACGCCTGTAGTCCCAGCTACTAATACTTACTTAGGAGGCTGAGGCATGAGAATCGCTTGCTTCAACACAGGAGGCAGAGGTTGCAGTGAGCCAAAATCTTGCCACTGCACTCTATCCTGTGCAACAGAGAGAGATCCTGTCAAAAAAAAACAAAAAACAAAAAACCTCTGTTTTCAACCCCAGGGGTAGGCTAAGGTTGGCTTCCTACCTACCTTGCTGGTAAGCTAAGAACCAAATCTAGTATCTGGGAAACCCACAGAAAACCCAGGAGCCCTTGTCCTGGAAATAATGGTCTCAGCATTTTGAGCTTTGGAGCCTTTTTGACCTTCCTCTTTCTAAAATTCAGTTTCCTAATCTATAAAACGGGTCTAATAATATCGACCTCAGTACAGGGTTATTGGGAGATTTAAGTTAACATAACAGACATGTTTGACACTGGAGGAAGAAAATAATTGAACAGTAATAAAAATAAAAATAATAATAATAATAGACATGAAAGTACTTGACACATCATAAGTAGAATGTGATGATTACTAATCCCTCCCCTTTTAGCCATATTATGACGAATATCCTACCTGTCAGGAATAATTTAAAACAAAAACCTGTTTCACTACAGAGGGCTAGGGGCTGCCCAAGAAGACCTCTAAAGAGCCCTTCTAGCATAAAGGACTCTCACTTTCAGGGAAAACTAAAAGGTGATTACATTTCTAGTTGGCAAGACAATGTGAAACCATGCACAACAGTTAAATACACATGTATTCCAGCATTATTTTAAATATTTTATCTCTTGAGAGAGATGGGGATTTCCTCCCCAAGAAGCAGAATCCTATGGAAAGGCAGAGCACAACACAGCACCTATGCTGCCTTATTATTTTCAAAGGCTGCCTGATCTTCCTTCCTTATTCTGGACTCTGCCTTGCCATTTTCTCCAGTTATGTCCCATTAACACACACAAGTCTGCAACCCTCAACACAACCCACTGGGACCTCCAAACTCCCTCAGATGGTATCCAGAAGATCACAAACTGTTTTTGTTTTGTTTTGTTTTGTTTTGTTTTAGACAGAGTCTCACTCTGTCACCCAGGCTGGAGTGCAATGGCGTGATCTTGGCTCACTGCAACCCCCGTCTCCCGGGTTCAAGCAATTCCCCTGCTTCAGCCTCCCAAGTAGCTGCAATTACAGGCACCCACCACTATGTCTGGCTAATTTTTGTATTTTTAGTAGAGAAGGGGTTTCACCCTGTTGTCCAGGCTGGTCTTGAACTCCTGGCCTTAAGTGATTCGACCGCCTTTGCCTCCCAAAGTGCTGCGATTACAGGCGTGAGCCACCACGCCTGGCCTGGGATGGTGTTAATATGACTAGAGGGATGTCTGATAGAAGGGAAACACAGCAAGTAAAGAGCAACTGAAAGGCCGGGTGCGGTGGCTCACGCCTGTAATCCCAACACTTTGGGAGGCCAAGGCGGGCAGATCACTTGAGGCCAGGAGTTCAAGACCAGCCTGGCCAACATGGTGAAACCCCGTCTCTACTAAAAATACAAAAATTAGCCAGGTGTAGCGGTGCATTCTTGTAGTCCCAGCTACTTGGGAGGCTGAGGAAGGAGAATCGCTTGAACCCGGGAGGCAGAGGTTGCAGTGAGCCGAGATTGCACCACTGTCCTGCAGCATGGGCGACAGGCGACAGAGGAAGACTCCGTCTCAAAAAAAAAAAAAAAAGCCAATTGAATACGGTCCACATCCACAAAAGATCAAGGATGCAAGGATGCAGTCAGTTCTGCTACTGCCCTCAAATCCCTCTGCACCTTGGCCTCCCTATTTGTAAAGTAGTGCAGGGATTATCCCTGCTCCTCCCTACCTAAAATCATCACTACACACCATCACATACACCACTGTGCACTAAAGTAATGTCTCTGTAGTAAGAGGAACATAGCTTTGTATTCTGAAAACCTGATCTCAAGATCCAGGTCTACCAATAATAAACCATGAACTCTTAAATTTCAACTTGTAACGTGGGCATAATGATGCCACCATGGCAGGAGTGTTGTGCAGTGCTTAATGAGGTATATCCCAAACTTAGCTTACCATAAGAATTTGGCACTGGTCAAAAAGTCCAGACTTCTGGACACCACCCCAAGCTTACTGAAATGGACTCTCCAGAGAAGACGCTGGGGAATTAGCATTTTAACAAATGCCTCAGGTGATTCTTTCCATCTGAAAAGTTCAAAGAAACAACACATGGCCTTGATGCTGTTGAAATGAGAGAACAGGACCAGGGATCTCTGGTCATCCAAAATGCTTTCTGGCCCAGAGATCCCCATGACAGGAACCTTGAGGTTAGCACCCAGCAAAGTAAGGTCTGCAGGCAGGAAGAGGAGGAGACTTTGAAATTACAATCAGAACGCTAAGTGCACCAGACCCTCAGACCATTGTCCAGGATCTTCAACCATCCTCCCATCTAGCTAAGAATCAAACAGTGGGAGAAAACAGACAGTTCAGATACTTCAGCAGCCAAAGCATGATGATCACAATGCTATAATTAGGGCCCCACTCAAAGCCCTCTTGAGTTCTCTGCGTCTTAAACACTCCACATTCACTCTTTCCTGGAAGAACTTTCAGGCAAGGAGCAGACCTTAAATGAAGCTCTCTCTTTCCTTGATGCTCTTGGAACTTGAGGAAAAGAAGAGGCATGGTTGAGAGGATGCTGCATTTGCATACAGATGTGAGTATGTTGGAGGGTGAGGGTAGGAGTCTAAAATAGGTGTGACTAGCAATGGTGCACTAGAACCAGCTTGCACTAGAGCTGATCATGCACATCTCTTCCCAACTCCTCCATCAAGGACTGCATATTGGTAACCTGAAATCAGCCATGGTGGGAGTATTTATACCATGGGAATTGGCAAACAGTAAAAATCATGGATTTGCCGAAGAGTTGATTGTTAAACATTTACCAGCACACTGGACAAGAGACACATGCAAGTTAAGCATTATTAAACCCATTTTATGAATGAGGAAACTGAGTCTCAAAGAAAGGAACCAACTGCTATTTTCTAGCTGCATGACCTTGACCAAGAGCCAAGTCTGTCTGGCTAGCTATAAATCCCTGGCTCTCCTTACCAGCACCCCAGGGTAGCAGGACATCCTTACTATCAGCCAAAAGGTGGCTGACCCAAAGGGCTCCCCATCAGCTAAAGGCCAAACAAGGGCACCTAATTGTGCCCAGTGCACTCCAAGGAAATCTGAGGATAAAGAGTTCAGGACTGAGACATGAAGCCAACAAGAGACAGTCTCATCCCCACCAGAGGAGAGAGGCTGGAGTGAGGCAGGGAGTGGGCTAGAAAACCCCAATAGAAACCATAGGACATTCTTAAGATCTCTTCACAAATACCTGACAGAAACCCTGGGCTCTAGAGGTAGTCTCTGGAACATTACAAGTCCCTAGACCTCTTAAAGCCTCAGTTTTCCTACAGGTAAAATGGGAGTAATAATGCCTACCTCACCGGAGTGTTGCAAGGCTGACATTTTATCCTTTACAAACAGAAAAGCACCTGGCTTGGTACCTGGCATGTAGTAGATGTTTCATAAATTTTAGTTCCTTTCTCCTGCAATGCCATTATCCAACCCAGATTCTTCCAGGGTCTCTGGCTCACTTGTATACAACAATAATCCTAGCCCCATGCGCACAGTGCTCTACAATTTAAAAGATACTTGCCCATATGCATTCTCTCACTGAATTAAACCCTGTAAGAAAAAGACAAGCCCGAGACAAGTACCATTTTAAAGAAGGGAGAAATGGAGGTTCAGTAAGGTAAAAAGCAACATGCTCAAGTGTGAAAGAAATAGAACTAGAACCCTGATCTCCCCAACTACTAGTATTCTGTTCTTTACCTTTCCAAGTTTATCTTATTTAAGGCTACACAAAGGTCCTTCCAAAGGCTTGCCTATTATCATTTGTCTTTTTTTTTTTTTTTTTTTTTTGAAACAGATTCTCGCTCTGTTGCCCAGGCTGGAGTGCAGTGGCACCATCTCGGCTCACTGCAAGCTCCGCCTCCTGGGTTCACGCCATTCTCCTGCCTCAGCCTTCCGAGTAGCTGGGACTACAGGCGCCCACCACCACACCCAGCTATTTTTTTTTATTTTTAGTAGAGACGGTGTTTCACTGTGTTAGCCAGGATGGTCTCGATCTCCCGACCTCGTGATCCACCCGCCTCGGCCTCCCAAAGTGCTGGGATTACAGGCGTGAGCCACCGCTCCTGGCTTATCATTTGTTTCATCCAAGAAATTGAGCAGCCTCTGGACTTCAGGTCTGTCTTAGGATGCTACAAAAGAGGCTGTCTTTGGGAAAGGAGAATAGCATTGGTAACACAGGGTGGGAACAGCCCTTGTGGTAGAAGGAGCCACATCTTTAGCTCGGAGCAACCAGCCATGAATGGTGGTTCAGAGATTGGGTCTCTGAGTCCAATCCCAGTAAACTTCGGATATTTACTTCCCCCTGTAGGTCTGAGTGTTCCCAACTGTAATGGCTGGGTTTTGCTCAGTGGTTTTGACTTTATTACATTTCTAACAGCTTCCTGCCTCCTCAATCTCCCAAACAGAAAATCACACAAAACTTCAAAATATGAAGTACGTAAAAGTAGAGCTGTTCTGGTTGAAGGGAGGCTGTAGCTCACCAGGTAGCCCAGCCAAACAGTTTGTAACCCACTGGATTAGCAGCTTGACGGGAGGGAGAGAGCCCTAGGTCTGACCTTCTAGAATTCTACTCATCCTAGCTTTGCCACTGATTCCTTATAGGACTTATATGACTTTCTGGGCTTCAGTTTCCCCATCTGTAATGTGAAGTGGTTGGTCTAGTTGGCCTCTAAAGGTCCTTTCAGCATTGCGATTTCAGGAAAAAAGTGTCCAGCTATTCCCACAGTAGAAAACTGTGGAGAGAGACCAGCATGAGCAAAGGTCAATCTCTACTCTGAAGAAAGCCCTTCAGGCTCTGGTGACTCTGAACTGAACTCTTCAGGCAATTCCTCAAGCACTGGGTGGGTGGGCAGACAGGCAGGAAGGCCGGCGCCCCACCCTCTTTTGCACAGGAAGCTAGCTACATCCTCTTTTCCCCACCCCAGGCAGAACATCACCACAGGTCCCCAGCAGAAGCAGTGGGGGGCAGGGAGAAGAGAAGGATGGGGCCTGAAAGGAAGTTGAACATGCAAATCACCTCAGCTAAGGAGCCATTTGTGGGGAGGGAAACAACTGGGGCCCTGAGAAAGAGCAGCAAAGCTGCCCATTATCTACTGGGGCCCAGCTCCCCAATAAAGCTTAGCAAAAGTGGCCTGAAGCCACAGGCTGTCATAAAGAATCACAAGGCATGGGTTGGTACAGTGAGCAGCCTGGGCCCACTCACTCCACCTCACTGAGTTTCTGCAAGCCAAACAGCTGGGGCTCTTACACAAGGTGTTTCTCAGGTACAGTCTTTCTTAGGGTAAGAACACAGACATGCCATGTGCGAGGGTGGGGTGTACACATGAGTGAACAATCAAGAATACAGGAGCTCTTCATGCCTCTCAAAGCCAAGAAGGCAAGCACTAATCCTCATGGCCTTACCACCAGCCCATTTTCCGGTGCCCACCCCCATACCCTGTGACTGGGGCCCAGCCCTCCCCACATCCTGTTCTCAGAGAACACGCGGCTGCCTAAGGAAAGATAATGTCATTACCATACCTCCCCTCCATAGAGGAGGCTTTGGTTGACTGGGGAGGGAGCTGCAGTTTTCTGTCTGACCAGACTGAATAATCTACAGTAAATCTCCCAGTTTCACAGAATGGAACAGGAAGGGTAACTAGGTAACACTAGGAGCAACTTCTAAATTGGAGGATCCATGCCTACAGATAGATGATCATGATTCAAAGCACTTCTGGAAAAAGAAATTTTCTGGAAAAACACAAATTGACAATTTAACTTACATTTGGAGACTGGAAGATGACATGCCAATGTTCTTCCTTGATTAACAAACCAGGAAATGCAAAAATACAATAAAATTACAGTTTTAAAAAGGTCCCAAATGTCAATCAAGTCTCACTACACATGGGTTTTAGATGCCAGCATTGGTATTTCTGCTAAAGCACCCTGATTTAAATGTGCCTACAGTGGCTTTGGCCACTTTGAAAAAGAAAATGATCTCAGGCCATAGGAAGGTCCCCTGACAAACTCAAAGAGGAAGGGGCAGTGAGGAGGAACCACAGCCTGAACCTACCCATTGTTGAAACTTCCTTCTCTCCTCTCTAAACAGCTCGGACTCCCTGGCTCCCCCTTGTCTTCCCTCCCCACCCTATAAATATAGCAAAGAATGTGGCTGAACATCCATCTGAATATTCAGGGAGAGCCTCCTTACTCACGTAAGAAGTTGGAAGGCAGATGTCATTCCACAGCACTGCCTCACTACTGTGCAGACCTTCAATGTGGCATGATCCTTGGTTGGGCTTGTATGGGGGACTTTGGCTGGCTACCCCTAAGCAGGATGTCCCCAACCCCCCACCCAGCCTGCTGTTCCCCTAGGCTAATCTTACAGCCTAATCCAATTCTCATCCCCATTAGGGAACAAGGTTTATCACGTAGGCCTTAAGAAAAAATTTTTTGAGAGTAGTCTCAAAAATACCTACCTCCAGTGGATGTGCTGAAGGTTGAAAGGTGGCCTCATAACCTGCTGCAAGTGTATTTGTTTACAGCCATTAGCTCACAGCCTTCATTTTTGTATGACCGCCTTCCTGGAAGCAGAGGTTCAGAGAGCCCAAAGAATGCTCTTGGGCTGTATGGATCTATGATTGTTTTGGAAGAGTCTCTTGGTGGCAAGGATAAGATAAGAGACCACATGGCATCCAGCTTATTAGTTTTGGTCCCTATGTAGCTTGAGGTAACTTCTCTAAAAGCTGGCTTTGTTTTTTCGAGTTGATAAAGCCACATCTTTCCCTCCAAACCACAAGCTCAGCTAACAATTTACTGAGACTAGTAAAAACTATTTAACCTATCCTGCAATAATACAAGGGTTTTTAGCACCCCTACCACCACAAACATATAACCTTCACACCCCTCAATGCTGAGGTGAGCGAGCATGAACCTATCTAGCCCCCCACACACATATTCATATCAGTTCTTTGGAGAGAATAAGAATCCTACCCCCAGCCCCGAATGTTTGGTCTAGTTTTTTCAGACAACAGTAAAGAGGCCAACCAGAATCTCTATGGAAATTACCCAGAAGCCTCCCTAATGGTCAAGGCAACATACATTGTTCCATAATCCAAAGCAAACCCTAAAAATCTACTATTCTAGCAAGATCTGGAAAAACAAGTAAGGCTACCTCTTACCTACCTCAGGTGTTTCAGAAAGAACCCACATCATTGACACAGACATATGTATACACATACAGGTTCTACATACCACCACTTTATCAGACACCCAATATGGATCGGATCAGGCTTTGAAATAATTCGTGTGTGTGTGTGTGTGTGTGTGTGTGAATGAGCAAGCACGTGAGGGCATTTTTTTGTCAGATGGAGGAAATATGCAGATAAATGGATGAGAAATTACCATTCTATACAGCAAGGGCAGAGATAGAGGTAATTAAAGTGGACTGTGGAAACACAAGCAAGAGGCATCCAGGCCATAATGGGGAAGGTGAGGAGACAAGGGGAGGTGAGAAGGCAGAAGGTTGCTTGAGATAGAGCTGACCTCTCCTGAAGGACAAAGGAGACTGTCACAAGAAAAAGATTAAAGGGAAAAGGAACCTCATGGTATTCTGGGTAGAGAGACAGCATGTACAGGGATACAGAGGTAAGAAACACAAAGTATGCCTTTCTCTCAAAGGCATGAAGTTAAATATCAGTGTCTCCTTTCCCAGCTTCCTGACCCTCTTCCCAGAATTTATCAGAAGAAAATGAATTAAAGATCTTCCCACCACTTTGGCATTAGGTGCCAGCTCATAGATTTGGGGGAGATGGGCCACAATCAGAGACAGAAATCCCTGAAGACAAAGCCAGGCAAGATAGACTAATGTATAAAATAAAGATAAGAAGCTGATTATGTTCCCACAGCCCCACTGAGGCACCAGCTTAGCTTAATGAGCACTCCCCACCCTAGCTCACACAGACCTCAGAGGAATCACTCTTCAGGACTTGAGGGAGCCCATGACAACATACTTTCTTTCTTTGTTTTTTTTTTTTTTTTTTTTTTTTTTTGAGACAGAGTTTTGTCTTGTAGCCCAGCCTGGAGTGCAATGGCACGATCTCATGATCTCGGCTAACTGCAACTTCCACCTCCCAGGTTCAAGCTATTCTCATGCCTCAGCAACCCAAGTAGCTGGGATCACAGGCATGTGCCACCACGCATGGCTAATTTTGTATTTTTAGTAGAGACGGGGTTTCACCATGTTGATCAGGCTGGTCTCGAACTCCTGACCTCAGGTTATCCACCCACCTCAGCCTCCCAAAGTGCTGGGATTACAGGCGTGAGCCAACACGCCCGGCCCGACAACATACTTTCAATACACATGGATAACCTGCCTACCTACAGATAGACCTGGAAAGGCAACCAAACTAAGATCCCTCTGCATCTATACTCCACCACCACCACCACCACACACACACACACACACACACACACACGCAGACACACACACACACAAAGAAGAAGTGAAAGCTACCAGCATAACAAGGGCCTGAGGTGGGCCCCAGCCAAGGCTGCCTGGCTTCTGCAAAGGGGTGGAGATCCATTGATTTCACAAACTGTTTTGCCTTCTTAAGTAAGGATTCCTCTAATCATTTTCTCCTTCCTACATCCTCCATTCTTCACACCCCATAACCATCCTTTCTACCCTGGGTCTCATGTCCCTCTTCTCCTTTTCTACTACTCCCTCATCCTGGGACTTTTAAGGCTTCCCAGAGCTGGAGTTCCTCTTTACAAAGTGATAGATACACCCACATGGATTCTCAGACAACCGTTCCCTCCAACAGATTGCAGCAGAAGGCACGATGGGTTTCACCACAAACTAGGCCAGTCATTGGCATCACTGTTTGAAGTATCAGTTTCCTCATCTATTAAAACAAAACCGTAAAGAGTGCCGGGCGTGGTGGCTCACGCCTGTAATCCCAGCACTTTTGGAGGCTGAGGCGGGTGGATTACTTGAGGCCAGGAGTTCCAGAACTAGCCTGGACAACATGGTGAAACCCCATCTCTACTAAAATACAAAAATTAGCCGGGCGTGGTGGTGCATGCCTCTAGTCCCAGCTCCTCGGGAGGCTGAGACAGGGAATCGCTGGAACCTGGGAGGCAAAGGCTGCAGTGAGCGGAGATCGTGCCACTGCATTCCAGCCTGGGCGACAGACAGAGACTCCGTCTCAAAAAAAAAAAAAAATCTTAAAGAGATAATGTAGTATAGGAGGCACACTCACAAATTAAAAGCAGACTTCAGGGTTCTAAAATTATTTGATCTCAAATCCTTAAAGAGGGCAAAGTATGATGGAAAAGACTTAGGGAACTCAGCCATTTATCAAGCACTTTCAATATGCCAGGTACTCTCCTAGATATACTCATACTCTTGAGCTCTTTTAACTCTCATAAATCTCAGTGAAGTAGGTATCAGTACTATCCTCCGTTTTGTTTTTTTTTTTTGTTTTTTGTTTGTGTGTTTGTTTGAGATGGAGTCTTGCTCTGTCACCCAGGCTGTAGTGCAGTGGTGCGATCTTGGCTCACTGCAACCTCCGCCTCCTGGGTTCAAGCGATTCTCCTGCCTCAGCCTCCCGAATAGCTGGGAATACAGGCACATGCCACCATGCCCGGCTAATTTTTTGTATTTTTAGTAGAGACGGGGTTTCACCGTGTTAGCCAGGATGGTCTGGATCTCCTGACCTCGTGATCTGCCCGCCTCGGCCTCCCAAAGTGCTGGGATTACAGGCGTGAGCCACTGCGCCCGGCCCACTATCCTCCATTTTAAAGATGGGGAAACTAAGGTTGAGAGACATTAAATACATTACCCAAAGTCATGCAGCAATAAATAATGGTTAAAATGATTCTAATATTTGGTCTGTCATTTATCTTATAACTACCACCCTCCTTTCTCTTGAATCAACTTGAGCAATGTTGATGAGACTCTAGGCCCCCCAAAAAAATCGCAGGAAGACCTGAGGCAACTCTACTTAGGATGCTCACCATTAATTATCACCTGAAAACCATTTAAGCCAACCTCACTCATTGACTACTCATAAATATTCTTTAGTCCCTAAAGGGAAATTTATAGCACTAAATGCCCACAAGAGAAAGCAGGAAAGATCTAAAATTGACACCCTAACATCACAATTAAAAGAACTAGAGAAGCAAGAGCAAACACATCAAAAGCTAGCAGAAGGCAAGAAATAACTAAGATCAGTGCAGAACTGAAGGAGATAGAGACACAAAAAACCCTTCAAAAAATCAATGAACCCAGGAGCTGATTTTTTGAAAAGTACAATTTTAATTCTAACCCTAGGTGACCACAGACCCCATGTATACATGGAAGGAGACACAATGGTTTGGTTAGTTAGTAACCAACATGGAAGGTATTTATGATTGGCTACAAGAAGCAGGATTCAAAGGCCTGCAGTGTGTCTGGATCAGGAAAGAGGTGACTATAAAGAAGCCATGAGTATATAAGAAATAGGTATACAATAAATTGGCAGTCTAAAGCACAGACTAGCAGAGATTGGCAAACTGTCTCTGTAAGCCACTTATAGTCTTGGTTACATATTCTTTTTTCTTTTTTAAAAAAACAACGCTGGCCGAGGTGGGAGGATCACCTGAGGCCAGGAGTTCGAGACCAGCCTAGCCAATATGGCGAAACCTCGTATCTACTAAAAATACAAAAATTAGCTAGGAGTGGTGGTGGGCGCCTGTAATCCCAGCTATTCAGGAGGCTGAGGCAGGAGAATCGCTTGAACCTGGGAGGCAGAAGTTGCAGTGAGCCGAGATCATGCCACTGCACTCCAGCCTGGGCAACAAGAGCAAAACTCCGTCTGAAAACAAAACAAAACAAACAAAAACCAACAAACAAACAAAAAATGTTTTTAAAATGGTAAAACTTATTTTTATGATACATACAAAAACTGGTCCAACAGGCAAGTTCACCAATTCCTAGACTTAACCAAATACTGATAACTCCACTGACTATCTGCAAGGCCTCAAACCTGGATAAATATCTCTTTTCACATTCTACTTTCCAAAAAAGATGGACAGCAAAGGTTTTATCTGAAAGTTAGCCAAAGATAACTGGCCCACATACCAATTGATCATACATAGCAGCCTACTCCCTTCCTATGCAAAGGCACTGGCAGAAAAAATAGATAATAAGCTTAGACCACTAACCATCTTCCACAAAAGCTCATTCCATTCTCATACTAGGAAGGCCCTGGGCCAAGCTGATCCCCACAATAGGAGGCCCCAGGCCAGGGGCTGAGCCATAAAGTACCTGACTCCCAGGCCTCTGGCTCAAATCCCTGACCTTAGAGAGCAACAGGCATGCATGAAGAAGAAAGAAGCAAGAAGGGGATCCCTCCCAGCTGGCCAATTAAGGGCTCAAGAAGCAAAGGAACATGTGTGCCTTGCTTCTCTCCCTATTCCCTCAGAAAAGGTTTGGAGAATAAAAGGAAATCAAGCTAAGGATGCCAAACTCAATGGGAGTGAGAGGCTAAGAATGAAAGAAGGCCACCACAGAGCTCCACGGCTAATGACCTCCATTAGTGGCCAACACTACACTAAGGCCTTTCTCCTCTGGACTAAGTCTAGGATGTTCATGATCTGCTTGGCCCTTCTCTCAAAAGTGGTGGGAAGAAACAACCATTCAGGAGTGCCTACCTTCTAACCTCCCACCCTGGCTCTTCACAATTGTTCCTCCTCTAGAAAAAGAAAAGAGCCGGGAACAGTGGCTCACGCCTGTAATCCCAACACTTTGGGAGGCTGAGGTGGGTGGATTACCTAAGGCCAGGTGTTCAAGACCAGCCTGGCCAACATGGTGAAACCCCATCTCTACTAAAAATACAAAAAATTAACCAGGCGTGGAGGCGGGCACCTGGAATCCCAGCTACTCGGGAGGCTGAGGCAGCATAATCACTTGAACCCAGGAGGCGAAAGTTGCAGTAAGTCGAGATTGCACCATTGCACTCCAGCCTGGGCAACAAGAGCAAAACTCCATCTCAAAAAAAAAGGAAAAGAAACAAAAAGAAATAAAAAACATCTACATGTGAAAGTATATACACCTGAAAAGTTAACTACTGCTAAGAATTATAGGTGGATTTCTGGATCCAAGAGGTGCCAGACAGCCAACTGTGGATGCAGCCCTTCCTTTCCTCCCCTGTTAGCTTCCATAGTCTTCAGCCAGGAGATAGGGGGCTTCTGGGGAATCTAATCTGACTCAAGGGAGAGGATAAGACAAAAAATGCCCTTAAACCAATTCAGCAGCTATTGAACCCCTGCAAAGTGTGGGGTATTTTACTCTGCACTGGGAATACAGAGACTATGCCAAGTACTACTTCAAGGGGTTCCCCACCTAGTAGGAAAAAGACATAATTCTTGGACCCCAGAGAATGAAGTGTGTACTATATCCACCCTAAAGCTCCCAGTTACCTTTCTCTCCTAAGAAAAGTTCCTTTTGATACTGGCGAGAGAAAAGAAACCCAAAGTGTCCTACTCATGCTGCTTGCTTCTCTCCATTAAGCACCTTCCCATGCCCCTAGGAAGGACTTGGAACAAAGCCCCCTTTCCTACCATAGAAGGAGCTTATTCTCTACTCGGGATACTACATGTAAAACAGTGGAAAAATAATCAAAGACCACACTGTGATACAGTGTGCCCCAATATGCGCGAGAGCTTGATCCACTCTGAAAGGATAGTAGCAGTAGGGGCTGGGGCCAAGGAGAGGCTGCTCTATGGCTGGGCTCACTCCCTAATCAAGCGTAAAGGCCATCCAGCTGAAGCAGGAAGCAGAGAACAAGCAGTCCTCAGTTCCCAGGCACAAGACACACGTCTTGGACACTGAGACAGGGCTCCAGCCCTGCAAGTCCACATGGATCTGAGGAGTGAAGTCACCAGGTCCTTGAGCTCACCAGCTCCCTATAATGTTCCCACTAACTGAATGTCTTGATGCCCACAGCATTACTCACCTCCTATCCTGTTCTATCCTTCCCCTTTCCCCCAACCACTGGTCTGCTCACGCCCAGACGGTGAACTCACTCTCTAAAAAGGGCTGCTCACCTCCCTTGGGTGCAATTAGTTAACCCCACCCCTTCCTCCAGCACTTTTGGGTTGGGGGCCATAACTACTATCTCCTTCTGGACCTCTGACCAAGTTTAGAGGATGTCCAATTGAACTGTTAGAAGAGTCCAAAGAGCCCTGGAAAAAGCATTAGCTCAGTGCTCAGATCAGCTGTATCCATGCCATATTGACATGGGCACAGGCCTCCCTCCCCTTTCTCTGGTTCAGTTTTGTCACATGTAGCAAGGAGAGGCTTCTATTAGAGATGCAGTAATCAACCTTTGCCCAATGTTAGAATTCCCTGTGGGAGTGCTCAGAAAATATTGATTCCCAAAGCCTTAACCCAAACCAATTAATCAGAGTCTACACGTGCTCCTACAAACTGGTCAAGATCAATTACACAGGCAAGCTGGACTTCCCCAGGTACACCCTGGCCAAGGTAGATCAGAAGGCAGGGAGCCTAGATGGCTCCATGCAAAACTCAGCCCCCTACTATAAGAAGGGCAGCTCTAACAGTCAACATTAAGCTTCATTCTGGTTTCCAAAGGTCATGAGTTCAAATTTCCCCCTTTTTCCAAACCTTGCTTCAAGTCCACAAGAAAAAAAATTAAAATGTATTGGAACTAGCAAATCCAACCCCACATGCTTTGACATCAGGCAAGCATTACAACTTTTCCTTTCTCTAAAGGACCAGTCCTATCTGCCATTGTGAATTGTTTTTTTCATTTGCCACATATGGTCTCTATGGCCCAATTTTAAGAATCTCCCACCCTTCACAGAGGGAATGGTGACAAGAGAGAGCTGCTCTTCCTGCATCCACAGCCTTTTGGCTGCTCTAGTGACACATTCCCATGTGATGGTATCACATTCCTGAGGGCGTACCAACTGCTTGTGACCAGGAACTACCTGGCCACAGACTGGGATAAACCATCTACCTCATGATGTCAGCTTATCACCTGTTTCTGGTGGGTTCTCTATGAACTACCTCTCCAGGGCACTTCTTCCCTCCTCATCCACATCCGGCCTCTAATGATGCCTGTTCACCCCTCCACCCAGTTATGCTCCCTTACAAAATTCAGACACAGCTGACCACTTCCAACTTTTTGGAGCTGGTAGAGTTGTCCATTTGGCTCAGTTCCGCACAGAACAAAACCATTTCTGAGATGTGTGCCACCATTCCCGTACCCATGGGAGGGCAGACCAGCCTCCATTGTTAGGGGAGTATAACATTTCTGAATAAATCAGAGTTTCAGAGCAGGAAATAGCCCTCAGAGGTTAGCCAAACCAACCTCTTGTGGAACAGGCTATGGCCCAAAAACGAGCAAGGACTTGGTCAAGATTGCTCTGGAAAGCTAACAGCAAGGCCCAGCATAAACAACAGCTCTTCAACTAAAAAAGAGTGCCTTTTCCATGATTCTCCAATACCTCTTCCTCTCAACAAAAAGTTGGATTGATGCTCTTGCTCCCACCAAGGTACAAACAAGACTCTACATTAGCTAGGTCTAAGCAGCCCCCAAACAATTCTCACCTACTAATAAGCAACTCCCATATGTCCAGGAGCATGGCAAAACAAAATAAGTTATTGGCTCAACCAGGTGGAAAGCACAATTAGCCTTGAAGGCAGTGGTCTGACACTACCAAGAATGGGTTACACAGGAAGCCAGTTGCAAAACCAGAGTCAGGCCAGGCCCCAAGTAGGCAGGACACAAATATAACAGGTGGCCATCCCCACACAGCCCCCAAGTGCTCTCTCTCTAAACATTAGTCTTGACTTACAATATTTAGAAGAGAGACTGAAAAGAGGTTGGGCAACCACTGGAACGGGGGAAGGGCCAAATGTTTAAAGCTGAAACTTCCTTTCTAGCTTCAGAACTCTGACCTAACCATGACCAGAGCTTAAGTCCAGGCCTTTATGAAACAACACTGCCTTCCCTTCCCACACTCCACCCCGTGCATAGTCGAAAACCAAAGTCTTCTGTCTCCCAATCAAGCCTTGTCTCCATTACTCATTAGCTGAGTAATTTTTGCAGCCACTTAAAGTCTATGAGCCCCAGTTTTCCCTTATGTAAAAGTAAAGATAATAATTCCTGGCTGGGTGTGTTGGCTCACACCTGTAATCCCAGCACTTTGAGAGGCCGAAGTGGGCGGATCTCTTGAGCCCAGGAGTTCGCGACTAGGCTGGCCAACACAGTGAAACCCTGTCTCTATTTTAAAAAATAATTTTAAAAAAGATAATAATTCCTAACCTGCCAACTGTAGAGAGTTGATGAATATCAAATGACATAGTAATAACAATAAAAAAGAGTTTTACAACTATGAAACTTGTTACAAATATAGAGAATTATCATTACTTGGACACTGGAAAAAAATTACAGGGCAATGCCAGCCAACCTGTCAAGAGATTCCTTCAATTCGCATCTGACTTGGCTATTTTAAACAGAAAACTATTTGGAAAATGGGCAGCTATCCCCTAAAATTATAAATCCTTTCCAGCTTCCTAACCCTAGAATTTCTTTTTCTGGGATGTTAAGCAGCTAGAGGTTCCAGAAGAACTTGCCCCAAGAGGTTCCTAATGGCTCTTTTAAGATTTTCTTTAAGCTTGGTTCTTCTTGCCAAAGGACAATCTCAGTAGAGTGTGATGAAGGGAGAACTACTCGACTCTCCCTGGAATAAAAGTCCATGCAGGGCACACTCAAACATGTCTTCTCAACCTCCGATCTTTGAAGGATTGCCTCCTTTCTAATCCGATTCTCATAAATATGCTGCCTCTACCTGAGTTCACAGCTGGAGGGATGGTCAGTGAAGGCACAAATGACCTGAGAAGTAGAAGCCTATCACTTTCCTTGCTCCAGAGTGCAAAGTTCACCATTTTCCTTATAGTTAAGGTCAGTTACCCACATCAACATAAGAGTAATACTCTATGGATTACTCAGCAACAGCAACCTAACCACTTCACCCTGGAAACTTTTAGGACACGTTTGCATAACTAATTATGTGTTATTTGGATTATCAGAAGAGCCTGTATTCCCTGAGCTCACATTATTTAGAACAGGCAGTCCACAGGTAGCTGAGAAGAGAGGGGATTTTTTTGTTTGTTTGTTTGTGTGTTTGTTTGTTTTTTGAGAGAGTCTCGCTCTGTCACCCAGGCTGGAGTGCAGTGGCTCAATCTCAGCTCACTGCAACCTCTGCCTCCCAGATTCAAGCGATTCTCCTGCCTCAGCCTCCTGAGTAGCTGGGATTATAAGCACTCGCCACCACACCCAGCTAATTTTTTTAGTATTTTTAGTAGAGACGGGGTTTCACCATGTTGGTCAGGCTGGTCTCAAACTCCTGACCTCGTGATCCACCCGCCTCAGCCTCCCAAAGTGCTGGGATTATAGGCATGAGCCACCACGCCTGGCCGAGAAGAGAGTTTTATTATGGATGGTTGAGAGATGATTATATGGCAATGCCTCATTGGTCCTAAATGGTCTATAAATGAGCTGTATCACAGAAGTGAACATTTTCTGATAACTGAGGCTCACCCGTTTAAGGATCATAACTATTCTTAGTGGTGAGCTGAAAGTCTTTCATCTACTGATATACTCTACTGCTTTTGTCAACAGAGACTATTAAAACATGATTTAAACTTCTCTGAGCACCTGAATCCTGAACACTTGATTTTCTACGAGCTAACATTTCAGAGCCTTCCACTGCTAACTTATCCAAGTTTCCCACCAATTCTGAGGTTAACACATAATCATTCCCACTTTACCAACGGGAGAAGTGGAGGCTCAGGGAGGTTAAGGGATTTCTCCAAGGTCAAACAGCAAGTAAGTATGGAAACACAGATATTCCTGCAAGCCTGGCCTACAATAAATGCCTGGAGATACTTTGGATCCACACCTTCTCAAGTAGCCCAAAAAATTATTTAAAATGTCATTTCCTTTTCCTTTTGGAACCTGATCTCAAACTCCCTGCCTCACAAAGCTCCTGAAAGTGCCAATCACTAAGAGTGTGCAGGCAGCTTCCTGTTTGTCTGAAGGGGAAGGGAATAATGCCTGCAGTGGCCTGTGGGCCTAGCCCAGTCAGGGTCAACCTCTGGTAGCAGAGGTTCCAGGATTAAAGGCTGGGCAAGCAGAACTCTGCCCCACCAACTGTGGAAGTCTGGGAATAAAAAGGCAAGAGAAAGGTGGGGCCTGCCATGAGTGGGCAGAATAGAGCCAGCATTTCTGGTAATTCTGCTTCTCCTCTAGTGGCCTGGTTCCTTCAACATAATCAATACTCTCAAGTTAGAAAGCTTCTAAGACCAGGACCAGTGACCACTAGGCTAGAATTTTTCTTTCAAAATATTTGTATTTCACAAATCACTATCTTCCTCAATTATTCAACTGGTGGCTCACCTACAGCTGAGTGCTCTGCAAAATTCCACTTTCCTACCACCTGGACAAGATTCCTGATGTGTATGTTGTTAGGAAGGGGATTCTAATCTAGCTTCTCTGATAATTGACAGGCCCTTCCACAGCTCTTCTTTGTTTGTTTGTTTGTTTGTTTTTAAGCCAGTCAAATTTAGCAGTGGGGGGTTGTACACCCACTTCAGTGGCTGAGGCGTGGTGGCTCACGCCTGCAATCCCAACACTTTGGGAGGTCAAGGCAGGAAGATTGCTTGAAGCCAACAGTTCAAGACCAGCCTGGCCAACACGGCAAAAACCTGTCTCTACTAAAAATATTAAAATTGGCCAGGCACAGTGGTGCACGCCTATACTTGGGAGGCTGAGGCATGAGAACTGCTTGAACCTGGAAGGTGGAGGCTACCGTGAGCCAAGATCATACCACTGCACTCCAACCTGGGTGACAGAGCAAGACTCTGTCTCAAAAAAACAAAAACAAAAACAAAAACTTCAGTGATGCTAATGTTAACAAGTTCTGACAACCCAGTACCATCGGTAACCCACTACCATCGGACCAGCCTCCACTGCTCTTCTGTGGAGAACATTGGAAAAGCATGTGCCTATCACAAACACACACATATGTACACTCACAAAGTTTCTTTCCTTCACCTCAGACAGCTCCAACAGCCAGAGGTCTTCTGAGGTGCAGGATTCTCAGTCAGGTACTGTCTGGAATCAAACCACCCCAAGCTGGCAAAACCACAAAACAGGAAGGGGACCATGCTAAGCATAGAAAATAAGTTTATCCTACCACTAATCACTCCACTGAGCTCATTTAGACACAGGATCTAAAGCAATCTCTATAGGTGGGGCCTACTGAGCATAGAAAGGGGAGCAGCTACCATCATCTTTCATCGCAACAGAAGGGTTCACATATCACATCTTCAGAAAACCTTCCCTCTCAGACAGACAAATCCTCATTACAACTTCTTTATTTTCCACTTAATGAAGAGTATGGCCCCTTTATTTGTGTAGATTTTAAGTGTTCCACCAATTCATCCAGGCATTGGTGGCTCACGCCTTTAATCCCAACACTTTGGGAGGCTGAGGTGATAGGATTGCTTGAGCCCAGGAGCTCAAGACTAGCCTGGGCAACATAGCTAGTACCCTGTCCATACAAAAAATAGAAAAATAACTGGGCATGGTAGAATGCACCTGTAGTCTTAGCCACTCAGGGGGCTGAGACAGGAGGACTGCTTAAGCCCAAGAGTTGGAGGTTACAGTGTGCTATGATCACACCACTGCACTCCGGCCTGGGTAACAGAGTGAGACGCTGTCTCTATATAAAAAAGCTTTTTTGGCCAGGCACAGTGGCTTACGCTTATAATCCCAGCACTTTGGGAGGCCGAGGCGGGTGGATTACTGGAGGTCAGGAGTTCGAGACCAGCCTGACCAACATGATGAAACCCCATCTCTACTAAAAATACAAAATTAGTCTGGCGTGGTGGCATGTGCCTGTAATCCCAGTTACTCGGGAGGCCGAGGCAGGAGAATAGCTTGAACCCGGGAGGCAGAGGTTGCAGTGAGCCGAGATCGCGCCATTGCACTCCAGCCTGGGCAAAAAGAGCAAAACTCTGCCTCAAAAAAAAAAAAGAAAAAAAAGATTTTAATGTTTAAAAAGTGTTCTACCTATTTGCTGATTTGCTTATTAATGAGCCCCTGTAGACTTTAAAATCGGATTTGACATTAAAAGATGGCCAGCACATACTAAGTTAAAAAAGCAGAACAATACGGATTTGTACTATCTGTGCATTTAAAGGCATATATATACAAATGCATGAAAAAAGAGTCTATGGGCTGGGCGCAGTGGCTCATGCCTGTAATCCCCGCACTTTGGGAGGCCGAGGCAGGTGGATCACCTGAGGTCAGGAGTTCAAGACCAGGCTGGCCAACATGGCAAGACCACATTTCTACTAAAAATAGAAAAAATTAGCTGGACATGGTGGCAGGCACCTATAACCCCAGCTACTCGGGAGACTGAGGCATGAGAATCACTTGAACCTGGGAGGCGGAGGTTGCAGTGAGCCAAGATCGCATCACTGCACTCCAGCCTGGGCAACAGAGCAAGACTCCATCTCAAAAAAAAAAAAAAAAGAAAAAGAAAGAAAGAAAAAAAAGAGTTTATGTTCACATAACTAACTGGTTAATGATGGTTGTCTCTGGAGAATACAGTCAGGGGCAGAAGACAGGAGGCTTTATATTTTTCAATGCTGTTTCATTTCTTACAACAAACATGTTTAGTTTCATAATGAAAAATTAATCCAAAATTGTAAAACAAAGTCTGTATTTATTTAAATCTGTTCCACCACACAGCAGAGATTGTGTCTGTTAACTTTCCTTATATGGCTCAGGACTAAAAAAACAGATGGGAAAAGTCCTTTAAAGACTAGGTGAACTTCAGAAGCTCTCTCTATTTTAGGACAGTCAACCTTACCTAGTAAGCATAAACCTACACCTCTCAAATGCTGGCCCTACCCTTTTCTCAGGAGTGGATGGGAGGAAAATATCTCCTACTGCCCCCAAAATTAGTCTACCTTGGCCAAAAAATACCAAGTCTGCAAAGATAAGCAGCTCTGGGCCCTAAAGCAGCCTGGGTGGTGGTGGTGGTGGTGGTGGTGGTGGTGGTGGTGGTGGTGGTGGTGGCGGCGGCGGCAACAGTAGCAATAGCAAGAGTGGATATCCACTGGATGCCCCAACATTATGATCGCCAGGACTTCCTTGCTATCCTCCCTGGTCTATGCCTGTCTCTTCCTAGGCCTCAGCACAGGGGCCAACCAAATCCCTAAACCTCAGGTGCACAAACCTCTCAGGATTAAATTATGCAATGCAGCCCTGCCTGCTGGCCATGCCATAATGAGCAGCACAAACACAAAAAAATTAAAAATTGAGTAATGTCTCAAATATGTACTGTACAGCCAAACTTTGGGCTACTTCACAAAGGTGGACAGAAATGTTTGCATGGCTGCCTGTTAGAATCCACAAAAAGTTTTGATTTGAATATTCCCACTTGACACGAACACTACTGTATTATGTGAAGATATGGGAAAAGGGAGCAGAAATGGCTATGAACATGCTGGCCACTCACAGATAAACAGTCTCTCCAAGGTGCACAAGAGAGACAATGCCTTCCCATTCCCCGGTGCTACCCTGTTCCATTCTGCCAGGGCCCAGCTGGGTCCACATTAGGTAGTTTCCAGTGGATCAATGGAATTGTTGTTTGGCTATCTGGTAGATCTAGCTAAAGGAATCTAAAGAAGACAGTTCCAACATGAAAATAGTAGCTATTAACATATCTATTCAATAAATATTTGTTGAGAATCTACTTTATGCCAGGCATCATTGTGTTGGGTACCGGGGATATAATGGGTGGTGAGAAACCATCTCTGTTCTCATGAAGCTTACACACTAGTGGGCTAGACTGACATAATGGAAAGAACACACTCCTGAGAGTCTTGCCTTCAATACCAGTTTCTGCTTCTGCCTCAATACATGACCTTGAGCAAGTCCCTTCTTCGTGTTGATTTATAGGTGACCAGTAGATCTTCCACTGGCTCAGGTAATTTGCTTCCTTACAAAACATAAAGTCCTGGGGTGGAATGGGGGTATGCAAATGGCCAAGGCAGCAGCAAGAAGCCAAGGGTCCCAACAACAACAATAAAAACAACAAAAGAAGCCATGGGTAGTATGTGGTGAAAACAAAAAGCAATTAATTGAGATTCTCCACTCAAAGACCTTGAATTTGGCTTAGATGGTTCTTCATGAACTGTTTTCCTAAGACAGATGAGATGGGCAGGCCTCTAAAGAGTATACAGTTAGTGACAGACATGAAGATCTGTCCTTCCCACAGTACATGGCAGGCTTCAGACCAGAAGACCTGAAAGGTGCTCAGTTTCACTGCAGCTTCTACACTTCTACCTATAGCTAAAGGGATGTTAAGAAACCCTCTACTCTAAACCACTTATTTTATACTAAAGAGCTAAGGTGATGGTGGCCCCTCCCTCCCCAGGCACTTGTGGTCATTCTTGAGTAGGGCTGTGCTAGGGCCAGTTGGAGTCAGGCTGCTCAAATGAGTGAGGAGATGGTACTTCCCTGCATACTTCCTACTTAAAAAAAAAATAAAAAACTGGCTGTAGGGGCACCTATGTGGGGTTCAGAGAAACTGTAGCATCTGGCATTCTGGGTTCAGAGGCTTGATTGGAATCACATATAGCACAGAACTTTAAAAGGCCAACTGGAACAAACATACTGGAGTGTCCTGGGCCTACCTTCCTTCCTTTGTGCCTCACACCTCACAGACCACTTGCAGATGCATTAGTGCACTGAATGAATCCTCAGCATAACCCTAAAAAGTAGGTTGCTATTACTCTTTCCATTCCACAGATGGGGAACTAAAATCTGGAATGGTTTCAGAATTTGCACTGGTGACTCAAGGCCAGCTAGGCTTTCTCTGTACTTACACTCAGGCCTCTCTTCCCCATAGGTGCTAATACACCTGTCCCTTCTCCAAGGTGTATTTTCTCTATTACTAGTGGTTAGTATGCCCTACCAGGTGCTCATCCAACACTGTTGGATCCCCTGCATTCATTGCTACTGCTTCTCCCTCACCATGTATATTACTGACCAAATGCTCCTCAAAGGTTTGTCCATTCCTAACCACCTCCACCTGGAGAATGGCCCCTTCTTGAGACAGGAAGAGCTAGAAGCTTCCAAATGCACACGTTTAATGAAAGAGCAAGCCTAGGAGCCCAGATGGCTGCAATTCTGCATGGTAAATAACATAACAGAAGTTCTTACAAAGTACAGTGGGCACATAGAAGATAGTACAATACTATCTGGGAGTAATAAAGAAAGTTTCCAATGGAAGTGACATGGAGTGGGGGGGAGATGAAGAAGAGGCACCTGAAATTTCAAGCTGAAGGAAAGAACATAGGCTAAAGCAGAAAGAAGAGGTATGGCATTGCTTTCCACAGTTAAAAAAAAAATCATGGCCAGGTGCAGTGGCTCATACCTGTAATCCCAGCACTTTGGGAGGCTGAGGTGGGTGGATCACTTTAGGCCAGGAGTTCAAGACCAGCCTGGCCAACATGGTAAAACCCTTTCTCTACTAAAAAAATACAAAAATTAGCCAGGTTTGGTGGCACATCCCTGTAATCCCAGCTGCTAGGGAGGCTGAGGCACAAGAATCGCTTGAACCCAGGAGGTGGAGGTTGCAGTGAGCCAAGATTGGACCACTGCACTCCAGCCTGGGCAACAGAGTGAGACTCTGTCTCAAAAAAACAAAACAAAACAAAACAAATTCAACCTGAAAAAGCTGGATGAAAAAAAGAAAAAGGACGGGTATAGCTTACTTGGACTTGGGAAACCTTGGGCCCACAAAGCTACCACATAGCATACATGTGGGAATAAATGGGAGCTGAGTTGGGAGAGGAAGCTAGAATGGGGTGAGGTACCAAAGGGACCTCCCTATATGCTATGCTAAGAGGTTTCAATTTTCTCTTTTCACATTCATGGGAATGTATCTATACTAGCAAATGCTGGGAGTAATCTAAATGCTCCCCCAAAGGAGAATGGTTTTAAATTATGGCATAGCCTTTGAATAGAATTTTACATGGCCATTAGAATGTTCATTTCTTAAAATTAAATAGCATTTATCTAAGTTTTTAGTGATGTGTTAAGTAGGGGGAAAGAAGGAGAACTTTTTTATGTACACTATGATTGCACCACCAAAAACTAAGGTACATATATGAGATACGACAAGAAATACAAATAATTATTGCCATGTTAAAATGATGAATTTATACACAATTTCTCTCTCTATTTGCTAAACTTTGTCATATGCCATGCTGAGTTTTAAAAAAAGGGGAAATATAAAAAAAGAACCACTCTTCTTCCATTTGACTCTACATTCCTTCTTCCTCCACCTGCTTGCCTACCTTCCCAAACCAACAGCCATTTTGATCCACCACCTACAACTGGCATCGCTAACAACCCATGTGAGGTACCTAGGAAGAATGAGAAGCTTCCAGCAAGGCAGCTGCTTCCAGCAGCAAGCTCCTGCATAGCCCACAGGCCATTCCAGCTCAATGCTGGAGAAGAATCTTCCCCCTAACAGCACTGCCCAGCACTACCCAACTAAGGCTTCTCTGGTTAAACTGCCCAAGGATGCCCAAGGAACTTGTTTCTAAAGGAAGGAAAACAGATGCCAAGACTTCTTGTGCTTTCTCCAGGGGGCTCAGAGCAGGTAAGGTTTATGTTCATGGCCAACTCTTAGGTGGCTGAGATCCAATGTGGGATCCTTGTTTCACAAGCAAGCACTGGATAAAGTGTCAGTGAGAAGGACGAAAAGGAGGAAGAAGTAGAGGATGGGTAAAAACAGATCCAGTGAAGGGTACACCTTTCCCATAAACTTGCTTATTCCCTATCAGCCTTGTAGGCCCTCACAGAAAATTCAGAAGTCCCTCTCCTTTGATCTCCAGGACTAATACCAAAGGAAACCATATTTACAAAATACAGGATCAGTTGAAAGCCCAACACTAGGTGTGTGGCAATCTTCCTGACTAGAAATTCTCCCTTTTGCTCCACCCAAGCCCATATCACCTAGCTCTCCCCGTCCAAGGGCAACATAGTCAACAATGATTCAGATAGAGGAAGGGGAAAGGGAGCTTAGCAATTTAAGACTCAGTCAAAAGCAATTTCATAGCCCTACAAAAAGGGATGTTGTGGGGGAGGGAGTAAAGGAAGTGAAATCTCATATGTCCTCAGTTTTAGCTTGTTTCTTTGTCTTCCCTTTCCCTGATGGAACAATGACCAATCCAAGGGTCTTCTATTCTTCCTGAGTCACAGATGACCAAAAATAGCCAGCAACTGTAGTCTGCAGGCTGGACTCCAAGACCCCACCCAAGGCATGTAGTCAACAGTTGTCTCTCCAAGCCAGAATCTCCACAGTGAGCTCTCTGGTAGGTAGATTCAGTATATCCCAGAGCAGAGCTCACTGAAATAGAGGGGGCTGCTTACATGTTGATAGCCAGAGGAGAAAATGACACACTCAATGCCATTCTAAATGGGAAAAGGAAGCTTCTCCGAAAAGTCACCACTCTGCTCTGCTACACGCTTTCCAAGACCCCTTTCCTAGCCTCTTAAAGACTGGGCACAAATAATCAGAATGTCAGAAAAAGCCAATGTCTCTATTTTGTAGATAAGAAAATTAAGCCTCATAAAAGTGACTTGCCCAAGGTCACACAGGCAGAGATTAAAAACCAAATATCTCACTCTTCTTTCCATTGTACCATTTTTTACTAAAAGGTATTTTTAAAGACACCCAGACAAGTGCCCCAAGCTGTAAGTGTCAAAAGCTCAGCTCTTCTAACCTAAAGTTAGACAGCTCAGGACTGGGAAGGGGAGGTAGAGGGAACTTAGACTCAGCCCACCCAGGAAAGCCAAGTGAGAAGGCTAGGCATACAACAGGCATACTTAAAGAACTAGACTTACCAACTGGAAGGCTTTACCTGCTCCAAAGAAATAGTTTCAAATGCTGAAAGCCCTAGCCCCATCCCACCCCCACACTCTGAACCTCTTTAGGCCAATCGAGACCACTCCTAGGCTGTCAGAGATCTAGGTAAGAAGCTGTAGAGGAGTGACCAGGCAGTGCCAAGAGGATAAAGGGAGATAAGAAAGCAGGGTGGAGAAATCACAGTCATTCCAGAGCTCTCCCATCTTCCTCTCTCCTTCCCCACTCCTCCCCCATATTAGGACTCTAAACAAGAAGAAAAGAAGTTTGCAGGTGGTATTGTATAAACTTGAAGAAGGCATTCCCTGTACTAAAGGAGAACAGAGGACTAGTTGAGGTGGGGTGGCAAGGAGAGGGAGTAACTTGAGGGGGGAGAAAATAGCCAAATAAGGCAGACTTGACTGGTAGGAATCATCAGGAAAGGTTCCAGAAGTTGACGTTGCAGGGAGGAAGCCTTTAGTCATCGGTTTCCTCTGGCAACTGGCCTAAGACCAGAAGGAAAAAAACTCCCAACCTTAGGAAAATGCCCAGGCTATGGCAGACAGAAAGGCAACTAGGCTAGATTTTCACCAGGCCCACATCAGGCCCTGCTGGAGCAACTCTTCAAGCACTCAAAGTAGAAAGATGTAGTGTAACCCTAAAGCAAATGGCAGATGTCCCCACCAAGCATATGCTAGATCTACAATGGCCCAGGCACCAAGGGGAATAAGGAACCTGGGAGGGGGGTTTGTTCTTTTCCATTTACATATTTCTTTTTTTTTTTCTTTTTTTTTAGACAGAGTCTTGCTTTGTCACCCAGGCTGGAGTGCAATGGCGTGATCTCAGCTCACTGTAACCTCCACCTCCCAGGTTCAAGTGATTCTCCTGCCTCAGCCTCCCAAGTAGCTGGGATTACAGGCTCCCGCCAACACGCCCGGCTATTTTTTCTATTTTTAGTAGAGACAAGGTTTCACCATATTGGCCAGGCTGGTCTCAAATTCCTGACCTCAAATGATCCACCTGCCTCAGCCTCTCAAAGTGCTGGGATTACAGGCATGAGCCACCACACGCAAACTCCATGTGCCTCTTTCTAATATTGCTGATATTTTCATGTTGGAGAAAAAGAAAATTAAAAGGCAAAGAAGTTATGTGACTTTTCTTCTTTGTAAAGGAATTAGTCAGTCTCCCACAAGTATCTACAAGGATGTTTGGAGAGGAGTTTAGCTCACTTAAAACCCTTGAAAATAGCAAAGATTTGTACGACTTAACTAATGATGCCCAGATTGACTGTTACCTTGACCCTCACCCTCCAACTCTATACCATAGATTAGTCAACCTCAGTTAAAAATTACAACAGATAAAAGAGGCTCTTGGTGAGCTTCATCAAACATCCAGGCTGAGAATCTGAAAAAATAAATGGATCAGCCAGGCGCAGTGCCTCACGCTTGTAATCCCAGCACTTTGGGAGGCTGAAGCAGGCAGATCACCCGAGGTCAGGAGTTCAAGACCAGCCTGGCCAACATGGTGAAACCTCATCTCTACTAAAAAAAATATAAAAATTAGCCGGGCGTGGCGGCGCACACCTGTAGTCCCAGCTACTTGGGTGGCTGAGGCAGGAGAATCTCTTGAACCCAGGAGATGGAGGTTGCAGTGAGCCAAAGTCATGCCACTGCACTCCAGCCTGGGCAACAGAGCAAGACTCCGTCTCAAAAAAAAAAGAAAAGAAAAAAAAGGAAATGGATCATGGGTTGGAGGGAAGGCAGATTAGATCACGAAAGTAAGATCAGGAACCTTATCTAAACACACAACTTGAGAAAAATAAGACTTGATCCTTCTCAGGTATTTAATGGAGGCCAAGGCTAAAGAGAGGGAAAGAAATACTGATCAAGCCTGACAGGTATGCCTTGTTCCCCCTCCTAGGCCTTGGCCCCAGTCACTTCCCAAATATATACCCAGGAAAAAAATTTTCAGGATTATATCTTGTTTTGTACAACCAAATTGTCATATCTCAACTCTTCTCTCATTAGGCCCTGATCACTACCCTGGATGCACAAAGTATCTATCAAATTCCCACAAGGTAGAAGGGTTGCCAGGAATGGGAAGAAACTTCAATATTCGAAGTCACCAATCACAGAAGATAACTGGCAAAACAGTTCTACTAAGCAAGCACAGAGCCATTTGCCATATTAGTGGCCTAAGAGCTATGTCAACACTTACCTTATGCCACAACAAGCCGATTGAAAGGAGCATCAGATCTGGTATCTGTGTCATTAGGCACAGACAAAGGGCTGTGCTTTGAAAGTCGCCCAAAAGGCCTTTTCTCCAAATTCAAGACCCAGATGCTGCAGCTGTGCCCTGGCCAGAAAACGTCATACTCCTCCACCTCTAACAACCACACACTGAGAAATCCTCCCTGCCATCTCCACCCTTTCCCAAATACCTGATTTTATAGCAAAGTCAATGAGAGAATTAAAAGCTGTTTCTAGGCTGCTGACATAAAGTTATTGCCAAGCTCTATTCTTTGGTTTAGTTCATGTGTAAGCATGAAGAAAAGACCCTCTCACATACCTACTTAGGCAACAAAAGCAACATTTTTAAAAATTAATTTGCCCAGGCTGGGCGTGGTGGCTCACACCTGTAATCCCACCACTTTGGGAGGCTGAGGCGGGTGGATCACCTGAGGTCAGAAGTTCAAGACCAGCCTGGCCAACATGGTGAAACCCCATCTCTACTAAAAATACAAAAATTGGCTGGGCGTGGTGGCGCATGCCTGTAATCCCAGCTATTTGGGAGGCTGAGGAACGAGAATCGCTTGAACCCAGGAGGCGGAGGTTGCAGTGAGCCAAGATTGCACCATTGCACTCCAGCCTGGGCAACAGAGCTAGACTCCATCTCAAAAAAAAAAAAATTAATTTGCCCAATTCTGGAAAACCAAAGGTATGGTCTCCCCCACAGGCCCTTGTTTGCCAATTAAGAAAGGATTGTTGGATCCAAATTACCCTAGAAAGAGTAGCTTCATCTATGCTTATATCTGTGGCTCCCCTTGAATCAGTCAGCAGCTCAAGCCTCCCTTCACTTCAGATAAAGTAACTTTCAAGAGAGCATTGGTCTAGGGCCATTGGTTTACACCCACATACCAAAAACACATCACTTTCCCACCCAGAACGGCCACTGCTCCCAAGTGTACACACCCTTTAAGGCCCTGTTCATGTCCCAGTAAACCCTTTCTCCTCAAAAAGTTGTAGAAAATGCAATGCAAAGTATATATTTTTCTCAAGCCGTTTTTAAGTGAATTAGCCCTAAATCCCCAATTAAATAGGAGATAGGAGATCTTTGAAGGCAGCAGTTGTATCATCCCTTCATTTATTTCTATCCCTTATGGTAAATAGTACATAGTAACCACTCATTAAATGGTAAGAATTCAACTACCTGTCTTCTTTCTTATCCATCCCATCTAGCACAAAGTTAGGCATATAGTAAAATTCAGTAAATAATCATAACATTTGTATATCACTTGTTAGATTCTAGGCACAGTTCTAAGCCCTTTACATAAATTACCTCATGTAATCCTCACAGCAACTCTGTAAGTACTATTATTATTTATGGTTAAGGAAAATGAGGTGCAGAAGTTAAATAACTTGTCCAAGGCTATATAACTAGTTGGTCGCAGAGCTAGATTTGAGTCCAGGCAGTCTAGTTCCAGAGTCTGTTTTTCAACACTACTCTATGCTTCCTTTCCACGGAGGCTTGAAAGGTCTTTTTTTAGCTTCCTGCCCCAGGCTTGGCCTATAAGCACCTAGAGGTGAGTGGTGAACTTTGAGGCCAGGAGATTCTAGTCTGCATTCAAACAATTTGCTACAGCAGCAAATACTGTCACTAAATTGAAAAAGTGCCATACTGTTCTCCTAACTCAAGGGACAGATCAAGCTGGAGCGCTGAGTCAGAATTCAGAATTCAAAAAGGTCAGAGCTCAAAATTAAACAGGGCAAAGAGAAAGCAGGGAACTGGGGTGAGGGGTAGACAGGAAGAGAAGACAGTCATCGGAGATCCCAGAAAAACTTGCTATAGCAAAACCATTTTAGGGGAACTCCATTGTACCCATCTTGTTAATGTAATCACCACAGAGCCAGTTCTCTGGAAGTCTGTGCTCTCTGGGTGGAGTCATCCTTCTAAGACAGCCAAGTCCAGTGGGAGACCACTAACTTGGGAATTAGGAAATCCAAGTTCTCCTTTCAATACTGTTACCAACTATATGTGACCTCGAACAAGCTGCCTAACCCCTCTGGCTATGAATACGATGAAGAAATTACTCTCTAAAGTTTCTTAGGACAGCAAGGCCTAGTCTCAAGCAGGAAAATGTGACTAGTGTCCTCTCTCTACCTCCCTTCAGCCTACACATATGCCTTCCACCACCCGTCACAAGCCAAAGCAAAACACTTACCTTCCTGGGAAGTGCTACAAAGAGTTCCTGAGACAAGGTCAGAGCCTGAGCCATTTCCAAATAAAGAAACCCATGAGATCAGCTCTACACACTCAGAGGAACTTGCTCTTCCCATGGCCATAACTCCACGGTCATGTCACCACCAGCACAGAGGGAGAAGACACTGAGCACCTCACAGTGAGTGCCATTTAGAAGGTAGGCATTCACCATCCCTCCCCTACACTGGAGCCAAGCAAGTTAGGTTTTAGTCCTGGCACTATCACCAGTTCACTCAAATCCTTTCCCTTTTCTGGACTTTAGTGCCCCCATCAAGAAGATAAAGGCTGAGGCAGAAGATTTAAGGCCAGCTCAGTTGTTCCATGGTTCAAAACACTCCTGTGAGAAACCCTGCCCATCCAGAACAACCAGCTAAAGGAAAGCTTAAGGCTAGGGAAGCTCTGGGTTGCCCTAGATGCAAATGCCTTTAAAATGCTGTACCCCATACAAAATTAGCTGGGCATGGTGGCGCATGCCTGTAATCCCAGCTACTCGGGAGCCTGAGGCAGGAGAATCGCTTGAACCCGGGAGGTGGAGGTTGCAGTGAGCTGAGATCGTGCCATTGCACTCCAGCCTGAACAACAGCAAAACTCCGTATCAAAAAAAAAAAAAAAGCTGTACCCCACAATAGCCAGTCCTCAGCTCACTGGTGGTAGATACTTTATGAGGTTTGTTTAGGAGCCCTTAGGAAGGCCTCAATATCTACCAATATATCTAACTACCACACTCACCATGTTAGAAGAAAATCTGAAACATAATCTAGTAGCTTCCGGGCCTTCCTTTCAGCAGAAATAAAAAGGACTATTCTACTATCAGGCAGGCGGTCACTGAAAAATGTGGGAAGAATGGCAGGAAAATCTATGAGGCTTTTAGTGTTTGTCCAAAGCTTTTCAGTCAACCCACAGTCTTCATAATATACTCTCACTTGGTTTATTTCTTTCCACAGTAAGGAAAGACACAGCCCTTTCTCTCCCATGACTCGGGAAGAAATGGCCAAGAGTACTCAAGCCAGTATTCTTCTTGGATCTACTAATGAAACAAACCAACTCCCATGTGAGAAACAGTCCATTCTGAACTCAGCACTTAAGAAGAAACAGCACTCAAGGAGTATAATGGGACAAGAGGATACATTTTAATAAGCGCTGTTCAATTTTGTATTTCCAATACTGCCTGGCACATAGAAGGTACCCAAATGTTGAAGAAAGAATGTCTGAAGGAATGAACATACATATAAGAGACTCAATGCTCTTATACCATCAAGATTCTCAAAAACATCAGTACTGGAGGGATTCCTAGAGTTTACCCATCACTGGTACAGCTCCCTCATGACAAGCTGGAGAGACAGAGGGCCTGAAGAAAGGACTTGCCTAAAGTCCCACTTCATTTGGCTCACTTTACTGAGGACAGGAGAGAAGTTCTTCTTATATGGAAAGAGAAGAAAAATTCTCAGTTCAGTGATGCTTTCCATTTCCCAGCACCCACCTTCCAAATTCATGGAATCCTGAGCTAATCCTCCAAAGTGACAACTTCTATACCACAGATTAGAACCTGGAATTGAAAAGTTTTTCAGCTCTCTCAAGCATGAAATGGAAGGAGGGATGGACAGCAAAGCCAGTCAGTCATGAAAAGACCACCCCCTTCACTTGAACCAACAGACTATCCCAAAGGAGACCACATCTGTACCCTGTTTTTTCCTTTTTGCAAGCAAAGTAATAGAGCAGGTGGCAGGGAAAGAAGATTCTGAGTTAGGAAAGAGGCACATGATAAATTCAATTCTATCTTTGAAAGATTAGAGACAGACTATTAGCAATCTGTAACAATGCCAAATTTCCAGCAGCTATGGTTATGAAAGGCCTAACTCTGGTAGTGTTGGTAGCCAGATATTCTCCCCTCTGGGGACCCTGAGTCTAGAAATTCCAGTGGGGGAAACTCCCAGAAAGATACAAAGGGACCTAAGACAGGCTGTTGCCATGCAACACTAGAACAGAGTTCAGAATAATTGTAGCTGTCATATTATCTCATCCAGAGAGAATTAGATTTGGAGGCAGGGGAAATAGACTAGATGACTTCCAAATGTCCTTTCCAGCTCCATCATTCGGTAAAGTAGTTTCATGGGAGGAGGAGGTAAGAGAAAAGTAAGAACAACACCCTAAAACAAGCTACTGTTGCAGGCAGCTAGAGAATGGAAAGTTAGAAGATTAGTGATCAATACTACTTCTATCACTGACTCACAGAGCAACCTTTCCCTCTCCAAGCCTAACACGAGAGAGCATAGATTAGTTGGTGTGGGTCCCACAAAGGCCTTCCTGCCCCACCAGCCCCCTCCCTACCCAGAGGGCTGTTAAAAGAAAAGCGTAAAGGAAATTCCCAAGATGGTTCCTGCTCTGTCTCTATCATCTACACTTTCACAAAGGGCCAAGTGAACTGAAGAACCCAAGTGGAGAGATGCAGGATCCTCTCTCATATGACCTCTCTTCCTGATCCTTTTCCCCCCACTTAAGTCTGTAGGCAGGGCTGGTTCAAGGGTTAAAAGACTAAGAATCTGGCTCCTATTTACCAAGTACCACTTTAGTGCCACTCGAGTGGCTCAAGTAATGCTAGGAATGGCAGGAGAATAAACAGTCCACATAGTCCCTGTTAAAGTTTAGCTGAATGCCGACCCAAACACCTTCAAATACTTCAAGGATCTAGGCTCTATGTCTGCTCACATTGATGGTCCCATCAAATGACCACTCGATTGCCTTTCCCCTGATCTGTTGATCTATGGCTAAAACCCCAGCAGATCAAAGAGGTGTTTCACCAAGACTGACCCTCTAACTAAGACCTAGATTCAAGTCCTAGTTTTGCAACTGGCATACTGCATCACTCTAGGTTAGTCTCCCCCTAACATGAGTTTCAGTTTCATCATCTATACAATGAGAGGAATTGGACTTTATAGTTGTGGAGAGCCTTTTCAATACTAACATCTAATAAATCCCAAGGAAGGAAACCAGAAACTCAAGAACATCTCGAAAATTCAAAACACTCTTTTTTTAGGAAATCCAAGAAAGCCTCAAAGCCTTTGTGATCCTAAAAGAAAAAAATTAAAGAAGGTAGGGAGGGGGAAAGGCCTTTTTAAATATATATATATATATATATATATATATATATATATATATATATATATATATATATATAACTGTCATCATCACCAAAAAATGTAGATGGCAATTAATAAGCTTTTCCATTCTGGCTACTAAAGCAGACTCAGGAAACTGGCAACCAGAAGCAGAGTCCAAGGAATGGCAAGAAGGCAAGGGTGGCGGTGGGTAGTGAGGCATGTTTTTTTGTTTTTTTGCTTTTTTTGTTTTTGAGATGGAGTCTCACTCTGTCACCCAGGCTGGAGTGCAGTGGCGTGATCTCGGCTCACTGCAACCTCCGCCTCCCAGGTTCAAGCGATTCTCCTGCCTCAGCTTCCCGAGTAGCTGGGATTACAGGCGCACACCACCACGCCCAGCTAATTTTTGTAATTTTAGTAGAGACAGGGTTTCACCATGTTGGTCAGGCTGGTCTCGAACTCCTGACTTCATGATCTGCCTGCCTCGGCCTCCCAAAGTGCTGGGATTACTGGCTGGAGCCACCACGCCCGGCTGGCGTGTTTTAACAAATGTAGGGGAGGTTGGGCTGACTAGGAGGGACAATTAGCTATAAAAGTGAAACCGACCCTAGATAGGTTGTAGACATGCTGCAATATGAATGAACGAGTTTGATTTTCCACTACCTTTCTCCATCTGTCACACGCTAGAAATAGCCTAAAGCACATAAATGAAAATGGAGCAGAGAAAGGGAAATTTTTTCCCCTTTTAATTAAAATTACTGGTTGGTATTCAGTGAACTAGGGTGTGCCCCTGAACACCTTGGCCTTGGTATGAGGAATAAGAAAAGTAACAGAAGGCACCTGGTGACACTACCGAACCTTACCAGGAGACCACACAAATGTCAACCTTGGCCACTTTGCTCAAATTACTCATTTCCTTTTATCTGAGGACCATAAAGGTCTGAGAACAGTGGGCAATTTGTTTGGAGCAAGAAAGGGAACTCAAATGTCAAGAACTCAATCATTGGGTCAGAATAAAGGGTCAATGAGATGAGCATCAGAAAGCCTGGACCCCAATCTTGGCTCAGTCACCATGTGCCCTTAGGTAGGTCTTTCCCTGTAGGTCTCAATAGCCTCATTAGATTTTTGTTTTAGTTTTAGTTTTTTTTTTTAAGAGAGTTGTACTAAATAGTCTCCAAGGTCCCTTTCAGGTTAAGATTCTATGATCTTAACAGACATAATATAGTTGCTTTTCCTAAAAGTTGACCATTCCTTGAGTCAAAGTATAGAAAATTCTCTAATACTTCCAGTCTATCAAAATTCAGCCCTCTCCTTCCAATTTGATTCAGGTTTCAGTCAATCTGCATAAAAATGCCTTCAGTATTTAGGTACCCTCATTACTCCAGGCCTGACTACAAACAGCTTATACTCCATTCTCTCTCCATTCCCAGGAAAACAATAAACACGCTGTCTTGTCTTCTTTGCCACTTTGACTCAGATGAGACGGTTAATGCAAGTTTGAAGCAACTTCCAGGCCCATGAAGCTGTGTTTCAAAGTGGGCTATCTCAGAACTGAGGATGAGATATGCCACTACAGAAGAAAGACCGTGGAGCAATGTCTATTCCCAGAGATCCACCCAACTGTTCAGGCAAAGCCGCACCTTAAGAGGAGTCAGGAGTCAACCACAGAGAGAGACCCAAAGAGCCGCTCCTGACAGGATCTTTATAATCTTGTTTTGGCAGACAATGGGATATTTTCCCCTCTCTCCAAAACCATTACTCTCTCTCTTTGGGGGCGGGGACTAGGGAACAAAGTGTGTAAAAGCCTCATGTCCTAAAACCACAAGCAATTTAAAGGAGATAGACAGTGAAAGCACATACTTTTTGAAAACTTGGTGTTTCTGAAGGACAAGGTTCTGGAAAGGCAAGAACGACTTGGCAGTGAGGCTGGTATACAGTAACGTGGCAACCAAAGCTCATCACAAACCCAAAAGGCTGGGCCCCCAACTCTCCTCCTCTCATCCCAGGGGACCTTCAGCCCTTTTCAAGGCTACTAGTCACTATCTCACCTCTACAAGGCTCAAGCAGTCCTGGGGAGACATGTTTGGGAGCACTGCATTGCCTAGGCCAGCTCAACAAGCTGTTTGGCCTAAGGGACTCAAGCCAGGGTGGTCACCAGGCCTTTCTGAGCAAGGGAAGGGCCTCAGCAGCCATTTGGCATGACTTGCACAAAAGCAAGCAGAGCTCATTAGTCAGGCACACCCCTCCTCCCCTCTCCCTCCTGGGCATCCGGCCCCCCTATCCCCACTCCCAGGAGGCTTCTGTTCCTCTCGTAACAGCCAGTGGGGTGGAGACGCATCCCCAAATCAACCACCACTCTAGAAAGGTGTGGCCCCACGAGAAAACCCACACCACACAAAATAGTCCGGAGGGGATAGGAGGAGATAGAGAGGCATTAAGCAATAGGAGGGGCAGGGATTTGGAGGTGGAGAGGAGGGAGAAACCGGTCCTCTCTCCCAGGAGATGGGGTAGGCCTCTCCTCAGACTGGTGCCTAAATAAGTGTTGGTGCTCTCGGGTGCAGCCTCGATGACGATTTCCTCACATCTCTCTCCTCACCTCCTAGTGGAAAACAGCTGGAGCCACCCGGTGAGGCTGTGGGAAAGATGAGTGGGGGTGCCGGATCCGCCCCGAGCGGCTCCCTCCTTTCTCCCTGCTTCTCTGTTCCCATGTCCCCTCTTGGACATTGGCAGCCTTGCCCCAGAAAGGTGCCAATTCCTGGGTTGGGGAAAGTGTTGTCTTCTGGACCAGAATCCTCTCCTCTGTGCCCATGGCCCATCAGGGAAAAGGGGAAACCCCAGGCCCCAACGAAGCCGTCCTGACTGTTGCATCTCAGACACAGGGAACTGGAACCTGAGAAAGAGGCAGGCCTCGCCCCGTCCAAACTTCCAGCCTGGACACCCCCTCAACCCCTGAGGGCGCACCAGACCAGGATCCCACTCCGGTCCCCTCCCTACCCTTGGCTATGGCGGAGGGCGCGGCGTCCCAGGCGGGCCGGTGGCTGGCCAAGCCCTCAGCCATCAGCAAAGGGCTATGAGGCTCAGCCAGAGCCATTGGGGTCGACAGCGCCCACCTCCGGCACTCACCGTTTTGGGCATGGTGGCGGCAAAGGCAGCGGAGTTGGCGAAGTTTAGCTAGGACTGTCGGGCAGTGCTGAGCACGCAGTACACACGGCTTGGATTCGGCTGGCCGGGGACTCAGATTGGGTCCCTCACTAGCGTCGGGGCGACTGTTAGGCTTCCTGCTAACGGGCCACGACTTCACAAACCCCACCCAGGAAAGAGCCGCCCCTGTCGCGCCGCCCGCTCCTTTATGTGGCCCGGCTTCCGCGCCGCTCCCCGCCCTCGCGCCCGCCTCCCCGCCGACCGCTGGCCTTGCCCCGCCCAGCCCCGCCTGGCCAGGCCCGGCGCAGCCAGGCCACAGCGGCCACGTGGGGGGCCCGGCTGGGCCCGGGCGGACCTAGGGTAGCTACCACTCCCCACCCAGACCCACCCGGCTCCTCTCCCACCCTGGTCACAGCCCCTAGCCTTCCACGTCCTGGCCTTCCAGCCCCACCCCCACTCAGGGCCCAGACCCTGGGCCCTGACAGATGCTTACTCAGCCCCTGACTGCAACTTTCCACTGATGGGGAGCTCACTACCTATCTTTTCCTTCTCTAGACAGCTCTGGCTCTTAGAAAGTTCTTGCCGTGTCTGAACTCCTTTTCTCTATGGCTTCCATCCATGGATCTCAGTTCTGCTCCCTGAGGCCACACAGATCCCCTGTTGTCCCTAACAGCTCCTCAAAGGCCTGAAGATCTCAGGTCCACAGGAAACTTCTCTTCTTTTGGCTAAACTGCCTCACCTCTTAAAACACTTCATCCATTCTCTTCCGTAGGACTCTCCCCATCATATTTCCTACCCATCCTTGCTCAGTCCTCATTTATCTTTCCTTCATCTAAATCCCAGTCTTCACCTTCCTCAAATCAGTGACCTGATCCTTTAGCCCCTCTCCCAGTACATTCACTTTCTGATGTCCTGATGGGGCTGGCTATAATTCCCTCAGGTTAGATGTGACCTCCCTAGTCCACACCCTTGGGGTTTGTCTGCCAGCTCCCTTTCTCCTTCTTGTCAAGGTCACAGAATCCCAGGATGGCAGTGTTCTAGACTGTTGAAGTCGTCTGGTCAAGTCTGAGTTTTAGGCTGAGTGCGGTGGCTCATGACTGTAATCTTAACACTTTGAGAGGCTGATGCAGGAGGATTGCTTGAGCCCAGGAATTCGAGACCAGCCTGGGGAGCATATCAAGACCCCCTCCCATATCTATACAAAAAAAATAAGTGAGAGCCGGGCATAGTGGCTCACTCCTGTAATCCCAGCACTTTGGGAGGCTGAGGCGGGCTGATCACCTGAGGTCAGGAGTTCAAGACCAGCCTGGCCAACATGGTGAAACCCCGTCTCTACTAAAATTACAAAAATTAGCCGGGCACGTGCCTGTAATCCGAGCTACTCGGGAGGCTGAGGAGGGAGAATCGCTTGAACCCGGGAGGCGGAGGTTACAGTGAGTCAAGACTGAGCCAGTGCACTCCAGCCAGGGCAACAGAGTGAAACTCTGTCTCAAAAATAATAATAATAATAGTAAGTGAGACCATGTGCAGTGGCTTACACCTGTAATCCTACCACTTTGGGAGGCCAAGACCTGCAGATCACTTGAGGTCAAGAGTTTGAGACCAGCCTGCTCAACATGGCGAAACCTCATCTCTATTAAAAATGCGAAAAAAAAAAACAAAAAAATTAGCCGGGTGTGATGGCACGTAGTTCCAGGCACTCGGGAGGATGAGGCAGGAGAATCGCTTCCGGGAGGCGGAGGCTGCACTGAGCCCAGATTGGGCCACTGCACTCCAGCCTGGGCAATAGCACAAGACTCCGTCTCCAAAAAAAGTAAAATAAAATAAGTCCGAGTTTTAGTTTGAAAGTGGCTGGCCATAGTCCTTTTTTCCTCCTCTCCACTGGCAACCATGTGAAGGCATGGTCTGAGTATCCTTTGTGAGGTAAGGCACCACAGATGGTAAGCCAGTTTGAGACAATGGAAAGGATACTTGAGAGGTCAGGACACCTGGCTTCTACGTATAGCTCTGCCATTAACTCATCCTATGACCACTATGTGGCCTTGGGTAATTCCCTCCCCCTCTCTGGGCTTGAGTTTCCATTTCTGTAGCAAGAAAGGACTGGACTCCGGGGCTTCCAAGGTCCTTTCCCACTCTGACATTATAAAGGGATGAGAAAGGAAGTATACTCCCTAGGACAATAGATGAGCCTAACAGGATTGCATATGGGCTGGTCTTGCATTTGCACTCAGGAACCAGTAGTCTGATTCCATCCTCTTCCTTTGCCTTCCCAGACCAACAGTGTCCACGATTCAGTGTGCCTCGGTTTCTCTCACTGCTAACAAGATTCATTGATGTGTGCTAGGGTAAACAAAGTTCCCTGCCAAGATCATTTCCTTGAGCTAAGCATTTGTTCAAAGAGCAGCACTCATCGGAAAGCCCAAACAGTCTCCATGAGCAGTTGTCCCCAAGGAAGAGCAGCACTCACCAGAAAGCCTCAGCAGCAGGAGTAGCAATGACAGCTCATCACACGCCTTAATACTGCCATTGGCCCTTTTCCACCAGATGTTCAAGGAACTCAACTGATTTCTTCACTCATGTTCACCTAGAACCTACAGGGACCTGGCATGAAGCTAAATGCCTAAAGACAAAGAATTTACTTGGCGACTCCAACTTTCTGGAAAGTGGAAACTCCCTTGTGTCATTCCCCACCTCCCATGCCAACCACTCCCCACAACACACATACACAGGGGAGAGTTGGGTAGAGAGTGTCAAGTAGCTGAAGACACTACTAAAAGGGAAACAAGGACCAGGTGTGGTGGCTCACACCTGTAATCCCAGCACTTTGGGAGGCTGAGGCAGGCAGATCACTCGAGGTCAGGAGTTCAAGACCAGCCTGGCCAACATGGGAAAACCCCATCTCTACTAAAAATACAAAAATTAGCTGGGTGTGGTGGCATGTGCCTGTAATCCCAGCTACTCGAGAGGCTGAGGCAGGAGAATTACTTGAACCCAGAAGGCAGAGGCTGCAGTGAGCAAAGATCATACCACTGCACTCCAGCCAGGGTGACAGAGCAAAACACTGTCTTAAAAAAAAAAAAAAAGAAAGGGGGCATAGAAGTCCAAGCAGGGGCAGGGGGTGTCAGAGGCTCGGGGAGCTAAGAAATAGGGGGAAAGGGGCTGAGGGAGAAAGATGAGGTTGGACCTCTGGGGAGGAGAGGATGGGAAATAGAGAGAGAGCATAAACTATCAGAGACTAGTTAGTCCAGTCTCACTCCAGGTCAGGAGAACTGGGGATCAGAAAGAGGAAAAGACTTACCCAAGGCCAGATAGCTAATGTACAGAAGACAAAGAGCTCAGTTAAGAAGCTCTGGCAATAGTACAAGCAAGAAATTTTTTAAATATTATTTTCTCATGTTTTATTTTAGATACAGGGGGTACATGTGCATGTTTGTTACATAGATATATTGCACTCAGGTAGTGAGCATAGTACTCATTAGGAAGCTTTTCAACCCATGTCCTCTTCCCTCCCACCTCTAGTAGTTTTCAGTGTCTGTTGTGCCCATGTTTATGTCTGTAGGTGCTCAATGTTAAGCTCCCACTTATAAGTGAGAACATGCGGTATTTGGCTTTCTGTTCCTTCACTAATTCACTTAGGATTATGGCCTCCTGTTCCATCCATGTTGCTACTAAGGACATAATTTTATTCTTTTCTATGGCTGCATAGTATTCCACGGTGTATATGTACCACATTTTCTTTATCCAGTCGACTATTTCTTTCTTTTTTTTTTTTTTTTGAGATGGAGTCTCACTCTGTCACCCAGGCTGGAGTGCAGTGGCGTGATCTCGGCTCACTTCAAGCTCCGCCTCCCGGGTTCATGCCATTCTCTTGCCTCAGCCTCCCAAGTAGCTGGGACTATAGGCACCCGCCACCATGCCCGGCTAATTTTTTTTGTATTTTTAGTAGAGACGGGGTTTCACCATGCTAGCCAGGATGGTCTCGATCTCCTGACCTTGTGATCAGCCCACCTCGGCCTCCCAAAGTGCTGGGATTATAGGCATGAGTCACCGCTCCTGGCCTTAGTTGACCATTTCTTTATCCAGTCAACCATTTTCTTTATCCAGTCAACCATTGATCATGGGCACCTACATTGATTTCATGTCTTCGTTACTGTGAATAATGCTGCTATGAACATGCAAGTCCATGTGTCTTTTTGGTATAATGATCTATTTTCCTTTAGGTATATACCTAGTAATAAGAATGCTGGAACAAATGTAGCTCTGTTTTAAGTTCTTTGACAAATCTTCAAACTGCTTTGCCCAGTTGCTGAAGTAATTCACATTCCCACTAACAGTGTATAAGCATTCCCTTTTCTCCACAGCCTCGCCAGCATTTGTTGTTTTTTTTGACATTTTAATACTAGTCATTCTGACTGATGTAAGGTTACCACCTTACATCTGTTAGATTGTGGGTTAGATTTGCATTTCTCCGATGGTGAGTGATGATAGGCATTTTTTTTTCATATATTTGTTGGCCACTTGTATGTCTTTTTCTGAGAAGTGTCTGTTCACGTCCTTTGCTCATTTTTTTTTTTTTTGAGACAAAGTTTCACTCTTGTTGCCCAGACTGGAGTGCAATGGCGTGATCGTGGCTCACTGCAACCTCCACCTCCTGGGTTCAAGTGATTTTCCTGCCTCAGCCTCCCGAGTAGCTGGAATTACAGGTGCATGCCACCACGCCTTGCTAATTTTTGTATTTTTAGTAGAGACAGGGTTTCAGCATGTTGTTCAGGCTGGTCTCGAACTCCTGGCCTCAGGTGATCCACCTGCCTCAGCCTCCCAAAGTGCTGGGATTACAGGCGTGAGCCGCCACGCCTGGCCCTTTGCTCATTTTTTAATAGGGTTATTTATTTTTAGATTATTGATTTGTTTAAGTGCCCTATAGATTCTAGATGTTAAGCCCTTGTCAGTTGAATAGTTTACAAATGTCTTCCTCATTCTGTAGGTTGTCTGTTTACTCTGTTGATAGTTTCTTTTGCTGTGCAGAAACTCTTTAGTTTAATTAGGTCTCACTTGCCAATTTTTGCTTTTGTTGTAATTCTTTTTGAGACGTAGACAAAAATTTTTCACCAAGGCCTATGTCAAGAAGTGTGTTTCCTAGGTTTTATTCTGTGATTTTTATAGTTTGAGATCTTAAATTTAAATACTTAATCCATATTGAGTTAATTTCTGTAAATGGTGAAAGGTAAGGGTCTAGTTTCATTCTTCTGCATATGGCTAGCCAAGTATCTCAGCACCTTTTATTACATAGGGAGTTCTTTCCTATTGTTTGTTTTTGTCGACCTCGTCAAAGATCAGATGGTTATAAGTATGAGGCCTGATTTCTGAGTTTTCTATATATTCTGTTCCATTGGTCTATGTGTCTGTTTTTGTACCAGTACCATGCTGTTTTGGTCTTGATAGCTTTATAGTATAGTTTGATGTTGTGTAGTGTGATGCCTCAAGCTTTGTTCTTTTTGCTTAAGATTGTTTTGGCTATTTGGGCTCCTTTTTGGTTCCATGTGAATTTTAGAACAGTTTTTTCTAATTCTGTAAAGAATGACATTGGTAGTTTGATGGGAATAACGTTGAATCTGTAAATTGCTTTGGGCAGTATGGCTATTTTAATGATATTGCTTCTTCCAATCCATGAGCATGGGATATTTTTTCATTTATTTGTGTCATCTCCAATTTCTTTGAGCAGTGTTTTGTACTTCTCCTTGGAGAGATCTTTCACCTCCTTGGTTAGCTGCTGTACTCCTAGATATTTCATTTTCTTTGTGGCTATTGTTTGGTTTTGTTTTGAGATGGAGTGTTGCTCTATCACACAGGCTGTAATGCAATGGCACAATCTCAGCTCATTGCAACCTCCGCCTACTGAGTTCAAGCAATTCTTCTGCCTTGACCTCTGAGTATCTGGGACTACAGGCATACGCCACCATGCCTGGCTAATTTTTGTATTTTTAGTAGAGACAGGGCCATGTTGGCCAGGCAGGTCTGGAACTCCTGACCTCAGGTGATCTGCCTACCTCAACTTTCCAAAGTGCTGGGATTACAGGTGTCAGCCACAGTGCCCAGTCTCTTTGTGGCTATGGTAAATGGGGATGTGTTCTTGAGAAAAACTGGTACCAGTTCTACTGAAACTATTCTAAAAAGAAATTGAGGAGGTGGGGCTCCTCGCTAACTAATTCTGTGAAGCCAGCATCAGCCTAATACCAAAATCTGGCAGAGACAAAATGAAAAAAGAAAACTTCAGGCCAATATCCCTAATGAGCATAGATGCAAAAGTCCTTAACAAAATACTAGCAAACAAATCCAGCAGCACGTCAAAAAGTTAACATGCCATGATCAATCAGCTTCATTCCTGGAGTGCGAGGCTGGTTCAATGTATACAAATCAATAAATGTGATTTGCCACATACACACAATTAAAAACAAAAATCGTATGATCATTTCAATAGATACAGAAAAAGTTTTCAATACAATTCAACAACCTTTATGATAAAAACCCTCAACAAACTAGGCATCAAAAGAACATACCACAAAATAACAAGAGCCATCTATAGGTGGCTCATGCCTGTAATCCCAGCAGTTTGAGAGACTGAGGCGGTTGGATCACTTGAGGTCAGGAGTTCGAGACCAGCCTGGCCAACATGGTGAAACCTTGTCTCTACTAAAAATACAAAAATTAGCCAGGCATGATGGCAGACACCTGTAATCCCAGCTACTTGGAAGGCTAAGGCAGGAGAATCACTTGAACTTGGGAGGCAGAGGTTGCAATGAGCTGAGATCACACCACTGCACTCCAGCCTGGGTGACAGAGGAAGACTCCATCTCAAAAAAACAAAACAAAACAAACAAATAAAAGAGCCATCTATCATAAACCCACAGCCAACGTCATACTGAATGGGGAAAAGCTGAAAGCCTTTCCCCTAAAGAACTGGAACAAGACTTGGCTGGGCACGGTGGCCCACGCCTACAATCCCAGCACTTTGGGAGGCCGAGGTGGGCGGATCACGAGGTCAGGAGTTCAAGACCAGCCTGACCAACATGGTGAAACCTCATCTCTACTAAAAATACAAAAATTAGCCGGGTGTGGTGGCACATGCCTGTAATCCCAGCTACTTGGTAGGCTGAGGCAGGAGAATTGCTTGAACCCAGGAGGTGGAGGTTGCAGTGAGCCGAGACGGCGCCACTGCACTCCAGCCTGGCAACAGAGCGAGACTCCATCTCAAAAAAAAAAAAAAAAAGAACTGGAACAAGACAAGGATGCCCATTCTCACCACTCCTATTCAACATAATACTGGAAGTCCTGGCCAGAGCAATCAGGCAAGATAAAGAAATAAAAGGTATCCAAATAGGAAAGGAAGAAGTCAAACTATCTCTCTTTGCAGATGATATGATTCTATACCTAGAAAACCACATAATCTCTGCCCAAAGGCTCCTAGATCTGATAAATAGCTTCAGCAAAATTGTAGAATACAAAGTCAATGTACAAAAATCAGTAGCATTTCTATACACCAATAATGTTCAGGCTAAGAGTCAAATAAATAAAGCAATAAATTTTGAGGGCTAGAGCCAGAGAAGTAGTGCCTTCCTCCCCACTTCACCAAACAGAAGCTTGTTATGGTGATTATGGTCAATAGCTAGACATTGTTTAGGGGCTAGACATGAAACCCTTTGGCTAGCAGGGACTCATCTCAGTTACGCCCCTGTCTCCAGAGCAGAGCAGAGGCAGCCGAGGTGCTATCTTGTTCTTTAAGACGGCAGTGAAACAGCTTTGTTTCCTACCTCCTTGTAAACCATTTCATGCCTATATTGCCCAAACTTCTGATAGTCCCCCCACCTTACCCCCTACTGTGATCCTATTTGAACTGAGAGTTAGATCAATCATCCTGGGGCCACAGTAATACCCATGAGTAGGTTTAGATCTGATGAGGTTTATGTCAGTGTTTCTAGAGAGAAGACATAGAAATAGGAGCCATACATCCACATATAGGTTGGTTACTCTGTGAGAGGAACATAAGGGGTATGAAGAGATTTGGGTTTTTAGACAAGCTAAATTCAGAAAGTTCTAAGGGAGACAGGCAAGTCTTTTTCAAGCAGTACAGCTAATGAGGGCCAATATGAGCAGAGGTGGTACAGGGACATTCTGGAGCTGGAGTCCAAGGAAGCCGGGGGCATCTGAGTCAGTGGGCAGGAGATGCAAAGGAATATTTGGTCAGGGCTTTAGGGACAGACTTGGGGTCCAGTTTGAAAGGCTCAGGATTCCTTGGGGGCTGGGAATGTTCTGGAGCTGCAGCAAGTCTGGGCATCAAAGTCAAGGGAACAGCAAGCAAGAACTGCATGAAGCTGATTTATGTGATGCCGGGAGTGATGGCACATGCCTGTAATCCCAACACTTTGGGAGGCCGAGGCTGGTGGATCACTTGAGGCCAGGAGTTTGAGACCAGCCTGGCCAAAATGGTGAACCCTATCTCTACTAAAAATACAAAAAATTAGCTGGACATGGTGGTACGTACCTGTGGTCCCAGCTACTTGGGAGGCTGAGGCAGGAGGATTGCTTGAACCTGGGAGGCAAAGAGGTTGCAGTAAGCCAAGATTGCACCACTGCACTCCAGCCTGGGCAACAGAATGAGACTCCATCTCAAAAAAAAAGAAAAAAGAAAAAAGGTAGCCAGGCACGGTGGCTCACACCTGTAATCCCAGCACTTTGGGAGGCTGAGGAGGGTGGATCACCTGAGGTCAGGAGTCCAAGACCAGCCTGCACAACATGGTGAAACCTGTCTCTACTAAAAATACAAAAATTAGCTAGGCACGGTGGCACATGCCTGTAATCCCAGCTACTCCGGAGGCTGAGGCAGGAGAATCGCTTGAGCCCGGGAGGTGGAGGTTGCAGTGAGCCAAGGTTGCGCCATTGCACTCCAGCCTGGGTGACAGAGCAAGACTTCGTCTCAAAAAAAAAAGAAAGAAAAGAAAAAGAAAAAGAAAAAAACAAAAGAAAAATCAAGCTGATTTATATGAAAGTCTATGTCCAAGCTCAAGAGAGAAATGAAATTGGACTTTTAATCATCTGCAAATATATTGTTCCCATCCTAGATCTAAGTTCACGGCAATAAAGAAGCTTCTGCATTTCAAGTGGCATTCCTCCTTCAGGGGATGCAGTGCAGTGCAGAGGAGGCAATACCAGGGACAAACTGGTTGGAGAACAGCAAGGGATACTTTGCAAAAAGAATCCCCCTGACCCCAACAATTCACTGAAGGGTAGCAATTGAAAGTTCCCCATCACTCAAAACTTTCTGAGGGCTGCTTTTCATTTTCATCATTGTTGGAAAGTCCTTCTGTTTCACTCAGCACATTTGCTCTTGGGTTTTTCTTGCAGGAAGAATTAACTAAGCCCCTGAGATTGCTGTTCTAGCTTCATTCATAGAAGAGAAATGTGTCAGAGACAGATGAGAAAAAATATCAGCTTGGGGCCCCACACTCTGAGGCCTTCTCTCTCTCTCTTTTTCTTCCCCTGGGTCAGTAGTGCAAACACTTGACTACTTGTGCCCCTTACACAAAAAAGAGAATAAACTATTCTTTAGCTTATTCTTTAGATACTGTTGTCTCCCCTAAGGAAAAAGACCCTCTCACAGCATAATGTGGCTGAGAGTACAAACTGCAGTAGTAGGAAAATCATGCTTTTAACCATCCTCAGTCTTGTAGCTACTTCTTAGGAAAAAAAGCTAGCATCTGGGTAAAAGGAGAGAAGATAATATTAAACAAGGCACCTACTATGTGCTGAGCATTAGGGAGGCCATTTCAATATCTAACCTCAATGTAACCCTCACAAGAAATGACAGTTACATTGGTAGAAATGAGGACATTGAGGATCTGAGAAGTGATGTGACTTGTCCAAAAGTCACATGTTTGTTGATTTGTTGATGGTGGCACAGGGATCTGGGCCCAGGTAGTGTCAGACCAAAGTCCACCTTCATCCCATCAGCCTGAATCTGTGACTTTCTCAGTCCTGAGCTATGACCAGACATACTCGAGGAAGGGGGTGTATTTTAAGATTCGCATCACCCCCGCACCTTGGTGGTCAGACTAATGGTTCGAGATAGCAGGTGAGTAATCATAAGCAGGGCTGATAAGGCGTTTTGCCAGTATCAAGTGTCTGGGAATATTTATTATTAATCACACTAATGGACCACCATGAGAGGACAAAGTTTCTCTCTGGTTTTTCACCTGATAGAGCTGGAAGCTTTTCAAGCACTTTCCCCAGCCAGCCAATATCAATTTAATTTAAGTCACTATCCTCTTGGAATATGAAATTGGCTCCATAGACAGGATCTCCCAGTGAAGTCATCAGCCCCCCCAGCCCTGCCCCCACTGACCAGTCACCCTGCATATGTGACCAGTCTGCATGTGCCCAGAGAGAAAACAGCCTGCTGAGCTCATGGCCCGTCTGTGAACCATCCGCATCCATCTGTGACTGGGTGCCTGTTAGGTGCCAGGCTCTATGAGAGGCTCTGTGAGGGGTGCTCACCCTCCTCTCCCCTCGAGCTCCCCTTCCCAGCAGCTCTGTATCTGTTGGTGGTTTTGCTGTTGGCGTCGTCTTTTGTGTGCACAGTTTCATCATCTTTAACTCTGCCTGACCCCTGCCATCAGTCACCAAGCTCTGCTCTCTGTCTGTCTGTGTGTCCTTCACAGCTTCACTCCATCCCATCTCCACTGCCAGTGCCCCAGGTCAGCCCTCCCCGACTCTGGCCTCAACTGTTGGAACAGGCTCCTCCCTCGTCTCCCTGCCTCCAGGCTGCCTGTCCAGGCCAGCCTCCACATGGTCATTTGGTGATCTTCATGGTGATCTTCAGAAACATAGCCTTCATGTGTGCTCAGAATTGGCAGGTGAACCCTCACACACACACCAATGCACACACTTACCTTCCCAGCCCTCTCTTCCTCCCACGGCTCCTCAGCACAGGCCGTGCCCTCTAGCTGGGCTACTCACTGCACGCAGCAGCACCGTGTGCTTGCTCTTGTCTCTGGGCTTCCCGGGCCCTACCTCCTGCACAAAGCCCTCCCTTGGTCTTTCCTGCCCTCCTCGTGCTCTCTGTCTCCCTCAGCCCCGCAGTGCCTGCAGTAGGTTCACAGTGCTCATTTGGCCTCCCTCCCACATCCTGCTTTGTCTTGTCAGCAGCTGCTTTTTTTAATTTTAATTTTCCATTCCAGGCTGGGCTGTAGTTGCTCCCATAAAGGGATCACAGTTTTTGTTCCATGCAGAAGGAGTCCAGAACACTTCTAGGCATAACCTTGGAGCTCATGACAGGTTGCTCAGCTAGGCCAGAGAAGAGAGGGATCTGCTCATTTCCAGCCTTGCAGGCCTATCAACTTGTATTATGTTCAGTTTCTCTAAGGGCACACATTCCCCTTCACATTGCCTCAACTTATCCTGTTAGGAGACAAGACTAATGGAACAGATTCTCCTATGTCATCACTTTCTCTCTCCCAACTCACAACAACAAACACAATACACACACACACACACACACACACACACACACACACACAGGCATAGATCTTTTCAGCTCTGCTCCCAGTCTGCCTTAGGTAAACACTATACTGTGTACAAAGAGGCATTTACAAAGACATTCACTGCAATACTATAATAATCAAGGGAAACAACATAAATGTCCATCACCAGAGCACTAATTAAATACATTATGGTATATCCATACAATAATTCAGCCTTTTGAAAACACAAGCTATCAGCCAGGCATGGTGGCTCATGCCTGTAATCCCTGAACTTTGGGAGGCCAAGGCGGGTGAATCACCTGAGGTCAGGAGTTCGAGACCAGCCTGGACAATATGGTGACACCCTGTCTCTACTAAAAATACAAAAATTAGCCAGGCATGATGGCAGGCACCTGTAGTCCCAGCTACTTGGGAGGCTAAGGCAGGAGAACAACTTGAACCCGGGAAGCAGAGGTTATAGTGAGCCAAGGTCACGCCACTGCACTCCAGCCTGGGCGACAAGAACAAGACTCTGTCTCAAAAAACAAAACAAAACAAAATAAAACAAAAAAACCACAAGCTATCATGAAAAGAGGTTTCTGATCTATTAGACCTATTAGAAGATTCAGGGAGATGTCTATGTCTTCTTCTGAATCAGACTTCTGAATGCCAAGAGGCAGAGCTGGATCAAGTGGGAGAAAGCCACAGTGGGACACGAGGGAGAAGGTTTGTATAGTCACAGCTGTCCAAAACTGGAGAGAGTCATTCAAAAAGTACTGAGGTCCTCGTAATTGAAAGTTTGTTGACAAAGGTTACATGACCCCATACTCTGGGAGGTTGAAGAGAAAATTTCTATGCCCTAAGGGTCTATAAAATCAATATGTAAGAAGCCCTCAAATAAAAACAGAGCCATTTTCAAATCATTATGTCATTCACTACCAAGAACATCTTAGGTAATCAGAGTGTCAATCCATATATGACAGATAAGGTAACTGAGGCTCAAGGAAGTAAGGTCACTTGGCCATGATCTCATTATAAGTAGGGTCTTGAAACAAGCCTATCTGACTTTATTATTCATCCTATAATGAAACAAGCCTATCTGACTTTATTATTCATCCTATAATGAAACAAGCCTATCTGACTTTATTATCTGACTTTATTATTCATTCATTCAACTATCTGACTTTATTATTCATTCATTCAACAATTTTTTGTGTGTATGCTTACTACACAAAAGGCACTGTACTAGGCTCTGTGTATACAGACATGAAAAAAACAAAAGTTTCTACCCTTACAGGGCTCACAACCTAGTGAGGGAGACAGACAAAAAAAAAGGAATATAATATATTTTTTCACCACTCCCCACATCCTAAGTGTTGAGGTATGGGGATAAAAGACTTCATCTCAGCAGGGCCAATAAAAACTATTACCCTGGCATAAAAAGCTCCCACCTACAACGCTCTGAAAAAACAGTCATAGGTGACTGGACAAGGAACAGAAAGCAGGATGGGTCAGGGCTTTGAGCAGACCCTTCTCCTCTTACTAAGACCTCCATGAGAGCACAACCCAAAAACTCCTACTGGCCACTGGTGGTGTATATGCTTTATTCATACGTATATGCCTTTATGTATATATAGCAAGATAGCTGCACATTTTTTTTTCTTTAGTATATGTATGAGGGAAAGAGAGAGAGAGAAAGTGCCACCTTGAAAGCAGTAAATTTTGGAAACAGAACACCTGGTTTTAGTCTGTTTTTCCAATAACTAGTTCAGCAACTTTAGGTAAATCAGTTGATTAACCCAAGCCTCAGTTTCCTGTAAAAATTGGGGTAATAATAATAGCTACCTCCCAATATTTTTGGCCAGGAGGATATATAAGGTTGGCTATAAGAAGGGTCTTTGCAAGGCCAGGCGTGGTGGCTCGCCTGTAATCCCAGCACTTTGGGAGGCCGAGGAGGGCCGATCACGAGGTCAGGAGATCAAGACCATCCTGGCTAATGTGGTGAAACCCTGTCTCTACTAAAAAATACAAAAAAAAAATAAATAAAAAATTAGCTGAGTGTGGTGGTGGGCGCCTGTAGTCCCAGCTACTCAGGAGGCTGAGGCAGGAGAATGGTGTGAGCCCGGGAGGCGGAGCTTGCAGTGAGTGGAGATCGCGCCACTGCACTCCAGCCTGGGCGACAGAGGAAGACTCTGTCCCAAAAAAAAAAAAAAAAAAAAGAAGGGTCTCCATAAAATGATTGCATAGAGCCAGGTGCAGTGGCTCACGCATGTAATCCCAGCACACTGGGAGGCCGAGGCAGGCGGATCACCTGAGGTCAGGAGTTCAAGACCAGTCTGGTCAATGTGGTGAAACCCCGTTTCTACCAAAAAATACAAAAAAATAGCTGGGTGTAGTGGCAGGCGTCTGTAATCCCAGCTACTCGGGAGGCTGAGGCAAAAGAATCACTTGAACCCGGGAGGTGGAGGTTGCAGTCAGCCGAGGTCGCGCCACTACACTCCAGCCTGGGCAACAAGAGCAAAACTCCATCTCAAAAAATACATACTTCCACATAGAAAAAGTGTGGTCATAGCTATGTGTATGTGGTATATAAATGTAGGTTCTGGAGTCTTCCTGGGCCCCCAGATGTGCCTTTGTTTGGCCATGTGTATGTTATCCATACACATGGATAACATACACATGGAGCAAACAGGCTCCCATGCTTGCCTGTTTATGTGCCCATTTGCTTGTGTGTGTGTTGTTCGGCCTAATCTGTATTTCCAAGTCAGCCTAATGTATAGTAGCCCCTTCCTCCCACCACTTACGTTCCTAAAACACTTTTTCTCATTCTTTACTCCCTAGTCTCAGACCAGAACACATTTTAACATTATTTTTTTTCTGAGAAATACAGGCCTCAAACATTCCTAACTATTTTTAAGAGACTTCCCCCTACTTCACACTACACCAAAGGCATTGGTTTATATTCAGCCTAGCCATGTATTTACATGAAGATGTGAGCCCATATGTGGCTATGTCTCAGTGGGGAAAATGCGGGGCCATCCCCCAGGTTTGAAGTGCCCCTTCAAACCAGCCACATCATGTGTTCCTGAGCCTCTCCAGTGGCTCCAGAGAATGTGGTGTTGGCAAAATAATGCCACAGGGGAAGATGAGAAGCCATTCTCCAGTTTTCTGTCACACACACACCACTCCCAACTCCCCAGCCTCCACTTCTCTAAGACTTTGGGACTGGGGGCCAAGAGGTCTGGTTCTACTTTCTGCAGGCCAACAAAGTCCTAAATATACTGCCATATGACTGGTTCCAAAGACATCCAGCCATTTATTCTGAGTATCAGAATGCTTGGGAGAAGAGAGAGAGCCCCATGTTTAACTCATAGAACCTCTGAATCTTAGAGCATGGTCCTTCATCACCGCCTAAATCCACCTCTCCCATATCCTCAATGAAAGAGTAAAAACAGAAATCAGAATCTTAAAATATTACACCTTTAACATCATCTAGGCTACGTGTCCCAATTTTACAAGTGAGAAAACTACGGCCAAGGGAAGTGAATGGAGTTGGTCAGGAAAAAGACTAGTTCTCCTGACTCCCAGGCTAGGATTCTTTCCACTGGGTCTCCAGACTCAAGAGCAATAAGAATCAAGCAAGTTAATACAAAAGATTAATGATCCCATGCTCCTGTTGCTTTGGGGGACATCTGAAAATAGAAGCTGAGAAGTTCTTAGGGAGGGAGAAAAAATTACAGGGGCTTGCTGGTGGGTCTCTCTGCTGAGAGCAGACCTGGATCAAGTACCTACCATGGCTCAGGGCCAGATCTGAGACCCAGGAGAAATGAGAGCTTCTCTTGTTTAGAAGCTTTAGAAGCTGACCTGGAAACTGGAGAGGTCTTACTCTTCCTGTGACATGGGTTCTGGATCTCCAACAAAAGCTCCTAAAGGCAAGGATTGTGGCTTGCATTATCTTCTCATCTCCCAAAAACTTGTCCAGCTCCAGGCCTCCTGATTGATTGATGATGCTTGCCATAGAGATGAAATCATCCTGGCTCTGTGGGCAAAGGTCTCTGTCCTGATTAACCCTCAGACTGGCTGCATCACTGAACTGCAAGTGCACCAGCCTTCCGGTGCTCCACATTCTAGTTGCCCCCATCTTCCAGGGGGCTGGATTAGCACAGCACATCCCAAGGGTCATGGGCTTGCCTGCTGGCCTAGGGAGGTTGCTTCCCATCCTCAGGGCTCTGACCTCATAGACTGCACAGGGGATGAAAGTAGAGGCTGGTCTTGAACTTCTGGCCTCAAGTGATCCACCCACCTTTGCCTCCCAAAGTGCTGGGATTACAGGCGTGAGCCACCATGCCTGGCCTGGGATGGTGTTAATATGACTAGAGGGATGTCTGATAGAAGGGAAACACAGCAAGTAAAGAGCAACTGAAAGGCCGGGTGCGGTGGCTCACGCCTGTAATCCCAACGCTTTGGGAGGCCAAGGTGGGTGGATCACCTGAGGTCAGGAGTTCGAGACCAGCCTGGCCAATGTGGCCAATGTGATGAAACCCCATCTCTACTAAAAATACAAAAAATTAGCTGAGTGGGATGGCAGGTGCCTGTAATCCCAGCTACTCAAGAGGCTGAAGCAGGAGAATCGCTTGAACCCAGGAGGCAGAGGTTGCAGTGAGCTGAGATCGTGCCATTGCACTCCAGCCTGGACAAGAACAGCGAAAGTCCATAGCAAAATAATAATAATAATAATAATAATAATAATAATAATAATAAATATTACTTCTTTCCTTGCCCATTTTTACTAAAATAGAATACATCCCCCACAAAAAGAGCACCATATTCTCAATCTCAGAGATTTGTTTCCTTCACAGCACTTATAGTTTGAAATAATGTATTTTATCTGTGTATTTACTTGTTTAATATCTACCTCCCTGTAGTAGACAGAAAAATGGCACCCTGAACATACATATCCATATCTTAATTTTATTTTCTTTCTTTCTTTCTTTTTTTTTTTTTTTAGATAGAGTCTCACTCTGTCCCCCGGGCTGGAATGCAGTGGTGTGGTCTTGTATTTTTGGTAGAGACAGGGTTTCACCATGTTGGCAAGGCTGGTCTCAAACGCTTGAACTCAAGTGATCTGCCTACCTCAGCCTCCCAAAGTGCTGGAATTACAGGCATGAGCCACTGCACCCGGCCTCTAATTTTCAAAACCTATTAATATATTATGTTACATTACAAAGAGGAATTAAGGTTGCAGATGGAATTAAGGTAACTAATCAGCTGACCTTGAGATGGGAAGATTATCCTAGATTACCCGCGTGGGCACAGTGTAATCACAACGGTCTTTATAAGTGGAACAGTGGAAGAGGGAGGCATGAGAGGATGTCAGAGTGATGCAGTGTGAGGATTTGACCTGCTATTGCTGGCTTTGAAGAGAGAAGGGACCATAAGCCAAGGAATGCAGGCAGTCTCAATAAGCTGGAAAAGACAAGGAAATTTATTCTTCTCTAGAGCCTTCAGAAGGAACTCAGCCCTGCTGACCATTTTAAACTTCTGACCTCCAGAACTGTAAGAAAATTAATTGTTGTTTTAAACCACTCATAATTTGTTACGGGACACATGGTAAACTATTACACTCCCCCATTAGATCATGATTTTGATGAGGGCAGGAAATAGGTCTGTTCTGCTCACCATCATAGCCCCAGCATACATTGTAGCACCCAGCACAGAGTAGGACCTCAATTAATATTAGGTTAAATAAATGAATGAATCTTGGGCATGCCTTAGGGATCCTGCCTCCATAATGCCCCTTAATGTGGGGTGCCATTTCATCCAAGGGGCTGAGCCCAAAGGAGGCTGGCACCTCCCCAGCCAGAACGTGGTAGGAGAGAAGCTGGAAGCCTGAGAACACATACATCTTTTATTTCTCAGAAAAGGAACCCTTGATGGCTGGGTGCAGTGGCTCATGCCTGTAATCCCAGCACTTTGGGAGGCCAAGGGGGGTGGATCACTTGAAGCCAAGTGTTCGAGACCAGCCTGGCCAACATGGCAAAACCCTGTCTCTACTAAAAATACAAAAATTAGCTGGGAATAGTGGCATGCACCTGTGGTCCCAGCTATTTGAGAGGCTGAGGTGCAAGAATCGCTTGAACCCAGGAGGGGGAGGTTGCAGTGAATCCAGGAGGGGGAGTTTGCAGGAGGGGGAGGTTGCAGTACCACTGCACTCCAGCCTGGGTGACAGAGTCTCACTCTGCCTCAAAAAAAAAAAAAAAAAAAAAAAAAGAGAAAAAAGGAGGCCTGTGGAGTCTATATTAACCACCTGTCTATCCACACAACAATGTGCACGTTTTTTTTTTCATACCTATATATACAGAGAAATGATGATTCTCATTCCAGAACCTTTTCTGGAGCACCTAGTGTGTGTCATGTGCAGTGCCAGGAGCTTGTGCGTATGTTATTTGTGGATGGTGGTGGTAGTGGTCTGTTTCACGTGTTATTTTTTTGTTATCTCATTTGTTCCTTGCTTTGGTGGGGTAGGGATTCCTAGTCCTACTATGAAAAGGCAAAGACAAAGTATGAGCCCAGCTCAAGGCCACATAGCCAGTGAGCTGGAACCCAGCTCTCCAGACAGACACTGTACCCAATTTTATATATATATACACACATACACACACACACATATACACACACATACATATACACACGCGCATACACACACACACACACACAAATATATATATATATATTTTTTTTTTTTTTGAGATAGAGTCTCTCTCTGTCACCTAGGCTGGAGCACAGTGGCATGATCTCGGCTCACTGCAACCTCCGCCTCCCGGGTTCAAGCAAATCTCCTGCCTCAGCCTCCCAAGGAGCTGGGACTACAGGCACCCGCCACCACGCCTGGCTAATTTTTGTATTTTTTTTTTTTTTTTTTAGTAGAGATGGGGTTTCATCATATTGACAGGCTGGTCTCAAACTCCTGACCTTGTGATTCACCTGCCCCTGCCTCCTAAAGTGCTGGGACTACAGGTGTGAGCCACGGGCTCCTGGCCATAGATATATATATATATATATACATATATATATAAATTTTTTTAAGCTACCACCTACCAGCACTTCTCCCTCACACACAAGGTTGTACACATTGGACCCATGTTGTCTCTTCCCTTAGGCCATATCTTGAGCAGTCTACCTTCTTCTCCCTGCTGAAGTAATACACTCTGCCTTTCGGCAACCATTTTTCCTCCCAGTAAAAAGAAGTAGTAAGTTGAGTAGAAAGGTCACAGGATTTGGCATCCCAGCCTAGATTCAGGTGTTCACTTGGCCACTTACGGACAGTGGGATCTTTGGCATTTTCTCCTCATCCATACCCAGGCCTTACCTCTCATTTCCAGTCACATCTTTTTTATTTTATTTTATTTTATTTTATTTTATTTATTTTATTTATTTTATTTTATTTTATTTTAATCTTTGAGATGGAGGCTCACACTGTCACCCAGGCTGGAGTGCAGTGTCATGATCTCGGCTCACTGCAACTTCCGCCTCCCAGGTTCAAGCGATTCTCCTGCCTCAGCCTCCCAAGTAGCTGGGATTACAAGTGCGTGCCACCACGCCTGGCTAATTTTTAGTAGAGACGGGGTTTCACCGTGTTAGCCAGGATGGTCTTGATCTTCTGACCTCGTGATCCACCCATCTCGGCCTCCCAAAGTGCTGGGATTACAGGCGTGGGCCACCACGTCCAGTCCTCTCTTTTATTTATTTTTTATTTTTACTTTTATTTTTGAGACGGAGTCTCTCTCTGTTGCCCAGGCTGGAGTGCAGTGGCACGATCTTGGCTCACTGCAACCTCTGCCTCCCAGATTCAAGCAATTCTCCTGCCTCAGCCTCCCAAGTAGCTGAGATCACAGGCGCCCACGACCACGCCCGGCTAATTTTTGTATTTTTAGTAGAGAAGGGGTTTCACCACGTTGGCCAGGCTGGTCTTGAACTCCTGACCTCAGGCGATCTGCCCACGTCGGCCTCCCAAAGTGCTGGGATTACAGGCGTGAGCCACCGCGCCTCCCAAAGTGTTGGGATTAAATGCATGAGTGACCACTCCAGGCCTCAAAAACCCTTCTGATCATTCCTCTCCTCAAACTTGTCCCCTTCCAGAGATCTAAGAGTCATCTTTAATATCTTCTTTTTCCTCACGCCCCCCCCACCCCCTCCAGCCATTTCAACCCACTGCTAAGTTCTATCAATGAGCCATTCTAAAAACTTTCAAATCTGTCTGCTTCTCTCTATGTCCACTGCCACTACCCTGGTCCCAGCCCAGTCGAATGGACAACTACATCAGGTTCCTAACTGATTTTCCCACATCCTTTTTGGCTCTCCTCCATCCATTTGTCCACAAAGAAGCCAGAGAAATATTTTCAATATGCAAAATCATGTCATTCTCCAGCTTAAAAACCTTCAATGGCTTCTCCCCTGTGCTTTTATGATGAAAAGAATCGTTGTCATGGCCTTTAAAAGGCATTTATGGTATGGCTCCTACCTATTTCTCTAGCCTCTCTCTACCAACTCTCTCTGTCACTGCTTGCATTCCAGCCACACTAGCCATTTTTCCATCTCTAAAATGTGTTATGCTTCCTCCAATCCATCCCCCATGAAGGTCTTTGCATACTATGCATTCTGCAGGGGAGCACATGTTTCCCCACCTTCACCATTTACCTAGTTAACACCAATTCAATCCTTCCTTTAGATCAAATATCACTACTTGTGGAACTCTCTAAAACCCACCATATGTCAGGATCCCTACCACATGTCCTTAGAGAACTAACCACCTGGCTGGGTGCAGTGGCTTACGCCTGTAATCCCAGCACTTTGGGAAGCCGAGGTGGGCGGATCACGAGGTCAGGAGTTCGAGACCAGCCTGGCCAACATGGCAAAATCCCACCTCTACTAAAAATCCAAAAAATTAGCTGGGTGTGGTGGCAGGCACCTGTAATCCCAGCTGCTTGGGAGGCTGAGGCAGGAGAATTGCTTGAACCCGGGAGGTGGAGGTTGCAGTGAGCCGAGATCACGCCATTGCACTCCAACCTGGATGACAGTGCAAGACTCCATCTCAAAAAAAAAAAAAAAAAGAGATAGAGCAAACTAACCACCTTTCCTCCATAGAACTTACTAACTTACTACAGTTTGCAAATATACAATTATTTGAGTCTTGAGTTGATTAATGTCTGTCTCCCCAAGTAAACCATAAGTTTCATTAAGGCAGGAACAGTGTTTGCTTTTTATCTCTATTGAAAACCAGTGTCTATAATAAGAGTGAATGAGAGGTGGTGAATTCACAAAGGGCCTTGTACCTCATACTAGGGTTTGTTTTTTTGTTTTGTTTTGTTTTGTTTTGAGATGGAGCTTCACTCTTGTTGCCCAGGCTGGAGTGCAATGGTGCGATCTCGGCTCACCACAACCTCCGCTCCCCGGGTTCAAGAGATTCTCCTGCCTCAGCCTCTCGAGTAGCTGGGATTACAGGCATGCACCACCACACCCATCTAATTTATTGTATTTTTAGTAGAGATGGGGTTTCTCCATGTTGGACAGGCTGGTCTTGAACTTCCGACCTCAGGTGATCAGCCCGCCTTGGCCTCCCAAAGTGCTGGGATTACAAGCGTGAGCCACCACGCCCGGCCATACTAGGGGTCTTGAATGTTATCCTCGGGATAATGAGAAACTGCTTATAGTTTTAAAGCAGGGAAGTGACTTGATCAGGTTTTTGTTTTTAGAAAAGATAATGTCACATGCCAAAGGAAGACAGAATTGAGGGGATGAGATGAGATGGGGGATATAGAACTCAGTTTGGAAGCCATTGTAACAGCTCAGGCAAAAAATAATGAGGATGTGAGCTATGTTATCGTTATCTCCTCTGGGCCAGCTATCTCTCAACTCATTCATCTCTCAACTCATTCCACAAATGATTTGAAGTAACTCACCACAAGAAAGCAATAAAATTGTAAAATTAAATAAACACAACTTTAAAATCAGGATGAGAGAAGTGAAGATCAGGAAGTTAAAACTGAGGAACCCTGTTGAGGGGAGAAATGAAAGAGGAGAAATTATTAACAATAGAGTACAGACATGGAAGCCACAGGTCACATGCAACTGAGCTGTGAAAAGGGACACCCAGTTTTTATTGAACAAAAGGAAAAGATATACTCATGCTTCAGTTATGGACTTGGATGGTAGTAGAGGTTGAATATTCATTATCCAATATGCTTGAAACCAGAAGTGTTTTGAAATTATGATTTTTCCAAATTTTGGAATATTTGCATTATACAAATTGAGCATCTCTAATCCAAAAATCCAGAATTCAAAATGCTTCAAAATCTGAAACTTTTTGAGTGCCAACTTTTCGGATTAGGGATACTAGACCTATATTAGAAATGGGGAGAAGAGGATAAATTTGAGGGATTAAAGAGGTATTACAGAACAGATAGGAATTAGTGATTAGAAGCCCTATAATAGTACCAACTTGCGGAGCAGAAGGAAGAGAATGAAGTTTTTGGACATGGTGAATTTGAGGTACCCATGAACCATCAAGGTGGAGGCAGCTGGGCAGTTTTATCTCAATGTTTCCTCCTTCATCCCTGCTCTGTTTCACCTCACCAAGCGTTTCCTCTATGTTGGAGCCACACCTAAGCATTTCCACATAGATTCAAAGTTCTGTGTCTTTGAGCCTTCTGCTCCTCAGTTTTATAATCTTTTTCCACTTGACCAACTCATACTCACTCTTCACAATACAAGTCAAATGTCATTTTCTGAGAAAAGAAAAGCTGTCCCCCTCACCACCACCCCCGCCCCGCCTACAGAAACTCCCTTTCTTCTCTGTGCCCCCGCAATGCTTTGGACACTCAACTCCCGACAAACATGCTTTAGGGAAAATCCATGGGAGCAGAAAGAAAGGAAAATCTGTGCTATCGAGACCTGGGAGTAGGAGGGTTCATTACATGAAGCCCAGAAGAGAGGTAGGAAAAACTCCACTGATACAGATGAGAGCAATAAGCAAAGCAGAGACCTTGAGGGATGCATTGTCAGAGGCCAGCTATCAGCTATCAGAAGCGAGGAGGGTCCTGATAGCTCCAGGCTCAGAGCAGCCTGGGAAGCACACTTGGGGAAGGATAGCCTGAAGGCCTGCCAGCCTAGGCCTGGAGTCTACATGGCTCAGCCTAAACCAAGCCCAGACAGGGGAGGGTGGGGCTGGGCCTCCTCCCAGCCCAGTAGCCCAGGGATGACTCAGGGCTTGGCATCAGCTCCAGTACTTGGCAGTTTGTGCTAGAAGAGTGATTGTTAGCTCTGTTCTGAGATTGGGGGTAACTCTAACTTTTCCATTGTTTTTAAAATCCCCCTCTGTTTGCCCTGGAGTTATGAGTGGCTATTTAAATCCCTTCATGGTGTTCTGACACCTACAGGGAAAAGTCCAAATTCCTTAACAGGGCATATATGATCAGTCTCATCTCTTGTCCCATCACCCTGCTCTCCAGTAATCCCAAGCCCTGGATTGGACTGAAAAGCCATGTTGTCTGCCTCCTCTGGGTCATTGGACATGTTTCCACTGCCTAGAATGTCATTCCCCTAATGGCTTCCCCCACTTACCAGGAGAACTATTACTTTTATTCTAGTCTCAGCTCACCTCATCTGAGAAGTCCCTGACCATAGCTGCTTCCTCAGTCTGAATTTGATTCCCCCTGCCCTGAGCTGCCACTGTCCCTTGAGCTTCCTTTTTTCTTTGTACTCAAATAGTATTTGTGGGATAAATAAAACATAATGTCCTTTTTATGGGATTATGGGGGTCAGAGAGGTGGTTGGTCAGTGATACGCAGTTCTGAGACGACGGAGCTGGGCATAATGATGTGCTAAGTTTGAACCCCAGCTCTGCCACTAATAAACTGTATGATCTTGAATCAGTTATTTTACCTCTCTAGGCCTCCATCTTTCCATCTGTTTGATGGTGGGATAGGACTAAGAAGTGTCTATGGTCCCTTCCAGCTCTGATATCCTAGGATTTAGGGGAAAAGGTAAAGGAACTCATGGGAGAGAAGGAAAGAATATATGAAAGCCAGCCTACCACCACAAAGGATGTTACAGATTTAATTGGCAAGCATCCTGTGACCTTTTCAGCCTGGCAGGTACTGCTTATTATTTATAACATTCCATCCTGAAGTGCTATACATATCACTGAGCCCTTTTGCTAATGTTATTCCATTTTGCAGCAGCCAGTGAGAGAGGCAGAACAAGGATTTAAAAGCTGGCCCCATTTTACAGAAGAGAAAACTGAGGGAGAGAAAAAAGTGGTTGTCCCAATCAGTGCTCAAATAACTTAAGGTCTAAATACTTGCAGTCACCCTGTGTAGGGTGACCAACATTTCCAGTTTGCTGGGAATGCAGAACTTTCCGTTTCAAAACCAGGAAAGTCCCAGGCAAACCAGAAAGTTAGGTCACCTTACATAGGTAATTAGCTTTCCAGCCCTCAATCACCCTTGAGACAATGGGTTGTAGCCAGGGAGCAATGGAGTAATACCATACCTTCCCAGTGGGTCCCACCTGACAGGGGACCAAGAAGCTAATCCAGCCCCTTTTTCTTCTCCCTCAAACTAGATTACATCTAACTAGGCTTCTCTTGGTTTAGTGATTCATAGCCCTGGCTGCACATTAGAATCACTTGGGAAGTTTTATAAAAACAACTATATCTGGACACCACCCCAGGCCAATTAAATTAGAACTTTCTAGCTTGAGTACAGTTGCTAGAACTTTCTAGCATCAATATTTTTAAAAGCTCTCTGGGTGATTCGAATGTGCGCTGGGCCTAGGAACTATGGAGCCTAGCTGGTTCTAAGATTTAACCACAGAGTACTTGGGCCCTTGAATAGAAAAACCCCTCCCCAAACGTCTCCTCCCACTCTTGCCTTGCCCAGCCTCCCAGCCTACAAATCTTCCTCTAGACACTCAGAAGCAGTCCTGTGCAGAATACAGAAGCCCTTCCCTACCCCTCCCCTTTCCTGGCAGCTTAAGGTGATCCTCTTCCCGGAATCATTGGCATTTTTGCAAAGGAATTTTGGAAAGCATTCAAGATTCAAAGTACAAAGCACTAATGAAAAATCAGACATTGGGGAGGTATCTTGAAACAAGGGAATAGGTCTAGTGCCCTTGGGAATCACACCACCTAGGTAACCACCTACCTATTCACCCTAATAACAGAGCCAATTTAAGCTCTCTGACTCAGAAGAAGGGAAGAGGAGGGAGGAATTCTAATCTAAGGGCTAGAAGACCTGCAGTTTCCACAGGTCAGATGCTCTGAGATAAGGGAGAAGCGAGTGGGATGGGGTGGCTAGGGAGGGGAGATCTCTCTGAGGGGATAGGGGTGGGAAGCTAAGCTGACTGGCCTTTGCTCTAACTCACAGCAGATCCCATTGGTTTTTTTTCCCTGAGGCCCCTGCCCTTGACTTTCCCATCAGCCTCAGGCAGGCCATGCACGTCCACATTTGTCAAGTCTGAGCCTCTCAAAAACTAGAAAAGAATGGACTCAGAGGTCATCTAACTCCCTGACCATCTCCTTACACACCTTCAGTGATGAGAAGCTCACTCCCAGTCCCTAGCTAGACAGCCTACTCAATCACAGGAGAGCTAGGGATTCAAAGAGCTGCATTTATATAAGTCAAAATCAGTTTCCCTGAGATTTACATTCTCTCTGGCCCAGATCCTTCAACTGTTTCCCTGACTTGAGTTCCACTCCCTCTCAGCCTACTTGCTTCCCTCTGGACAGACTCCAGTTTGTCACTTGTTTGTGTGACTTGTCTATGACTTGTGTCGCTTTGTGTGGTATGCCATGCCCAAACCTGGACCCTGGCGGACTCTGCCCAATGTACCTCCTTTCTTCCAAAATAATATATTTATTAGTATAATCCAGGATAACACACACACACACACACACACACACACACACACACACCATAATGTACACTCTACATTCTGGTTTATAACCTGCTTTTTTTCACTCAACAGTATTCTTGGGCATCTTTGCATGCCAATTAATATAGGTCTATTTCACCATTTTATGTGGCTTCATAGTGTTTCATTGCATGGATGTATTATAGTTTATTTAACCATTCTGCTAACAAAGGACACTGAGTTGTTTTCGTTTCTTTCTTTTTTTTTTTTTTTTTTTGAGATGGAGTTTCGCTCTTGTTGCCCAGGCTAGAGTGCAATGGCACACTCTCGGCTCACCGCAACCTCCGCCTTCTAGGTTCAAGCGATTCTCCTGCCTCAGCCTCCCGAGTAGCTGGGATTACAGGCATTCACCACCACACCCAGCTAATTTTGTATTTTTGGTAGAGACAGGGTTTCTCCATGTTGGTCACGCTGGTCTCGAACTCCCAACCTCAGGTGATCCACCTGCCTTGGCCTCCCAAAGTGCTGGGACTACAGGCATGAGCCACCGCGCCCGGCCAACACTGAGTTGTTTTCAATTTTACACTATCAAACAATTTTATGATAAATAACCTTAGGCATATATTTCTACACGCTTAGCTATATTTATTCCTCAGTAAACAAATTTTAAATTTTGATACATGATTTCAGTCTCCAGAGACAGTTTTCTAGCTTCCATTTCCATGAGAAATGGATACAAGAGCTATTATCCCCACATGCTCATCAACACTTGGTATCATCAGTCATTTTACTCTCTGTCAATATGCTAAAATATATATATATATATATATATATATATATATATATATATATATATATATACTTCACTTTTTTTTTTTTTTTGAGACCGAGTCTCACTCTGTTGCCCAGGCTGGAGTGCAGTGGCGTGATCTCGGCTCACTGAAACCTCTGCCTCCCAGGCTCAAGTGATTCTCCTGCCTCAGCCTCCCGAGTAGCTGGGATTACAGGCGCACACCTCCATGCCCAGCTAATTTTTGTATTTTTAGTAGAGACGGGGTTTTGCCATGTTTGCCACGCTGGTCTCAAACTCCTGACCTCAAGTGATCTGCCTGCCTTGGCCTCCCAAAGTGCTGGGATTACAGGCGTGAGCAACCACACCCAGCCTATCATTTGTCTTTTGAATTTGCTTTAACTTTTGCAACACAAAATAATTTTTATTTTACATTTATGTAGTCAACTGTACCACTAAAATAATACTTATTTTATTATTTCTGTCTTATGCCAAGATTTATTTATTTATTTATAGACAGATTCTTGCTCTGTCCCCCAGGCTGGAGTGCAATGGCGCGACCTTGGCTCACTGCAACCTCCGCCTCCCGGGTTCAAGCAATTCTCGTTCCTTAGCCTTCCAAGAAGCTGGAATTACAGGCATGAGCCACCACGCCCAGCTAATTTTTGTATTCTTAGTAGAGACAGAGTTTTGCCATGTTGCCCAGGCTGATCTGGGACTCCTGGCCTCAAGCAATCTGCCCACCTCGGCCTCTCAAAGTGCTGAGATTACAGATGTGAGCCACTGCGCCTGGCTCTGTGCTAAGATTATAAAATTATTAATACATATTTCCTTCTAGTACATTTAGGCTATCATACCTTTCCTCCTTTCTCTGCCCTCCATCAGAACTCACCATCTGCTACCCACTCCCCTCTGCTTCCTACTAGACTGATAAATTAAAGCTGATAAACTGAGATATGATAATATCAGGCCACGGAGTATGCTGTTCTGATATTTTAATAGTGAATTATTGGAGAAGCTAGTGTTATCCCACAGAAGTATCTCTCTAACGGTGACATTTTGTTTGTTTGTTTTGTTGAGATGGAGTCTCACTCTTGTTGCTCAGGCTGGAGTGCAATGGCACTACCTCGGCTCACTGCAACCTCCACCTCCCAGGTTCAAGCGTTCTCCTGCATTAGCCTCCCGAGTAGCTGGGATTACATGTGCCTGCCACCATGCCCAGCTAATTTTTTTTTATTTATTTTTAGTAGAGACGGGGTTTCACTATGTTAGCCAGGCTGGTCTCAAACTCCTGACCTCATGATCCACCCACCTTGGCCTCCCAAAGTGCTGGGATTATAGGCCTGAGCCACCACGCCCAGCCAATGGTGACATTTTGAGTGCTGAAACAGGAACGTGAGGGAAATGATTTGGAGGCAGCAGATTCAGGGAGGTGGGGTGGTGTAATGGAAAGTGTATCAAGTTTAAAGATGAACAAATCTGCATTTTGAGTCCCCACACTAGCTGTGTGATGTTGACAATTTATGTCCCCTCCTAAGACCCCCTTTCTTTATCCATAAAATAAGAAGACTACCATGTGTTCTTTATGATTGTCACCTGTTTGCCATGTGTGTCCTTCCTTTCTGGTCTCATTCACTGGGGCACCCCTAGCATCTAGCACAGCACCTGGCAGATAGTAGGTGCTCAGTAAATGTTTATAATCTGAATTAATGGATACGTGAGAAAGTAGCTGGCAAACAGTAAGTCCTGTGTATAATGGTTCCCGTGCTTACCTTCCCTCTCAGAATCCTCCCAGATCAGGCCTAGCCTTCAGCTACCTCTCATGAAAGGAAGCTCTTAAATTTCTACTCCCTCCGACATCAAATAGTAAGGGACTGCCTTCTGCTTCCTGATTAAGATGTTGAGGTAGCCAAGAATCCCTGTACTAAGGAGGATCTGGAGGCAAAGGGGGACTTCACTCTGTTTCCCTTGGTGGAGCAGGTCATGCTGTCCAGGAGGTGCCAGTCTTCTCTAAGAGCAACACACAATACCCACATGCTGGCTTAGAAACCAGGAACCCTGGAGTCCACACCCTTCCCACTTCCCTGGCAGACAGCAAACCTCCAATTTGGGAGATTCCGATTTGGGTTCTGGCTCTTTCGCTTATTTACCCTGCAACCTTAGAAAATGAGCTTTCAGGCCAGGCACGGTGGCTCACGCCTGTAATCCCAGCACTTTGGGAGGCTGAGGCGAGTGGATTACCTGAGGTCATGAGTTCGAGACCAGCCTGGGCAACATGGTGAAACCCCGTCTCTACTAAAAATATGAAAAATTAGCTGGGTGTGGTGGCGGGTACCTGTAATCCCAGCTACTCAGAAGGCTGAGGCAGGAGGATTGCTTGAACCTGGGAAGCGGAGGTCGCAGTGAGCCAAGATCATGCCATTGCACTCCAGCCTGGGCAACAAGAGTAAAACTCCATCTCAGAAAAGAAAAAAAAGAAAATGAACTTTCTCTTTTCTGGACCTCTATTGATTCTTCTGAAAAATGAAGCTTATAATACCTGCCCTATTTCCCTCAGGAGGAGCCAGGAGGAGCAAGTGAGATATCTAAAGGTCCACAAATTTGTTCTAGCATGCAGAGTTATTTCATTGCATTTTTACCATAACACCTTGCAGTGAGTATCATGATGCCTGTATTACAAGGTATGTAACTGAGACACAGGAAGTGAAGTAACTTGCTGAAGATCACACTAGGAAATGGCAAAGGTGGATTCATATCCAGGTTTTTCTGGCAGGGTGTGGTGGCTCACACCTGTAATCCCAGCACTTTGGGAGGCTGAGGCGGGTGGATCACTTGAGGTCAGGAGTTTGAGATCAGCCTGGCCAATATGGTGAAACGCTGTCTCTTCTAAAAATACAAAAAATTAGCCCAGCATGGGCGCACACTTCTAATCCCAGCTACTTGGGAGGCTGAGGTGGGAGGATCACTTAAACCCAGGAGGTGGAGGTTGCCATGAGCTGAGATCGTGCCACTGCACTCAGTCTGGGTGAAGGAGTGAGACTTTGTCTCAAAAGAAAAAGAAAAAAGAAAAAAACCAAAATCCAGGTCTTTCTGATTACAGCTGCTCCTGCTAAATGCCAGGTACTATGCTAGGAACCGCAGATGCCACCATCAATAATTCCTAGTCCTTCAAGGTACTTACAGTTTAGTAGGGGAAGCAGATGTATAAATATACTATCAAGGCCCAGAGTGATAAATACAATGGCAGAAAGCAGAAATGCTATGGGAGAGTGGAAGGGAAGCACAAAAAGATGGAGCTTAAGCAAATACTTAAAGAGTGAGCAGGAGTTCTCCACATAGATCACAGTGAGAGGAATTCATTCTAGGCAGAGGGACCAGCATGTACAGAAGCCAAAAGTATGGCAGCACACATCAAGTACAAAATACTGTTCTACCAAAGAAAGGGCAAGCAAATCAAATGATTAGAGTACAATCTAGAAGCAATCTGAAATATGTAACAGAATTTGTGGTTATCACCTGTTGAATTTTACGCAATGAATATTTTTATTGACAATCCATGATCTAGCAGGTACTCTGTCATGTACTGGGGAGATAGCCATGCTGAAAAATCACTACCATCATGGAACTTACATTCTAGTGGGGGAAGACGGGCAATAAACAAGTAAATCAGTCTAATGTATAGTATGTTAGATGGTAATAAGTGCTAAATAATAAAGCAGAGAAGGAGGTGTGGAGGACGTTGCAAATGTAGACAAGAAAGGTCAGCGAATGCCTCACTGAAAGGTAACGATTCAATAGAGGCATGGTGGTTCACACCTGTAATCCTAGAACTTTAAGGAGGCCAAGGTGGGAGGATCGCTTGAGCCCAGGAGTCCAAGACCAGCCTGGGCAACATAGTGAGACCCCGCCTCTATTAAAAAAAAAAGAAATAAATAGAGACATGAATGAACTGAGGGAAGAAGCAAGATATCTGGTAAAAGAGAATTCTAGACAGAGAAATTAACAAAGGACAAAGGTTCTAAGGTGGAGCTCATATGTTCTAGGAACAGCAAGGAGGCTCTTTATGACTGGATCACTGTGGGGTGGGGGTTGGGGACAGAGAATAGTAGGAGATTAAGTCAGAGAGGTGGGAAGGTCTATCTTTGGATAGGAGTAGGGTGTGGAAAGCTTAAAGAGTTTTACTTTTCTTTTCTTTCTTTTCTTTTTTTTTTTTTTTCTTAAGATGGAGTTTTGCTCTCGTTGCCCAGGCTGGAGTGCGATGGCATGATCTCGGCTCACCGCAACCTCCACTTCCTGAGTTCAAGTGATTCTCCTGCCTCGGCCTCCCGAGTAGCTGGGATTACAGGCATGTGCCACCACACCGGGCTAATTTTGTATTTTTAGTAGAGACGGGGTTTCTCTATGTTGGTCACGCTGGTCTCGAACTCCCAACCTCAGGTGATCCGCCTGCCTTGGCTTCCCAAAGTGCTGGGATTACAGGCATGAACCACCACGCCCGGCCTAATATTCTTTTCTTTCTTTTTTTTTTTTTTGAGACCGAATCTTGCTGTGTCGTCCAGGCTGGAGAGCAGTGGCATGATCTCGGCTCACTGCAAGCTCCGCCTCCTGGTTTCACGCCATTCTCCTGCCTCAGCCTCCCGAGTAGCGGACTACAGGTGCCCACCACCATGCCCAGCTAAGTTTTTTTTTTTTTTTTGTATTTTTAGTAGAGACGGGGTTTCACCGTGTTAGCCAGGATGGTCTTGATCTCCTGACCTCGTGATCCGCCTGCCTCGGCCTCCCAAAGTGCTGGGATTACAGGCGTGAGCCACCGCGCCTGGCCCTTCTTTTCTTTTCTTTCTTTCTGGTTTTTTTTTTTTTTTTTTTTTTTTTTTGAGATGGAGTTTTGCTCTTGTTGCCCAGCCCGGAGTGCAATAGCGAGATCTCGGCTCACTACAGCTTCCGCCTCCTGGGTTCAAGCAATTCTCCTGCCTCAGCCTCCTGAGTAGCTAGGATTACAGGTGCCCGCCACCATGCCCAGCTAATTTTTTTGTATTTTCAGTAGAGACAGGATTTCACCATGTTGCCCTGGCTGGTCTCGAGCTGCTGAACTCCTGACCTCAGATGATCCATCCACCTCGGCCTCCCAAGGTGCTGGGATTATAGGCATGAGCCACCACACCCAGCCTGCTTTTCATTTCTCTATGCTGTTTGAATTTCTACCTGCAGGCATGTGAGAGAGGACGAGACAAAGAGGAAAGAATGTCAGTTTGGGAGAGTGGTAGAGAGTTTGGAAGGTTCTAAAGGGAAACATAGCAAGTAAGAAAGAAGTTTGAAAAGGTGAGTGGGGGCTAAATCACAAATAGGCTTATGTTTCAGGCTAAGGGGTTTTGGATTTTATCCACTAGGTAGTGGGAAACTAGTGAAAACTTGAAGTAGAAGTGACACAGTCAGGGCTGCCTCTCCCCTGCACCCCACCCGAAAATATGATAGGTTTATCTGTCCAGTATAGAAGCTAGATTGCCCAGGGAGAAACTGGAGGCAGAGAAACCAAGCTGTTGCAACAATCCACTCCAGAGAGAGTAAACTAGGGCAGAGATGAAGGAAATGGATTTAAGAGATTCTTTTTTCTCCCTTCCTTCTTGAGAGATATTAATAGTGCCCTCTCTGGTCTTCACATATAAATATTTAAGGAGTGATATTAATAGCGCCCTCTCTGGCTTTCACATATAAATATTGAAGGGGTGATACTAGCTGACCTTTAGGATCCCTTCCAGCTTGGATACTTTGGGGTCTTGGGAATTGAGGCACATGTTATTCATCCCTTCCCACTTTCTGGATGGCTCATGATCTGCTGCTACTACTCTCTTCTCTTCCATGATGTCCCAATCTGGGGACAGCGTTACTGTTGTTTTGTCAGTGGCTGGTGGAAGCTAAGGAAGAATACAGGACAGGCTTCAGTTATGCTATCTTCAGTGAATCCTCTGGCATCCCAGACTGAATGGAGGGGATAGACACGCCTTCTGGGATATTTTGAAAGCTTCCAAAAATAGCCTCAAGGCCTCAGTCAGAGAGTGTAGGGCTGGGACTGCATTGGAACTCACAGTCTTTGCCAAGTTCCCACCCCAGTCTCCGTCCCCTGACTGAATAAACCAGCTTTCCCTCCTTTTTCCTTAACTGTCTGCTGGAGGGCCCCCACCCAGGCCTGAAAAGTTTAAATTTAGCCCTAAGTCACCATTTCTATCTCTTCTGGAGAGAGAGCCCAGGATATAACAGCTTACCCTCTGTAAAGGTCCCTGTGGGCTCTGGGATGGGAAAGAAAATGAGACAGACAAAGACAGGGAGAGGTTGAGACTGAGACACACACCCATAGACATCAAAAAACAAAAGGAGAGACTGGAGTATGGGTAAGAGAGAGAAGAAAAGACAAGAGGCAGAGCAACAAACAGAAAGGATAAGACAAAAGGAGAAACAGTCCAAGAGACTGGGGCAAAGAAGGAGAAATACTAAGCAATAGGAAAGAATACAGCGGACAAGAAAAAAAAGAGATATGGGAAAAAGTATACAGAGTCAGAGACAGGCAGAGAGGAAAAGGGAGAGTAGGAGCCATAAAGACAGAATAAAAAAGGAGCCTCAATTATTTGTCCTGCCCTAAACCCTTGCATCAGGCCAACAGCCTGGGCTGGAGGGTTGGGCTGAGCCCTGGGAGTGGTCCCTGTGGAGTCCAGTGTCCGAGGGGTACTGACAGGGCTCCCAGGGGCCATAACAGACAGAAGGCCCCAAGGTACGTGAGCCCAAGCAGCAGTGAGCCCAAGTGGATCAGGCACTCACATCCACCATGTACTGCAGATGTGTAGATAGTCACCCTCAAACAAGTGCGAAAAAAGCTAGTCCCCAAAATGAGAATACTTTCCTATCTGATATTTAAAAACATTTTATATTAGTCATCATGAAGGTGATCAGAATATTAATAAACTTCCTTGTGCTGATTTCAATGGCTTTTTTTTATTTTTTATTTTTATTTTATTTTGAGACCGAGTCTGGCTCTGTTGCCTAGGCTGGAGTGCAGTGTTGCGATCTCGGCTCACTACAACCTCTGCCTCCCGGGTTCAAGTGATTCTCCTGCCTCAGCCTCCCGAGTGGCTGGGATGACAGGTGTGTGCCACTGGGCCCAGCTAATTTTTGTATTTTTAGTAGAGACAGGGTTTCACCATGTTGGCCAGGCTGGTCTCGAACTCCTGACCTCAGGTGATCCACCCACCTCGGCCACCCAAAGTGCTGGGATTACAGGCGTGAGCCACCGCACCTGGCCTTCAATGGCTTATTGTTGTTTTTCTTTTGCATTACATACAGACGGGAGCATCACATTCTGTTCCTCTTCTAGGGCCTCTAAAGCCTTAATCTGGCCCTGCCACCATGGCTCTGGGTTGCAGTGCAGGGTGAAGGGAAGGACATGCCCCCCTCCTGGGCCTGTTTCAATGGCTCTCTGACTGTTCTTCTCAGTCCTCTTTGCCAGGCCAAGGATTCTTGGGTCCCTGGACAGCAGTAGATTCTTTTTAGCATGAAACTGTCCTTTGTGGTGTGGTGGTTGGGTCATGGGAGCTAGTCAGGGGAAACAAGGAGATGAGTGAAAGGAATTGATAAAGAAGGTGAAGAAGGGGATGTGGTCTGGTGGTAAGACACTGGACCGAGTAAGTTCAAGGCCATACTCTGCTCTTGAACTGATGTGTGACATTGGACACATGACCATTCTTCTGAAACACAGCCTCTTTCTTAATAAAATGAGACTAATATCCATCATGTTAGGGTTCTCATGGCATTTCTGTGAGAATGAACTATCGAAAAATACAAGTGTGAGAAAGGTTCCTTCCTATTATTACAAATACCTTTAGAGAATGTTAGACCATTGAAGGCTGACATGCTTCCTGATACAGATGAGGCAACTAAGGCTCAGAGGAAGAAGAGGCTGGCCCAAGGGAACACAGCCCAGTTTACAGCGGACCAGTCCGAGAATGCAAGTTTCCTTATCAGGCCAAAGTTTTCTGAATTTCACTAGAGCAGGGACAAAGGAGAGAGCAGGAAAGCCTGTGAGAGGCCTGGGGAAATACAGGTCACACTGGGGCAGTGAATTAAAGAATGGAAATCTGGGATCTGGGTTTATTGTCTTAATCAGAACTGAGATGTGATTAATTAAGTGTTTATGGCCATGTTTGTGCTTTGTTTGGTGGTAGGTTAGAGAAGAATTGTAAATATGCCTAATGCATAAAGAGCTTTTTATAACAGAAGCCCTTGAAAAGGGAGCATGCCAGCCTACCAAGGGTCCCATGAAGAAGTCACCTCCTTTCCAGTGGGCATCTGGGCAGAAATTTCTGAAGAAAAGGGGTGCAAAAAAAGTCTCCACCTCGGTCAGATATCACCCTTGGGGATTCTGTGGCTCTCCAATGTCTATGGGGGTAAAGTCTAAACTCTTTTTTTGTAACAAGTAGGTCCTTGCTTGATCCCTCACAATGTCCTCCCCAGCTACATCTCTGGCTTATTCCCACTACTACCTCCCTAACCTACAGCCATATTAAATCTGTGGCTACCATAATATGCCCTTTCTGTCCTCTCTGCCTGAAATGAATCCATGCCAGCCCTCCCTTTGCTTAGCTAAGCTAACTTATCCTTCAAGGCTTAGCTGAGGATTACTTCTCCTGAGAAATCCTCCCTAATGATCCTTCATCTTCAGTCTGGAGTCCCATATTTTTTGGATCATGACTCCTCCATTTAGCAATCTGGATTAACATTATTTGTTTCCACATCTTTGTCTTCCACGAGATAATAACTACTTTGATGGCAGGGACCATGTCATCTCCATCTATGTAGTAATAATTATAGCTAACATTTATCTAGCTGTGCCAGACACTTTATACACGTGAACCTTCACGAGTCCCACTGAGGTAGGTACTATATGCCCAAGTCATACAAAGAGACATCACTACACAGCTATCAGAATGGCTACAATTAAAAAAACAGCGACAACACCAACGATGTGAAGAAATTTAAGGAACTGAATCAGTGAAGGATGTGAAGAAACTGAATCACTCATACATTGTTGTTGGGAATGTAAAATGATACAGTCATTCTGAAAAATAGTTTGGTAGTTTCTTATAAAACTAGAAATGCAGCTACAGTGTGACCCAGTATGTCTTAGTCTATTTCATTCTACTACAACAGCATACCACAGATTGGATCATTTATAATGAACAGAAATTTATTGACTCATGTTTTCTGGAGGCTCGAAAGTCCAAAATCGAGAGGTTAGCATCCGGCAAGGGCCTTCTTGCTGCATCATCCCATGGCAGAAGAGCAAATAAAGGGTAAGGAAGAGACGGTAAAAGGGGGCCAAACTTCCCCTTTTATAATGAGCCCACTCCCACGATAACAGCATTAATCCATTCACTCCAGCCTCATGGCTTAACAATCTATTATTAGGCCCCACATTCCAACACTGTTGCATTAGGGGTTAAGTTTCCAACACATGATTTTTGGGGGACACATTCAAACCATCGCTCAGTAACTGCATATTTAGGCATTTATCCCAGAGTATTAAACATTTCTGTTCACAAGAAAACCTGTACAGGAATGCTCATAACTGTTTTATTAATAATAGCCCAGGCTGGGCATGGTGGGGTGGGGTGGGTCATGCCTGTAATCCCAACATTTTAGGATGCTGAGGCAAGAAGATTGCTTGAGCCCAGGAATCCGAAACGAGCCTGGGTCTTTAGTTTGATTCCATGTCTACAAAATATAAAAATGAAAAAATCAGCCAGGTGTAGTAGCACATGCTTGTCCCAGCTACTTGAGAGGCTGAGGTGAGAGGATCACTTGAGCCCAGAAGGTTGAGGCTGCAGTGCGCCATGATCATGCGACTGCACTCCAGCATGGGCAACAGAGTGAGACCCTGTCTCAAAATAAAGTAATAATAATAGCGCCAAACTAGAAACTGCCCAAATGTCCTTCAGTGGGTGAATGGATAAACAAGCTGCGGTGCATCAATAACATGGAATACTATTCAGCAGTAAAAAGGAATGAACTATTGATATAGGTGACAATTTGGATTAACTTTAAAAGAATCATACTGAGTGAAAAAAGTCAATCTCAAGGATTACACATTGTAAGAATCCATTCATATAACATTTTTGAAAGGACAAAATTAAATGCATGGAAAACAGAATAGTGGTTGTCAGCGGTTAAGAAGGATGTAGGGGGCTGGGCACGGTGGCTCACATCTGTAATCTCATCACTTTGGGAGGCCGAGGTGGGCAGATCATTTGAGGTCAGGAGTTCAAAACCAGCCTGGCCAACATGGTGAAATCCCATCTCTACTAAAAAAACAAAAATTATCCGGGCATGGTGGTGGGCGCCTGTAATCCCAGCTACTCGAAGCTGAGGCAGGAGAATTGTTTGAGCCCGGGAGGTGGAGGTTGCAGTGAGCAGACATGGCGCCATTGCATTCCAGCCTGGGCAACAGAGCGAGACTCTGTCTCAGACAAAAAAAAAAAAAAGAAGCAGGATATAGAGGTAGATGGGAGGTAGGTGTGACTATAATAGGACAACATGAGAGATCTCTGTGGTAGTGAAAATGTTCTGCATCTTGACTATATCGATGTCAATATCCTGGTTGTGATATTACACAATAGTTATGCAAGATTTTATGAGTGCAGGTAACTGAGGAAAAATGCAGGGGACTATAGTATTTATTTCAACTGTATGTAAATCTACTATTATCTCAAAATTAAAATTTCAAAAAATTTTTAAAAGGAAGTATTGACACATGATATGATATGAACCATGCAAAATTGTACCAAGTGAAAGAAATCAGTAACAAAAGACCACAAAATGTATGATTTCATTTATATGAAATATTCAGAAAAGGCAAATCCATAGAGATAGAAAGTAGACTAGTGGTTGCCTAGCGCTGGGGTAAGGAGGGTGAAAGGAATGGGAGTGACTGGTAAAAGGTGCAGGGTTTTTGAGGGTTTTTGTTTGTTTGCTTGTTTTGTTTTGTTTTTGAGGCAGGGTCTCATTCTGTCACCCAGGCTGGAATGCAGCGGCACGATCATAGTTCATTGCATCCTCCAGCCCCTGGGCTCAAAAGATCTTCCCACCTCAGCCTCCCCAGTAGCTGGGATTATTACAGGTACATACCACCATACCCAGCTAGCATTTTCTTTTTTGTTTTATTTTATTTTTTAACAAATGGACTCTCACTATGTTGCCTAGGCTGGTTTCAAACCCCTGGGCTCAAGTAATCCTGCTTCAGCCTCCCAAAATGCTGGGATTATAAGTGTGAATTACTGCACCCAGCCTTTAGGGTTTCTTTTTAGGGTGACACAAATGTTTTACATTTTGATAGTGGTGATGATTACACAACTCAGTGAGGACACTAAAAGCCAATGAATTGTACACTTTTTTTTTTTTTGAGTCAAAGGCTCGCTCTGTCACCCAGGCTGGAGTGCAGTGGCACAATCTTGGCTCACTGCAGCCCCCGCCTCCCAGGTTCCAGCGATTCTTGAACCTCAGCCTCCCGAGTAGCTGGGATTACAAGCACCCACCACCACACCCAGCGAATTTTTGTATTTTTTGTAGAGACAGAGTTTCACCACGTTGGCCAGGCTGGTCTCAAACTCCTGACCTCAAGTCATCGGCCCACCTCAGCCTCCCAAAGTGCTAGGATTACAGGTGTGAGCCACCTCGCCTGAGTGAATTGTACACTTTAAAAGACTGAATTCCATGGTGATATGGTTTGGCTGTGTCCCCACCCAAATCTCAACTTGAATTGTATCTCCCAGAATTTCCACAAGTTGTGGTGGGGACCGGTGGGGGTGTAATTTAATCATGGGGGCGAGTCTTTCCCACGCTATTCTCATGATAGTGAATAAGTCTCACAAGATCTGCTGGATTTATCTGGGGTTTCTGCTTTTGCTTCTTCCTCATTTTGCTCTTGCCACCACCATGTAAGAAGTGTCTTTCACCTCCTGCCATGGTTCTGAGGCCTCCCCAGCCATGTGGAACTGTAAGTCCAATTAAACCTCTTTCTCTTCCCAGTCTCGGGTATGTCTTTATCAGCAGCATGAAAACAGACTAATACAGTAAACTGATACCAGTAGAGTGGGGCACTACTGAAAAGATACCCAAAAATGTGGAAGCAACTTTGGAACTGGGTAACAGGCAGAGGCTGGAACAGTTTGGAGGGCTCAGAAGAAGACAGGAAAATGTGGGAAAGTTTGAAACTTCCCAGAGACTTGTTGAATGGCTTTGACAAAAATGCTGATAGTGATATGAACAATAAGGTCCAGGCTGAGGTGGTCTCAGATGGCGATGAGGAACTTGTTGGGAACTGGAGCAAAAGTGACTCTTGTTATGTTTCAGCAAAGAGACTGGTGGAATTTTGCCCCTGCCCTAGAGATTTGTGGAACTTTGAACTTGAGAGAGATGATTTAGGGTATCTGGTGGAAGAAATTTCTAGGCAGCAAAGCATTCAAGAGGTGACTTGGGTACTGTTAAAAACATTCCTTTTTTTTTTTTTTTGAGATGGAGTCTCGCTCTATTGCCCAGGCTGGAGTGCAGTGGCATGATCTTGGCTCACTGACTGCAACCTCCACTTTCCAGGTTTAAGCGATTCTCCTGCCTCAGCCTCCTGAGTAGCTAGGATCATAGATACCCGCCATCACGCCTGGCTAATTTTTTGTATTTTTAGCAGAGACAGGGTTTCACCATGTTGGCCAGGCTGGTCTCAAACTCTTGACCTCAGGTGATCCGCCCACCTCGGCCTCCCAAAGTGTTAGGATTACAGGTGTGATCCACTGCACCTCCCCAAAAACATTCTGTTTTAAAAAGGAAACAGCATAAAAATTCAGAAAATTTGAAGCCTGATGATGCAGTAGAAAAAAAAAACATTTTTTTTAAGGACAAATTGAAGCTTGCTGCAGAAATTTGCATAAGTAGCAAGGAGCCTAATGTTAATCCCCAAGACCATGGGGGAAAATGTCTCCAGGCCATGTCAGAGGTCTTCACTGCAGCCCCTCCTATCACAGGCCCGAAGGCCGAGGAGGAAAAAGTGGTTTCGTGAGCCAGCCCCAGGGTCCCTGAGCTGCGTGCAGCCTAGGGACTTGGTGCCCTGTGTCCCAGCCACTCCAGCCATGGCTGAAAGGGGCCAACGTAGAGCTCAGGCTGTGGCTTCAGAGGGTGGAAGCCCCAAGCCCTGGCAGCTTCCATGTGGTGCTGAGCCTGCAGGTGCACAGAAGTCAAGAATTGAGGCTTGGGAACCTCTGCCTAGATTTCAGAAGATGTATGGGACCTGGATGCCCAAGCAAAAGTTTGCTGCTGGGGCGGAGCCCTCATAGAGAACTTCTGCTAGGGAAGTGCAGAATGGAAATGTGGGGCTGGAGCCCCCACACAGAGTCCCTACTGGGGCACTGTGAAAAGTGGGCCACCGTCCTCCAGGCCCCAGAATGGTAGCTCCACCAACAGCTTGCATTGTGCACCTGGAAAAGCCACAGATATTAATGCCAGCCAGGAGGGAGGCTGTACCCTGCAAAGCCACAAGGGTGGAGCTGCCCAAAACCATGGGAACCCATCTCTTGCATCATTGTGAACTGGATGTGAGAACTGGAATCAAAGGAGGTCATTTTGGAGCTTTAAAATTTGACCACCCCACTGGATTTCAGACTTGCATGGGCCCTGTAACCTCCTTGTTTTGGCCAATTTCTCCTATATGGAATGGTTGCATTTACCCAATACCTGTACTACCATTGTATCTAAGAAGTAACTAGCTTGCCTTTGATTGTACAGGCTTATAGGCAGAGGGGACTTGCCTTGTCTCAGGTGAGACTTTGGACTATGGACTTTTGGGTTAATGCTGAAATGAGTTAAGATTTTTGGGGACTGTTGGGAAGGTATGATTGGTTTTGAAATGTGAGGATATGAGATTTGGAGGGGACTGGGGCAAAATGATATGGTTTGGCTGTGTCCCCACCCAAATCTCAATTTAACTGTAACTCCTAGAATTCCCACAATGGGACCCAGGGGGAGGTAATTGAATCATGGGGGCCGGTCATTCCCATGATATTTTCATGACAGTGGAAAAGTCTCATGAGATCTGATGGGTTTATCAGGGGTTTCCACTTTTGCTTCTCTCTCATTTTCTCTTGCCACTGCCATGTAAGAAGTGCCTTTCGTCTCCTGCCATGATTCTGAGGTTGCCCCAGCCATGTGGAATTGTAAGTCCAATTAAACCTCTTTTTCTCGACAGTCTCAGGTATGTCTTTATCAGCAGCATGAAAATGGACTAATACATATGTATTAATACATATGGACTAATACATATGTATTAATACATATGGACTAATACATATGTCAGTTAAATCTCAATAAAGCTCTTATTTAAAAATTATAGACCATGCAGCAAAATGGCAGTATAGACAGCTTCAAGTTCTCATCCCTCCACAGAAATATCAAAAAACAAGCAGAAACTGTCAGAACCAACTTTGTCAAAACTCTGGAAAACAGTCAAAATGTTTACAACAACCAAGTAAATCAAGGAAAAAAGGGAAAAAAGGCAGCTGAAAATGGTAAGTAAATTGTGTAGTGTGTTTACTTGTCCTTGTCCCATCTCCTCCAGGGTGTAGTGGCAGTCTTAAAGCAGTGGCATCCCATGTTCCCAGTGTGGGACCCTGATCCCTGGTTCCAGGAATAGCATAGCAGGTATTAATCACAAATCATAGTGTAAGTCCATTCTAGTCTCTCTAGGGGCTTCCTGAAAGACTGACACAGGCACTTGTTTTTGTTTATTTTAACTCAGAACTTAGACCATACTAAGCATTCACTTCAGGCTCAGTGTAAGCCTGGATAAGTGTTGGATTGTCTCAGCACAGAGACAATCTGCAAAGACTGGGAGAGGTGTTTGGTTTTGATTTGGGGGTTTTTCAGCAGGAGGAAGAGTTTGCTTTTCTGTTGTTGTTGTTGTTTATTGTTTGTTTTTGTTTCCAGCTCCTGGAATTCAAGGAAATCTCTATGAAAACACCAGCTGAACATAAGCTTTTTAAAAAAAAACCCAGAAACTTCAGTGACCATACGTGACAAGGGATACAACCTTTGCAAAAATAGATTGGAAAAGTTACTAAACATACAGACTACAACAGCCTTCAACAATCAACGAAACAGCAAACCCTGAAGAAAGAGGAGAATCTGATTTCCACAGTTACCACACTATAATATTCAAACGTACAGTTTTCAACAAAAACAAATCACAAAGCATACAAAAAAATGGGAAAGTAGCAAAATAAATGGATAGAAGCCATCCTCAAGGAAGTCCAGACAATGGACTTGAGACAAAGACTTTAAGAGGCCAGGCACGGTGGCTCACGCCTGTAATCCCAGCACTTTGGGAGGCCACGGCGGGTGGATCACAATGTCAGGAGATCGAGACCATCCTGGCTAACATGGTGAAACCCCGTCTCTACTAAAAATACAAAAAATTAGCCGGGCATGGTGGTGGATGCCTGTAGTCCCAGCTACTGGGGAGGCTGAGGCAGGAGAATGGTGTGAACCCGGGAGGCAGAGCTTGCAGTGAGCTGAGATTGCACCACTGCACTCCAGCCCGGGCGACAGAGTGAGACTAAATCTCAAAAAAAAAAAAAAAAAAAAAGCTGTATTAAATATGTTCAAACAGCTAAAGGAAAACTTGGACAAGGTACTAATGAAAATCAGGACAGATATATATTTGAAATTTTTAATATCAATAAAGAGATAAAAATTATTTAAAAGGGAAAAAGAAATACAAAAATCAAATAGCAAAAAGGTAGAAGTAAGTTCTTCCATATCAGTAATCACTTTAAATGTAAATTGATTAAATCATCCAATCAAAAGGCAGAAATTGGCAGGATAGTTAGAAAACATGATCCAACTATATGTTGTCTGTCTACAACAGTCTCACTTTATATTCAAAGACACAAATAGGTTGAACATAAAAGGATGGAGAAAAAGCATTCCATGCAAATAGTAACCAAAAGATAGCTGGGTGGCAATATATGTATCAAACAAAACAAACTGTTACAAGAAACAAAGAATGAAATTATATATTGATAAAAGGGTCAATTCATTAATAATGTATAATTATTATAAACATATGTGCAACAAACAGTTAAAACCTCAAAATATGAAATAAGCTGACAGAAATGAAGGAAGAAATACACTGTTCTAAAATAACAGTGGAAGACACAATACCCTATTCTAAACAATGGATAGACAGAAGATGAATAAGAAAGTAGAGGATTTGAACAGCACCATAAACCAGCTAGACCAACAAATATAGAACACTCCATTCAACAACAGCAGAATACATATTCTTCTCAAAACACACATTCTTCTGAAGTGCAAATGAAACATTCTCCAGAATAGACCATATGTTAGGTCATAAAACAAGTCCCAATAAATTTTTTAAACATTGAAACCATACAAAGTATCTTCCTCGACCACATGCAGTGAAGTCAATAACTAAAGGAAAACTGGAAATTTTGCAAATATGTGGAAGTTAAATGACATAAGCAACCAATGAGTCAAAGAAGAAATTAAAAAGGAGGTTAGAGTATACTTAGAGATGAATGAAGATGAAAACACAGCATACCAAAAATTTGGGAATAAAGTGAAGACACTGATTAGAGGGAAATTTGTAGTTCGTCCCTTGCTTCCTTCCTTCCTTCCTTTCTTCCTTCCTTCCTTCCTTTCTTCCTTCCTTCTTTTTTTCTTTCTCTTTTTCTTTCTTTCTTTTTTCTTCTTTCTTTTCTTTTCTTTCTTTCTTCTTTCTTTTTTTTTTTGACAGAGTCTCCCTCTGTCGCCCAGGCTGGAGTGCAGTGGTGCGATCTTGGCTCACTGCAACCTCTACCTCTCAGGTTCAAGCAATTCTTGTGCCTCAGTCTCCTGAGTAGCTGGGACTGGAAATTTATAGTTCTAAATGCTTACATTAAAAAATAAAAAGAGAGAGCTCAAGTCAACAACTTCGCTTTACCCACTGAGGAAAAAAAAAAAAAACCCACTAAACACAAAACTAGCAGAAGGGAGGAAATAATAAACATTAGAGTGGAGATAAACAAAATGGAGAATAGAAAAACAGTAGAAAGAATGAATGAAACCCAAAGTTGGTTCATTTTTAAAAATCAACAAAATTGACAAACTTTTGCACAGAATGACAATAGAAGAAAGAGGGAATAAGTAAGTAAAATAGGCCAGGCACAGTGGCTCATGTCTGTAATCCCAGCACTTTGGGAGGCCAAGGCAGGTGGATCACCTGAGGTCGGGAGTTCAAGACCAGCCTGACCAACATGGAGAACCCCCATCTCTATTAAAAATACAAAATTAGCCGGGTGTGGTGGTGCATGCCTGTAATCCCAGCTACTTGGGAGGCTGAGACAGGAAAGTCACTTGAGCCCGGGAGGCGGAGGTTGCAGTGAGCCGAGATTAAGCCATTGCACTCCAGCCTGGGCAACAATAACAGCAACAAAAAAAGTAAGTAAAATAATAAATGAAAGTGGAGATATTACTACCAGCCTTGCAAAAATAAAAATTATTACAAAAGAATACTATAAACAATTGCTCATGAATAAATTAGATTAAGTGGACAAATTCCTAGAAACACAAAAATTCCCTAAAGCAACTCAAGAAGAAATAGAAAATCTTAACCTACCTATAACAAGCAGAGATTGCAATAGCAGTGAAAAACCTCCCAACAAAGGAAAAACCAGAGCCAGATGATTTCACTTATAAATTCCAAAATTTTTTTTTTTTTTTTGAGACGGAGTTTCTCTCTTGTCGCCCAGGCTGGAGTGCAATGGCACGATTTTGGCTCACTGCAACCTCCGCCTCCCGGGTTCCAGTTATTCTCCTGCCTCAGCCTCCCAAGTAGCTGGGATTACAGGTGCCTGCCACCATGCCCCAGGTAATTTTTGTATTTTTAGTAGAGACGGGGTTTCACCATGTAGGCCAGGCTGGTCTTGAACTCCTGACCTCGGGTGATCCGCCCACCTTGGCCTCCCAAAATGCTGGGATTACAGGCATGAGCCACTATGCCTGGCCAAATTCTACCAAATATTTAAAGAAGAATTAAAGCCAATTATTTTCAAACTCTTTCAAAAAATAGAAGAAGGGGGAATACTTTATAACTCATTATTTGAGGCCAGAATTAACCTGATACTAAAGCCAGATGAAGACATACAATGTAAAAAAAAAAAAAAAAGAAAAGAAAGAAAAAAAAGAAAGAAAGAAATTACAGGCTAACATCCCTTATGAAACTCTTTCAAGAAATAGAAGGGGGAATACTTTCTAACTCATTCTTTGAGGACAGAATTAACCTAATACCAAAGCCAGATGAAGGCATACAATGTTAAAAAAAAAATACAGACTAAACTCCCTTATGAATTTAGAGGCAAAGGTCCTCAACTAAATACTAACAAAGCAAATCTAGTCACATATTAAAAGGATTATACATCATAATCATGTAGGATTTATCACATGAATTGAAGGAACATTCAACCTAAGAAAAGCCAATCAATGTAATATATTACATTAATAAGAAGGAAGAGGAAAAACCCACATGGTCTTCTCAATTGAGACTGGAAAAGCATTTCACAAAATCTATACCTTTTGATGATAAAAACACTCAGAAAACTAGGAATAAAAGGAAACTTTCTCAACATGAAAAAGAACATTTATGGAAAAACTCACAGCTAACATACTCAATTATGAAAAACTGAAAACTTTTCCCCTTTAAGATCAAGAACAAGACAAAGATGCTGACTGGGAGCAGTGGCTCACACCTATAATCCCAGCACTTTGGGAGGCCGAGGCTAGACTTGAGGTCAGGAGTTCAAGATCAGCCTGGCCAACATAGCAAAACCCTGTCTCTACTAAAAATACAAAAACTAGCTGGGTGTAGGGGTGTGCACCTGTAATCCCAGCCACTCAGGAAGCTGAGGCAAGAGAATCACTTGAACCCAGGAGGCAGAGGTGTCAGTGAGCGGAAATCATGCCACTGCACTCCAGCATGGGTGACAGAGTGAAACTCCGTCTCAGAAAAAAAAAAAAAAAAAAAAAACAAAGATGCCTAGCTTCATCACTGCTATTCAAAATTGTACTAGAAGTTCTGGCTAGAGCAATAAGACAAGAAAAAGAAATTAAAACATCAGAATTGAAAAAGAAGAAATAAGGCAAGGTGAGGTGGCTCATGCCTGTAATCCCAGCAGTTTGGGAGGCTGAGAAGGGTGGATCACTTGAGGCTAGGAGTTGAAGACCAACCTGATTAACATGGTGAAACCCCACATCTACCCCAAAAAAAATACAAAAATTAGCCAGGTGTGGTGGCAGGTGCCTGTAATCCCAGCTACTCAGGAGGCTGAGGCAGGAGAATTGTTTGAACCCAGGAGGCAGAGGTTGCAGTGAGTCGAGATGGAGCCACTGCACTCCAACCTGGGCAACAGAGTGAGACTCCAACTCAAAAAAAAAAAAAAAAGAAAAGAAAAGAAGAAATAAAACTACCTCTATTCACAGATGACATGATCCCATATATTTAAAAATCCCAAATAATCCACAACAAAAGCTATTAGAGCTAATAATCAAATTCAGCCAAATTGTGGGGTACAATGTCAACACACAAAATCACTTGTATTTCTATTCAACAGAATCCAGAAAGGTGATTAGTAAAGAAATTCTGTTAAAATGGCATCTAAAAGAATAAAATAGCTAAAAATAAATTTAACCAAGGAGTTGAACAACTTGTACACTGAAACTAGGAAACTTTGATGAAATAAGTTTAAGAAAACCTAAATATACAAAAAGCATTCCATGTTAATTGGTATGAAGGCTTAATATTTTTTTAAAACACAATACTATCTCAAATGGTCTACAGATTTAATGCAATCTGTAGCAAATTCCAACAGGTTTTTTTCTTACAGAAATGGGAAGGCTAATCCTCAAAATTTTTTTTTAATCCTAAAATTTATGTGAAACTACAAGGGGCCCTGAATAGCTAACACAATCTTGAAAAAGATGAAGAAAGTTGGAGGACATTTTTCTCAATCTCTAAAATTACTATGAAGGTACTAAAATCAAAACAGTGCAGTACTGGCATAAGTATAGACATATAGATGAATGAAATAAAATTGAAAGGCCAGAAATGAATGCAGCCATCTGTGGCTAATCGTTTTTGATAAGGATGTTGAAACCATTCACTGGGGGAAAGAATAGCCTTTCCAACATATGGTGCCAGGACAATTGAACTTCTATATGAAAAGAATAAAGTTGGACCCTTATCTGACACCATGTACAAAAATCAAGTCAAAATGTATCAACCTTGTTTGCACACGTTACTAAAATTTTAGAAAGTATCAATCTGGGCAGGGCACGGAGGCTCATGCCTGTAATCCCAGTGCTTTGGGAGGCCGAGGTGGGCGGATCACAAGATCAGGAGATTGAGACCATCCTGGCTAACACGGTGAAACCCCATCTCTACTAAAAATACAAAAAATTAGCCAGGCGTGGTGGCACACACCTGTATTCCCAGCTACTCAGGAGGATAATGGCTTGAACCTGGGAGGTGGAGGTTGCCGTGAGCCGAGATCACACCACTACACTCCAGCCTGGGCGACAGAGGGAGACTCCACCTCAAAAACAACAACAACAGAGAAGTATCAACCAAAATATAAGACCTAAAACTGTAAAACTCTCAAAAAAAAAAAAAAGTGAAAATCTTCATAATCTAGTATTTGACAATGGATCCTTGGAAAGGAAACCAAAAGTAACAAAAGAAAAAAAAATAGGTAAATTGGATTTCATGAAAATTTAAGACTTTTATGTATCAAAAAACATCATGGAGGAGGAGGAGCCAAGATGGCCGAATAGGAGCAGCTCCGGTCTACAGCTCCCAGAGTAAGCGACGCAGAAGACGGGTGATTTCTGCATTTCCATCTGAGGTACCGGGTTCATCTCACTAGGGAGTGCCAGACAGTGGGCGCAGGTCAGTGGGTGTGCGCACCGTGCGCGACCCGAAGCAGGACGAGGCATTGCCTCACTTGGGAAGCGCAAGGGGTCAGGGAGTTCCCTTTCTGAGTCAAAGAAAGGGGTGACGGACGGCACCTGGAAAATCGGGTCACTCCCACCCGAATACTGCGCTTTTCCGACGGGCTTGGAAAGCGGCGCACCGCGAGATTGTATCCCGCACCTGGCTCGGAGGTTCCTGCGCCCACGGAGTCTCACTGGTTGCTAGCACAGCACTCTGAGATGGAGCTGCGGGGCGGCAGCGAGGCTGGGGGAGGGGCGCCCTCCATTGCCCAGGCTTGCTTAGGTAAACAAAGCAGCCGGGAAGCTCCAACTGGGTGGAGACTACCACAGATCAAGGAGGCCAGCCTGCCTCTGTAGGCTCCACCTCTGGGGGCAGGGCACAGACAAACAAAAAGACAGCAGTAACCTCTGCAGACTTAAATGTCCCTGTCTGACAGCTTTGAAGAGAGCAGTGGTTCTCCCAGCACGCAGCTGGAGATCTGAGAACGGGCAGATTGCCTCCTCACGTGGGTCCCTGACCCCTGATCCCCGAGCAGCCTAACTGGGAGGCACCCCCCAGCAGGGGCACACTGACACCTCACACGGCCGGGTACTCCAACAGACCTGCAGCTGAGGGTCCTCTCTGTTAAAAGGAAAACTAACAAACAGAAAGGACATCCACACCAAAAACCCATCTGTACATCACCATCATCAAAGACCAAAAGTAGATAAAACCACAAAGATGGGGAAAAAACGGAACAGAAGAACTGGAAACTCTAAAAAGCAGAGCACCTCTCCTCCTCCAAAGGAACGCAGTTCCTCACCAGCAACGGAACAAAGCTGGATGGAGAATGACTTTGACGAGCTGAGAGAAGAAGGCTTCAGACGATCAAATTGCTCTGAGCTACGGGAGGACATTCAAACCAAAGGCAAAGAAGTTGAAAACTTTGAAAAAAATTTAGAAGAATGTATAACTAGAATAACCAATACAGAGAAGTGCTTAAAGGAGCTGATGGAGCTGAAAACCAAGGCTCGAGAACTACGAGAAGAATGCAGAAGCCTCAGGAGCCGATGCGATCAACTGGAAGAAAGGGTATCAGCGATGGAAGATGAAATGAATGAAATGAAGCGAGAAGGGAAGTTTAGAGAAAAAAGAATAAAAAGAAATGAACAAAGCCTCCAAGAAATATGGGACTATGTGAAAAGACCAAATCTACGTCTGATTGGTGTACCTGAAAGTGATGTGGAGAATGGAATCAAGTTGGAAAACACTCTGCAGGATATTATCCAGGAGAACTTCCCCAATCTAGCAAGGCAGGCCAACGTTCAGATTCAGGAAATACAGAGAATGCCACGAAGATACTCCTCGAGAAGAGCAACTCCAAGACACATAATTGTCAGATTCACCAAAGTTGAAATGAAGGAAAAAATGTTAAGGGCAGCCAGAGAGAAAGGTCGGGTTACCCTCAAAGGGAAGCCCATCAGACTAACAGCAGATCTCTCGGCAGAAACCCTACAAGCCAGAAGAGAGTGGGGGCCAATATTCAACATTCTTAAAGAAAAGAATTTTCAACCCAGAATTTCATATCCAGCCAAACTAAGCTTCATAAGTGAAGGAGAAATAAAATACTTTATAGACAAGCAAATGCTGAGAGATTTTGTCACCACCAGGCCTGCCTTACAAGAGCTCCTGAAGGAAGCACTAAACATGGAAAGGAACAACCGGTACCAGCCACTGCAAAATCATGCCAAAATATAAAGACCATCAAGACTAGGAAGAAACTGCATCAACTAACGAGCAAAATCACCAGCTAACATCATAATGACAGGATCAAATTCACACATAACAATATTAACTTTAAATGTAAATGGACTAAATGCTCCAATTAAAAGACACAGACTGGCAAATTGGATAAAGAGTCAAGACCCAACAGTGTGCTGTATTCAGGAAACCCATCTCACATGCAGAGACACACATAGGCTCAAAATAAAAGGATGGAGGAAGATCTACCAAGCCAATGGAAAACCAAAAAAGGAAGGGGTTGCAATCCTAGTCTCTGATAAAACAGACTTTAAACCAACAAAGATCAAAAGAGACAAAGAAGGCCATTACATAATGGTAAAGGGATCAATTCAACAAGAAGAGCTAACTATCCTAAATATATATGCACCCAATACATGAGCACCAAGATTCATAAAGCAAGTCCTGAGTGACCTACAAAGAGACTTAGACTCCCACACATTAATAATGGGAGACTTTAACACCCCACTGTCAACATTAGACAGATCAACAAGACAGAAAGTCAGCAAGGATACCCAGGAATTGAACTCAGCTCTGCACCAAGCGGACCTAATAGACATCTAAAGAACTCTCCACCCCAAATCAACAGCATATATATCTTTGTCAGCATCACATGGCACTTATTCCAAAACTGACCACTTAGTTGGAAGTGAAGAAATCCTCAGCAAATGTAAAAGAACAGAAATTATAACAAACTATCTCTCAGACCACAGTGCAATCAAACTAGAACTCAGGATTAAGAATCTCACTCAATACCGCTCAACTACATGGAAACTGAACAACCTGCTCCTGAATGACTACTGGGTACATAACGAAATGAAGGCAGAAATAAAGATGTTCTTTGAAACCAACGAGAACAAAGACACAACATACCAGAATCTCTGGGATGCATTCAAAGCAGTCTGTAGAGGGAAATTTATAGCACTAAATGTCCACAAGAGAAAGCAGGAAAGATCCAAAATTGACACCCTAACATCACAATTAAAAGAACTAGAAAAGCAAGAGCAAACACATTCAAAAGCTAGCAGAAGGCAAGAAATAACTAAAATCAGAGCAGAACTGAAGGAAATAGAGACACAAAAAACCCTTCAAAAAATTAATGAATCCAGGAGCTGGTTTTTTGAAAGGATCAACAAAATTGATAGACCGCTAGCAAGACTAATAAAGAAAAAAAGAGAGAAGAATCAAATAGACGCAATAAAAAATGATAAAGGGGATATCACCACCAATCCCACAGAAATACAAACTACCATCAGGGAATACTACAAACACCTCTACGCAAATAAACTAGAAAATCTAGAAGAAATGCATAAATTCCTGGACACATACACTCTCCCAAGACTAAACCAGGAAGAAGTTGAATCTCTGAATAGACCAATAACAGGAGCTGAAATTGTGGCAATAATCAATAGCTTACCAACCAAAAAAAGTCCAGGACCAGATGGATTCACAGGCGAATTCTACCAGAGGTACAAGGAGGAACTGGTACCATTCCTTCTAAACTATTCCAATCAATAGAAAAAGAGGGAATCCTCCCTAACTCATTTTATGAGGCCAGCATCATTCTGATACCAAAGCCAGGCACAGACACAACAAAAAAAGAGAATTTTAGACCAATATCCTTGATGAACATTGATGCAAAAATCCTCAATAAAATACTGGCAAACCGAATCCAGCAGCACATCAAAAAGCTTATCCACCATGATCAAGTGGGCTTCATCCCTGGGAGGCAAGGCTGGTTCAATATATGCAAATCAATAAATGTAATCCAGCATATAAACAGAGCCAAAGACAAAAACCACATGATTATCTCAATAGATGCGGAAAAGGCCTTTGACAAAATTCAACAACTCTTCATGCTAAAAACTCTCAATAAATTAGGTATTGATGGGACGTATTTCAAAATAATAAGAGCTATCTATGACAAACCCACAGCCAATATCATACTGAATGGGAAAAAACTGGAAGCATTCCCTTTAAAAACTGGCACAAGACAGGGATGCCCTCTCTCACCACTCCTATTCAACATAGTGTTGGAAGTTCTGGCCAGGGCAATCAGGCAGGAGAAGGAAATAAAGGGTATTCAATTAGGAAAAGAGGAAGTCAAATTGTCCCTGTTTGCAGATGACATGATTGTATATCTAGAAAACCCCATTGTCTCAGCCCAAAATCTCCTTAAGCTGATAAGCAACTTCAGCAAAGTCTCAGGATACAAAATCAATGTACAAAAATCACAAGCATTCTTATACACCAACAACAGACAAACAGAGAGCCAAATCATGAGTGAACTCCCATTCACAATTGCTTCAAAGAGAATAAAATACCTAGGAATCCAACTTACAAGGGATGTGAAGGACCTCTTCAAGGAGAACTACAAACCACTGCTCAAGGAAATAAAAGAGGATGCAAACAAATGGAAGAACATTCCATGCTCATGGGTAGGAAGAATCAATATCGTGAAAATGGCCATACTGCCCAAGGTAATTTACAGATTCAATGCCATCCCCATCAAGCTACCAATGACTTTCTTCACAGAATTGGAAAAAACCACTTTAAAGTTCATATGGAACCAAAAAAGAGCCCACATCACCAAAGCAATCCTAAGCCAAAAGAACAAAGCTAGAGGCATCACACTACCTGACTTCAAACTATACTACAAGGCTACAGTAACCAAAACAGCATGGTACTGGTACCAAAACAGAGATATAGATCAATGGAACAGAACACAGCCCTCAGAAATAACGCCGCATATCTACAACTATCTGATCTTTGACAAACCTGACAAAAACAAGCAATGGGGAAAGGGTTCCCTATTTAATAAATGGTGCTGGGAAAACTGGCTAGCCATATGTAGAAAGCTGAAACTGGATCCCTTCCTTACACCTTATACAAAAATCAATTCAAGATGGATTAAAGACTTAAACGTTAGACCTAAAACCACAAAAACCCTAGAAGAAAACTTAGGCATTACCATTCAGGACATAGGCATGGGCATGGACTTCATGTCTAAAACACCAAAAGCAATGGCAACAAAAGACAAAATTGACAAATGGGATCTAATTAAACTAAAGAGCTTCTGCACAGCAAAAGAAACTACCATCAGAGTGAACAGGCAACCTACAAAATGGGAGAAAATTTTCACAACCTACTCATCTGACAAAGGGCTAATATCCAGAATCTACAATGAACTCAAACAAATTTACAAGAAAAAAACAAACAACCCCATCAAAAAGTGGGCGAAGGACATGAACAGACACTTCTCAAAAGAGGACATTTATGCAGCCAAAAAACACATGAAAAAATGCTCACCATCACTGGCCATCAGAGAAATGCAAATCAAAACCACAATGAGATACCATCTCACACCTGTTAGAATGGCAATCATTAAAAAGTCAGGAAACAACAGGTGTTGGAGAGGATGTGGAGAAATAGGAACACTTTTACACTGTTGGTGGGACTGTAAACTAGTTCAACCGTTGTGGAAGTCAGTGTGGCGATTCCTCAGGGATCTAGAACTGGAAATACCATTTGACCCAGCCATCCCATTACTGGGTATATACCCAAAGGACTATAAATCATGCTGCTATAAAGACACATGCACACGTATGTTTGTTGTAGCATTATTCACAATAGCAAAGACTTGGAACCAACTCAAATGTCCAACAATGATAGACTGGATTAAGAAAATGTGGCACATATACACCATGGAATACTATGCAGCCATAAAAAATGATGAGTTCATGTCCTTTGTAGGGACATGGATGAAATTGGAAATCATCATTCTCAGTAAACTATCACAAGAACAAAAAACCAAACACCGCATATTCTCACTCATAGGTGGGAATTGAACAATGAGATCACATGGACACAGGAAGGGGAATATCACACTCTGGGGACTGTTGTGGGGTGGGGGGAGGGGGGAGGGATAGCATCGGGAGATATACCTAATGCTAGATGACGAGTTAGTGGGTGCAGTGCACCAGCATGGCACATGTATACATTTGTAACTAACCTGCACAATGTGCACATGTACCCTAAAACTTAAAGTATAATTAAAAAAAAAAAAGAAAAAATAAATAAATAAATAAAAGAAAAAAAAAAACAGAGAGTCAAATCATGAATGAACTCTGATTCACAATTGCTACAAGAGAATAAAATACCTAGGAATACAACTTACAAGGGATGTGAAGGACCTCTTCAAGGAGAATTACAAACCACTGCTCAAGGAAATAAGAGGACACAACAAAGGGAAAAACATTCCATGCTCATGGATAGGAAGAAAGAATATCATGAATATGGCCATACTGTCCAAAGTAATTTATAGCTTCAATGCTATCCCCATTAAGCTACCATTGACTTTCTCCACAAAATTAGAAAAAAAACTACTTTAAATTTTATATGGAAGAAAAAAAGAGCCCGTATAACCAAGAAAATCCTAAGCAAAAAGAACAAAGCTGGAGGCATCACACTTGCTGACTTCAAACTATAATACCAGGCTACAGTAACCAAAACAACATGGTACTGGTACCAAAACAGATATATAGACCAATGGAACAGAACAGAGGTCTCAGAAATAAAACTACATATCTACAACCATCTGATCTTTGACAAACCTGACAAAAACAAGCAATGGGGAAAGGATTCCCTATTTAATAAATGGTGTTGGGAAAACTGGCTAGCCATATGCAGAAAACTGAAACTGGACCTCTTCCTTACACCTTATACAAAGATTAACTCAAGATGAATAAGGACCTAAATGTAAGACCTAAAACCATAAAAACCCTAGAAGAAAACCTAGGCAATACCATTCAGGACATAGACATAGGCAAAGACTTCATGACTAAAACACCAAAAGCAATTGCAACAAAAGCCAAAATTGACAAATGGGATCTAATTAAACTAACGAGCTTCTGCACAGCAAAAGAAACTATCATCAGAGTGAACAGGCAACCTACAGAATGGGAGAAAATTTTTGCAATCTATCCATTCAACAAAGGGCTAATATCCAGACTATACAAAGAACTTAAACAGATTTATAAGAAAAATCAAACAACCCCATCAAAAAGTGAGCAGAGGACATGAACAGATACTTCTCAAAAGAAGACATTTGTGCTGTCAACAAACTTATGAAAAAAAGATCATCATCACCGGTCATTAGAGAAATGCAAATCAAAACCACAATGAGATACCTTCTCATACTAGTTAGAATGGCAATCATTAAAACGTCAGGAAACAGATGCTGTAGAGGATGTGGAGAAATAGAAATGCTTTTACACTGTTGGTGGGAGTGAAAATTAGTTCAACCATTGTGGAAGACAATGTGGCGATTCCTGAAGGATCTAGAAGCAGAAATACCATTTGACCCAGCAATCCATTACTGGGTATATTCCCAAAGTATTATAAATCATTCTGCTATAAAGACACATGCACACATATGTTTATTGCAGCACTATTTGCAAGAGCATAGACTTGGAACCAACCCAAATGCCCATCAATGATAAACTGGATGAAGAAAACATGGCACATATACACAATGGAATACTATGCATCCATAAAAAAGAATGAGTTCATGTCCTTTGCAGGGGCATAGATGAAGCTGGAAACCATCATTCTCAGCAAACTAACACAGGAACAGAAAATCAAACACAGCATGTTCTCACTCATAAGTGGGAATTGAACAATGAGAACACATGGACACAGGGAACATCACACACTGAGGCCTGTTGGGGGTTGGGGGCAAGGGGAGGGATAACATTAGGAGAAATACCTAACGTAGATGGCGAGTTGATGGGTGCAGCAAACCACCATGGCATATGTATATCTACGTAACAAACCTGCACATTCTGCCCATGTATCCCAGAACTTAAAGTATATATAAAAAAAAGTTGTATCGTACCCCCCCCCAAAAAAAAAAAACACCATGGTTCGGGTGCAGTGGCTCAAACCTGTAATCCTAGCACTTTTGGAGGCTGAGGCGGGGGAATCACTTGAGACCAGTCTGGCTAACATGGTGAAACCCCATCTCTACTAAAAATACAGAAATTAGCTGGGTGTGGGGGCATGTGTCTGTAGTCCTAGCTACTTGAGAAGCTGAGGCAGGAGGATCGCTTGAACCCAGGAGGAGGAGGTGGCAGTGAGCTAAGATCGCAACACTGCACTCCAGCTTGGGTGACAGAGCGAGACCCTGCTTCACAAAAATAAACAAAAAAAAAAAACCATTACGAAGAAACAGAAAAGACAAGCTACAAAATGGGAGAAAATAGTTGCAAATTATATATGATAAGGAGTTAGTATCCAAAATATATAGAGAATTGCTACAGCTCAGCAACAAAAAGATGAATAACCTGAGTCCATTTTGTGCTGCTATAACAGAATACCCGAGAGTAGGTAATTTATGAGGAACAGAAAAGTATTGGCTTACACTTGTGGAGGCTACGAAGTCCAAGATTAAGGAGCTAGCATCTAGTGAGGGCTATCTTGATGTGTCATCACATAGTGGAAGGCTAGAGGGCAAGAGAGGGTGAGAGAGAGAGAAAAGGGGACCAAACTTGCCTTTTATAATGAGCCTTTTCCCACAATAACAAACCCACTCCTGTGTTAATACACTTCATGACCTAATCACCTCTCATTAGGTCCCACCTCCCACCTCCCAATTGTTGCATTGGGGAGTAAGTTTCCAACACACTTTTGGAGGGACACATTCAAACCATAGCACAACCCAATTTAAAAAATGGACAAAGTACTTGCATAGATATTTCTTCAAAGAAGATATAAAATATCAAATAAGCACATAAAAATATGCTCAACATTTTTAGTCATTAGGAAAATGCAAAACAAACCCACAATGAGCTACCACTTCACAACCATTAGGATGGCTATAACCCAAAAAGAGTGGAGTATTGGTGAGGATATAGAGAAATTGGAGCTTCTGTGAACTGTTGGTGGGAATATTAAATGGTACAGGCACTTTGGAAAACAGTATGACAATACCTCAAAAAATTAAAAACCAAATTACCATGTGATCTGGAAATTTCAATCCTGGGTATATACTCAAAGTAATTGAAAGCAGGGTCTCAAAGAGATACTCATACACCCAAGTTCACAGCAGCATTGTTCAAAATAGCTGAAAGGTAGAAGCAACCCAAGTGTCCATCAAAGGATGAATGAAATATACTAAATGTTGTATAGACATACAATGGAATATTATTCAGCCTTACAAGGGAAGGAAATTTTGACACAAGCTACAACATGGATGAAGCTTGAGGACATTATGCTAAGTGAAATAAACCAGTCACAGAAATACTGATACTGGCCAGGCACAGTGGCTCACACCTGTAATCCCCGCACTTTGGGAGGCCGAGGTGGGTGGATCACCTGAGGTCAAAAGTTTGAGATCAGCCTGGGCAACATGGTGAAATTCCGTCTCTACTAAAAATACAAAAATTAGCTGGGCATGGTGGCACACACCTGTAATCGCAGCTACTTGGGAGGCTGAGGCAGGAGAATCGCTTGAACCTGGGAGGCGGAGGTTGCAGTGAGCCAAGATTGTGCCACTGCACGCCAGCCTGGATGAGACAGCAAGACTCCAAAAAAAAAAAAAAATAGAAAGAAAGAAAGAAAGAAAGGAAGGATGGAAGAAACTGTATAATTTAACTTGTATGAGGTACCTGAAGTAGTCAAATTCATTGAGACAGAAAGAAAAATTATGGTTTCCCTAGGCCTGGTGGAAGGGCAAAATGAGGAGTTGTTGTTTAATGGGTATAGAATTTCAATTTTGCAAGATGAAAAGAGTTCTGGAGATTGGTTATATAACAATGTGAATATGCTTAACACTACAGAATTGTAAATCTACAAATTGTTAAAATGGTAAATTTTATGTTATGTGTATTTGTTTTTGAGGAGTCTCACTCTGTCACCCACACTGGAGTGCAGTGGCATGTTAAGTGTATTTTGCTACAGTTAAAAATAAACAAGTATTAAAAGCTTTAAAAAAGAATAGAAAGTAAATGTTGAAAAGTTGTGGGGAAATTCTAAGTTTCATACATTGTTAGTAATAATGCAAAATGGTGCAGATGCTATGGGAAGCAGTTTGGCAGTTCCTCAAAAAGTTAAACATAGAATTACCATATGACCCAGCAATTCCACTCCTTGGTATACACCCAAAAGAATTTAAAACAGGTATTCAAACAGATACCTGTATGCCAATGTTCACTGCAGCATTATTCACAATAGCCAAAATATGGAAACAACTCATATGTCCATCAACAGATCAATGGATAAATAAAATACGGTATATACATACAATGGAATATTATTCATTTGTTAAAAGGAATGAAGTTCTTATATATGCTGTAATGTGAATGAGCCTTGAAAACATTGTTAATGAAATAAGCCAAAAACAAAAGGACAAATATTATATAAAGACACTTATATGAAATATTCAAAATGGGCAAATTCATACAGACAGAAAGTAGATTAGAAGTTACCAGGGACAGGAGGGAGGCAGGGAGTAGGAAGTTATTGCTTAATGGTTACAGAGTTTCCGTTTGGGTTGATGAAAACGTTTCAGAAATAGATAAGTGGTGATGGTTGCACAACACTGTGAATGTAATTAAAGCCACTGAATTGAACACTTGAAAATGGTTAAGTTGGAAAATTTTGTGATATGTATTTTGCCACAGTTAAAAAAATACCAAAAAGGAAAAAATGGTAATAACGGGTACAATAAATATAATTCTTATGGCTATAATCTATTGTAACCATTTATGAAGTACCTACTCCATGCTAGGTCTAGGTACCGGGAAAATAGTAGTGAAGAATATTCTAGTGAGAGGAGACAGACAACATACACACAAATAAGTTGTCAGGAAATCTACTTTTTTTTTTTTAGGTGGAGTCTTGCTCTGTCACCCAGGCTGGAATGCAGTGGTGTGATCTCAGCTCATTGCAACCTCTGCCTCCCGGGTTCGAGTGATTCTCCTGCCTCAACCTCCCAGGTAGCTGGGACTACAGGCACATGCCACCACGCCCGGCTAATTTTTTGTATTTTTAGTAGAGATGGGGTTTCACCGTGTTAGCCAGGATGGTCTTGATCTCCTGACCTCATTATCCGCCCACCTTGGCCTCCCAAAGTGCTGGGATTACAGACATGAGCCACCGCGCCTGGCCAGGAAATCTACTCTTTATCCTTAATACTGTTATGGCCCTGGGACTATGTGGCTTCTGTTCTCCATGACCACTTGCTGAGCCCTGGCTTGGGTCAAGCCCTAGAGACTAGGTTGTAGAGCTACGTGCTTTATATGTGATCAAGTTCATAGCAATGGGCATTTCCTGTACAAGCAGTCTCTGCCCCTCCCTTTCCTCTGCTCTTTAAGAGGTCAATTTTGCCTTGTTCTGGGCAGGCCTGAGCCTTAAACTCAAGAGCTGCCTTGGAATAACGGAGCCCAGGGTAGGCATGGAAACCCTATATCCCCTTGCATTCTGGACACTTCACTGGCTTTTACTTCTCCTTGACTCAGTTCCTTGGGTGCATAGAGTGTTCTTGGCCTCTTCCCCTGGTTTTTGCCCAGGCCTGTCTGATTGGCTTTCCAACAATCTCTTCCCTTCCCTACTCCCCACCAACACCTTCAGGGACTTTGTATATATAGCTCCAGGGCTCTCATTGAGAGCCCTGGAGCTATAAATATAATAAAAAATAAAATATAAATGAATAAAAAATAATGAGCTAATACAAGCCCCAGTTAAGTTACCAATTGGCTTTTTGGTGTTAAGCAGGCAAAACCAAACCAAGAAGTCATTTATTCTTCAGTTTGGTAGACATTTAATGAGCTCTGTCTCAGGTGTTGGCAATTTCACTTCACAACCAGAATCATGGTAGTAACCATTTCTTGAGCACCTATTGTGAGCAGGACAATTCTCATTGATTAACTCACTGAATTTTTATACAACCCTGTATGTGGGTGGGGCTTATCCTTTTTCAGCAGAGAAGCTGAGGTTCAGAGAGACATGGCTGAGGTTACTGAGAATGCCTGGTACACTTAGACCATTCCAAAGCTCTTGTTTACTCCACACAGACAGCATGCCATGTACTCTGCCAACACCTCACCTCAATGTTCCCCATAACCCTCAGCACACACTGCATGCTTAGCCCCATTTTCCCCTTACATGTCTCACATATAAAATCTCCCCGATACACACTGCCTGCCTATATCCTGTGTTTCTTGCATTCCACACAAAAACTGAAATGCACATCCAGACTGACTTTACAAGGACACTGACACCCACAACTTTCCCTCCCCTGACACTTCGCATACACACACACACACACACACCTCACATACACATATTCCTGCATGGGCCTTGCATAAATAAGCCCTACCTTCCACCTACCCACTCAGGTATGAACACATCTCCTAGAAATACACAGTCACAACTGTGTTCTAGCAACAAAACTGGGTACAGAGGTTCTTCACTCACCCTGCCTCATGCTCCTCCCTTTCTCCTCCTCTCCCAGGCCTGCCCTGTCTCCATGCAAAACTGTCTTCATTTAACTCACACACAGTCTCATACCGACTGACAGGCTCTGCCCAGCCCATATCCAAAGATTGTAAATCCTTCCCACCCCCTTTCCTTGTTTGTCTGCCCCACACCGTGGCATTTGGAATCAGTTCGCAGAGATGACTACACAGACAGAGCTTTGTCCTGCACCTCAGGGAAGGGCAGTCTGGTAGGGCTATGCCCCTTTCCACCTGCCCTTGCACCCTGCCTCCCTTTCAGTGTTGAATACATTTCCTTGTATCTTTTTATTTCTTAATTTTAATTGAGACAGAGTCTTGGGCTCACTTGGGCAGATCACTTGGGCTCAAGTGATCCTCCTGCCTCAACCTCCTGAGTAGCAACAATTACAAGCATGTGTCACCACGCCCAGTGACTTTTCCTTATATTTGCCTTTATGGTGGGAGAGGTTGAGCCCCAGAACCATGTCCCCTGCCTCCTGTCTTTCAAACATTTGGCTCAGGATAGGGCAGAATTGGAAGTGAGGGCAGGGAATGGTCTGGAATAGCAAAGACCTCCTGGGTTCACATAAAGGCATGGAGACAGGACCTTACCCAAGAACCCAGGCTTAAGATTGACAATTGGGTACTTGTTCTGTAGCCACCACCACTGGTCTCCTTCCTGAAGTTAACTCTCAGTGCCTTATTCTATGATATCATGAATACAAGGGTGCCAGGGTCTTTCTTCACTGCTAAATGTGCCTTTGGGTGACTCCTTCCCTGACCCTGTGTCTCTATTTTCCCCATCTGTCAAAGGAAACCCAGTTATGAGGTCTACTCTATCACCACAAGGAATGGAGAGTACATCGGGGTTATATCAGGCTTGGTGTAGGCTGGGAGTTTTCTCCATAGCTTCATTTTCTCAAGATCTCCCTCTGGGTCAGAGGCCCTGCAGGGGTTCCTTTGTATCATTTTAGAGCCAGAACTGACTTGTCAAAAGCAGTATGTTATAGTGTGATGAGTAAGCTGGCAAGCTTTGTGGTCAAACTACATGCACTTGACTGCTTACTACTTAACCTAAGGCAAGTTGCTAAACTTCTCTCGCCTCAATTTCTCTCTCTTAGAAATGGGGCTAGTGATATCTCTCTCACAGGGTTATTTCACGGATTAAATGAAAAGATGTATAAAATACCTGGTCCATTGAAAATACTCATTAGATGTTTGTTGAATAAATGAATAAACTAAGTAATACAGTTCTACTCAGGCTTAATATCACAGATCCAATAAATATCAAATATAATTCCTGCCACTCAGTGTGTGACCCACTGGAATATAAGCTCCATGAAGGCAAGTCATTTATGTCTGTTTTGTACCTCAAGCTCCTAGAACAGTAACTTGCAAATAGTGACTGTTTGATAAATAGTTTTGCATGAATGAATAAGCAAATGAATTAATACTATATTGCAGCTACTGTGTTAGGCATATGGGACAGAATTCTACGATGGACAGTCCCTGTTCTCATGGAGGTTACAATCTAGTAATTAAATTGATGATCAGCCTGGGCTCAGTGGCTCATACCTGTAATCCTAGCACTTTGAGAAGCCAAGGCAGGAGAACTGCTTGAGTTCAGGAGTTTGAAACTAGCCTGGCCAACATGGCAAAACCTCGTCTACTAAAAATACAAAAATTAGCTGGGCATGGTGGCACATGCCTGTAGTCCCAGCTACCCAGGAAGCTGAGGCAGGAGAATAGCTTGAACCTGGAAGGTGGAGATTGCAGTGAGCCGAGATTGTACCACTGTACTCCGGTCTGGGGAACAGAGCAAGACTCTGTCTCAAAACATAAAAACAGGCCGGGTGTGGTGGCTCACACCTGTAATCCCAGTACTTTGGGAGGCTGAAGCGGGTGGATCACGAGGTCAGGAGATCAAGACCTGCCTGGCCAAGATGGTGAAACCCCATCTCTACTAAAAATCCAAAAATTAGCCGGGCATGGTGGTGGGCGCCTGTAATCCCAGCTACTCGGGAGGCTGAGGCAGAGAATTGCTTGAACCCAGGAGGCGGAGGTTGCAGTGAGCCAAGATCATGCCACTGCACTCCAGCCTGGTGACAGAGCGAGACTCTGTCTCAAAAAAAAAAAAACATAAAAACAAACAAAAAACAAAAAAAATCCTCGGTATGGTGGTGCATACTTGTAGACCCAGTCACTCAGGAAGCTGAGGTAGAAGGATCGCTTGAGCCTGGGAGGTCAAGGCTGCAGTGAGCTGTGATCATGCCACTGCACTCCAGCATGGGGGACACAGCAAGACCCTGTCTCAAAAATTGATTGATTAATCAATTAATGAAATTAACGATTGAACCTAGGCTTAACGCTGTGAAGGAGAATGACGGGATGCTGTGAGAGTGACACACAGAAGGAATTTCTTAGTCTGGGATATGGAAAAGAGTCTCTCAGAGCCAGTGAATATCTGAGCTGATGCCTGAGGAAGGAGTGAATCAGGTGATTAGTAAGGAGAGGAGGTGGTGATGGGTTTGAGCTGTTCAAATACCAGAAAAATGATCAGAGTGGCTGAATCACGGTGAGAAAAGGAGTGAGTAGTAGGAGAAGGAGTTGGAAACATTTGCAGGGACTAGATCATGTAGGCTCTTTTGGGCTATAGCAAAAAATTTGGCTTGTGGTCCTCATGTGATGGAAAGACACTGGAGAGTTTCATGCAGGGGATTAGCATGATCTATGTTTTACAAAGATTCTTCTGGATTTATTGTAAAGAATGGGTTGTAGGGGGCAAGGGTAGAAGCCAGGAGACCTGTAAGGAGGCTAGGGCAAGTCATCCAGTTGACAGATGATAGGGACTTGGACTGGATTGGTGGGAAGTAAATGAAGAGAGAGGTGGATGTGTTAGGGATATATTCTGAGTGTAGCAGGACTTGCCGATAGGCTGAATGGTTAGGGGTAATAAGAAAGAGGAGGCAAAGCTAACGCTTAGATTTCTGGCTTGCTACCTGGGTGGATGATGGTGCCATGTTTCTTTGGCAGGAAAGATTGTGTAGGAACAAGCTTTGGAGTGGCAATGTTCTGTTTTGGCTGTCTTTGATTTACCAGTGGTAAATGGAGAATTTACCAAATGGTAATTTACCAAACGGAAAGGTCAAACCAAATGGAGATGTCAAATTATCAAATGGTAATTTATCACATGGAGATGTCAAACATTAATCTGGAGCCCAGGACAGAGGCTGAGGCATCTTTAATAGGATTGTAAGTCCTGAGTGTGCTGGAGAAGCCATGGGCTAGGTGCGAACAGAGGAATGACATAAACCGACTTTTGTTTTTAACATGATCACTCTGAATGCTGGGTTGAGCATTGACTGTAGGGAGGTAAGTATGGAAGCAGGGAGACCAGGAAGGAGGCCACTTCAGTCATATAGGTGAAGTGTGATGATGGCTTAGACAAGGGTAGTGGTGGTGGAGGTGGGCAGAAGAGGTTAGGTTCAGGATAAATTTTGAAAAGAGCCAATGGACTTTGATAATAGATTGAATATGACAGGTGAAGGAGATGGAAGAGTTAGAGGTGATCCCCAGGTTCTGGGTTTGTCCAATTATGTTGATGGTGGAGCCATTCACTGAGGTAGAGACCACTAGAGAAGAGCAGATTTGGGGGAAAGATGTTTAGTTCAATCCCTTTCTCTGCCCTTCTTGTTCCCTATGCTTATTTCTGATCTGCTGCCACCTTCAGAAGGAGCCTATTCATTCTACCTGAAATCCACTATCAGAGAATCCCTCCTTTATGTTGATGCATAGTGTTTCCTAACCTCTATTAACACCGCACACTTTCCCTGTGGGATGACATGGTTTCCTGTGGCTTCAACTGCCATCTTTATGCTGATGATTTCAAATATTCTATCTCTAACCCTGCACTCTTCTCTGAGCTTGAAACCCACATGGCCAGCCATCTACTGGCTATCTCCCTCTGGACATCCCACGTGCACCACAACCCTACCATGAACCAAACCAAAGCTGTCATATTGCTCCCTGGACATCTGTCCTCTGCTCCAGTGCATGATATAGAGTAGTTGTTAAGACATTGGTTTCTAAAACCAGCCTGCCTTGGCTTATATCCTGGCTCTGCAACTTACTAGTCACTTCAACTTTCTGTGCCTCATTCCCTTACCTGCAAAATGGGAATGATGGTAATGGTACCTAAGCCTACTTCATAAAGTTGTTGTAAGAATCAAATGAATTAATCTATGTAAAGCACCTAAACCAGTTGCCTGGCACATAAGTACTTAATTACCTATTAATTTTACTATGATAATGGTGATGATGGTGATAGTGATAACAATGATCTCTCAAATATGTCCCCTTCTGTCTCTCTTGACTGTGACTACCACGTTGTTAATAATGATCTCTCAAATATGTTCCCTTCTGTCCCTCTTGACTGTGACTACTATATTGTAGGCTCACTTTTTGCCTGGATCACAAGAGCCTGCTAACATAACTGAATTTGAACATAATGGTAGATATGTCATGCACAGTGCTGGGCACTGTAATGACATAAAAGTTTATTAGATATGGCTCTTATTCTTCCGGAGTCTGAAGAAGCCCTATAATCTAGAACCATCCTGTCCAACATGGTAGCCATTAGCTTCAAGTGGCTATTACATTTTAACTTTAGATTTATTAAAATAAATTATTATTAGAAATTAAATTCCTTAGTCACAGTAATCACATTTCAAGTGCTCAGCTGCTTGAGGTCAGACTACTTAGATTCATAACCTGGATCTGTCATTTCCAGGTGCATGACCTTAGGCAAGTTACCTAACCTATCTGAGCCTGTCCTTTCATCTATTAAATGGATCTAATAATAGTACATACTACCCCTACTACCGACCTTACAGGGCTGCTGTTAAGATAAAATGAGTTAACATTTGTAAAGTGTTTTAGTTGTGGTTCTGGAATTCATTTTCTTTCTTTTGTTTTTTGAGATGGAGTTTTGCTCTTGTCACACTATAGGCTGAAGTGCAGTGGCGTGATCTCAGCTTGCTGCAACCTACACCTCCCAACTTCAAGTGATTCTCCTGCCTCAGCCTCCTGAGTAGCTGGGATTACAGGCACCCACCATCTCGCCCAAATAATTTTTGTATTTTTAGTAGAGACGAGGTTTCACCATGTTCGCCAGGCTGGTCTAGAACTCCAGATGTCAGGTGATCCACCCACCTTGGCCTCCCAAAGTGCTGGGATTACAGGTGTGAGCCACTGCACCTGATCTGGAATTCACTTTCTGTGTAACCTTGAGCACGTTGTTTCCCCTCCCTGGCCTCAGTAGGGGTAATCAGACTCCTCTATATGGTCTCTAAGGTTCCTACCAGTTACAGTAGTCTTTAAGAGAAAGGAGCCTGTTTCAGATGGCATAAAGGAGCTGAGATAGAAATGAACATGACACATCTGAGGCATGGTAATTAGAACTGCCATTTATCAAGTGTTAACTCTGTATGGGGCACCATACATACATTATTTCATTTAATTCTCACAACAGCCCCGTGAGGTAGAATTTATCTTCATTTTGTCAATAAAGAAGCTAAAGCTAGACAAATAGCTGTTTGGAAAAGCAAAGCCACTGCCCACTGTCACACAGCCAATAGTGAATGGTAAGGTACCCACTCAAACCCAGGTCTGCCTGACACCGAGACAAAACTCAAAGCCACCCTGCCACACCATCTAGGAGGCTTGATGAGAGAGCGTGGAGCTGGAGAGTGGAGCTGGAGAGTGGAGCTGGAGAGTGGAGCTGGAGAGCATTCCTCCATAATTATATCGGAGTCACTTCAATATAATTATGAAGGAAGCATGGGAGGGGAAAGACTGGAAACAGGGAGGCCCATTAAAAGACTGTTGCATACAGCTGGGAAATGATGGGTGTTCCTGAACTGGAGCAGCAGCCTTGGAGATGAAGAGATGGAAACAGATGGAGGACATCCTACTGTTACTCTGTCACTCTATCATTAATTCCCTGAGGGCAAGAACTCTTTTATCTTTGTATGTCACCCACTACCTGTGTTGTCTCCCCTGCCACACACAGACAGCACAACACAGCAGTTTGCACACAAATCCACTGTTGGTTAAAATGGAATCAATTAGATTTAATTAACAAGATTTGGTAACTGATTAGATCTGAAGAGAATACAAGATGGCTTCCAAGTTTAGAACTTGGGTCTTTGGAAGAAGTTTGAAGTTGCTATCCATGGAGCTGTAGAACGCTCAGAGTAGGCCCTAACTGTCTTGCTTCCCTACCCTAAGATCTATTCTTGGCAGGGGCCCAGCTAGGGTAAAGCTGGCCTTCCCTCCCAAGCATCTGACATTCTGGGCTGGGAAGGAGGCTCTTTCTTCTTGGGCCTCCTTTCCACTTTCCCTGGCCTGGGCAATGAGTCCCTCTTCATAGTATTTGAATCAGAGGAAACAGATAGACTGAGGAAGTGAAGAAAAAACAGGCTGCCTGAGCTCTGAGAGCCAATGTAAACACTCAGTGGTTTCCTGTTGTTGCAGCCCAAAGTGTCCCATGACATCATTCCTGGCCTTTCCAGAACACACTGGTTCAGCCCAGCCTGTCAACCTGCCAGGGCTAAGTGGCAGTCACCTCCCTTCCCCACCAGGGTTAGATCTTCCAGAAATGGGGAGCTTCTCCAAGCCAACCATTTCCCACCCGCCCAGCCAGCCACCGTGGCCTTTCTAGCCCTATAAGGCATTTAGAGGCTGTGGGCTGGACACGCTGTCCCACTTTCCAGAGGCCCAATGGCTTTTGGGTCAGAGAATGATTTCCCAAACCGGAAAAGTTATTCTACTTCTTTTAATGGAGATTTGGAGTCAGGGGAGAGGGAGGAAGGTGTGACACACAGCTTATGAGGCAGGCCCCAACTGCTTCCTCCCCTCCTCACCCCACCCAAGGGCCCACAGGTTTATATTCTCAGTGTTGGTCACAGATTCCTAGGAGCAGAACTAGAAAGGCCCTCTGAATACCTTGTAGCCTAATCTTCACACAGTGCAGATGAGAGCACTGAGGCCCAGAGGGGTAAAGAGACTAGACCCAGTCACACGTTGGTCAGAGCAGTATAAGCCCTCCACTGCCAGAGGTCTGAACCTGAGCTATCACAAGGCAGGATGACATTTTTGCAAGAGTTCTTGACAGGAAATCCAGAAACCAGGATTCAAGTTCAAATTCCTCTGTGAGATCTTGAATAAATTTCTCCTTTTCTCTGGGTTTTGGCTTAGACAGCTATAATTCAATTTCAAGGCAATAAATACTTATTGAGAGCTTACTGTGCTTGGTAGAGCTGACGGCTCTTGAGAAAGAGAAGAAAGCATGATGAGAACACTCGCCATTTCACAGGCTGGAATGGAAATAAAATGAAAAAAAATGGTCTAAATTCTGTAAGAGACCTTAAGCCTATGTGGACTCCATATCTCTGTCTCTGGGCAAAATCAAACCATAATCAGGGTTGTGGGGTCCTTTAAGACTGCATTCCCCTCCCTATTACCTTCACAAGGCAGCAGAGAGTTCTTAATGGGCCAGAGTTTTGTTTGCAAAAAAGATTCCCAGTTCCGCTTCTCATTTAGCTGTGTAGATCTGCATAGAGAGGTGGCAAGGTCCTAAATTATTGTCTGGAAAATCAAGCCAAACACATTATGGTAATTCCTGTAGCCAGCAGTAATAGGATTTCAAGCTGTAGCTATGCCACAGAGCACAGGCAATTCGGAATAGCTCTTTTAGTCAATCAAATGCACCACAGCCTAGCTTAGCAAACACAATTTAGAAGCACGTTTGGGAGCAAAGATGCTTATTCCTGCACTTTAAGATGCATGAAGCAATGTGAAGTCATTCCTTTAGCCGATCAGTTTAACCACAGCATGGATTAGGTGAAACACGCACAGAGGAAGGTACAGACGCATTTAGACGCCTGGAGACGCACATCCATACACAGATGCATATGCAGGAGGTTGCTCACGAACATTGGGAGACACACAAACTCTCAGAGCAGCCAACAGAAATTTTTAAAAAGACACACACACTCCAATCATAAGCTAGGAAAAGACAGCTACCTGTCTGGAATTTTGGGTGGCTGCTTTTTGGCCCTCTGCTCATCTCTCTCCTTAGTCCCCCAACAATGGTCCAAATTCAGATCCTATGTTTTCTCTAAAGGAAACTTAGAAAGCCACCCCCAAAACCACTGCATCTATACCCACCCCCACCACACCACATCAGATTCTTATTACCTATCTGTCACCTGGACAACAGCAAAGATCTGTCACGGCTCCCTGATGTCAGTATCTTTTCTCCAATCCATCCTCCATAGGGCTGCCTGCCAGAGGGAATCTTCATAGAACTCAACCCTGTTCTTACTGCATCCCTTCTCAAAAGCCTCCCTTTCCTCCTCACTGTCATCACAAGCCAACCCAGACACCTGTCATTCATGGGGTGACCAAAATCTGGGACCCCTTTTTCATGCCCTCTGCCCTCCAGAAGGCAGATGACACCTTGCTTAGCTGCCTATTCATGTCCTCTTCAAGCACTCCTACCCCTTGTGCTATTCCCTTGAACTAGAACCACCCAGTTCTGCACCTATCAAAATCCTACCTACTTTGAATATTATTTTTTAAGATGGAGTCTCGCTCTGTCACCCACAATGGAGTGTCATGGCGCTATCTCGGCTCACTGCAACCTCCGCCTTACGGGTTCAAGTGATTCTCCTGCCTCAGCCTACCGAGTAGTTGGGACTACAGGCACATGCCACTACGCCCAGCTAATTTTTGTATTTTTAGTAGAGATGAGGTTTCACCATGTTGGCCAGGATGGTCTCGATCTCTTGACCTCATGATCTGCCCGCCTCAGCCTCCCAAAGTGCTGGGATTATGGGCGTGAGCCACTGCACCCAGCCTTACTTTGAATTTTTTTAAAGAATAAGTGCATCTTTGAAATTATTATTTTTTTTTTTGAGACGGAGTTTTGCTCTTGTTTCCTAGGCTGTAATGCAATGGTGCAATCCCGGCTCACTGCAACCTCTGCCTCCCAGGTTCAAGTGATTCTTCTGCCTCAGCCTTCCCAGTAGCTGGGACTACAGGCTCGTGTTACCATCCCCAGTTAATTTTTTTTTTTTTTTAATTTTTAGTAGACACAGTTTTCACCATGTTGGCTAGGCTGGTCTCGAATTCCTGACCTCAGGTAATCCACCCTCCTCAGCCTCCCAAAGTGCCGGGATTACCGGCGTGAGCCAGCATGCCCAGCCGCAACTAAAATTTTGGTTGTTGTTTTCATCCTTCAAGCCCTGACCCACAAGTCACCTCCTCCATGAAGTCTGCCTCTAATCTCCCAAAAGTGCTGTGTAATAGAACCAAACTTACCCTAGTCAGCCTTAATAGGCATGCATGTATGTTGTATGTCTTCGTCCTCAGAGGAAAGCTGATGGGGGAAGAGGGCAAAACTCCCTGATGCCAGTGCCTCTTCTGCAGCAGACAATGTGCTGGCACTCTTCCTGTGTTATTACATTGCCCGCAGTCCCTCAAAGACAGACTGACAAACCTCAAGACCTCTAGACTCTCAGGCCAGTCTGTTTTGAACTACTCTATCCTAGTCTTGGGTTTGAGTCCTGGCACTTCCACCAGCTTGCTGTGTGACTATGAACAAAGCTCAATTGCTCTCTGGCCTCGATTTTTTCAAGGGTTCTTTCACTTCTAGATCCTATTCAAGACGTAGGATTTTATGCAACTTCTCTCATGCGGCTGCCTGGGACTAGGTATGTCCACTATCATATTATCATATTCATTCATATTTTTTCTCTCTCTCTGTCTTTCCTTGTTTCTGTCTCTTTTCCCCTGTTTTTCTCTCCTCTCTCCTCTTCCCTTCTCTGTTTCTTTCTCTCTTCTGTTTCTCTCTCTGTGTTTCTTTCTTTTTCTTCCTGTCTCTGTCTGTTTCTGTCTGTCTCTAATTCCTGCTCTCTATTTTTATCTCTCCTCCATTTTTTCCTCTTTAGTCTTTCCCTCTTCCCCCCGACCCCACCTCTTTCTTTCTTTTCTCTGTCTCTTTGCCTCTTCCTTTATGCCTCTCTCTTCTCCTTCTCTGATTCTGTCTCTGTTTCATGAACTTCAACCTCAGAATCTGGCTAAATAACTTCCAATCCAAAATAGTTCTGGTGCTTCCTGAGTGTTGCTGGTAAGGAGAGGTAGAAATGGGGTCCCTCTGAGGTTTTCAGAAAGCCCAAGTTCCCTGCTCCTTGGGAAGGGTACCTCACAAAGTTAAGGAGGAAGACAGCAGGATGAAAGGTCTCATAACAGGCCCAGCGGGCTCCTACCCTCCAGCCTTTTACCCAAAGAAACAACACTGCCCACAGATTACAAAGTGTCTTCATCTCCTAAATGATCTGAGCCAGAAGTTCTTAGAAACTATATTCCTACTGTCTTCTGACCCCATCCCACAAAATCATTTTGCAGATGTGAAAACTGAAGCCCATGCATAGGAAAGGACTAGCTCACTATTACACAGTGAAGTAACAGAACTGGAACTAGAATGTTAGTGTTCTGACTCCTAATCAATCTCTGAAAAGGTTATAAAATTGATTCAATGTCTCCAGCCAAAAAGCACTATTGGACTGGGCATGGTGGCTCACACCTGTAATCCCAACACTTTGGGAGGCCGAGGTAGGAAGATCGCTTGAGCCTAGGAGTTTAAGACCAGTCTAGGCCACATAGCAAAACCCCATCTCTACAAAAAAAATTAAAAATTAGCTGGGCATGGTGTTGCATGCCTGTGGTCCCAGCTACTAGGGAGGGCGAGGTGGGAGAATCACCAGAGCTCAGGAGGTTGAGGCTGCAGTGAACTGTGATCACACCACTGGACTCCAGCTTGGACTATAGGGCCAGACCCTGTCTCAAAAATAATAAAACAAGGCTGGGCCAGGTGGCTCACATCTGTAATCCCAGTGCTTTGGGAGGCCGAGGTGGGAGGATCACTGGAGTCCTGGAGTTTGAGACCAGGCTGGGCAACATAGTGGGATGCTGTCTCAAAAAAAAAAAAAGAAAGAAAGAAAAGAAAAGCCAAGCATGGTGGTCCTAGCTACTCAGAAGAGGCTAAAGTGAGAGGATCACTTGAGCCCAGGAGGTTGAGGCTTCAGTGAGCTGTGACCAAGTTCTGCACTGTAGCCTGGGGAACAGAATGAGACTCTGTCTCAAATAAATGTATAAGAAATAAATAAAATAAAATAAAGCACTGTTGGAGTTATTTTTCTAGTAGAAGAAGAGAAAGCTGAGGATTGAAATGGGCAGAGTGGTGACTTAATCAATATCCAGATTGTGAACACTTAAAGGCAGGGTTTCTGTCACCTTTGTCTCCAATGAAAGCCCAGTACAGTATCTGGCCCCAGCTCAGTGATTAATAAATGAGGGAGGAGCTGTCATCAGGCATTTGAGGGACACTGCTGTCTCCTCTGGGACTCTGGGTATTTATGCAGACACTCCAGAAAGCTGGAAATCAGAGGACTGGGGATTTAGTCTCAGTCAGTCCAACACCAGTTCAGGTCCCCCCTCATTCCCCCCACCCCTCCATAAATGAGTTTCTTCTTTATAAAAGAAGAGGTAATGGTATCTGCCTCATCTGGCTCCCTGGAGCTTGAGGAAGCTGAAATAAAAAAAAAAAAAGAAAAAGAAAAATAGGAAAGAGCTTTGACAAAACAAGACACTACTCTGCAAATGTGATGGCTGGATGCTGTGGTGATGTCCCAGCTAGCAATTATGTTCTCAGCGGCAACTGTGGGCAATGAGTGAGTCATCTTCTCACTCTCAAAGCCAGAGGCCTTGAAAGGGGAGAAATGAGGTGAGTCTTTTCTTAAGAGTTTTTTGGAGGGGACCAGAGCAGACTCCCTCCCTCCCAAACACACACACGTACACACTATGCCCCAGATTCCAGCCTCCTGGGGATTCATTCATAGTCAGCTTAAGCAAGGACTGCATCCCTACCTCTGTTATTTAATTCCAAGACACTGGGGTCCCTAAGTTATTGAGGTTTCTTGGAGACTAGAAGTCAGAGTCCCCAGTTTCCATTCAGTCCCAGTTCTACAGCCAGCCTTGGGCTCCGGTTCTGATTTTCACTAATTTACTCTGTGGCTTCAGGTAAATTAGATTCCCTCTCTGAACTCTTTTCATCTATAAAGAAAAAAAAAAACCAACAGGATGAACTAGATGCCTAACATTATGTTTCTGAATCTGGACTGGGATTCAGAAGACCTGGGTTTGAGTCCTAGCTCTATCACAACGACTGTACAACCTTAGTCAACTTCTTTCCGGGGCCTCAGTTTTCACAACTATAAAATGAGGCATTTGGGTTAGATGCTTGGCCGTGTGTTTCAAAAGTTCTGAACTGGCATTCAGGAAACGTGGATTCTAGCCCTAACTGCCACAGAGTGAATCACTGTCTGAGTTTAGACTGGTCTCATCTCTTCTCTGGGCCTGTTTCTCTATCTTTATCATGAGGATATTCAAATATAAGTTATCTAAACACACCCTCTGATTCTGACAGCCTGTGGTTCTAGAATTTTACAAGCACTGAAAAGGAAGTGAACAAAGGGAGAGGCCACACCCAGAGTGATTTCTCATAAACTGGCAAGTGGTTGCCCTCTATGGGTCTGACTTGGAAGTGCAGGCCCAACTAGACCACTTGCTGTAGCAACCGCTAAAGAACTGAGGCCAGAGGGGGGCGCAAGAGATCACTGAGTGCTTCACTAGATAGGGCCAGAATCAGGCTGAGGTAGGCCTACAGACCTCCCAGTCCCTCACAATGAGAGACATCCAGATAAGAAGTGTGTGCTGGGAGACTGGACCTTCTCTCCTAGTGACTAGAAACAAGAGGCTTTCCAGGGCTGTGCAGAGAGCATGGCCAGTACGGTCTCTGCCATGGGCGAAGTGAGTAAATGTCAGGGGTGTGGATGAATGGGGGTGGAGGGTGACTGTGCTATGAGAGTGGGTATGGGAACAAGTTAGTTCCATGGCTGAGAAGTTTTCACATGAGGGGCAAAGATATGGCAAGAACTGCTCAAATTAAAGTGCTTTTCAGCATCCCCATCTACTCCCTTCCCTCCTCAGAGAAGATAAAATGTATGCCTGGGCAGAAAAAAGGAGTGACCTTAGTGTGAGAGTGAGAACCTAATCATGAGAAAGACTAGGGAGTGCTTGGTATTCAGGGAAGGCCCTACTGTCTACAGGATTTGTGGTCTCAGTCTTGAGGTATCACTAAATTTGAGGGGCTTCTTGGACTCAGTATTGCAGGGCATTACATGCTGGAGGTGTAGGGTGGGTTCAGATATAGGGTTATGTTACAGAAACAGGTGCATACTAAGGCTTTCATGCTGTCATTCTATAATGTTTAATTATATAAGTAGCTCTAGGCAGGCCATGAAACACTGGGCTCCCCTCCCTCATCTCTCTTTCTTGGTTAAAAAGTCTGATCATCCAACTCAGATGCAAGGGAAACAACAAAGGCAGCCAGTGTTTCTTGTTGTGTGACAGGGATGGTTGCAGCCCTACTTCTCTCCTGATTCACTGTAGAAACCAGGTCAAGTTTTCAGCCTCTCTCTGGATCTCAGTTTCCCCACCTGAAACAGGAGTGAGCTGGACTTGATGAGGTTCCAGGTTTCTCCCAGCCCTGACATTCTATCTGGTTATTTTTATAATGTTCTGTGGTATTCTATGCTTCTCTGCCCCTACCCAAGTAGGGGCCACCAATTCCCAAAGGTCCTTTCAACCCTAATATCCAAGCCTACTCATTCAAGCTTCCAAGGCTTTCCATTACATCCTAGTCCCACCCCCACCACTTCATCCCACCACCATCCCCTCATGCCACTACCACCATTGCTGCTGCCTAGAACAGGGTACAGTCTTCTCTACTTTTATTTGGAAATTCTAACAACCCACCTCTGATGCTAATGAGTTGACAAAGATTGATACAGTATTGCTCTGAGGTGACAGAACTCCCAGTTCTGCCACTACTTGCCTTTGTGCCCTTAGGGAAATTCCCCCGCTTCTCTAAACTTCATTTTTTCCCAACTCTAAATTAAGGGCGGTGGACTAGAATGGTCTCTGAAAGCTGCAAATTGCTCCAACACCTTTCACTTCTAGGCAATGAGAAGGTCGAGATTGTCTTTGATGTTTTGCCATAATTCTGATCCTCTCTCAGTGTTCCTTAAACGGAAACCTCTCTGCCTACAACCTCCCACCTGATAAGTACCCACAGTTTCCACCAGCAACTCCTAGACCTGTCTCCTTCCCTTCCTCAACCTGGTCCCAACACAAACAAAAAGTTTTTCTCTCCCAATCAAGGTGTCTGTGAGTGATAATAGTTTATTGTGAGGAACAGACTCAATGAAGATAACAAACTGCTTTTTACCCTACCAAATAATTTGCCTGCCGGGTGCAGTGGCTCATGCCTGTAATCCCAGCACTTTGGGAGGCTGAGGCAGGTGGATCACCTGAGGTCAGGAGTCCAAGACCAGCCTGCGCAACATGGTGAAACCCTGTCTCTACTAAAAATACAAAAATTAGCCGGGAGTGGTGGCATGCGCCTGTAATCCGAGCTACTCAGAAGGCTGAGGCAGGAGAGTCGCTTGAACCTGGGAGGCAGAGGTTGCAGTGAGCTGAGATCATGCCATTGCACTCCAGCCTGGGTGACAGAGCAAGACTCCCTCTCAAAAAAATAATAAAATAAAATAATTTGTCTATAAGGTCTTGTCATTAGTTTATTGCACCACCCCACAACTGCTGATTCCCACAAGCCTCTCCCAGAAAAACCACAAACAGACCCTGGGACGGAGACTTTGAAGGATATTTTGAAGGATATTTTATTTAAAAGTTTTTTAAACAGAATTATTCTCACAGCTTCAGCAACAGCAAGGACTCAATTCAACCTCCCAGTCCAGACTAGTTGCTTGGGGTACTTCTCAGACAACCCAGTGGCTTGATTTGAAGTCATACCTGAGATGGTCCCTTCTCTTCCTCCTGGAAGCCATTTCCAAAAGATGTGTATGGTGGGAAGCACCACAGGAAAAGGAGGGAGGAAAAAACATGCAGGTAGTTAAAAAAAAAAAAAAGTAGAAGAGGTGGGAAGGTAGCAGCGGGGATTGGGGTAGCCCCATTGTAGGTACTAAAAAGTGTTTGGAAAAAATAATAAAGAATTAATAAATAAGCAAAATCAAAATTGGTCTTGGTTTGAGATGGAGTCCCTCTCTGTCTCCCAGGCTAGAGTGCAGTGACGTGATCTAGGCTCATTGCAACCTCCTTCTCCTGGGTTCAAGCGATTCTCCTGCCTCTGCCTCCTGAGTAGCTGGGATTACAGGCGTGCACCATCATACCTGGCTAATTTTTGTATTTTCAGTAGAGACGAGGTTTCACCATATTGGACAGGCTGGTCTCGAACTCCTGAGCTCAAGTGATCCGCCCACCTTGGCCTCCCAAAGTGCTGGGATTACAGGTGTGAGCCACCGCACCCAGCCTCAAAATTGTGTTTTTAATCTGGAAGAGGAAATTGCTTGCCGATTGTTGCCAAAAATCCCAGTTTCTTCATTCCTGTCCATGTGATGTGCAATGATAACATTTCATATCTATAGGTGATTACATACTGTTATCATGGCTGAGGTATTGTGACTAATATTGACTAATACATTGTGATTAATGATGGCTAATACTATATCTAAAATATTATGAAAAAGTCACAGAGATGAGGACGAGTGGGCAAGGATAAAATGGGATGAAGAGAGAGACCAGGCACAGTGGCTCACACCTGTAATCCCAGCACTTTGGAAGGCCGAGGTGGGCAGATCACGAGGTCAGGAGTTCGAGACCAGCCTGGCCAACATGGTGAAATCACATCTCTACTAAAAACACAAAAATTAGCTGGGTGTGGTGGCACGTGCCTGTAGTCCCAGCTACTCGAGAGGCTGAGGCAAGAGAATTGCTTGAACATAGGAGGCAGAGGTTGCAGTGAGCCAAGATGGCGCCACTGAACTCCAGCCTGGAAACAGAGCGAGACTCCATCAAAAAAAAAAAAAAAAAAAAAAAAGGGATGAAGAGGATATCATGCAGTTAGAGTACTTTGGTTCAGACCTGACTGACCCGCATCTGCTTGGAGTCTCTGAGGACCTTCAAAGGCCTTCTTACAGCTCTAAGGAGCATTTGTCCCAGGAGCAGTACGGGGAGCAATGCTACAATCTGGCTATGCTTGGGCACTGAAGGTACCAATTGTCATCAATAGCCATAACCCGTTGCTGTCAGGTACTCACAGACAATTAACTATCAATACCCACAGACAATCACCATTAATACTCATAGGCAATGGATGTTGATAATCCTATGGCTACCATCACTCAGAAGTCTCTCATCTGGACCCTAGTCTAGATGGCAGGGGCAGGGATGAGGGGATGGAAGGGGAGAACTAGTTGAGAGGGAGATATAACACTAATCCAGAAAGAACTACTTTCTATCCTTTCTGGTCACTCCGGGGTTAAGAAAAAGGCCTGGGGTAGGGCAAGGGAAAGCTGAAGCCTAGCTAGCCTTGCCCCAGGCCCCTTCCTTCAGGGTGTTCCCTTGATAATAGGGAAAAGTATGACCTGCAGGTAATGGTTAGCTGATCCTGACTAGCAGGAATTGCCATGATCTGGGGCTCCTTCTTATCTGTAACCAGAAACTGGCAAAAGGAAAGAAGGGAAAGTGGGGTCCATCCCTCTGGATCAATAGGCCTATTTACAGGGTCCTACTGGGCCTTAGTTTCTGGCGAGCCAGGGCCACAGCATAATAGCACTGGAAGTGGACCAGGAGCACAGGAACCAACAAGATACCAGTGCACATGCCTGCAGTGGCTGTGACAGCAGCAGTGAGCTGGCCCAGAGCAGACAGGGGATAGACATCTCCCTAGCCGACAGTGGTGAGAGTTATGACAGTCCACCAGAGACATGTAAAGATGTCTCCCAAGTGGGGCTCACTTTGACCTGAGATACACATGCCTAAGAGCTCCCCATAGAGGAAGAGCAAGCCAAAGGATAAGATATCAGCCACCCAAATCAGGAGAAAGGCACACACCTCTTTCCAGGAAGAATGGAGTGTATGAACAAGGACTCTCATGGCCAAGGACTTTTTAAGGAAGCCCAGGAGACGAACCAGCTTGAGGACATAGAGAGAATGAATGGCCCCAAGGATTAGGCTAAGATAGAGTTGCCATACAGCCTTGTCACCTACTACCAATTCCACCAATGCAGGCAACAAACAGAAGATATCAGCTAGATTGAGAGGGCTACACAGGAAGCACACCTTATTCGGGCAGGAAATGGTCCAGGCAAAGAGGTCAGTTCCAAACCAAAGGGGACAGAGCAGCTCCAGGTATAGCAGATGTGGGGCACAGTGGTAAACAAAACCGTTGTTCTGCTGCTACTGCTGCTGCTGGTTTTCCCCCACCCCCCATCCCATGTTCCATAGTAGTGAAGTTGCCAGAGAAGTAATCCAGCTGGACTTCCGTCTGCTGGAAGAAGATGCCCAGGGTACACATGGCAAACAGTGTGGAGAACAGGGAAAGGCACTAGAGAAAAAGATGCTTGTCAGAAATCCCATCTGCCAGCATCCCCACCTCTCTAACTATACTTCCATCCTTGGCTTCCCTTTTTGAGGGATGCCCTCAAATTGTGCCGGAAGTCTATAGATTCGAGTCCCAAGCACCATGCCAAGTGTGTAGCCATTGTGGCATTTTGGGAGCGTCCTTCGGGGGTAGGAGTGTCTAGCATGGTGCCACACACTGTTAATGAGTTACCCTGGCCCCTAAGGAAGACTGAGGTTGGTCAAGAAGCACCCAGAGCCACGGTTTCCAAGTATTTTGCAGTCCCTGGCCTTCTGTGTGGTTCAGCAGAAGGCATTCACACATGCAGGCATTCTCACAGGCCTCCCAGGACAGAAAGTCCTGGGTATGGGTCTCCTTGCCACTTAGCTTGAGCCAGCAGCAAGGTGCCAGGGGTGCTTCTGCCAGGCCCCAATAAGCCAACTCCTCCTCTAGGACATCCCAACAAATGTTGGCAGGGCAGTGCAGCTGCTGAATATGGTAGTAGCCCAGCAGGTAGCCAAAGAGCTCAGGATTACAGTCAAAGAAAAACTCTTGGCCGGCCCCGGTGGCTCACACCTGTAGTCAGGAGTTCCAGACCAGCCTGACCAACATGGTGAAACCTCTAAATACAAAAAATTAGCTGGGCAGGGCAGTGTACACCTGTAATCCCAGCTACTTGGGAGGCTGAGGCAGGAGAATCGCTTGAACCCAGGAGGCAGAGGTTGCATTGAGTCGAGATTGTGCCATTGCACTCCAGTCTGGGCAACAAGAGCGAAATTCCATCTCAGAAAAAAAAAAAAAAGAAAGAAAGAAAGAAAAGAAAAGCTCTTGGACCAGTGGGCCCTGAGCAGCTGGGGTGCCAGGTGGGGATGGCTCAGTCGGCTTGTAGAGGCGGGTACCTGGAAAGGCCCTCATGGTGCTGATGTAGATCAGGTGGCGTATGCCACCAACATCCAGGATCAGTTTATTATCCAAGCCCTCCATGGAAAACTGTGAGCCTGCTTCTAGGCTGGCTGGGATCTACTGGCAAGAGGAGGGATGACAGGGGTTAGGACATGACCCTCCTGCCTTCCTCTCCCTTCCCAGGTTTGGCCAGGGCAGAAAGGGGGCTGAGATCCACAGAAGTGATGTGACAGCCAAGGCACCCAGGCAGGGAGCTGGAGTGCCTTTTCCTCCTCGGTCTTCAGGAATCAGGAGGACAGTGAGCTCTCAAGTGTGGTCACGGTGACTGGCCAGTCTCTCCTGGGCCCAGCGATTCCAGGAGAAAAACCAGCCTAGCCTAGAAACAGATGTCTTTCAGGGGCTCTTGGGAGGCACCTGGTGGCTCTGAGAGAATAGTTGTGCCACGGTATACAGCAGGGAAAGTTACAGACAGGCAACTGCAGACTAAATGGCCAAGATAGGAATGGGGTGTCTCTTAATCTTCTGTCATCACTTTGAAAACTTGGGACTGGGGTGGGGTGGGGTGGGGAAAGAAGTAAATGGAAGAGCCACCAAGGGAGGCTAAGTGCAGGGGATAGAGAGTGGAGTGAAAATGGGAGTGACAGGGAAGCTGTAGGGCCTTAGAGATCCCCAGGCCTCCACAGGGAGTAGGAGGTACCTGACTGGAGAAACTGGCTTGGGGGTCAGTAGATCTGACAGTGGTGGTTATTGACTCCAACTCCCCTGGCACCTGGTCCTGGGCACTCCTCAGCAGCAGCACCAGCAGCATCGGCACTAGCAGCCTCTGTGAGTCTCTCCACTGGGCACCCTAAAATTGCTTTGGGCTTAATGAGTCCCTTGCCTGGGAATAGAAAGGAATAAGAACAGAGTGGGGAGTTGGGAGAGGAGAGAGAGAGAGAGAGGGAGAGAGGGCAAGAGGAACACAGAAAAGCAAATGGTTGGGGGGTGGGGGTCAAAACACCTACACTGATCAACATTTCAGTGTCCCCTACCCCCTGAGAAGAGTTTGCCTAAACCTCCCATGTTTGTCCCTGAGGGCAAAAAAAGAGGGCACAGGCTGGCACTTCCTGTCCAGGAACCTCTCCCAACCCTCAGCCAGCCCCTGTTCACTCACTTGGTTGTTTTGCATGGTCCACGAACACTGGCAGTTAAGGGACTGATGGCTGGTTGAGCGGCGGGGCTGGAGGTGGCTGATGGGTGGTGTGGCCAGCCTTGCTGCTGCCCCCGGAGCTCATGGCTGCCCCTGCATGGAGAGATCTCAGGCCCCAGGGCCAGGGTGTGCTCAGGGAAGAGATAGCCAAGAGCTAAGGTTTTCCGGGCGCCTCTTCTTCCTGCTGTGGCCAGATGAGTAAGGGCAACAACTCAACCCAGGGCTATATGTGCCCCCGCCTGCTTGTTTAGGGAGGCAGTCCTGGCCCCCAGCCAGCAGGACCCTGGCCAACTTTGCTTCTCCTCCTTCCTCCTCCCGCCGCCACCCGCCGCCCTTAGTTCCAGCCTGCAGCAGAGGGAAAGGAGGAGGCAGCAGTTGGAGGAAAAACAGTAAGTTAGGTGGTCAGGCTCCAGCCAAGAAGACATCTCACAAGACCAGTTAATATTTAGAACAACTTTCTCCCCCATCACCCAGCCCCACTCTAATTCCCCACCCTTCCCCCAGCTATGCTACAGTCCTCCTATCAGAAGCCTGCAGAGGAGGAAGGGGCATGGGGGGAGAAGCAAAACAAGGACCAGGAGACAGTCCGGGAGGCCAGATGTGTTCCTGACTGTATCCAGCTGTTTCTGCCCACTCATTTTTATTTTCTTTTCTCTAGAGGCCCTCATGCCAAGGCAGGGGATAGAGATTGGAGAAGGGGAGGGGCAGAGGAACAAGAGAGAATCCTGCTTGCCTGTGGCCTGTGCCAGAACTGGCAGATACCCCAGCCCCTTTGAGACAAGCCATAGCCCCTCCTTCCACCCTTCCCCGACTCCTGCCTCCAGGACCCATCCCTGAGGATTGGGCCAGTCTCCTATTTTGCTAATGAGAGTTTGCTAATGGATCACCCAGATGAATCTAAATTCCAAGGTAGCCCCCACCCCTTGGCCCAGTCTCCATGCCTCTCTCCCTTCACCAGACCAGAAATTTCTATGAGGAATAAAAATTCCTACCACAATCCAACAACCTCCCTAACTCTTCCTTTTCAGCCCGTTCCTCCCTCAGAGCCAGGGCTGAGCTGAATTGAGAGTTTCAAGACATGCGAGCAGGCTCCTGGCTCCTCTTCCCTCTTCATTACTGACTTGCTGTAAGGCTGGTGCAGCGGGTGGTTTCCTCAGTGGACTTCATGGCTAGAATGAGAGCGGAGGGGAGTGGTGACAAACACAAAGGTATACAGGGACCCCTGAGTTCAGCTCTACGGAGCTGGATTCTTAACAAAAAATGGCAAATAAGAACTTGGGCACTTGGAGATTTTCAGAGTGGGGAGGGTAGAAGCATCAGCTCCCTTTCTCTGCCCGCCCCCTTTCCCTTCCCCTTACCTGTGCTTCTCCTCAACCACTCCAGCTCATTTGCTTCTTGCTTCCCTAAACCTGCCAGTCTCTTTCATGCATGGTGCTTTTCTTCGGGACACTGCTCTATCCCCTCCAACTGTATATCAACTACTTCTTCCATATCCATCTCTAATGTCTCACCACTTTGTGGGAGCCTTCCTTGATGCCTTTCCTCCAAGACAGGGTCCTGTCCTCTGCATTCTCATAACCTGCTTTGTTTTTTTTTTTTCCTAGAGTACTTTTCATACTCCTCCCTCCGGCCATGCTCCTGGCATTGAGTGGGCACTCATCGGCTATTGAACAAACACAAGTTATAACCTCTTACGGTTACCAGATCTCTCACTCTTCAGAATACAGTCTTCTGCTTTCCTTAAGACTGACCTAAATCCCACCTGCTTTATTATCCTAACTAGATTGATGCCAGCTCCCATAATGCCTCAGCCTTTTCCTATTTGCCGCGGGCTGGTGAGGTCTAACTGGAAACAAACTGGTGACTAGTCCTGCAAATGCAGCCACAGCAGAGGCAGTTTGCCAGGTTTCCTGGAATGACTCTTCCATCCTTGAAGCAGGACCTCTTCTTGTTCCTCATAGGTCAGATCTTTAAAGCTTCTACCAAGATGCCAAAAGCAATTGCAAAAATAAAAATTAAAATTGCCTGTAATCCGAGAACTGTGGGAGGCCAAGGCAGGTGGATCGCTTGAGCTCAGGAGTTCGAGACCAGCCTGGCCAACATGGTGAAACCCCATCTCTACTAAAAATACAAAAATTAGCTGGGCATGATGGTGGGCGCCTGTAACCCCAGCTACTAGGGAGGCTGAGGCAAGAGAATCGCTTGAACTTGGGAGGCAGAGTTGTAGTGAGCCAAGATTGTGCCACTGCACTCCTGCCCGGGTGACAGAACGAATCTGTGTCTCAAAAGATAAAATAAGGCCGGAAGCGGTGGCTCACACCTGTAATCCTAGCACTTTGGGAGGCTGAGGCGGGCAGATTGCCTGAGCTCAGGAGTTCGAAACCAGCCTGGGCAACATGGTGAAACCCCGTCTCTACTAAAAACACAAAAAAATTAACCAGGTGTGGCAGCGTGTGCCTCTAGTCCCAGCTACTCGGGAGGCTGAGGCAGGAGAATTGCTTGAACCCGGGAAGCGGAGGTTGCTAGACAGAGCGAGACTCCGTCTCCAAAAATAAATAAAATAATAATAATAAAAAAAACAAAAATAGAAAATTTAAAAATAAAAATTGGCAAATGAGACCTAGTTAAAGAGTTTCTGTACAGAAAAATAAACTATCAACAAAGTAAACACAATCTACAGAATGGGAGAAAATACTGTCAAACTCTGCATCCAACAAAGGTCTAATATCCACAATCTATAAGAAACTTAAATTAACAAGCAAAAAACTACAACCCCATTAAAAAGTGAGCAAAGGACATGAACAGTTTTCTTTTTTTGTTTGTTTGTTTGTTTGTTTTGTTTTGTTTTGTTTTTGAGATGGAGTTTCACTCTTGTTGCCCAGGCTGGAGTGCAGTGGTGCGATCTCAGCTCACCGCAACCTCTGCCACCCGGGTTCAAGGTATTCTCCTGCCTCAGCCTCCGAAGTAGCTGGGACTACAGGCACCTGCCACCACGCCTGGCTAATTTTTTGTATTTTTAGTAGAGACGAGGTTTCACTATGTTGGCCACATTGTTGGTCTCGAACTCCTGACCTCGTGAACCGCCCGCCTCAGCCTCCCAAAGTGCTAGGATTACAGGCATTAGCCACCGCGTCCGACCGACACTGTTCAAAAGAAGACACGCATGCAGCCAACAAGCATATGAAAAAACGTTCAACATCACTTATCATTAGAGAAATGCAAATCAAAACCACAGTGAGATACTATCTCACACCAGTCACAATGGCTAGCATTAAAAAGCCAAAAAATAACAGATGCTGGCAAGGCTGTGGAGAAAAGGGAATGTGAATACACTGCTGGTGGGAATGTAAATTAGTTCAGCCACTGTGGAAAGCAGTGTAGGACCAGGCATGGTGGCTCACTCCTGTAATCCCAGCACTTTGGGAGGCTGAGGCGGGAGGATCACTTGCGACAAGGAGTTTGAGACCAGTCTGGGCAACATAGCAAAACCCTGTCTCTACAAAATAAAAAAATAATAACATTAGCCAGGCATGGTGGCACACACCTGTAATCCTAGCAATTTGGGAGGCTGAAGTGGGAGGATCACTTGAGCCCAGAAGTTTGAGGCTACAATGAGCTATGATCATGCCACTACACTCCACCCTGGGTAACAGAGACCCTGTCTCAAAATAAATAAATAAATAAAAGAAAGCAGTGTGGCAGTTTCTCAAAGAACTCAAAACAGAATTCCCATTCGACCCAGCAATCCCATTGCTGGGTATACACCCAACCAAAGGAATATAAATTGTTCCATTATAGAGACACATGCGCGCCTATATTCATTGCAGCACTATTCACAATAGCAAAGACATGGAATAAACCTAAATGACCATCAATGATAGACTGGATAAAGAAAATGTGGGGCCAGGTGCGGTGGCTCATGCCTGTAATCCCAGCACTTTGGGAGGTCAAGGCAGGAGGATTGTTTGAGCCCAGGAGTTCAAGACAGCATGGGAAACATCGTGAAACCCTATCTCTACTAAAAATGCAAAAAGTAGCCAGGTGTGGTGGCACACGCCTGTAGTCTCAGCTACTTGAGAGGCCGAGGCACAAGAATCACTTGAGCCCGGGAGGCAGAGGTTGCAGTGAGCTGAGATCATGCCACTGCACTCCAGCCTGGGCGACAGAGTCAGACCTTGTCTCAATAATAATAATAATAATAATAATAAAGAAAATGTGGTGCATATAAACCATAGAATACTATGTAGACATAAAAAGCCTGCATGCAGTGGCTCACGCCTGTAATCCCAGCACTTTGGGAGGCCAAGGCTGGTGGATCACTTGAGGCCAGGGGTTCGAGACCAGCCTGGGCAACATGGCAAAACCCCATCTCTACCAAAAATACAAAAAGTAGCTGGCAATGGTGGTACACACCGGTAACCCCAGCTATTCAAGAGGCTAAGGCATGAGAATCCCTTGAGCCCAGGAGGTGGAGGTTGCAGTGAGCCAAGATCATGCCACTGCACTCCAGCCATGTCAATAGAGCAAGAATCTGTCTCCAAAAAAAGAAAAGGAATACTACACAGTCATTAAAAGGAGTGATAACATGTGCCTTGCAACAACATGAATGGAACTGGAGGCTATTATCCTAAGTGAACTAATGAGGAACAGAAAACCAAATACTGCATCCTCTCATTTATAAGTGGGAACTAAATGATGAGAACACATGGACACAGAGAGGGAAACAACAGAAACCAGGGCCTACTTGAGGGTGAAGGGTGGAAGGAGGGAGAGGATTGAGAAACTACCTATCGGGTACTGTGCTTATTACCTGGGTGACTAAATAATCTACAGTCAAACCCCCGTGACATGCAATTTACCTATATAACAAACCTGAACCTAAAATAAAAGTTAAATAAGCCAGCCACAGTGGCTTACGCCTGTAATCCCAGCACCTTGGGAGGCTGAGGCAGGTGGATCACCTGAGGTCAGGAGCTGGAGACCAGCCTGGCCAATATGGTAAAACTCTGTCTCTACTAAAAATACAAAAATTAGCCAGGCATAGTGGTGAGCACCTTTAATCCCAACTGCTCAGGAGGCTGAGGTTGCAGTGAGCTGAGATCATGCCATTGCACTCCTGCCTGGGTGACAGAGCGAGACTCTGTCTCAAAAAAAAATAATAATAATAAGTTAAATAATTTTTAAAAGCTTCTACTATGTAGGTTTTAGGACAGAGGAGAGTGGAATACTCGCTGTTGGAAGACTGCCCTCCTTCAGAATGCCCTCTCAGGCTCCCTTCCCCTTTAATCTACCATACTTTCAGTCAGGCTTGCCTGCCTTGTTCACCTTAACTGTCCCTTGGTGGCCTTGTATACGTATGAAGTACTGGGTCTTGCCCTCTCCATACGGGAGGGCTAGAACTCTGTCCATATCTTGGGAGCCTGTCCCATACGCTCTGTACCTTATCTGACCAGGTGAAAAGTCTCTGTAAATCCAGAATCTGGCCCCAAACCATTTTTGTGAACTCTTTTCCCACTCCGTCTCTCCTGCCACCTCAGACTACTCCCTATTCCGCCAAAACAGCATAATGTACCCATCCCTCATTTTTCCTTAAGCCATTCCTTCTGCCCAGAATGCCTGCCTTTCCCTCCCCCTCCTGCTCTCCCTTTCTCCAAACCCCTCCCCCACCACACACAGACATCTGTTCATCTTTCAAAGCCCAGTTAAAATGGCTCCTCCTCTGTGAGACCTTTCTTATCTGGTCAGAATATATCCCTCCTTCCTCCCTGTCACCTCCAGCAGTTTATAGTTCTATTTAGCACAGACTCCATTCTTCCTTGTGCACTGGTTATTTGTTTACTCATCTATTCCCCACTGGCTGGTAAACACTTTGAGGTTTACTCATCTTGGTGTCCCACCCACCATTCACTTCTCTCCCACCCACCACCGCAGCCTTGCCTCTATCACACAGTGCCTGGCATCTAGTTTGTGATCAATGTTTACTAAGCAAATGAATGGCTCCTTATCTTTTCCCTAGCGCCATGGAAAGCTCAAGAAAAATCCTGGCCCATGTGTTGTAGAGGATCCCTGCTTCCATGACCACCCCCTTCTCACCCTCACCCCCAAACCCATGCCTTGGCCCTTGTGCGCTTTTATTTTTTTTTTTTTACCCACCCTGTGTGTGACCCAAAGGCCCAAAATTGCATCGCTTGGATGTTCATTGGGAATTCACTCACATAGTTGCAAAATTATGAAGCTGGAAGGGATTTCAGGGACCCCCCCACCATCTGTCTCCTATTTCACAAAATGAGGAACTGAGGCGCCTAGAGGTCAAGAGATTTGCCCAAGTACCCTCAACATATTAGGAGCCTAGTCAGAACTAGATCCCTGAAAAGTTTTCGAGTTTTGATATTTGGTTTGCTTTGCGTGTAGCCACCGCCCACTAACCTTGCACAGAAAAATGGGTAAATGGCGCCACATAGTGGCTAAGAGGCTTAGCGTCACCTAATGGTCCTGTTCCTTAAAAGTGTAATTCCCAACCACATCCTGCTTTGCCTTTGTCTCCGAAAGAGGAGGATACAGGGAGGTCACCTTCCAGGAATATCCCGCAGAATATTCAAGTAGCCCCAGCTGCTCCAGGCAGGAAACAAGAGACAACCGTTTTCTTCAGTGTCTGCACCAGAAAGAGAGGGATTGGGGACAGCAGGCAGCTTGAAAGCCAGAGAGTCAGGCTTCCTAAAGGGGCTTGGAAGAGGCGTCTCAGACCTTCTGTAGCTGAACCAGCTCCGAAGCTGCCTCCTGGGCCTGTGTTGCTGGGCTGGCTGCTTTACTGAATGGTTCTTTGCCACATTTGGCCTGCCAGGAACTGGCTTCACAGCCTGACACAGGCCCTTCTACCCAAAATATGCAGGTCTGAAAACTCAGCGTCCAGAGCTGAGAGGTAAATACCCCTAGATTCTTTCAATAGAAATTTTAAACAAGCTATCTTGGAGGTTCGGAAGCTGGGCTTTTCCCTCTTCGCACATAGAATTGCACTCTAGTTGATGCGACCCACCACCCCCCGCCCCGCCCCACCCCATGAAGCCTTCCTCATCCAGCTCTTAGCAAGAATCTTCTACATTGTAGGTCAAAGGAAAAGGGACATTTAGACTCAGGCAGAAGAGGGAAAGGGGGACATATTTGGTGTCATATGCCAAGATCTGACAGCATGCCTCATCTGGGAATGGAGATTCTTGGAAGTTCAGGAGAAAACAAGAAGCTCCCTAGGGCTGAACCTAGGGCAGGGCCACCTGCTTGGCCCTGCCAATGAGCCGTCATCCTTGACCCCCGTTTGGCCTCTGGCTTGAAGCCTGGATGGAAGGAAAATGGGGGAGGATTTGGGCCCCCAGGAAAATGAGGCTTGGCCCTTGCTGGCTCTGGGAATAAAATTGGGGGCTGATGACTGAAAATCAGGCAGAGGCTCAACAACAAATCAAGCAAGAGTCCTGGGGTAAATGAATCTTCATTATTCTCCCATCTGGGCCGTGAGTTCTAGGAATTTGTCCAAAGGATGAGGCCCTGAGTGAGCTGGCTGCTGGCAGGCTGGTTGTGGTGCTTAGAAAATTGGGTGAGGGGAGGAAAGGATAATAAGTGAAGGGAAAATGGAGACCAGTGGGGGTAATAGGAGCTTAGGCAGGGGTCAAAGCATATTTTGTGGGCTGAGATGGAATTTATGCAGCCCAATGATGTTTAAATGAAGTGATCTTAGAAATCAATTTCCTGGTTGGCTTGGAACTCCTAGGAGTAAAGCAAGACAACTTTCCATACATGAAGGGCTCAGACCACAAGTTTCTCTTCCATCCATTCCCCTCTTCAGACCTGGAGCATACAATGCCATTGTCTCCTGGAGTTGTCCCCTCACCCCAAAGGGATGCTGATTCTGGAGCTCGGATGATTCTAATACTTGTTATCTAACCTCTTTACATCCATGGAGTATTCCATATACTTCAGCTACTTTTCAACATCTAACAATTAGAATGCCAGGGCAATCTGGCCATAATAGGTTACCACCTGGATGGCCATCTAATTAGCACCCCCATAGCTCTGTGAAGTTGGCAGGATGTGGAGAGCTCCCTCTTTCTCTCTCTCTCTCTCTCTCTCTGTCTGTCTAATACAGATGGAGTCTCTCTGTGTTGCCCAGGTTGCTCTTGAACTCCTGGGCTCAAGTGATCCTCCCGCCTCCCAAAGTGCTGGGATTACAGGTGTGAGCTACTACACCCAGCGGAGTTATCTCTATTTTGCAAAGGAGGAAACTGAGGCTCAGAGAGATGAAGTTGATTAGACGGAGAATATCCGTGCTGGATAGATCTCAGATCATTCTAGTCAAAATCACATTTTGATAATCAAGGCCCAACTCCTCCTACCCCTCAATGCCCATTTCCAGTGACTAGGTACTCAAACACCTGCAGCAACTTGGAAATCTCTATGATCTAAGGCAAACTTTGTCCTCAACCCATAGCCTATTAGGTATGGGGCTTGAACTAGGAAGCCAGGGCTTTAGAAAGGAGCTGGCACCTGACTTTGGGGAGCTTAGTGTTTCCCAAGTTGAAAGCTTTTACATGGTTTTAGCTAGTTTGCATCAGACATCCTCTTATGTTGTAGCCAAATCAAGACTCAAGGCGGGAGGGGGCAAAATCACCTGAGAAAAAGAAAGAGATAATAAGCGATAGAGTGCTGAAAATAAGCCTTTATCCTAGAAAAGTGTCTGGGCCAGGTAAAGGATGGGAGAGATGGGGTAGGACTGGAGGTGGGAAGGAAAGGAAAAGTCTAACCAACTCCATGGAACCCAGAAGATTTGAAGGATATCCAGCCAGCCTAGGATTAGAAGTTTGGATGCTGGTTAGAGGAGGCAGCACTGGGGTCTGATCCCAACTGGAATGCTACTACAATTGGGCCACTTTGTGCAGACCTTCCAGGTTAACAGCTGCCATGTTGCAGATAAACTCCTCATCCTTCACTGGAATGTCAAAGAATGAAATTTTAAGAGGAGGAATGCATGCCCAGGTGCGGTGGCTCATTCCTGTAATCCCAGCACTTTGACAGACCGAGATGGGTGGATCTCCTGAAATCAGGAGTTTGAGACCAGCCTGGCCAACATGGAGAAACCCCGTTGCTACTAAAAATACAGACATTAGTTGGGCGTGATGGTGGGCCCCTGTAATTCTAGCTACTGGGGAGGCTGAGGCATGAGAATCACTTGAACTCAGGAGGTGGAAGTTGCAGTGAGCCGAGATTGCACCACTGTACTCCAGCCTAGGCAACAGAGTGAGACTCCATCTCAAAAAAAAAAAAAAAAAAAAAAAAAAGGGTGTGTGGGGGGTGGAATGCAGCTCTCTTCTACCTCTGAGTAGCTGTTAAAAAAAAGGAATGCAGCTCTCTTCTAGCTCTGAGCAGCTGTTTTGGAATTGAAGGTGGGGGAGAAGTGTATCCCGAACCAGAGAAACTAACCTAAGAAATAATTCTATAGTGTTGCTATTATATAAGTAATAGGCATCATACATAAGACTAGTATTAGTAGGAAAACTGGGGCCCAGGGAGAAGTTATTGTTTACATGACATCAAAACTAAGCAGACCATTTGGTCCGTTTTGGTCAAATTGGTTCACCTGATTGATTTAGTGGAAAACAATTAGCTGAGCTTCTTGGCATGAAGCTTACCAAATAAAAAGTTCCTTCAACTAAATTTTTTGCTTTTCCACTCCATATTTTTGATTCATGGAGACACTAAGTCTGGTTCTCACCTCACCTTGAATCCTCAGCACAGAGGACAGAGGCACTTTTGTGCCCATCCCATGCCCACCACTGTTCCCTCTGCCCACCCTGCCCTTGCCAGACCTGGACTTACATCTAAGCAAGAAAAAGATTCTGTAGGAAATAGCTTAGAATATACTACTTCCTTTTCCCTCTCTCTCCCTCTGCTTCCTTCTCCCTCTCTCCCTGTTTACCTCCCTCCCATGGATATATAAAGGGCTCTGGACTCCTAATCCAGGGCCCAGCCCTCTATACTCTGCTAGCAGGGGCTTCCTCTCAACCAGCTTATCCACTCACTGGTTTTGACAGTAACCATCTGTTCCTGGGGAGACCTAAGGAAGCAGTAGGAATGGAAATGGTTTCCTTGCTCTCTCTTCAGTTAAAGAAACATTGTGAGGAGGAGAGAGCCATTTCCACACAGTCCTCTTATTCCTTGCATGGCCCTGCTCTTGAAAGTCACCCCTGGTGAGGGAGCCTTTGTCATATTTAAAGAAAAGGAAAGCAAGGAATTTTTCAAAGGAGTAAGAATAAGGAAGAGAAAAAACAAAAAAGGAAAGGAAGGGAAGGGAAGGACATGGGGTCTTTCTCAACCGAGGTTGGCTAGCCTGATCCCTGAATTCTCACTGGGACCTCTGCTGAGTTTTGAAGACCTTGGGAGCAATGAATTGCTCTACAACATCTGTATCCTCTTCACCTTGCTTGGCTTTCCCCCAGGAATTAGAGAGCCATCTTTTGTACAGCTGGGTATAAGTGAATGCATTTGTGAGTATTCATTTTAGGTTTTTGTTGTTGTTGTTGTTGTTGTTTCCGAAATAGAGTCTTGCTCTGTCACCCCAGGCCAGAGTGCAGTGGCACCGTTTCGGCTCACTGCAACCTCTGCCTCCCAGGTTCAAGTGATTCTCCTGCCTCAGTCTCCCAAGCAGCTAGTATTACAGGCACACACCATCATGCCTGGCTAATTTTTTTTTTTTTTTTAGTAGAGACTGGGTTTCACCATGTTGGCCAGGCTAGTCTCGAACTCCTGACCTCAAGCAATCCACCCACCTCGGCCTCCCAAAGTGCTGGGATTACAGGCGTTAGCCATCACACCCAGCCGAGTATTCATTTTGGATGCTTATGGCCAGGGAATGATAGGCAGGAAGCAAAACAATGGAAGAATGGTAGAGAGGGCTGTTGGGGAATGAGAGGAGTGAGTAACAATCAAGAGACAAAAGAAGTTAAGGGAAAAAAGGAAAAGAGAAGGTTGTACAGAGGGAGCTTTAAAAAAGGCATGAAGCTGAACCCTCAGCCTGGGGCCACCCCCACAACCCCTCACCCCATGTGGTACTGCCATCTAGTCTAACTAGAGGATGGCACCTCAATATCTGGATACATAGGTCCTGCCTCCTCAGTGAGCAGGAGACCAAAGTGTGAAGGCTCCTTTCCAACTTCCATGAAAACACTCCACCCAGAAGAAACCTAATGAATGGGTCCTGATAAACTGTGCATTCATGAGATAGACACTTATCTCTGGAAAAATAATCTCAGGGCCTGTCTAGGTCAATGCTCCTCTCTGCTCTCCACCACCACTGACTTGAAGGTGAAGAAGCCTAAAGGGAAGTTTCTCCAGCAAGTCAGCCACAGTTTATCTCACATTTGGGGATAAAGAGCCCCTAAATACTCCTCTAGCCATGTTAAAGGATGCTGGAGTAGTCAGCTTTAGGGTGCAGAACCCAAATTATGGGCCCTGAAAAAGCAAATGAGGACTCTATACACACTCTGTCCTCTTGTCCTCATCCCAGCAATCCAGATAACCCACTGTTCCCACTTTTCAGGCCTCACCTTCAAGCAGGAGTGCCACACCCCTTTTTAAACAGAACCCTGGAAACAGCATAAGACAGCGAGTTGACTGCATATCCTCAAAGGATCAAAAAGCAATGAATGGGCCAGGCACGGTGACTCACGCCTGTAATCCCAGCACTTTGGGAGGCTGAAGCGGGTGGATCACTTAAGGTCAGGAGTTCGAGACCAGCCTGGGAGACCAGCCTGGCCAACATGGTGAAACCCCATCTCCACTAAAACAGGCATGGTGGTGAGTGCCTGTAATCCCAGCTACTTGGGAGGCTGAGGCAGGAGAATTGCTTGAACCTAGGAGGTAGAGTTTGCAGTGAGCTGAGATCATGCCACTGCACTCCAGCCTGGGCGACAGAGTGAGACTGTCTCAAAAAAAAAAAAAAAAAAAAAAAAAAAAAAGCAGAGAATGAAAAGGTTAGGGAAACATCTTTGCTAGTCATTTTCCTTCAAGTCAGAGGTTCCCAAATGTTGCTTGAGCAACCAGAGCCAGGCTCAAAACCCTAGAAGAATGTGGTAACAAATTGAGAAGGAGTTTCAGGTTAGAACTAGGAATTTCCCTAAAGAGGCAATGTGCTATGAGCAGGGCTATATAGAATATTTCAAAAATTAACTGTGCTCTCAAGCTCAAGACCAGAGAAATCATTTGCATATTGTTCTGCAAGGATGTTCACCTTCCAGATACATTGTTCAGTGCTCTGATACCCACAATCTAATTTCTCTAGGAAACCAGGTCTACATGTCATCTAGCTTATTTTGCATGCAGACATGTCAATACCCAACCTTCAAAGACTGTTCTCCAACTGCCCTGGGAAGTGGGCAGGGCAACTTACAATGAATCCATTTTATAGCTGGAGGAAACTGAGGCCAGAGCAGCAAAGAGATTTGCATCAGGTGGCAGAATTGGGAAGGATGAAACTTAAGTTATCCAAAATCCTAAACCACTTTTCTATCCCTATATTTTCACTTCTAGGTAGAGGCTGGAGAGAATTAGACCTTCCAAGACTTGTAAACAGCCCAAAAAAATAGAGGAAGGAGCTTTGTGGGTGTCAGGAACTGAAAGGTGGAGATGATGTGGAAGAGGAAATCTGTGTATCAACATACAGACTGCCTGCAGCTCTGCCTAAATCAGCTTGCTTGCAATGAATATGGTTGATGGCCTGGTAGAGGAAAATGTCCACTTTGCAGAACATGAACATCATTTTCTGCCTATATAAAGGAGACAAAGACAGGCTTGAACTCAGGACTAAGGCTCAGTTATCTTTGGGCCAAGTCAGGCACCCTGGTTGCCATGTCATGGGTCCTTAGCATGGGCCCCAGGGATCCCAGAGAGGCAAAAGAGAATCCAAAGCCCAGACCCTTGACCAAAACCTTGTCCAGTCTCAACCATTAAATCCACCCTTATAAAGGACTTTCAGACATTTGCAGAGCCCACAGGTCTCTATCCCAGGCCATCTGGCAAAAGAACTTCTAGAGCTCTGACAACTGGAGGAAATAGGCACAGTGGAAGAAGGTGAGTTTGACAGTCTGTGGAGCAAGAAAAGGGAGCTGATGTGAGGGAGTCAGGCAAGTGCTCTGGCCCCAGGCTCTGATAATCCTCCAACAATTCCTCTCCCCCTAGACATGCACTGGCCTCTTTTTCTGTTTTCTGGGAGGAGGGGGTAAGGTGGCTGATACAGTTTGGCTTTTTGTCCTCTCCAAATCTCATGTTGAAATTTGATCCCCAGTGTTGGAGTTAGGACCCAATGGGAAGTGTCTGAGTCATGGAGGTGGATCCCTCAGGAATGGCTTGGCGTCATCCTCATGGTAATAATTCAGTTCTCTCTCTATTAATTCACGTGGAAGCTAGTTGTTTAAAAGAGCCTGACACCCCCTCACCTTCTTCCTCCCTCTCTCGTCATGTGACACATTTGCTCCCCCTTTGCCTTCTGCCATGATTGAAAGTTTCCTGAGGTCCTTACCAGAAGCAGATTCCAGCACCATGCTTCTTGTACACTCTGCAGAACCTCTTTTCTTTATAAATTACCCAGTCTTAGGTATAGCAATGCAAAATGGACTAAGATAGTGGGCCTCTAGCCCAGTCCTAACCAGGGGAAATAAAAAGGGGAGAAAGGAAAAGGGATAGGATAGGACAAGAGACCTTTGATTCCTGGAGGAGACAAGCGAAAAGGCAGTTGGGTGGGTATCAACCAACTTAGGTTTTCAGTGAGCTGAGCTCCAGGAATAGAGGTGGGCTTTGCCCAGGCATCCCTGCTTACAGTAACAGGCCTGAGACAACCACAGGGAACAGAGCATCCAGTGACTTTAGAGGCCAACTTGGAGCTTGCTGCTCATAGACACTGGGGGTGCTGCAAGGGGAAGAAGGGGGCAGGGAGAGGGGAACATAGGAGAAATTAGCTGAGGGCTGTGAGTTCACCTTCACCACTTCCTTATTCTTATCTATGAGGTGGAAGAAAGAGCAGGGGAATAAACCTGTGGCAAATCTGATCATGGAAGAAGGTCACATTCCCTTTGTTCTCCAGACTACCCACCAAGTTTCTAAACATGACGACAGTTCTTGCGTGGACACAGCCTTCCTCCTGTGCAGATTAAGGCTATGTGTCTAGGGCCTTGTGTGCCTGGGCCCCAGCCCAGCCATGAGAGCCTATTTCTGTAGCACTCAACCTCTGCTCCCCAGGCAAGCAGTAGAGGACATAGTACACTCGGATTCACAGCCCTGAGTAAGTCACCATTACTCCTTTGGCACACACACACACAAGTTTACCATTAAATACTCACATGCAACTTGCTCCTTGATCAGAAACATATGTACCTACCTCCCCCGAAGATGTATGTGTGTATGACGCACACATACACTATCATAAAATATCCACAAGTGCACACACCTGGACATACAGACTCTCACACACTACATATGCATACACTCAAACCTGTACATATACATCTAGCCACACTCAGAACATTCATATTCATCTCCTTTGGACATAAACATGTCCACAATCTGTCACAATGAAGCCTCCTTTGCAAACACACACAACTATGTTTCTTTACACACTCACATAATGATATACAGACACAGAGACACACAACCACACTCATTCACACAGACTCTCACCCTCTGTGCTTACCTATACACATCCAGTACTTCCTACATGTACTCAGCAGATTGGTTTGCAAGTACTAATGCTTTATGTTGCTTTGCAAGTTCTCCTAGGTCTGTGTGATATCCTTCCTTCTGGCTCTTTGTCTTATACTCTTTTTCTTTTTTAAAACTTTTCCATATGAAAGTTTTCAAAACTATGCAGAAGTAGTAAGAATAGTAAAATGAAGGCCCATGAACCCATCACCCAGCTTCAAAAATTATTTATGCATGTTTTAAGTGAAACAATTCAACAGACATTTCCCATGTTTCAGTTCTCTGCATGTGTATGATGTTGGGACATAGCGGGGTGGCAGAGGGGAGCTGAAGACATAGTAGGTATTTAATAAATATTAGTTGAGTTGAAAATTTCCAGTCCCTGGGTGGGCCTCTGAGGTTAAAGAAATGATGACTAAGTCACTATCCCTGCCCTTGGTGTGGTAGAGGAAACAAACGTGAACACAAAATGCCCATAATTCATAGGGCTCAGTATTACACTAGAACAGGGGTTGGAAAATTATAGGCTGGGGACCAAGTCTAGATGGAAAATAAAGTTTTCTTTTGTTTGATTTTCTTTTTTTTTTTTTTTTTTTTTTTTTGGGAGACAGAGTCTTACTCTGTCACCCAGGCTGTGGAGTGCAGCGGCACAATCTTGGCTCACTGCAATCTCCACCTCCCGGGTTCAACTTTGGCCTCCCAAGTGGCTGGGATTACAGGCGTGAACCACCGCACCCAGCCTGTTTTGGAAAATAAAGTTTTATTGGCACATAGCCATGCCCATTCAATTACATGTTGTCTGTGGTTGCAATGGCAGAGTTGAACCATTGTCATAGAGACCATATAGCCCACAAAGATGAAAATATTTACTCTCTGACCTTTTACAGAAATATTTTGATGACCCCTGCACTAGAGGGCTGGGGAAAAGACTCTGGGAGCTAATTTGATTCTGCCTTGGAGGGAAGGTGGTAGTGGTGAGGGTCAGACAAAGCCTCCCAGGGTGGCATGTGGACCTGGGTCTCAGAGGCAGAGTGTGAGTCATCATCTCTCCACTGTACCCATGCTCTGTACACTTGGTTCACCCACCTACAACCTCCACAGAACACATTTGAAGAGCCCCAGGTACCCCCAAAAACACATGCAGTCATTCCCTTTGCACATTTTGCATCATCAAAGAAGGACTTTGAGGAAACAGTGATGTCAAGGCCCAGGTTCCCATGCGTTACTTACCCAATGGGTAGAATATGTCTGACAGGACACTCATGCTGGCCAAAATCACCTACTCATTGGTCTCAAAGAATGCATTCAGAAGGGCTGGCAGCTAGGCCTGATGGAAACTACTCTGGTTCATCAAGCACAGACACATGGAATGTTAGATCAGGAAGGCACCTCAGAGATCCCTGGATCCAAATGCATCCCTCTCCACTGACAGGTGGGAAAACTTACATGAGGCCCAAAGTGATTTGAACAAGGTCACACAACAAATTGGTAGCAAATTGGAACTGAGACTAGAACTTAGGTGTCCTGACTTTTGAAGCAAAGTGCTAGGCATCTATTAATAGTACAAACCTTTTACAGATGGGAAAAATAAGTTCCAGGGAAATGAAGATATTTTCCCAGTGTCACACTGTATGTTAGGGACAGAATTGTAGTGAGAATCCAGGGTGACTGAATCCCAGACCAAGGTTCTTTCAAGTGTTAAGCATCTAACTCAAGTGCCCAGAGGAGGCCTAAGATCCCCCAGATATTAACAGAAAGGCCAGGGGTCTTTCCACTAAGCCGCACTGCCTATCATGGAGCACACTAATGCTTTCCCAGCAAGGGGAGGAGGGTGATGAGAAAATCCACCTTCCCCAGCTTCCCCATTCCTAGCGGATGGCCTTTGCTAAGGGAAGGTCTGAGGTAGTGGTGCTAGAGCATTCCTCCCTTCCTCCCTCTGCTCAGAATCTCACCCCACATTTGGGCCCTGTGCACCCAATATACCCAGGGTGTGGAAGATGTTGTTGAAGCCATGCAGACTCACCAGCCTCGCCATCATGCTCCTGGCACAGATGCCTTTACACAGACAGCTCAGAAACGAGTCTCAAAACAACAACTTGGACACCAGAGAGTTTCAAAATGCTGGAAGAGTCAGTCCCTGAGGTTTTGGGCCCCTGAAAGGCTTTCCAGCTCATATTCTGCCAGCTGAGAGAGTCCTCCCCAAAGCAGGAGGCACTTCTGCCCTCAGTGGCCCTGTTACCAACCCACAACTACCCTGATCTCAGAGGATAAATGACCACTGGAACCATATGCTGGTGAACTGAAGGAACTATATAAGACTTACACCTGCTAACCGTAACCTGGGTCATCCCAAGTGTGTCCCTACCAGAGTAGGAACAAATGCTTGGCATCTGTTCTCTTCAAGGAGATAAAAGGTTTCAGGAGGGCAAGAAAAATTCCACGGGATCTCCCCAGGAAACTTCTTGTCTTAAATACTATGGATTTCCATATTCTCTAGTCTGAACCCCTCATTTTCTAGATGACTATACCAAGTCCCAGAGTCAATGGCTGGTTAGAGTCATACAACAATCCAGACAATGAGCAATGTCCTGCACAAAAGCAAGTTTTATTTAGAGGAAGATATACATGTCTGTCCTAGGCCAGCTCCTGGCTTCTGTGGGGTGGAGGTAGTTCTTACCTTGGTGAAGAAGACCATGGCTGCAATTCTGTGCCTCTTATCCTCAGTCTGGTATATGATAATGGAATACAAGAGAATTCCTGAAATCTGGAGACAGTAGAACTCCACCATGGCCCTGGAACAGAGAAACTTGAGCCATAAGACTGGTATCAAAACCAGCATTTAGGAAGGCTGGTATACTGTCTCCATAGCTGAATATGGCCTGGGGACAGTGGCAGCCTGAAGAATTCTTGCAGGAGCTTTTGGGGAGGGACTTGGGAGATTGTTTTTTTTTTTTTTCTATAGGGAAGCTGAAGGTTCTCAGATCTGACCCCAAACTCCTACACTGAGGCCCCTGCTGGCTCCCTCTCTGAGCCAAGCAGAGCCCAAGAGTAGCTGCTAATGGCCAGGGTCCTGCCTGTGACCCAACATTTAGATCTGTCTTGCAATTTCAAGGAGTAAAATGTCTAATGCTTTTGTTCCCCTAGGGTAGACCCTGGGGACATCACATCCCTTCGTTTTTTCACATCTAAGATACAAGATTATCGGGCCCTCATACTACCTCTATCTTGCCCATGGGCACCAAGAGGAGTAAGAAAACAGCCAGGTTGTCCCTTGTTCAATGAATAGGGGTCAGGGGTGGCTTTAGGATCCAGAGAAGAAATGAATAGAGAAGTATAACAAAGAACTGACTCTTCAGCCAGCCCCGTTGAATCCTTCTCATGGATCCTGGGGTTACAGCCAGGATACAGAGGCTGACCGTCAGGGTTTCCTCTCTTTTTCTGCTCCTCTCTTTCTCCACTCCATTGAACGGTGCTCAATGACTCCCTGCGTCTGTTTATTGAACGAGCTGCTACTCCCTATTTACTTCCTCAGGGGAGGGGGTGATATTCCCAGGCCCTCTTGGTACCAGGTTATGTATGAGATAAATGCCATGGCTGAAGGTTATAGGGCTGACAAGATTTGTCCAGGCTTCTTGAGCTTCAGAAAAATGAATTCCTCCAAGAGGCCTATCTTGCAGAGGAGACTGTACCACTTCTGTGGAAATGCTGCAGCCACGTCCTCGCCTGGGTAGTGTCAGCCAAAGTGCTCCTTCTGCCCCTGCCCTCCTTTAGTGATGTCCATTCTCCCCCAAATCTCCAGGGCTCAGATAAGGTGAGTGGGGATTATCTCTGAGAGCAGTTCTGCCATGGGCAACTGACAGAGGACAAATTTGGGGAAAATCATAGTAGTTTGGAAGCCACAGACCTGAGTTTACAAGGCCTGATTTGTAGTCAGTTTTGATACTCACTCACTGTGGCCTTGGAGGGCCTCTTCCTTCTTGAGACTTAATTTCCTCATCTAACAAGTAGAGATGAAAGCACCCACTTCATTGATGGGCATTAAGAATATGAACATGGCTAGACTCAGGCAAGATGGCCAAATAGGAACAGCTCCAGTCCTCAGCTCCCAGCAAGATCAACACAGAAGGCAGAAGATTTCTGCATTTCCGACTGAGGTACCTGGTTTATCTCATTGGGACTGGTTAGACAGTGGATGCAGCCCACGGAGGGCGGGCCAAAGCAGGGTGAGGCATCATCTCACCCGGGAAATGCAAGGGGTTGGGGAACTCTCTCCCCTAGCCAAGGGAAGCTGTGAGCGACTTTGCCATGAGGAACGGTGCACTCTGGCCCCTATACTATGCTTTTCCCATGGTCTTCACAACCCACAGACCAGGAGATTCCCTCGGGTACCTATGCCACCAGGGCCCTGGGTTTTGAGCACAAAACTGGGCAGCCATTTGGGCAGACACTGAGCTAGCTGCAGGAGTTTTTTTTTCATACGCCAGTGGTGCCTGGAACACCAGTGAGACAGAACCATTCACTACCCTGGAAAGGGGGCTGAAGCCAGGGAGCCAAATGGTCTAACTCAGTGGATCCCACAGCCATGGAGCCCAGCAGCTAAGATCCACTGGCTTGAAATTCTCACTGCCAGCACAGCAGTCTGAAGTCAACCTGGGACACTGGAGCTTTTGTGAGGAGAGGGGAGTCCACCATTACTGAGGCTTGAGTAGACGTTTTTCCCCTCACAGTGTAAACAAAGCCCCTGGGGAAGTTCCAACTGGGCAGAGCCCTCCATAGCTCAGCAAAGCCACTGTAGTCAGACAGTCTCTCTAGATTCCTCCTCTCTGGGCAGGGCATCTGTGAAAAAGAGGCAGCAGCCCCAGTCAGGGGCTTATAGATAAAACCCCCATCTCCCTGGGACAGAGCACCTGGGGGAAGGGGCTGCTGTGGGCACAGCTTCAGCTCACTTGAATGTCCCTGCCTGCTGGCTCTGAAGAGAGCAGCAGATCTCCCAGCACAGCATTGGAGCTCTGCTAAGGGTCAGACTGCCTTCTCAAGTGGGTCCTTGATGCCCATGTCTCCTGACTGAGAGACACCTCCAAGCAGGGGCAGACAGACACCTCATACAGGAGAGCTCCAGCTGGCATCTGGTGGTTGCCCCTCTGGGACAAAGCTTCCAGAGGAAGGAACGGGCAGCAATCTTTGCTGTTCTGCAGACTCTGCTGGTGATACCCAGGCAAATAAGGTCTGGGGTGGACCTCCAGGAAACTCCAGCAGACCTGCAGCAGAAGGGCCTGACTGTTAGAGGGAAAACTAACAAACAGAAAGTAATAGCATCAACATCAACAAAAAAGGATGTCCACTCAGAAACTCCATCCGAAGGTCACCAACATCAAAGACCAAAGGTAGATAAATCCACGAAGATGGGGAGAAACCACTGTAAAAAGGCTGAAAATTCAAAAAACCAGAATACGTCTAAAGGATCACAACTCCTTGCCAGCAAAGGAACAAAACTGGATGGAGAATGAGTTTGACAGATTGACAGAAGTAGGCTTCAGAAGGTGGGTAATAACAAACTCCTCCAAGCTAAAGGAGCATGTTCTAACACAAGGCAAGGAAGATAAGATCCTGAAAAAAGGCTAGATGAATTGCTACCTAGAATAACTAGTTTAGAGAAGAACATAAATGACCTGATGGAGCTGAAAAACACACCACAAGAACTTCGTGAAGCATACACAAGTATCAATAGCCAAATCAATCAAGCAGAAGAAAGGATATCAGAGTTTGAAGATCAACTTAATGAAATAAAGTGTGAAGACAAGATTAGAGAAAAAAGAATGAAAAGGCACAAACAAAGCCTCCAAGAAATATGGGACTATGTGACAAGACCAAACCTACATTTGATTGGTGTACCTGAAAGTGACCGGGAGAATGGAGCCAAGTTGGAAAACACTCTTCAGGATATTATCCAGGAGAACTTCCCCAACCTAGCGAGACAGGCCTGTTGGGAGCAGGCCCCCCAAAATCTGGACATAAACTGGCAGCAAAACTGGCCATAAACAAAATCTCTGCAGCACTGTAACATGTTCATAATGGCCCTAACACCCATGCCAGAAGGTTGTGGGTTTACGGGAATGAGGGCAAGGAACACCTGGCCCACCCAGGACAGAAAATCTCTTAAAGGCATTCTTGAGCCACAAACAATAGCCTGAGTGATCTGTGCCTTAAGGACATGCTCCTGCTGCAGTTAACTAGCCCAACCTATTCCTTTAATTTGGCCCATCCTTTCGTTTCCCAAAAGGGATACTTTTAGTTAATTTAATATCTATAGAAACAATGCTAATGACTAGCTTGCTGTTAATAAATACATGGGTAAATCTCTGTTTGGGGCTCTCAGCTCTGAAGGCAGTGAGACCCCAGATTTCCCACTTCACACCTTTATATTTCTGTGTGTGTGTCTTTAATTCCTCTAGCGCCACTGGGTTAGGGTCTCCCTGACCGAGTTGGTCTTGGCACAGGCCAACATTCAAATTCAGGAAATACAGAGAACAACACAAAGATATACCTTGAGAAAAGCAACCACAAGACACATAATCATCAGATTCACCAAGGTTGAAATGAAGGAAAAAAATGTTAAGGGCAGCCAGAGAGAAAGGTCAGGTTGCTCACAAAAAGAAGCGCATCATACTAACAGCAGATCTCTCTGCACAAACCCTACAAGCCAGAAGAGAGTGGGGGCCAACATTCAACAGTCTTAAAGAAAATAATTTTCAACCCAGAATTTCATATCCAGCCAAACTAAGATTCATAAGCGAAGAAGAAATAAAATCCTTTACAGACAAGCAAATGCTGAGAGATTTTGTCACCAACAGGCCTGCCTTACAAGAGTGACTAAAAGAAGCACTAAACATGGAAATGAACAACCAGTACCAGCCACCATACCAAATTACAAAGAACATCGATACTATGAAGAAACTGCATCAACTAACAGGAAAATAACCAGCTAGCATCATAATGACAGGATCAAATTCACACATAACAATATTAACCTTAAATATAAATGGGCCAAATACCCCAGTAAAAATACACAGACTGGCAAATTGGATAAAGAGTCAAGACCCATCAGTGTGCTGTATTCTGGAGACCCATCTCACGTGCAAACACACACATAGGCTCAAAATAAAGGGATGGAGGAATATTTACCAAGCAAAAAAAAAACAAACAAAAAACAAAAAAACAAAAAAAAAGCAACAACAACAACAAAAAACAAGGGTTGCAATCCTAGTCTCTGATAAAACAGACTTTAAACCAACAAAGATCAAAAGAGACAATGAAGGGCATTACATAATGGTAAAGGGAACAATGCAACAAGAAGAGCGAATTATCCTAAATATATATGCACCCAATACAGGAGAAACCAGATTCATAAAGCAAGTTCTTAGAGACCTACAAGGAGACTCAGACTCCTACACAATAATAGTGGGAGGCTTTAACACCCCACTGTCAATATTAGACAGATCAATGACACAGAAAATTAACAAGGATATTCAGGACTTGAACTAAACTCTGGACCAAGTGGACCTAATAGACATCTACAGAACTCTCCACTCCAAATCAACAGAATATACATTCTTCTCAGCACCAGGTCACACTTATTCTAAAATTCACCACATAATTGGAAGTAAAACTCTCCTCAGCAAATGCAAAAGAATAGAAATTGTAATAAACTGTCTCTCAGATTACAGTGCAATCAAATGAGGACTCAGGATTAAGAAACTAACTCAAAAACGCACAACTACTGGAAACTGAACAACCTGCTGCTGAATTACTACTGGGTAAATAATGAAATTAAGGCAGAAATAAATAAATTCTTTGAAACCAATGAGACCAAAGATACAACGTACCAGAATCTCTGGAACACAGCTCAAGTAGTGTTTAGAGGGAAATTTATAGCACTAAATGCCTACAAGAGAAAGCAGGAAAGATCTAAAGTTGACACCCTAACATCACAATTAAAAGAACTAGAGAATCAAGAGCAAACAAATTCAAAAGTTAGCAGAAGACAAGAAATAACTAAGATCAGAGCAGAACTGAAGGATATAGATACACAAAAAAAACCCTTCAAAATATCAATGAATCCAGGAGCTGGTTTTGTGAAAAGATCAACAAAATAGATAGACTGCTAGCCAGAATAATGAAGAAGAAGAGAGAGAAGGAGCTGTTATCATTCCTTCTGAAACTATTCCAAACAATAGCAAAAGAGGGACTCCTCCCTAACTCATTTGATGATGCCAGCATCATGCTTATACCAAAACCTGGCAGAGACACAACAAAAAAAAGAAAATTTCAGGCCAATATCCCTGATGAATATCGATGCAAAAATCTTCAATAAAATACTGGCAAACCGAATCCAGCAGCACATCAAAAAGCTTATCCACCATGACCAAGTCGGCTTCATCCCTAGGATGGAAGGCTGGTTCAACATCCACAAATCAATAACTGTAATCCACCACATAAACAGTACCAATGACAAAAACCACATGATTATCTCAAAAGATGCAGTAAAGGCCTTTGACAAAATTCAACACCTTTTCATGCTACAAACTCTCAATAAACTAGGTGTTGATGGAATGTATCTCAAAATAATAAGAGCTATTTATGACAAACCCACAGCCATCATCATACTGAATGGGCAAAAACTGGAAGCATTCCCTTTGAAAACTGGCACAAGACAGGGATGCTCTCTCTCACCACTCCTCTTCAACCTAATATTGGAAGTTCTGGCCAGGGCAATCAGGCAAGATAAAGAAATAAAGGGTACTCAAACAGGAAGAGAGGAAGTCAAATTGTCTCTGTTTTGTAGATGACATGATTGTATATTTAGAAAACCCCATCATCTCAGCCCAAAATATTTTTAAGCTGATAAGCAAATTCAGCAAAGTCTCAGGATACAAAATTAATGTGCAAAAATCACAAACATACCTATACATCAGTAATAGACAGAGAGCCAAATCATGAATGAACTCCCATTCACAACATTCACAATTGCTACTAAGAGAATAAAATACTTAGGAATACAACTTACAAGGGATGTGAAGGACCTCTTCAAGGAGAACTACAAACCACTGCTCAACAAATTAAAGAAGGACACAAACAAATGGAAAAACATTCCATGTTCATGGATAGGAGGAATCAATATCGTGAAAATGGCCATAATGACCAAAGTAATTTATAGATTCAATGCTATCCCCATCAAGCTACAATTGACTTTCTTCACACAATTAGAAAAATACTACTTTAAATTTCATATGGAACCAAAAAAGAGCCCACATAGCAGACAATCCTAAGCAAGAAGAACAAAGCTGGAGGCATCACGCTACCTGACTTCAAACTATACTACGAGTCTACAGTAACCAAAACCACATGGTACTGGTACCAAAACAGATATATAGACCAATGGAACAGAATAGAGGCCTCAGAAATAACACCACACATCTACAACCATCTGACCTTTGGTAAACCTGACAAAAACAAGCAATAGGAAAAGGATTCCCTATTTAATAAATGGTGTTGGGAAAACTGGTAAGCCATATACGGAAAAATGAAACTGGACCCCTTCTTTACACCTTATACAAAAATTAACTCAAGATGGATTAAAGACTTAAATGTAAGACCTAAAACCATAAAAACCCTAGAAGAAATCCAAGGCAATACCATTCAGGACACAGGCATGGACAAAAACTTCATGACTAAAACATCAAAAGCAATGGCAACAAAAGCCAAAATTGACAAATGGGATGTAATTAAACTAAAGAGCTTCTGCACAGCAAAAGAAACTATCATCAGAGTGAACAGGCAACCTACAGAATGGGAGAAAATTTTTGCAATCTATCCATCTGACAAAGGCTAATATCCAGAATCTACAAAGAACTTAAACAAATTTACAAGAAAAAAAACAAACAACCCCAACAAAAAGTGGGCGAAGGATATGAACAGACATTTCTCAAAAGAAGACATTTATTTTTATTTTATTTTATTTTATTTATTTATTTTTTGAGATGGAGTGTCACTCTGTCACCCAGGCTGGAATGCAGTGGTGCAATCTTGGCTCACTGCAACCTCCACCCACCCAGGGTTCAAGTGATTCTCCTACCTCAGCCTCCCAAGTAGTGGGGATTAGAGGTGCCTGCCACCATGCCTGGCTAATTTTTGTATTTTTAGTAGAGACGCGGTTTCAGCATCTTGGCCAGGCTGGTCTTGAACTCCTGACCTCGTGATCCACCCACCTCAGGCTCCCAAAGTGCTGGGATTACAGGCGTGAGCCACCACACCCAGCAAAAGAAGACATTTATACAGCCAACAAACATGAAAAAAAAGGGTCATCATCACTGGTCATTAGAGAAATGTAAATCAAAATCACAATGAGATATCATCTTATGCCAGTTAGAAAGGGGATCATTAAAATGTCAGGAAACAACAGATGCTGGAGAGGATGTGGAGAAATAGGAATGCTTTTACACTGCTGGTGGGAGTGCAAGTTAGTTCAAACATTGTGGAAGACAGTGTGGCGATTCCTCAAAGATCTAGAAACAGAAATACCATTTGACCCAGCAATCCCATTACTGAGTATATACCAAGAGGTTTATGAATCATTCTACTATAAAGACACATGCACATGTATGTTTATTGTGGCACTGTTCACAATAGCAAAGACTTGGAACCAACCCAAATGTCCATCAATGATAGACTAGATAAAGAAAATGTGGCACACATACACCATGGAATACTATGCAGCCATAAAAAAGGATGAGTTCAAGTCCTTTGCAGGGACATGGATGAAGCTGGAAACCATCATTCTTACCAAACTAACACAAGAACATAAAACCAAACACCTCACGTTCTCACTCATAAGTGGGAGTTGAACAATGAGAACACATGGACACAGGGTGGGGAACATCACACACTGGGGCCTGTCAGGGGGTAGGGGGCTAGAGGAGGGATAGCACTAGGAGAGATACCTAATGTAGATGACAGGTTGATGGGTGCAGCAAACCACCATGGCACATGTATACCTATGTAACAAACCTGCAAGTTCTGCACATATACTCCAGAACTTAAAGTATAAGAAGAAGAAGAAAATTAAAAAAGAAGAAAGAGTATGAACATGGCCAGCCATGGTGACACACGCCTGTAATTCCAGCACTTTGGGAGGCCGAGGCGAGCGGATCACCTGAGGTCAGGAGTTCAAGACCAGCCTGGCCAACATGGTGAAACCCCATCTCTATTAAAAATAAAAAAAAATTAGCCAGACATGGTGGTGCACACCTGTAATCCTAGCTACTGGGAGGCTGAGGCAGGAGAATCACTTGAAGCTGGGAGGCGGAGGTCGCAGTGAATTGAGATCACGTCACTGCACTCCAGCCTGGGCGACAAAGAAAGACTCCATCTCAAAAAAACAAAACAAAACAAAACAAAACAAATGTGAACATGAACAGGTTTTGTTGGATAAAATGCCCACTACTCATAGGAAGGGTTGTTGTGAACAGTATCCTTTTGATCCTTTCCTGGCCAGGCCCTGGTCCTTGTTTTCGCCTAGGTCAAGACTCAAATCCCAGCCTTCAAGCCTACAACTTGAACCAGCCTCTGACAGATGGATAAGATGCTTCAGCTCAGAGTGTATGTGTAGGGGAAAGGCGTGTACAGGCAAGGGAGGAATATCCTCCTGAAGACTAGGAAGATGGATATCAATCTTACTATTTTCTCTATTTATTTATTTATTTATTTATTTATTTATTTATTTAGAGATGGACTTTCGCTTTTGTTGCCCAGGCTGGAGTGCAATGGCACGATCTCAGCTCACCGAAACTGCCGCCTTCCGGATTCAAGTGATTCTCCTGCCTCAGCCTCCCAAGTAGCTGGGATTACAGGAATGCACCACCATGCCTGGATAATTTTGTATTTTTAGTAGAGACGAGGTTTCTCCATGTTGGTCAGGCTGGTCTCGAACTCCCGACCTCAGGTGATCCGCCCGCCTCAGCCTCCCAAAATGCTGGGTTTACAGGCATGAGCCACCGTGCCCGGCATATTAATATTACTTTTAAAAAATAGAGATAAGGTCTAATTGTGTTGCCCAGGCTGATCTCAAATTCCTGAACTCAAGCAATCCTCCTGCCTTGTCCAAACTGCTGGGATTACAGGCATGCGCTACTGTGCCATTTCTATTTTCTCAAACATTTACCAGAGAAATTCTTCTCTATGCCTAGTTGAAATTGGAATTAGATTGTGATTAATCCCAGTCCATGCCCCCTGAATATCTGTGTTCCAAGGCGATGGAACATAGATGTGCCCTATCAACCATGTAGCCTTTCTTTGGGTGATTAAAGTTGGATCCCAAAGAGGCCAGCTTCACTGCCACTTCTGCCAGGATCCTTCACTCAGCCTTCTGTTCCTCGTTTTGTTTAATTTTCCCCCAGGAGACATGAACCTCAGCTTAGATTAGGAAAATCTATGAAAAAGCTAGGTGTTTGTTTGTTTCCCACAAAAGAAATTCTTTTTATTTTATTTTATTTTATTTTATTTTATTTTATTTTATTTTATTTTTTGAGATGGAGTTTTGCTCTTGTCGCCTAGGCTGGAGTGCAGTGGTGTGATGTAAGCTCACTGAGACCTCTGCCTCCTGGGTTCAAGCGATTCTCCAGCCTCAGCCTCCTGAGTAGCTGGGATTGCAGGTGCCCATCACCACACCTGGCTAATTTTTGTGTTTTTAGTAGAGACGGGGTTTTGCCATCTTGGCCAGGCTGGTCTTCAACTCCTAACCTCAGGTGATCCAGCCCCCTCGGCCTCCCAAAGTGCTGGGATTACAGGTGTGAGCCACCGCACCCAGACAAAATGACTTAAAGATTTTTTTTTTTTGAGATGAAGTTTCACTCTTGTTGCCTGAAGGCTGGAGTACAATAGCATGATTTCAGCTCACTGCAACCTCTCCCTCCTGGGTTCAAGCAATATTCCTGCCTCAGCCTCCTGAGTAGCTGGGATTACAGGCATGCTCCACCACGCCTGGCTAATTTTGTATTTTTAGTAGAGACGGGGTTTCACCATGTTGGTCAGGCTGGTCTCCAACTCCTGACCTCAGGTGACCCACCTGCCTCAGCCTCCCAAAGTGCTGGGATTACAGGCATGAGCCACCGTGCCTGGTGATAAACTATTTTAGAAAAGCTTCAGGTGTATCCTGAGATTGATGGAATTCTATGCTTATTGTCAGAAGCAACTTTTTAAAATTGATAGTTAACAACAATGTATTGTATATTTCAGGAGCAACTCTTTGAAAGTGGCTAGTTCTAAAGAGAATTAAGGAGGAAGAATTAATTTTCTAGAAGGTCTAGCAAAGGAAGTTAAAAAGTTAATTAAGGCAGCAGTCTGACTCAAAGATAGGTTTCAGAGAGAAGCTGAAAGAATTCAGTCTTAGGGGCTGATAGTTACGGATTTGCAAGGAAGTTTCTGGGCCTTGGCACCTTCAACGAAAATTTCTCATGCAGTCCCCACAAATTACTGATGTTAATAAAAGCATCAACTTCTTTTCTTTTCTTTCTTTTTTTTTTTTTTTTTTGAGACAGGGTCTTGCTCTATTGCTCAGGCTGGATGGAGTGCAGTGGAGCAATCATAGCTCACTGCAGCCTCAAAATCCTGGGCTTAAGCAGTCCTCCCACCTCAGCCTACTGAATAGCTAGGACTGCAGGTGTGCACCACCACACCTGGCTATTTTTTATTTTATTTTATTTTTGTAGAGACAAGTTTTCCATATGTTGCCCGGGCTGGTCTAGAACTCCTGGGCTCAAGCAAACCTCCTGCCTCAGCCTCCTAAGTTGCTGGGATGACAGGCATGAGCCACTGCATCTGGCTAAAACATCAATTTATTAAACGGTCTTCATAGATTGTTTTATGCCAGGGAAATTTAAAAACTGATTTTTTAGTCATATTAAGGAATTCTTTAATATGTAACAAGAGCAAATATATATATATATATATATATATATATATATATATATATATATATATATTTTTTTTTTTTTTTTAAAGATTCCTTATCTTGGCCGGTCGGGGTGGCTCAAGCCTGTAATCCCAGCACTTTGGGAAGCTAAGGCAGGTGGAACACTTGAGGTCAGGAGTTCGAGACCAGCCTGGCCAACATGGTGAAACTCCTTCTCTACTAAGAATACAAAAATTAGCTGGGTGTGGTGGTGGGTGCCTGTAATCCCAGCTGCTCGAGAGGCTGAGGCAGGGGAATCGCTCGAACCAGGGAGGCAGAGGTTTCAGTGAGCTGAGATCATGCCACTGCACTCCAGCCTGGGCAACAGAGCAAGACTCTGTCTCAAAGAAAAAAAAATGTTGATCCTGTGGCTGGCACCAAATCTCTCCAGATCCCCAGGGTTTCAAGGACACTCCTCTCCTCTGAGATATCCTTTTGTGGAAATATTTGAAAAGCACTAGTCTGAGGGAAATAAGCATATTTAGGGGTGCTAAGCTTGAAATGTTAACTATAAAATAGGGAAAATTCCAGATGGATCTAAGATTTAAATGCTAAGAAAGAAAGAGACTAATGAATGTATAAGAAGATTGTATAACCTTTAAGTGAAGAAACTCTAAATGTCATACAAAATCCAAAAGCCATACAAGAAAATATTGATGCATTTCACATAATATTTAAAACTTTTGCATCACAAAAATATATATGACAAAGTCAAAACACTAACAACAAAGTGGTATCAGATTTTATAATACATAAAACAAGTAAGAGAGGGGCTACTTTTCTCAATAACAAAAAGATCATATAAATCAGTCAGATTAAGATGAATAACAATACAAAATGGGGAAAGGGCATGAACAGTAAGTAGACAGTAAGAAAGATGAATTACTGATAAAGATGCTCATCATTGCTCATAAAGAAAAATTAAAATTAAAGTGAGATACAACTTTTCACCTATAAGATTATTAAGTTTGTTAATACTTAGTGTGAGTGACAGTGTGGGAAAACAGTCCATCTTCTACATAGCCTATTAAGAGTATAAATTGGGCAATCTCATTGGAGGGCAATTTGTCAGTATTAATCAAAAATGTTAAGTGTGTGCCAGGTGTGGAAGCTCATGCCTGTAATCCCAGCACTTTGGGAGGCTAAGGCGGGCAGATCACTTGAGGTCAGGAGTATGAGACCAGCCTGGCCAACATGATGAAACCCCGTCTCTACTAAAAATACAAAAAAATTAGCTGGGCATGGTGGTGCATGTCTGTGGTCCCAGCTACTCGGAAGGCGGAGGGACGAGATTCGCTTGAACCCGGGATGCAGAGGTTGCAGTGAGCCGAGATCACATCACTGCACTCCAGCCTAGGTGACAAAGTGAGACTCTTGTCTCAAAAAAAAAAAAAAATGTTAAGTGTGCATACTCTTTGATCCAACAGTTATATTTCTAGGAATTTAGCCTGCAGATATTTCACACCTGTGCATGGACATGTGTACAAGGATAGTCACTATATCATTGTTTCTAGTAGCAAAAGACTGGGTGGAGGGGGTGGAATCCCTAAATGTTCATCATTTAGGGACTGATCTGTTAAACTACAGTATAAACTCTACCTCCATCTGTATCTCTATTAAAAAGAGTGAGGTGAATATGTTTGTACTGATATGGAAAGTCATCCAAATAGTTAAGGGAACAAAGTAAGGCAGAGAACAGTGTAACTGGTTTGAGTCCATTTGTGTGAATAAAAAAAAGGTTGTTCTGTAGAAATATTAACATTTTTTCAAAGGAACACACAAGAAACTGTTTTCATTGGGTACCCTTGTGGAATGAACCTGGTAATCTGGCTGTTTGTACTGTTTAAATGCTTTACAATGTGCAGGTATTGTTTTTAATATTAAAAAAAACTAGTTAATTTTAAAATAACTTTTACCTACTGCCCAAGAAAAGAGAGTACAGTAATGCCTAAATCCTTCAGTTATTGTTTTTGCCACTTTCACTGGGAGGGGGACAGGACTAAAGTCAAAGTGTGTGTGTCTCTTGGTAAAACCCAAACAGGAGATTTTTTTTTCCCAGTAACAACCAGTTTAATTTAGCAGGGTGTGGAGGCAGAGCACTATACTGAGTATTCTATAAAGATGTATTCTCAGGCTGGGCGCGATGGCTCAGGCCTGTAATCCCAGCACTTTGGGAGGCCGAGTCAGGCTGATCATGAGGTCAGGAGTTCGAGACCAGCCTGGCCAATATGGTGAAATCGCGTTTCTACTAAAAATACAAAAATTAGCCCGGTGTGGTGGAATGCGCCTGTAGTTCCAGCTACTCGGGAGGCGGAGGCAGAAGAATCGCTTGAACCTGGGAGGTGGAGGTTGCAGTGAGCCGAGATCATGCCATTGCACTCCATCCTGCGTGACAGAGAGACACTCCGAAAAAAAGAAAAAAAGATGTATTTTCAAGGGCAAGTAAGACCTATTTCTCTGGACCCTCACCCTTGGAGGCACAAAGGCACAGGAGTGCTGCTAGACTCCTTGCTCTATATGAATTCATCCTTTATAGTGAGGACGTTTCTGAGGGGGTATCTGATATTGGTGACCCCCAAACATCTCAAAGATGTGACACTATAAAGCAACCACATAAACAAGTGTACAAAATAACCAGCTAAAATGATGACAGGATCAAATCCACACATAACAATACTAAGCTCAAATTGAAACAGGCTAAATGACCTAATTAAAAGACAGAGAGTGGCAAGCTGGATAGAGAACCAAGACCATTGTTTTGAAGAGACCCATCTCACATGCAATGACAAACACAGGCTCAAAATAAAGAGATGGAGAAAAATATACCAAGCAAATGGAAAACAGAAAAAAAGCAGGGGTTGCAATCTTAGTTTCTGACAAAACAGACTTTAAACCAACAAAGATTTTTAAAAAGACAAAGAATGGCATTACATAATGGTAAAGGGTTCAATTCAACAAACTTAACTATCCTAAATATAATATGCACCCAACACAGGAGCACCCTGATTCATAAAGCAATTTCTTAGAGACCTTCAAAGAGACTTAGACACCCACAGAATAATAGTGGGAGATTTAAACATCCCACTGACAATATTAGACAGATCATTGAGACAGAAAATTAACAAAGATATTCAGGATCTGAACTCAGCACTGGATCAAATGGATCTGTTACATATTTACAGAACTCTCCACCCAAAAACAACAGAATATACATTCTTCTCATCACCACATGGCACATGCTTTAAAATCAATTGCATAAGGCTGGGCGCAGTGGCTTACGCCTGTTATCCCAGCACTTTGGGAGGCCGAGGTGGGCAGATTACCTGAGATCAGGAGTTCGAGACCAGCCTGTCCAACATGGTGAAACCCCATCTCTACTAAAAATACAAAAATTAGCCGGGCATGGTGGCTCATGCCTGTAGTCTCAGCTCCTTGGGAGGCTGAGGCAGGAGAATCGCTTGAACCCGAGAGGCGAAGGTTTCTGTGAGCCAAGATTGTGCCATTGCACTCCAGCCTGGGCAACAAGAGTGAAACTCCATCTCAAAAAAAAAAAAAATCATCACATAATAGGAAGTAAAACACTCCTCAGCAGATGGAAGAGAACTGAAATTATCACAATCTCTCGGGCCACAGCGCAATCAAATTAGAAACCAAGACTAAGAAATTCACTCAAAACCATACAATTACATGAAAATTGAATAACCTGCTCCTAAATGACTTCTGGGTCAATAATGAAATTAAGGCAGAAATCAGGAAGTTCTTTAAAACTAATGAGAACAAAGATACAACATACCACGATCTCTGGAACACAGCTACGGCAAAGTTAAGAGGGAAATTTGTAGCACTAAACGCCCACATCAAACAGTTAGAAAGATCTCAAATTAACAACCTAACATCACAACTAAAAGAACTAGAAGTAGCCGAGGTCTAGAGAAAATGAGGGTCAGTGAGCCATCCCTAGGGAGGCAGAGGTAAAAGGAGGAATGACTTCTCTCAGGCTTACTGGCCCCAATCCCAAGAGGCAAGGCTGAAGGTGGAAGCTGGAAGGCAGAAGCTGGTCCATTCCCCTACCCTACACCACCTCCACTGACTCAGAGACTCAGGAAGATAGAGCAGAATGGATCCCACAGAGACCAAGAAGTCCCTCCCTGTCTCATGTTACAGAGATCTAAGAAGAAATTTGCCCAAGTCACACAGCAATTCAGTGGCAGAGCTGGAGCTAGAGCTCAGACTATGTGGCTCCAAATTCAGTGCTCTTTCCATAATATTAGGCTGCCCTAGCAACTCAATGGTGGACAAACAAAATGCCCCCACTAGCTTGCAAGGGAGTCTGGCTGAGATCCCATGGTTCCATCAAAGAGAGGAGATGAAACTGAATCACCCCGGCCTCCCTAAACCCTCATCCCAGCAAACATTCCTCATAACCACTCCCTTCAAAATCTAGGAGCTGTTTATAAAGAACTTTCTCAAATGTTCTGGGATCTCTTGCTCCACTTCCAAAGTCACCTCTGACTGGCTGCCACCGTGTTGGACCTTTTTCTTCTCTCTCTCTCTGTTTGGCCTCAGCTTTCCAGAAGAGCCCTGCTGGACAGCCCCAGGAATGCTGAGGTAGTGAAGCTGACTACACCCTTCATTTAGGTTTTGCTAAACTATCCGAGGCTTGGGGTCAGTAGCCTGCCCTGAAATCTCATATTATTCCTCTTGGCCTGGGTTCCCATTAAGGAACCCCCAACGCTAAGGAAAGGCTCTGCCCCCACCCCTTTCTATCAACTTCCCAAAGATGAGGTGGGCACTTTGGGAGGCTGAGGCAGGCAGATCACCTGAGGTCAAGAGTTTGAGACCAGCCTGGTCAACATGTTGAAACCTCGCCTCTACTAAAAATACAAAAATTAGCCAGGCGTGGTGACGGGCTCCTGTAATCCCAGCTACTTGGGAGGCAGAGGCAGGAGAATCACTTGAACCCAAGAGGCGGAGGTTGTAGTGAGCTGAGATCATGCCACTGCACTCCAGCCTAGGCAAGAGTGAGACTCCATCTCAAAAAAAACAAAAACAAAAGAAAAAAGCAAAGATGAGTCAGGAGATAAAGAGCTGTGGAGAAGTGGCCCTCAGTCAAGAGACAGGAGGCAGAGTGCTCTGGCTTCCTTGCCCAAAGATGTCTCATTTCTGGCCCCTGGGGAAAAAGGCGAATGGGATAAAATGGATGTCAAGGTCAAGAAAGAGTCTCCTATGAGGGAGAGAGATGGCTCTAACTTGACTACTGTTCAAGTTCCTTTCTGCTTCCCAGCAAAAGCTTTCACAGAACACTGAACTGTCCAGACCCTTGTAGGACAAAGGGAAGAGTGAAGTCCACCAAGAGAGGGAGACGGTGAGGAGGCAACTAAGCCCAGACTGTAATCTTAGCCTTTTGTTACACTGTAATGGTGTAGATATAAAACAGTCTACACCATTCCAGGGCATAGAGATGGGTGTCTTGCTACACTGTAATGGTGTAGACATAAAACAGTCTACACCATTCCAGGACATAGAGATGGGTGTCTTTCTTGGAGTCCCTAGAGACTGATATGGTTTGGCTGTGTCCCCACCCAAATCTCATCTTGACTGGTGGCTCCTATAACTCCTATGTGTCATGGGAGTGTTCGAAATGCTTGTTCCCCAGTGCCATAAAGAAATAGCACTTGAACATAAATTTACTTTCCTCAGCAAGGCCATTTTTATACTTTCTGCAGAAAGGGTACACTTGCCAGCAGTTTTGCCATGAGAGTACACTGAACAAAGGAGACAGGGTCATTTACAACCTGACACGTCCACCCTACTGCTGTGTCCAGTTTCCATGGGGTGGAATGGGACCTCAAATTCTGTATTTGTTCCGACTGGCTAGCAACTTAGAACTTTCTAAAAGAGGCAAAGGCAGAAGAGAACAAAGGAAGGAGGAAGTAACTTGTGGAATGCTGAGAAAGGTAAAAACACCTTCAAATAAGGAAGAGCAACAGGGTATGGCCTAATGCTTTGCTTGGACCAGTATAAGCATGCCAGGGCAAATATTTAGGCTAAATTGTGGGAGCTAAGAACATAAAGTACATTGATGTCTTTATTACAGCTAGCAGATATTTAAGAATGTTAGCACAGGTCTTTGAATAAATTTTGCTTCTAAGAGAAGTTACTATTTATTCCTAATTAGACGGGGAGGAAAGTCTTTGAAGAGGAACCTCTACTTTTACTTTTTGCAGGAGAGACCTGGTGAATCATGGAGGCGGGTCTTTCCCTTGCTGTTCTCATGATAGTGATTAGGTCTCACGAGATCTGATGGTTTTATAAAGGGGAGTTCCCTTACCCAAGCCCTCTTGCCTGCTGCCATGTAAGATGTGACTTTGCTCCTCATTTGTCTTCAGCCATGATTGCAAGGTCTCCCCAGCCATGTGGAACTGTGAGTCAATTAAACCTCTTTCCTTTATAAATTATCCAGTCTCGGGTATGTCCTTATTAGCAGTGTGAGAACAGAGTAATATAGAGACCATGCCCCAAACAGCCACCAGCTACCCTATCTTGGTAAACTCCACAGTGTATGAGAGAGGAGAAAAGAGCTCTTCAGCATTGGGGCAGCTGAGTTTTTGAGACCCTAGAATTGGGCCTGATAGGATTACTTTAGAGAAACCAAGGTGAGTGTTTGGAGAAGAGGTCAACATGTGTGTGTATAACTACACTAATAAGGTAGGCATTAATTCTACTGGGACTGATATTTGGGTAGTATGCAGGGATAGAGCTGTACAGGCTGTTAAAATATTTAAAAACTTCTATACTGATTGGTAACACTCTTCACTCGCACCACCACCACCTTGATTCCTTCATGAGAACTCCTCCCCCTAGGACCTCCCCATATAATTCAACAACCAAAGGATTAATGCCTGGCATAGCAGGGGCCTCTAGGACTCTGCTCTAACACTAGGGCCACGAAAGTTTGTAGGTTGTCAGACTCCCTTCCAGGTGTCAAATATTTAGAATATCACCCCTAATTATCTCTACATACCCTGGGGAGAAACCAGGTGCAGAGAGGCCAAGGTCACACAGCTAGTTCTATGGCTGATTGTATCCCTTCAAAATTCGTATGTTGAAGCTCTGACCCCCAGCACCTCAGAATGTGACTGTATTTGGAGACTGAGTCTTTAAATAAGTAATTAAGTTAAAATGAGGCTGTTGGACCAGGCATGGTGGCTCACGCCTGTAATCCCAGCATTTGGGAGGCTGAGGTGGGCAGATCACGAGGTCAGGAGTTCGAGACCAGCCTGACCAACATGGTGAAACCCTGTCTCTATTAAAAATACAAAAAAAAATTAGCCAGGTGTGGTGGCGCATGCCTGTAATCCCAGCTACTCAGGAGGCTGAGGCAGGAGAATCGCTTGAACCAGAGAGGCAGAGGTTGCAGTGAGCCGAAATCGCGCCACTGCACTCCAGCCTGGGTGACAGAGCAAGATTCCGTGGGCTTGGTGGAGGGGCAGGATTCCGGGCAGGAGCCTTGCCTCTCAGGTGGCGGGCTCTGCGACCCTGTGAGATGGACGGGACGGAAGGCAGTGTCGGGCAGCCCGGCCCCACTGAGCGGTCCCACCGAAGCAGCGTGTCCTCCGTGGGAGCCCGAGCGGCTGACGTGCTGGTATACCTGGCAGATGACACGGTGGTGCCCCTGGCTGTGGAGAACCTGCCCTCGCTCCGTGCCCATGAGCTGCACTGCGCCGTCCGCGAGGTCCTGAAGCTTCCGGACATCGCCCTGGATGTCTTCGCGCTCTGGCTGGTCTCCCCTCTGCTGGAGGTGCAGCTGAAACCCAAGAACCAGCCCTACAAGCTGGGACGCCAGTGGCCGGAGCTGCTGCTGCGCTTCACCAGTGCCCCGGACGACGACGTGGCCATGGATGAGCCTTTCCTGCAGTTCCGAAGGAACGTGTTCTTCCCAAAGGGGCGGGAGCTCCAGATCCCCGACGAGGAGGTCCTGCGGCTGCTCTATGAGGAGGCCAAGGGCAACGTGCTGGCTGCACGGTACCTGTGCGACGTTGAGGACTGCGAGGCTCTGGGCGCCCTGGTGTGCCGCGTGCAGCTCGTGACCTACCAGCCCGACTGGCCGGCAGCCTGCGACCTGAGGGAGAAGCTGGACTCCTTCCTCCCTGCCCACCTCTGTAAGCGGGGCCAGGGTCTCTTTGCTGCCCTCCGGGGCCGTGGGGCCAGGGCCGGGCCGGGTGAGCAGAGCCTGCTGAACGCCTACCGCAAGGTGCAGGAGGTCAGCAGCGACGGCGGGTGTGAGGCCGCCCTGGGCACCCACTACCGCGCCTACCTCCTCAAGTGCCACAAGCTGCCCTTCTATGGGTGTGCCTTCTTCCACGGTGAGGTTGACAAGCCAGCCCAAGGCTTTTTGCACCGGGGTGGGCGCAAATCAGTTTCTGTGGCCATCAGCCTGGAAGGTGTGCACGTCGTGGACAGCAGAGAGAAGCACGTCCTGCTGGGCCTGTGCTTCCAGGAGCTGTCGTGGGACCACACCTCCCCTGAGGAGGAGGAGCCCATCCTGTGGCTGGAGTTCGACAGGGACAGCGGGGTCACACCTGTCAACAAGCTCCTCAAGATCTACTCCAAGCAGGCCGAACTGATGAGCAGCCTCATTGAGTACTGCATCTAACTGAGCCAGGCGGCGGAGCCCGCAGGCCCCCAGGACAGTGCAACTGGCTCGCCCTCAGACCTCAGCTCCTCGCCAGCTCCTGTTCAGCGCCCCAAGCTGCGGAGGCAGGGCAGTGTGGTGTCCAGCCGGATCCAGCATCTCTCCACCATCGCCTATGTGGAGGACGGCAAGGGGATCAGGCGAGTGAAGACGAAGAGCACCACGTCCTTCTTCAGCCAGCAGCTGTCCTTGGGCCAGGGGAGCTACACCGTGGTGCAGCCCAGCGACAGCCTGGAGCAGGGCTGAGGACGCTGCACCCCGCAGGAGGAGGGCAACTGGGGGCCCTGGCCCGGCATTGTCCTCCTGAGGAGCAGGGGCTGGCTAACAGTCTCATGGGTCACCACATGGGGAGGGCTGCCTCAGCAGATTTCTCAGACCACGGAGAAGTGACTTTTGCGCCCGGGGCCATGCCCGGGCTGTGCAAAGCTGGCCAGGGCCTCCCACAGGGCCCCTCTGCAGCCTGCCCTCCCTTCCCCCCCTTTCCCCGGATGCTGGGCCCTGCTGCTATCTCAGGACCATCCGATCAAGCTGCAGCTGCCACCCTCACCTAGAAACGTGCCTTTGTGCCCACCTCAAGATGGGCAGTTTCCCCTGTTCTGAAGTGCCTGGTGGCAGCTCCAGTGGCAGAGGATCAAGGATTGAGGTTTGGGACCTGAAGGTCCAGTGTGTGCCTTTGGCCTCTTCCCTGGACTTGAGTGACCAGTCCCCGCCTTCCTCCTGGTAGTGCTCCACTCCCTGGACTTGGATGACCAGTTTCCTGCCTTCCTCCTGCTGGTGCTCCACCCCCCACTGCCAGGCTGGGCCACCACTCTGAGGAGGGTGGGAAGGTCCTCCCTGGATTGAACCCGGACAGAAACATGGTGAGGGCCCCCACCACACCTCCCTGTTGAATCAGGAATGGAGGGAGCCAGGCAGGGCCCTACCTGGGGTCCTGTGCCCCTCGTTCTGGTCTCCTTTGCAGGCACGAGACACCAGAAAGAGCATGCCTTTCTGATAACCTTTGGTGATGTCACTGCTGGAAGGTGGCTGTCCTGTGGACCACCTGGCCTCCAGATCTACACTCACAGTCTGTGAAAAAACTCTTGAAAATCCCCTGGTGGGCACTGCCTGAAGCCCAAGCAGCTCCCCTAGGGGACTGACCAGACCTGCCCTCTCCTCCTGTGTCTGGGTCTTCAGGTTTTAGTTTCGTCTTTGTTCATCTAAGTTGTGCCGGGGCAACGCCAGGAAGTGCCCTGGGTAACCTCTGGTGCTCGCTCCTTCCCAGGCGGCACCATGGCTTCCTCTGGGGGCCGGTGCGTGCCTGGAAAAGCCTGGGCCACACGGGACAGTCTCTCTTTTCTCGAGGACACTTGGAAAGGTGACTGATGTGGGTGCTTGGCTTCTCTGGTCCCAGCTTGCCCTCCAGGGAGCAGGGGCTCTGTCTTGTCGCAGATGAGCTGAGCCCCTGAGAGGAGGGCTTTCCCAGCCCTGGGACCCTCTGAGGTGGGTGTGCAGGTCTCACAGGTGCTTCCTGGGACTTCCTGTGGCAGCACAGGGCTTGGTTTTGTCTTCCGTTCCCAGTGGAAAACCGTGGGAGAGGAAGCTCAGGCCTCTACTCCAAGTATCAGAGCCTGTTCACCCTCCTCCCTTTGGTAGCTTGTGAATGTGCCAGGAGTTTTGAGGTGGGCTTGCCTTCTGGCAGCATGGACTTTATTTGTTAAAATAATAGGCAGAAAGAAGAGGCCTCTTTTGGAATGTCCTGGCCACAGGGTCATGTCAGCTGCCAGTTCTTGTCTCCCGTCCTGGAGTTGCTCTGTCTCACCGAGCTGCCCGCTGGCCTGTTCTGGCCGCTCCAGCGCAGGTTGTCCCTGCTGCTTTGATTCCAGGTGATTTTATTTTTTTTATTTTTTTATGTTTTTTGAGATAGAGTCTTGCTCTGTTGCCCAGGCAGGAGTGCAGTGGCGCATCTCGGCTCACTGCAACCTCTGCCTCAAGCGATTCTCCTGCCTCAGCCTCCTGAGTAGCTAGGATTACAGGTGCGTGCCACCACGCCCCACTAATTTTTGTATTTTTAGTAGAGACAGGGTTTCACCATGTTGGTCAGGCTGGTCTTGAACTCCTGACCTCATGATCCACCCGCCTCAACCTCCCAAAGTGCTGGGATTATAGTCGTGAGCCACCACCCCCAGCTGATTCCAGGTGAATTCTTCTCTGATGGGTGGGTGAGGGTGTGTCCGTGTGATGGGTTGGAGTGTGTGTGTCTGAATACACAGATGATGTGTTTCCCTTCAGCTTCTTACGTTTTCTGAGCATCCATTGTGCCTTAACATTTTCTGCTTGTCCTGTGGGACAAAGCAGTATTTTACTCATTCTTTGAATGTTCTCATTCTTTTGTATCATGTGACTTATTAATAAAGTCAGTTTCTAACAACAACAAAAAAAAAAAACTGAAGCTGTTAGGGTGGGCCCTAATCCAATCTGACTGACATCCTTTTAAGAAAAGAATATAGGCTGAGTGCCGTGGCTCACACCTGTAATCCCAGCACTTTGGGAGGCCGAGGCAGGCAGATCACGAGGTCAGGAGATCGAGACCATCCTGGCTAACACGGTGAAACACCATCTCTACTAAAAAATAGAAAAAATTAGCCGGGTGTGGTGGCGGGCGCCTGTAGTCCCAGCTACTCGGGAGGCTGAGGCAGGACAATGGCGTGAACCCGGGAGTCAAAGCTTGCAGTGAGCCAAGATGGTGCCACTGCACTCCAGCCTGGGCGACAGAGCAAGACTCCATCTCAAAAAAAAAAAAGAAAAAGAAAGAAAGAAAAGAATATTAAGCCGGGTGCAGTGGCTCATGCCTGTAATCTCAGCACTTTGGGAGGCCGAGGTGGGTGGATCATGAGGTCAAGAGATCAAGACCATCCTGGCCAACATGGTGAAACCCTGTCTCTACTAAAAATAGAAAAATTAGCTGGGCGTGATGGTGCATGCCTGTAGTCCCAGCTACTTGGGAGGCTGAGGCAGGGAGAATTGCTTGAACCCGGGAGGTGGAGGTTGCAGTGAGCCGAGATCGCACCACTGCACTCCAGCCTGGTGACAGAGCGAGACTCCATCAAAAGAAAAAAAAAAGAGAATATTGGAAAAGACAGACAGACACACCAGGGATGCATTAACACAGAGGAAAGACCATGTAGAAGACACAGCAAGAAAGTAGCCCTTGGCAAGCTAAGGAAAGAGGCCTCAAAAGAAACCAACCCTGCTAACACCTTGATCTTGGACTTCCAACCTTCACAACTGTGAGGAAATAAATTTCTGTTATTTTAGGCACCAATTCTGTAGCATTTTGTTATGGCAGCCTTTACAAACTAACACAACTAGGTAATAACAGAGAGAGAAATTCATCCCAGGTCTATTTGCCTGCAAGCCCATGCTCTGAGCAGGTCTTGCTTTCTCCATTTATACAATGAAGGGAGCCAGCTCTTATGAGAATCCAGTGAGGGAAAGGATTTAGGATAATATTGAGAGACATGACTCCTCAGAGAGTATTCTTATCTGCCAGGAAAGATCTAAGAGTAGCGCCTTGTGCACGGTAAGTGCTCACAAAATGTGTGTGGAGCTAAATGAGGGTATACCTCAACAAAGGGCCTGAAAGGGAAAAAATAACAAGTTTCCTAACCCTAGAGTGCCCAAATCCCAGAAACTGCTGCTGAAAGCAATTCACTGGAAAGCCTTCACTGAATGATGTAAACTAAGGAGTAGAACTAGGGTTGCCCAATTAACCCACTAATTTATTCTCCATACCCACACACTCACATGAAACAATGCAAGCCCTCCCCTCCCCATACCATACACACTCACCTCAAACTCTGACATACACTTTCACTCACATACAGGTACTTGCAAACCTTACATGAGCTCCCATAGACACATCTTGCCCACACTTTCATATATATTCCACCATAGTCTTATGCCCTACACTCTGATACAAATGCATTTATTCATATATATATTCTCCCAGACACCATAACCTCCCGCCATTCACATATATTCCATATACTCACATACAACTCCACTACAAGCTCCCATATTTTCACATGCATTTCCTTTGTTTACATACACTTACATGCTCACATATACACATATGGATATTTGAACATACATGGAAAATAATCTAGCTGGGCACAGTGGCTCACACCTGTAATCCCAGCGCTTTGGGAGGCCAAGACAGGAGGATCACTTGAGCCTGGGAGCTAGAGACCAGCCTGGGCAACATAGGAAGACCCCATCTCTAAAAATATTTTTAAAAAATTAGCCAGGCATGAGAGTGTACACCTGTGGTCCCAGCTACTCAGGAGGCTGAGGTGGGAGGATCACTTGACCCCAGGTGGTCGAGGCTGCAGTCAGCTGTTATCATGCCACTGCACTCCAGCCTGGGTGACAGAGGAAGACTCAGTCTCAAACAAAACCAAACAAACAACTTATATGTTGGACCTTAAACCCCAAGGTGATGGTATTAAAAGGTGGGAACTTTTGAGAAATGATTAAGTCATGAGGGCTCTGCCCTTGTGAATGAGATTAATGTCCTTATAAAATAGGCTTCAGATAGCTGCCTGGCACTTTTATCTCATCTGCCATGTGAGAACACTGTGTTCATCCCTTTTGCTCTTCTACCATGTGAGGATGAAGCAAGAAGGAGCCATCTCAGATGCAGACAGCAGTCCTCACCAGACACTGAATCTGCCAGTGCCTTGATCTTGAACTTCTTAGCCTCTAGAACTATGAAAAATAAATGTATGTTGTTTATAAATTATCTTGGCCTGCGGTATTTTGTTATAGAAGCAGAAATGAACTAGGGCGCCTTCACTGTTGTTCAGAGATGGAACCGATCACTCCCTCTTTTGCATTCCCTCTGGCTTCTCTTACAGTACTCATATTCAGCCCCGATTTCTACTTATTTAAGGAGCAAAGCCCAGAAATGCTAAACAAATTGCCAAAGAATTCATTGTTAGTAAGAGGCAAAGACCTAGGTTGGGGAGGTGCTTATCTCATTGAGGGCAGGGATTCCATCTGATTTCTTTGTTTTCTTAGTTCCCAACACAAAACCTGGCAAGTAGAAGTGGCTCAGTTTGAAAGGATGGAAAGAAGAGGGATAGAAGAGGAAAGAAAGAGGAAAAGCAAACTTGCTTCTGGGATTAGTTTGGTATTTGGCACTAGTTACCTTCCCTGAAAACTGTCAGACAGAAGGCAGAAGGCACTTTGCAAAGGATCATGAACCAGACCATGTAAGGCACCTCCATCCTAATCAAACTCAGCAAGTTGAAGAGAAGGAGGCAGTAAAGGAAAGTGGAGGATATTCCAAGAGAAGCAGAAAGGCTGAGAAGAGTTTGAGAAAAACAAAAAGACAGATATAATCCTGAGGTGCAAATATAGACTTATTCAGGAGGCCGGGAAAGAGGCCAGGATGTGGTAAGAGGGATGAAGATTAGAAAAAGGCCAAAGATTAGCCAGATTCACATCATGGCCAAAGTGCTCCATGACAAACTTGAGAAAAAGGGCACCAGTCCAGCCCTGGCTTGAGCTTATAGGGGAGTGCAGAACTCATCTAGGATATCAGTTGCTAAATGTGAGGGGAAGGAGAATCAGGAAAATTAAGGCTCAGAGCCTCCCAGCTCAGGCCTATGTAATCACCTCTGCCCTAACTGGTATACCACAGTAGTTGAAGCCAGGGGTCAACTAGCAAAGGCCCAAGGGACATATAACCCAAATAATGAAAGGCTTGAGGCAGGCTCAGAGGACATGGTCAACTCTCAATTATCCACATGCTAGTAAACAGTGGATTATTCACAAGGTTTTTTGTTGTTATTTGTTTTGAATTCAAACCTGATTTTAACCACTTCAACACACCACCTCTTCCTCCTCCTACCACCTTCCCCAGGCAGCCAGCATCCTCTGAGAGGCTGACTGTGACTCCTTCTGGGTCTTGAAGGCCTGTACCTATACCTCGCTGGAGTCAGGGTTCTCAGGGAGGAAGCTTTGGAGCACCTGATCCAAGACCTTCGCCGTCTGCCCATAGAGAACCTGGAAGGGAAAGAAGATTAAACAGTCCTGGAATGGCTGAGGCTCTAGGCTCTCAGTGGGAGTAACCATAGGTGTGGAATGCTGTTATTGAGTTCCTGTCAGATGCCATAAACACCTTTCCTTTTTTCAAGCTTTCCTCACAAATCACCCTAAAAGTTAGCATGTATTAACCACATTTTGCAGGTTGAGGAAACAGACTTAGAAGGGGACGTAATTTCAGCCAAAGTAATAGAGCATTTAAGTAGGAGGTAGATTCTGCACCCACGGTTCCCTGAGTTCTAACTTCATGTTCTTGCCAATATATCTGTTGCTTCTGAAAGACCTTTCAAATCACAGAGAATTATTTCTTTTCTTTAATCAACACATGTAGCAATGTATATTATTTCTTTCTGTCCCTTTACTTTTTTCTCTTTTTTCTTACCTTTCATTTTGTTCTTCTACTTTATTTTTCTTCTTGCCAGCCTTCCATTATTTTCTCTGTCTTCTTTCCTCCCTTACTTTCTATGTACATTTGCTTCCTAATATGGAGGATCCTGCTGTAAGAATTGTGGAAATCAATCAGCTCATAACCCCTGTTTTCCAGGAGTTCCCAGTAAAGCACCTACAGATACAAATTCACATGTCCACAGGATCACACGGGATATAAATAAATTCACCCCATTGCTTCTAGTACAGCATAATAAAAAGAGAACTTGGGTTGGAAATCTGGGTCTCAGTCTCTGCTTTGTCACTTACAGTATGACCTTGGGAAAATCACATTACTTTCTTGAGCCTCTGTTTTCTTATCTAGAAAATGGAAACAATAAAACTTGGTCTACAGGCTTCACAAAGGAGCTTCAAGGCTGGGCGTGGTGGCTCACCCCTATAATCCCAGCACTTTGGGAGGCCAAGGCAGGCGGATCACCTGAGGTCGGGAGTTCGAGACCAGCCTGGCCAGCATGGTGAAACCCTGTATCTACTAAAAAATACAAAAAAAAAAAAATATTAGCTGGGTGAGGTGGCAGGAGCCTGTAATCCCAGCTACTCAGGAGGCTGAGGCAGGAGCATCACTTGAACCTTGGAGGCAGAGGTTGCAGTGAGTCGAGATTGCACGATTGCACTCCACCCTAGGCAACAAGAGCAAAACTCCATGTCAAAAACAAACAGAAAAATTAGCCGGGTGTGGTGGCACATGCTTGTAATCCCAGCTACTAGGGAGGCTGAGGCAGGAGAGTTGCTTGAACTCAGGAGGCAGAGGTTGCAGTGAGCCAAGATTGTGCCACTGCACTCCAGCCTGGGTAACAGAGCGAGACTCTGTCTCAAAAAACAAACAAGCAGACAAAACACACACACCCATACACACACGAGAAAGATAAGAAGATATAAATAAGGAAGAAAGTGTTATGTAAAGCATCCAGTCTGTAGTAGAGAAGTAATAAATGATAGCTCCTTTTCCAATACCATGATGCTTCTTGTATCATTAATTGAGCTGGAGTTGGCCTGGCATGCTGGCTCATACCTATAAACCCAGCACTTCGGGAGGTCAAGGCAGGAGGATCGCTTGAGTCCAGGAGTTCATGGCTAGCCTGGGCAACATAGTGAACCCCATATTGAAACCACTGTTGCAAAATTATAACAGAAAATTGTTACAGTGAAAGAGATCTGACCTAACCAACTCCATCTTGCTTCTAACCTCCAAACTGTCCTTGTTCATTCCTGGGCATAGGCCGAACTAACTTTGGGAGGAACTTGGTTTACAGTTTAACTTTGGAACAAAGATGATAACTACCCTTTCCCAAAACAAATCCCCTTCCTGCCTGGGGACTAGACTGTTTTCGTAGGACTAATAAATTAGCCACAAGATTAGAAATTATGGTTTAGGGCCGGGTGCGGTGGCTCATGTCTGTAATTCCAGTACTTTGGGAGGCCAAGGCAGGTGGATGACTTGAATCAGGAGTTAGAGAACAGCCTGACCAACATGGTGAAGCCCCATCTCTACTAAAAATACAAAAAATTAGCTGGGCATGGTGGCATGTGCCTGTAATCCAGCTACTCAGGAGGCTGAGGCATGAGAATCGCTTGAATCCGGGAGGCAGAGGTTGCAGAGAGCCGAGATCCTGCCACTGCTCTCCAGCCTGGGCGACACAGCAAGTCTCTGTCTAAAAAAAGAAAGAAAGAAAGAAAGAAAGAAAGAAAGAAAGAAAGAAAGAAAGAAAGAAAGAAAGAAAAGAAAGAAAAGAAATTATGGTTTAGGAGTCATGGAGCTAGAGGCTACAAGATTCTGACCCTCCTCAAATTGCTCCTGGGAAGCAATAACATCACTATTGTAAAACCTGTGAACCCTGAATAGCTGAGACAGGTCCCAGTCAATTTAGAAAGTTTATTTTGCCAAGGTTAAGGACATGTGCACCAGTGAAACAGCCTCTGAAGGTCCTGACGACATGTGCCTAAGGTGATTGGGACACAGGTTGGTTTTATACATTTTAGGGAGACATGAGACATCAATCAATACATGTAAGATGAATAATGGTTCGGTCCAGAAAGGTGGGACAACTCGAAGCAGGGAGGGGGCTTCCAGGTAATAGGTAGGTAAGAGACAAATGGTTACATTCTTTTGAGTTTCTAATTAGTCTTTCCAAAGGAGGCAATCAGATATGCATTTATCTCAGTGAGCAGAGGGATGACTTTGAACAGAATGGGAGGTGGCTTGGCCGGACAAGGTGGCTCACGCCTATAATTCCAGCATTTTGGGAGGCCGAGTTGGCGGATCACTTGAGACCAAGAGTTCAAGGCTACAGCAAGCTATGGTCACACTGTAAGTGCCCAATGGGTTCTACTTGCCTGCTGCCCAGATAGAGCCATTTTATCAAGATAGGAGAATTGCAACAGAGAAAGAATTCAATACACGTAGAGCTAGCTAAACGGAAGACCTGAGTTTTATTATCACTCAAGTCAGCCTCCCTCAAAATTAGAAGGCTAAGGTTTTCAAAAGGAGAGTTTGATAGGCAGAGGGCTAGGGTAAGGATCCTGCTGATTGGTTGGAGATGCAATCATAGGAGTGTGGAAAATGGTCCTTGCATGTGGAGTCCACTTCTGGTTGGGGGATCACAGGGGAATTGCTGGTCTGACTGGGGCCATGCAACAGTCAGAAATGCAAAAGCCAGTTGGGCACGGTGGCTCAAGCCTGTAATCCCAGCACTTTGTGAGGCCAAAGCCAGGAAATTGTTTGAGCTCAGGAGTTTGAGACCAGCCTAGGCAACATGGTGAAACCCCATCTCTACCCAAACACAAAAAGGTAGTCTGGTGTGGTGCTGCATGCCTGTGGTCCTAGCTACTCTGGAGGCTGAGCGGGGAGGATCACTTGAGCCCAGGAAGCAGAGGTTGCAGTGAGCTGAGATGGCACCACTGCACTCCAGCCTGGGTGACAGAATGAGATCCTGTCTCAAAAACAATAAAATAAAATAAAATAAAATAAAATGAAATAAAATAAAATAAAATAAAATAAATGCAAAAGCCTGAAAAGACACCTCAAAAGGCCAATCTTAGGTTCCACAATAGTGATGTTATTTACAGGAGTAATTGGGGAAGTTGCAAATCTTGTGACCTCCGGAATAATGGCTGGTAATCATTTAATTATACCTACATCTTAGCGGAATTCAGGGTCCTTTCATCCTCCTAACTTGGAGGTCTTTCATTAGTTTTACAAAGGTAGTTTAGTTTTGAGAAGGGCTATTATAATTTAAACCATAAAGTAAATTTCTCCCATAGTTAGCTTGGCCCACACCCAGGAATGACCACCGACAGTTTGTAGGTTAAAGGCAAGATGGAGTGGGTTAGTTCAGACCTCTTTTACTTTCACTGTCATAATTTTGTTACTGCTATAATTTTTTTGCAAAGGCGCTTTTAGCACCACTATACTGTAGCCTGGGTGACAGAGTAAGACCCTGTCTCAAAACAAACAAAAAAACAAAGGCTGAGCTCAGTAACTTACACCTGTAATTCCAGTAATTTGGGAGGCCTAGGTTTGTGGCCAGGAATTTGAGACCAGCCTGGGCAACAGGGTGAGACCCTATCTCTACAAAAAACTAAATAAAAAATTAGCTGGGTGTGGTGGCATGCATACCCAGCTGGTAGGTGGGGGTCCAGTCCTAGCTGTTTGGGAGGCTGTAGTGGAAACATCTCTAAAGCCCAGGAAGTTGAGGTTGTAGTGAGCTATGGTGGCCTTACTGCACACCAGCCTGGGTCACAGAGCGAGATCCTGTCTCAAAAAACAAAAGAATACAAAACAACAACAAAAAAAAAAACTTTTTTTTTTTTTTAAGACAGAGTCTTGCTCTGCTGCCTGTGGTGGAGTGCAGTGGTGTGATCTCAGTTCACTGCAACCTCCGCCTCCCAGGTTCAAGCAATCCTTGTGCCTCAGCCTCCCAAGTAGCTGGGATTACAGGCTCGCGCCACCATGCTTGGCTAATTTTTGTATTTTTAGTAGAGACAGGGTTTCACCATGTTGTCCAGGCTGGTCTTGAACTCCTGACCTCAAGTGATCCACCCGCCTCGGCCACTCAAAGTGCTGGGATTACAGGCGTGAGCCACCATGCCAGGCCAAAAAACAAAACTTTGAAAAGCTATTTAAAGCCTACTATTTCAGGAAAAGAGTCTAGGGATTTATTATTCCAACAAGATAAGTTTCCAGTTTATAAGACCCCTTCTCTTCTATGTAAGGGATGGAAACAGAGAGACCAGTTAGGAAGACAGTACAGTGATCCAGAGAAAACCAAGGCCTGAATTAGAACAGTGGCCATGAGAATGTAAAGAAGAGGACTGATTAAAAAGATAGTGGGTAGATTATGTAGTTTTGGGGGAGGGTGGCACCAAGGGTGCGGGAGAAGATGGAACAGTGGAAGTGAGTGAGGAGGTGAAGTAGTGGAGAATGATAATACTGTTACAGGACCCCACCACTTACCCAAAGTTAGCTTTTGGGTAGGGGGTTTCCTCACCATAGTCCCTTTGGGGTTTGCCAGAAAGATGTTACAGGAAAGGGGTCCAGATCCAGACCCCAAGGGAGGGTTTCTGGATCTCGTGCAAGAAAGAATTCAGGGCGAGTCCATAGAGTAAAGTGAAAGCAAGTTTATTAAGAAAGTAAAGGAAGGCCGGGCGCGGTGGCTCACGCCTGTAATCCCAGCACTTTAGGAGGCCAAGGTGGGTGGATCATGAGGTCAGGAGATCGAGACCATCCTGGCCAATATGGTGAAACCCTGTCTCTACTAAAAATACAAGAATTAGCCAGGCATGGTGGCGGGCGCCTGTAGTCCCAGCTACTCGGGAGGCTGATGCAGGAGAATCGCTGGAATCCAGGAGGTGGAGCTTGCAGTAAGCAGAGATCACACCACTGCACTCCAGCCTGGGTGACACAGGAGACTCTGTTTCAAAAAAAAAAAAAAAAAAAAAAAGAAAGAAACAGAAAAAAAAGAAGAAAGTAAAAGAATAAGACAATGGCTACTCCAGAGACAGAGCAGCCCTGAGGGCTGCTGGTTGCCCATTTTTTTATGGGTATTTCTTTTCTTTTTTTTTTTTTTTTTTAGAGACGGTGTCTCACTCTGTCACCCAGGCTGGAGTGCAGTGGCTTGATCTCGGCTCACTGCAACCCCCACCTCCTGGGTTCAAGTAATTCTGCTGCCTCAGCCTACCAAGTAGCTGGGACCACAGGCGCATGCTGCCACGCCTGGCTAATTGTTTTTTTCTTGTTTGTTTGTTTGTTTGTTTGTTTTTGTATTTTAGTAGAGACAGTGTTTCACCATGTTTCACAGGCTGGTCTCGAATTCCTAAGCTCAGGCAATCCACCCGCCTTGGCCTCCCAAAGTGCTAGGATTACAGGTGTGAGCCACTGCACCCAGCCTGATTATTTCTTGATGATATGCTAAACAAGGGGTGGATTATTCATGCTTCCCCTTTCTAGACCATATAGGGTAACTTCCTGACTTTGCCATGGCATTTGTAAACTGTCATGGCGCTGGTGGGAGTGCAGCAGTGAGGAAGACCAGAAGTCACTCTTGTGGCCGTCTTGGTTTTGGTGGGTTTTAGCCCGGCTTCTTTACTGCAACCTGTTTTATCAGCAAGTTCTTTATGACCTGTCTTCTGTGCTGACCTCCTAATCTCATCCTGTGACTTAGAATGCCTTAACCATCTGGGAATGTGGCCCAGTAAGTCTCAGCCTTATTTTACCCAGCCCCTATTCAGGATGGAGTTGCTCTGGTTCACATGCCTTTGACAATACGATTAACAATATAGGCTAGGCTGGGCATGTGGCTCACACCTGTAATCCCAACACTTTGGGAGGCTGAGGTGGTTGGATCACCTGAGTCAGGAGTTCGAGACCAGCCTGGCCAACATGGTGAAACACTGTCTCTACTAAAAATACAAAAATTAGCCAGGCGTGGTGGCATGTCTATAGTCCCAGCTACTTGAGAGGCTGAGGCAGGAGAATCGCTTGAACCTGGGAGGTGGAGGTTGTGGTGAGCTGAGATCATGCCACTGCACTCCAGCCTGGGCGACAGAGCGAGACTCTGCCAAACGAAAAAAAAAAAAAAAAATATATATATATATATATATATATATATATATATATATATATATATGTATATATATAGCTTAACAGCTGTAAGTGCTTACAGTGTGTCATGCACTCTTCTAAGAAGTCCCTCCTCCCTCCCCCACCCCCTCTTCTTTCCTTTCTGAGACAGAGTATCCCTCTTTCGCCCAAGCTGGAGTACAGTGGCACGATCTTGGCTACATAGTCCTAAACACATTTTAGCCAACCTGTAAAATCAGAAGGACTTCACTGCAACCTCTGCCTCCAGGGTTCAAGCCATTTTCATGCCTCAGAATAGCTGGGATTACAGGCGCATCACCACACCTGGCTAATTTTTGTGATTTTTTTTAGTAGAGACAGGGTTTCGCCATGTTGGCCAGACTGGTCTTGAACTCCTGGCCTCAAGTGATCCACCCTCCTCGGCCTCCCAAAGTGCTGGGATTATAGGTGAGAGCCACCACACCTGGCCAATGCTCACCTCTTTTAATCCACATACCAGTCCTTTGAGACTATTATGCGAGCACTATTAATAAGTGCTCTTATTATTTCCGTTTACAGATGAAGTAAACGAGGCATAGAAAAGTTAAGTAACTTGCTCAAGGTTTCAAATAGTAAGTGGTGAAGACACAATTCAAGCCCAAGCTACCTGAGTGCAGGTACTGAGGTTCAGATGACTCTGTGAATACTGTTGCCATGTATTGAATGATATAGGAGGAGGGACAGATTTTGGGGGAAAGTATTTAAGATTTAGACAGGTTGATATTGGGTTGCCTGCGGGATCACATGAGTGCAGCAGACAGTTGATTAAATGTGTCTGGAGTCCCACAGAAAACTCAGCTAGAGACTTGAAGAACATCAACATATAGGTGTTTGCTTAGCCGGGGCCACAGGACTGCTCTAGGTGAACTAGATACACAAAAGTGGACGTTGGGGTGAAGTGAGGGGGAGGGAAATGGTGAAATAATGAAGGGGAAGCAGTAGCTTGAAGATACATTTGATTAACTTCAGGATTTCACAGACAATGCCTTGGACTTGGAGATTTTATTTAATTCGTGCCCACTGGCACTGCTAGGAGTGTCCTACGTCACCACAAGCCTAGGGATTCTTAGGATTCTTGAGCATGTGCCAGGACAGATCCATATTCCCTGTGGTAAGCTGAAACAATTGTCCCCCAAAAGATACTCACATCCTAATCCCTACAACCTATGAATGTTACTTTATGTGGTTAAAAGAAAAAGAAAAAAGAAAGAAAAACATTGGACTTCATTGTAATTAAAGATCTTGAGATGTGGAAATTAGCCTGCATTATCTGAGTGGACTCTGCCACCACATGTATCCTTTTAAAATGGAGGCTGGGGGAGACTTTACAAACACAGAGGGGAAGATGGAGCAGAGAGAGATTTGAAGATGCTGGTCTTGAAGTTTGGAATAATGTGCTCCAAGCCAAGGAATGCTAGCAGCCACTAGAAAAGACAAGGAGTGTATTCTTCCCTAGAGCAGCTGGAGGAATCATGAACCTACCAGTACCTTGATTTCAGCTCAGTGATACTGTTATCAAACTTTTGGCCTCCAGAACTACGAGAAAATAAATGTCTGTTGTTTTAAACCACCAAGTTTGTGGTAATTTGCTATAGCAACAACAGGAAACTAACGCAGTGCTTCTTCAAAATTACCACTATTTGACACACTTCGTCCACTAATTCCTAATTCTCAATAGGTCTCAGGCCCCATTTGCCACATATTAGACATAATGCTCTTGTTACATGCTTTGGTCATGTTTTCTTAGAACACACGGAATAGAGAGAACTTCAGCTTTATGTGGATGGAATGGGGATAAATAGGGGTCTTTGCCTGAAAAGGACTATGCAAAATTTTTAGCCTATAAACCCCAAAATGTGTGTGAATGATTGCCGCAGATCTGGCAGCTCCTCTGACTGGCCTGTATCTTGAGGAGTCATAGAAACCACTCCCCAGACTTCTTTGCCAGCACACTGTCATGATCCTGAAGGAAAAAGGGTATCTGGTTTCAGGCAGACACCTGGCCAACTGGTTGGCATGGCTACTTGGGACAGAGTAACTGTCAGTCAAGAACCATAGGCAGGCCGGGCACGGTGGCTCATGCCTGTAATCCTAGCACTTTGGGAGGCCTGGGCTGGTGGATCACTTGAGGTCAGGAGTTCCAGACCAGCCTGGCCAACATGGTGAAACCCTGTCTCTACTAACAATACAAAAATTAGCCAAGCATAGTGGCAGGCGCCTGTAATCCCAGCTACTTGGAAGGCTGAGGCAAGAGAATCACTTGAACCCTGGAGGTAGAGGTTGCAGTGAGCCGAGAATTGTGCCACTGCACTCCAGCCTGGGCGACTGGGCCAGACGCCATGTCAAAAAAAAAAAGAAAAAGAAAAAAAGAAAAATAAAATAACTATAGGCAGACTATATCTTAGGAAAAGTTGGCTGGAGAAAGAAGCACATATAGAGGATGAATTGGGATTTGTTGCTGTGAAGCGTAAAAGTGCCACTCACAGCAATGCTGTTAAGATCGTTAGCAACAGTTCTCTCTCTCTCTCTCTCAAGTGTTACATTGGAAAATAACTTCTGCAAGAAGGATTGGGACATAGTCCTAAACATATTTCAGTCAACTCGTAAAATCGGAGGAACTTCATAATACCGCTTTTCTCCCAGAACTCCAAAATACCAAGGAATTTTGCAGAAAAACTAAGTATACCTTGGTGGATGTTGAAACCAACATAGCAGTGGAATGTTGGCAGAGTAAAATTCTACAATTTTCTGCTATGACAGAGAACCTAGAGACCAGTCTACAACTCTCACTGTACAGATGGGAAAACTGAGACTAGTCTAAGTCCACATAGTTAGTGGCAAAATTTAGAGTAAAACTCAGGTCTCTAGGCTGGTATTTATTTATTTATTTATGTATGTATTTATTTAATTTACTTTTGAGACAGAGTCTCGATCTGTCACCCAGGGTGGAGTGCACTGGTGCGATCTTGGCTTGTTGCAGCCTCCGCCTCCCGGATTCAAGCGATTCTTGTGCCTCAGCCTCCTGAGTAACTGGGATTACAGGCATGTGCAACCATGCTTAGCTAATTTTTGTATTTTTACTAGAGACCGGGTTTCACCATTTTGGCCAGGCTGGTCTGGAACTCCTGACCTCAAGTGATCCGCCCGCCTGGGCCTCCCAATGTGCTGGGATTACAGGCGTGAGCCACCACGCCTGGCCAGGCTGGTACTAATTTAAAAGGCAGGGCCCCTGGTTACCTGCCACAAAAGCAGATTTTTTCAACCCAACTGTAACTGTTTCGATATGAGATATTTCCTCTGTAGCCCTGCTTCAGTGTCCAGTGTTTTACTAGGTTAGGTCCTGATTCACGGCAATAAAAATATACTTAAAATCGCATTTTCAGTTCACTGGATGACTACAATCAAGCTGCCACCCGCCGAGGGGAGCAAAATAAAATTCCTCTTGCAGTGAAGACATACCGCTTCCGGTCTGGTACAGAAGCCGGTTAGCAACCAGGAAATTGGCGGAACCTAGAGGCTGAACTCTTGCCCCTGGAGGGTTTGCTTTGTGAAAAGAACACTTCCGGCCGGTGAGTTTTTAACCCCGCATGTCATTAGGTCGGCGCCCAATTCTGACGTTCCGATTGGCCATGCTGACGCTGGAAGGCGGGCTTGCGTATGGGGTCACGCTCTCCTATTGGCTGCTGGTGCGGTGGCGGTTCGGAGTGAGGGTAGCACGCTGAGCTGAAGGCTGTGCGGAGCGGCGCGGCACAGAGCCTGTTGTTGAGCTCAGTATGTCGTGGGAATCCGGGGCCGGGCCAGGTCTAGGTTCCCAGGGGATGGATCTCGTGTGGAGTGCGTGGTACGGAAAGTGCGTTAAAGGGAAAGGGTCGTTGCCACTCTCGGCCCACGGCATCGTGGTCGCCTGGCTCAGCAGGGCCGAGTGGGACCAGGTGACGGTTTATCTGTTCTGTGACGACCATAAGTTGCAGCGGTACGCGCTTAACCGCATCACGGTGTGGAGGAGCAGGTAAGGTGGCGGGTTCGGCCCTTTTGCCTGCGTGCTGGTGGCGCTGCACCTCTTCCTTTGTCGAGTTTCTATAAGGCCCTGTTCTCCAGTCTTCCCCTAAGTCGCCTAAAGTTGTCCCTCTCCCAAATGCCTGGGGGAACGCGGCAGCCATCTCTTGCGCTAATCCCGTTAGCGGAATGGAAAGTAAGGGGTTGTGCCTCAACAATTCTCTTGTTATATCTGTGAGGTTTACCCATTACCTCCAAAAAGTGACTTTCTCCCAACTTGGAGAGGATGCCGGAGGGACTAGTGAGGCCTGAGCCAGGGCTTAAGGAGTAGATTAGTACCCTAGGGTAGATTTCCGATTCCAATGGGGAGGAAGTCTTGCCTGCAAGACAGTGTTTGAGTGGGGCGCCTCAGTCCAGTTGGTAAGATTGAGTTGGGAGCCGACTTACAAGGGATAAGGGGCTCCTCTAGCTCAATGAGTTGATTTGGGGGTGAAAGAAAGGGGTGTGTCCACACAACTGTTGATGGACAGTCTACCAGTTAGGTGTCCTGTATACGGCCTAGTCAGCTCCTCATGCCCTGTATACTGTTGGATCCCACAGACATTACCGTGTCTCCTCCCACCTTCTTGTTTTGTGTCTGTTCATGCTCTCTTGAACCAGAATATGATGGGTGTAGCCTGCAACAACCTAGGTTCTGAGGTGGAGGGTGGACCAGTGTAAGGGCTCTTTATGATGGTGCTGGACTGTGACCCTTTAGGTCAGGCAACGAACTCCCTCTGGCAGTGGCTTCTACTGCTGACCTGATACGCTGTAAGCTCTTGGATGTAACTGGTGGCTTGGGCACTGATGAACTTAGACTGCTCTATGGCATGGCATTGGTCAGGTAAGACCTGCATGGGGTAGGGGTGGAGGTTGGCTTTGGGGACTGGAGGCAGGGGAGGCATGTGATAAGCAAAACTTGGCTTCAGGTGTTACCTGAAGCAAAACCCTGCGTGTACCTCACTGTGGATCAGCCTGTGATTATTGCTTGACTTATCAGCTTTTGGTACCCTCGTCAACGCATTCCTCTTTTTCTTCCTTTTTCCTGAAAGCCTTCTCTTCCATTTTTCTTTCTATCTTGGAATGTGGAGGAAGGGATTCAGACCAGGTGATCTCTGTGGGTCTCTTGGTGGTCTGATATTTTTTCTTACCTTTGAATTCCTCACCCAGAGGAACTTGTCTGAATGGCTCAGGGTCCTCGCCTGTGATTTAATGTGGACTTTCCAACCCTGTCCCTGTCTATTCCTAGCACTACCCTTTTCCCCTTCTCTCCCTCATGAACACTGAAAGATTGCTGAGTTATGGAAGTGGAGACATGGGCTGGGAATTCCTGACTTACAAAGTGACTCATAATGGTTCTAGCTGTATACACGTCGGAAAAAAAGGTTGCTACTGAGTTTTCATATCTGTCAAAGTCTTTGCTTATCTATTTCCCCTTGTCTGCCTTGAGATCCTCCCTTTCTCTTCTTATTTTCTCCATTGGTTAGCTGTGCTCCCCATTATCTGATGTAGTCCTTTGCAGCATTTATAACATATTATGTTCTAGCCTAATATGTTACATTGTATCATTATTATTTATCCTAGACCGAACTGTTCAAGGCTAGAGCAGTGTCTTATTCATCTGTATGGCTTCATTATAGGGCAGACTCTCATTAAATGTTGGAATGGATGGAACTGTCCCTGCTCTGGCTGACACACCAGCTGTAGGAATAGGACAGGACAGTCGGTGGAAAAGTGGAAATGCAGGGTTTCAGTAACTCAGCAAAGTGTTTGGAATAAAATGGTTCCTTGGGCTGTGCCACTTATTTCTCCCTCAACTCCAGGTTTGTGAATCTTATCTCAGAGAGGAAGACAAAGTTTGCCAAGGTCCCCCTCAAGTGTCTGGCTCAAGAGGTGCGTATGATTCAGTGAACTTGCTCAATTCTGTCTCCAAGAGGGCTCACCAAATGGGGCATGGGGTATTGTGGGCACACAGTCAGACTAGCTCATCCCATCACTACCAGCCAAGCCCAGCAAGAATCCCAGAGCCTCAGCTTCCAGCCTGAAGGAGGCACAGTTGCTCCCTTGCTCTCATATGACTGGTATCTCAGAGGGCTTGGCCTGCCCAGCTTGCTGGGAGGAGCCCAAATGTAGCACTGGGTGGGGACAGGAAAGAGGTGACAGTCACAGCACCTGCCCTCATGGAGCTGACAGTCTGAGAGAGGAGACAGCTCAGCCACTATGAGTCACTTTGTAAATCAGGAATTCCCATCCCATGTCTCTACTTCTGTAACTCAGACATTCCTACCCTGAGGAGTATGTGAACTGTGTAGAGGCCCAGAGGGCAGGCATGCTCTCAGTCATTAGCGCTTCCCGGAGGAGGTGTAGGAGGGAAGCAGGGGTAAAGGATACTCAGGGAGAAGGACAGGCTAGAGGGAGGCTGGAGAACGTGATTGTTAATGCTCATTCACAGGTATTTCTTTGTTGTAGAAGGGTGGTTGGTGGTTAGGGGAGGTGTGTGCCTTTTATGTTTCTGATTTTCTTTTCTTTTTTTGAGACAGAGTTTTGCTCTGTTGCCCAAGCTGGAGTGCAGTGGCGTGATCTTGGCTCACCACAATCTCCGCCTCCCAGGTTCAAGCAATTCTCGTGCCTCAGCCACCCAAGTAGCTGGGATTACATTTGTATTTTTGGTAGAGATGGGGTTTCACCATCTTGGCCAGGCTGGTCTCCAACTCCTGGCCTCAAGTGATCCACCTGCCCTGGGCTCCCAAAGTGCTGGGATTACAGGCATGAGCCACTGTGCCTGACCCACTTTTCTGATTTTCAATACCTCCTCCATAGAGCAGTAAAAAAAGAATAAGAAGAGCTGTTTTTTTTTCTTGGCTCTGTCACTGTGATTGGAATCTTCTTTCAGGACCTCAGTTTCTCTAGTTGTAAAATGGGGCAGGAGGTGGTCAGGATAATTAATCTCTGGCTCCCTTCCAGCTTTAATAATTATTTTCCAATTTCTGTACTCACACCCTCCCCTGTAATCAGGTAAATATTCCGGATTGGATTGTTGACCTTCGCCATGAGTTGACCCACAAGAAAATGCCCCATATAAATGACTGCCGCAGAGGTGAGTCCTCAGAGGTTATACCTATCACAGTTAAGCCCAGGGGCCTGGGCTTGGTGGCGCTGAGGGTAGAGGGATAGGCAGGAGGGTCTCCACCTGGAGTCAAGGCTGGGACTAGGGTGAAAGAAGTGAGGCCTCGCCTTGGGCACAACATTTAAAGTGGGGAGAAGTCAAAAGTTCCATAATCAAGATAAATAACATATTAATGTGGAAAAATTCATGATAAACATAATATCAAAACTTTAAGTAAAACGGGATTAGTATTACTGATTTCTCCTTTTGTTTCAGCTTCCAACATGGCTTGGCATATTTTGATACCTTGACTACAGAGGTTTTTTTGCCTGCCCTTAAGTTGTTTTTTGTTTGTTTGTTTGTTTTGAGACGAGTCTCACCCTGTTGCCCAGGCTGGAGTGCAGTGGCACGACCTTGGCTCACTGCAACCTCCACCTCTCGAGTTCAAGTGATTTTCCTGCCTCAGCCTCTTGAGTAGCTGGGTCTATAGGCACATGCTACTATGTCTGATTAACTTTTTTTTTTTTTTTTTTTGAGACAGAGTCTCACTCTGTCACCCAGGCTGGAGTGCAGTGGCGCAATCTCAGTTCACTGCAACCTCCACCTCCTGGGTTCAAGTGATTCTCCTGTCTCCACCTCCTGAGTAGCTGGGATTACAGGCACGCGCCTCCATGCCTGGCTAATTTTTTTTTTTTGTATTTTTAGTAGCGATGGGGTTTCATCATGTTGGTCAGGCTAGTCTCGAACTCCTGACCTCATGATCTGCCCGCCTCAGCCTCCCAAAGTGCTAGGATTACAGGCATGAGCCACTGCACCTGGCTGTATTTTTTTAGTAGAGCTGGGGCTTCATCATGTTGCACAGGCTGGTCTCAAACTCCTGACCTCAAGTGACCCGCTCACCTTGGCCTCCCAAAGTGCTGGGATTATAGGCGTGAACCACAGTGCCCGGCCACTCCCCTTAAATGTTGTTTCTCAGGTAGTGCCTCATTAGTCTCACATACCTCTCCATAGTTGAGGTGGGGAGGTTGCCAGGCATGAGCCATCAGCAGTGTCATGAACCCAAGGGTTCCTTGGACATCCACCCCATCCCGATTAAGAATCCTGGATTTAGCCTCACTCTTTGTGATGGGAAAACAGATCTAGAAAAGGGGAGACTTGGCCAAGGCCATGTAACTAGCTAATGGGGCTGATTCCTACTTCTGCCACTTACTAGCCCCTTAACTGTTTTTGGCATCTCGTCTCTAAGTCCAATAATAGGTTTTTTTTTCTAGAAAAAGTGCTGGTAAGCAGGATAAAGCAAAGAACAGGGGGATAACCCAGAGTGAAAGAGGCTGCTTCTGGATATTTGAGATTTGAACCTTGGAGCCAAGCCTTTTCCTGGGGCCTTCCTATAATACCCACAAGATGAGGCTGGAGGCCTGCTAGCTGCCTGCCTGATCCTGTGGCACTGCCTGCCTTCCCCCCTCTAGGCTGCTACTTTGTCCTGGATTGGCTCCAGAAGACCTATTGGTGCCGCCAACTGGAGAACAGCCTGAGAGAGACCTGGGAGTTGGAGGAGTTCAGGGAAGGGATAGAGGAAGAGGATCAAGAGGAAGATAAGAACATTGTTGTTGATGACATCACAGAACAGAAACCAGAGCCTCAGGATGATGGGAAAAGTACGGAGTCAGATGTAAAGGCCGATGGAGACAGCAAAGGCAGCGAAGAGGTGGATTCTCATTGCAAAAAGGCCCTGAGTCATAAAGAGCTATATGGTAGGTGTTTTGGAGGGCAGAAAGCGGCCCATGAGCCCAGAAGGCTCAGGCTTAGGGTTAACGCTGTTTATTTCCCTGGCTCAGCATTTCCTCTGGGGCTGTGGTGAATCTTAGCTTAAAAAATTACTGTCACAAACCATCCTCCTGGCTAGTTTCCATAGTATAATGGCTGTCACATTTGCCTCACAAACCATCTTGAGCCCTGTGAAGTAGTTGGGGAAGGAATTCTAGTTCCTCAATTACAACTCAAGAAATGAGGTGAGAGAGGCTCAGAATCCCATCAGGAGAAGGGGTCTGGGCTGGCAGTCCTATCTGTCTCCCCATTCTGTTTTCAGAAAGAGCCCGAGAACTGCTGGTATCATACGAAGAGGAGCAGTTTACGGTAAGAAAGTGCCCTGGACTTGGTGTGCTCTCATCTGCCCCAGCCATTTCTTCCCTCTTGCCAGCTACCTGAGAGAAGTCTTGAGAAGGAATTTGAAAGAAAAGTGACAAAGCGTGAGGGAACTTCTCGGAAAGAGAGAGGGGGGAACTAGGAAGGAGACAAGAGGAGCAGAGTCCAATTGGCTGATCCTCCACACCGATGGAAGGGAACAGATGATGAAGTTTGCGGATAATCTGCCCCACTGGGTGGTAGGGAACAACTGGGAATGGGTAGTTGCGCAGCCCTGCAATTCCGCAGCTGACCAGTAGATGGGGCCCAAGAGCTTCCCTAAATCAGGTGAGCTGGAGGGGTGCTGTTTTTAGGGAGGTCACTCAGAAACCATTTAGCTCAGCCCTTCCTTTTCACAGATTAAGAAATTGAAGCCATGGATGAGTGAAGGGACAGGCCCAAAGTCACATATACAGTTAATGATAGAACCAGGATTAGTACCTGGATCTCCCAGTTATCTTTCTTCTGTAACTCATTGCCTCTCCTCATCTCTGGCCCTTTGGCCTAAGAGTCTCTATCTCCAGCCAAATTCCCCCATTGAACATCTCAGTATTTACCCACAGGAAATTCAGTTGGAGGAGGAAGGGAGGGAGAAGGAGGAGGAAGTCTCACATTTGAGAGTCAGGCTATTTTTAGTTGCAAGGCCAGTAGGGGAGTTGTGGGCCCCCCCCTGCATGCCCTGCCCTGTCCCCTGCAGGGCAGTGCTGAGAGGTCCTATGGGAAGGGATCCTGGAGGGGTGGAGGTGGGTTGCTTGGCTGAACCAGCCTTCTGATGGGACCCTCTTTGCTGGCAGGTGCTGGAGAAATTTAGGTATTTACCTAAGGCCATTAAGGCGTGGAATAACCCGTCCCCACGTGTAGAATGTGTCCTGGCAGAGCTCAAGGGCGTTACATGCGAGAACAGGTGTGTAACTAGGTAACCGGGAGCTGCGTATTCTCTAGGATAGAGGGTAGCAGCCTCATTGAAATCGGTTTCCCTATCCTAGCTTGCCAACCTCTGCTGTACAAAATCCCAGGGATAATCCTGATCCCCTCCACAGTGACCCTACATTTGGCAGAACTGTCTGCCCTCAACCCTGCCAACTTCCAGGTGGGGGTTGCCTATACTAGAATGGCCAGAGGCAGGAATGCCCACTATCATCCATCTGCTGGCCAGCTGCTTTCCTGTCTGTCGGGTGGCATGTGGAGCTCTTGACAACTAGGAAAATCCCTTGATAATTACCACCTCACTCACTGCCTAGCCCTTGTCTAAGTTTGAGGTAAAAGATATATGTATGGTGGGCACTGCTAGTCTTGTCTTGTTTTTTTTTTATTTTTTATTTATTTTTTTTGAGAAAGTGTCTTGCTCTGTTACCCAGGCTGGAGTGCAGTGGCGCAGTCTCGGCTCACTGCAACCTCCACCTCCCGGGTTCAAGTGATTCTCATGCCTCAGCCACCAGAGTAGCTGGGACTACAGACGTGAGCCACCACACCTGGCTAGTTTTTGTATTTTCAGTGGAGACAGAGTTTCACCATGTTGGCGAGGCTGGTCTCAAACTCCTGGCCTCAAATGACCTGCCCTTCTGGACCTCCGAAAGTGCTGGGATTATAGGCATGAGCCACTGTGCCTGGCCTTTTCTCTTTTTTTACGATAGGGTCTTGCTCTGTCACCCAGGCTGGAGTGCAGTGGTGCGAACATAGTTAACTACAGCCTCAACCTCGCACACTCAAGAAATCCTCCCACCTCAGCCTCCTAAGTAGCTAGGACCAACAGGCATGCACTACCATGTCTGGCTAATTTTATAATTTTTTGTAGAGATGGGGTCTCACCATGTTGCCCAGGCTGGTTTCAAGTTTTGGGATTCAAGAGATTGTCCTGCCTTGGCCTCCCAAAGTGCTGGGATCACAGGTATAAGCCACTGCAGCCGGCCTGGTCTTTTTTTTTTTTTTTTTTTTTTTTTTTTTTTTTTTTTTGAGACAGAGTTTCGCTATTGCCCACGCTGCAGTGCAGTGGCACGATCTTGGCTCACTGCAACCTCTGCCTCCCGAGTTCAAGGGATTCTCCTGCCTCAGCCTCCCCGAGAAGCTGGGACTACAGGCACGTACCACCACACCTGGCTAATTTTTGTATTTTTAGTAGAGACGGGGTTTTGCCATGTTGGCCAGGCTGGTCTGGAACTCTTGACCTCAGGTGATCCACCTGCCTTGGCCTCCCAAAGTGCTGGGATTACAGATGTGAGCCACCACGCCCGTCCTGGTGTTTTCTTTTGAACTGCCATTGGAGAGTATTAGCATCCCTTGGATAGTCATGGTTAGGGGAATAGAGGCGGGACCTTCTCAGGGTCTGGCTCCTAGAGACTAAGTTCCTTGTCTCTCAAGTATGGCTGTGAGCCTTTGTTTCCAAAACAAAGTGCTCAGCTCAGTCCAGAGCAGGCGCATAGTATGTCTACCCATTCTTCTTTCCTCCCTAGCTCTTGGGGGCTTTCTACCTAAATTCAGCTGGAAGGGCTTTGGGGGACTTTCCGCTAAGAACGTGTGGAGGCAATGCTAAACCTCAGCTAGAGAGAAGTTGGAGAGTTTAGGTAGGTGGTGTAGGTAGCAGAGTAACCCTGGGTGAGAACTGCAGTGTAGGCTGGGATTGCCCCTGGAGTCTTCTCTTCATGTCCAGGATACTCGTTCCAAAAGTATTTTATCAGTGTTTGCCCAGCCTAGGTTTCTTGGCTCTACCCTTCAGCAAAAGGGTTGGTGGTGGCTTCATTAGCAGCTGGGAAAACTATGCCCCTAACACAGTAGTGTCTGCCTGGTAATGCTGGAGAGAGGGATCTAAGTATGTCAATTTTCCAGGCATTAGGACAACTTGGGAGCTCTTTTTTCCACGTCTAGGCTTGGTCAGTTAGGAGAATGTCTATATCTGTTTAGTGTTGCTATAAAGGAATACCTGAGGCTGGGTAATTTTGAAGAAAAGAGGTTTGTTTGTCTCATGCTTCTGTATCCTGTATGAGAAGCATGGTGCCAGCATCTGCTTCTGGTTAGAGCTTCAGGCTGCTTCTTCCCCTCATGGCAGAAGGCAAAGGGGAGTCCACATGTACAGATATCAAATGGCAAGGTGGAGGGGGAGATGTCAGGCTCTTTTTTAACAACCAGCTCTTGCGGAAACTAATAGAACAAGAACTTAATACTGTGGGAACAGCACCAAGTCATTCATGAGGGATCCGACCCAATGACCCAAACCCCTTCTACAGGCACCAAGGTCAACATTGGGGATCAAATTTCAACATAAGATTTGGAGGGGACAAACATCCAAACTGTAGCAGAAAGCCTCTTGGGAAGCCACTAACTCTGGAGGAATCAGCTTGCTGTTGCTGGTGTAGGTTTGAGCTATTAACCCATTTATGCCGGAGGTTGCAATTTCTTTCTTTTTTTTTTTTTTTTTTTTGAAAAATCAGACCTTGGTGAAGACCTTGAGCAGTAGGATATAAATAACTCCCACAAGCTTAGCGTTCCAATAATGGAACACTCGGCATAAATGGGTTAATAGATAGGGATGAGAGATTACCCCTATAGCCTACTCCTGCAACCCCTCTAACTTTGTTCTGGGTTTTTAGAACCCCTAGTAATAAGGCCTATGGACCATATTTGGTCTAGCAGTTGGGTCCCCAAGGTTTCTACTTCTAGGATCTAAAAGAAGGTAGCCAGGGAGAAGAGAAGGGGTAGGGTACTGAAGAATGGTCAAGATAAACAGACTGCAAGAACTGAGTCTAAAAGCCCTTGACCCCATGATCCCAGGCATTTATTTCCTTCTGTGGATGTGGAACTTTTTCCTGTCTGTGTGTTGAAGTGTATTCAGACACTACTGCTCTCGTTATGGGCCATAGATCAGCATTAGTGCTTGGTAAGCACTTGTTCAAAACCCACTGATCCCAGCCTCTAACCAGCCCCTGCCTGAGGAGGCTGAAGCCTAAGATCCAATTGTCAACTCCCTTCCTCCCCACTCCTACCCACCCACCACCCCTCCTCCCTATGCTGCTTCAGCCACTTGAGCCAGAGGCATTAGCTGCTTTGGAGGTGGGTGGAGGAGTAGGAGAGGGTCTTCTGCCAGCATCACTTTGCTAAACTAGTGTCCTCTTGTTCCAGGGAGGCTGTGCTGGATGCTTTTCTGGATGATGGCTTCCTTGTCCCCACATTTGAACAGTTGGCAGCTTTGCAGATAGAATATGAAGGTAGGGTTCTGGGGGCTCACTGCACCCTTAGGGTTCTGATTCCTGGGTGGAAACAGCTGGGGTGGGCTGGGGGGCCCTGGGTTGGGGTGTGAAGGCTGTTTCCTGCCATTCCATGGCCTCTGAAAGTCCCTCAGCCTTCCTGGCTGAGCAGAACAGGTAGCCCCACTGACAGTTGTGGGGCTGCCCTTAAGTGCTCTGGAATGGGGTGGGGTGGGATGGGGTGGGGTCGGGGAGTCTTAATGACATTATTGTGCCATGTTCGTTGTGATTTAGCTGCTAGCTAGAGAGCTAGAACAGCAGAATTGGAGGGGCCTTGTGAGGTCATCTAGTCCAACATCCTCATGTTACAGATGGTCAGACTGAGGTCCAGAGAGGGGAAGGTACTGACCCAAAGTCACACAGTGAGTTATTGACAAAGCTGAAGCTAGAACCAGATCTCTGTTTTGTTTATACTTTATTTTGAGTCAGTTGTTGGTTGCCAGATACTAACTGGTTTCTCTCTCCCCACTGTTCTGCTCTCCTCTTTCCTTTGTTCTGCGGTGGCAACTCTGTTGTTGGTGGGGGGCTTGGCTCATGCGCGCGCACACATTCTCTTGCTCTCACTCTCACTTCCTTTCTCTTGCTGTCTCTTGCTCTCTCTTTCGTGCTCTCCTGCTCTCTCTCTCCTATTGCCCCCCCAAATGGGTGTCCCTTACAAACCAGAAAACGTGGACTTGAATGACGTCCTGGTGCCAAAGCCGTTCTCTCAGTTCTGGCAGCCCCTGCTCAGGGGCCTGCACTCCCAGAACTTCACGCAGGCCCTATTGGAGAGGATGCTCTCTGAACTGCCAGCCTTGGGGATCAGCGGGATCCGGCCTACCTACATCCTCAGATGGACCGTTGAACTGATCGTGGCCAACACCAAGACTGGTGAGGGAGACTAGCCCTAGCCCTAGGGCCTAAGGCAGCCCAGGCAGGAGCCTCTGCCACTGTCCTCAGCTCTCTGCTAAGAAGCACCAGGCAAACACCTCCCGTGTTAAAGGTTTAGGTTTGCCCAAGAGGGCCCCACGGCAGCAGTGGACAAATCTCCCTTTTCCTTTTCTTCTCAGAGCCAACTAAACTGGGCTGGGGCAAAGTGCCCTGAATTCTTTGAGCAGTTGGGAGGTATAGGTGGGGAGTCTGGGGGGATGGGGAGGGACAGAGCCAAACTTTCTGAGGTGAAATGTTGGGTGGGGGGCTCACTGCTTCCTTCTCCTTAGATCCTCTCTTCTCTCTCAGGACGGAATGCTCGCCGATTTTCTGCAGGCCAGTGGGAAGCAAGAAGGGGCTGGAGGCTGTTCAACTGCTCCGCCTCCCTTGACTGGCCCCGGATGGTTGAGTCCTGCTTGGGCTCACCTTGCTGGGCCAGCCCCCAACTCCTTCGGATGTAAGTCTCTTGAATTCCATCCGGTAAGAGGGTGAGGCCCTTCAAGCCTCAGGGCCACACTGCCCTAGAATGACTGAGTTAGAAGGGCCCTTTGGGGACAGTCTAGCCCAGTCTCACTCCCACTGACAGATGGGACAACTGAGTCCAGAGAGGGGAGGGGTAGGGTTTTCTTACCTAAGATCATACAGCTTAAGACCTGACTGAACTGAGTCCAGTGTGGGAATGGATAAGACAATCCCCCTAGAGTGCTTAGCACAGTGGCCTGCACAGAGTAAGTGCACAATAAATGGTAGCTGCTGTTTATTATTGAACCCAGGTCTTCTGACTCCAAGCCCAGTGCTGTTTCCTCTATTATCTTTCCAAAGTATACCTCTGATAGTTGCTTAGCAACCTTCAGTTGCTCCCTATTGCCTTCCTGTTAAGTCTAGGCTTCTTAGCCTGACATTCAAAGATCTTTCTGATTCTGGCCCAACTTACCATGGTAGCCATACCTCCTGTGAGTCTCCTTTACCCTATCCACCCTGGGTTCTATGGTCAAACTGAATATTGCACTGGTAAATACCTGTGGTTGTCTCCCTTTCCTTTTCTCTGTCATTTCCTGACCCTGAGCCACTTCCCTCATAATCATGGAAGCCTTTAGCGCCTGATTCCCTTCTTGCTTTCTTGAGCAATATCTGTTTCATTTGGATGACTCATCTGACACTCTACAGCTCCTCAACTCCAGTGACTTTCATTCTCCACTACACTCAGCAACCCATTTCCATCATTCGGAGCTATTCCACCTCTGAAAGCTCACATCCCAGCATCCCACTCGGTGACCACCACTTCTCGTCCTTCTAGTTCTCACCCTTGCATCCCATGACATCTGCTCTTTGCCTGCATCCAGATCTCCATCCCTCCATTTCCTGCATCCCTTGACCTTGCTTCCTCTCTATCCTGTCTGTGGTTGCTCAGTTCGGCCACTCATCATCAGCACCTTCAGCTTTGCCCATCCTTTGGCCATATCTGACTTGCAAACCCCTGAGCTGGAATTGATCCTCCCCATTCTGCTTCCCCTGCTCCTCAGCCCGGGTAGCTGAGCTCTGCTGGAGAAAACCACATAGCCCTGCGGATTGCTGCCACTGCAGAGGTATGATTTTTAATCTCGGGCGAGGCCTCAGTTCTGCTTGTCTGAACTTTTACTTGTTTTCTGACCACTTTCTCTCCCATTTCCTCACTATTCTAAACCCTTACCGCTCACCTCAAGCCCCTCCCCCTCTCCCATTTCACCCTAGCTTCCTCGAGCACATGGAGGCATCCGGCAGGGCCCCCTCGACCTGAGGTCCAGCCCTCGTGAACTGATCTGCGGCTGCACTCAACCTTCTCGCCAGTCTCAGGATGAGGTGGCCTTGCCCCACCTCAAAGCCTGCTCCTCCACCTGTGCTCTGGAGCCACCTCTGCCAGCATCGCTGGGGCCTCACCCCAGCCTCTACCTTGCTCTGCTGGCTCTTGCTCTTCAACCTAGGAACGTGCCTGAGCTTTTCTCATCTTAAACAAAACAACAATAACAGCAACACAAGCAAAATCTCCTTTGACCCTGCATCCCTCTGTTGGGTTATCATCAGCTTATCATTCCCACCCTTCCCATCAAAACATCTCAAAAGAGTAGTCTACACTCAACACTCTCCATTTCCTCACTACCCTCTTACTCCTCAACCTGCTGCAATTTGACATTCACCCCCAGAGTTGCTTTGACCTCCTAATTACCAAATCAGTGGGCCCTTGTCAGTCTCTGTGTCTGCTGCATTGATGCTGTTTACCACCCCCTCCTCAAAAAATGCCTGTGCTTATTACTAGTTCCTATAAAGTGCTGAAACCCAAATCTGTCTAGCCCTGGCCCCTCCCCCAAGATTCAGCCTCCTGTACTCGACTACATGTCAGACATCTCCCCTTGGATGGCCCACAGGCACCTTACTGTGACCAAAAGAGAATTGGTCGTCTCAGTCCCCATCTCAACTCTAAAGTGATCTTCCTCCTCTGTTCCCTATCTCACTTGGTGGCGGCACCATCTACCCTGTCCTGTTGACTCTCGAATACTTCCCAAATCTGAGGTTTTGTGTTGCCGTGTCTACTTCCCTTAGTGTCTCCTTCCCTCTATCAGACTAAGCTTTTCAAGGGCAAGGACTCTACATCAGCTGTCCGTGCCCTAGCACACCACACAAGTCTAGGCACCAAACAGGCCTCAGTAAATGTCGTTGAATTGAACCGTGCTCTGCTCTCTCATTCCCAGCAGTGCTGTCCTTGGTGGGAGCTGACCCAGTGCCTGGGGAATGAATGAAGTGGGAGTCTGGATGCCAAGACCCTCTTAGTCCCTGATCCCCCTATTGAGTCCAAAAGTCTTTCTTTAACCCTGATGGCATTTGGGACACAGAGGTATTTGTAAGGTTTTAAAAGTGGCTTTGTAGACAAAGTCAGTCAAGGCAAGACTTCCAGGAGTTGGAACTGAACAGCCACATTGCCAGATGTGTGCTCCAGACTAGAAGTGATGTGGATGGGTGGGCAATTGGGAGGAGAACCAAAAGGGCCTGGATGAGTCAGAGTTTCAAGAGGAGGCATTTGAACAATTCAAGCAGGAGAAAGAATAAAGCAAGTTTCAAAGTCCAGAAGGAACATGGCATGTGTATATAATGGGAGGGAGGGAGTGACAAGAGCAGCATGGAGAGGTTTGGATAGGTGGCCTTCAAGGTACTTTCCAATCCTAAGTGCCTGCAGAGTGGAAGCTGCTGGTCTCGGAGAAGTCTGGACCACAGAGATCTTCTCCCAACCCAAGCATACCAGAGGGATGCGACACATGCCGGCAGTAACAGCGGCTCACTTGGGTACGATTTCTTGTGCACAGATCCTGCCTTTCCCAGATAAGCAGTGAATCTAGTCCTAATCACCCCGTTACACAGAGTGGAGAACAGAGGGGGTTTGCCCAGGTATTATGCTGCAAGTCAGAGCTGGGGCCAGAATCCAGATAGCCTGTCCTTAGTCCCATGCTCTTCTGTAATACTCCACTAGATTGTATTATTGCAGAAAGCATCTGTTAAACACAGAACTTGGCTTTTGTTTTCCCCAGAGAAAAAATAAAAGATACTATTGGAAATTAAGTGTCAGGCATGGTGCTGTGTTTTTTTGTAGAGGTTAACTTCATTTACTTTGACACAGCAGTCTTGGGAGGTGGAAGTATTATATATTATACCCTATTTGACAGATAAGACATTGAGGCTCTAAGGAGTGATGGGACTTATCTAATAGCTACACATTTGTTGATGGTGGGACAGGGATCTTGGCCCAGGTGGTGTGAGCCCAAAGTCTACCTTCATCCCATCAGCCTGAATCTGTGACCTTCTCAGTCCTGAGCTATGACCAGACATACTCGAGGAAGGGGGTGTATTTTAAGATTCGCATCACCCCCGCACCTTAGTGGTCAGACTAATGGTTCGAGATAGCAGGTGGGTAATCATAAACAGGGCTGATAAGGCATTTTGCCAGTATCAAGTGTCTGGGAATATTTATTATTAATCACACTAATGGACCACCATGAGAGGACAAAGTTTCTCTCTGGCTTTTCATCTGATTAGAGCTGGAAGCTTTTCAAGCACTTTCTCCAGCCAGCCAATATCAATTTAATTTGAGCCACTATCGTCTTGGAATATGAAATTGCCTCCATAGACAGGATCTCCAGTGAAGTCATCAGCCCCCCAGCCCTGCCCCCACTGACCAGTCACCCTGCATATGTGACCAGTCTGCATGTGCCCAGAGAGAAAACAGCCTGCTGAGCTCATGGCCCGTCTGTGAACCATCCGCATCCATCTGTGACTGGGTGCCTGTTAGGTGCCAGGCTCTATGAGAGGCTCTGTGAGGGGTGCTCACCCTCCTCTCCCCTCGAGCTCCCCTTCCCAGCAGCTCTGTATCTGTTGGTGGTTTTGCTGTTGGCGCCGTCTTTTGTGTGCACAGTGTCATCATCTTTAACTCTGCCTGACCCCTGCCATCAGTCACCAAGCCCTGCTCTCTGTCTGTCTGTGTGTCCTTCACAGCTTCACTCCCTCCCATCTCCACTGCCAGTGCCCCAGGTCAGCCCTCCCCGACTCTGGCCTCAACTGTCGGAACAGGCTCCTCCCTGGTCTCCCTGCCTCCAGGCTGCCTGTCCAGGCCAGCCTCCACATGGTCACTTGGTGATCTTCAGAAACATAGCCTTCATGTGTACTCAGAATTGGCAGGTGAACCCTCACACACACACCAATGCACACACTTACCTTCCCAGCCCTCTCTTCCTCCCACGGCTCCTCAGCACAGGCCGTGCCCTCTAGCTGGGCTACTCACTGCACGCAGCAGCACCGTGTGCTTGCTCTTGTCTCTGGGCTTCCCGGGCCCTACCTCCTGCACAAAGCCCTCCCTTGGTCTTTCCTGCCCTCCTCGTGCTCTCTGTCTCCCTCAGCCCCGCAGTGCCTGCAGTAGGTTCGCAGTGCTCATCTGGCCTCCCTCCCACATCCTGCTTTGTCTTGTCAGCCGCTGCTTTTTTTTTCTTTTCCTCCATTCCAGGCTGGGCTGTAGCTGCTCCCATAAAGGGATCACAGTTTGTGTTCCACGCAGAAGGAGCACAGAACACTTCCAGGCATATCCTTGGAGCTCAAGACAGGTTGCTCAGCTAGGCCAGAGAAGAGAGGGATCTGTTCATTTCCAGCCCTGCAGGCCTGTTGGCTGTTTTGTGCATTTATGTAGCTTTTAAGTGCAGACTAATAGCTATCATTTATTGCATGCCCACTATGTGCCAGGCACTGTGCCAGGCATTCTATGTGAGCTTTCTTATTTACTCCTCCCAACAATCCTATACATTAGGTATCATTATTGTCCTCATTTTACCTGAGAATGGAAGTGAGGCACAGAGATGAACCACAGAGTTTGTTCTGGGTCCATGGTCCTGTTGTTTCTATGTTCTGTCTGCTCTACTACACTGCCTTTCAGAGGCAGGTCTGGAAGTTCAGAGACCAAGTTCAAACCCTGGAGTGTTGGGGTATGAAGTGGCTTGAGATTTTGAATCTTTCCTACCCCATCCCTCCCTTTGCTCAGCATCTTCAAAGCCATGGGGCAGGGCCTGCCAGACGAGGAGCAGGAGAAGCTGCTGCGCATCTGTTCCATTTATACCCAGAGTGGAGAAAACAGCCTGGTGCAGGAGGGCTCTGAGGCCTCCCCCATTGGGAAGTCTCCATATACACTAGACAGCCTGTATTGGAGCGTCAAGCCAGCCAGCTCCAGCTTCGGGTCTGAAGCAAAGGCCCAGCAACAGGAGGAGCAGGGCAGTGTTAATGATGTCAAGGAAGAGGAGAAGGAGGAGAAAGAGGTCTTGCCAGACCAGGTAGAGGAGGAGGAAGAAAATGATGACCAAGAGGAGGAAGAGGAGGATGAAGATGATGAAGATGATGAAGAGGAAGACAGAATGGAGGTGGGGCCTTTCTCTACAGGGCAAGAGTCCCCCACTGCCGAGAATGCTAGGCTTCTGGCCCAGAAAAGAGGAGCTTTGCAGGGCTCTGCATGGCAGGTTAGCTCAGGTAAGAACTACTTTGTCCCCACATGGACTTCTTTTCTCTTTGGCTGGCTCTTGAGGCTTCCTTCTACCCTAGGAAGAGATGGAAAGTAGCAGGAGGTAGCCAATGTGAGGCAAGCCTGGAAGGCAGCCTGGTGCATAGATGACAGCTGGCTTCTCCCACCTCTTAGGATGGAGCCTGTGAGTGCCAGGGACCACTGTCAGGCTGCTGGCTACCTCACATAAGAGCACATTCTGAGAGGATGACATGGGTGTGAGCCCTGGGCAGTAACATAGAGGCAGAAGATAGCAAGAAGTAGGGAGTGTGTACATATATGGTTCTGCACGTGTTTTTCACTTGCAGTGAGACAGTGCTTTCTGTGTATGTGTGTGTGTGCCTTGAGGCTGGCTGGTGGTGAGACAAGATTTTGATGTGTGTATTAGAAAGAAGGAACCTAGGAGACCGGGCGTGGTGGCTCATGCCTGTAATCCCAGCACTTTGGGAGGCCGAGGCGGGCGGATCACGAGGTCAGGAGATCGAGACCATCCTGGCTAACATGGTGAAACCGTGTCTCTACTAAAAATACAAAAAAAAAATTAGCTGGGCGTGGTGGCGGGCGCCTGTAGTCCCAGCTACTCGGGAGGCTGAGGCAGGAGAATGGCGTGAACCTGGGAGGTGGAGCTTGCAGTGAGCCGAGATCGCGCCACTGCACTTCAGCCTGGGTGACAGAGCGAGACTCCGTCTCAAAAAAAAAAAAAAAGAAAGAAAGAAAGAAAGAAGGAACCTAGGGCATTAAGTCAGAGAAACAGGAAGTGAGATCACAAGACAGAATAAGGAATGCTGTGATTTTTAGGTGAGCACACAAATTAGTGAGGCCAAAGCTAGGAAGAGGCTGCAGGGAGGGTTAGTGATAGGGATCTGCTCTTCCTTTTGAGTACCCTTGCTTAGGTTAATGAACAGGAACCTCGGAGGCCGGAACACACAGAAGGGATGACAGAACAGTGTGGTGTCTGTGTGCTGAAGCCTGGGGAGGGAGGGAGAACAGCTGGGCCTGCGTGATGTGGGGTGTGCAGTGGCAGAGAGTGAGAGGGGAGGCAGTGAATGAGTTTATAGAGAAAGATACTATGGCCTTTGTTTGTCCTTGTATGGACAGGGTGGAAGGGCTGGAACATAAAACATAAAGTCTGTCTCTCTGTGTGTGTGTGTATGGGCATGTTCCTGTACCTGCTGGTCAAACCATAGCCCAGTGACAAATAACTTAGGGCAAGGAGGGCTGTGTTGGGGGTTCTTTGTAAATATTGAAAGGGAGGGGCATTGACATAAGCAGAATTTGTGTGTGTGTGTGTGTGTGTGTGTGTGTGTGTGTGTGTGTGTATAGGAAAAAGGGAAAAGTAGGGGCAGTTAAGTCATGGCCAAGCAGGCTGTCGTACAGCTTTGTGAAGAGGAGGCAGGGTTGCTGAAATCCATGAGGGCTAATAGGTAATCTGTGTGAGAGAGAAGTGATAGCATTGAGGTTGGTGGCTATGGAGGGGTAGTGGGAACAGGCAGTGAGATATAGCCATCCAGAGATGGCCTGTATGTTCACGCCGTCACTGGGGACATGTACAAGGGTATCAGGCTAAAGAGGCAGGGGTAGTGATGTAGACAGCATTGGCGATATTAGTGATGACAGAGAGATGATCGGGTCAGTGACAGAGCCTATGTAGGTAGTGGCCCCTGTGCACGAAGGTGTCTCTGTATCATGGAGTAATGCAGGACATTAAGACAGGCACAACTTCCAGTAAGAGAGCCAGGGGAGGGGGATGGACAAGTAGAGGAACAGTCCTTCCTGAGGAGCTCTGGGTTACATAAAAAGCTGGTCCAGGGTTGACACATTATAGAATGCCAGGGGCATTATGACAGGGAGAATTCTTTGAGTACCAGGGAGATGCAGAAGGCCAGAAATGGAATCTACATGGAATGCACCAGTGAAGGCTTCATTTGAAAACACTGAATGCACTTGTGGAAGGATGGGGAGGGACATTTAATATAATACTGTGTGGTAGGCGTCTCAGTGATACGACAGAGAGGGATGGGGGATGTCCGGCATCCCCATTCTAAAGTGGAGCATCTGTATATGGGGGGATGTGAGTTGTGAATGTGGAAAGTCTAGAACATTAACTCTTTCCCTTTCTCCTTTGCCATTGCTCCTTATGTGTGTACACATGTGTGGGGAGGTAGGGACAGGAAGATTGCTGGTTGTATGCCAGTGAATGAGGGGTGTGGGAGGCAGGGAGTGAACAGGACAGTCACTGAGTGAAGGACTTGTGTATGTGTGCTTCTGTATACATATTTGGGTGGCTGTGAGGGGTGGGATGTGTGGTGAGACAGCCGTTCCCTAGAAAAGGGGTGTACCTTGTGCATCTTGGGGCAAGAACTGCAGGGGGCAGGGGAACATACTATCTCAGGGAGTCCACCCTGAGTTGGGCATGGGGGTGTGTGTGTATCTCTGCATTAAGAAAATATGTGGTATTCAAACAGGCAGGGGAGTGTGTGTGTAGATTTGTAGGAAATCTAGGTCATTCAGCTACTCTGAGGTACTGGTGGGTTTGGGGTTTGAGGGGGAGGTGCTTTGGGAATTCTGGGACATCCAGACCCTCCATGATGTGTCCCTGTGTGTGTGTCTACAGACAGGGAAATAGGGGTGAAGATGAAAAGTTGAAGCAGTGATACAGCCTGGTCAGAAGTTGTTGTTTGTGTCCGTGTGGAACATGCCTGGGGAAGTAGGAAAAGAGCAAAGAGGGACAAAAATGTCTGTAGTTGTATACTTGTATATGTAAGCACATAGAGGGGGAGAAGGACCATAAAGAATGTGTGGTGAAGCACTCTGGTGGAGAGGGGCTCATGAGAAGTGATACCGAGAGCAGTGAAGCTGGAGATCCTGAGAGAGCCCACCTGTGCTAAGTGGGGTGGGTGGATGGACAGGGTGAGCAGGCCTGTGCACCAGTCGGAGAACCAGCTCATCAGCCCAGTCTTGCCACTTCCCTTTGCTCCACAGAAGACGTGCGATGGGACACATTTCCCCTAGGCCGAATGCCAGGTCAGACCGAGGACCCAGCAGAGCTCATGCTGGAGAATTATGACACCATGTATCTTTTGGACCAGCCTGTGCTAGAGCAGCGGCTGGAACCCTCAACATGCAAGACTGAGTGAGTGCCCATGGCAACAGGATTTCTCACCCCCTTTCTCTGCCACCTGTGGGAGGGAGAGAAGACAAGGTGAGGTGGGTGGGGGAGGTAGCTGTCCCCAGTCAGGGCCTAAATGAGTGAAGTGTAAGCCCCAGTCCCTGGCTGGGCCCTTGCCAGCTCTCCCTGTCCCTAGTGTGGGGAGCCAGTGAAGTAGCCACACACAGCTGGGCTTGGCATCCCTCTCAGATTGCATTCAGTTTGTGCTTATGGATGGACGTGTGTGTGTGTGTGTGTGTGTGTGTGTGTGTGCAGGCACACACACACATTTTGGGAGGAGAAGGGTCCATAGCTTTCAGCAGATTCTCTAACTGGTCCACCACTCCTAAAAAGTCAAAAATAGATGCTCTCATCCAGCTTTTTCACGTTACTGAGGAGAAAACTGAGGCCCAGAAAGGGGAAGGGATTTGTCTAATGGTGCATAGAGTAATCAGTAGGCCTCCCCACACTGTCCAGGCACCTTGGTAGCAAGGCCTGCACGGGGCTTCATGCTCTCCCTCAAAACTCGCCTCTGGATCACAGGCGTGGGAGCCCTTGGGTCACCAGGGAGCCAGGAACCAAGCAGCCCTTGCTGAGGGGCTATGCTAGTAACACAAAGGAGCCCATCCAAAGGGCCTGTACATTCCAGAATGCTGGGCCATTCTGACCAGATAATCCTGTGAGTACTAGAGAGGAACCCCTGCGGGCCCCTGAAACTAAGTCTTTCCCTTTGCTGCCTGCCCACTCCCTGGGAGATGAACCCCTCTTCATCTGGGCATTCTGGGAAAGGGCTATAGAATCCAGGGGCCCCAGAAGCAGGCCAGACCCAAGGCAATGCCATGGACTCTGTCCAAGGCCATGGGCCAGCAGGCCTCTTGGAGAAGAGAGGTGGCAGCTGGGGAAGCCAGGAGATCTGTAGTTGGGAGTGGGATTCACATGTCTGAGAGAGGTGCCCTTACCCCTCCTTCCCAACCAGCCTGGCCCTGGGTAAGGATGGCTTATTGAGTACCATGGATAGCAAGGGTGAAGTGTGGGCAGCTGGAGCTGTTCAGTCAAGAAGGAAGCTGATTCAGCCCAGCTCCCACACCCACTGTAGTAGGGACGTTTCCTTTGCTGTGGAGGGGCATGCCCACCCCTGCTTCTTGTCTCAGCTCCACCCCTGACTTGGCTATGTGGCCTTGGGAAAGTCCATTCCCATCTCTGGGCCTCAGTTAACTTGTCTGTAAGATTGTGGGTGATGGGAGGTGGTGGAACTAGATTATCCGTAAGGGTTCTTTCAGCTGCAGTAGTGTAACCATGGATCTGCCTGAGGGTAGGGTGATGGCTTTGCTCTCAGCTGTCACCCTCACCCAGCTGGAAGGACCTTGACTTGCGGGAAGCAGGGGAAGCAAGAGTGTTATGAGCAGGGCCAGGGAGAAGGAGGGCAGAGCCACCCTCCCTAAAGCAATCTTGCAATCGTGGGCCTAGTCTTATAGCCCAAGCCTGGCCTTGGGCCCCTTAACCAGGTGTTGGGTGTGGGAGGGATCCAGGCCCCCAAGCTCTAAGGCCTTGAAAGGATGTCCTGTTAAGGCAGCTACTTTCAATGTCTTGGGAGTCAGGTTATGTGGGGCCCCCTCCCCTACCTCAACCCAAACAGCTCTGCTTTAATCTGGTTTATCTACTAGGGCTCTGCATAAAACTTCATTTGAAAAGTTCTTGCCTCCTTCCCTCCCTTCCTCAACTGAGGAGAGGGCCAAGTCAACCCTGGGGCCCACACGAAGTCGTTTCTCGGATTTGCTCCAGTCTCTTTGTAAAGCCAGGCAGGAGAGTGGGCCCATCCCACAGATACACACATGTCAAGCACTCTTGGCCCCTCCAGAGCCTAAAGCTGCCTCCTTCCCTGACTGACCTCCCACTCTCTCCTCAGCACCTTGGGCCTGAGCTGTGGTGTCGGCAGTGGCAACTGCAGCAACAGCAGCAGCAGCAACTTCGAGGGCCTTCTCTGGAGCCAGGGGCAGCTGCATGGGCTCAAAACTGGCCTGCAGCTCTTCTGATGGCCATCCCTGGTGCAAGTGTTCATCCAGCCGTGCCAGGGCAACAGCCCACCCCCTAGTACAACTGATGCTCCCTGAGACAACCTGGGAGACAGCCTGGATCAGCCACATCAACTCAGTTGTCCACCACAGGGGAATTTTGAATGTCTTTTGTTTTTGTTTTGTTTTGAAAAATAATAAACAGGCAACTGTAGTTTTGGTGTTTGTGAGATGAAGAGGGTGGGTGCTGGGGCAGACCAGTATAGTTTTCCCTTATCTGTGGAGGCTCCAGACAAGGCTTTGACCAGGAGCTAGGTCCTGAGGTCCTTTGGGCCTCTGGCTTTGATTGCTCCTATAACCAGGCTCCACCCATATCTTATTCCGGACTCCTCAAACCATTTCTGTTCTCAGCTGTAGTATGAGGCCAGCTCACTTGGAAGCATCAGGCTCCAGAGGCATTGCTGGCTACAGAGCCTAGCGAGTGGCCAGGTGGTTTGCTTAGAGCCTCCCTGACAGCGGGAAGAGCCAGGCCACCTTGCTGCTACCCAGCAGGCTTCCTGCTGTTCTCCACACCTGCCCTCACTATGCACCAAACAGCAGTTGAAAGCCAGAGAGAATATTTTCTTTGTCACTTCTGCACTCTTTTGGCCTAGAAAAGATGAGAGTGGGCTTCCCTGTGGTGTGCATTAGAGCCAGAGAAACATCTTAGGGACTGATCCAGAGCCCCTTCTCTGTGCTCACCAAATCCCCTCAGAAACTCACCTCACCTTAGAGTGCCTACCCCATGTCAGCCCTGAGCTACCAAGAGATAGGGATGAATAAACCATGTTTTCATTCCTTAGAGCCTTCAGCCTGGTGAGGAAGGACCAAATGATAACCTGATGCCTCTGCTAGGTGCCTTAAGGGATTTCTGTAAACGGCCGCACCAAGAAATGACGGAGAGAGCTTATGCTAAGAAAATGCCAAAGAGGAATTTGGTAAAAGTGCCGTGCTAGAGCCCAGTCAAGAGTTTTAACTTGGATTAGGACCCCTAGAGTGTCTACAACACTTGAAAGGATATACTAAGTATCATTGTGGGTATACGTATAATCATTTTTCTAGCTTTTATCAAGTTGTCAAAGGGATCCATTAGTCCAACAGCCCAGCAGTGTTAAGATCTTTCCTGTGTATGATCCAAGCATTAGGCATGGGCAAAGCAGTCTTGTGCAACATCAGTTTCCTTCCAGCTCTTCCCTGTCCCCTCACAATGGCAAAATGCTAGAAGTCTGTTGGCATCTTGGAATGGCAGAGCTGGAAGAGTCCTCAAAGAACATATAGGCCACATCTAGTGAAGGGATTTGCAGATGTGTACTCCGGGAGGTACTCCAGTGCCTGCTCTGTGGGGAGATAGGTGCCATAAGCTCTGGGTTCCCATCCAGCACTTCACCAGATTCTTATGTATTGGAATCATATATGAGATTTCTTTGGAAAGATGTTTTGGTTTTGTTTTGTTTTTGTTTTTTTTTTTTTTTTGAGACAGCCTCTGTCGCCCAGGCTGGAGTGCAATGGCACGATCTCGGCTCACTGCAACCTCCGCCTCCTGGGTTCAAGTGATTCTCCTGCCTCAGCCTCCCAAGTAGCTGGGATTACAGGTGCCCGCCACCAAGGCCGGCGAATTTTTTTGTATTTTTAGTAGAGACGGGGTTTTGCCATGTTGGCCAGGCTGGTCTCAAACCCCTGACCTCAGGTGATCCACCCGCCTTGGCCTCCCAAAGTGTTGGGATTACAGGCATGAGCCACCGCACCTGGCCAGAAAGATGGGTTTTGCTGCTTAAAAAAAAAAAAAAACAAATAAATAAGGTCTGGAAGTCACAGTTCTAGTCTACACCCCCCCACCCCCGATTGTATGCATTGAGACAGTGGGGCAGAAAAAAAAAGAAGGGATTTGCCTAAGGCCACAGAGCAACTTAATAGGTCAGTATAGATCAGTGTTTTCTAGCAACTGTCAATATCACCTGGGCACTTGTTAGAAATGCAAATTATTGGACCCTATTCCTGACCTGAATCAGAAAGGGTGAGATTGGACAGCAATCTTTGGCTTAGCAAGCCCTTAAAATGATTCTGATGCACACTGAGGTTTCAGATGCACTGGTATACAGGAAAAAGCTTGCCAAAGACCTGGGTTCCAGGCAAGCTCCACCGCTTAAGAGGAGCAACCTTGGGCAAATCATGCCACAGTTTTTTTCACTTGCAGGGAGATAATATTTGCCTCACATGCTTGTAAGGATTGAAACAGACAATAGATGGGAAAGTGTTGTCTAAAGCATATCATGCTTTGTATGTGTGAGTGGTGTAGGTTCATGTGAGGGTTGGTAAGCCTTGAAATTGGGACTCCGGTCTCTATATAAATGACCCATTGTCATGCTTTCCCCTGGCCCTCAAAGACTGATCTAAAGATGAGGAGCAGACTACATGAGCTCATTTCTAGTCCAGGTCCAGAGAGTAAGAGCCAAGGGTCATTGTTGGCTGGTATCCTGGAACCTGGGAGTTCTGAGGCCAGGTTGAAGGGCTTCAGATGGCAAGGATTGGTGGGTGGGGAGTGGAGCTGTCAGGAAGCAACCTTACTTAGCCTAGTGCCCATGGACCTTTTCTTTCTGATTAGAGATAAGAGACTGATTAGAAAGTCTGAACTGCACACAATTTTCATTTTTGTTTTTATTTTTGGAGACAAGGTCTTGCTCTGTTGCACAGGCTTGAATGCAGTGGCACAATCATGGGCCACTGCAGCCTCCAATTACTGGGGTCAAGCAATCCTCCCACCTCAGCCTCCTGAGTAGCTGGGACTACAGGTGTTCACCACCACACCTGGCTACTTTTTGAATTTTTTGTAGAGACGGGTCCTCCTGTATTGCTCAGGCTGGTCTCAAACTCCTGGCCTCAAGTGATTTTCCTGTCTCAGCCTCTATAGTGCTGGAATTATAGGTGTGAGCCACCGTCCCCAGCCTGAAATGCACACTTCTTTTAACTGGGAAACAGGGATAGGGGTCAAGGAAAGGGAGCATAGATTATCTTATTGTTCAACAACAGTAATTCAGAGATTCCCCCCGATAGGTAATTCATCAGTGGCAAAGAACATGGCTCCCGTGCCCAAGGAACTCCCTGTTTTGTGGTAGAGACGGTGTGCCAAAGTGAGTGACAAGAGCTAAGAGGTATTGCTCAATATTCCTACAAGGCCCACTGTTGGGAGGGACTAACAGTAGCTTGACCGGGGGTTGGACAGCTTGATAGAGGAGGTGAAATTGGCACTGGGTCTTCAAAGGCAAGACTACTAGTCAGAACAAGGAGTAGAAGGAAGGTCAAAGTCTGGAGAGGTTGAGAAAGCATGGTTGGGGGCACCAATGCAGGGTACAGGATAATTGGAACATGGTGATATGAAGGACTTGGTATTACATGAGGCCTGAGGGGAGGTGGAGAGGGATATGACCAGACTAGTTCATTTTCCACCTGAGATTAGGGCAGAAGCACTGGATGTTTGTTGATTGTCCCGTCTTGGAATTCTAGTTGTTCTTACCACTCTCTTTACCCTCATGCTGCCACTGCCCTCCAAGGAAGTCTTAATGTCTTACTTTATTCTCTGAGTGTGCTTCATTCCCCCCCTGAGTGCAAGTTCCCCAAGATGGACTATTCCTCTTCTGCCTGCCTAGCTTAGTATAGGCCAGACCCCTATCCCGTACTCAGTAAGAACTTGATACATGTATGCCCGAGGAATGTGACAGGAAGAGTAAGAGACAGAACAGGAAAAAGGTGGGGAGAGATAAGCACTCTTAGTCCTGTGGAGGATGATAACAAAAAAAGATTCTCAGATTCACAAATAGCCTCTTCTAAAGGCTCGTAGACTGGGCTCTGCTGCAACCATCATGGCTACCTCTACCTTTAGAATGAGACTGGCCTGGAGTGCGGTGGAGGGTGGGTAGGAGGCTTCAGAGAGAAGAAGAACCAACTCCACTATGATAAAGGGCTTACCAGCCTGGGAGTCATGAGGCCTGGGCTTCCAGTACCTGCCTTTGCCACTAATTCTGTTTGGCCTTGGTCAAATCTCTTCAGTGCTCTTGGAGCCTCAGTTCACGCACTATACCCTGAAGGGGTTGATGCAGCTGAGCGCTCTGAGTGTGAAGTGTAGGATAGTAGGCTCCTTTTGGCTCTGATATTCTGGCTGAGACAGCAGATGATGTATTTTTGGACCTGAGGCTATTCAGGGGAGAAACTACAGGCTGCGTACAAAAATTAAGTCTGGGCCCTGGGCCCGCCACTTGGTTCTGACTGGTGGGCAAAAGCAGGCCCAGCCCTGCCCTGCGGGGAGCACCAGTTCGATTAGCACTTGGAACTGTTTGTTAGTCTTCAAAATTTTGAGGACATATACTTACTGTGGTAAAATTCAGATGAACACATTTGGGGAAATCCCTGCCTTTATAGTTTTTAATCTCAAAATATAAGTCGCAAGGACATAAATCTAATACTTTAGGAGCAAACTAGAGTATATGTAGTATATGTATATGTATGTGTGGCATGGCTTTTGTTGTTGTTGTTTTTTGTTTCTTTGTTTTGTTTTTTGAGATGGAATCTCACTCTGTCGTCCAGGCTGGAGTGCAGTAGCATGATCTCGGCTCACTGCAACCTCCAAGTCTTGGATTCAAGCAATTCTCCTGCCTCAGCCTCCCGAGGAGCTGGGATTACAGGTGCGTGCCATGACACCAGGCTAATTTTTGTATTTTTAGTAGAGACAGGGTTTCGCCAGTTGGCCAGGCTGGTCTCCAACTCCTGACCTCAGGTGATCCGCCTGCTTCGCCTCCCAAAGTGCTGGGATTACAGGCATGAGCCACCATGCCCGGCCCATTGTTGTTGGTATTCTTAAAGAAACAGAGCCATGAGTGGTTAGTACACAAATAGTTTATGCAGTAAATAACTGTGGTTACAGTTCATTGTTGTCAGCAATACAGCATTTTCCATCACAATTATAGGTGAAACAAAACCTCATGAAGTAGTCATAGCACATTCATGCTAGCGAGAGCATATTACAAAGCAATGCACGTGCATTATAGGGGCAGACAAAACTGGGGAAGGGCTATATTTTCACTCACCTCTGGTTAACTTTGTGTATTTTGTCATTAAGACTTACATTATGTTTGGGTCAAACAAAAAACCCAAAGAGATTTTATAAAAGTTTACAACCATTAAACAGTATTGTTTAATCCCACAAATGGATAAAGCAAACTACTATAGCTCAACAATACACAAACCAGGACTAAAAATAGTCAATCTATGTATATAGCTAGCTACCATACAATAGATATTGAATATGCTGAGTCTTTACAAAGGCATTGACTATTTTAGACGAGCAGGTTCCAGAAATACACTTGTTTGTTTCCAATGAGAACTAACTGTAGTGCCATTTCAGTTGAAGACTATGCACTCCTCAGTGTCAGACGTGAGGATAAGCAAACTAGGGGAAGGCAGAGGAGGGTTAGGAGGGAGACCTGAGCGGACTCTTTGGACAGCTCAGCATTACTTTCTCTGTGCAGATCCAGACCTGGTTCACAAAGTAGAACAAAGTGTATTGAAATTTTTGGCCCTCAAAAAGGGCATTTGTACAAAGTCCCATACTTACAGCACAGATTGAATGGTAACTGAGTGCCTCTCAAAATGAACTCTTCTATGTTAGAAGAAAACTCAGGGCCAAAGGTTAATGGAAATCAGTGTTTGAATTACTGTATAAAGATAATTTATTCCAAAATAGAAAAAAATGAATTTTAGAGAAGTATTCTCCTGGAAACTAGCAGGGGGTGGGCAGAGAGAGAGAGAGAGAGGGAGAGAGAATCATGCTATGTGTTTTATTACTTAGAAGAAGAAAAGTTTTGTAGACCATTTCCATAAGGCATCTGTCATTCTCCCATACCTGGCACCTTAAGAGAGAGTGCAATGGCTCGATATTACCTTTGAAAAGGCTTCTTTTCCTTTGAGTTGTCTTACAGAAAGGGTGCCCTGGATTGACCATGCCACTCCGGGGTCACACTTCTCCTTTAGATCAAAATGAAAACAACAACAAAATCACAAAAAGAAGAAAAAAAATCAGAAAAGCTACAAAATTGAAGGCCTCAACAGGCACAGACTTCCTATGAGGTCAGAAAATCAGTGAAATAATTAAAATTACAAAGCACCTCTTGCAAAATACACTGTTTTTTGAAAACCACACAAAACGCTTTGTAGTAACCCCTGCTGAGTGCTTAGAGGTAAGTATCCTGAAGGACACATGCTTAGTCCCATGAAGGAAGCTTGATTTTATTATCAAGGCAGCCGAGGGGGTCCCAATGCTTCTTTGTTATTTGCTGTTTTATAATTACAGACAAAATGGAAAGTCAAGAAGTGCGTAGACCTCAATATAAAGAAAATGTTTCTCTAATAACTAGGAACCATGCTGTATTTATGTATTCATAGTTGTATAGCTCCATTTGTAGATTCTTGCAGATGAGTCACTAACACTGACACTTTTTACACAAAATCCCTTTTGCAAGGACATATTAAATTTAATAGGCTAAAGAGAACTTATGCAATATAATGCTTGAAATTTTACACATGATAGCTGTGCAGTGGTAATAAAGAGGCCTTGAAAAATTGTTTTTGTCTATAAATTACTACTGCCCTTTAGAAATAAAAGCTCCCTCACAACCCCTGAGCTACTTCCCTGTGACACACAGTGCCACAAACCTCATGGTGAAAATTCAGTGCCAAACCTAGCTTCAGATGAGTTTTGTACATTTGTTTCTATACAATCAGGAAAAAAAGAGATACAATTTGTATCAACAAAAGGTCATTTCTGGTTATTTGAGGCATTGCTCCTAGCCGCTTTTGGTTCATACCAAAAAGAAGAATGAGAGGAGAATGACAATCGTTTTTAGTAAATCAGAAATACATATGCTGCCTTAAAAAATATTTTCTGTATTGGGAGGAGCTTACACAGTTTCTGAGTACTAAATATGAACATGTTCAAGACGAATTGTAGGTGACAAGATGAATCTTGTGCTTCTCTGTAAATTGTACAGCTAGTGGATAGTGTGGTGCCATTCATGATCTTGGTAGGAAGATGAACTAACTGGCACATAGGCAGTAGCATCATCTGAGATTGTCAAATACCCTGATTTAGACACGAGTCCGATTTAGAAAGTCCAAGAAGTTGAAGGTATGAAATGGTGTTTGTGTGAAATAGCAAGCACTGCAGTGGCAACTGTCACTCTGTGGATCTACCTGATTGATAGAAAATACTTTTACTCTTTTTCAATATGCTGGGGTATACGAAGATCAGAAGATAGGAGATAGAATGTAAAGCTGTGGTTAACTCAAGTGAAACATTGGTTAAGATGCAGTATTGATCAACTTGGACAGAGACAGAAAGCCAGAAAGCAGCATGCAAGCCATTGTCAAACCACCAGAAACAACCCTGACTACAGCCTCACATTCAGAGTGTTTCACAGTAAGAAACATTTATAGGCAGTGTCACACCTTCTCATGAAGAAACAAAAGGCCAAGGCCCGGCCTTCTCAACTTTCATGAAAAAACGATCATAGAAGTTAGCAAGTTCCAGCTCAGGAAATAGTGAGCTGATCATGGTTCGAAATATTGAAATATACAATGGATTCAAAAAGGGAATTCATTTAGTGCAGCTTAAAAAAAACAATAAACACCTCTTCTAGAGGCATTTAGCTATGAAGTTTTCCACCCTGAGCAAGATACAAGTTGCGCAAATGGTGTCGCCCAAACCAAAAGTCCTGCCTTCTAATAACTCATTTAACAATTATTTAACAGCAAGTGCACTCTTTGCATGGATTTAAAGTGAGTAACTGAGCCAGCTATTAGTAAAGATGCAGTATCCCCTTTTGGAAACTTCCTTTTTCCACAAATAAAATCCCCTGGTTTTGTTTCCTAGAGAAATTCTGTTCCACCAATGATTGACCTTATTACCCAAAGGGTGGACAGGAAGAGAAAGTGGATACATGGCTGTGCACTGTCCTCCATTACATTTCATCCAATGATGTTGAATACTGCATAGGTCAGAAGTCCAAAGAGCATCCAATAGTCCCTCCTTGAGTGAAGCTTTTTTATTCACCATTTAATGCCACATGGGTTTGGCCATCTCTCCTGGGATAAGGGAAGTGGATTGTGGTAGTAAGTCCCCTGGTCCTTGTCAAACTCTTCTGAGCTTGTGTAGCACACACATACTATGCTTGGAACTTGAGCTTAACCATCAGTTTCTCTGCAGAAGACTGCAACCTGATCCCTAATTTGCTAAGGTGAAGAGACTTGGAAGGTAAGAACTGTTAATAAATGTTGGCAGGTAAAATGTGCAAAGGAAACAGAGTTGCTTTGCTCTGGTGCCTAAGAAAGCAATGTTCAAATATTGCCATATAATTTCTCTCTCATAACTAGTTAAAACTATGAAATGTGACTTAAAATCATCAAGTCAGATTAGTGACCTATACAGCTATAGACGAAGGACTGTGTAGAGCCTACCCTCTCATTATCACTATATAAAAGGTTATACAGAGATACACACACATCTCAAACCAAATATATATATTCATACATGCAATATAATTGCTAATAATAGCTTTAAAATATAGTTCTAGAAGCTTCAATGTGACCCTATAGTTTCATTAATATAGATTGAGTGATCAGATATCCATGCAATAAAGTATGCATTTACTTTTAAATAGCTTTAAATATTTCTATTAGAAAAAACCTAAAAGGTTAATTCAACATATGATCTGATCCTGATGCTTTTGCTCTCTAAATTGGATATATCATCCATACTTTGTAATATAGAATATGTGACTACGAAAACTCTGGTAGGCTGGGCGCAGTGGCTCACACCTGTAATCCCAGCACTTTAGGAGGCCAAGGTGGGCGGATCACTTGAGGCCAGGAGTTTGAGACCAGCCTGGCCAACACGGTGAAACCACGTCTCTACTAAAAATACAAAAATTAGCTGGGCATGGTGGTGCACGCCTGTAATCCCAGCTACCTGGGAGGCTGAGGCCATAGAATCACTTGAACCCTGGAGGTGGAGGTTGCAGTGAGCAGAGATAGTGCCACTGCACTCCAGCCTGTGTAACAGAGTGAGATTCTGTCTCAAAAAAAAAAAATAAAGAAAGAAAGAAAGAAACGAAAAGAGAAAAAGGAAAACTCTGGTAATGGAATCCTCTGGGATTTCTTACATCTAGACCTCTCCCCCTGGGTTTTGTCCTCCATTACCTGCATGGTGCAGTGCAAAGGGGCATGGGACTTGGATTTAGAGGACTTGGGTGTGTGTCTTGACTTAGTCATTTGCTAGCAGTGTGACCCTGGCTAGCCACTTAATTTCACTGACCTTCACCTTCCTTCTCTATAAAAGAGGATGTTAGTAAGACGTACCTCACAGGGTTGTTAAGCGCTTAAATGATATAAACACTCTAACTTGTAAAGCGCAACACAAATTATTAGTTACTATAATTATTGTATTAGTGTATTATTAGTATTAATATTCATATTTGTATAAAGAAATAAGTACTATGTCATATCAACGTGCAGCCCTAAGCTTAGCAACAATCAAGGCTGCCAGTTGCTGGGCATCTGCTGTGTGGGGATTCTTCTCCATCACTGCAAGGACGATGTTAGAAGGGAAAATATTGCAGAGGTTCTTGTAGGTCTGATACTGGTGTTCTGGGATCATATGCTCCCTGGAATCATTGCACATTCCAACCCAAGGATTCCTCCAAAGCTGCTCCATCTTTTCAGGCACGCTCCGTACCATGACTGGCTCATAACATGGTTGCATGAGGCTGTTACTCAAGGGATAGGAGTGGTAGCCATAGGAGTCAGTTGTACAGGGCAGCGGGTCCCAGCTGGCATGCTGTTCCCGGCACAGGGGAGGTCGTCTTTGCCTCACGGGGTTGCTCTCATAGAGGCGGGAGTCGGAAATGCTATCCATCCGAGTCATCACCAGGGCACGGCCTGGCTGGGGGGTTGCCCCAGGATGGATATTGGGAGGCATGGGGTAGTCTGCAGGACAGCTGGAACGTGTTCCAGTTGATGGGTGCTGGGCATGCAGAGCTAAGTGGGGGACTGACTGTTTGTGGGGGCCTTGCTTAGAATCCTCTGGGCCATAGCTCTGCACTCGTGTTAAGGCTTCATGGTAACCATGAGGAAAAGGCTGAAGTCGGTTCTGGGATGCTGAGCGGTGCAGCTTCAAATTGCCTTCAGGATGGGTATCAGCTACAGCCAAATACACGTTGTTGTAAGAGGAATAGTTGTCATTCCTGGTATGGCTCACACGGCTGTCAGAACAGAGGTTAGGATTCCGGGCATACACCCCCCGGTCTACTTCAGCCATGTAATACTCTCGGTTATGCATGCTGTTGATGTTCAGTTTGGAGAAGTCACCTAACATTGAATAGTAGCCATGGTCCCCCATGGATTCAAACTTTGGGTATTGCTCAGCATAGCTAATAGGGGTCCCATGGCTGTTGGTAACCAAGATGGGAGGATACTGCATGCTGGCCATATGCTCCAAAGAGGCCTTCTGGTGGGGGAAATGGGAGGATCCTGGCACTGGGCTGCTGGCCGAACGGGTGTTGAGTGCACCCACTGCATGGCTTTTGGGGGGTGGGATTGTGGGAACACTTAGGGCAGTCACAAGCGAGGGGACAGAACTAGCCTCAGGCTTACGGGCAATGGACAGCCATTCCTCAGGCTCCATAGCCACAGACCGGATGCTGGGATCTGATTGGCGCTTGGGGGCCACACGTTTGACCTCTGAGGTTATCTCACCTTTGGCACTAGACATCCCTGTGCCACACTTGGCCAGGGTGCCTTCACTCATAGTTTTCACTGTGGACAGTTTGGCACTGATGCGGAGCTCATCAGCCACCGAACGCTGGGGTTGGTTGGCCCGCTCCGGATGGTAGTATTTGCACTTGTGGCCGTAGGTGCATTTTTTGCCTGAAAAATAATGCCTTGGGGTAAGACTCTCTCTCAGTGATGGAACCCTCTGTGCCAAAAACTGTTGTAACAATCTGGTCACTCAGGTTAGGGTTTTACTGTTTGGGGTAAAGGCAGAAAATTAACTGTCCACAAAGATGAGAGACAGACAACACCAAGGAGGCATCATACACTGTGATGGGAGAGAGAAAGTGGAAAGCTATGGAGAAAATTGCAGCATAAAAGCTAAGAGCTGGCTGGATGTGGTGACTCCTGTCTGTAGTCCCAGCAGTTTGGGAGGCTGAGGTGGGTGAATCACTTTAGCCCAGGAGTTCGAGACCAGCTTGGGCAACATTGTGAAACCCCGTCTGTAAAGAAAAATACAAACAAAATTAGCTGGGCATGGTGGTGCACGTCTGCAGTCCCAGCTACTCAGGAGCCTGAGGTGGGAGAATTCTTGAGCCTGGAAGGTCAAGGCTGCAGTGAGCCGTGATCATGCCACTGATCTCCAGCCCAGGTGACAGAGCAAGAGCAAGACCCTGTCTCAAAAAAAAAAAAAAAAAAAAAAAAGCTAAAGCTGAGCAGTTTTAATTTTTCGATAATGTACAACTTTGCCTAGGCATAATCTGCATGCTGAAGCAGCATAGAGTAACAGAAAGCAGCATAGTGCAATGCAAAGAGCACAGGTTTGGAGTCCAGTCAGATCTGAATTTCAATTCCAGCTATGTCCCTTACTAGCTGTGTGACCTTGGTAAGTGACTTTATTTTGTGAGCTTCATTTTCCTCTTCTGTAACCAAAGTTCATCATCATGCCTATATTATAGGGTCATTGTAAAGATTAAATGAGATAATGAATATGAAAATACTGTGTGACTTAAAGATTAATTGAGGACAAAAACCAAAACACCCCACAAAACAAATGATCATCCAAAAAAACAGACATTCAAAGTAGCCTCAGATCAAGCAGCCCATGTCGCAATGTTAGGCGCACAAACGTTGTATCAGAGGGACTGGGGTAAGAGCATGAAAACACTCTAGAAAACTATATTTATTTAAAAAAAAAAAACAAAAACTGGAAAGGGGCCGGGCACGGTGGCTCATGCCTGTAATCTCAGCACTTTCAGAGGCCGAGGTGGGTGGATCACTTGAAGTCAGGAGTTCGAGACCAGCTTGGCCAACATGGTGAAACCCCCGTCTCTACTAAAAATACAAAAATTAGCTGGGCTTGGCATCATGCACCTGTAATCCCAGCTACTGGGGAGGCTGAGGGAGGAGAATCGCTTAAACCCGGGAAGCGGAGGTTGCAGTGAGCCAAGACTGCACCACTGCACTGCAGCCTAGGTGACAGAGCAAGACTTTGTCTCAAAAAACAAACAAACAAACAAAAAAACTGGAAAGGACAGATCTAAAGGAAAGGTTAGTATTAATTGAAAGAGGGTGCAGTCACCTGCCTGAGACACATGTTCATCTTGGGGCCAAACTCAGTTTGGTATTGCCCTTTCTACTTCCACAGGCCATATAGATTTCTTCATTTCCCTGCTTCCAGCAACATAGTTCAGGACTTAGGCAGGTAGAACACATGTACTATTGTCACAAGTGACAACTAGTCTTCCCTTCAATTCTAGCTACCTTTTCCTCATTCAGTTTCTAAGATTTTTCTTTAAATACCTAACAGTGTACACGAAGACACAAACTTTAACTCAAAGACAGTGGACAAGCCAGGATTTCCCATTTGAAAGGGAAACCTGGAAGAGAAAAGTGTTCACAGAATCCTTATGTTTCCGGTGGTACAGAACTCAGTTTTGTATGTAGGTACTCACCATAAGGACATGGTTGCTTCTTATGCTCAGGAACAATGGGTCTCTTTCTTAAGAAATTTTCAAGGCTTGGGCCGTGGCGTCCTAATGGATCATCTGGAGGCATAAATCTGAAAGCAAGTAAGCAAGAGGTGACTGTCTTCCTTTCTGTCCCCTACTCCTTACTAGGAGTTCAGATTTTCATTACCTCTTGCCTGTACTGTTGTCACAGCCTTCTAATTGCCCTTCCTGCCTCAAGTCTATCCTCTGCTAATCTAGCAGTTCTTCCCTTTGTTGCCACTTTATCACATAGAAAGGATGATTTTCCCTGTTCATCATTATTCCATGAACTACATGTTTGAGCCGTACTGGCATGTCTGCTGGTTCCCCCAACATGCTACCCACTTTCACACCTTCATAACTTTATTCATGATGTCCCCCTCACCTCATGCCTAGCAGCCCCCTTTCCTCCATCTGTAAACTTGATCTGAAATGTCATCTCCTCTGGGATGCCTTTTTCTATTACTTCACATAGACAAAGCAATTTTTAAAAAACAAATTTTAACTGTAGCTCTTATAACAAAACATTGTGGTTGTCTCTTTCGCTCCTCTACTACACTTTGAGTCTCTTAAGGGTGAGTCCTTTTCCTTATTCATCCTTTTATCTGTGTGGCAACTAGCAAAATGTATGATACACAGTAAGTGTTTGGTAAATGTTTATTAAAATGTAATCTATTCTTACTGATAACTTGGATATAGGCCTACTGGAAAGAAACGCACTTGTCATTCACAAAAGAATACATCAGCAACCGCTCCTCTATAAACTTCTTCCATTCTGGCTTTTCAACTTGAAGGTCTCGGTAGTTATCATTGGACACAATGATGCCATCAGAATCAAAAGCCAGTTTGACTATGAACCGGTCATCATAGCAGACAACCCTCCTGCCTTGGACTCTTCGGGATGGTGTGAAGACAAGAATCTTTTCCTTCTCCAGTTTTCGTAGAATATCTTGATCTGTCAAAATATGATTATATGCCACAGAGCAGAAATCATCTTTGGAAATTAACAGTATTACCCCAATATTAAAAATGCAAAAGTTGGTACTGGATGAAGATATTATTTGCTCTTAGAGGGAAAGTAGGCCCTGTTCCTGGCTATGATATCAATCTGGATTATGACCTTAGGCAAGTCATCTTCCCCTTTGGACTTCAGTCTTCTTTTTGATAAAATGAAGGAACTGGATTCAATGACATTTGAGTTTTAAAAACTACCATGAAGAGTGAGAGTGACACTGATATCTTAGCATTCTTGATGCTTGTTTTGCCCTTTGGCCAAAGCACCAGCTTTTTGGTTGTTGATTTCTAACAGGGAAATACTGAGGATGTGTCTGCCAGGAGGAAACTAAAGCATCTCTCCTAGGCACTTACATTTTTGGCTTCTGCCTGAGGGAAGACCAAAACTAGGGTGAAACATCAAGATATAGCAACTGAGTGCTGACCCCCTTTCCTTTTGGTCTCCTAGTTGCCGAGGCAAGAAAGCTTGCTGGCTGGGCTTGAGCAGGGCTAGGATCTATTCTCAGACTGAGGCTCAAGAGCCTGTTCAGCAGATGGCAAATAGCTTCACACACAGCTCAGACAGCCATTCACGGGACTTTCTCATTAGGCACATCAGGCAACAGCTGATGCTCAGAAGACTGTTGTAAATGAATGTAGAGACCCCTCTGCCGTTAGGACTGCATCATGACTTTTGAAAACCTTAGGCATTTTTGCTTTCCTAGGCTCCTTCCTCCATAAGAAATGTTAAATATTGGCTGGGCGTGGTGGCTTATGCCTGTAATCCTAGCACTTTGGGAGGCTGAGGCGGGCAGATAGCTTGAGCCCAGGAGTTCAAGACCAGCTTGGGCAACATGGCAAAACTCCATCTCTACTAAAAATACAAAAATTAGCTAGGCGCAGTGGTACATGCCTGTAGTCCCAGGTACTCAGGAGGCTGAGGTGGGAGAAAAACCTGAGCCCAGGGAGGTAGAGGCTGCAGTGAGCCATGATCACACCATGGCATTCTAGCCTAGGTGACAGAGTGAGACCCTGTCTCAAACAAAGATAAATATTAAATATTAAAAATTTCGTTTTCAATTGCTTCAGTATAAAGCCAAGGATAACCCAGCTAGATACATCATTGTACATGCATTGCTGTTATATTCAATTTTTTCTTCTGATGTGAGAAGAAAATAAAATTAAGACATTTCCATGGGACCTTAGCAATATCATTGGCCCTAGGTGCCAGACCTACTGTGTCTCATGGATAAGTTGGCTCTGACTGCTGTGGGACTTTTCTTTCTCTCTATTTTATTCCCTAATTTGCAAACCCCACAATCACTTCTTTGGTACAGAATGAGATCCATTGTCCACCATGGTGTTTTTACTCTCTTGAAAACTTAGTCATGCTCATAACCAGATTCATCACCCTTTAGTCTGAAGTCTATGGTCAAATAGAAAAGCACTCCTTTTTTTTGAAACTATGTGCTTTATCTTTTGCCGAATTGAAGTTTTCTTTATTTAACTGTCAGATGCTACAAAATAATGATGACTTTCTTTGAATCTTTTTTCAAATATATGCTTAATAAAAATACTTTAAATATACTTAACAACTTTGAAAAATAAATATCTAAATTGGGACCATCCCCAAACTATCTTTCCAGATTTGCCTCTAGATGAGAAGAAATGTCTTATTTGACACAATACCTGTAATTGGTGCATCAGGGCGGGATTGCTCCTTTCTCCATGCAGGCACAAATACAGTAATATCTTTATGGCCTTTATCTAGAAACCAATCCACAGCAAGTTGTATTCCTCTGCAGGAGAATTCTTCTTTATTCCCATGGCTTAGGAAGATACAGAATAAGAGGAGAGAAGATTGATAATAGATAGCAAAGAAATATCTGAAGCAGGCTTTTTCTTAGTACCAAGGTATTAATAATAGACATTTACATTCTTTTCTTTCTTTCTCTCTTTCTTTCTTCCTTTTGCTTCTTTTCTTTTCTTTTTTTTCTTTTTTTTTTTTTTTTGGTCTCACTTTTTCTCCCAGGCTGGAGTACAGTGGCACAATCTCGGCTCACTGCAACATCCACCTCCTGGGTTCAAGTGATTCTCCTGCTTCCACCTCCTGAGTAGCTGGAACTACAGATGCACACCACCATGCCCAGCTAATTTTTGTATTTTTAGTAGAGACGGGGTTTTGCCATGTTGGCCAGGCTGGTCTCGAACTCCTGACCTCAGGTGATCTGCCTGCCTCGGCCTCCCAAAGTGCTAGAATTACAAGCATAAGCCACTGCGGCCAGCCATGACATTTACTTTCTTGATAATGCCAAATAACATGCTTTTTAAAGAGCAAATCAAGATATTTTTATGTAATTGTTACAAATTTGCCATTATTATTACAAACTTCATTCAAGGCCACAGATGGTTAGTAACAACTCCCAATTTATTGCAGCCCTGATGGCTATCTCCTATCACTAGTTCCATTTTCTCTCTTCTTTTTCTGTTTCTCCTACCACTTTCTTTTCAAAGATTGAGATATTCACAAAAAATTAAAAAAGTAAAGGTATTACCAGAGGTTTAAAGTTTATATAGAGTATTAATTGGGGATAAGTCTTAAGCACATATATATTAAGCTTCAAAAATAACATCGACAGCAAAAAAGATATGCACATAAATGCTCACTGAAAATTCTTATTACATATATGCATTTAATACAATGCACCAACAAAAATCATATTCATGAAAATTTTAAGATGTAGGAAATGCTCATAATTCTGAAAGAGAAAAGAAAAAATACAGACTATATATAATGTAACACCGATTTTGTAGAAGAAAACCTATGTATAAGCTTAGAAAAAATATGAGTACATCGAAATATTAATAAATATTGTTGTTCTGTGTGAGAGGGTTATAAGTGATCTATTTTCTTCCTCTAATTCCAAAATATCCTCAAAAAATCAAGTATTTCTGGCTGGGTGCGATGGCTCAGGCCTGTAATCCCAGCAGGTTGGGATGCCGAGGTGGGAGAATTGTTTGAGCCCAGGAATTTGCGACCAGCCTCGGCAACATAGTGAGACCCCATGTTTATTAAAAAGAAAAAAAAATTCAAGTATTCTTTCTATAATCAGAACATGAAATAAAGGAGAAGAAATTCTATCAGAATTACTTATAGGAATAAACATTGTGAAAACTTAAAAAGCCAAACAGAATTCATTTAAATAGAAATTGGAAGAGGGAAAATTTGCAGATAAATTGGGAAAAGATGCACTAGATTTGTGCCTTGTTTGGCTGTGAAAATTACGATCTCTTAGCATGGTATCTAGTGCTCTGACATATACATAAATCACACTAAATTATAGTTAATTAAACAGCTTGGATGGTAACAAATGGGCATACACGTACCAATTCTACTACAATCAAGTGGCTATTGTCTGTTAAGACTGATCAGAAGAAAATAATTGTTTTGTTAGAAGGCTAATTAAGACAATGTGATGGGGCTTCTCACTTTGGATTCCTCACCTTCTCACTGGCACTAGCTCACTAACTACAACAAAAATGAACTCCAACATATTGTTCCCTTTCAATGAATTCATATATAATATCCGGGGCCTCATCAATTCTTGTACTGCAAGACTTCCCACTGTCTTATCACTCTTGAGGCAAATTGCAAAAATTTATTAAATGCTTTTATTAACATTTCCAAGCATATGCTAATCATGTTTAAAGCTCCCCAGTGAGTACCACAAAACAATTATACTACTCAACTGAAAGTTGAAAGCACTTAAGAAACAAAAGGAAAATATATTTAGCTGTCAATACACTCTAAGGTAGCCTTAGAGATAACTACCACTGACTCCTAAAAAGTTGAACAATGGGGAAATTATGCAAGACCACAGTGCTTAAAGGGTTAATATTGGATGAACTCTGGAAGAGAAGATGTTCAGTTGTGAATTTTCCCACTGCTACAGTGCTGGTAAGTATAAAGAATAACAGAACTTGGGAAAATTATCAGAATTGCCATTAGAGAGGATTTGAAGGGATGGAATTTCATTTGGCTCTGCAGTGCTATGATCTTCTCCCAAACAGTCTAAGTCCAGAAATAAATATGAGAGTAACATTTGCTGTTAGATACTGCAACTTTATATTTTATTTATTTATTTATTTATTTATTTATTTATTTATTTATTTATTTTTTGGGACAGAGTCTTGCTCTGTTATCCAGGCTGGAGTGCAATGGCACCATCTCGGCTCACTGCAACCTCTGCCTCCCGGGTTCAAGCAATTCTCCTGTCTCAGCCTCCCGAGTAGCTGGGATTACAAACGCACGCCAACATGCCCAGCTAATTTTTGTATTTTTAGTAGAGACGGGGTTTCACCATGTTGCCAAGGCTGGTCTTGAACTCCTGAACTTGTGATCCGCCAGCGTCAGCCTCCTAAAGTGCCGGGATTACAGGCGTGAGCCACCAGGCCCAGCCAACTTTATATTTTATACTGCCAAATTCTGTGTTTAAATTTTTTTTTTCAGCCTTGGCAACATGGTGAGACCCTGCCTCTACAAAAAATTAGCTGAGTATGGTGATGCACACCTGTAGTCCTAGCTACTTGGGAAGCTGAGGCAGGAAAATCACTTGAGCCCAGGAGTTTGAGGTCACAGTGAGCTATGATCATGCCACTGCACTCCAGCCTGGGTGACAGAACAAGGCCCTGTCTCTAAATATATACATATAATCATTAAAAATGTAATATATGGTTATAGTATAAAACGTGGAAAATACATAAAATATAAAGAAAAAAAACTCCAAAATCCAACTGTTTTACTACAATCCAGAGACAAACACTGTTAATATTTTGATATATTTATATTCTGATATCAATTTCCTAACATACTGAGAATTATGTTAAGAAAAAATGTAACATACCTATAGCATCCCGTTAAAATATATTAAAAGTATGCCACTGAAGCATTTCATGAGGCACACCAAATGCCCAATAAGAATCAGAAGGCAGTTTCAACATTTATCAAGGTGGCAATGAGTACCTACACAACAGCCAAGTATGCAAAGTTTATTGCCCCTAAACATTTAAGGAATGAATAATTTTTTTTGAAAAAAAAGAGGAAAATAAAGCTTTTCAAGTGGCTTGTTTTTGCTTAAACACATACAATGTCCTTTTGCAATCTAAAAAATGCCAAAAACCCTAGGACCTGCAAGTCACGGAGTATCTTGGTGACACTACAGTTCACTTTGTCTTGTAAACTTGCTTAGGAACCTCTCATGATCCAGGTTCCCAAGCCAAATTCAGCTTAGCAGATAGGTCATTAGCCCCACCCTCTGCAATTGTTTTCTCTGGGGTTCAAATGTTTGGGCTTCTCCTAGACTTAACAAAGAATATGGTTGCATTTACATTTCAAAGCCTTAATTCCTCTGAAATGGATTTCTCCTTCCAAAGGAGACAGCTCTCAGAATGAATGTACCCTTTAGGATCTTAGCATATATCAATCAGTATGTGGACCACAGGTGCACTACTACTGCAAATGTTAACCAAATGCTGCTAATGGCAAACGAAGCATCATAAATTTTTTTTTTCTTTTTTTCAGACTGAGTCTCACTCTGTCACCCAGGCTGGAGTGTAGTGGCGCAATCTCGGCTCACTGCAACCTCTGCGTTCTGGGTTCAAGCGATTCTCCTGTACAGGCACGCCACCACCACACCCGGCTAATTTTTGTATTTTTAGTAGAGATGAAGTTTTGCCTTGTTGGCCAGGCTGGTCTCGAACTCCTGACCTCAAGTGATCCTCCTGCCTCAGCCTCCCAAAGTTCTGGGATTACAGGTGTGAGCCACCAGGCCCGGCCCATAATTTTATTTTATTTTTGGAGACAGGGTCTTGCTCTGTCACCCAGGTTGGAGTGCAGTGGCATGATCATGGCTCACTGCAGCCTCAACCTCCCTGGGCTCAAGCGATTCTCCCACCTCAGCCCCCCAAGTAGCTGGGACTACGGGCATGAACCCCCACGCTGGGTTATTTTTTGGTATTTTTAGTAGAGATGGGGTTTTGTCATGCTGCTCAGGCTGGTCTCGAACTCCTGGGCTCAAGCAGTCTGCCTGCCTTGGCCTCTCAAAGTGCTAGGATTACAAGCTTGAGCCACTGTGCCTGGCCAGCATCATAATTTTAATGCAGGATAATCCAACAGGCTGAGAAACAACAGACATTAACATGTAGTTTGTCTAAGAAATACCAATCTCACCATAAACTTACAGCTAACTAATGAGGAAAACAAACCAAATTTAGATTAACAGTAATAACAAATCCATAAGTAGACTATAGCGCTGAACTTTGAGCATGTGAAATGTGATTGCAGAATAAATGGGACTTAACGGTAATTTACTACTCAGACAAAAGAAAAAGATGCTAACAAGGACTCAACTGGCAATTTAAAAAAAATTACATGGTCTACTCTGCACTATTTTAGTATGTTCCTAACAATAAGGTTGCATGCTATTTCTTGGCTCTATTTAAATCATGCGAGATGCCTTTAATTTAGCAAAGTAACTCATACAGGAGATCAAAGTTCATTTTCCTGTCAGTATAACAGTTTGCTACTGACATAGACCAGATATGTTGAAACTAATTATCCAAGTAATTAATCTCTGCATTATTCCTTAAAAAGCGAAAGAACCAGAGTGTCCTTCATGATCAGCAATCCTTGAATAGAAGTCCAAAGAGAAGGAAGATATTACATTACCATGAAGCCAAAGTCCCCAATAATGCCTTAGGTTCTTCTCAACCTTAACTCCGAAACACAAAACCAGACCAAACCAAACCAAACCAAACCAAAACAAAACAAAACAAAAAAAATGGTAGGCCTTGGGAATCAGGTCCGATCTAGGGTGTTCCGGGTGGTCTGGTTTGGTGACAGATTGAGTTGGACACATCCCAAACTCCTTCCCCTCAAGAATCACTCTTTCTTATGCCTGTTAGGAGGGGAGCAGAGACACCTTTGGCCTTTTGAACACAGACATTATCCTCTGCTTTTCACTGGCCCACTGCATCATTCTGATTGCTGTAGTATTGTGTGCAGACCATTTAACTTTCTTGTTACTAATCTTTTGGTTTCCCCTCATTAAAACAAAGGAGCTGTCTAGCCTGCTTTACGTACCTTATAATTATGATGATGTCATGATTTTAAAAAATTGAAAAAGGAAATCTGTAAATGCATTCTCTGATACTAGCAAATATGTCATATATATATATATATATATATTTTTTTTTTAAATAGGGCCTCACTCCATCACTCAAGGTGGAGTGCAGTGGCGAGATCACTGCTCACTGTAGCCTTGACCTCCCGAGCTCAAGAGAACCTCCCACCTCAGCCTCCTGAGTAGCTGTGACTACAGGCATGTGCCACTATGCCTGGATAATTTTTGTATTTGCAGTAGAGACAGGGTTTTGCCATGTTGCCCAAGCTGGTCTTGAAGTCCTGGGCTCAAGCGATCCTCCCACCTCGGCTTCCCAATGTGTCGGGATTATAGGTGTGAGCCACCGTACCTGGCCCAAATATTCTTAATAACACTAATAGCCACATAATACTGTGTGATATTATGAAAAGAGAATTGGAGTCAGATTAGTGTTTTAATTTAAGCTTTGTAAGCTTGGGTAACCTTGGGTAGTTATTCAAACTCTCTGAACCTGAATCTCTTCACCTGCAAAGATGAACCAAATTAGTTGATTCTTATAGGGTCTCCAGTGGGGATTAATTCACATACGTAAAAGAATCTGGCACAGAATCAGTATTCATAAATGTTAGTTTGTTTCATTTCATTCATTTGAAGTCAGAGGACTTAAGTTCGAGTTCTCACTTTACTACTTACTAGCTATGTAAACTCAGGGAAGTCACTTACCTTTGCTGAGCCTTATTTTTTCATCTGTAAGATAAAGTTGCTGTGAGGATTAAACAGGACTATATACTAAAGTGTACTTCTAGATAGTCTGCTAAGCATTTCCTGTATACAGCAATGGTACGGTTCATGACTTTCTCCCATCCCCACTCTCTCATGTCTCTGTGGGAGCACCCAATACCATGGGAAAACAAAGCAAGATCCCTGCTTTCAAAGACAATGGGATAATCTAAGTTAAAACTTGCTAGACTAAGGCTTTTTCACTTTGTTCTGATTGCCTATGGTCTAGGGATTCTAGTGAGTCCATCAAGCAATGATAGACTCAATAGGAAAAAGGCTCCTGATTACTGGGGTTTTTTAAACCAAGGCTGGATTACAATTCATTTGAGAAATAGAAGAAGGGATTCCTATGGCTCTCTGGCACAAAATTTAAAAAATGATATGAGAGAGTATGGAATAAATTATGAAGGCACTATAGGTATTATGTGAGTCTCCCACTGCTGCTGTAACAAATTATCACACATGTAGTGACTTAAAATAGCACCAATTTATTCTCTTACAAGTTCAATAGGTCAGAAATATAAAATCAAGGTGTTGGCAAAGCTGTGTTCTTTCTGCAAGCTTAAAGAGAGAATCTGTTTCCTTGCCCTTTTCAGCTTTCTAGAAGCCACCCACATTCTTTTTTTTTTTTTTTTTTTTTTCCTGAAACAGTCCAATGGGTGAGAAAGGCCACCCACATTCTTTGGCTCATAGTCCCTTTCTTACGTCACTCCATCTTCTTGTTTCTGCCATTCCATCTCCTTCTACTTATTCTGATCTTGCTGCTTCCCTCTAATAAAGGCACTTGTGATTACATTAGGCCCACTTTGATAATCCAGGGTAATCTCTCCCATCTCAAGAACCTTAATCACATTTGCAAAGTCCATTTTACCATATGAGATAATGTATTCAGAGATTCCAGGGATTAAAATGTGGACATCTCTAGGGGGCTATCATTCAGCCTACCACAGATATTGTAGTTCAGAGATCATCATTGGAATCAGAAAAATTAGGAAGTTCTTTGTGGAGGTGGTGCATTCTGAAGGCTATGAAGATACAAAGCAGGCCACTTCTAATTTGGGAAAAGACATGAACACAGGTAATGGGGATAGAAATCAGCATAATTTTCATGGAGACTGTTAAAGAGATAGATGTAAATGCAGTAAGCATGAGAGATGCAATCAAATGGGAGGAGGGACAGGCCTGATCACAAAGAGCCTTAAAGCCAGGGAAAAGGATCAAAATTTGGTATAATAACAGTTGAGAGTTACTGAAAGTTCCTAAGTAAACCCCAAAGTGACTTTATAAAAGCAGCATTTTCAGGATGGTTAGTCTAGTAAAGTAGGGATAGGACAGCAGACCACAAAAGGAACAAAGCTGAATGGCTATGTCTCCTCTGAAGCATCATCACTGATGTCGAAGCTGCCTTTAGAACACCTGAAAACAAATTGGCAGCAACTTCAGTGGAAGAAGAAAAGGCAAGGGCAGGATCATTTTAGTCTCTGGCCACCTTCAGAAACACACGCCACAGTCAATAGCCATGCTCCTCTTATAATGATTTGCAAAGGAAGAAAATTTCTATGAGCTCAGGGCAGTTTTTTAAAATGGGAGAAAAAAACATACCAGGCTTACCTCATTGCCACATTACTTCCATCAATGACAACTGGCCTCAAATTGTCACTGTTATCTATTTCATCTTCAAGAGACAATTCAGGGCTTGCAATCTCTCTGGAGCTGGGCCCACGAGGCACTAACAGACTCAAGTTGATCTGCCCTTCTGAATCACCTTTGTTCCCAAGTCTGACAAGCTCTGCCAATACATCATTAATAAGTGATTCTGGGCCCAGCTTGTTTAGCACTGATTGAATCTGTTCCTCTGCATAGCCCAGCTTTAGCGCAAACTCCATCTTAGCTTGGTATTCCTTCTCCAAGTCAAGTTTACCATCCTGTAAAATGCTGCTCTGGGAGAAACTTGGACGATCTAGGCAGGGTGATCGACAGAGCTGGCGGTGTGGCTTGGAGTGCATCTCCTTTTTCTTCAACTGACCATCCCTAGGTTGGCAGCTCTTGCTGTTGTCGCTACTCTTAAGGCTTATCTGTTCAGGGTCACTCTCAGAGCTCATCCACTCTTCAGAATCAGCATTGCCCTGCTCTGTGCTGTCCTGCTTAGGCTGCTGCTTCTCTTCCTTGGAGGCACTCTTCTCCATTTTTGGTGTCTCTACCTCAGCTGTGGCCGTCATCCCGTTTAGTGGGTCGTCTGAGGTCTAATCAGTTCTTTTTCTTTTTAGCCTGCTTGGAATCCACATGCAGTGGCATTCTTTTGTAGTAAAATGTCGTGGTAGCGATGGTGCAAGAGTTTGACTGTGTGGTTTGGTATGTTCAGATGTTATCAGTCCCTACAAATAAACACACATACCACATCATATTTAGTAAACTTTAGGAAAAGCATTTTAGAATACAGAGGTTTCTTCTTAAGAAACTACAGGATTTTTGGCATTTGGTTTTTCTTCTTACAATGATTACACTCAACTTACATTAAAGATAAAGAGTCCCTAATTCTATAATAATTCTAGACATAAAAATTTCAGTGGTGGTAATAATGCTGTAATTCCCGCCCCCCACCCGCTCCTGTCGCCCCCCTACCCCACCCTGCGACATGGACACAAAATAACAGCTAAAGTTATCTGCTTATCACAACAATTTGGAGAACAAGAAACATCACATTTCAACAAGGTGCAAGAATATGTATATATACATACATATATTTCCATGGAAAGACTCTCTTTCTTCCTTTCTGCCAGGAAGTGTTTCCAGATCCCACACCATATCCTTCTTGCTAAGGCTAAAATCCACTCCTGAAAAGCACATGCGGGCCGGGCACAGTGGCTCATGCCTGTAATCCCAGCACTTTGGGAGGCCGAGGCGGGCGGATCACAAGGTCAGGAGATCGAGACCATCCTGGCTAACATGGTGAAACCCCGTCTCTACTAAAAATACAAAAATTTAGCTGGGCATGGTGACGGACGCCTATAGTCCCAGCTACTCGGGAGGCTGAGGCAGGAGAATGGCGTGAACCTGGGAGGTGGAGCTTGCAGTGAGCCAAGATCGCGCCACTGCACTCCAGCCTGGGTGACAGAGTGAGACTCCGTCTCAAAAAAGAAAGAAAGAAAGAAAAGCACATGCTCTCCAGCGTTACTCTTACTCTTTACAAAATATCAGGAACCCCATCTACTAGGGAGACTAGAAAACCATTAAAATTGCTTCAGACAACTGAAGCAGGCTGTAAGGGTTAACAGAGAGGTGTGTTTCAGATAAGAAAGGGTGTGTGTGCACTTTCCTGAATGTGTCTGAAGCCACTTTTTAAATTGTAATTGATAAACAAAAGGAGAAAAGGATAAAATCAACTCAACTTGCAAGAGAAACCAGAACATAATAAAAAGAATATTAATTACAGAAGAGAATTAGGGACAATTTTTTTTGTTTTTTTTTGGTTTGTTTTTTTAAGACAGAGTCTTGCTCTGTTGCCCAGGCTGGAGTGCAGTGGCATGAGCTCAGCTCGCTGCAACCTCCACCTCCTGGGTTCAAGCAATTCTCCTGCCTCAGCCTCCCAAGTAGCTGGGATTACAGGCATGTTTCACCATGCCCGGCTAATTCTGTATTTTTAGTAGAGATGAGGTTTCACCATGTTGGCCAGGCTGGTCTCGAACTCCTTACCTCAGGTGATCCACCCTCCTCGGCTTCCCAAAGTGCTGGGATTACAGGCGTGAGCCACCACACCCTGCCTCAATTCTGTTTCTACAAACAAGAAAAACCTCTAATGGTTTGAAGAATGCTATGCATAACTGCATGCTTACTTTAGGAATCACATTTGGAAACAGAGCCAAACGTAATCAACATCTCAGAAACGACATTCAGGCAGCATATAATGACTCCTGGAATGATTACATTACCACTTGCGACTTTAAAAATTTCCCTTAGTGAATTAGTCAACACATAGACACCAATTTCCTTATAAGTTCCACATTTACTATCTGACTTACAATTTATTTTCTTCGAAATAATTTCTAGTGTACACAGGACATTGAAATATTTCCCCTGGATTTATTCAAAGCTTCAAAGTCACTTAAAACCAACTGTTTATAAGATTAAATGTATATTTTCTTGGCAAATGGGAGGTACCTGTAAAAGATAAGCTCGACTACTCTTAGCTAGTGGACCATAGAATGTTTATTTCATACTATCAAATATTTAGTTCTGTCCAAATTGTCATTGGTGTGAATAATTTCACCATGCTTATGTAGACATGCAACAGCAAATTTAAATTCAGGGAAAATATCACAAACATAGGAAACCCTTATTGAAATTACTTGTTATTATTGTGGAAGTTTCCTACTCAATAACCTAAAGTAGAAGAGAAATAAGTGGCTTAGCAGAAATAAACTCAGATTTCTCTTTCAAAACCTTAAGCAAGAGTATCTTAAGAAAAATGTTGGTGATCTTTCCTAAAACCTGTGTAAGTGTGAAGGTGTCATGTGTTTGCCTATGTGTATGTGTTTCTTTTATAATGCAAAAATCCTTGGGACAAGACAGCAAGAATGTATTTTTATTCTAAAGAACAGTCCCTGAGTGCCAGAGGCTGTGCTAAGCCCCAGGGTTAGAAAGATAAACCAGAACTAAGCCTGTCCTCAAGAACTCAACCAACTAGTAAAACGTTGGCTAGAAGTGACCCTAGAAATGCACTTCTATAGAAGATGAATATTTCAATTACAGTTCAAGCTGGGATACTCTTGTGAATGAAGGGAGTGTTTACTAATAGTTATGCAAGAACAATAGGCATAAACTAGGGATGTCTCAGGTAAACCTGGGTATATGATTGGTCACCTAAGTTACTTGCAAATTTTCATTGACATACAGAAGAGGAAATACTCAACTCTCAGTAGGGTGGGAGATAGGTGTGGTGGTTGAAGAGATTAGGAAAGAATTCAAGAAGCATATAATATCTAGTCATCTGCTGACATTACTTAATTCATTCAAAAATATTTATTTAGTGCCAACTATGCACCAGACAACATGTTAGAAGCTGAGGATATAAAATAAGATGAGGACTGATCTCAAGGAGCTTATAGTGATGTGGTGAGGAATGGGGAGACAGACAATAATCAAATAATCATATAATTCATAATTATAAACTGGCTAAGTGATTAAGCATTAAAAAGCACAGGGAGCTATGAGTTGAGCCTTAAAGGAAAGAGTTAAAATTTGCTGGGCAGGGAAGAGTTTTTAAAATTACAAGTATATGAAGATTAATATGATTTAGTGCCTTAGTCAACACCTCATGCCTAATATTATTGGCAAGGAGTAACAAATGAAAGCATTGAAGATGGCTAAAGCAAAAGAGTCACTTTTGCTCAAAAAAGGAAGGTGATTGGGGAGAAAAGTTTCAAAGATGTTGTTTTAGCTTATGACATGTGTTAAAAAGAGTTGTTGGCTGGGCACAGTAGTTCAAGCCTATAATCCCAGCGCTTTGGGAGGCCAAGGCAGGAGGATCGCTTGAGCCCAGGATTTGAGACCAGCCTGGGCAACATATGGTGGAACCTTGTCTCTACAAAAAAATACTAAAATTAGTCAGGCATGGTGGCATAGGCCTGTAGTCCCAGCTACTCTGGAGGCTGAGGTGGGAGAATGGCTTGAGCCCTGGAGGCAGAGGTTGCAGTGAGCCAAGAGGGCACCACTGTACTCCAGCCTGGGTGACAGAGCCAGACCCTGTCTCAACAACAAGACATAGAATTGTTACCTTTTATTGTTACTGATTGAAAAAATCCACAAATGAATGTATTAAAGACTGGCATACTTTGGAAAATCACATTAGTCAGATGAAATTATAGAACTGGATGTAATTTGTTTTAAGAAGCTGAGAGCTTTGTCACCAGATAGCCACGTGTGGAAGATACAGAGCTTGCCTATAACTTGTTTAAGAATATGATCAAGCAAATGATTGCAAACTTGCATCTGAATCTAAAAAAAGCAGAGAAACATATGCAGGCAAAATCTGCTAAAAGTGACCTCGAAGAGGAATTTCCACCAAGAAAAAAAGATCAAAGTCTTCTACTTTCTTCTCTCTCCCACTAATCTTTTTATTAGGAAATACAACTTATTCAGCTTGCGTTTGCATAGGGAAATTTTCCAAGATTAGTCTTCAGGTTCTACTAAAAACTTGACTTCATCTTTTCCAGAATCTGCCAAATGACATCTTATACAGAGGCAGAAATATCTGGCCATTTCTAGTGAGCCAAAACCTTTGGAAATATTCAAGAAAGCCCATTAACCACATAGAACAGAGTTACCCAGCAGTAATCAAGTCAAGAACAAAATAGTAAGTTCTCAATTATCTGCAGGTGGCCAAGCCACTTGTTATTGTGTTTGGTAAATGCATGTTTTGATAGAGACTTAGGGATGCCTACTTAGACAGCTGCCCTTCCCGCCACTTATAGCAATTTTTTTTCATAAAAGGCATTCTCAAAGAAAATATACATATCAAAAATTATCTGCTGTGTGGGATTTCTGGTGGGCCCAGATAATTGAGAAATGACTATAGTTCAATCATCATAAGAATACTAAGCTTTATTTTCTTGGTTTCTCCTCTGAACTGGACCACTGTTTGTAGAATTACTTTTTTTGTTAACTTTTATTTTAAGTTCAGGGCTACATGTGCAGGTTTGTTACATAAGTAAACTTGTGTCATGGGGATTTGTTGTACAGATTATTTCATCACCCAGGTATTAAGCCCAGTACCCATTAGTTATTTTTCCTGATCCTCTCCCTCCTCCCATTCTCCACCCTCTGTTAGGCCCCAGAGTGTGTTGTTCCCCTCTATGTGTCCTCAAAGACCTAAAGACAGAAATACCATTTGACCCAGCAATCCCATTACTGTGTACATACCTAAAAGATATAAATCATTATATTATAAAGACACATGCACGTGTATGTTCATTGCAGCACTATTCACAATAGCAAAGACATTCAACTTAAATGCCCATCAGTGATAGACTGGATAAAGAAAATGTGGTACATATATACCATGGAATACTATGTAGCCATAAAAAGGAATGAGATCATGTCCTTTGCAGGGATATGAATGGAGCTGGAGGCCATTATCCTTAGCAAACTAACATAGGAACAGAAAACCAAATACTGCATGTTCTCACTTATAAGTGGGACCTAAAGGATGAGAACACATATAATTAGCTTCTAAGAGAACAAATTCAAATCTGTATTGTATCAAATCATCACATTTTACTTTAAAAATGGCAAATAAAATAAGTTATAAAACTTCGATAACAGTAATAACATATGAACAATCATTTACATTTGCATTACATCTTAGAGTTGCCTAAGAGCATTCACATATATGCTCTCAATAGAGCCACATAATTACCTACACAATCCAGTTTTGAGATGTTATGACTTATATAGCCCATCTCCAATCCCCGGTGTCAAGCACATCAGTTAAAGAAGTTACACAAGCCCCAGAAAGAACTATAAAGTAAAGGCTTTCTCAGATACTTTGGAGGCAAAAGAGTTTGAAAACTTTACTGATTCTCAAAATGAAAAGATTCACATAAAGGCACTCTGAGAAAATCAAAAATTCAAATCTTTCCATTTTTATTTATAATAAATAAATCACATGCAGGAATTATATCATAAAGGAGGTAAAGATTGTTTCTTAACCTCCAACTATACCCATCTGTTTGTGTGCTCTTGAATAGTTTATAGGTAGTAACACTTAGCAAAGAAACAAGTCTAAGAAATAGCATATTTTCTGTGGTTTGTAAAAATGGGATTTCCCTCAAGCAATTAGAGCACTCTTGTCAGCCTATCTGGTTTTACATTACCCTCCAAACAAAACTGTTTTTTATATTTTACCTTCAATGCATTCTCAAAATGATACATGTCACAGTAAAAACTGTCACAATCAGAGCTAAAAACAACTGAGCTTATTCAAAATTTAGGATTTCATTTCAAAGGAGACCCAAGAGCTTTGTATGATTAAACTACGTCAATTCTTGTCCTCCCACTCCCACACCAAATGTTGAAGCTTTAGACAAAATGTTTACAAAAAAGTAAGAGTCTGTTGATTTTCATTACTCATTCATTTTTTTCAGGACTTCAAGCAAAGTAAACACACAATATTTTGATTTCAAGACCCATTATTCCCAGGTTTTGAACAGGGGCTCATTTTTCTGCTACCTTCCACAGTCACGTGTTCCATTAGAAAGGACGTATGTCTCCAGGATATCTAAAACATTTAGTACTACACACACTCTGTTGTCCAAACTAATTAAAACCACATTGTTAAATGTAACCTCAATTTATACTTGATTCAATCTTCCCACACAAAAACATTTCTAGTGCTTGACACTCCAGAAGGACAAGAAAACTGTAGGTTACATACTTACTATTTTCTTCTCTCTATATAAAGAAGGTCTAGGAAAAGATCATTTCAAATTCATGCAGAGAAGCTACATGGAGAATTCAAATTCATGCAGAGAAGCTACATATGCTACAGGAGACGGTCTCTGCTAGAGTAAGGGTTCAGTGAATGTGTGTTCTCTGGCCATTAGTGACAGCTGAGGAGCTGTTATGAAAGTGGCTTCTTCAGAAAACACGCCCACTTCTATGATTCATTGGTGAAGTTCATTTTTTTTCTCTCTCTCTCCTCCTCTTCTCTCTTCTTTCTCTCCTCCCTCTCTTTTTCTTTTTGTGCTACCTATACCCATCCCGAGACCCTTAGTCAAAAGCTATAGGGAAATATGGCTATGTCATTCTATAACTTATATTAAATTGGAAAAAAAGATTGCCTTTCTTATAACTTTCATAGTGATAAATATATCTTGAGCATCTCATTCAGTTAACAACACTGGGCTTGATCTTTCTTGATTCTCTCCAATTTAACTGTTTTGTTAAATGTATGGAATAGAGTACATCCTATTTTCTCTCTTTATAATTAAATCATTAGCCAGAATGAGAAGGGACACAAGGATCGGGGCAATTCTGAGGGGTAGCTGCAGTATTGCAGCCATGACATCATCAGCTGAAGTCTAGTTAGTTCCAAAAATCTCCCAGATGAAATTGGAGATATATTGGGTGGCAAATAGGAGTAGGAGGGAAAGAGGCAATAGAAGGATCACAGAGGTTACAAGTTTTAATTGTTATTATTTCAACTAACATGCTGTTTGTTGTCACTTCCTTTCTCAAACAATTATATATTGCTTTTTTCAAGAGCTGCTCTGTTTTATCTCAGCTGCAGGAGTAATTCTGTGGCCAGCAAAGTACATAAGAAACACAGTTTTAAAAGTATTTCAGAGGCTTTCAGAACAAGGAATGCTTAATAATGCATTATTGTTATATTAAATATGTCAACCATATAATGACATAGGTACACTCTTGGCTGTCCCCCCATGAGTTTAGGATGCTGGTAATCCTTGAAGGCTCCCTGCAGGAATGGTAAGAGGTGTCTTAGTATAGTGAGAAACCTTCTGCATTTGGAGCTGGAGTCAGGGTATTTGGGTGCAAATATTCCCTCTACCACTAAATTTAATTCCCATCCTGGATACTAGGTACTTAGCACTGCTCTAGGTGCTGAGGGTTCTAAAATAAATAAGATGCAGTCCCTGTGAGGTGCTCACATTCTGGTAGGTGAGATAAACATGTAAACAAATAATCACAGAGCATAGAATATGTTCTCGTAAGGTTGTTTATAAATGCTAGGGGAATACCAAGGAGGTGTAAGAGGTAAGTAATTCTTCTGTCTGAGGTAAGAGAGGTGAAATTTGAGCTGGTTTTATCAGGAAAGGGGGAGTGAAAATGGGGAGGACATACTAGGCAGATGGTATCGCATATGAAAGGGCATGGAGGTGTGAAAGACAATGGTGAGGTCAAGATTAGTGAGTAATGCTCTCCACACTCAGTGTTCTCTCCCCTCTAGTTCACCCACTTAACTCCTGCTAGTTGTAACGTTTGTTTCTCTCCCCAACTAGATTGTGAACTCTACTAAAAGCAAGAACTGTCCACATTCATGTTTGTATCTTTGCTTTCCCCAATCCCAACACCTAGCATACCTTTATGTATGTGATACGTTTTCAATGAATATTTTATTAAATATTTCATCCTTGTAGTACTCTTTTTTTTTTTTTTTGAGTCAGAGTTTCACTGTTGTTGCCCAGGCTGGAGTGCAATGGCATAATCTCGGCTCACTGCAAACTCCGCCTCCCGGGTTCAAGCGATTCTCCTGTCTCAGCCTCCCGAGTTGCTGGGATTACAGACATCCGCCACCATGCCTGGCTAATTTTGTATTTTTAGTAGAGATGCAGTTTCGCCATGTTGGTCAGGCTGGTCTTGAACTCCTGACCTCAGGTGATCCGCCCCCCTCAGCCTCCCAAAGTGCTGGGATTACTGGCGTGAGCCACTGCGTCTGGCCCATTCTTGTACTCTTATAGCCTCTGGCATACTCATAGAAGCCTGAAGTGAAGTTCATCTGATCAAAATTATAAAGACCATTTGACATTAGCTAGTTATACATAGCCCTGGCTTTTACTCAAATAGTGGTAAGTTGGGTTAAAATGATTTCTTGTGAGTCATTGATTATCCAGGAAAGATATAATTAAAAATCTGTCTATGAGTGACTTTGTATTTCAGTTAACATTAATACCAGCTTGTTTAGAAAGCACTTTTTTTCCCACAGTAGAAATTAAAAATAGTGAAAACAATGTACTGTAACAAACCTCCAAATGTTTAAAAGTTCATGTAATTATATTTATGCCATGAAATCTTTTGATAGTTACATAAATTTAAATATACTAATGATGATGTCAGTGGGAATGACAGTGAAAGGACCTTAAAAAATCTGATTATCAGTAAAAGCAATGACAACACTGGCAAATTGTTAATATCAACTTTTCCAGAATTCTGTTAGGCAGGAAAATAGGGTCTGGAAGTAGGGAACATAAGGCCAATTCATACTTCAGCTATGGCAGGAAATATCATCTCCATAGGGCATAGGCCAAGTAAATAACTTTGTAACTTTACTTCATCCTCTTCATTTACATAGGGTGTACCCCAAGTAATCAATGGAATCCTCTAGAGGGTATTTAAACTCGCTAAAATTCTGTAATGGAGCCCTTGAGCCCCTATGCTCTGGCCCGCTCCCACACTGTGGAGTGTACTTTAATTTTCAATAAATCCCTTCATTCTGTCCTTGCTTTGTTTGTGAGTTTTGTTCAATTCTTTGTTCAAGACACCAAGAACCTGGACACCCTCCACTGGTGACATCTGGAACTTAACGAAAGGTTTTCAATAATCCAAATAGTGTTTATTTAGCCAGGTGCGGTGGCTCTCACATGTAATCCCAGCATATTGGGAGGCCGAGGCGGGCAGATCACCTGAGGTCAGGAGTTCAAGACCAGCCTGGCCAATGCAGTGAAACCCGTTCTCTACTAAAAATACAAAAATTAGCTGAGTGTGCTGGCAGGCACCTGTAATCCCAGCTACTTGGGATGCTGAGGCAGGAGAATTGCTTGAACTTGGGAGGCAGAGGTTACAGTGAGCTGAGACTGCGCCATTGCACTCCAGCCTGGGCAACAAGGGTGAAACTCTGTCTCAAAAAAAAAAAAAAAAATACAAATAGTGTTTATTTAAACAACAAAACAAAAATTCAAAGGCCTGGCTGAACCTCGGTAAGAACAGGAAAATTTGTGGCATTTGAATGTGCTCTATTCCCATCTCCTCTTCCCGGAAACATGGTGGCCTTGAAAGCCAACAGCCTCACAATCACAGTAGCCATGAGAATTAGCAGCCTAGAAGTGAACAGAGGAAACTCAACAAATTTAGAGCTTCTCCAAAGTCCCATCTCCATAGAATTATTATTATCTGACCTGTCTGAAAGTTCCTTGGAAAACCTGACTTTTTCAAGGGCTTGTGTTTATTTGATGTGATTTAGAGCTCACTAATAATGAACAGCTTTTTCCTCAGGGATGTTTGTTGAAAACAATTAGAGACACTTTAAAAAAATATCACAGCTGCCTGATGGGGTAATAACAGCTAGAGCAAACAAGAAGTTGACAAAAAAAACTTTAAAGGAAAAGCTGGGAATCAGATGTCCATAAGGGGCTTTGAAAAGCTTCCACATATTCCTGGGGATCTAGAAGGACACATACTTGTGTAAGGTTGTGCATGTGTTCATGGAAGACCTGAAAAGTCCCTTATCCCTCACCTTTGGTTGACATTAAAGGTTTATGTAATCAGGAAGTGAAGGCTATAGCAAAGTTGTCAAATGCTTTCTAGGTGTTGAGAGTGTGCCACAGTATGCATGCAAAGCCTCTTGGCAAAGGGAGGAAGACTTACTGGTTCAAGGCAGTTAAGAAAAATGTTTTTGAACCAATAGCTGACAAATAAGCTATTCCAAGAAGAGATGTCAGTGGCCACACACAACAAATAATACAGACTTTAAAGAATTACTTCACAGGTCTCTAAACAACAATTACAAAAACAAACCTTAGGAAGAGGAGAGAATCTGATTTCCAAGGTTGCCAATTATATTATTTAAAATGTTCAGTCTTCAACAAAAAAATTATGAGATATGCAAAGAAACAAAAAAGTATGGCCTATATACAGGGAAAGAAAAAGTCAATAGAAACCATCCCTCCTGAGTTGGGCATAGTGGCATGAGCCCATAGTCCCAGCTACTCAAGAGGCTGAGGTGGAAGTATTGCTTGAGCCAAGGAGCTCAAATATAGCCTGGGCAATGAAGTGAGACCCCATTTCTTTAAAAAATATTTTTAAAATACTGTCCCTGTGCAGGCCCAGATGTCAGGCTTACCTGACAAATATTTTAAATCAGCTATTTAAAATATGCTTAAAGATTATAAGAAAGTATGTCAAAGAACAAAAGGAATGTAAGATGTCTTATCACATAGAGAATTTTAATGGAAATTCTGAAGTTGAAAAGGACAATAACTGAAATAAAAAATCCACTGGAGAGATCAACAGCAGATTTTAGCTGGCTATAGAAAGAAGCATCAAACTTTATGTTGACAGGTTAACTGAGATTACCTAGTCTGAAGGGCAGAAAGAGAAAATAAAGAAAAATGATCAGAGCCTAAGAGACCTGTGATATATCACCAAGTGTACACACACACACACACACACACACACACACACACACACACAGAGGAATGTTTTTGAGTTTTTCCAACTTTGAGTTTATTGAAATTTTTTTTTTTGAGACAGAGTCTTGCTCTGTCACCCAGGCTGGAGTGCAATGGCATGATCTTGGCAGCTCACTGCAACCTCCGCCTCCCGTGTTCAAGTGATTCTCCTGCCTCAGCCTCTGGAGTAGCTGGGATTACAGGCACCTGCCACCATACCCGGCTAATTTTTGTATTTTTAGTAGAGACCTGACCTCAGGTGATCCACCCACCTTGGCCTCCCAAAGTGCTGGGATTACAGGTGTGAGCCACCGTGCCCGGCCTATTGATCTTCTTGAATGTGCAGATTAAAGTTTTCCATCAAATTTTGGAACTTTTCAGCCATTAGACATCAAATATTTTTCCTGTTTTTTATTTTTCCTCTTCTTCACACAACTCCTGTTGTGTGTGTGTGTGTGTGTGCACGTGTGTGTGTATAATGCTTGTTTAACCTCCTTGTAAAGTTTGTGTCTTCTAGGCTGCAACAGTACCACACCAAATGATGGTCATGCAAGGATTCCAATCAATCCCTGCCTCAGATTTAGACTCTCCTGATGACCCTGCCTTGGATCCCCTAGACCAGTCAGCCAGAGACTTCCATGCCCTTGCTAGGCAGTGCCATTACCCCTAATCATCAGGAAGGAGGATGAACAAAGAATTCCAGGCAGGCAGTTCATGGTGGCTCACGTCTGTAATCCCAGCACTTTGGGAGTCTGAAGCTGGCAGGTCATTTGAGGTCTGGAGGTTGAGACCAGCCTGACCAACATGGTGAAACTGCATCTCTACAAAAAATACAAAAAAAAAAAAAAAAATTAGTCAGGAGTGATGGTGCATGTCTGTAGTCCCAGCTACTCGGGAGGCTTAGGTAGGAGAATCGCTTGAACCTGGGAGGCAGAGGTTGCAGTGAGCTGAGATTGTACCACTGAACTCCAGCCTGTGTGACAGAGTGAGACAAAAAAAAAAAAAAATTCCAGTCAGCAGTTTCACATGACTAGAGGCTATGGGCTGATAAAACCATGAAAAACAGGGTGTGGAACAAGTTGGCTAAGACTGACTGAATCCAATATGGTGCTGGATTTGACCTAGGTTTCACCTAGGACCTCTCTATATACTCATTAACATACTAAATCACACACCCACCAGCACCATGACAGTTCTGAGATTACACTCATTTTTGGTGTAAAAATGAGTGGCACCACAGTTCTGAGAAATCTTCACCTTTTTCCAGGAATCTTCATAAATATTCTACTCCCTGGTTAAATAAACCCATAAAAGTAGAAGCTGAAAACTCTATTGTGTGACTGACTCTTGAATATGCCTGCACGCCTCTTTCTTGAGTGTGTACTTTTCACTTTGCAATAAATCTCTGTACTTTCAAAAAAAGAGAGAAAGAAATTAAAAACCCAATAAAGAACTTCAACAACAAAATTGATCAAGTAGAAGAATCTGTGAACTTGAAAATAATTGAAATTATCCAGTTAGAAAGACAAAAAGTAAAAAGAATGAAAAAGACTGAAGAAAGTCTGCGTGACTTACAAGATAGTATAAAAATATAATGTATACATTATAGAATTCAGAAGGGGCAGTGAGAAAAAGGAGTAGAAATCTCATTTAAAGAAATAAATGAAAGAAGACTTTCCAAATCTAGGGAGAAAAATGAACATCTAGATCCATGATGTGAAAAGAACCCCAAATAGGTCTTCACTGAGACCAATTATAATCAAATTATCTAAAGTCAAAGATGAAGAAATCATTTTGAAAGCAGCAAGAGAAAAGTAAAATCTTGACATGTAGTGGATTCCTGTAAGACTATCAGTGGATTCCTCTACAGAAACCTTGCAATCTGGGAGATTTGGTTTGGCTCTATGTCCCCACCCAAATCTCACCTGGAATTGTAATAATCCCCATGTGTCATGGGAGGGACCCAGTGGGAGGTAATTCAATCACGGGGGTGGGTGTTTCCCATGCTGTTCTTGTGATAGTGAATAAGTCTCAGGAGATCTGATGGTTTTGTAAAGGGGAGTTCCCCTGCACATACCCTCTTGCCTGCCGCCATGTAAGACATGACTTTGCTCCTCCTTTGCCTTCTGCCATGATTGTGAGGCTCCCCAGCCACGTGGAACTGTATGTCAATTAAACCTCTATATAAATTACCCAGTCTTGGGTATGTCTTTATTAACAGCCTGAGAATAGACTAAAACAAACAAGGATGAAGAAATAATTTTGAAAGCAACAAGAAAAAAGTGAATCTTTGCATGTAAGGGATCCTTGTAAGACTATCAGTGGATTTCTCAACAGAAATCTTGCAATCCAGTAAAGAGTAGGAACATATATTCAAAGTCCTGAAAGAAAAAAAAAAAACTGCCATCAAAGAATACTATATCCTGCAGAATTATCCTTTAAAAATAAAGAAGGGAAACCTTTTCCCAGACAAACAAAAACTGAGGGAGTTCATTGCCACTAGATCTGCCTTACAAAGAAATATTTATGGGAACTCTTCAAACTGAAAGAAACACATGCTAAATAGTGATGTGAAAGCATAAAATAGAGATATATAGATTAATGCAACAATGTAATGGTGGTGCATAATTTACTTTTAGCCTTTATATAAAACTTAAAAGATAAAAATTTTTAATGGATACAAAATATAAAAAAGCAGATTCTGAGTACAAGAACACAAAGTGTGTGTGTGGGGGGGATGTAAAAGTATAGTATTTTTTGTATGATATTTAAGCTACATTGTTATCCACTGAAAATCAAAGAATAAAACTAGAATATATTTTATGCAATCCTCAAAATAACTGCCAGAAAACCTTTAATAGACACACAAAAGATAAAGAGAAAGCATCAAAGCAAATCACTACCAAAATAACTCATCAAACAGCAAAGGAAGAGGCTGGGTGTGGTGGCTTATGCCTGTAATCCCAGCATTTTGGGATGCCAAGGCAGGCGGATCACCTGAGGTCAGAAGTTCGAGACCAGACTGGTCAACATAGTGAAACCTTGTCTCTACTAATACAAAATTAGCCAGGCATGGTGGCATGAGCCTATAATCCCAGCTACTTGGGAGGCTGAAGCATGAGAATCACTTAAGCCCAGGAAGCAGTGGCTGCAGTGAGCTGAGATTGTGCCACTGCACTCCAGCCTGAGCAACACAGCGAGACTCTGTCTCAGAAAAAAAAAAAATATATGGAAGAAAGCGAGATAGAAAAGAGAAACAAAACATCTGCAACATAGACAGAAAATAATTAAAAAATAGCAATAGTAAGTACTCACTTATCAGTAATTACCTTAAATGTAAATGGATTAAACTCACCAATCAAAGGCAGAGTATGGCTGAATAGATTTTTTTCTTTATTATAGAAATCCATTGCTTGCTAATGAATAGATTTTAAAAAAACAGGATCTAGTAATATGCTGTCAATGAGAGTCACTTTAGATTTAAGGGCACACATAAGCTGAGAAGTGAAGGGGTGGAACAAATATTTCATGCAAATGGTCACCAAAAGAAAGCAGAAGTGGTCATACTTATATCAGACAAAATATATTTTATGTTTAAAACTCTAGAGACAAAGAAGGTCAACTATGTAATGATAAAAGGGTCAATTCAGCAAGAAGATAAAACAATTATAAATATATACACACCCAACATCTGAGAACCTAAATATATAAAGCAAATATCAACAGATCTGAAGACAGACATTGACAATACAATAATAGTAGAGGACTTCAATACCCCATTCACAATATCAGATACAGCATTCAGACAGAAAATAAATGAAGAAACATCTGGCTTGAAAAACATTACAAAACAAATGAAACTAATAGACATATATGGAACTTTCTACCCAACAGCAGAAGAATACACATTTTTCTCCAGTACACAGGGAACATTCTCCAGATAGATCACATGTTAGGTCACAAAACAAGCCTTAACAAATTTAATAAGATCAATGTCATTCCAGGTATATTTTCTGACTATAATGAAAAAAACTAGAAAGCAATAACTGCAATATATATGCTATGGGAAACAAGAAAAGGATAACAAGGAAAGGATGAAGATTATCATCACTTCTACTCAACATGGTACTGGAAGTCCTAGCCAGAATAATTAGGCAACAGAAAGAAAGAAGAGGCATCCCAGTCAGAAAGGAAGAAGTTAAATAATCTCTGTAGGTGAAAGACTTATACACTGTAAATTATAAAACATTGATGAAGAAAATTAAATAAGACACAAATGAAAAGACATCCCATATTTTTGGATTGAAAGAATTAATATTGTTAAATGTTAAAATGTCCATACTACCCAAAGTGAGCTATAGAGTAAACGTAATCTCTATCAAAATCCATTGACATTCTTTACAGAAATGGAATACACTCCATAAATCATATGAAACCATAAAAGACCCTGAATAGCCAAAGAAATTTTGGGCAAGAGGAACTACGATGGAGGTATCACACATCTTGATTTAAAAATATATTACATGCTGGGTGTGGTGGCTCATGCCTGTGATCCCAGCACTTTGGGAGGCCGAGGTGGGTGGATCACCTGAGGTCAGAAGTTCAAGACCAGCCTGGCCAACATGGTGAAACCCTGTCTCTACTAAAAATACAAAAAAATTAGCTGGGTGTGGTGGCATGTACCTGTAATCCCAGCTACTTGGGAGGCTGAGGCAGAAGAATTGCTTGAACCCGGGAGGCAGAGGTTGCAGTGAGCCAAGATTGTGCCATTGCACTTTAGCCTGGGCAACAAGAGTAAAACTCTGTCTCAAAAAACAAACAGATATATATATATATATATACATATATATATATATATATATACACACACATACACATACACAAACATATATATATGTACAAACATATATATATACACAAACATATATATAAACATATATATACACAAACATATATATATAAACATATATATACACAAACATATATATATATATATATATATATATATATATATCAAAGGTATGGTAATCAAAACAGTATGGTACAAGCATAAAAACAAACATAGGCCAAAATAACAGAATTGAAAACAGAGAAATAAATCCACATCATTACAGTCAATTGATTTTCTACAAAAATGCCAAGAATGCACAATGGGGAAAAACAGTCTCTTCAATAAACAGTTATGGGAAAACTGAATATCCACATGCAGAATAATGAAGTTGGACTATTATCTCATACTATACAAAAACCAACTCAAATTGGATTAAAGACTTAAACATAAGATACAAAACTGCTGAATTTATAGAAGAAAACAGGAAAAACATCTTGACTTGGTCTGGGCAACGATTTTTTGGGTATGATCCCAGAGGCACAGGCAACAAAACCAAAAGTAGACAAATGGGATTACGACAAACAAACAAAAACAAACAAACAAACAAACAAAAAAAACAAAAAAAACAACTTCTGTACAGTAAAGGGAACAATCAACAGAGTGAAAAGGCAACCTAAAGAAAAGGAGAAAAATATTTGGAAAACATATATCTAATAAAGGATTAACATCCAAAATATATTGAGAACACTTGCAACTCAATAACAATGAAAATAAATAACTCAATTTAAAAATGAATAAAGGACCTAAATAGACACTTCTCCAGATAACACATATACTCAGCAGAAACCTTACAAGCCAGAAGGAACTGGGGTCCTATTTTTAGCCTCTTTAAACAGAATAACTGTCAGCCAAAGATATTTTTATGCAGCAAAACTAAGTTTCATAAATGAAGGAGAAATAAAGACTTCAGACAAGCAAATGCTGAGGGAGTTTTTCACTACCAGACCAATCCTACAAGAAATGCTAAAGGAGTTCTAAAATTTGAAACAAAAGATAGATATGCGCCAGGATACCTCTGAGAGCATAAAACTCACAGGTCCTATAAAATAATAACACAATGAAGAAAACAAAACATCTAAGTAACAATCCTCATAATGACGAACAGTACCTCACATTTCGATATTCACATTGAATAAAATGATCTAAATGTTCCACTTAAAAGATACAGATTGGCAAAATGTATTAAAAAACACAAACCAGCTGGGTGCGGTGGCTTATCCCTGTAATCCCAGCACTATGTGAGGCGAAGGTGGGCAGATCACTTCAGGTCAGGAGTTTGAGACCAGCCTGATCAATATGGTGAAACCCCGTCTCTACTAAAAATATAAAAACTAGCCAGGCATGGTGGTGCATATCTGTAATCCCAGCTACTCGGGAGGCTGAGGCAGGAGAATTGCTTGAACCTGGGAGGGAGAGGTTGTGGTGAGTTGAGACTATGCCACTGCACTCCAGCCTGTGTGACAGAGTGAGACTCTATCTCAAAAAAAAAAAAAAAAAAAAAAATCACAAACCAAATATCTACTGTTTCAAGTGACTCACCTAACATGTAAAGATTCTTATAGACTCAAGATAAATGGGTAGAATAAGATATTACATGCAAATAGAAACTAAAAGCAAGCAGGAGTAACTATTCTTATATCATAGAATAGACTTTAAAGCAACAACAGTTAAAAAAAAGACAAAGAAGGTTATTATATAATGATAAAAGCATCAATCCAACAAGAAGATATATGTACTTAGCTCTGGAGTCCTCAGATTTATAAATCAATGAATAGACTTAAGAGAAGAGAAAGCAACATAATAATAGTGGGGAACTTCAACAATCCACTGACAGCACTAGACAGCTCACTGAAGCAGAAAGTAAATAAAAAAACACTGGACTTTAATTGCACTCTAGAGCAAATGGACCTAAGAGATATTTAAAGAACATTCTACCCCCAAACTGCAGAATATACATTCTTCTCATCAGCACATGGAATATTCTTCAGTATAGACCATATGATAGGCCATAACACAAGCCACAATACATTTAAAAAAATCAAAATCATATCAAGTATCTTCTCAGACCACAGTAGAAAAAAACTAGAAGTCAAGTCCAAAAGGAATCCTCAAAACTATACAAAAATGTGAAAATTAAACAATTTGCTCCTGAATGATTTTTGGGTTAAAAACGAAATCAAGATGTAAATGACATCCTAAAACGCAGACCAGTGGGCCAGCAGGGCCTCTGGGCTCAGCAGCTATGAAGGAGGGACTCACAACACCCCCTAAGGCAGGTCATTGCTAGAAGGCACTCATGAGTGGGTACTTCAAGCCCCTCTTGTATTTCTTCGAATAAAATCAGGGGGACAAGGGAAAGCCCCAAGGGTGAGGGCGGCAGGGAGACTCCTTCCTAGCCTATGGATTAAGGAAGAGTTGAGGAGGGGGCGGGTGCTGGGAACAATAAACTAAGTCCAGAACCCATCCTCACACACACATACACACCCACATTTCCTCCCTCTCTAAAATCTGCAGCAGGGACTATACAGAGGCCCCGTGTGCCAGCCCCCATCTCCTCTCCCTTTCTGGTTGGTAGGAAGTTCCTAATGACCACTCTGCGTGATGTAGGGAAGCCAGGGCAAGACCTGATAACCTCTTTTCTCGATGATCTTCATATATCAGACCTGGATCCCAGAGACCGTGGAGTAGGGGATCTCAAACTTGACCCTAATAAGGGGCCGGCCCTCCACCTCCTTTTTCTCCACTCTAGGGAGGCCAAAGTAGGCTCACATCAGGTACTCCTTGCCCCCTCGGAAGGACTTAATACTTCAAATAACGATGTTTTTCTCCAGCACATACTTGGCGCTGCACACGCTGGTCTTCAGGTGCGGGGAGTCGGCATCGTTGGGTATGGGTACAGACATCTCCACACTATTGGCCACTGACTGTTTCTTAAACTGCCTCTTGGTCTTTTTTGTTTTTTTGTTTTTGTTGTTGTTTTGATATGGAGTCTCACTCTGTCGCCCAGGCTGGAGTGCAGTGGCGCGATCTTGGCTCACTGCAACCTCTGCCTCCCGGGTTCAAGTGATTCTCTTGCCTCAGCCTCCCAAGTAGCTGGGATTATAGGCACGTGTCCACACCCAGATAATTTTTGTATTTTTAGTAGAGACGGGGTTTCACCATGTTGGCTAGGCTGGTCTTAAACTCCTGACTTCAAGTGATCCACCTGCCTCGGCCTCTCAAAGTGCTGGGATTACAGGAGTGAGCCTCCGCGCCTGGCCTGCCCCTTGGTCTTGACAATGATCTCCACAAGGCTGTGGGAGAACTTCCCAAGGACAGAGTCAATCCAGGTCAGTGGCTAGACCTGGGTGCTGAGGCAGTAGTATCTGAGCTCAAAGTCATCAATGGGCGAGATGGTGTGGTCATTGCCAAAGCACGAGAGCAACATGCTGGAATTTTACATCCTCCAGCTTTACCAATTTGTTTTTGTGGCAGCCAGTGAGCTCGAAGAGCATGGAGTCATTGAGGCCCAGCCGCAGCTCTGGCATTCCCGACAGAAACACCTTGAGCTTGATGGTGCCAAAGATCTCACTCAGCAAAATGCTGCCTTTGGCATTGACCAGCAGGTTGGCAGACTCTATAACATCAATGAAGACCTCGTTCTTCTTGTACTTGATGCGCTCGGAGCACCAGGACACAGCGTTGTTGATGGTGAGTGGCACCTTTGACTTGCCCCTTTGCAGCTTGTTGCTCTGCTGTGTGGTGTACTCCTGCAGGATCTTGCTGTTGGTGGTCTGCTAGAAGCCTAAGTCAATGAGCTTGTTCAGTAACTCCTAGGCAATGACAAAGTTGTCCTGGATGCTGTCCTACTCTAGCTCCTTAAAGAGCGAGGTCTTTATCGATGTCATAGAGCCTGCCAAACAGCTGGTTGTATGAAGAAATACAAGAGGGGCTTGATATCCCCCTCGTGAGTGCCTTCTTACAATGACCTGGCTTAGGGGGTATTGGGGGTCCCTCCTTCATAGCTGCTGAGCCCAAAGCCCCACTGGCCCAGTGCTCGGAGTTTTAGGATGTTGTTAAAAAGATGAATCTAACAAATAAGGAAAAAAAAAGAGAGAAAATTTCCATACTGCACAAAGCAATCTACAGATTCAGTGCAATTCCTATCAAAAAATACCAACATCGTTTTTCACAGAATTAGAAAAAACAATCCTAGGCCAGGCGTGGAGGCCGAGGCAGGCGGATCATGAGGTCAGGAGATCGAGACCACAGTGAAACCCCGTCTCTACTAAAAATACAAAAAAAAAAAAAAAAAAAAATTAGCCGGGCACGGTGGCGGGCACCTGTAGTCCCAGCTACTCAGGAGGCTGAGGCAGGAGAATGGCGTGAACCTGGGAGGCGGAGCTTGCAGTGAGCCGAGATGGTGCCACTGCACTCCAGCCTGCGTGACAGAGTGAGACTCCATCTCAAAAAAAAAAAAAAAAGAAAGAAAGAATAAACAATCCTAAAATTCATGTGGAATCAAAAACAAACCCGAATAGTCAAGGCAATCCTAAGCAAAAAGAACAAATCTGGAAGCATCACATTATCTGACTTCAAATTACTCTACAAGGCTATAGTAATCAAAACAGCATGGTAATGGTATAAAAGTAGATACATAGACCAAAGAAAAAGAATAGATAACCCAGAAATGAAGCCAAATACTTACAACCAACTGATCTTCAACAAACCATATGAAAACATAAATTGGGGAAAGTACACCATATTCAATAATTGGTGCTGGGAAAACTAGACAGACACATGTAGAAGAAAGAAACTGGATCTCTATCTCTCACCATCTACAAAAATCAACTCAAGATGGATCAAAGACATAAATCTAAGACCTGACAACATAAAAATTCTAGAAGAAAACACAGGAAAAATACTTCTGGACATTGGCCTAGGCAAAGAAGTTATAACTAAGACCCCTAAAACAAATGCAACTACAACAAAAATAAATGGGACCTAATTAAACTAAAAAGCTTCTGCACAGCAAATGAAAGAATCATTAGAATAAGCAGACAACCCATAGAATGGGAGAAAATATTTTTAAACTATTCATCTGACAAAGACAAAGGACTAATATTCAGAACTACAAGGAACTCACACAAATCAGTAAAAAGAAAAATAAACAATGCCATCAAAAAGTGGGCAAGTGATATGAGTAGACATTTCTCAAAAGGAGATATACAAATGGCCAACAAACATATGAAAAAATACTCAACATCACTAATTGTCAAGGAAATTCAAATTAAAATAACAATAAGGTATCACCTTACCCTAGCTAGAATGGCCATTATTAAAGTCAAAAAGCAAATAGATGTTGGCTTGGATGCAGTGGAAAGAGAATGCTTATATGCTGCTGGTGATAATGTAAATAGTACAATCTCTTTGAAAAATAGTTTGGTGATTTCTCAAAGAACTAAAAGTAGATCTGCCATTCAATCCAGCAATCCCACTACTGGGTATCTATCCAAAGGAAAATAAGTCATTATATCAAAAATATACCTGCACATGTATGTTTATCACAGCACAATTCACAATTGAAAAGATATAGAACCAACATAAGTGCCCACCAACAAATGAGTGGAGAAAGAAAATGTGGTACCTGTATATCATGGAATACTACTCAGCCATAAAAAGAATAATAAAATAATGTCTTTTGCAGCAACTTGGTTGCAGCTGGAGGCTATTATTCTAAGAAAAGTAACTCAGGAATGGAAAACCAAATATCGTATCTTCTCACTTATAAGTGGGAGCTAAGCTATGGGTATGCAAAGGCATACAGAGTAGTATAATGGACACTGGAGTCTCAGAATGGGGTAGATTGTGAGGTTAGTGATGAGAAACTATTACCTGGTACAATGTCCATACTCTAGTGATGGGTGCACTAAAATTTCAGACTTCACCACTATACAATTCATCCATGTAACCTAAAAACACCTGTACCAAGAAAACTATTGAAATATATATATATATATATATATATATATATATATATATATATATATATATTTGGTTTTATATATATAGTTACATATATATAAATATATATAGAACAAAATTAAAAAAATACAAATGCCCAAGAAGTATAAGAAAAGGTGCTCAAAATTATTAATCAGGAAAATGCAAATCAAAAGCACAATGAGATAACACCTCACACCTGTTAGAAAGGCTATTATCAGTATGATGAACTACAACAAGTTTTGGGCAGGAAGTGAAGAAAAGAGAACCTTTGTATACTGTTGGGAGAAATGGAAATTGGAACGCTTTATGGAAAATAGTATGGAGATTCATTTCAAAATTAAAAATAGAATTACCTTACAATCCAGCAATCTCACTTTTGAGTACATAGGCTAAAGAAATAAAATCAGTATCTTGGAAAGAAATCTGCAATCCAATGTTCATTTGAGTATTATTCACAATAGCTGAGATAAAGAGAAAACCTTAATGTCCACTGATGGATAACAGGATAATGATAATGTGAGATCTGTCTATTTATCTATCTAATAATAATAATATGATATATATAGATAATGTGAGAGATGTGAGATGTGAGATATATAATGGAATATTGTTTAGTCCTATAAAAGAAAAAATCATTCTATTTGTGACAACTTGGATGAATCTGGAGGGCATTATTCTAAGTTAAATAAGCAAGATGTAGAAAAATATATACCCCATGATCTCACTTATATGTAGAATCTAAAAATGTCAAACTCACGGAAACAGAGAGTAGAAGAGTGGTTACTGGGGGCTGGAGAGAGGAAGATGTGGGAGGATGTCTGTCAAGGGGTATAAAGTTTTAGTAATAATGAAAGATAAATAAGTTCTGGTGATCTAATGTACAACAATATCACTATAGTTAACAATATTGTATCATATACTTGAAATTTGCTCAGAGGGTAGATTTCAAGTGTGCTCATCACATATAAAAATGATAACTATGTGAGGTGATGGATATGCTAATTAGCTTTTGTGGTGAATATTTTACAATGTGTGTGTACATATATATATGAATATATTATATCAAAAAAATATATATAATCATGAAGTTGTATGCCTTAAATGTATATAACTTAAAAATGTTAAATATACCTAAATAAAGTTGGAAAAAATAAAAGATGTTAATATAACCTGCAGAATAATCTCTATGAAAATAACTCAAAAATATAATAAAAGAGATAAGAGATTAAAATGGTACACTAGAAAATCACTATTCAACACAAAATAAGGCAGTATTGGAGGAAAAGAGTAACACAAATAATCATAATACATATAGGAAATAGAAAGCAAAATAGCAGAAGTCCTTCAAAATCAGTAATTACCTTCAATGTAAATGAATTAAACTCTCCAATTAAAAGACACAAATTGGAAGAATGAATTAAAAGACATGATCCAAATAAATGCTGTCTGCAACAGACATACTATAGGTTAAAAGGCACAAATAGGGTGGAAGTAAAAGAATGGAAAAAGATATGCCATGCAAACAGTAGCAAAAAAAGAGCTGGAATGGCTATACTAGTATCAAATAAAATACACTTTGAGAAAAAAATGTTACTAGAGAAAAAAAGTGGCACTTTATAATCATAAATGGATCAACCAGTCAAGAAGACAATGAAATTATAAATATATATGTACCTAGTAACACAGCCCCAAAATACATAAAGCAAAACCAGACAGAACTGAAAGGAGAAACCAACAATTCAACAATAATATTTGAGGTCTTTAATACTCTCTTTCAATAATGGAAATACCAACTAAGCAGAAGATTAATAATAAAACAGGTGATTTCAACATTTCTACAAACCAACTAACCACAACAGAAATCTACAGAACATTACATCTGACAGCTGCAGAATGCTCATACTCCTCAAATACATATGGTAATATGTTAGGGCATACATAAGCCTCAATAAATTTAAAAAGATTGAAATAATATAAATTATGTTCTCTCTAAAATGAAATTAAATATAAAATTAATAATGAAAGGAAGTTTGCAAAATTCAAAAACATGAAAAATATGTGGAAATCAATCAGATGATTCTAAATAATCAGTGGCTCAAATCAGAAACCACAAAGGAGATTAGAAAATACTTTGAGATTAATCAAAACCAAACCACATTATACCAAAATTTAGGAAATGCAGCAAAACAGTGCTTAAAGAAAAGTTTTCTACCTATAAAAACCGACATTAAAAATAATAAAAATGTCAAGTCAATAACCTAGCCACTCACCTTAAGAAACAAACAAACAAAATCACAACAAAAGAAACTAAACTCAAGGAGAATGAAGAAAATAATAAATATTAGAACATAAATAAATACATATAATAAAACAGAATAAATCAATAAAAAGTAGTTTGTTTGACAAGATCAATAAAATTGACAAACCTTGGCTAGATTGACAGAGATTAAAAAAAAGGAGACATAAATTACTAAAATCAGGAATAAAAGGGGATATTACTGCTGAACTTACAGAAATAAAAATTATTATATGGAAATGCTATAGTATGAATATTTGTATTCCAACCAATTATATAATTTAGACAAAATGTCCAAATTCCTAGAAAGACAAAATACTAAAACGGACTCAGGAAATGACTTGAAATCTAAACAGACCTATAATAAGTAAAGAGATTGAATTCATAATCAAAAAACATAAGAACCCAGTTAGGAAGTCAAAGTATCCCAGGGAAGCTCAAAGCTAAGAACAGCTGCATTGAAATAGGTATGAAAATGCTTTTAATTTTATCCATATCAGGCCCTCTCTCAGGTTAACACATCTCCCATTGGGAGCAAAAGTCCAACATACATTTTCTCCTTTGAGAGAGTAAGAAAATAGTAGAACATTTATCTAACATTCTGACTTTTTGGGAAGCTGCTGTTTTTGTCTCACCTGACTAAAACAACTTATGGGAAACAGGAATAATTTGGATGGTTAGGAGCCACTAAGAAAAAAGAGGGCCCAGCAGCTGTGGCAGCACCAAATAACTTGTAACAACACAGACAGAAGCTGATACAGCTTGGCAAAACTGGGAAAAAGCAACTAGCTCATGGCTTCAGCAGTGGGAGAAGAGAAAAGTGAAATGTGTATTCAATGGTCTGGCTTCTCGGGGAGCTGCCTAAAAAGACTGGTTTCTGTCTTGCGTGACTTAGAGTGGTGATAAGAAACCAGCATATTTTGAATGCCTGGGAGACACTGAAAACAAAAGAATGCGCAGTGGGAGACACATATACAAAAGAGAAGGTGATGTAATGACAGAACAGGGAAAGATGCAGTTACAAGCTTAGGAATGCCAACAGTCACCAAAAGCTGGAGAGGCAAGGAAGGGATTCTCTCTTATAAACTCCGGAAAGAGTGCAGCCCTGCCAGCACCTAGATTTCAGACTTCTGGCCTCCAGAATTGTGAGAAAATAAATTTCTATTGACCGAGTTTGTTACAGCAACCTCAGGAAATGAAAATAAGAAACTTTCTGAAAGCCCACTGATTCACTTTTTATTTTTTAAAAGGAATCATAGATGACATAAACAAATGGAAAAACATCCCATGCTCATGGGTGGGTAGAATCAATATTGTGAAAATGACCATACTGCCAAAAGCAATCTACAAATTCAATGCAATTCCCATAAAAATACCACCATCATTCTTCTCCATTTATTTTAGATTCAAGGGGTACTTGTGCAGCTTTGTTACATGAGTATATTACATTATGCTGAGGTTTGGGGTATGTTTAATCCCATTACCCAGGTAGTGAGCATAGTACTCAAGAGTTAGTTTTTCAACCCTTCCCCACATTTCTTCCTCCCTCTTCTAGTAGTCCCCAGTATCTGTTGTTCCCATCTTTATGTCCATGAGTACTCAATGTTTAGCTCCCACTTATGTGTGAGAACACATACTCTTTGGTTTTCTGTTCCTGCATTAATTCACTTAGGATAATGGCCTCCAGAAGTATCCATGTTGCTGCAAATGAAATGATTTTATTCATTTTTACGGCTGTGTAGTATTCCATGGTGTATATACACCATATTTTCTATATCCAATCCACCATTGATGGACAACTAGGTTGATTCCATGTCTTTGCTATTGTGAATAGTGCTACAATGAACATGCGAGTGCACGTGTCTTTTTGGTAGAATGATGTGTTTTCTTTTGGATATATACCCAGTAATGGGATTACTGGGTCAAATGGTAGTTCCATTTTAAGTTCTTTGAGAAATCTCCAAACTGCTTTCAACAGTGGCTGAACTAATTTACATTCCCACCAACAGTGTGTAAGCAAGAACCTGCCTTCTAAGGTCAAGCTATGCTTCCTTCAAGCTACACAACTTCAGGGATGTCTTTTAAGTTCTCTGAGCAAATAAAACATTACTTTTAATGTATCTGATTAATGAAGTTTTTTATTCTATTTTATTTTATTTATTTTTTTGAGACGGCGTCTTGCTTTGTCCCTCAGGCACAGTGGCGTGATCTCACTGCAAATTCCACCTTCCCCGTTTAAGCAATTCTCGTGCCTCAGCCTCCCGAGTAGCTAGGATCACAGGCGCCTGTCGCTACGCCCGGCTAAGTTTTGTATTTTTTAGTAGAGATGGGATTTCACCATGTTGGCCAGGCTGGTCTCAAACTCCTGACCTCATGTGATCCACCCGCCCTGGCCTCCCAAAGTGCTGGGATTACAGGTGTGAGCCACCGTGCCCGGCCTTGAAGTTTTTAAAAATGAGGTTATACCCAGTGCATAATAGGGTGAAGAAATAGGCACCTAAATATGCTCTTGGTGGCATTTTATTATATTTTTAATAGGCAATTGAATCATATTTATTATGGTGGATTGGAAAAATAGCCAAGTTCTTTTGATCTTTTTTTCTTCAGTGTTATAATTAACCACATCATTTATTTAATTTTTCTAAGGTAGAGCTTTTTATATTTTATTTATTTATTTATTTTTTATTTCTATAGGTTTTTGGAGATCAGGTGGTGTTTGGTTATATGACTAAGATTTTTAGTGGTTATTTCTGAGATTATTCTTTTTTTAAAATCCTGAATTATTTGAGTATAAATTTTTTTTTATTATTTTATTTTTTTTATTATGCTTTTAGGGTACATGTGCACAACGTGCAGGTTTGTTACATATATATACATGGGCCATGTTTGTGTGCTACACCCATTAACACATCACTTAACATTAGGTATATCTCCTAATGCTATCCCTCCCCCCTACCTAGACCCCACAACAGGCCCTAGTGTGTGATGTTGCCCTTCCTGTGTCCATGTGTTCTCATTGTTCAATTCCCACATATGAGTGAGAACATTTGGTGTTTGGTTTTTTGTCCTTGTGATAGATTGCTGAGAATGATGGTTTCCAGCTTCATCCCTGTCCCTACAAAGGACAAGAACTCATCCTTTTTTATGGGTGCATAGTATTCCATGGTGTATATGTGCCACGTTTGCTTAATCCCGTCTATCATTGTTGGACATTTGGGTTGGTTCCAAGTCTTTGCTATTCTGAATAGTGCCACAATAAACATACGTGTGCATGGGTTTTATAGCAGCATGATTTATAATCCTTTGGTTATATACCCAGTAATGGGATGGCTGGATCAAATGCTATTTCTAGTTCAAGATCCCTGAAGAATCGCCACACTGACTTCCACAATGGTTGAACTAGTTTAGTCCCACCAACGTGTAAAAGTGTTCCTATTTCTCCACATCCTCTCCAGCACCTGTTGTTTCCTGACTTTTTAATGATCACCATTCTAAGTGGTGTGAGATGGTATCTCACTGTGGTTTTGATTTGCATTTCTCTGTTGGCCAGTGATGATGAGCATTTTTTCATGTGTCTTTTGGCTGCATAAATGTCTTCTTTTGAAAATTGTCTGTTCATATCCTTTGCCCACTTTTTGATGGGGTTGTTTTTTTCTTGTAAATTTGTTGGAGTTCATTGTAGATTCTGGATATTAGCCCTTTGTCAGATGAGTAGGTTGTGAAAATTTTCTCCCATTCTGTAGGTTGCCTGTTCACTCTGGTGGTAGCTTCTTTTGCTGTGCAGAAGCTCTTTAGTTTAATTAGATCCCATTTATCAATTTTGGCTTGTGTTGCCATTGCTTTTGGTGTTTTAGACATGAAGTCCTTGCCCATGCCTATGTCCTGAATGGTATTGCCTAGGTTTTCTTCTAGGGTTTTTATGGTTTTAGGTCTAACATTTAAATCTTTAATCCATCTTGAATTAATTTTAGTATAAGGTGTAAGGAAGGGATCCAGTTTCAGCTTTCTACATATGGCTAGCCAGTTTTCCCAGCACCATTTATTCAATAGGGAATCCTTTCCCCATTTCTTGTTTTTGTCAGGTTTGCCAAAGATCAGATTGTTGTAGATATGTGGTACTATTTCTGAGGGCTCTGTTCTGTGCCATTGGTCTATATCTCTGTTTTGGTACCAGTACCATGCTGTTTTGGTTACTGTAGCCTTGTAGTATAGTTTGAAGTTAGGTAGTGTGATGCCTCCAGCTCTGTTCTTTTGGTTTAGGATTCACTTGGCAATGCAGGCTGTTTTTTGGTTCCATATGAACTTTAAAGTAGCTTTTTCCAATTCTGTGAAGAAAGTCATTGGTAGCTTGATGGGGATGGCATTGAATCTATAAATTACCTTGGGCAGTATGGCCATTTTCATGATATTGATTCTTCCTACCCATGAGCATGGAATGTTCTTCCATTTGTTTGTATCCTCCTTTATTTTGTTGAGCAGTGATTTATAGTTCTCCTTGAAGAGGTCCTTCACATCCCATGTAAGTTGGATTCCTAGGTATTTTATTCTCTTTGAAGCAATTATGAATGGGAGTTCACTCATGATTTGGCTCTCTGTTTGTCTGTTATTAGTGTATAAAAATGCTTGTGATTTTCATACATTGATTTTGTATCCTGAGACTTTGCTGAAGTTGCTTATCAGCTTAAGGAGATTTTGGGCTGAGATGATGGAGTTTTCTAGATTTACAATCATGTCATCTGGAAACAGGGACAATTTGACTTCCTCTTTTCCTAATTGAATACCCTTTATTTCCTTCTCCTGCCTAATTGCCCTGGCCAGAACGTCCAACACTATGTTGAATAGGAGTGGTGAGAGAGGGCATCCCTGTCTTGTGCCAGTTTTCAGAGGGAATGCTTCCAGTTTTTGCCCATTCAGTATGATATTGGCTGTGGGGTTGTCATAAATAGCTCTTATTATTTTGAGATAAGTCCCATCAATACCTAATTTATTGAGAGATTTTAGCATGAGGGACTGTTGAATTTTGTCAAAGGCCTTTTCTGCATCTATTGAGATAATCATGTGGTTTTTGTCATTGGTTCTGTTTATATGCTGGATTACATTTATTGATTTGCATATGTTGAACCAGCCTTGCATCCCAGGGATGAAGCCCACTTGATCATGGTGGATAAGCTTTTTGATGTGCTGCTGGATTCGGTTTGCCAGTATTTTATTGAGGATTTTTGCATCAATGTTCATCAGGGATATTGGTCTAAAATTCCGTTTTTTTGTTGTGTCTCTGCCAGGCTTTGGTATCAGGATGATGCTGGCCTCATAAAATGAGTTAGGGAGGATTCCCTCTTTTTCTATTGATTGGAGTAGTTCCAGAAGGAATGGTACCATCTCCTCCTTTTACCTCTGGTAGAATTCGGCTGTGAATCCATCTGGTCCTGGACTTTTTTCGGTTGGTAAGCTATTAATTATTGCCTCAATTTCAGAGCCTGTTATTGGTCTATTCAGATTCAACTTCTTCCTGGTTTAGTCTTGGGAGAGTGTATGTGTCGAGGAATTTATCCATTTCTTCTAGATTTTCTGCTTTATTTTCCTAGAGGTGTTTATAGTATTCTCTGATGGTAGTTTGTATTTCTGTGGGATCAGTGGTGATATCCCATTATCATTTTTTATTGCATCTATTTGATTCTTCTCTCTTTTCTTCTTTATTAGTCTTGCTAGCAGTCTATCAATTTTGTTGATCTTTTCAAAAAACCAGCTCCTGGATTCATTGGTTTTTTGAAGGGTTTTTTGTGTCTCTATTTCCTTCAGTTCTGCTCTGATCTTAGTTATTTCTTGTCTTCTGCTAGCTTTTGAATGCGTTTCCTCTTGCTTCTCTAGTTCTTTCAATTGTGATGTTAGGGTGTCAATTTTCGATCCTTCCTGCTTTCTCTTGTGGGCATTTAGTGCTATAAGTTTCCCTCTACACACTGTTTTGAATGTGTCCCAGAGATTCTGGTATGTTGTGTCTTTGTTCTCATTGGTTTCAAAGAACATCTTTATTTCTGCCTTCATTTCGTTAGGTACCCAGTAGTCATTCAGGAGCAGGTTGTTCAGTTTCCACATAGTTGAGCGGTTTTGAGTGAGTTTCTTAATCCTGAGTTCTAGTTTGATTGCACTGTGGTCTGAGAGACAGTTTGTTGTGATTCCTGTTCTTTTAGATTTGCTGAGGAGTGCTTTACTTCCAACTATGTGGTCAATTTTGGAATAAGTGTGGTGTGGTGCTGAGAAGAATGTATATTCTGTTGATTTGGGGTGGAGAGTTCTGTAGATGTCTATTAGGTCTGCTTCGTGCAGAGCTGAGTTCAATTCCTGGATATCCTTGTTAACTTTCTGTCTCATTGATCTGTCTAATATTGACAGTGGGGTGTTCAAGTCTCCCATTATTATTGTGTGGGAGTCTAAATCTCTTTGTAGGTCTCTAAGGACTTGCTTTACGAATCTGGGTGCTCCAGTATTGGGTGCATATATATTTAGGATAGTTAGCTCTTCTTGTTGAATTGATCCCTTTACCATTATGTAATGGCCTTCTTTGTCTCTTTTTTTTTTTTTTTTAATTTTTTTTTTTTTTTTTTTTTATTGATCATTCTTGGGTGTTTCTCGCAGAGGGGGATTTGGCAGGGTCATAGGACAATAGTGGAGGGAAGGTCAGCAGATAAACAAGTGAACAAAGGTCTCTGGTTTTCCTAGGCAGAGGACCCTGCGGCCTTCCGCAGTGTTTGTGTCCCTGGGTACTTAAGATTAGGGAGTGGTGATGACTCTTAACGAGCATGCTGCCTTCAAGCATCTGTTTAACAAAGCACATCTTGCACCGCCCTTAATCCATTTAACCCTGAGTGGACACAGCACATGTTTCAGAGAGCACAGGGTTGGGGATAAGGTCACAGATCAACAGGATCCCAAGGCAGAAGAATTTTTCTTAGTACAGAACAAAATGAAAAGTCTCCCATGTCTACTTCTATCCACACAGACCCGGCAACCATCCGATTTCTCAATTTCTTCCCCACCCTTCCCGCCTTTCTATTCCACAAAACCGCCATTGTCATCATGGCCCATCCCCAGTGAGCCGCTGGGCACACCTCCCAGACGGGGTCGTGGCCGGGCAGAGGGGCTCCCCACTTCCCAGTAGGGGCGGCCGGGAAGAAGCGCCCCTCACCTCCCGGATGGGGCGGCTGGCCGGGCGGGGGGCTGACCCCCCCACCACCCTCCCGGACGGGGCGGCCGGCCAGGCAGAGGGGCTCCTCACTTCCCAGTAGGGGCGGCCGGGCAGAGGCGCCCCTCACCTCCTGGATAGGGCGGCTGGCCGGGTGGGGGGCTGACCCCCCCACCTCCCTCCATCCCGGACGGGGTGGCTGCCGGGCGGAGACGCTCCTCACTTCCCAGACGGGGTGGCTGCCGGACGGAGGGGCTCCTCACTTCTCAGACGGGGCGGTTGCCAGGCAGAGGGTTTCCTCACTTCTCAGACGGGGCAGCCGGGCAGAGACGCTCCTCACCTCCCAGACAGGGTTGCAGCCCAGCAGAGGCGCTCCTCACATCCCAGACAGGGCGGCGGGGCAGAGGTGCTCCCCACATCTCAGACGATGGGCGGCCGGGCAGAGACGCTCCTCACTTCCTAGATGGGATGGCAGCGGGGAAGAGGCGCTCCTCGCTTCCTAGATGGGATGGCGGCCAGGCAGAGACGCTCCTCACTTTCCAGACTGGGCAGCCAGGCAGAGGGGCTCCTCATATCCCAGACGATGGGCGGCCAGGCAGAGACGCTCCTCACTTCCCAGACGGGGTGGCGGCTGGGCAGAGGCTGCAATCTCGGCACTTTGGGAGGCCAAGGCAGGCGGCTGGGAGGTGGAGGTTGTAGCGAGCCGAGATCACGCCACTGCACTCCAGCCTGGGCACCATTGAGCACTGAGTGAACGAGACTCTGTCTGCAATCCCGGTGCCTCGGGAGGCCGAGGCTGGCTGATCACTCGCGGTTAGGAGCTGGAGACCAGCCCGGCCAACACAGCAAAACCCCGTCTCCACCAAAAAAAAAAAACGAAAACCAGTCAGGCGTGGCGGCGCGCGCCTGCAATCGCAGGCACTCGGCAGGCTGAGGCAGGAGAATCAGGCAGGGAGGTTGCAGTGAGCCGAGATGGCAGCAGTACCGTCCAGCTTTGGCTCGGCATCAGAGGGAGACCATGGAAGGAGACTGTGGAGACAGGGAGAGGGAGAGGGAGAGGGAGAGGGAGAGGGAGAGGGAGAGGGAGAGGGAGAGGGAGAGGGAGAGCTCTTTGTCTCTTTTGATCTTTGTTGGTTTAAAGTCTGTTTTATCAGACTAGGATTGCAACCCCTGCCTTTTTTTTGTTTTCCATTTGCTTGGTAGATCTTCCTCCATCCCTTTATTTTGAGCCTATGTGTGTCTCTGCACGTGAGATGGGTTTCTTGAATACAGCACACTGATGCGTCTTGACTCTTTATCCAGTTTGCCAGTCTGTGTCTTTTAATTGGAGCATTTAGCCCATTTACATTTAAGGTTAATATTGTTATGTGTGAATTTGATCCTGTCCTTATGATGCTAGCTGGTTATTTTGCTCGTTAGTTGATGCAGTTTCTTCCTAGCCTCGATGGTCTTTACAATTTGGTATGTTTTTGCAGTGGCTCATACCATTTGTTCCTTCCCATGTTTAATGCTTCCTTCAGTAGCTCTTTTAGGGAAGGCCTGGTGGTGACAAAATCTCTCAGCATTTGCTTGTCTGTAAAGGATTTTATTTCTCCTTCACTTATGAAGCTTAGTTTGGCTGGATATGAAATTCTGGGTTGAAAATTCTTTCCTTTAAGAATGTTGAATATTGGCCCCCACTCTCTTCTGGCTTGTAGAGTTTCTTCCAAGAGATCAGCTGTTAGTTTGATGGGCTTCCCTTTGTGGGTAACCCGACTTTTCTCTCTGGCTGCCCTTAATATTTTTTCCTTCATTTCAACTTTGGTGAATCTGACAATTATGTGTCTTGGGGTTGCTCTTCTCAAGGAGTATCTTTGTGGCATTCTCTGTATTTCCTGAATTTGAATGTTGGCCTGCCTTGCTAGATTGGGGAATTTCTCCTGGATAATATCCTGCAGAGTGTTTTCCAACTTGGTTCTATTCTCCCTGTGACTTTCAAATACACCAATCAGACATAGATTTGGTCTTTTCACATAGTCTCATATTTCCTGGAGGCTTTATTCGTTTCTTTTTATTCTTTTTTCTCTAAACTTCTCTTCTCGCTTCATTTCATTCATTTGATCTTCAATCACTGATACCCTTTCTTCCAGTTGATCGAATCAGCTACTGAGGCTTATGCATTTGTCACGTAGTTCTTGTGCTGTGGTTTTCAGCTCCATCAGGTCCTTTAAGGACTTCTCTGCATTGGTTATTCTAGTTAGCCATTCGTCTAATCTTTTTTCAAGGTTTTTAACTTCTTTGCCATGGGTTCAAACTTCCTCCTTTAGCCCAGAGTAGTTTGATCTTCTGAAGCCTTCTTCTCTCAACTTGTCAAAGTAATTCTCCATCCAGCTTTGTTGCATTGCTGTTGAGGAGCTGCATTCCTTTGGAGGAGGAGAGGTGCTCTGATTTTTAGAATTTTCAATTTTTCTGCTCTGTTTTTTCCCCATCTTTGTGGTTTTATCTACTTTGGTCTTTGATGATGGTAATGTACAGGTGGGGTTTTGGTGTGGATGTCCTTTCTGTTTTTTAGTTTTCCTTCTAACAGTCAGGACCCTCAGCTGCAGGTGTGTTGCAGTTTGCCGGAAATCCACTCCAGACCCTGTTTGCCTGGGTATCAGCAGTGGAGGCTGCAGAACAGCGGATATTGGTGAACAGCAAATGTTGCTGCCTGATCTTTCCTCTGGAAGTTTTGTCTCAGAGGAGTACCCGGCCATGTGAGGTGTCAGTCTGCCCCTACTGGGGTGTGCCTCCCAGTTAGGCTACTTGGGGGTCTGGGACCAACTTGAGGAGGCAGTCCGTCCATCCTCCGATCTCCAGCTGCGTGCTGGAGAACCACTACTCTCTTCCAAGCTGTCAGACAGGGACACTTAAGTCTGCAGAGGTTTCTGCTGCCTTTTATTTGGCTATGCCCTGCCCCCAGAGGTGGAGTCTACAGAGTCAGTCAGGCCTCCTTGAGCTGTGGTGGGCTCCACCCAGTTCACGCTTCCCAGCTGCTTTGTTTACCTACTCAAGCCTCGGCAATGGTGGGCGCCCCTCCCCCTGCCTCACTGCCGCCTTGCAGTTTGATCTCAGACTGCTGTGCTAGCAATGAGCGAGGCTCTGTGGGTGTAGGACCCTCCGAGCCAGGCGTGGGATATAATCTCCTGGTGTGCTCTTTGCTAAGACCGTCGGAAAAGCACAGTATTAGGGTGGGAGTGACCCAATTTTCCAGGTGCTGTCTGTCACCCCTAGGAAAGGGAGTTCCCTGACCCCTTGTGCTTCCCAGGTGAGGTGATGCCTCGCCCTGCTTCAGCTCAGGCTTGGTGCACTGCACCCACTGTCCTGCACCCACTGTCTGACAATCCCCAGTGAGATGCACCTGGTACCTCATTTGGAAATGCAGAAATCATTTGTCTTCTGCGTCACTCACGCTGGGTGCTGTAGACTGGAGCTGTTCCTATTCGGCCATCTTGGCTCCACCCTTTCTGAGATTTTTCATGCACTCATCACCCGAGCAGTGTACACTGTACCCAATGTGTAGTCTTTTGTCTCTCACCCCCCTCCCATCCTTTCCTCCAAGTCCCCAAAGTCCATTGTATAATTCTTATGCCTTTGCATCGTTATAGCTTAGCTCCCACTTATGAGTGAGAACATATGATGTTTGGTTTTCCATTACTGAATTACTTCACTGAGAATAATGGTTTCTAATTCCATCCAGGTTGCTGCAAATGCCATTATTTTATTCCTTTTTGTGTGTGTGTGACATGGTCTCACTCTGTCACCTAGGCTCGAGGCTCGAGTGCGGTGGCATGATCTCGGTTCACTGCAACCTCTGCCTCCTGTGTTCAAACAATTATCCCACCTCAGCCTCCCGAGTAGCTGGGACTACAGGCGTGCACCACCACACCCAGATGATTTTTGTATTTTTTGGTAGAGAAAGTGTTTCACCATGTTGACTAGGCCGATCTTGAACTCCTGATCTCAGGTGATCCACCTGCCCTGGCCTCCCAAAGTGCTGGAATTACAGGCATGAGCAACCGCACCTGGTCTCGTTCCTTTGCATGGCTGATTACTATTCTATTTTATATATATATATATATATATATATATATATATATATATATATATGCATTTGAGCTGGTTCCATATTATTGCAATTGAGAATTGAGAATTGTGCGCCTATAAACATGTGTGTGCAACTGTCTTTTTCATATAATGGCTTCTTTTCCTCTGGATACATATAGAGTAGTGGGATTGCTGGATCAAATGGTAGTTCTACTTTCTATTTTGGCTTTATTTCTGAGTTCTCTATTCTGTTCCATTGGTCTATGTGCCTATTTTTATACCAGTACCATGCTGTTTTGGTGATGATGGCCTTATGGTATAATTTGAAGTCAGATAATGTGATGCCTCCAGCAGATTTGATCTTTTTGCTTAGTCTTGCATTGGCTATGTGGGCTCTTTTTCGGTTCCATCTGTGCCTTAGGATTGTTTTTTCTAGTTCTGTGAATGATGGTGGCATTTTGATGGGAACTGCATTGAATTTGTAGATTGCTTTTAGCAGTATGTTCATTTTTACAATATTGATTTTACCCATCCATGAACATGGTGTGTGTGTGTGTGTGTGTGTGTGTGTGTGTGTGTGTTTAGATGGAGTCTCACTCTGTTGCCCAGGCTGGAATGCAATGGCACTATCTTGGCTTGCTGTAACCTCCACCACTCAGGTTCAAGCAATTCTCCTGCCTCAGCCTCCCGAGCAGCTGGGATTACAGGCACCTACCACTACGCCTGGCAAATTTTTGTATTTTTAGTAGAGATGGGGTTTCACCATGTTGGCCAGGCTGGTCTTGAATTCCTGACCTCAGTTGATCCACCCACCTCGGCCTCCCAAAGTGTTGGGATTACAGGCGTGAGCCACCACGCCCAGCCAGTATGTGTTTTCATTTGTTTGTGTCATCTATGATTTCTATCAGCAGTGTTTTGTAGTTTTCCTTGTAGAGGTCTATCACCTCTTTGGTTAGGTATATTCCCAAGTGTTTTTTTTTTTTTCAGCTATTGTAAAAGTGGTTGTGTTCTTGATTTGATTCTCAGCTTGGTTGCTGATGATGTATAGCATAGCTAATGATATGTGTACATTAATTTTGTATCCTGAAACTTTGCTGAATTCATTTATCAGTTCTAGCAGCTTTTTGGAGGTGTCTTTAGGGTTTTCTAGGTATACAATCATGTCATCAGCAAACAGTGATCGTTTGACTTCCTCTTTACTGATTTGGATGCCTTTTATTTCTTTCTCTGGTCTGATTGCCCTGGCTAGGACTTCCAGTACTATATTGAATAGAAGTGGTGAGAGTGGGCAACCTTGTCATGTTCCAGTTCTCAGGGGGAATAGAAATCCCATTAGTTTGACACTGGAGTATTCACTTTTTCCTTATGAAAGACCCACAACTGGCTCTTCAAGATTTACTTTGAAATCTCATTTCAACCTAGCTCTGACCATCAACGCTGAAACCATTATTTCACCTATATGTCCAAATCAATAAAGCCTCTCCATAAAGAAAAAAAGCAGCAGCAGCTCAGTGGCTTGTTGTACTGCCAGAGAACCTACAGTACTCCAGTGAAACACCAGAGGGAGCAAGACACTATAAGCTCCTGAAAAAGAAACTGGCAAGATTCACTAATAAGGAAATTAAACGCACAAACCCAGAGAAGATGTATCTCTTCTAAAAATGTGAGAAGCCCTCAGAATCTCTAACCAGGCTGAGCTAGTAAAGATCTTCCCATTTACAAAGACATCCCATAAAGACTAGAAGAGGTAGCTGCTTTTTCATATATAACAATGACAACAAAAGGCTGAGCACAGTGGCTGATGCCTGTAATACAAACACTTTGGAAGGCTGAGGCAGAAGGATTACTTAAGGCTGAGTTCAAAAGCAGCCTGAGCAACATAGTGATACCTCCATATCTACATAAAATAAAAATAAAAATAAAGAAAAAATAAAAAGGAACATGAAGAAACAGAGAAACATAGCCCAATCAAAATAGCAATATAAATCTCTAGACACTGATCCTAAAGAAATGAAGACTTATGCATTATCTGACAAAGAATTCAAAGCAATCACTTAAAAGAAGTTCCATACACTACTTGAGAACACACACAACTAAATGATAAGGAACAAATCAAGAATATCAACAAAGAAATAGAAATTATAAAAAAACAAAAACAAAAACAAAAAAATGAGGCTGGGCTTGGTGGCTCACACCTGTAATCCCAGGACTTTGGGATACCGAGGTGTGTGGCTCACTCGAGGTCAGAAGTTCAAGACCAGCTTGGCTAACACGGTGAAACCCCATCTCTACTATAAATACAAAAAAATTAGCCAGGCATGGTGGCATGCGCCTGTAATTCCAGTTGTTTGCGAGGCTGAGGCAGAAGAATCGCTTGAACCCAGGAGGTGGAGCTTGCAGTGAGGTGAGATCGCACCACTGCACTTCAGCCTGGATGAACAAAAGAATTGAATTAATACTATTGCTTTTCACATATATATGTATGTGTATATATATATATGTGTGTGTGTGTATATATGTATATATATACATATATACACATATGTATATATATACATATATACACATATGTATATATATACATATATACACATATGTATATATATACATATATACACATATGTATATATATACATATATACACATATGTATACATATACATATATACACATATGTATATATATATACATATATACACATATGTATACATATACATATATACACATATGTATACATATACATATATACACATGTATACATATACATATATACACATATGTATACATATACATATATACACATATGTATACATATACATATATACACATATGTATACATATACATATATACACATATGTATACATATACATATATACACATATGTATACATATACATATATACACATATGTATACATATACATATATACACATATGTATACATATACATATATACACATATATATACATATATGTATATATATACACATATAAATATATATATGTATATACACACATATATATACATATATATACACATATAAATATATATATGTATATACACACATATATATACACATATATATACATATATATGTATATATATATATATTTTTTTTTTGAGATGAAGTCTTGCTCTGTCGCCCAGGCTGGAAGGCAGTGACATGATTTCAGCTCACTGCAACCTCCAACTCCCGGTTCAAGTAATTCTCCTGCCTCAGCCTCCCAAGTAGCTGGGATTACAGGTGTCTGCAACCACGCCCGGCTAATTTTTGTATTTTTAGTAGAGACAGGGTTTCGCCATCTTGGCCAGGCTGGTCTTGAACTCCTGACCTCACGATCTACCCTCCTCAGCCTCCCAAAGTGTTGGGATTACAGGCGTGAGTTACCACGCCCAGCCTAAAAATATATATTTTTTATTTCAATAGCTTTTGGGGTACAAGTGGCTTTTGGTTACATGAATGAATTGTATGGTGGTGAAATCTGAGATTTTAGCACACTGATCACCTGAGTAGTGTAAATTGAACCCAACATATAGTTTTTTATCTGTTAGTCCCCTCTTACCCTCATGCTTCTGAGTCTCCAAAGTCCATTATATCACTCCATATGCCTTTGTGTATGCATAGCTTAGCTCCCACTTATAAGTGAGAACATACAGTATTTGGCTTTTCATTCCTGAGTTACTTCTCTTAGAATAATGGCCTCCAGCTGCATCCAAGATGCTGCAAAAGACATTTTTTCATTCTCATTTATGGCAGAGTAGTATTCCGTGTTGTAGACATATCAATTTTTTTTTTAATTCTTTTGAGATGGAGTCTCATTCTGTCACCCAGGCTAAAGTGGAGTGGTGTGATCTTGGTTCACTGCAACCTCCACCTCCTGGGTTCAAGAGATTGCCCTGCCTCACCCTCCTGAGTAGCTGGGACTACAGGCATGTGCTATCATGCCTGGCTAATTTTTGTATTATTACTACAGAGGGGGTTTTGCCATGTTGTCCAGGCTGGTCTTGAATCCCTGACCTCAGGTGATCCGCCCGCCTTGGCCTCCCAATGTGCTAGGATTACAGGCGTGAACCACCATGCCTGGCCCACATTTTCTTTTTTTTCTTCAACATGTATTTTAAGTTCAGGGGTATATGTGCAGGACGTGCAGGTTTGTTACATAGATAAACGTGTGCCATGGTGATTTGCTGCACAAATCATCCCACACCAGGTATTAAGCTTATCATCCATTATTCTTCCTGATGCTCTCCCTCTCCTCACCCTACCCTCTCTGATATGTCCTAGTGTGTGTTGTTCCCCACCATGTGTCCATAACACATTTTCTTTTCTTTCTGTTTCTCTTTCTTTCTTTCTTTCCTTCCTTCTTTCTTTCTTTCCTTCCTTCTTTCTTTCTTTCCTTCTTTCCTTCCTTTCTTTCTTTCTTTCCTCTCTTTCTTTCTTTCTCTTTCTTTCTTTCTTTCTTTCTTTTTCTTTCTTTCTTTCTTTTCCTTCTCTTTCCTTCCTTCCTTTCTCTCTTTCTCTCTCTCTTTCTTTCTTTATTTATTTCCCTCCCTCCCTTCCTCCCTTCTTTCCTTCCTCTTTCTCTCTTTCTTTCTTTTTCTTCTTTTTTTGGAGTATCATTCTGTCACCCAGGCTGGAGTGCAGTGGTGTGAATCTTGGTTCACTGCAACCTCCACCTCCTGGGTTCAAGCGATTCTCCTTCCTCAGCCTCCCGAGTAGCTGGGCTTACAGGCATGTGCCACCACGTCCAGCTAATTTTTATATTTTTAGTAGAGATGGGGTTTCACCATGTTGGCCAGGCTGGGCTTAAAATCCTGACCTCAGGCGATCCACCCACGTCGGCCTCACAAAGTGCTGAGATTACAGGCATGAGCCACAGTGCCCGGTCCCACATCTTCTTTATCCACACATTTGTTGATGGGCACTTAGGTTCTTTCTATATCTTTGCAATTGTTAATTGTGCTGTGATAAACATACACGTGCAGGTTTCTTTTTGATATGACTTCTTTTCCTTTAAAGAAGGGGTAGATACCCTGTAGTGGGATTGCTGGATTGAATCATAGTCTACCTTTAATTATTTAAGACATTTCCATAGCATTTTCCATAGAGGTTATAATAATTTGCATTTCTACCAGCAGTGCATAAACTTTGCCTTTTCACCACATCCATGCCAACATCTTTTTTTTTTGAGACAGAGTCTTGCTCTGTCACCCAGGCTGGAGTGCAGTGGTGTGGTCTTGGCTCACTGCAAGCTCTGCCTCCTGGGTTCACGCCATTCTCCTGCCTCAGTCTTCTGAGTAGCTGGGACTACAGGTGCCCACCACCACACCCGGCTAATTTTTTTTTGTATTTTTAGTAGAGACGGGGTTTCACTGTGTTAGCCGGGATGGTCTCGATCTCCTGACCTCGTGATCCACCTGCCTCAGACTCCCAAAGTGCTGGGATTACAGGTGTGAGCCACCGTGCCCGGCCCTTTTAACTTTTCAATAATGGTTATTCTGGCTGGGATAAGGTGGTATCTCATTGTGTGGTATCTCATTGTGGTTTTAATTTGCATTTCCCTCATGATTAGTGATGTTGAGCACTTTTCATATGTTTTTTGGCCATTTGTACATTTTCTTTTGAGAAATGTCTATTCATGTCATTTGTCCACTTTTTGATGGAATTATTATTATTTTTTCTTGCTGATTTGTGTGAGTTCCTTGTAGTTCTGGATATTAGTCCTTCATCAGATGCATAGTTTGCAAATATTTTCTCCCATTCTGTGAGTTGTTTGTTTACTCTGATGATTCTTTCTTTTGCTGTGAAGAAGCTTTTTAGTTTAATTAGGTTTCATTTATTCATTTTTGTTATAGTTGGATTTGCTTTTGGGGTCTTAGTCATAACTTCTTTGCTTACACCAACATTCAGAAGAGTTTTTCCTAGGTTTTCTTCTAGAATTTTTATAGTTTCAGATCTTAGATTTAAGTCTTGGATTTATCTTGAGTTGATTTTTGTAGATGTTCAGAGATAGAGATCTGGTTTCATTCTTCTACATGTCTCTATCCAGTTTTGCCAGCATTATTTATAAAATGGGATGTCCTTGAATTTTTAAATTAAAAAAATCACAAAGACAAACAACAGACTTGATCAAACAGAAAAATAATGGCAAATTTAAAAGACAGGTCATTTGACATTATCTAGTCAGATAAAAAGGAAAAAGAAAAGAAAAAGAGTGAAGACAGTCTACAGAATTTGTGAACCACCATCAAGTGGGTTAATATACATATTATAGAAGTGCAAGAAGGAGAAGAGGGAGATTAGATTGGGAAGGGGGCTTATTTGAAGAAATGATTGCTGAAACAGCCCAAATCTGAAGAATTGGTTCTGAAGAACCAAATAGACATCTAAATTAAGAAGCCCAAAGTACTCCAACAAAAGTTGTCCTAAGGAAGTCCATACTGAAAAGCATTATAATCAAATTGTCAAAAGTGAGAGGCAGAAGACAGAGTAAAATGGCTGAATAGAACCCCCAGTAATTGTCTCCACAACACAGCAACACCAAACTGAACAACTATTGACACAAGAAAGCACTTTCATAAGAACCTCCAATCAGGTGAATGGTCACAGTACCTGGTTTTAACATCATATGAAGGAAAGGGGCACTAAAGAGGATAAGAAAGAAAATCTTGAATTGCGACACCACCCCTTCTGCATTCCTCTGCAGTGTCTGTGAGGCACAGAGAATGAAACTTTGAGTTTGAGGGAGGGTGAATACAGTGATTATGCAACTGTATATTGGAACTCAGTGCTATCCTGTCACAGCGGAAAGCAACACAGGACAGAATTTATCCAGTGCCTGTGAAGGGAGCATTTAAATTAGCTCTAGTCTGAAAGGAATCATCTATCCCACCCAACCATTGGAACCTGAGTTCTGGCTAGCCACACCACCAAGCATTAAAGCGTTTTGGGATCCTAAATAAATTTGAAAGGCAATTCAGGGCATGAGGACTGGAATTCCTGGAGAAGTCCTGGTGCTGTGCTGGGCTTAGATACAGTGGATTTTGGATGCATGTGACCCAGTAAGACACCAGCGGGAACAGCCAAGATAGTGCTTGTGTCACCTCTCTCTTAACCCCAGGCAGTTCAGCTTGCAGCTCTGGAAGAAACTCCTTTCACTTGAGGAAAGAGAGAAAAAGGTAAAGATGACTTTGTCTTGCAACTTGAATGTCAGCTCAGCCCCAGTAAAATAAAGCACCAAGCAGTGTCCTCAGGCCCCCATTCCAGGCCCCAGTTCCCACATGACATTGCTAGACACAATCTGGGCAGAAGGGAACCTGCTGCCTTGAAGGAAAGAACCCAGTCCTGGCAGGATTCATCACCTGCAGACTAAAGAGCCTTTGGGCCTTGAATAAACATCAGCAGTAGCCAGGCAGTACTCACCATGGGCCTTGGGTGAAACCTGGTACTGGGATGGCTTCAGGTGTGACCCAGCACATTCTTAGCTGTGGTGGCAATAGGAAAACACTCTTTCTGCTCTAGGAAAGAAGAGGAAAGAGTAAAAAGCACTTTACCTTGCAACTTGGGTATGAGCTTAGCAACAATAAAATAAAGCAACAAGTAGATTTCTAAAATTCCCGACTCCTAGCCCCAGCTCCCAGACAGCATTTCTAGACCCATTCTGGGCCATTAACAGAATATGCCATCCTCAAGGGAAAGACATAAGCTTGGCTGGATTCACCAACTGCCAACTAAAGAGCCCTTGTGCCTTGAATCAAAATCAGTGGTAGCCAGACAATAGTTGCCACAGACCATGGGTGAGACCCACTACTTTGCTGACTTCAGGTCTGACCCAGTACAGTCCCAGTGGTAGTGGCCTTAGAGATGTTTGTGTAAATCCACTTCTAACTCCAGGGAGCTCATTATGGAAAGAGATACTCCATTTGTTTGGGGGAAAATAAAGGAAGTGAACAAGAGACTCTGCCTGGTAATCCAGGGATTTCTCTTGAATCGTACCCAAGACAACCAAGACTACAGTGACCAAAGACTTAGATCACAACACTCAATTCCCTTTGAATACCTGAAAGCCTTCTCCAGAAAGATGAGAATAAACAAACCAAAGCTGAAGATTACAATAAATGCCTAAGTCTTCAATGCCCAGACATCAAAGAACATCCTCAAGCATCAAGACAATCCAGGAAACATGACTTCACCAAATGAGCTAAATAAGGCACCAGCAACCAATTTCAGAGAGATACAGATATGTGGTCTTTCAAAGAGAGAATTCAAAATAGTTATTTTGAGGAAGCTCAGTGAAATTAAAAATAACACAGAGAAGGAATTCAGAATCCTATCAGATAAATTTAACAAAGAAATAGAAATAATTTTTAAAAACTAAGAGGAAATTTTGGAGCTGAAAAATTCAATTGGTGTACTGAAGAATACATCAGTTTCTCAATAGCAGAATTGATAAAGTGGAAAAAAGAATTAGTGAGCTCGAAGACAAGCTATTTGAGTATACACAGTCAGGGGAGATAAAATAAAAATACTAACAAAAACAACAAAGTATGGCAAAAAGATATAGAAGATAGCCTCAAAAGGGCAAATCTAAGTTATTGGCCTTAAAGAGGAGATAGGGAGAGAGATCAGCATAGAAAGTTTATTCAGTCTCTAGGAAGTTCCAAACTTTTCCACATTTTCCTGTCTTCTTCTGAGCCCTTCAAACTGTTCCAATCTCTGCCTGTTACCTAGTTCCAAAGTTGCTTTCACATTTTCAGGTGTCTTTTCAGTAACACCCCACTCTACCGGTACCAATTTACTGTATTAGTCCATTTTCATGCTGCTGATAAAGATATACCTGAGACTGGGCAATTTACAAAAGAAAGAGGTTTAATGGACTTACAGTTCCACATGGCTAGGGAGTTCCCACAATCATGGTGGAAAGTGAAAGCCATGTCTCACATGTTGGCAGACAAGAGAAGAGAGAATTTGTGCAGGGAAATGCCCGTTTTTAAAACCATCAGGTCTTGTGAGACTTATTCACTACAATGAGAACAGCATGGGACAGACCTGCCCCCATTATTCGATAACCTCCCACCAGGTTCATTTCACAACACATAGGGAATTCAAGATGAGATTTGGGTGGGGACACAGCCAAACCTATCAGCTTGCTTCTTTGCTTTTAAACTCAGTGTGAAGTTGTTATGAGTTTAAAATAATGGGTTATAAGATGTAATTTGCAAGCCTCATGGCAGTCTCAAATAAATAAACCGACAACAAATACACAAAAACAGAAAGCAAAAATTAAAATGTAACACAAGAGAAAATCTTTCTCACAGAGAGGTAGATAAGAAAGAAGGAAGAAAGAGAAGACCACTAAATGAGCAGAAAACAAATAACGAAATGACAGCAGTAAATTCTCAATTATCAATAATAACATTGAACATAAATAGAGCAAACTCTTCAATCAACATACATAGAGTGGCTCAATAGATTAAAAAACAAGTCCCAACTATCTTCTGCCTGCAAGAAACACATTTTACCTGTAAGAACACACATAGATTAAAAATAAAATGATGGAAATAGATACCTAGGTGTTGGGAGCAAGTCCCCCAAAGTCTGGCCATAAACTGGCCCCAAAACTGGCCATAAATACAATCTCTGCAGCAATGTAATATGTCCATAATGGCCATAACACCCAAACTGGAAGGTTGTGGGTTTACAGGAATGAGGGCAAGGAACACCTGGCCCGCCCAGGCTGGAAAACCGCTTAAAGGCATTCTTAAACCACAAACAAAAGCCTGAGTGATCTGTGTCTTAAGGGCATGTTCCTGCTGCAATTAATTTGGCCCATCCTTTCATTTCCCTTAAGGGATACTTTTAGTTAATTTAATATCTATAGAAACAATGCTAATGACTGGTTTGCTGTTAATAATTATGTGGGTAAATCTCTGTTTGGGGCTCTCAGCTCTGAAGGCTGTGAGACCCCTGATTTCCCACTTCACACCTCTATATTTCTGTGTGTGTGTCTTTAATTCCTCTAGCGCCTCTGGGTTAGGGTCGGCCTCTAGGTTAGGGTCTCCCCAGCCGAGCTGGTCTCGGCAAGTGGCGTCCATTCGTGGGGGCTCGAATCCAGGTTGAAGGGGCACCGGAGCGATGGTTGGAATGGAAAACTAGCAGGAGGACACCTGAGTACTCTTAAAGTAATCCCCATGGTGAGTAAGAAGGGGAGCTCGGAAGTGTCAGGGTAACAATGGGACAGATATGGGGTCTGGTTCGTTTCACCTTGGAACTTTTTCACACTGATAATGAGGAGGAACGATTATAGCGAAGTAACAGAAGAGGTTACAGAGCATGTTTATTTGCCAGCTAAAGCTAAAGTGGCAAAGGAAGGAGAGGTTCATCCCTACCCTTCTGCACCCCCTCCTTATTATTTTGAGGAAAATGACCCCCCAAATCTTTCTTTTCCAGAGGACACTGGGTGAAAACTAGTTGCCCCAGTGACTGTTCAAGCAGCGCCTCGAGCGATGGCTCTTAGTTCTATCCAGGCAGGAATTCAGCAAGCTAGACGAGAGGGTGATTTAGAGGCTTGGCAGTTCCCTGTTAGAATACACCCCCCAGATCAAGAGGGAAATATTACAGCTACATTTGAGCCTTTTCCTTTTAAATTACTCAAAAAATTAAAACAAGCAATAAATGAGTATGGACCAGGTTCTCCTTTTGTAATGGGACTGTTAAAGAATGTTACTGTTTCCAGTCGGATAATTCCTACTGACTGGGACACTCTTACTCGAGCTTGTCTAACTCCTGCTCAGTTCTTACAATTTAAAACTTGGTGGGCAGATGAAGCTTCCATTCAGGCTGCTCACAATGCCCAGGCCCAACCTCAGATTAATATAACTGCAGACCAGCTTTTGGGGGTCGACGGCTGGGCTGGTTTAGATGCACAACTGGTCATGCAGGATGATGCCATAGAACGGCTTAGAGGAGTGAGCATTAGAGCTTGGGAAAAAAAATCACTTCAGGTGGAGAACAATACCTTTCCTTTAGTGCTATAAAACAGGGACCCAGAGAACCATATGTTGATTTTATAGCTCGGTTACAGGAGTCTCTTAAAAAGATGATTTCAGATTCGGCTGCTCAGAATATAGTGTTGCAGTTATTAGCTTTCGACAATGCTAATCCCGATTGCCAGGCTGCTCTGCGACCTATCAGAGGGAAAGCACATTTAGTTGATTATATCAAGGCCTGTGATGGTATCGGAGGTAATCTGTATAATGCTACCTTGTTGGCACAGGCAATGGCAGGACTAAAAGTGGATAAAGGAAATACTCCATTTCCTGGAGCTTGTTTTAACTGTGGGAAGCATGGTCATACTAAAAAAGAATGTAGAAAAAATCAGTGAGTCAGGCCACTAGATAGGGGAAAAAAGAAAACTGCTGAGCCTGAAATATGTCCAAAATGTAAAAAAGGAAAACACTGGGCTCATCAGTGTCACTCTAAATTTGATAAAGAAGGGGATCCGATTTCGGGAAACGCCATGAGGGGCCCGTCCCGGGCCCCGTTCTAAACTGGGGCATTTCTGGCTCAGGCCATTCCCTCACCCCTGTACAATGTCTGTCCTCCGCCACAGCTGGTAGTGCCGCAGTAGACTTATGCTGCACAAAAGCTGTGAGCCTTCTGCCTGGGGAACCCCTGCAAAAGGTCCCAACTGGAGTCTGTGGACCCTTACCAGCAGGGACAATGCGATTACTTTTAGGAAGGTCTAGTTCAAGTTTAAAAGGCATACAAATACATACAGGAGTCATTGATTCAGATTACAATGGGGAAATTCAAATTGTTATATCTACGTCTGTTTCCTGGAAAGCAGAGCCAGGAGAGCGCATAGCACAGCTCCTGATTGTGCCATATGTGGGAATGGGAAGAAGTGAAATTAAATGAACAGGAGGATTTGGAAGCACAAATAAACAAGGCAAAGCAGCTTATTGGGTAAATCAAATTACTGATAAACATCCTACCTGTGAAATAACTATTCAAGGAAAGAAATTTAAAGGTTTGGTAGATACAAGAGCAGACATTTCAATCATTTCTCTACAGCACTGGCTGTCTGTATGGCCAATTCATCTCGCTCAATTTAACATAGTTGGAATTGGTAAAGCCGCTGAAGCATATCAAAGTAGTTATATTTTGCATTGGGAGGGGCCTGATGGACAACCTGGGACTATTCAACCAATTATAACTTCTGTACCTATAAATTTATAGGGAAGAGATTTATTACCGCAATGGGAGGCACAAGTTCTAATTCCAGAACAATTGTATAGCCCACAAAGTCAACATACAATGCATGAAATTGAGGTATGTCCCTGGCATGGGACTAGAAAAAAATTTGCAAGGTTTGAAAGAACTGCTTCAAGCAAAAAAACAAAGTTCCTGCCAAAGGTTAGGAAAAAAATTTTGATGGCAGCCATTGTTAAGCCTCCAGAACCTATACTTTTAAAATGGTTAACAGATAAGCCAATTTGGATAGAACAATGGCAGCAAAGTAAAGAAAAACTGGAGGCTTTAGAGAAATTAGCTGCTGAACAATTAGAAAATGGGCACATAGCTCCAACATTTTCTCCTTGGAATTCTCCAGTTTTCGTAATTAAGAAAAAATCAGGTAAATGAAGAATGTTAACTGACTTAAGAGCCATCAATTCAGTTACACATCCTATGGGAGCATTACAGCCAGGATTGCCTTCTCCTGCTATAATTCCAAAAAATTGGCCTTTAATAGTCATAGATTTAAAAAACTGTTTCTTTACTATCCCTTTGGCTGAGCAAGACTGTGAACGGTTTGCATTTACAATTCCTGCAGTAAACAACCTGCAGCCTGCTAAGCGTTTTTATTGTTTTATAGATGGGTCTAGTAATGGTAAAGCTTCTTATTCTGGATCAAAAAGTAAAGTTTTCCAGACATCCTATACTTCAGCTCAAAGAGTGGAGCTTGTAGCTGTAATTGAGGTATTCACTGCTTTTGATATGCCTATTAACGTGATTTCTGATTCTTCATACATGGTTCATTCCACACAGTTAATTGAAAATGCTCAGTTACGATTTCATACAGATGAAAAACTGATGACTTTATTTATCCAATTGCAAACAGCAGTTAGAAGTAGAATGCACCCTTTTTACATCACTCACATTGGGGCTCATACACCTCTTCCAGGACCTTTGACTGAAGGGAATCAAATGGCTGATCGCCTAGTTGCTAATGCAATATCTAATGCTAGAGACAAGAAAAACTGGAGGCTTTAGTTACGATTTCATATAGATGAACAACTGATGACAAAAACAAAAAAGGAGGAAAGATAGGGATTACAGGACAGCCCATACACAGTTGAATCTAGCATTATTTGGTGAAAAGATCCAATAACAAAAAGTTGGGAAATAGGTAAAATAATAACTTGGGGTAGAGCTTATGCTTGTATTTCTCCAGGCCAAAATCAACAGCCGATTTGGATACCACCAAGACACCTGAAACCTTATCATGAGCCAGATGCCAAGGAAGAGACTCCGGAAGGATCCCCAGTTGCAGCCATGTTGAGACTGACACTGAGGAGGACCCCAACTGTCAGGAGGAACACCTGTCGAACACAGCCACCCACCTAAGGACAGATCAAGAAGCTGTCACAGATGGCAGAAGAAAACCTGAGGAAAGCGGGACAACCAGTCACAATGAATAATTTAATGGTAGCTATGATAGCAGTTATCACCACTGCCATGAGTATTCCTTCAATAAGGGCTGGTAATAATGCCTGGATGCAATCATTCTATGACACAGTAACACATGCTTTCTGATCTCAGTATTTACCATAATAAATCTGCTCCTATAATTGAGGCATACTGCCCTCAAAAACCTATTTGGAAACAGGATTGGACCCAGTTAGAAAAAATGAACGTACTTGTTTAGGAAGATTGCTTTGCAGAACAGGCAGAGGTGCTGCACAAACGATTCCTATGGAATCATTATTAATTGGTCCCATAAGGGGATGTTTAGATTGAATTGCACCTCTCAGTCTGCGTGCCACTGCCACACTATGTTCAGATGATCTGAACAAAATGGTAAGATGGTAGGTATAATAAGAAGTATGGCAAAAGTTCTTATTATCTAGAACCATGGTGGTATAGTGGCACCTCAACCTCAAATGATATGGCTGGCTCTAGGAGCTTAACATAAGGATGTAAAATTAAAAGAACAAATATTTAAAGCATCCCAGGCACACTGACCTTAATGCCAGGAACTGGAGTGCTTGAAGGAGCTGCAGACAAATTAGCAGCTAGTAACCTATTAAAATGGATAAAAACACTTGGAAGCTCTGTGATTTCAATGACTGTGCTTTTAATCTCTGTTGTTTGTCTTTGTATAGTCTGCAGATGTGGATCCCGACTCCTGAGAAAAGTAGCTCACCATGACAAAGCTGCCCTTGCTTTTATCTCTTTGCAAATCAAAGAAGGGAGACATGTTGGGAGCAAGCCTCCCAAAGTCTGGCCATAAACTGGCCCCAAAACTGGCCATAAATACAATCTCTGCAGCAATGTAACATGTCCATAATGGCCATAATGTCCAAGCTGGAAGGTTGTGGGTTTATGGGGATGAGGGCAAGGAACACCTGGCCCGCCCAGGGCGGAAAACCGCTTAAAGGCATTCTTAAGCCACAAACAAAATCCTGAGCGATCTGTGTCTTAAGGGCGTGTTCCTGCTGCAATTAATTTGGCCCATCCTTTCATTTCCCTTAAGGGATACTTTTAGTTAATTTAATATCTATAGAAACAATGCTAATGACTGGTTTGCTGTTAATAAATATGTGGGTAAATCTCTGTTTGGGGCTTTCAGCTCTGAAGGCTATGAGACCCCTGATTTCCCACTTCACACCTCTATATTTCTGTGTGTGTCTTTAATTCCTCTAGCACCTCTGGGTTAGGGTCTCCCCGACTGAGCTGGTCTTGGCATTAGGAATAAAGTTAAAGAAATGAAGGACCTTTTTAGTGAAAACTATAAAACATTGATGCAAGAAATTGAAGAGGACATAAAAAAAGGAAAGATATTCCATATCATGGATTGGAAGAATATTGTGAAAATGTCCATACTACATCAAGTAAGGTACAGATTCAATGCAATCCCTATCAAAGTATCAATGACATTCTTCACAGAAATAAAAAAAAATACTTTAAAAATGTATATGGAGACACAAAGGACCCAGAATAGCCAAAGCTATCCTAAGCATACAGAATGAAACTGAAAGAATCACATTGCCTGACTTCAAAATATACTACAGAGCTATATTTAAAAAAACAGCATAATACTGCCACAGAATCAGACACATAGACCAATGACACAGAATAGAGAAACCAGAAATAAAACTAGACATTTGACAAAGGTGTCAAGAACATATAATGGGGAAAGGACAATCTCTTCAATAAGAGGTACTGGGAAAACTGGATGTCCATATGCAGAAGAATGAAACTAGACTCTTATCTCTTGCTGCATACAAAAAGGAAGATTAAAGACTTAAATATAAGACCTCAAACTATGAAACTATTAAAAGAGAACATTGAGGAAACTCTCCAAGACATTGGTCTGGGCAAAGATTTCTTGAGTAATACCCCATAAGCATAGGCAATAAAAGCAAAAATGGATGAATGGGGTTATTTCAAGTTAAAAAGCTTCCACACAGAAAAAAAAGAAAGAGTCAACGAAGTGAAGAGACAACCCATAGAATGAGAGAAAATATTTGAAAACTTCATCTGACAAGGGATTAATAACCAGAATATATAAGGAGCTCAAACAATTCAATAGAAAAAAATCTAAAAATATAATTAAAAATTAGGCAAAAGATTTGAATAGACATTTCTTAAAAGAAGACATACAAATGCCAAACAGACATATGAAAATGTGCTTGACATTATTGAAGATCAGAGAAATGTAAATTAAAACTTCAATGCGATATCATCTCACCCTAGTCAGAATGACTTCACCTAAGCCAGGCATAGAAAGACAAATATTGCATGTTTGCAGTTATTTGTTGGAATTAAAACTTAAAACAGTTACATTCATGGAGATGGAGGGTAGAAGAATTATTATCAGGGGTTGGGAAGGGTATAGAGCAGGGGAGTGGGGATGGTTAATGGGTACAAAAATATCATTAGAATGAGTTGGATGTGGTGGCTCACACCTGTAATCCCAGCACTTTGGGAGGCCGAGGCCGGTGGATCACTATAGGTCAGGTTTCAAGACCAGCCTGGCCCACATGGTGAAACCCTGTCTCTACTAAAAATACAAAAATTAGCTGGGCGTGGTGGTGCACACCTGTAATCCCAGCTACTTGGGAGGCTGAGGCAGGTGAATTGCTTGAACCCAGAAGGTGGAGGCTGCAGTGAGCCAAGATCCCACCACTGTACTACAGCCAGGGTGATGGAGCAAGACTCCATCTCAAATAATAATAATAACAATAATAATAATAATAAAATGAATAAGATCTAGTATTTGATAGTACAACAGGATGACTAAAGCCAATAACCATTTGTTGTACGTTTTAAAATAACTGAAAGAGTATAATTGGAATGTTCGTAACACAAAGAAATGATAAATGCTTGATATGATGAATACTCCATTTACCCCAATGTGATTATTACACATTGTAGTCCTGTATGAAAATATCTTAGGTACCCCATAAATATATACACCTACTATGTACCCACACAGTTTAAAAATCAAAAGTTTTTTTAAAAAGTGAAGGGCCAAGAATCTTGAAAGCAGCAGGAGAAAAATCGCTTATCACGTATATGAGCTCCCATTTGATGGTTAATTTCAGGTGTCAATTTGACAGTGTAAAAGCATACTAAGATAGCTGGTAAAGAATTATTTCTGGTTGTAGCTGTAAGGGTGTTTCCAAAAAAGGTCGGCATTTAAATTGGTGGGCTGAGGAAGGAAGATCCACCTCACCCAATATGTGTGGACACCATGCAATTGGTAAAAAGTCCAGATAGAACAGAAAACAAAGTTGAATTTATTCTCTGATCTGGAGGTGGGACATTCATCTTCTCCTACCTTTGGACATTGGGCCTTGTGGTTTGATATGGTTTGGCTTTGTGTCCCCACCAAAATCCCATGTTGAGTTGTGGTTCCCAGTGTTGGAGGAGGGGCCTAGTGGGAGGTTATTGAATCATGGGGGCAGACATCCCCCTTGCTGTTCTTGTGACAGAATTCTCACAAGATCTGGTTGTTTGAAAACTGTGTGGTACTTCCCTCTTTACTCTCTCTTCCTCCTGCTACAGCCACGTAAGACGTGCTAGCTTCCCCTTGGCTTCTGGCTTCTGGCATGATTGTAAGTTTCCTGAGGCCTCCCCAACCATGCTTCCTGTACAGCCTGTGTATCCATGAGTCAATTTAACCTGTTTCTTTGTAAATTACTCAGTCTCAGGTAGTTATTTGAAGCAATGTGAGAATGGACTAACACAAGGTTCTCTTGCTTTTGGCCTCTGGGACCTGCATGAGCGGCTCCCCATATTCTCAGACACTTAGCCTTTGATTGAAGAGTTACACCATTGGTTCTTCTGATTCTGACTTTCAGATTTGAATTGGGCTAACCTATTGTCTTCTCTGGTTCTCTAGCTCACATACAGTATACTGTGGAACTTCTTAGCCTCCTTAATAGTGTGAGCCCATTTTCATAATAAATCCCCTCTCATCTATCTGACTGTCTATCTATCTATCTATCTATCTATCTATCTATCTATCTATCTATCTATCTATCTATCCTATTGGTTCTGTTTCTCTGGAGAACGTTGACTAATAGAGTTTGGCACCAGGAGTGGTTCTATAGAAATAAAATTTTAAGAATGAGTTTTGTAAATTGGTTTTGGAAGATTTTTAGAACTGGCTCTCTAATGTCATCACACTTAAAAATGCTAAGGACTCTATTTCCAATAGTACAGAAAGCACTGATTGTCCATTGTATGAACTGTATATAAAGATACACAAAATATTTGCCTTTGATATTCCTAATCAACCACTTATAAGAGGCAAGAAACTTAGTGACTCTGTATATGATACTTTCAAGTATTTGTGGAAAACTAAGAGATATAATGATGGTTGTTTGCTCCTAATGTTGCTGGATGAAGTGATAAAATAAAAGGATTAGCTCAGGGATTTAAATTCCTAGCTCAAGCACTGTATAAATAATCTAACAGCTTCTAGGTGTGCCCTGAAGGATAATCTTATCTCCTATTATTGTTAAAAATCAGAACACAGTTCCTCATCATGCAAAACTGTTAAAAATCAAACACAGTTCCTCATCATGCAAATTGTTGAATTACAATGAAAGATGAACCCCCAACCTTGTAGGCTGTCTACTGTTAAAGTGAGGGCTTTGATTGAGAAATAGTAGGATTCTGTAAGTTGGGAAGGAGATGTGTGAGAAGATAAAGCTGGGGCACAGCTTCTACATTCTGATAAGCCCTTTTTTTCTTTTTTCCAGAGAAAGTGCCTTCTCCACTCCTAGTAGCAGCAGCCTCCACATTCCTAGTGATATTGGCCTTACCACCTCTGCCTGAGGGATCTAACTGCACTGCCTGAAAAGACAGTAATGGCCTCCAGGGAGGCAGTTATCAAGCCAGACAATGATTCTCCTCAGGACTCACCCACTACCCTTCTTTTCTTCTAGACCCATAACTAGACTCAAGTTCTAGCAGGCCCCTATAGACAAGGTACAAAGTGTGACACATGAGTAGTTTCAGCACACTGCAAAGAACTACTTGAGTCTTCTAATTTATACAAGTGAAAATCTGGGTAAAATGTAATAACATGGAAATTAAGTGTATGGGATAATGATGGAAGGAACATAAAGTTAGATCAGACCAAATTTACTGTAAGAAGCCCACTTAGCAGTGATTTTGCATTTAATACTGCAGTTCAGGGAGTTAGAAAGGGCTCTAACAATTTGTTTATTTGTTTAACTGAATGTGCATTAAAAAATGGTCCACTATGAACCAGTTGGAGATGCCCAATCTCCCTTGTTTTAACATAGAGGAAGGGATTCAAAGGCTTAGGAAGATTGGAATGCTACAGTGGATTTGTCACTTAAAACCTAATCATTTATACTGGGAGGGTCCAGAAAACATATATTTTACCAATACTATGAGAAATATATTTGTGAGGGGAACCCCAGAACCTTGATGAGCTCTGTGGTTTCTTTTCTCTGCAGGCCAGACCTTACAGTGTGAACTTTAGTCACTCAAATGAAAAACTTAAATGTAATGGGAGTAATAGGATCCCAAGGAGGCAGGAGCCAAGTAGCAGCACTCAACTGCCAAAGACAAGATTGGCATACTTACTATTATGGATATCAGAGTCAGAAAAAGAATCAGGATAGCGTGACTTACATGGATCTATGGCATCGATCATGGTATTACTGGAAGTGAAATAGATAAAAAGCCTACTAAAGTCTTACTTGACCAATACGAGGAGAAAACTTCCATGTCAATTAAAGAAAAGTTTCACTCAAAGCATAAAATCAGAGAATCATGACCCTTCAATCAATTCTCAGAATTCAGACAGCTTACAGAAACAGAAACTCTTGAATGAAGGGTAGGCCAGCTCCTCATGATGAAGAGCACAAGATACATTACTAAAAATATATACCTTTAGTCTTTCTCCCAGCCTTCCCCAAAGGGTCCTATGGCCATTTACCAGGGAAACTGTACATTGGGTAAAAGAAAATAATCAGACTTTCCAGCGACTACTAGACATTAAATCTGAAGTGATCCTAATTCTAGGAGACTAAAATTGTGGTTTATAAGATTAGGAGCTTTAGAGGTCAGGAAATCAATCGAGTTTTAGCTTAGATTAATCTCACAATGGGCCCAGTGGATCTTTGAACTCATCCTGTGATTAGTTCCCCAGTTCCAGAATGCATAACTGGAATAGACATACTTAGCATCTAGCAGAATCCCCACATTAGTTCTCTAACCTGTGAAGTGAAGCTTATTATGGTGTGAAAGGCCAAATGGAAGCCATTAGACCTGCCTCTACCCATGATAATAGTAAACCAAAAGCACTACTGGATTTCAGGTGGTATTGCAGAGATTAGTGCCATCATCAAAGACTTGAAAGATGCAGGGGTGGTGACTCTCATCGCATCACTATTCAACTGGCCTATTTGCCCAGTGAAGAAGACAGACGAATCCAGGAGAATGACAGAAGATTATTATAAACTTAAAACAAGTGGTAACTCAAATTCAAGCTGCTGTACCAGATGTGGTTTTATTGCTACAGCAAATGAACACATATCCTGGTACCTGGTATGCAGCTAATAACTTGGCAAATGCCTTTTTCTCCGTATCTCTCCATAAGACCCACAAGAAGCAGTTTGCTTTCAGCTGGCAAAGCCAGTAATACAACTCTACTGTTCTACTTCAGGGGTATATCAACTCTCCAATCCTATGTCCTAATTTAGTTTGCAGGGATCTTGATTTCTGTCTTCTTCCACTAGATACCACACTGGTCTACTATACTGATGACCTTATACTGATTGGACATAGGAGCAAAAAGTGGCAATGACTCTAGACTTATTGGTAAGACATTTGCATGCAGAGGGTGGTAAATGAATTTGTCCTTCTACCCAAGTCAAATTTCTTGGGGTCCAGTGGTGTGAGGCATGTCAAGATATTCCTTCTAAGGTAAAGGATACATTGTTGCATCTGGCCCATTCTACAACTGAGAAAGAAGCATAATGTCTAGGGGGCTCATCTGGATTTTAGAAGTTACAAATTCCAAATTTGGTTGTCTTATTCTGGTTCATTTATGGGGTGGCCCAAAAACCTGCTAGTTCTGAGTGGGGCCCAGAACAGGAGAAGGTTCTCCAATATCATCAGGTTGCCCTCCAAGTTTCTCTTCCACATGAGCCATAATATATGGCAGATGCAAAGGTGCTTGAGGTGTCAGTAGCAGATAGAGATGCTGTTTGGAGTATGTGGCAGGCTGTTATACATGATTTGCTGTGCAGGCCTTTAGAATTTTGGAGCAAGTCACTGCCATAATCCACAAATAACTACTCTCTTTTGGGAGATCACTCTTGGCCTGCTACTGGGTCTGAGGAGAAACTAAATGCTCAACCATAAGTCACCAAGTTACCATGCGACCTGGGCTGCCTATCATGAATGGAGTATTATCTTACCCACCAAGCCACAGAGTTGAACATATACAGCAGTACTCCATCATAAAATGGAAGTGGCATATATGTGACCAGCTGCAAACAGGTTCTAAAGGCATAAGTAAGTTATATAAAAAAGTGGCCCTAATACCCATGGTGTCTACTCCTGCTGTCCTGTCTTCTCTCTCTCAGCTTATACCTGTGTCCTCATGGGGAGTGACCTAGGTTCAATTGACAAAAGAAGAGAAGACTCAGGCATGGATTACAGATGGTTCTTCATGATACACATGCACCACTCAAAAGTGAACAGCTGCAGCATAACAGCCCATTTCTGGAACATTCCTGGAAGACAGTGGTAAAAAACAAACCTTCCCAGTGGGCAGAAACTTAGACACAGCACTGTACTTTGTTGTTAATTTTGCTTGAAAGGAGAAATGGCCAGACGTGTGATTACATAACAATTCATGGGCTATAGTCAATGGTTTGGTGAGATAATCAGGGACTTGAAAGACATATGATTGAGAAATTGGTGACAAAGAAATGTGGGGAATAATTACATAGATAAATCTCTCGGAATGGGCAAAGAATGTGAAGATGTGGCCCATGTGAATGCTCATCAAAGTGTGATCTCACTAGAGGATAATTTCAATAATCAAGTAGATAGAATGACTCATTTTGTAAATATCCATCAGCATCTTTCACCAGCCACCCCTATAATTGCCCATTGGGCTCATAAACAAAGTTGGTGTTGGTGAAAAGGATGAAGATTATGCATCAGGTGAGCAACATGAACTGCAACTCACCAAGCCCAACTTGGCTAAGGCCACCACTGAGTCCCCAATCTGCCAGCAACAAAAACAAATACAAACCTCTGATATGACAACATTCCCAGAGTAATCAGGCATCTACTTGGTGGCAAGTTGATACACTTGACTGCTTCTATCATGGAAGGAGCAGTATTTCATCCTTACTGGAATAGACACTTACCCTGGATGTGGATTTACTTTCCATATAGTCAATGTTTCTGCCAGAACTACCATCCATGGACTTACAGAATGCCTTAATCACCATCATGGTATTCCACACAGCAATGCTTCTGACCAAAGAACCCACTTCACAAGAAAAGAAGTAGGTAATAAGCTCATGCTTAGATATTTCTTTTCACTGTGCATGTCTTACCATGTTCCCTACCATCTTGAAGTAGCTGGCTTGATAAAACAGAGGAATGGGGGGAGTTGGCCAAAGTGGCCAATTAGAAGCAGCTGCAGTCCATGGCACTCATGGAGAGGAACAAAATGGGTGAGTGAATACAGCACCATCAACTGAAATATCCTGATTCTTGCATTGGGACTGATTAGGCAAACAACTCAACCTATGGAGAATGAAGAAAAGCAGGATGGGGTGATGGCCCACCTGGGAGTAACATGGAGCCAAGTGAACCCCCATCCTCAGCCAAAAGAAGTGATGAGTGCAATAGCAAAGACTTGGAACCAACCCAAATGTCCATCAATGATAGACTGAATTAAGAAAATGTGGCACATATACACCATGGAATACTATGCAGCCATAAAAAAGGATGAGTTCATGTCCTTTGTAGGGACATGGATGAAGATGGACACCATCATTCTCAGCAAACTATTGCAGGGACAAAAAACCAAACACCGCATGTTCTCACTCATAGGTGGGAATTGAACAATGAGAACACTTGGACACAGGAAGGGGAACATCACACACCGAGGCCTGTTGTGGGGTGGGGGGAGGGGGGAGGGATAGCATTAGGAGATATAACTAATGTAAATGACGAGTTAACGGGTGCAGCACACCAACATGACACATGTATACATATGTAACAAGCCTGCACATTGTGCACATGTACCCTAGAACTTAAAGTTTAAAAAAAAAAAAAAAGAAGTGGTGAGTGATTGTGCAACCCTGCCAGGAAACCATGCTTCTCCCATGGATCTTTGCAACCTGTGGATCAGGAGATCCCCTTGTGAGCCCACACTATGAGGGCCTTGGCTCCAACACACAGATCTGTGTGGACTCTTGGCAGAGCAGCTGCTCAGGCACACACAGAGACCCATGAGCTTTACATAATCTGGCCCCAAGATTTCCAACAAATGTGTGTGCAACACAGGCAAGGTGGGAGGTTTGTACATACCCCTAGGAAGGGGGCTGAATCCAGGGAGCCAAGCAGCATAATTCTGCAGGCCCCCTTTCCATGGCACCTCACAAGATAAGAACCCCTGGCTTGGAATTTCAGCCAGCCAATGGCAACTGGGTGGAGTCTGCCTGAGATTAGAGGGAGCTCCTGGTGGGAGAGGTGGCCACCATCTCTGTGGCCTAGTTGACTCAGCCATTCAAGACTGCTGGCTTTGGAGAGTCCAAGTAGTCTGAATGAGAAAGGGATCCCTCTAATGAAGCAGAGCTGCTTTACGAGATTATGGCTAGACTGCTTCTTTAAGCAGGACCTGATCCATTCCTCTTCACTGAATGGGACCTCCCTGCCAGGGCTTCAGCCACTCTAGCCATTTATCTATGGACAGAGCTCTGAACTCTCCCTGGGACAGAGACCCCAAAGAGACGGGTGGTCTCATGGTGAACAGTCTCTTCAGTTTGGTTGACTCAGCCACTCCAGCCTGCCAGCTTTGGAGAATCCAAATGGTCCAGGTGAGAAAGCCCCCCACCCCCTTCATTGCAGCACAGCTGCTTTGCCAGATTTTGGCCAGACTGCTTCTTTAAGTGGGACCCCAATCTATTCCTCCTTACCGGTTGGAACCTCCCAGACAGGGCTTCAGCCATCACAGCCAGTTTTCTACAGACAGAGCTCTGATCTCTCTCTGGAATGGAGTGCATGGGGGATGGGGCAGGCTGCCACCTTGGCTGTTCCAGCTTCTCTGTCAATCTAGCCTGTGGGCCCTGGAGAGCCCATATCAATTGGGGGCTGAAGAGATCACCAACACAGCATGCCTGCTCTACCCAAAAGCAGCCAGATTGCTTCTTTAAGTGGTCCCTCATCCTGTTCCTCCTGAATGTATGAGATCTTTCAACAGAGGTTTTCAACCACTCCTATAGGCATGTTCAGGCTGGCAATAGGGCAGTAACCTCCTGGGATGGAACTTCCAGAGGAAGGAGCAGGCTGCCATCTTTGCTATTTCACAACCTTCACTGGTGATACCACCAGGTAGGAAAAAAACCGAGGCAACTAGGGTCTGGAGTGGAACTCCAGCAAACTGCAGCAGCACTACGGAAGAGTGGCCTGACTGCTAAAACAAAAACAAACAGAAAATAACAACAACAACAGCATTAACAAAAAGACTGCCCAAAACCCCATTCAAAGGTCAGCAACCTTAAAAATTAAAGGTAGATAAGCCCACAAGGATAAAAAAGAATTAATGCAAAAATGCCAAAAACTTAAAAAGCCAGAGTGCCCCTTCTCCTCCAAATGACCTCTCCAGGAAGAGCTCAGAACTGGGCTGAGGCTGAGATGGCTGAAATAACAGAAGTAGGCTTCAGAAGGTGGGTAATAACAAACATCACTGAGCTAAAGGAACATGTTGTAACCCAATGCTGGAAGCTAAGAGTCATGATAAACAATACAGGAGCTGACAGCTAAAATAGCCAGGTTAGAGAGGAATATAACAGACCTGTTAGTGCTAAGAAACAAACTACAAGAACTTCACAATGCAATCATAAATGTTAATAGCAGAATAGACCAAATGGAGGAAAGAATCTCAGAGTTTGAAGACTATCTTTCTGAAATAAAACAGGCAGACAAGAATAGAGAAAAAGGAATTAAAACATGAACAAAACCTCCAAGAAATATGGGATTATGTAGAGACTGAACTTAAGACTGATAGAGGTACCAGAGACAGGGAGAATGTAACCAAGTTGGAAAACATACTTCAAAATATCATCCAGGAAAACTTCCCCTATCTAGCAATACAGGTAAACATTCAAATTTAGGAAATGCAGAGAACCTCAGTAAGATACTCCACAAAAAGATCAATCCCAATACACATAATTGTCAGATTTTCCAAGGTTGAAATGAAAGGAAAACTGTTAAAAGCAGCCAGACATAAAGGCCAGGCCACCTACAAAGGGAAGCCCATCAGACTAACAGTGGATCTCTCAGTGGAAACCTACAAGCCAGGAGAGATTGTAGGCCAGTATTCAACATTCTTAAAGAAAAAGGTTTTCAACCTAGCATTTCATATCCAGCCAGACTAAGCTTCATCAACAAAGAAGACATAAGATCCTTTAAGACAAAGAATGCTGAGGGAAATCACTACCAGCAGATGTGCCTTACAAGAGCTCATGAAGGAAGCACTCAATATGGGAGGAAAAACATTACCAGCCACTACAAAAACACACTGAAGTACAAAAACCAGTGACACTATGAAGAAACCACATAAACAAGTCTGCAAAATAACCAGCTAGAATCATGATGACAGAATCAAATCCCCATATAACAATAATAACCTCAAATAGAAATGGACTAAATGCCCCAATTAAAAGACACAGAATGACAAGCTACATAAAGGGCCAAGACCCATCAGTATGCTGTCTTCAAGAGACCAATCTCATATGCAAAGACACACATAGGCTCAAAATAGAGGGATGGGGCTGGGTGTGGTGGCTCTTATCTGTAATCTCAGCACTTTGGGAGGCCAAGGTGGGTGGATAAGATGAGCTCAGGAGTTTGAGGCCAGCCTGGTCAACATGGTAAAACCCCATCTCTACTAAAAATAGAAAAATTAGCCAGGCATGGTGGCATGCACCTGTAGTCCCAGCTACTTGGGAGGCTGAGGTGGAAGAATCTCTTGAACCTAGGAGGCTGAGGTTTAAGTAAAACAAGATTATACCACTACTCTCCAGCCTGGGTGAGAGAGCAAGACACCCTCTCAAAAAAATTAAAATAAAGGGATGGAGAGAAATCTACTCTGCAAATGGAAAACAGAAAAAAAACAGGATTTGCAATCCTAGTTTCTGACAAAGAAGACTTCAAACCAACAAAGATCAAAAAAGACAAAGAAGGGCATTACATAATGGTAAAGAGTTCAATTCAACAAGAAGAGCTATCTATCCTAAATATATATGCACCCAATATGGAGCATACATTCATAAAACAAGTTCTTAGAGACCTTCAAAGAGACTTAGACTCCCACACAATAATAGTGGAAGACTTTAACACCCCACTGACAATATTAGACAGATCATCGAGACAGAAAATTAACAAAGATATTTAGGACCTGAACTTAGCTCTGGATCAAGTAGACCTGATAGATATCTACATAACTCTCCACCCAAAAGCAACAGAATATATATTATTCTCATTGCCACATGGTATTTCCTCTTGATCACATAATTGGAAGTAAAACAATCCTTAGCAAATGCAAAATAACTGAAATCATAACAGTCTCTCAGACCACAGTGCAATCAAATTAAAAATCAAGATTAAGAAATTCACCTAAAACCATACAACTACATGAAAATTGATCAACCTTCTACTGAATGACTCTTGGGTAAAAAGTGAAACTAAGACAGAAATTAAGAAGTTCTTTGAAATTAATGAGAACAAAGATACAACATACCAGAATCTCTGGGATGCAGCTAAGTCAGTGTTAAGAGGGAAATTTATAGCACTAAATGCCCACATCAAAAATCTAGAAAGATCTCGTTAACAACCTAACATCTCAATTAAAAGAACTAGAGAACCAAGAGAAAATGAACCCCAAAGCTAGCAGGAGACAAGAAATAACCAAGATCAAAGCTGAATTGAAGGAGATAGTGACACTGAAAACCTTTCAAAAAATCAGCAAATCCAGGAGCTGTGTTTTTTTTTTTTTTTTTTTTTTTTGGAAATAATTAACAATATAGATAGACTGCTAACCAGAATAATAAAGAAGAAAAGAGAAGAATCAAATAAACAGAAATGATAAGGGGGATATCACCACTGACACCACAGAAATGCAAACAACCATCAGAGAATGCTATAAACACCTCTAGGTAATAAACTGGAAAATCTAGAAGAAATGGATAAATTCTTGGACACTACAGCCTCTCAAGACTGAACCAGGAAGAAACTGAATCCCAGAACAGACCAATAATGAGTTCTGAAATTGAGGCAATAATAAATATCCTATCAAGAAAAAAAAAAAACAGGATAAGACATATTCACAGCTGAATTCTACCAGAGGTACAAAGAAGAGCTGGTACCATTTGTACTGAAACTATTTCAAAAAATTAAAAAGGATGGACTCCTACCTAACTTATTCTATGAGGTCAACATCATCCTGATACCAAACTTGGCAGAGATACAACAAAAAAAGGAAACTTAAGGCCATATGCTTGATGAACATCAATGCAAAAATCCTCAGTAAAGCACTGGCAAAGCAAATCCAGTAGCATATCAAAAAGCTTATCCACCATGATCAAGTTGGCTTCATCCCCAGGATGCCAGGTTTTTTCAACATACACAAATCAATAAATGTGATTCATTGCATAAACACAACTAAAGTCAAAAACTACATGATTAACTCAATAGATGCAGAAAAGCCTTTTGATAAAATTCAACATCCCTTCGTGTTAAAAACTCTCAATAAACTAGGTATTGAAGGAACATACATCAAAATAATAAGAGCTATATATGACAAACCCACAGCCAATATCATACGGAATGGGCAAAAGCTGGAAGCATTCTCCTTGAAAACTTGCACAAGACAAGGATGTCCTCTTTCACTATTCCTATTCAATATAGTATTGGAAGTTCTGGCCAGGGCAAGAGAAAAAAAAATAAAGAGTATTCAAAAAGGAATAGAGGGTATCAAATTGTCTTTGTTTGCAGATGACATAACCCTATATCTAGAAAACCCCATAGTCACAGCCCAAAAGCTTCTTAAGCTGAGAAGAAACTTCAGCAAAGTTTCAGGATACAAAATAAATGTGCAAAAATCACTAGCATTCATATACATCAACAACAGGCAAGCAGAGAGCGAAATCATGAATGAATTCCCATTCACAAATGCCACAAAATGAATAAAATACCTAGGAATAGAGCTAACAAAGGAAGTGAAGGATCTCTTCAAGGAGAGCTAGAAACCACTGCTCAAAGAAATCAGAGATGACAGAAACAAATGGAAAAAACATTCTATGCTCATGAATAGAAAGAATCAATATCATGAAAATGGCAATACTGCCCAAAGCATTTTATAGAGTCAATGCTATTCCCATTAAACTACCATTGACATTCTTCACTGAATTAGAAACAACTATGTTAAAATTCATATGGAACCAAAATAGAGCCCAAAAAAACAAGACAATCATAAGAAAAAAGAACAAAGCTGGGGTCATCACACTACCCAACTTCAAACTATACTACAAGGCTACAGTAACCAAAACAGCATGGTACTGGTACAACAATGACACATAGATCAATGAAACAGAATAGAGAACCCAGAAATAAGACCACACACGTACAACCATCTGATCTTTGACAAACCTGACAAAAAAAGCAATGGGGAAAGGATTCCCTATACAAAAAATTGTTCTGGGAGAACTGGCTAGCCATATGCAGAAAATTGAAACAGGACCCTCTCCTTACACCATATACAAAAATCAACTCAAGATGGAATAAATACTTAAATGTAAAATCCAAAAATATAAAAACCCTAGAAGAAAATCTGGGCAATACCATTCAGGATATAGACACAGGAAAATATTTCATGACAAAGACACCAAAAGCAATTGCAACAAAAGCAAAAATTGACAAATGGGATCTAATTAAACTAAATAGCTCCTGCAGAGCAAAAGAAGCTATCACCAAAGTGAGCAGACAACCTACAGAGTGGGAGAAAAATTTTGCAACCTATTCACCTCACAAAAGTCTAACATCTAGCATATACAAGGAACTTAAAAAATTTACAAGAATGGAACAAACAACCCCATTAAAAAATAGGCAAAGCACATGAGCAGACACTTCTCAAAAGAAGGTGTATGTACGGCTAACAAACATTTAAAAAATACCTCAATATCACAGATCATTAGAGAAATGCAAATCAAAACCACAATGAGATACCATCTCACATTAGTCAGAATGGCTGTTATTAAAACAGTTGATCCACCATGATCAAGTCGGCTTCATCCCTGGGATGCAGGGTTGGTTCAACAGATGCAAATCAATAAATACAATCCACATAAACAGAATCAATGACAAAAACCACATGATTATCTCAATAGATGCAGAAAAGACCTACAATAAAATTCAACACCCTTCATACTAAAAATACTCAACAAACTAGGTATCAATGGAACACATCTCAAAATAATAAGAGCTATTCATGACAAAACCCGAAAAGCAATTGCAACAAAAGCCAGAATCGACAAATGGGATCTAATTAAACTAAAGAGTTTCTGCACAACCAAAGGAACTATCATCAGAGTGAACAGACAACCTACAGAATGAGAGAAAATTTTTGCAATCTATCCATCTGGCAAAGGGCTAATATCCAGAATCTACAAGGAACTTAAACAAATTTACAAGAAAAAAACAACCCCATCAAAAAGTGGGCAAAGGATATGAACACATACTTCTCAAAAGAAGACATTTATATGGCCATAAAACATGAAAAAAAGCTCATTATCACTGGTCATTAGAGAAATGCAAATCAAAACCATAATATGATATCATCTCATGCCAGTTAGAACGGTGATCATTAAAAAGTCTGGAAACAACAGATGCTGGAGAGGATGTGGAGAAATAGAAATGCTTTTACACTGTTGGATGTGTAAATTAGCTCAATCATTGTGGAAGACAGTGTGGTGATTCCTCAATGATCTAGAACTAGAAATACCATTTGATCCAGCAATCCCATTACTGGGTATATACCCAAAGGATTATAAATCATTCCACTATAAAGACACATGCACATGTATGTTTATTGCAGCACTATTCACAATAGCAAAGACTTGGAACCAACCCAAATGCCCATCAGTGATAGACTGGATAAAGAAAATGTGGCATGGCCAGGCACGGTGGCTCATGCCTGTAATCCCAGCACTTTGGGAGGCCGAGGCATGCGGATCACAAGGTCAGGAGATCAAGACCATCCTGGTTAACAAGGTGAAACCCCATCTCTACTAAAAATACAAAAATTAGCTGGGTGTGGTGGCAGGTGCCTGTAGTCCCAGCTACTCAGGAGGCTGAGGCAGGAGAATGGCGTGAACCTGGGAGGTGGAGCTTGCAGTGAGCTGAGATTGCACCACTGCAGTCCAGCCTAGGCAACACAGTGAGAATCCATCTCAAAAAAAAAAAAAAAAAAAAAAAAAGCAAAGAAAGAAAATGTGGCACTTATACACCATGGAATACTATGCAGCCACAAAAAAGGATGAGTTTATGTTTTTTCAGTGACATGGATGAAGCTGGAAAGCATCATTCTCAGAAAACTAACACAGGAACAGAAAACCAAACATCTCATGTTCTCATTCATAAATGGCAGTTGATCAATTAGAACACATGGACACAGGGAGGGGAACATCACACACCAGGGCCTGTCAGGAGTGAGGGGCAAAGGGAGGGATAGCATTAGGAGAAATACCTCATGTAGATGATGGGTTGATGGATGCAGCAAACCACATGGCACGTGTATACCTATGTAACAAACCTGCACGTTCTGCACATGTATCCCAGAGCTTAAAGTATAATAAAAAAAAAAATAAAACATCAAAAAATGTTTAATCAAATATCTCAACATCCTGTGACCCAGTCAAGTTGATTCAAAATTTACCATCACAGGTCCACACCTTTGTCAATTTGGGACCCATATACATTTTAAACTATACTTAATCTCCAAATATAGACCAACAAATGGTCAGAATTTCACCTAACAACTAATCGATATTGTGTCTCCTGATGGAAATATTCCCCTCTTGGGAATTAAGACCTTTCTGTCAGCAGAGCATAAGGTCTCAGGTACAGGAGGCAAAAATTTTGCTAGCTGTTCACTAGGGGGTATTGTGAGTGGTGCCACACTCATTTCCACCCTTTGATACTTGGATCCATGAATCCTGGCTATGGGAGAAAGAGCACCGTATATTGAATGCTGATTCTGAGCATATATAGTCCTATGGAGAACCTTGCCCCAGCCCTGAAAAGTATTCCCACCTAGCTGACAATGTAACTGCAACTCCAAAAGGCCATTCCACCATGCTATCAAACTAGCTGCTTCAGAATGGTGTGGAACATGGTAAAACCTGTGAGTTTTATGAACATCAGCTCATTGCTGCACTTCTTTTTTTTTTTTTTTTGAGATGGAGTCTCGCTCTGTCGCCCAGGCTGGAGTGCAGTGGCACGATCTCGGCTCACTGCAAGCTCCGCCTGCCCGGTTCACACCATTCTCCTGCCTCAGCCTCCCGAGTGCTGGGACTACAGATGCCCGCCACCACGCCCAGCTAATTTTTTGTATTTTTAGTAGAGACAGGGTTTCACCGTGGTCTCGATCTCCTGACCTCGTGATCCGCCTGCCTCAGCCTCCCAAAGTGCTGGGATTACAGGCGTGAGCCACCGCACCTGGCCCGTTGCTGCACTTCTTTTGCTGTGAAGTGAGTTCCTTGATCAGAAGCAATGCTGTGTGAAATACCATGATTGTGGAGACAAGGCATTCAGTAAGCCCATGGATGGTAGTTTTGGCAGTAGCATTGAGTGTAGGGAAGGCAAATCTGTTTGTGATTATTCCAGTAAGAACAAAATTCTGCTCCTTCCCTGGTAAAAGTAGTCCAATGTAATCAACCTGCTATCAGGTAGCTTGGCTGATCGTGCCGATAAATAATGCTGTACTGAGGACTCAGGGTTGGTCTCTATGGCTGGCAGATTGAGTAGAGGTGGCTGTACATAGGTTGGCCTTGGTGAATGGAAGTCCATGTTGCTGAGCCCATGCATAACCTCTACTCCTACCATCATGACCATTTTGTTCATAATCTCATAAGGTGGTGACAGAAGTGGTTAAGAGGCTGACTGGTATCCATAGAACAGATAATTTGACTTTTAGTAAGATTTATTTCCCTCAGTCTGACACACAAATGTCTTACCAATAAGTCTAGTGTTGTTGCTACTTCCTCTTCACTAGGTCCAGTCAGCATAGTGTCATCAATGTAATGAACCAATCTGATATCTTATGGAGGGAAAAACAATCAATATCCCTGTGAATTAAATTATTGCATAGGGCTGGCAAGTTGATATACCCCTAAGATAGGACAGTCAAGGTGTATTGCTGGCTTTCTCAGCTGAAAGCAAACTGCTTCTGGTAGACTTCATTGACAAGAATGGAGAAAAAGTAATTTTGCCTGATCAATAGCTGAATATCAGGTACTAGAGAATGTGTTAATTTGCTCAAGCAATGAAACCACATTTGGTACAGTAAATGCAATTGAAATTACCACCTGGTTAAGCTTATGATAATCCTTTGTCATTCCTCCAAATTTTTGTTTGGCTTTTTTTTTAATGGTTTCTATTTATTTATGGAACTTCTAATTTTGTTCATGTATTGTTTTCCTGATTTCATCTAATTGTCTATTTGTGTGCTTTTGGAGCTCACTGATCTTCTTCAATTGACAGGCAGTCTGTAGGTCTCTGTTTCTTTAGGGTTGATTGCTGGTGTTTTATTTTGTCCCTTTTGGTGTTGTCATGTGTCCCTTACTGTTCGTAATCCTTATAACCGTGTGTTGGTACTTGTGCATTTGAAGAAGTAGATGACTATTCCAGTCTTTAAAGACTGGCTTTAGCAGAGAAATCCCTTCACCAATCTGCCCATCCAGATTCTGGGTGGACTATCTGGTAGGTTCTACAAGCAGCCTGCTGCTAGAGTCCTCAGGTGGGCTGGCCTATTGTATGGATCAACAGGTGGGTGAGCCTGGATCCTGGGCCCATGGCAGCTGGCGTTGCTTTGGGTCCCATTGGGGTTGATCTGCTGACAGGGTCCTTGGGTGTAGGCCTGAAGCCTGTGTCTGTGAGGGGTGGTATGAAGCCTGGGTTCATAGGGGCCAATGTGGTGCCAGGGCAGGCTTTGGGTCTGCCAGGGCAGACTCAAATGTGGTGCCAGGGCAGGCTTTGGGGCCTGGCCTAATGCTGGGATAGGCCTTGTGTCTGGGTCCATGCAAATGAGCTTGAAGACTGAGTCTATGAAAGCTGGCCTGGCACTGGAGTAGGCCTGATGCCTGAGTCCATAGGGGCTGGCCTGGAGCCTTGGTCCACATGGGCAGTCCTGGACCCTGGGTATTTAGGGGCTGGCCTGGTACCATAGTATGCAGGGGTATAAGTCTGAAATTTGTATCTGGTAGAATGAGCCTGGATCCTGGGTCCACTGAAGCCTGAGACTACTGGGACTGGCCTGAAGCTTGAGGCTGGGCTGGAGTCTTGATCTACATTGGGCAGTCTGGAACCTAGGCCCATGAGTGCGGGCCTGGTGCTTGGATCTATGGAGGCTATCCTGGAAGCTAGATCCATGGGTGCCAATCTTGATCCTAGGGCCATAAAAACTGGCCTGGGGTCAGGGTCTATGGGAGTGGGCCAGGGTTCTAGGGCCATGGGGGCTGCCATGGTGCTGTGTTTCACTGTGGTGGGCCTGGGGCTGGAGTTGGGACAAAGCCTCTTGTTCACTTCATTCTCAATGCTGTGCTCCCTGGACTTTGGGGAGCAGTCATATGTGTAATGTGAAACTGTCCTTCCTACCCTATTCAATTTGTCTTTTATTATTTCTATGCACTCCCAGGTGCTGTAATCCCTTACCTAGACTTACCATGTTTCTTCAAAAGAACAATCACTGAAGTGTCCTATTATACCATTTGCTGACCACAAGTGTGAATCCACTGTCACTCTCCAAGATTCAGGCCAGTTGAATTGGGATGTAATGCGAATCACCACCCCTGCATCTTTTAATTCCGTGATGGTGGCACTAATCTCTACAATCTCTCCAGAAATGCAATATTGCTTTTGGTTTATGATTTTCCTAGATAGAGGCAGTTCTAATGGCTTCCATTTAGGCCTCATTCCACAGGCCAGGGAACTGATGTGGGGATTCTACCAGCTGCTGAGTATGTCTATTCCAATTACACAATCTGGAACTGAAGAAATAATCACAGGATGGTTTTGGGGACCCACGGGCCCACCAAGAGATGAACCTGAGCTAGAACTTCATTAATCACCTGACTTCCATAAGCCCCTACTCTGTCTGAGGGGCCACAGTTACATTTTGGGTCTCCTGGAATTAGAGTAAGTTCAGATCTAATGTCCAGTAATCCTTGGAAGGTCTGGTAATTTTTTCTATGTTGCACAGTTACCCTGGTAAAAGGCCATAGGTCCCTTTGGGGAAGGATGGAGAAAGATTAACAGTACAGGTTTTCAGTAGTATACCAGGGTTCTTCACCAAGGAGCCCTCATCTTCCCTTCATTCTAGGGGTTCTGGGTCTGTATACTGGTTCAAGTCTTGAAATGGACTTAGGGGCCATGTCGCTTAGTTTTCACTATTCAGGTGAAACTTATGTTCACTTGACCTAGAACTATCCTGCTTATACAGATCGAGTAAGATTTTAGGAGTCTTCTTATCTATTTCACTTCTATTAATACCATGATCAATGCCATAGGTCTGTATGAGTCAGGCTATTCTGATTGTTGCTTTGACTTGGTTGTCCATTAAGGTAACCACACCCACTTTGCCTTTGGAAGTCGACTGTTATCACTTGGTTCCTGCCATCCCAGGTCCAATTACTCCTATTGCATTTAGGTTTTACCATTCAGTTACTGCAGTTCCCACTCTTAAGGTCTGGCCTACAGAGAAGAGTAGTGACAGAGCTCAAGAATACTCATTTAAAGTGCATAGGAGTACAATAGATTTTTGTATTTAAAATTATCCATTACAGGATGTCTAACTTTTGGAATGATAGGCCAGTGTATCTCAAATTCCTCCATTAGAGCATTGGAATTGTACACAATGAGCTAGGGTATTCCATTATTTAAATAAAATAGTAATCTTATCTCAATTAATTAATTAATTGTAAAACAATTAAGGTAGCATTCTCTCAACTTGAAATTCCCCTTCTGTATATATTTTTAATCTTTTGACACTTGCTATAGCTTCTTTGTATTAAAATATAAAATAAAATAGTAATGCATCTTCATAATTATATACTTAGCCCTTTATGTTTTGTTAAGCTAGTTCATAAAATTCTAAAAGACTTCAGGTCTCTGCCATCTGAACACAATTTGAAACTCACTGGGATAGGTGAAAGACATGAAGTAGATGGATAATAGCATGAGAATACAATAAGAAAAAGCATTAGATTGTACAATGAGAAGACCCACTTGGAGTGGATAGTATGTATCTTCTGTATTAGTAGAAAATAATGTTGGTTGGGTAATAATAAGGTACAGTACTATCTACCAAGGTCTGTCTCAGAGTCCCATTCTCTCCTGAAAGAATGAAATGCTCAGGATGCTCATTCAGAGGGAACAAAGGGCTTTGCCCACGCAAAAAGGCTGGGATTACTGATCAAATCCTTTAGGGGAGGAGATAAATGCTGACAGGAGTGCTTAGACTAGAGAAAGGCCAGAAATCAATTAGCTCCAGAGAGAATAATTTAATCTGCCATAGAATGTGGACCCTTTTGGTACAGAAGCTTTCCTACCCATTCCCTACTGAAGGTACACTTAAAATCCAGAAGGACAAAATAGAAGGCCTCTGAGAAGCCTAAGATGATTGAGTATAGGAAATAAAGCTCATACACCTTTACTCATAGGAGAGCTCCTTCATTCTGCTTATAAAGCCAACTAACTCATGGTATATAATTAAATTTTAATTCAATTTTTATATGTAAAAGTATAAATAAACATGTTTGATTTAGGAGAAAATGACATCTTTTATAAAATCAAGAAAGGCTGATACTGTTTTCACTCAAAGGAAAAATTCTGGATAAAAGACATTAAAAAACAAAATAAAATAAAAACACTTACAAAATACCTACTATATAAAGTTCTAGGAAATTACTACTCAGAGTGTGGTTTACCACCCTGTACATAGGTATTATCTAGGAGCCCATTAAAATGCTGAACCCCAGACCTATTCGAACAGAATATGCATTTTAGAAAAATCCCCAGGTAGGTTTGAGAAGCAATGGTCTAGGCTTGGGAAATATTTCTCCAAGTGTGCCTTTTGAATACTTTCATCAGAATAATCTGGGGAATGGGTTAAAAAATCAAGGCTCTTAAGTTCTACCCAAGATATACTAAATCATATCTCTTGGAATGAGACCTAAGAGTTTTCAGTATAAACAAGTATAGTCAGGCAATAAATATCAAACTTGATCATAATCAGAATCTACTGAAGGTCTTGTTAGCAAATTGTGGAGCTCTGCCCCAGAGTTCTTTGATTCAGTAAGTCTGGAGTGGGCCTAAGATTTTGCATTTTTTTTTTTTTTTGACGGAGTCTCGCTCTGTTGCCCAGGCTGGAGTGCAGTGGCGGGATCTCGGCTCACTGCAAGCTCCGCCTTCCGGTTCACACCATTCTCCTGCCTCAGCCTCCCGAGTAGCTGGAACTACAGGCGCCCACCACCACACTTGGCTAATTTTTTTTTTTTTTTGTATTTTTAGTAGAGACGGGGTTTCACCGTGTTAGCTAGGATGGTCTCGATCTCCTGACCTCGTCATCCGCCCACCTCAGCCTCCCAAAGTGCTGGGATTACAGGCGTGAGCCACCGCACCCGGCCCGATTTTGCATTTCTAATAAGTGTCTTGGTGATGTTGATGCTACTGTTCTGGGGATCACAATAGGAGAATCACTGAATTAGACATAATTTTCATAAGTTTGGTTATCTGGGTTTCCATGTCTATAGTAACAGAAAGAATTAGAAGGGGAGTAGCCAGAGGCAGGTATACCAGTAACAGCAAGAAGCAACTTCTGACAGGCTGAGAATGAGGGAGAAAAACAGAAACTATATAAAAGAGACATAAGAAATAAATATTTTTCTGAGGCTATTGAGTGTAAATGCAAATAATCTTCTGTGTCTCAATCCTGCCCCTCTCCCATGACTGCCAGTCTTCCAGTCCTTGGGGGCTAAGATCGTATCTTATATAATAGAAATGTGTGGTCATGGGTGTTAATTAATATTGAACCCCAATCATCATGAAGAAGTTTAATTCTGTTCAGACTACTGTTTAAGAAGGTATAGAATTGTACAATATATTTTAGAAATATTTTCATCAAGGATCAATTTTTAAACACTAATTTTTAAATTGTCTGAAAAATTTATTTTTGGAAAACATGCCCCCATTTCAAATGATGCAGGATAAATGAGGATTACTTGAAACTGAATCTCAAGCGATCTAAAGACAGTAATAATGATAACTGAAAATTCAAAAGCAAGTTAATTTTTTCATGTAATATCCACAGTAATACATTGAAGTACATATTATCACAATTTCATAGAGGATAAGTATTTAAACTAAGGTTCAGAGAAGTTAATTAAATTTGTAAAACAAAAATAAAATTCTAAGCCCCTCAACCAACTGAATGGACCCCTCCTCTCAGCCAAGGGCATTCTATTGTTAACCTGAAAAACTAGTTCAGGCCATGATGGGAAGTCAGGGTCAGACATGCCTCATTATACCCTACTCCCTTTGGAGTTAAGGCACAGCTGACCAGCATTAACATTAAAACAGATATTTTAAGACTGATGAAACAGACTGTTTGTAGCAATAAGACACAAAATTCCAACCTAACTTTACTAGAGTATCACATAATAGATAGCAGGCCCTGAAATAAATAGAAGTGTTTTACCCCAAAATATATTTCTTTGTCATATTTTGAAATGGCACTGCAAAGCTGTCTCTTGTGGAGAAAATCTACATTCTGTAGAGAATCTCCATTCCTTTCCATGTCTTTTCCTCCATCCAGGAGAGAATTAACAAAGTTGGGTAATTTTTAGGTTTGCTGAGAGCTCTGAAGCCTGCTCCCTGGAGCCTTCATCGGCATGATAAAACCTTTGTCTTCACAATCCCTTATCTTCACCTAGACATTCCTTTTTATTGATTCTAGGTCTTTGGATAATAACTATTTTAACCAATTGCCAATCAGAAAAATATTTGAATCCACCCATGACCAGAAAGCTCCCACTTCAAGTTATCCCACCTTTCTGGAGCAAACCAATGTATATCTACACGTATTAATTGATGTCTTATGCCTTCCCAAAATGTATAAAACAAGCTGTAGCCCAACCACATGTTGGGCACATGTTCTTAGGTTTTCCTGAGGCTGTGTCACAGTCCATTGTTCACTCATATTTGGCTCAGAATAAATCTCTTCAAACATTTTACGAGTTTGACTCTTTGTCAACAAATCATTATGTATGCCATAAGTATATACACCTACTATGTTGCTGAAGATCACACAGCTAGCTAACTAGTGGCAGGTCCCAGATTTGAACTTAGATCTATCTGATTCCATCTCTCTATGTCATTCTGCTTTCTTTACAGTGAAAAAAGAAGCGAAGGTAGAGAATCTGGATACATAGACAACTCTGCTGGGTCTCTGAAGGCCATACTCCTTGTAGAGCTTCTTGTAAGACAGGCATCCAAAGTTTATTAACATGAGAAGTTTCTCTCACTTACAGAGGAATGACCAACCAAGAAACCACAGGGACTCCCCTAATGCTCCTGTGTGCCATAACTTACAATATATCTTCTTCCCCCTTCACCTTGACAGAATCGATAGAAATAGATAGTTCTATACATTTTATAACAAACAGAAAAATTAGACAAAAAATCAAGAAGGCAATAGAGAACTTGAACACCACCATAAACCAACTAGAAACCTAGTAGAAAAACATAGAACACTTCCAGCAAAGAAAAGCCCAGAACCAGATGGCTTCTCTGGGGAAATGTAACAAACATCTAAAGAAGAATTAATATCAATACTTCTCAAACCCTTCCCCCCCTCAAAAAAAAAATAGAAGAGGAGGGAACACTTCCCAATGTATTCTATGAGGCCAGCATTATCCTGATTCCAAATCCTGCTGACAACATCATAAGAAAAGTACACAACAATATTCCTTATTTCTATAGATGAAAAATTCCTCATCAAAATTCTAGCAAATCAGATCCAATAGCATAATAAAAGGGTTACACACCAGCAATTAATATCTGAAAAAGAATAAAACAATTCAATTTACAATAGCACCCAAATGAATGAAATGCCTAGAAATAAATGTAACCAAGGAGGTAAAAGACTTGTACACTAAAAACTGGTAATTAAAGAAGACCAAAATAAATGAAATGACATACTGTGTTCATAAAATGGAAGAATTAATATTGTTAAGATGGTAATAATACTCACCTAAAGTGATCTACAGATTCAATGGAATGTCTACCAAATTTACAATGATGCCTTTTGCAGATGTGGAAAAGCTAAACCTCAAGTTCATATGGAATCACAAGGGTCCTCAAATAGCCACACACAAAAAAAATCTTTAAAAAGTAAGAAAAAAGTTGGAGGACTCACACTTTCTGATTTCAAACTTTACTATAAAGCTACAATAATCATAACAGCGTGGTACCATATAAAACTAAGCATATAGACCAATGTAACAGAATTGGGAGTACAGAAATAAGTCCATAAACCTATAGTCAATTGATGTTTGACACAGGTGCCAAGACTATTCGAAGAGAAAAAATAATAGTTTTAACAAATACTGTTAGAACAACTAGATAAAAACATGGAAAAGTTTGACCCCTACTTCACACCATAAACAAAAATTAACTTAAATGGTTCAATGACCCATATATGAGTGAAAACCATAAAACTCTTAGAAGAAAACAGGGGTAAAATTTCACAACCTTGGATTTTGCAATGGATTCTTAAATATGAAACCAAAAGAAAAGCAACAACAAAAAAATAAATTAGACCTTACAAAAATTAAAACCTTTTGTACTTTAACGAACATGATCAAGAAAGTGAAAAGGCAACCCATAGAATGAGAGAAACCATTTGCAAATCATGTCTGATAAGAGACTAGTATCCAGAATATATTTAAAAATGTTTAAAATTCAACAACAAAAGGACAAACAGCCCGATTTTTTAAAAAAAATGGGGAAAGGATTTGAAATAGATATTTCTCTACAAAGATATACAAAGGCAAACAAGCACATGAAAAGATGCTCAACATCATTAGTCATTAGGGAAATGCAAATCATAACCACAATAGAGTACAACTTCACTCTCACTAGGAAAAAAAACCGAGAAAATAATAAGAGAATTGTTGGCGAGAATGTGGAGAAAATGGAATCCTTAAACACTGCTGGTGGAAATGTGAATTGGTTCAGACACTGTAGAAAACAGCTTTGCATTTCCTCAAAAAAAACAAAACAAAACAAAACAAAACAGAATTTACATAAAATCTCACAATTCTAGGGCTAGGTATATAATAGAAAAGAACTGAAAGTAAGACCAGGTGCAGTGGCTTACTCCTGTAATTCCAGCACTTTGGGAGGCTGAGGTGAGCAGATGGCTTGAGCTCAGGAGTTCAAGACCAGCCTGGGTAGCATGGTGAAACCCTGTCTCTACAAAAAATACAAAAATTAGCTGGATGTGGTGGTGTATTCCCGCAGTCCCAGCTACTTGGGAGACTGAAGTGGGAGAATCAATTGAGCCCCGGAGGTCAAGGTTGCAGTGAGCTGTGATTGTGCCACTGTATTCCAGCCTGGGGAACAGGGCGAGTGAAACCCTGTGCCCTGTTCCAAAAAAAACTTGAAAATATGTACTCAAACAAATACATGTACACATGATCATTGCAGCATTATTCACAATAGGCAAAATATTCATCAAAGGATGAATGGCTAAACAAATGAATATTACTCAGACATAAAAAGGAATGAAGTACTGACACATGCTATAAGTACTGATACATGCTATATTTCAAAAGAATCTTGAAATAATGGTAAATGAAAGAAGCAAGGCACAAAAGGTCACATATTGTATAATTCCATATACATGAAACATTCAGAATAGATAAATACACAGCGACAGAACATAGATTGGTGGTTGTCAGGGGCTAAGGGCATTGGGGAATTGAAGAAACTGCTTAATGGGTAAAGGGTTTTACTTTAGAGTGATAAAAATGTTTTATGAAGGGAATAGAAATGGTTGCACAACACTGTGAATACATTAAATGCCACTGAATTTTTTGCTTTAAAATGGTTACTTTATATTATCTAGATTTCACCTCAATAAGTTAATTTTGAAAAATTATATATGTATTATTATTTGTAATATTGTTTTTATTTATTTTATTTTATTTTATTTTATTTTAAATTTTTGTGGGCGTCTATATTTGTGGGGTACATGAGATATTTTGATATAAGCAGGCAATGTGAAATAATCACATTATAAAAAATGTGGCGTCCATCCACTCAAGCATTTATCCTTTGTGTTACTAACAATCCAATTACACTATTATTTATTTATTTATTTATTTATTTATTTATTTTGAGATGGAGTCTCACTCTGTCGCCCAGGCTGGAGAGTAGAGGCATGAACTCGGCTCACTGCAACCTCTGCCTCCTGGGTTCAAGTGATTCTCCTGCCTCAGCCTCCTGAGTAGCTGGGATTACAGGTGTGTGCCACCACGCCCAGCTAATTTTAGTATTTTTAGTAGAGACGGGTTTTCACCATGTTGGTCAGTCTGGTCTCGAACTCGTGACCTCATGATCTGCCCACCTTGGCCTCCCAAAGTGCTGTGATTACAGGCATGAGCCACCATGCCTGGCCACAATTACATTATTTTACTTATTTAAAAATGTATGATTAAGTTATTATTGACTAAGGTCACCCTTCCGTGTGGTCAAATAGTATGCCTTATTCATTCTTTCTAACTATATTTTCATAGCCATTAGCCATCCCTATCTCCTCTTAGCCTCTGGTAAGCATCCTTCTACTCTCTATGTCCATGAGTTTAATTGTTTTAATTTTTATATCACACAAAAGTGAGAACATGTGATATTTCTCAGTCTGTGCCTGGCTTATTTTACTTAACATAATAATCTCCAGTTCCATACATGTTATTGTAAATGACAGGATCTCATTTTTATGGCTTAGTAGTACTCCATTGTGTGTATGCACCACATTTTCTTTATCTGTTCATCTGTTGATGGATACTTAGGTTGCTTCCAAATCTTAGCTATTGTAAACAGTGCTGCCATAAACATGGGAGTGCAGATATCTCTTTGTTATACTGATTTCCTTTCTTTTAGTTACATATTCTGCAGTGGGATTGCTGGGTCATATAATAGCTCTATTTTTAGTATTTGTAGTAGTCTCCAACTATACAATATAGTGGTTGTGCTACTGTACATTTCCACCAACAGTGTACAAAGATTCCCTTTTCTCTACATCCTCGTCAGCACTTGTTATTGCCTGTGTTTGGATATAAGCTATTTGCACTGGGGTGAGATGATATCTTATTGTACTTTGATTTGCATTTTTCTAATGATTAATTATGTTGAGCACCTTTTCATATGCCTGTTTCTGGGTTGTGTGTACTTTGAGAAATTATTCAAATCTTTTGCTATTTTTTTTTGTCAGTTTATTATGTTTTCCTATAGAGTTCTTTGAGCTCCTTATATATTCTGGTTATTAATCCCTTGTCTGATGCATGGTGTGCAAATATCCTTCTCCCATTCTGTGGGTTGTCTCTTCACTTTGTTGATTGTTTTCTTTGCTGTGCAGAAGCTTTTTAGCTTGGTGTAATCTCATTTGTCTATTTTTGCTTTGGTTGCCTGTGCTTAAGGGATATTGTTCAAAAAATTCTTGCCTAGACCAATGTCCTGGAGAATTTCCCCAATGTTTTCTCGTAGTAGTTTCATAGTTTGAGGTCTTATATTTAAGTCTTTAATCAATGTGGATTTGACTTTTGTACATGGTGAGACGCAGGGGTCTAGTTTCATCTTTCTGCACATGGATATCTAGTTTTTCCTGCACCATTTATTAAAGAGACTGTCTTTTCCCCAAAGTATGTTGGCACCTTTGTTGAAAATGAGTTCACTTTAAGTGTGTGAATTTGTTTCTGGGTTCTCTATTATGTCCCATTGTTTTTTTTTTTTTTTTTTTCTGATTTAATACCAGTACCATGCTGATTTGATTACTATAGCTCTGTAATATAATTTGAATTTGGATGTGATTTCTCCAATTTTGCTCTTATTGCATAGGATAACTTTGGCTATTCTGGGTCTTATGTATGCCTATATAAATTTTAGCATTTTTTTCTATTTCTGTGAATAATGTTGTTGGCATTTTGATAGGGATTACATTGAATCTGTAGATTGCTTTGTGTAGTATGAATATTTTACCAATATTGATTCTTCTAATAGATGAACATGGAATGTCTTTCCATTTTTTGGTGTCCTCTTCAATTTCTTTCATCAGTGTTTTATAATTTTTGAGAAATCTTTTGCTTCTTTAATTCCTAGGTATTGAATTTTATTTGTGGCTATTGTAAATGGGATTACTTTTTAAATTTCTTTTTAGGATTGCTCACTGTTGGGATGTAGAAATGCAATTGATTTTTTTTGTATGTTAATTTTGTAACCTCCTACCTTACTGAATTTATCAGTTCTAATTGTGTGTGTGTGTGTGTGTGTGTGTGTGTGTGTGTGTGTGTGGAGTCTTTAGGTTTTTCCAAATATATGATCATATTGTCTGCAAACAAAAATAATACTACTTCTTTCATTCCAAGTTGGTTGCCATTTATTTCTTTTTCTTGTTTGATTGCTCTAGCTAGGACTTCCGCTACTATGTTGAATAACAGTGGTGAAAGTGGGCATTCTAGTAATGTTCCAGATCTTAGACAAAAGGCTTTCAGGTTTTCCCCATTCAGTATGATACTTGCTGTGGAGCTGTCATATATGGCTTTTATTTTTTTTATTTTTTTTTCAGTTTTAAAAATGGCTTTCATTTATATAAGTCATTGCACATTCCTAATACAGTGATTTCCTGAAAATTACAGTATTTTGTAAACATAAGATTTAGTTTAACCATACACAAAGCCTATTTTTTTATTTCTTGACAGAATAAATTACTTTTCTTCAAAAAATTAGTCAAGTGCAATTTTGCCCAATATTTAATGCATACTAGAATTAAAGCCTATGAAACTAAGTAGTAACAGATGCAATTATCAAACCTTTCATTTGAACACATTCACTTTCAAATTTAACTTCTTATTTCACCCCATTTAACAACATTACTTTCTTTGAAAATTACCCAATTAAGCAGTTAACAGTTTTCCATAATATGGTACAGGCCACTGGCATTAACTAGGCAGTTGCCAAGATGTCAAGATGCCTGCAATCTAACGAGATCGAGAAATCTACAGATGCCCACAGCAAACCCTGCAAACTTCCAGGGTGACCTGTGTTTCAGTGGAAAGCTTTGAGACAGTTCCTCTTATCTCATTGTTTGCTTTCTGTATAGGTTGGGGCTCTCTTTAGCGATCCACACAACTTTGCAGCACTGTAAGAGTATGAGGACAAAGTCCTAATCTGGCTTGCCGGGCCTCTCATCTCTGTGGTGCTCTGCATCTTGATGCTTCTTGTCATCTTTTATTGCCAAGTGAGATTGCCCACTCAGAGCACTAGACAGTGCAAGAAGACCGGCACTGCCCCCGAGGGGCGGGATTCCAGGAGGCTGAAGTCCCGAAGGGTGAGGCGTAAGGGGAACTGGGGGTCCGTGGCCATAAGAAAGATGCTGAGCTTGCAACTGCTGCTGCCCGATGATGGCATTCAACTCTGCCATGGTCACCTGTTTGGCACGTTCGACAGCCTGGGCCACCTGTTGTTGATGTTCCTGAGACAGAAATGGGATGACTTGTGCACAAATCGTATTCAATCTCTTGGCGATTTCAGTCTGTTTGTGCATTTCAATGTTTAATCCATATGGCATTTCGTAATACATCACATAGTGCCTCTGCATTTCTGTCTTTTCACTTGCCGGTTACTCACATTCCAATTTAAGGCTGTGATACTGCGCCTGCAGGAACTGGAATTCCTCTTTAATCCGGTCCAGGGACTCCGCGATACTGAACTTGAAGGGCTGGCCTGCAGCCTGGTGCGGCGTCGGGTGCCGGCTCTGCGGGAACATCGCGCTGGCGGCGGCCGGGGCTCTGTTCCCCGGCAACTCAATTCTCCGGTCAATTTCCAACTTTAATCCCGCCGAGGAAAATTAAGCCGGAAAGCCAGGCAGAAGCGGGGAGCGAGGTGGCCACGCACGCAGGCGCGCTAGGCCGGGCGTACCGGCCACTCGGCGCCCGCAGCTGCTCCGGCTCCCGCTCCCGTCGGTGCGGGCTCCGGCCCTCAGGGCCACATTAGTGGGCGCCCCAGGCCCAGCTGCTTCAATAACCTGCGCGGAGACGTCGGGCGTTCGGGGACTGTGCGCGGGGGCAGTGCTCCAACCCCCCGGCCTCAGTCGCCCGGGCGGGGAGGCGGGGGCGCGGTGACTCCGACCGCACTCCCCTCGGGGATCCGCGTGCGCGGCGCCAGTCCTGGGCAAACAAATCCAGACGGGCTGCTTTTCTTTGCTCTTCTCCTGGTCCGCCTCCTCTTCGGGTTTTCCCCGAGGCGGCGGCGGGCGAGGCGCAGGTGGCGCGGCGGCCCCCGCTAACCCCACACAAACCCGACGCTTTCGGGGCGACTCCCGCAAGACTCGGCTGCGCCCTCGGCCCGGGTGCTCGCAGGGTCCCGGGACGCAAAAGGGAGAGAGGTTGAGGACGCGGCGGAGGCTCCTGGCCGGGGAGCGAGGGATGACTAGGCGGGGAAAGTGCGGAGGGCGCGCCGGAAGGCGGCTCGGCACGCCCCGTGCGACCAGCACTCGGTGTTCTCCGCGGTTGCACAAACCTCCGGGCCCGACGGGGCTACTCCACCGAGAGCAGTCCCGCAAATGGCCGCTGCTCCTCGAGCTCGGGGAGCATCAGGGCGCCGCGCCTCGCGCGCACTCGCCCTGCACGGCCGGCCCGGCCGCTCCGGACCCTTCTTCCGAGCCCCTTCTTCCTCGGTCTTCTTTCTTTTCTTCCTCAGTCTTCTTTCTTTTCTTCCTCGGTCTTCTTTCTTTTCTTCCTCGGTCTTCTTTCTTTTCTTCCTCGGTCTTCTTTCTTTCCTTCCTTCACCTTCGTGTGCTTCTCCGCAAAGGGCGCTCCAGCCCACTGCAAAGTTCTCTCACCACCCGAGGGACGACATCCACGAGATGGTGGGAGAAACAGCAGGAGTGCGCTCCGCCAATCGGCCACCCTCCCCGGCGGGCAAACTCTGCCGGCGAGTCCGGAGTAGTCACAGCGGTGCGGCCAGCGGAGATTTTGGTCGCCGCGGGACGACGGAGGTCCGGGCTGGTGGCGCGGGTCCCGCCCGGCCGTGCGAGGGTGGGGTGGCGCAGTCGGCTGCCTCCGGGACGCAGAGCACAGAGTACCCGCCGCTGCTTCTGCTGCTGCTGCTCCTGCAGCCGCCGCTCCTACCGCCGCCGCCGCCGCCCGCGCCTCTGGCGTGGGTTACACTAACACGCGGTTTCACACTCAGGAGCTAACCAGCGCCGGCCCCGCCCGGCCCCGCCCAGTCCCGCCCAGCCCCGCCCAGCCCCGCCCAGCCCCGCCCAGCCCCGCCCAGCCCCGTTCAGCCCCGATCGGGCGGGGGACGCTAGCCCGCAGCCCTATATAGCTTTTATTATGTTGAGGTATGTTCTTTCTATCCCCTGTTTTATGAGAGCTTTTTTTTTTTTTTAATCATGAAGGGATGTTGAATTTTATCAAAAGCTTTTTGGCATCAGTTGAAATAATCATATGGTTTTTATGCTTCATTCCTGTTGCTATGATGTATCGCATTGATTGATTTGCATATGTTGGACCATCCTTGCATCCCAGGGATGAATCCCACTTGGTCATGATGAATTTTTTTTTTTTAATGTAACATTGAATTCGGTTTTGCTAGTATTTTGTTGAGGATTTTTGCATCGATATTCATCAGAGATATTGAACTGTAGTTTTCTTTTTTTGTTGTGTCTTTGTCTGGTTTTGGTTTCAGGGTAATGCTGACTTCATATAATGAATTTAGAAGTATTTTCTGTTCTTCTATTTTTCGCAATAGTTTTAGTAGGATGGGTACCAGTTCTCTTTAAATGTTTGTGGAAATCAGCAGTGAAGCCACTGGGTCCCTAGCTTTTCTTTACTAAGAGACTTCTTAATATGGCTTTGATCTTATTACTTGTTATTGGTCTGTTCAGGTTTTGGATTTCTTTCTGGTTCAATCTTGATAGGTTGTATGTACCTAGAAATTTGTCCATTTCTTCTAGATTTTCCAACTCATTGGCATATATTTGCTCATCATAGCCACAAATGATCTTTGAATTTCTGCAGTATCAGTTGTAATGTCTCCTTTTTCATTTCTAATGCTTTTATTTGAATCTTCTCTCCTTTTATTAGTAAGTTTGGCTAAAGTTTTGTCAATTTTGTTTTACTTTTCAAAAAACCAACTTTTTGTTTCATTGATCTTTTGTATTATTTTCCTCATTTTAAATTCATTTATTTGTTTTAATCTTTATTTTATTATTATTATTATTTCTGAGATGGAGTCTCCTTCTGTCACCCAGGCGGGAGTGCAGTGCTGCTATCTTGGCTCACGGCAGCCTCCGCCTCCTGGGTTTGAGTGATTCTCTTGCCTCAGCCTGCAGAGTAGCTGGGATTACAGGCACCTGTCACCACGCCTGGCTAATTTTTGTATTTTTAGTAGAGACAGGGTTTCACCACGTTGGCCAGGCTGGTCTCAAACTCCTGACTTGAATTGATCCGCCTGCCTCGGCCTCCCAAAGTGCTGGGACTACAGGCGTGAGCCACCACACCCAGCCTATTAGTTCTTTTCTCCTACTAATTTTAGGTTTGGTTTGCTTTTGCTTTTCTATTTCTTTAAGATGTATCATTAGATTGTTTATTTGAAGTTATTCCTCTTTTTTGATGTAGGGACTTACAGCTATAAACTTCCCTCTTAGTACTGCTTTTGCTGTATCCCATAGATTTTGGTATGTTGTGTTTCCATTGTCTTTTGTTTTAAGAAGTTTACAAAAATTGTTTCATCGACCCACTCGTCATTCAGGAACATATTGTTTAACTTCCATGTGTTTGTATAGTTTCCCAAATTTATCTTATCATTAATTTCTAATTTTATTTTATTGTGGTCAGAGAAGATGCTTGATGTTATCTCAATTTTGTTGAATGTTTTCAGACTTTTTTGACCTATCATATGGTCTATTTTAAAGAATAATCCATGTGCTGAAGAAAAGAATGTGTATTCTGCCACCAACAGATAAAATGTTCTGTAAGTATCTATTAGATTCATTTGATCTATACTGCAGATCAAGTCTGATGTTTCTTTGTTGATTTTCTGTCTTGACGATCTGTCCAATGCTGGGAGTGGGGTGTTGAAGTCTCCAGATATTATTGTATTGGGAACTATCTCTCTCTTTAGCTCTAATAATGTTTCCTTTACTTATCTAGGGGCTCTAGTGTTGGGTGCATATATATTTAAAATTGATATATCCTCTTACTGAATTTACCCCTTTATCATTATATAGTAACTTTCTTTGTCTCTTCTTATAGTTTTTGTCCTGAAATCTATTTTGTTTGATATAAGTATAGCTACTCCTGATCATTTATTGTTTCCATTGGCATGGAATGTCTTTTCCATCACTTTTCTTTTAATCTATTTGTGTCTTTATAGGTAAAGTGTGTTTCTAGTAGGCAACAGAATCTTGTTTTTAATACACTCAGCCACTCTATTTATTTCGATTGTAGACTTTAGTTCATTTACAGTCAACATTATTATTGATAAAGACTTACTCCTGCCATTTTGTTATTTGTTTTTTGGCGTTATTTCTTTATTTTCTTCCTTTAGTGAAGGCGATTTTCCCTGGTGATATGATTTATCTTGCTTTTTGTTTTTCTGTTTCCATTGTAATTTTTTTTGTTGTTTGTTTGAGGTTACTGTGAGGCTTGCACCTGCTATCTTATAACCCGGTAACTACTCAACCCGGTTTTCATAAACAAATAAAGAAACAAAAAGAAAACTAACACAAAATTCTATGCCATAACTTTATTTTCAAGTTTTTTAACTTTTTTGTTTCTATTTAGATCTTATTGTACTGTCTATGTCTTAAGAAGTTGTTGTAGTTATTATTTTTGTTTGGTTCATCATTTAGTTTTTCTAGCTAGCATTTTAGTTGATTACATATCACAGTTGCAGTATTATAACACTGAAGTATTCGGTGTTTTTTTCTGTGCACTTACTATTACCCATGAGTTTTGTACCTTCAGATGATTTCTTGTTTCTCATTAATGTCTTTTTCTTTCTGATTGATGTACTCCCTTAAACATTTCCCATAGGACAGGTCTCTTATGAATGAAATCCCTCAGCTTTTGTTAGTCTGTGGAAGTCTTTATTTCTCCTTCATGATTGAAGGGAATTTTTGCCATATATACTATTCTAGGGTAACAGTTTTTTCCCTTCAACACTTTAAATATGTCATGTCACACTCTCTTGGCCTGTAAGGTTTCCACTGAAAAGTCTGCTGTCAGACATATTGCAGCTCCATTGTATTTGTGTCTTTTTTCTTGCTGCTTTAAGCATCCTTTTTTTATCCTTGGTCTTTGAAAGTTTGATTATTAAATGCCTTGAGGTAGTCTTTGAGTTAAATATGCTTGGAGATATATAACTTTCTTGTATTTGAGTGTTAATAACTTTCTCTAGGTTTGAAAATATCTCTTTTATTATCCTGTTGAATAAACTTTGTACCCCTATCTCTTCCTCTATCTCATTTTTAAGGCCAATAACTCTTAACTTTGACATTTTGAGGCTGTTTTCTAGATCCTGTAGGCATGCTTTACTGTTTTATATTCTTTTCTCTTTTGTCTCCCCTAGCAGTGTATTTTCAAATAGTCTGTCGTCAAGCTCACTCTTTCTTCTTGATCAATTCTGCTATTAAGAGACTCTGATGCATTCTTCAGCATGCCAGTTGTACTTTTTAGATCCAGAATTTCTGCTTGATTTTTAAAATTATTTCAATCTCTGAAAAATTAATCTGATAAAATTCTGAATTTCTTCTCTGTGTTATCTTGAGTTTCTTTGAGTTTCCTCAACACAGCTATTTTGAATTCCCTGTCTGAAAAGTCACATATCTCTGTTTCTCCAAGATTGATCCCTGGTGCCTTATTTAGTTCATTTGGTGAGGTTATGCTTTCCTGGGTGGTGTTGATGCTAGTAAATATTCTTTGGTGTCTGGACATTGAAGTGATTGATATTGAATTTTAGTTTTCACAATCTGGATTTGTTTATACCCGTCCTTATTTGAAAAGCTTTCCAGAAATTAAAAAGGACTTGGGTGTTTTGATGTAAGCTGTATCTGCTTTAGGGAACACCCAAATCTCAGTAATGCTGCAGTTCTTGCAGACTCATAGAAGTTGCACCTTGATGGTCGTAAACGAGATTTGGGAGAATTTTCTGGATTACCAGGCAGAGACTCTTGCTCTTTCCCCTTATTTTCTCCTAAACATATAGAGTCTCGTTCTCTGTTCCAAGCCTCTTAAACCTGGGGTTGGAGGTACACAAGCATCCCTGTGGCCATCACCACTAGGACTAGGACCGTGCTGGGTCAGACTTGAAGCCAGCACAGCACTGGGTCTCACTCAAGGCCTGTTGTAACCACTTCCTGGCTACTGCTTATATTCACTCAAGGCCCTGGGACTCTATAATCACCAGGTGGCAAAGCCAGCCAGGCCTGTGTCCTTCCCTTCAGGGAAGTGAGTTCTCCCAGGTCCCAGGTGGGTCCCTAGGTGTCATCTAGGAGTCAGGAAATAGAGTGACAAAACTTAGAAGTCTACCTTGTGTTCTATTGTATTGTGGCTGAGCTGGCACTGAAACCATGACACACAGTTCTTTCAACTCTTCCTTCTCCTTTCCAAAGGAAGAGAACCTTCACTCTGTAGCAACCACCACCTTAGGCCATGAGGAGTTCTGCCAGACTACTACCAATGTTCCCTTAAGGCCCAAGAGCTCTGACATCAGCTTTTGGTGAATGCTGCCTGGCCTGCAACTTACCCTTCAGAGAACAGGGTTCCCTTCTGGCCCAGGGCAGATCCAGAGATGCCATCCAAGAGTGAAGTCCTGAAACTGAGGATTCCAAGAGTGCCCACTTGGTGTTATATCCTCCTATAGTCATGCTGATATCTGAAGCCAGCAATTTCAGAGGCTTGCTCAAGGCCCTTGATGTAGCTCAGGGTTCAAGGCCTCTTCAGTTATCAGGTGATAAATGCTGCCAAGACTGGCTCCTTCCCTTCAATGCAGTGGGTTCCTTTCTGGCTCAGGGCATGTCTTGAGATGTCGTCAGGAAACTAGAGCCTGAAATGGGGGCCTCACAACTCTGGTCATTGCCCTATTCTGCTGTGGCTGAGGTGGTATCTAAGATGCAAGGCAAAGTCCTCCTCACTTTTCCCATTACTCTCCTAAAGCAGAAGGAAGGGATCTGTTTTGGAGCCTCAAGCTGTGCAGCCTGGGGTTAGAAATGTGGTGATTTCAGATCTCCCTTAACTGTGCTGGCTGGTGTTTCAGTAGATCATGTGGCCTCCCAGTCCACTGTCTCTGGGCTCAGTTTAGCCCTATGACTTGCCTAACAGTTGCAGTCCTGATGACCTAGAATGCTTTTCAGGTTTACTTAGAGATACAGAGCACTTTGTCCCCCAGTAGTGATGTGTGAGGGAACTCAAGTTTAGACCACTAGGCTAGGTGACTACCCTCTGGCTAAGGTTTCTTTAAGTGCTCCCTCCATTAGCTCGACATGCATCAGGTAAGTTTGGTCTGGTTTTCCTCTCTGCTCTAAAAGGATAGCACTGAGATTAATGCCTCACAATTGCTGTGCTCACCTTCCCCCAGCATCCAAAGAAGCTCTCTGTACCACACTGCTGCTGCCAAGGGTGCGGAAGGGGTGGCATTTGAGATTCAGGAATGTTTTTTCTATCTCTTCAGTGCATCTTTCAGCAGTATAGAGTTAAAACCAGGTATTATGAGGGCTCATCTGATTTTTGGTTCTAATGAAGGTGTTTTTTTTTTTTTTCCTCTGTAGATAGTAATTAAATTGATGTCCTTGCGAGGGTGACAATTGGTGGAGCCTTCTATTCTGCCATCTTGGTCCTCTCTGAAAATGCCTTTTGTAATATTGTTTCCTTGGAAAATATGTTTGCAGCTGCAGAAAAATAACTAACATTACCTTTGGATTAAACACCTATACTGAGTACTGCCTTGAAATGATTACCTACTATGAAGTACAATCTGATCCAAAATAGTGGTAAATTCTTCCCTGAGATGAATTATCACCAGGTAGAGATTATTATCCAGATTAGGTAAATTGAAAAATGAAGCTGTTGAATCTTCTTTTCATTTTCTGTGCTTTGTGTTAGAACATCTCCCCAAAGAGTCAGGGTTTTTATTGAGGAATAAAATGACTGTGGACTTCACTTTTAGGAGTATAATTCAGTAACAATGAGCAGAAGAACTAAGCAGACTGCTTTCCCGCCTTCCCCTTGCAAATTTTTTGAAGATTCTGCATTGAAATAATTATAACACTTTGATTTCAATCAACATTATTAAAATCTTTACAAGCATAAAAAAGGTGAATTCAATACAATTTGTTAGACTGATGAAAAATCTGTAGCATTACTGTCTAAAAATAACAGAATTTGGGAAGAGAATGACAATAACAAGATATAGATAAGTTCCCTTAAGAGATTCCAGAGTCTTTTTACAAGCACCAGATGAGGCATAGATCTGATGACCTTTGAGTTTATTTCCTACTCTGAAATTTTAAAATTCTCTGATTTCTAAAATTCTCTGAGTTGTCTATGCATAAGCCAGTTTCTCATAGCCAGCTCTATGGGCATATATAACATATATTCCCACTTTCATATTTTGGCAAAATAACAATAACCACATTGATAACATCGATTGATGCTTTGGTATTTTTTATTTTAAATATTTTTTATTTTAAAATATTGTTTACTTTTTACTATAGTCACCCTGTTGTCCTAGCAAATACTAGGTGTCATTTATTCTTTCTATTTTTTTGTACCCGCTAACTATCCCCATTTTCCCTATCCCCCGACTACCATTCCCAGCCTCTTGTACCTACTCTTCTACTCTCTATTCCCATGGGTTCTTTTGTTTTTATTTTTAGATCCCACAAATAAGTGAGAAAATGGGATATTTGTCTTTCTGCCTGGCTTATTTTACTTAACATAATGACCCCCAGTTCCATCCATGTTGTTGCAAATGACAGAATCTCATTCTACTTTTATGACTGAGTAGTACTCCATTGTTTACATGTATTACATTGTCTTTACCCAGTCATCTGTTCAACACTTTGGTTGCTTCCAAATCTTGGCTATTGTGCATAGGGCTACAATAAACATGGGAGTGCAGATATATTTTTGATATACTGATTTACTTTCTTTTGGGTATATATCTAACAGTGGGATTGCTGGAACATATGGTAGTTCTATTTTTCTTTTTTTGAGGAACTTCTAAACTGTTTTCATAGTGGTTGTACTAATTTACATTACCACCAACACTGTATGAGGTTTCCTTTTTCTCCACATTCTCGCCAGCATTTGTTATTGCCTGTCTTTTGAATAAAAGTCATTTTAATTGAGGTGAGATAATATTTTATTGCAGTTTTGATGTGCATTTCTCAGATGATCAATGATATTGAGCACCTTTTCATACACCTGTTTTCCATGTGTATGTCCTCTTTTGAGAAATGCCTATTCAGGACTTTCACCCATTTTAAAATCTGCTTATTATATTTTTCCTTTCCTATAGAGGTGTTTTAGCTCCTGTGTATTCTGATTACTAATCCATTGTCATATGAATAGTTTGCAAATATTTTCTCTAATTCTGTAGGTTGTCTGTGCATTTTGTTGATTGTTTTCTTTGCTGTGCAAAACTTGTGATCACATTTGTCCATTTGTGTGTTGGTTGCCAGTGCAATAAATAGCACTTAATAGTGTATTACTCAAGAAATCTTCACCCAGTCCAATGTCCTGATGAATTTCTCCAGTGTTTGCTTTTAGTAGTTTCACAATTTGAGGTCTTATATTTGCGTCTTTAATATGTTTGGATTTGACTTTTGTATATGGTGAGAGACCGGGATCTAATTTCATTCTTCTGCATATGGATATCTGGTTTTCTTAACACCACTTACTGAAGAGACAGTCCTTTCCCCAAAGTGTGTTCTTGGCACCTTTGTCAAAAATGAGTCCACTGCAGGTGAACAGACTTATCTCTGAGTTCTCTATTCTGTTCCACTGGTCTATTTGTGTGTTTTTGTGCCAGGACCATGTATTTTGGTTACTATAAGTATTAGTACATTTTCATGCTGCTATAGAGAACTAACTTAAAAATGGGTAATTTACAAAGAAAAAAGGTTAAATTGACTCACAGTTCTGCAGGCTTAACAGGAAGCATGACTGGGCAGCCTCAGAAAACTTACAGTCATGGTGGAAGGTGACTGGAAAGCACACACATCTTCACAATGTTGGAAGCATGCACATCTTCACAATGGCAGGACAGGAGAGAGAGTGAGGGTGTAAGTGTCACACTTTTAAGCCATCAGATCTCATAAGAACTCACTATCATGAGAACTGCATGGGGAAAATCCACCCCAATGATCTAATTACCTCCCACCAGGTCCCTTCCCTGACACATGGGGATTACAATTCGAAACAAGATTTGTGTGGGGACACAGCCAAACCATATCACTATAGTTCTGTAGTATAATATGGAATCAGGTAATGTGATTACTCCAGTTTTGTTCTTTTTGCTCAGGATAGCTTTGGATATTCTGGGTCTGTTATGGTTCCCCATAAAATTTAGAATTGTTTTTCTATTTCTGTAAAAAGTATCAATGGTATTTGGATAGGGATTGCATTAAATCTATAGATTGCTTTGGGTAAAATGGACATTTTAAAAATATGGATTCTTCCTATCCACAAACAGAGAATACCTTTCCATATTTTGGTGTACTTTTTAATTTCTTGCATCCATGTTTAATTTAAAAAAAAATTCACTTCTTTGGTTAAGTTAATTCTATGTATTTTATTTTATTTGTAGCTATTGTAAATGGGATTACCTTCATGATTTCTTTTTCAGAATATTCTATGTGGGCATATAGAAATGCTACTGATTTTTAATGTTAAATTTGTATCCTGCAAATTTATTAAATTTGTTTATCAGTTCTAATAGATTTTTGGTAAAGTCTCTGGGTTTTGTGAAGTATAAAATGATATCATCTGCAAAAAACAATAGTTTGACTTCTTTCATTTTAATTTGGATGTTCTTCATTTCTTTCTCTTATCTGATTGGTCTAGCTTGGACTTCTAGTACTATGCTGAATAACAGTGGTGAAAGTGAGCATTCTTGTTGTATTCCTGATCTTAGAAGAAAGGCTTTCAGGTTTTCCCCATTCAGTATAATACTAGCTATGGGTCTATTGTATATGCCTTTTATCATATTGAGATATGTTTCTTGTATACCTAGCTTTTTGAGGGTGTTATTCTTTATGAAATGATGTTGAATTCAATGGATCTCTCTGCAGAAACCCTACAAGCCAGAAGACAGTGGGGCCCAATATTCAATATTTTTAAAGAAAGAATTTTCAACCCAAAATTTCATATCCAGCCAAACTAAGTTTCATAAATGAAGGAGAAATAAAATTGTTTACAGACAAGCAAATGCTGAGGGATTCTGTACCACCAGGCCTGCCTTACAAGAACTCCTGAAGGAAGCCCTAATATGGGAAAGAAAAATCGGTACCAACCACTGCAAAAACACACCAAAATATAAAGACCAGTGACACCATGAAGAAACTGAATCAACTAATGTGCAAAATAATCAGCTAGCATCATGATGACAGGATCAAGTTCACATATAACAATATTAATGTTAAATGTAAATGGGCTAAATGCCCAAATTAAAAGACACAGACTGGCAAGTTGGATAGTCAAGACTCATCGGTGTGCAGTATTGAGGAGACCCATCTCACGTGCAAAGACACATATAGGCTCAAAATAAAGGAATGGAGGAATATTTACCAAGCAAGTGAAAAGCAAAAAAAGCCGAGGTTGCAATACTAGTCTCTGATAAAGCAGACTTTAAACCAACAAAGATAAAAAAAGACAAAGAAAGGCATTACATAATGGTAAAGGGATCAATGCAACAAGAAGAGCTAACTATCCTAAATATATATGTACCCAATACAGAAGCACCTAGATTCATAAAACAAGTTCTTGGTGACCTACAAAGGGGCTTAGACTCCCACATAATAATAGTGGGAGACTTTAACACCCCACTGTAAATATTAGACAGATCAATGAGACAGGTTATTAACAAGAATATTCAGTACTTGAACTCAGCTCTGGACCAAGTGGACCTAATAGACATCTACAGAACTCTCCACCCCAAATCAACAGAATATACATTCTTCTCAGCACCACATAGCACTTACTCTAAAATCAACCATATAATTGGAAGTAAAACACTTCTCAGCAAATGCGAAAAAAAAAAAGACAAAAACAAAAAACCTGAAATTATAACAAACTGTCTCTCAGACCACAGTGCAATCAAATTAGAACTTAGGATTAAGAAACTCACTCAAAACCACACAACTATATGGAAACTGAACAACCTGCTTCTGAATGACTACTGGGTAAATAAAGAAATAAAGGCAGAAATAAATAAGTTATTCGAAACCAATGAGAATGAAGACACAACGTACCAGAATCTCTGGAACACAGTTAAGCAGCGTTTAATGGAAAATTTGTAGCACTAAATGCCCACATCAGAAAGCCGAAAAGATCTAAAATCAACACCCTGACATCACAGTTAAAATAACTAGAGAAGCAAGAGCAAACAAATTCAAAAGCTAGCAGAAGACAAGAAATAACTAAGATCAGAGTGGAACTGAAGAAGATAGAGACATGAAAAACCCTTCAAAAATCCATGAATCCAGGAGATGGTTTTTTGAAAAGATTAACAAAATAGACCAGTAGCCAGATTAATAAAGAAGAAAAGAGAGAAGAATCAAATCGACCCAATAAAAATGATAAAGGGGATATCACCATTGATCCCACAGAAATACAACCTACCATCAGAGAATATTATAAACACCTCTACACAAATAAACTAGGAAACCTAGAAGAAATCAATAAATTCCTGGACACATATACCCTCCCAATACTAAACGTGAGAGAAGTCGCATACCTGAATAGACCAATAACAAGTTCTAAAATTGAGGCAATAGTTAACAGCCTACCAACCAAAAGAAAGGCCAGGACCAGACAGATTCACAGCCAAATTCTACCAGAGGTACAAAGAGGAGCTGGTACCATTTCTTCTGAAACTATTCCAAATGATAGAAAAAATGGGACTTCTCCCTAACTCAATTTATGAGGCCAGAATCATCCTGATTCCAAAACCTGGCAAAGACACAACAACAACAAAAAAAACTCAGGCCAATATCCCTGATGAACATTGATGTGAAAATTCTCAATAAAATTCTGGCAAACCAAATTCAGCAGCAAATGAAGTTGGCTTCATCCCTGAGATGCAAGGCTAGTCCAACATATGCAAATCAATAAATGTACTCCATCACATAAACAAAGCCAGCGACAAAAACCACATAATTATCTCAATAGATGCAGAAAAGGCCTTTGACAAAATTCAACAGCCCTTCATGCTAAAAACTCTCAATAAACTAGGCACTGATGGAACATATCTCAAAATAATAAGAGCTATTTGTGACAAACCCACAGCCCATATCACACTGAATGGGCAAAACCTGGAAGAATTCCCTTTGAAAACTGGCACAAACAAGGATGCCCTCTCTCACCACTCCTATTCGACACAGTATTGGAAGTTCTGGCCAGGGCAATCAGGCAAGAGAAAGAAATAAAGGGTATTCAAATAGGAAGAGAGGAAGTCAAATTGTCTCTGTTTACAGATGACATGATTTTATATTTAGAAAACCTCATCATCTCAGCCCAAAAACTCCTTAAGTTGATAAGCAACTTCAGCAAAGTCACAGGAAGGAAATTCAATGTGCAAAAATCACAAGCATTCCTATACACCAATAATAGACAGAGAACCAAGTCATAATTGAACTCCCATTCACAATTACTACAACAAGAATAAAATGCCTAGAAATACCACTTAACAGCTTAGAAGGGACCTGAAGGACCTCTTCAAGGAGAACTACAAGCCACTGCCCAAGGAAATAAGAGAGGACACAAACAAATGGAAAAACATTCCATGCTTATGGATAGGAAGAATCAATATCTTGAAAATGGCCATACTCTCCAAAGTAATTTATAGATTCAATTCTATTTCCATCAAGCTACCATTGACTTTCCTCACAGAACTAGAAAAAACTACTTTAAATTTAATATGGAACCAAAAAAGGAGCCTGTATAGCCAAGACAATCCTAAGTAAAAAGAACAAAGCTAGAGGCATTAGGCTACCTGACTTCAAACTATACTACAAGGCTACAGTAACCAAAACAGCATGATACTGGTACCAAATCAGATATGTAGACCAATGGAACCGGACACAGGCCTCAGAAATAACACCACACATCTACAACCATCTGATCTTTGACAAACCTGACAAAAACAAGCAATAGGGAAAAGATTCGCTATTTAATAAATGATGTTGGGAAAACTGGCTAGACATATGCAGAAAACAGAAACTGGAGCCGTTCCTTACACCTAATACAAAAATTAGCTCAAGATGGATTAAAGACTTAAATGTAAAACCTAAAACCATAAAAACCTTAGAAGAAAGCCTAGGCAATACCATTCAAGACATAGGCAAGGGAAAAAGACTTCATGGCTAAAACACCAAAAGCAATGGCAACAAAAGCCAAAATTGTCAAATGGGATCTAATTAAATTAAAGAGCTTCTGCCCAGCAAAAGAAACTATCTCAGAGTGAACAGGCAACCTACAGAATGGGAGAAAATTTTTGCAATCTATCAATCTGACAAAGGTCTAATATCTGGAATTGATAAGGAACTTAAACAAATTTACAAGAAAAAAACCAAACAATCTCATTGAAAATTGGGTGAAGGATATGAACAGACACTTCTCAAAAGAAGACATTTAGGTAGCCAACAAGCATATGAAAAAAAGCTCATCATCACTGGTCATTAGAGAAATGCAAATCAAAACCACAATGCAACACCATCTCACACTAGTTAGAATAGAGATTATTAAAAAGTCTGGAAACAATAGATGCTGGAGAGGATGCAGAGAAATCGGAATGCTTTTACACTTTTGGTGGTAGTGTAAATTAGTTCAACCATTGTGTTAGACAGTGTGGCGATTCCTCAAGCATCTAGAACCAGAAATACCATGTGACCCAGCAATCCCATTACTGGGTATATACCCAAAGAATTATAAATCATTCTACTATCAAGACACATGTACACATGTGTTTATTGCATATGTTGTACTTATACACCATGAAATATTATGCAGCCATAAAAAGGATGAGTTCATGTTCTTTGCAGGGGTATGGATGAGGCTGGAAACAAAACCAAACACTGCACGTTCTCACTCATAAGTGGGAGTTGAACAATGAGAACACATGGACACAGGGAGGGGAACATTACACACTAGGGCCTTTCGGGGGTTGTGGGGCAAGGGGATGGAGAGCATTAGGACAAATACCTAATGCATGCGGTGCTTAAAACCTAGATGACGGGTTGAAAGGTGCAGCAAACCACCATGGCACATGTATACCTATGTAACAAACCTGCACGTTAAGCACATGTATCCCAGAACTTAAAATAAAATTAAATTAAAAAAGAAAGGATGTTGAATTTTTTTTTAATTTTTTTAGTATTTATTGATCATTCTTGGGTGTTTCTCAGAGAGGGGGATTTGGCAGGGTCATAGGACAATAGTGGAGAGAAGGTCAGCAGATAAACTTGTGAACAAAGGTCTCTGGTTTTCCTAGGCAGAGGACCCTGTGGCCTTCCGCAGTGTTTGTGTCCCTGGGTACTTGAGATTAGGGAGTGGTGATGACTCTTAACGAGCATGCTGCCTTCAAGCATCTGTTTAACAAAGCACATCTTCTTGCACCGCCCTTAATCCATTTAACCCTGAGTTGACATAGCACATGTTTCAGAGAGCACGGGGTTGGGGTAAGGTTATACATTAACAGCATCCCAAAGCAGAAGAATTTTTCTTAGTACAGAGCAAAATGGAGCCTCCTATGTCTACTTCGTTCTACACAGACACAGTAACAATCCGATCTCTCTTTCTTTTCCCCACATTTCCCCCTTTTCTATTCGACAAAACTGCCATCGTCATCATGGCCCATTCTCAATGAGCTGTTGGGTACACCTCCCAGACGGGGTGGTGGCCAGGCAGAGGGGCTCCTCACTTCCCAGACGTGGCAGCCAGGCAGAGGGGCCCCCCACCCCCCAGATGGGGAGGCCGGGCAGAGGCGCCCCCCACCTCCCAGACGGGGCGGCTGCTGGGCGGGGGCACCACCCACCTCCCAGATGGGGTGGCTGCCAAGCGGGGGTGACCCCCACCTCCCAGACGGGGTGGCTACCGGGCGGGGGCGCCCCTCACCTCCCAGATGGGGCAGCCCGGTTGGAGACACTCCTCACTTCCCAGACGGGACGGCTGCCGGGCGGAGGGGCTCCTCACTTCTCAGACTGGGCAGCTGGACAGAGGCGCTCCTCAGTTCCCAGATGGGGTTGCGGCCGGGCAGAGGTGCTCCCCACATCCCAGAAGATGGGCGGCCAGGCAGAGATGCTCCTCACTTCACAGAAGGGATGACGGCCGGGAAGAGGCACTCCTCATTTCCCAGACTGGGCAGCCAGGCAGAGGGGCTCCTCACATCCCAGATGATTGGTGGACAGGCAGAGACGCTCCTCACTTCCTAGACGGGGTGGCGGCCAGGCAGAGGCTGAAATCTCAGGACTTTGGGAGGCCAAGGCAGGCGGCTGGGAGGTGGGGGTTGTAGCGAGCCGAGATCATGCCACTGCACTCCAGTCTGGGCAACATTGAGCACTGAGTGAGCGAGACTCCATCTGCAATCCCGGCACCTCGGGAGGCTGAGGCAGGCAGATCACTCGAGGTCAGGAGCTGGAGACCAGCCTGGCCAACATGGCAAAACCCCGTCTCCACCAAAAAATACAAAAACCAGTCAGGCGTGGTGGTGCGCACCTGCAATCCCAGGCACTTGGCAGGCTGAGGCAGGAGAATCAGGCAGGGAGGTTGCAGTGAGCCAAGATCGCGGCATTACAGTCCAGCCTTGGCAACAGAGGGAGACCATGGAAAGTGGAAGACGGAGATGAGGGAGAGGGGGAGACCATGGAAAGCGGGAGGAGGGAGAGGGAGAGGGAGAGGGAGAATGTTGAATTTTATCAAATGCTTTTTCAGCATCAATTGAAAGGATCATCACTGCAGGACTCAGTGTCCATGGAGCAACTACTTTGTTCTCTACTAGCCCCATACCTAGAGACCAGTTTCTCCAGGCCCAAGGGACCAGCAAACAATTGCCCTCCATCCTGTTGGGCCCCATATCCCCCACTGGCTCATAGCCTCAGTCAACCAGGGACCTGACATCATTGCATGAATTATCACAATATAATTCACATAATCACACCATTGTTATGAATCAAAATCTGCCCAAAAAGAGATATCTTAGTTTTCTCAAAATCAAAGAATGTTTTAAAAAACCACACAGCTGCTGAATAATCAACCTGTGAAACTGAGATGTTTCTAGAATGAAACAGTAAATGTGCCTGTAATAACTTAATTTTTTATGTCAGAAAATTATATTTGTCTCCATCTTTTTTCCCACAGTATATTAAATAAAAAGGGAAATAAGGTATAAATAGATTTTGTAAACCTTTTATATTGGAAAAGCCATGAAGTAAGCAGATAAGACAGATGTTCTGTAACTTGGAGGGGTATATAGGATATTTTTGAAAAGGTACAAAGTCCTCAGATGGGCTTAGAAAATTCACTGTATAATCCATATATCATTTTACTTGACTTGCACATCTTCAGGTGCTTGTGTTTACTGTGTTCTTGCCATTAACTAAATGTCTCAGTCTGTCCCAGTGTATAATATTCTGTGAATTTTATTGTATTATAGTTCTATTGTTGGTCTCTTTGCATCGATGATACAACAGCAACATTTTAAAATTATTGTTATTATTGATTCCTAGTTTTATTCTGTTTTGCCAGAGAAGATGCTTGATATTATTTCTATTTTGTTGAATACTTTAAGACTTGCTTCTTGACCTAACATATGGTCTATCCTTGAGAATGATCCATGTGCTGAGGAAAATAATGTGTATTCTGCAGCTGTTGAATGAAATGTTCTGTAAATATCTCTTACGTATATTTGATCCATAGTGCCGATTATGTCTGGTGTTTGTTGATATATTTTTAATGGTCTAGAAGATACATCCCATGCTGAAGGTGGGGGTGGGGGTTGAAGTCTCCCGGCATTATTGTATCTCTTTCTTATTCTCTAAGAATATGTGCCTCATATATCTGGGTGATCAAGTGTTAAGTGCCTATAAATTTACAATTGCTATATCTCCTGCTGAATTGACCACTTTATAGTTATATAATTATGGTCATTGCCTCTTCCTATAAGTTTTGTCTTGAAATCAATCTGATTTCGAGTATAGCAACTCCTATCCTTTTTTTTTAAATTATACTTTAAGTTCTAGGGTACCTGTGCACAACATGCAGGTTTGTTACATATGTATACTTGTGCCATGTTGGTGGGCTACACCCATTAACTCATCATTTACATTACGTATATCTCCTAATGCTGTCCCTCCCCCTCCCCCTACCCTATGACAGCCCCAGTGTGTGATGTTCCCCTTCCTGAGTCCAAGTGTTCTCATTGTTCAATTCCCACCTATGAGTGAGAACATGCAGTGTTTGGTTTTCTGTCCTTGGCAATAGTTTGCTCAAAATGATGGTTTCCATCTTCATCCATGTCCCTACAAAGGACATGAACTCATCCTTTTTTATGGCTGCATAGCATTCCATGGTGTATATGTGCCACAATTTCTTAACCCAGTCTATCATTAATGGACACTGGGTTGGTTCCAAGTCTTTGCTATTGTGAATAGTGCCACAATAAACATACGTGTGCATGTGTCTTTATAGCAGCATGATTTATAATCCTTTGGGTATATACCCAGTAATGAGATGGCTGGGTCAAATGCTATTTCTAGTTCTAGATCCTTGAGGATTCACCACACTGTCTTCCACAATGGTTGAACTAGATTACAGTCCCACCAACAGTGTAAAAGCATTCCTATTGGGCGTGGAGCCAAGATGGCCGAATAGGAACAGCTCCAGTCTACAGCTCCCAGCATGAGCGACGCAGAAGACGGGTGATTTCTGCATTTCCAATTGAGGTACTGGTTTTATATCACTGGGGAGTGTTGGAAAGTGGGTGCAGGACTGTGGGTGCAGTGCACCAAGCATGAGCGGAAGGGCGAGGCATCGCCTCACCTGGGAAGCACAACGGGTCAGGGAATTCCCTTTCCTAGTCAAAGAAATGGGTGACAGATGGTACCTGGAAAATTAGGTCACTCCCACCCTAATACTGTGCTTTTCCAATGGTCTTAGCAAATGGTACACCAGGAGATTATATCCCGTGCCTGGCTTGGAGAGTCCTACGCCCATGGAGCCCCGCTCACTGCTAGCACAGCAGTCTGAGATTAAACTGCAAGGTGGCAGCGAGGCTGGGGGACGGGTGCCTGCCATTGCCGAGGCTTGAGTAGGTAAACAAAGCAGCTGGGAAGCGCGAACTGGGTGGAGCCCACCACAGCTCAAGAAGGCCTGCCTGACTCTGTAGACTCCACCTCTGGGGGCAGGGCATAGCCAAACAAAAGGCAGCAGAATCCTCTGCAGACTTAAATGTCCCTGTCTGACAGCTTTGAAGAGAATAGTGGTTCTCCAGTACACAGCTGGAGATCCGAGAACGGACAGACTGCCTCCTCAAATTGGTCCCTGAACCCCAAGTAGCCTAACTGGGAGGCACACCCCAGTAGGGGAAGACTGACACCTCACCCAGCCGCTTACTCCTCTGAGACAAAACTTCCAGAGGAACGATCAGGCAGCAATATTTGCTGCTCACCAATATCCGCTGTTCTGCAGCCTCCACTGCTGATACCCAGGAAACAGGATCTGGAGTGGACCTCTGCCAAACTGCAACAGACCTGCAGCTGAGGGTCCTGTCTGTTAGAAGGAAAACTAACAGAAAGGACATCCACACCAAAACCCCATCTGTATGTCACCATCATCAAAGACTAAAGGTAGATAAAACCACAAAGATGGGGAAAAAACAGAGCAGAAAAACTGGAAACTCTAAAAATCAGAGCACCTCTCCTCCTCCAAAGGAATGCAGCTCCTCACCAGCAATGGAACAAACCCGGATGGAGAATGACTTTGACGAGTTGAGAGAAGAAGGCTTAAGACAATCAAACTACTCTGAGCTAAAGGAGGAAGTTCAAACCCATGGCAAAGAAGTTAAAAACTTTGAAAAAAAAATTAGACAAATGGCGAACTAGAATAACCAATGCAGAGAAGTCCTTAAAGGACATGATGGAGCTGAATACCAAGGCACGAGAACTACGTGATGAATGCACAAGCCTCAGTAGCCGATTTGATCAACTGGAAGAAAAAGTATCAGTGATGGGAGATCAAATGAATGAAATGAAGCAAGAAGAGAAGTTTAGAGAAAAAAGGATAAACAAAAAAGAACAAAGCCTCCAAGAAATATGGGACTATGTGAAAAGACCAAATCTATGTCTGATTCGTGTACCTGAAAGTCACGGGGAGAATGGAACCAAGTTGGAAAACACTCTGCAGGATATTATCCAGGAGAAGTTCCCCAATCTAGCAAGGCAGGCCAACATTCAAATTCAGGAAATACAGAGAATGCCACAAAGATACTCCTCGAGAAGAGCAACTCCAAGACACATAATTGTCAGATTCACCAAAGTTGAAATGAAGGAAAAAATGGCAAGGGCAGCCAGAGAGAAAGGTCAGGTTACCCAAAAAGGGAAGCCCATCAGACTAACAGCAGATATCTCGGCAGAAACTCTACAAGCCAGAAGAGAGTGGGGGCCAATATTCAACATCCTTATAGAAAAGAATTTTCAACCCAGAATTTCATATCCAGCCAAACTAAGCTTCATAAGTGAAGGAGAAATAAAATCCTTTACAGACAAGCAAATGCTGAGAGATTTTGTCACCACCAGGCCTGCCTTACAGGAGCTCCTGAAGGAAGCAATAAACATGAAAAGGAACAACCAGTACCAGCCACTGCAAAAACATGCCAAATTGTAAAGACCATCCAGGCTAGGAAGAAACTGCATCAACTAAGGAGCAAAATAACCAGCTAACATCATAATGACAGGATCAAATTCACACATAACAATATTAACCATAAATGTAAATGGACTAAATGCTCCAAATAAAAGACACAGACTGCCAAATTGGATAAAGAGTCAAGACCAGTCAGTGTGCTGTATTCAGGAAACCCATCTCACATGCACAGACACACATAGGCTCAAAATAAAGGGATGGAGGAAGATCTACCAAGCAAATGGAAAACAGAAAAAGGCAGGGGTTACAATCCTAGTCTCTGATAAAACAGACTTCAACCAACAAAGATCAAAAGAGACAAAGAGGCCATTAAATAATGGTAAAGGGATCAGTTCCACAAGAAAATCTAACTATCCTAAATATGTATGCACCCAACACAGGAGCACCCAGATTCATAAAGACAGTCCTTAGATACCTAGAAACAGACTTAGACTCCCACACAATAATAATGGGAGACTTTAACACCCCACTGTCAACATTAGATCAACAAGACAGAAAGTTAACAGGGATATCCAGGAATTGGACTCAGCTCTGCACCAAGCGGACCTAATAGACATCTACAGAACTCTCCACCCCAAATCAACAGAATATACATTCTTCTCAGCACCACACTGCACTTATTCCAAAATTGACCACATAGTTGGAAGTAAAGCACTCCTCAGCACATGTAAAAGAACAGAAATTATGACAAACTGTCTCTCAGACCACAGTGCAATCAAACTAGAACTCAGGATTAAGAAACTCACTCAAAATCGCTCAACTACATGGAAACTGAACAATCTGCTCCTGAATGACTACTGGGTACATAACAAAATGAAGGCAGAAATAAAGACGTTGTTTGAAACCAACGAGAACAAAGACACAACATACCAGAATCTCTGGGACACATTCAAAGCAGTGTGTAGAGGGAAATTTATAGCACTAAATGCCCACAAGAGAAAGCGGGAAAGATCCAAAATTGACACCCTAATATCACAATTAAAAGAACTAGAGAAGCAAGAGCAAACACGTTCAAAAGGTAGCAGAAGGCAAGAAATAACTACAGTCAGAGCAGAACTGAAGGAAATAGAGACACAAAAAACCCTTCAAAAAATCAATGAAACCAGGGGCTGGTTTTTGAAAAGATCAACAAAATTGATAGACTGCTAGCAAGACTAAAAAAGAAGAAAAGAGAGAAGAATCAAATAGATGCAATAAAAAATGATAAAGGGGATATCACCACTGATACCACAGAAATACAAACTACCATCAGAGAATACTATAAACACCTCTACGCAAACAAACTAGAAAATCCAGAAGAAATGAATAAATTACTGGACACATACACCCTGCCAAGACTAAACCAGGAAGAAGTTGAATCCCTGAATAGACCAATAACAGGATCTGAAAATGAGGCAATAATTAATAGCCTACCAACCAAAAAAAGTCCAGGAACAGACAGATTCACAGCCAAATTCTTCCAGAGGTACAAAGAGGAGCTGGTACCATTCCTTCTGAAACTATTCCAATCAATAGAAAAAGAGGGAATCCTCCCTAATTCATTTTATGAGGCCAGCAACATCCTGATTACCAAAGTCTGGCAGAGACACAACAAAAAAAGAGAATTTTAGACCAATACCCCTGATGAATATCAATGCACAAATCTTCAATAAAATACTGGTAAACCGAATTCAGCAGCACATCAAAAAGCTTATCCACCATGATCAAGTGGGCTTCATCCCTGGGATGCAAGACTGGTTCAACATACGCAAATCAATAAATGTAATCCAGCATATCAACAGAACCAAAGACAAAAACCACATGATTATCTCAATAAATGCAGAAAAGGCCTTTGCCAAAAGTCAGCAGCCCTTCATGCTAAAAACTCTCAATAAATTAGGTATTGATGGGACATAGCTCAAAATAATAAGAGCTATTTATGACAAACCGACAGCCAATGTCATACTGAATAGGCAAAAACTGGAAGCATTCCCTTTGAAAACTGGCACAAGACAGGGATTCCCTCTCTCACCATTCCTATTCAACACAGTGTTGGAATTTCTGGCCAGAGCAATCATGCAGGATAAAAAAAAAGGGTATTCAATTAGGAAAAGAGGAAGTCAAATTGTCCCTGTTTGCAGATGATATTGTATATTTAGAAAACCCCATCATCTCAGCCCAAAATCTCCTTAAGCTGATATGCAACTTCAGCAAACTCTCATAATACAAAATCAATGTGCAAAAATCACAAGTATTCCTATACACCAATAACAGGCAAACAGACAGCCAAATCATGAGTGAACTCCCATTCACAATGGCTTCAAAGAGAATAAAATACCTAGGAATCCAAGTTACAAGGGATGTGAAGGACCTCTTCAAGGAGAACTACAAACCACTGCTCAAAGAAATAAAAGAGGACACAAACAAATGGAAGAACATTCCATGCTCATGGATAGAAAGAATCAAAATCGTGAAAATGGCCATACTGCCCAAGGTAATTTATAGATTCAATGCCATCCCCATCGTGCTACCAATGACTTTCTTCACAGAATTGGAAAAAACTACTTTAAAGTTCACACAGAACCGAAAAAGAGCCTGCATTGCCAAGACAATCCTAATCCAAAAGAACAAAGCTGGCGACATCATGCTACCTGACTTCAAACTATACTACAAGGCTACAGTAACCAAAACAGCATGGTACTGGTACCAAAACAGAGATGTAGACAAAAGGAACAGATCAGAGCCCTCAGATATGATACCACACATCTACAACCATCTGATCTTTAACAAACCTGACAAACACAAGAAATGGGGAAAGGATTCCCTATTTAACAAATGGTGCTGGGAAAACTGGCTAGCCATATGTTCCAACTCCTGTTCTTTCTTTGTTTCAAATATCATAGAATATCTTTTTCCATCCCTGTATCTTCAGTCTGTCTGTGTCTTTACAAGGGAAGTCTGTTTCTCATAGACAACATATCATTGGGTCTTTTTAAAATCAATTCAGCCACTCTATGTCTTTTGATTGTAGAATTTAGTCCATTTACATTTGATGTTATTGGTAATACTGAATAATTAGTAACATTCAATGATAAGCAAAGAATTACTCCTGCCATTTTTTTTAAACTATAGCAATAGTTTATTAACCATAAAAGGTTAACTTTTAAGGAATACCAACTTTTTTTTCCTTTTTAAAAAAAATTTATTTATTATTATTATACTTTATGTTTTAGGGTACATGTGCACAATATGCAGATTAGTTACATATGTATACATGTGCCATGCTGGTGCACTGCACCCACTAACTCGTCATCTAGCATTAGGTATATCTCCCAATGCTATCCCTCCCCACACCCCACAACAGTCCCCGGAGTGTGATGTTCTCCTTCCTGTGTCCATGTGTTCTTATTGTTCAATTCCCACCTATGAGTGAGAATATGCGGTGTTTGGTTTTTTGTTCTTGTGATAGTTTACTGAGAATGATGATTTCCAATTTCATCCATGTCCCTACAAAGGACATGAACTCATCATTTTTTATGGCTGCATAGTATTCCATGGTGTATATGTGCCACATTTTCTTAATCCAGTCTATCATTGTTGGACATTTGGGTTGGTTCCAAGTCTTTGCTATTGTGAATCATGCCGCAATAAACATACGTGTGCATGTGTCTTTATAGCAGCATGATTTATAGTCCTTTGGGTATATACCCAGTAATGGGATGGCTGGGTCAAATGGTATTTCTAGTTCTAGATCCCTGAGGAATCGCCACACTGACTTCCACAATGGTTGAACTAGTTTACAGTCCCACCAACAGTGTAAAAGTGTTCCTATTTCTCCACATCCTCTCCAGCACCTGTTGTTTCCTGACTTTTTAATGATTGCCATTCTAACTGGTGTGAAATGGTGTCTCATTGTGGTTTTGATTTGCATTTCTCTGATGGCCAGTGATGGGGTTGTTTGTTTTTTTTCTTGTAAATTTGTTTGAGTTCATTGTAGATTCTGGATATTAGCCCTTTGTCAGATGAGTAGGTTGTGAAAATTTTCTCCCATTTTGTAGGTGGCCTGTTCACTCTGATGGTAGTTTCTTTTGCTGTGCAGAAGCTCTTTAGTTTAATTAGATCCCATTTGTCAATTTTGGCTTTTGTTGCCATTGCTTTTGGTGTTTTAGACATGAAGTCCTTGCCCAAGCCTATGTCCTGAATGGTAATGCCTAGGTTTACTTCTAGGGTTTTTATGGTATTAGGTCAAACGTTTAAGTCTTTAATCCATCTTGAATTGATTTTTGTATAAGGTGTAAGGAAGGGATCCAGTTTCAGCTTTCTACATATGGCTAGCCAGTTTTCCCAGCACCATTTATTAAATAGGGAATCCTTTCCCCATTGCTTGTTTTTCCCAGGTTTGTCAAAGATCAGATAGTTGTAGATATGCGGCATTAATTCTGATGTCTCTGTTCTGTTCCATTGATCTATATCTCTGTTTTGGTACCAGTACCATGCTGTTTTGGTTACTGTAGCCTTGTAGTATTGTTGGAAGTCAGGTAGGGTGATGCCTCCAACTCTGTTCTTTTGGCTCAGGATGACTTGGCAATGCAGGCTCTTTTTTGGTTCCATATGAACTTTAAAGTAGATTTTTCCAATTCTGTGAAGAAAGTCATTGGTAGCTTGATGGGGATGGCATTGAATCTGTAAATTACCTTGGGCAGTATGGTCATTTTCACGATATTGGTTCTTCCTACCCATGAGCATGGAATGTTCTTCCATTTGTTTGTATCCTCTTTTATTTTCTTGAGCAGTGGTTTGTAGTTCTCCTTGAAGAGGTCCTTCACATCCCTTGTAAGTTGGATTCCTAGGTATTTTATTCTCTTGGAAGCAATTGTGAATGGGAGTTCACTCATGATTTGGCTCTCTGTTTGTCTGTTGTTGGTGTACAAGAATGCTTGTGATTTTTGTACGTTGATTTTATATTTTGAGACTTTGCTGAAGTTGCTTATCAGCTTAAGGAGATTTTTGGCTGAGATGATGGGGTTTTCTAGATATACAATCATGTCATCTGCAAACACGGACAATTTGACTTCCTCTTTTCCTAATTGAATACCCTTTATTTCCTTCTCCTGCCTGATTGCCCTAGCCAGAACTTCCAATACTATGCTGAATAGGAGTGGTGAGAGAGGGTATACCTGTCTTGTGCCAGTTTTCAAAGGGAATGCTTCCAGTTTTTGCCCATTCAGTATGATATTGGCTGTGGGTTTGTCATAAATAGCTCTTATTATTTTGAGATACGTCCCATCAATACGTAATTTATTGAGAGTTTTTAGCATGAAGGGTTGTTGAATTTTGTCAAAGGCCTTTTCTGCATCTATTGAGATAATCATGTGGTTTTTGTCTTTGGTTCGGTTTATATGCTGGATTACATTTATTGATTTGCGTATATTGAACCAGCCTTGCATCCCAGGGATGAAGCCCACTTGATCATGGTGGATAAGCTTTTTGATGTGCTGCTGGATTCGGTTTGCCAGTATTTTATTGAGGATTTTTGCATCAATGTTCATCAAGCATATTGGTCTAAAATTCTCTTTTTTGGTTGTGTCTCTGCCCGGCTTTGGTATCAGGATGATGCTGGCCTCATAAAACGAATTAGGGAGGATTCCCTCTTTTTCTATTGATTGGAATAGTTTCAGAAGGAATGGTACCAGTTCCTCCTTGTACCTCTGGTAGAATCGGCTGTGAATCCATCTGGTCCTGGACTCTTTATCGTTGGTAAGTATTGATTATTGCCACAGTTTCAGCTCCTGTTATTGGTCTATTCAGAGATTCAACTTCTTCCTGGTTTAGTCTTGGGAGAGTGTATGTGTCGAGGAATTTATCCATTTCTTCTAGATTTTCTAGTTTATTTGTGTAGAGGTGTTTGTAGTATTCTCTGATGGTGGTTTGTATTTCTGTGGGATCGGTGGTGATATCCCCTTTATCATTTTTTATTGCATGTGTTTGATTCTACTCTCTTTTCTTCTTTTTTAGTCTTGCTAGCAGTCTATCAATTTTGTTGATCTTTTCAAAAAACCAGCTCCTGGATTCATTGATTTTTTGAAGGTTTTTTTGTGTCTCTATTTCCTTCAGTTCTGCTCTGATTTTAGTTATTTCTTGCCTTCTGCTAGCTTTTGAATGTGTTTGCTCTTGCTTTTCTAGTTCTTTTAATTGTGATGTTAGGGTGTCAATTTTGGATCTTTCCTGCTTTCTCTTGTGGACATTTAGTGCTATAAATTTCCCTCTACACACTGCTTTGAATGTGTCTCAGAGAATCTGGTATGTTGTGTCTTTGTTCTCGTTGGTTTCAAAGAACATCTTTATTTCTGCCTTCATTTCGTTATGTACCCAGTAGTAATTCAGGAGCAGGTTGTTTAGTTTCCATGTAGTTGAGCGGTTTTGAGTGAGTTTCTTAATCCTGAGTTCTAGTTTGATTGCACTGTGGTCTGAGAGATAGTTTGTTATAATTTCTGTTCTTTTACGTGTGCTGAGGAGAGCTTTACTTCCACGTATGCGGTCAATTTTGGATTAGGTGTGGTGTGGTGCTGAAAAAAATGTATATTCTGTTGATTTGGGGTGGAGAGTTCTGTAGATGTCTATTAGGTCCGCTTGGTGCAGAGCTGAGTTCAATTCCTGGGTATCTTTGTTGACTTTCTGTCTTGTTGATCTGTCAATGTTGACAGTGGGGTGTTAAAGTCTCCCATTATTAATGTTTGGGAGTCTAAGTCTCTTTGCAGGTCACTCAGGACTTGCTTTATGAATCTGGGTGCTCCTGTTTTGGGTGCATATATATTTAGGATAGTTAGCTCTTCTTGTTGAATTGATCCCTTTACCATTAAGTAATGGCCTTCTTAGTCTCTTTTGATCTTTGTTGGTTTAAAGTCTGTTTTATCAGAGACTAGGATTGCAACCCCTGCCTTTGTTTTCCATTTGTTTGGTAGATCTTCCTCCATCCTTTTATTTTGAGCCTATGTGTGTCTCTGCCCGTGAGATGGGTTTCCTGAATACAGCACACTGATGGGTCTTGACTCTTTATCCAGTTTGCCAGTCTGTGTCTTTTAATTGGAGCATTTAGTCCATTTACATTTAAAGTTAATATTGTTATGTGTGGATTTGATCCTGTCATTATGATGTTACCTGGTTATTTTTCTCCTTAGTTGATGCAGTTTCTTCTTAGTCTTGATGGTCTTTACATTTTGGCATGATTTTGCAGTGGCTGGTACCGGTTGTTCCTTTCCATGTTTAGCGCTTCCTTCAGGAGCTCTTTTAGGGCGGGCCTGGTGGTGAGAACATATCTCAGCATTTGCTTGTCTGTAAAGTATTTTATTTCTCCTTCACTTATGAAGCTTAGTTTGGCTGGATATGAAATTCTCGGTTGAAAATTCTTTTCTTTAAGAATGTTGAATATTGGCCCCCACTCTCTTCTGGCTTATAGAGTTTCTGCTGAGAGATCTGCTGTTAGTCTGATGGGCTTCCCTTTGAGGATAACCCTACCTTTCTCTCTGGCTGCCCTTAACATTTTTTCCTTCACTTCAACTTTGGTGAATCTGACAATTATGTTTGTTGGTGTTGCTCTTCTCAAGGAGTATCTTTGTGGCGTTCTTTGTATTTCCTGAATCTGAATGTTGGCCTGCCTTGCTAGATTGGGGAATTTCTCTTGGATAATATCCTGCAGAGTGTTTTCCAACTTGGTTCCATTCTCCCCGTGACTTTCAGGTACACCAATCAGACGTAGATTTGGTCTTTTCACATAGTCCCATATTTCTTGGAGGCTTTGCTCATTTCTTTTTATTCTTTTTTCTCTAAATTTCCCTTCTCACTTCATTTCATTCATTTCATCTTCCATCGTTGACACCCTTTCTTCCAGTTGATCACATCGGCTCCTGAGGCTTCTGCATTCTTCACGTAGTTCTTGAGCCTTGTTTTTCAGCTCCATCAGCTCCTTTAAGCACTTCGCTGTATTGGTTATTCTAGTTATACATTCGTCTAAATTTTTTTCAAAGTTTTCAACTTCTTTGCGTTTGGTTTGAATGTCCTCCCGTAGCTTGGATTAATTTGATCATCTGAAGCCTTCTTCTCTCAGCTCTTCAAAGTCATTCTCTGTCCAGCTTTGTTCCGTTGCTGGTGAGGAACTGCGTTCCTTTGGAGGAGGAGAGGCGCTCTGCTTTTTAGAGTTTCCAGTTTTTCTGCTCTGTTTTTTCCCTATCTTTGTGGTTTTATCTACTTTTGGTCTTAGATGATGGTGATGTACAGATGGGTTTTTGGTGTGGATGTCCTTTCTGTTTGTTAGTTTTCCTTCTAACAGAGAGGACCCTCAGCTGCAGGTCTGTTGGAGTACCCGGCCGTGTGAGGTGTCCGTCTGCCCTTGCTGGGGGGTGTCTCCCAGTTAGGCTGCATGGGGGTCAGAGGTCAGGGACTCACTTGAGGAGGCAGTCTGCCCTTTCTCGGATCTCCAGCTGCGTGCTGGGAGAACCACTGCTCTCTTCAAAGCTGTCAGACAGGGACATTTAAGTCTGCGGAGGTTACTGTTGTCTTTTTGTTTGTCTGTGCCCTCCCCCAGAGGTGGAGCCTACAGAGGCAGGCAGGCCTCCTTGAGCTGTGGCAGGCTCCACCCAGTTCGAGCTTCCCGGCTGCTTTGTTTACCTAAGCAAGCCTGGGCAATTGCGGGCACCCCTCCCCTAGCCTCGCTGCTGCCTTGCAGTTTGATCGCAGACTGCTGTGCTAGCAATCAATGAGACTCCGTGGGCATAGGACCCTCTGAACCATGTGGGGGATATAATCTCCTGGTGCGCCATTTTTTATGCCCATCGGAAAAGCGCAGTATTAGGGTGGGAGTGACCCGATTTTCCAGGTGCCGTCTGTCACCACTTTCTTTGACTAGGAAAGGGAACTCCCTGACCCCTTGCACTTCCCGAGTGAGGCAATGCCTCACCCTGCTTTGGCAGGCACACGGTGCATGCACCAACTGACCTGTGCCCACTGTCTGGCACTCCCTAGTGAGATGAACCTGGTACCTCAGATGGAGATGCAGAAATCACCCTTCTGAGTCACTCACACTGGGAGCTGTAGACTGGAGCTGTTCCTATTCGGCCATCTTGGCTCCTCCCCCACTCCTGCCATTTTGTGATGTGTTTCCTGGTTGTTTTGTAGTCTTTTTTCTTTCCTTCCTTCTCGTCTTCCTTTTAGTGAAGGTAATTTTGTCTGGTGGTATGCTTTAATTTCTTAATTTTTTTTTGTATCTGTTGTTTATTTTTTTGATTTGAGGTTACCATGAGGCTTGCAAATACTATCTTATAACCCATTATTTTCAGAGTGATAAAGTCTTAACACTCTTTATCTAAACAAACAAGAATAAAGTAAACTAAAAAACACTCTACACCTTAAATTAATCTCGTCTTTTTAATCTTTCAATTTCTATTTATATCTCACTGTAGTGTCTTTGACTTGAAAAGTTGTAGTTCTTTTTGATTGGTTCATCTTTAAGTCTTTCTATTTAAGATGGGGAAGTTTACAAGCCACATTTATTGTGTTATAATATTTTGAATTTTCCTTTGTGCTTATTATTATCAGTGAGTATTGTAAGGTCAGATGATTTCTTTTTTTTTTTGAGATGGAGTCTCGCTCTGTCACCCAGGCGGGAGTGCAGTGGCACAATCTCCACTCACTGCAAGCTTCACCCCCCAGGTTCATGCCATTCTCCTGCCTCAGTCTCCCGAGTAGCTGGGACTACTGGCACCAGCCACCATGCCCGGTTAATTTTTTTGAATTTTTAGTAGAGATGGGGTTTCACCGTGTTTGCCAGGATGGTCTTGATCTCCTGACCTCGTGATCTGCCCACCTCAGCCTCCCAAAGTGCTGGGATTACAGGCTGAGCTGCTGTGACTGACCTCCAGATGATTTCTTATTGCTCACTAACGTACTTTCTTTCTGATTGAAGTACTTCCTTTAGCATTTGATGTAGGGTAAGTGTGGTGTTGGTAAAATTCCTCAGCTTTTGTTTGTCTGGGAAAATCTTTATTTCTTCATTATGTTTGAAGAATTTTTTTTTGGTTAACCATTTCTTTTTTTCCCCCAAAGCTCTTTACGTATGTCATGTCACTCTTTTGTTGCTTGCAAGGTGTCCACTGAAAAGTCTGCTGCCAGGTGTATTGTGGCGCTACTGTATATTATTTGTTTCTTTTGTCTTGTTGCTTTTAGGATCCTTTCTTTACTCTTGACCTTTGGAAGTTTGATTATTAAGTGCCTTGGGGTAGGCTTCTTTGGGTTAAATCTACTTGGGGTTCTGTAACCTTCTTGTACTTAGATATCGATTTTTTTCCCCAGGTTTGGTAAGTTCTGTGTTATTATTCTTTTAAATAATCTCTCTAATCATATCTCTTTCTCTACCTCCTCTTTAAGGCCAATAACTCTTAAATTTGCTCTTACGAGGCCGTTTTCTAGATATTCTAAGTGTGCTTCATTGTTTTTTATTCTTTTTTTTTTGTCTCCTCGGACTGTATATTTTCAAATAGCCTACCTTCAAGTCCACTAATTTGTTCTTCTGCTTGATTAGTTCTATTAAAAGACTTTGGTGCATTCTTCGGTATGCCAATTGCATTTTTCAGTTCCAGGATTTCTACTTGATTCTTTTTAATTATTTGAATCTTTTTATTAAATTTATCTGATAGAACTTTGAATTCCTTCTCTGTGATATCTTGAATTTCTCAGTTTTCTCGAAACAGCTATCTTATCTATCTGAAAGGTCACATATCTCTGTTTCTCTTGGACTGGCTCCTGGTGCCTTATTTAGTTTGGTGGAGTCATGTTTTCCTATATGGTCTTGATGCTTTCAGATGTTCTTTGGTGTCTGGGCATTGAAAAGTTACATATTTATTGTAGTCTTCACAATCTGGGTTTGTTTTTACTCAGTCCATCTTGAGAAGGCTTTCTGGGTATTTGAAAGGACTTGAGTGTTGTGACGTTAGCTGTATCTGCATTAGAGGGCAACCCAGGCCCAGTAATACTGTGGTTTCTGTAAACTCAAAAAGGTATCACTTTGGTGGCCTTGGATAAGATCTGGAAGAATTCTATGTATTAAGGCAGAAACGCTTGTTTTCTTTCCTTACTTTTCCCAAACAAACAGAATATCTCTCTTTGCTGAGCTGCTTGGAGCTAGGTGTCGTGTGACTTAAGCAGCCCAGTGAGTACCACCACTGGATATGTGCTGGGTCAGACCTGAGGCCAGCAAAACACTCGGTTTCACCCAAGGCCCATTGTAACCACTCTCTGGCTACCACCTATTTTCACTCAAGGCCAGAGGGCACTACAATTTGCCGGTCATAAAGCCAGCCTGCATTGCATCTCTCCCTTCAGGGCAGCAAGTTTCTCCAGTACCAGGGCAGTCCAGAAATACTGTCCAGCCACCAAAGACTAGAGTCAAAAACCTTAGAAATCTACCTGTGCTATTGTACTATGGCTGAGTTGGTGCTCAATGAGATGCTTTCCCTATCCTCTCCACAGGAAGCAGAGCCTCAGCCCATTACCACCACCACCACAGGCCCACTGGAAGTATTTTCAAGCTACCACTGATGTTCACTTAATGCCCAATGGATCTTTAGCATGTGGTGAATGTTGCCAGGCTTGAGACTCACCCTTTAGGGCAGTGGGCTCCATTTTGGCCCAAGGCACGTCCAGAAATGCTGTCTAAGAGCCATGGTCTGGAATCAGAGACCCCAAGAGCCCACTTGGTACTCTACCCTCCTGTGGCCAAGCTGGTACCTAAGGTGCAAGACAAAGTCCCCTTTACTTTTTCCTCTGCTTTTCTCAAGTAGGAGGAGTCTCTCACTGTAGCTATCACAGCTGAAAATATGCTGGATCTCACCTGAAGCCAGCATGTCCCAGTCTCACCCAAGGCCTATGGTGTACTACCTGGGCATTGCTGTGGGTTATTCAGGGGCCAATATATCTTTAGGCAGCAGGTGATGGGTCCTGCCTGGATTGGGTCGTTTCCTTCAAGGTGGTGGGTTCCCTTCTGGCTCAGGATGTATCTAGAAATGTCATCCAGGAACTAAGGCCTACAATGGGGGACTCAAAACTTTGATCAGTGCTCCACCGTACTGTGGCTGAGCTGGTATTCAAGGTGCAAGACAAAGTCCTCTTTACTCTTCCCTCTCATTTCCACAAGTGGAAGAAAGGTGTCTCTTTCGCAGCCATGAGCTGTGCTGTCAAGGGTTGGGCGCGATGTGGCATGTGCTCCCTTAGCCACTATGGCTGGTGTCTCAGCAGGTCACATTCCCCCAATGTGTACTGGCTCTTTGCTTAGCATAGCACTAGGACTCAGCTAGGAGTTGTGGTCCTTGTGTCCTACACTGCCTTTAAAATTTATTTAGAACCCCAAAACACTTTAGTTTGCAGTGAACTCAAATTCCAACTGCTGGGATGGATAATTCCCCTCTGGCTGGGGCTGGTCTAAATGCCTCCTCCATTGGCGGGCATCAGCTGAGTTCAGTCCTGTTTTGCTTTATGCTGTGACAGGGCAGCAAAACTCAAATCTCACTGTGAAAATTGAGTTCAACGCAAGGTTTCACAACCGCTGTACCCTCCCTTTCCCAAGAACACAGATTATTTTCTCACACCACACATCTACTGCTAGAGGATAGTGGAGAAGGAGTGATATTAGAGATTCAAGACTTTCTTACCCACTTCAGTGCCTGATATGGTTTGGCTGTGTCTCCTCTCAAATCTCATCTTGAATTGTAGTTCCCATACTCCCCATGTGTCATGGGAAGGACCTGATGGGAGGTAATTGGATCATGGGGGGCAGTTACCCTCATGCTTTTCTCATGATAGTGAGTGAGTTCTCACAAGATCTGATGGTTTTATAAGGGGCTTTTCCCCCTTTGCTGGACACGTCTCCTTGCTGCTGCCATGTGAAGAAGGACATGATTGCTTCCCGTTCCACCGTGATTGTAAGTTTCCTGTGACCTCCCGAGCCCTGCAGAACCTAAGTCAATTAAACTTCTTTCCTTTCTAAATTACCCAGTATCGGGCAGTTCTTTATAGCAGTGCGAGAGTGGACTAATACAGTGCCTATTTCAGTGATATAAAGTTAAAACCAAATACTATGAGTGCTCACCTGATTTTTTCTTCTTATGAATGTGCTATTTTTGTTTAGATAGTTATTACATTTGGTGTTCCTGTGGGAGGGATGCTTGGTGGAGCCTTCTATTTGGCCATCTTACTCCATCCGTAATCAATTAATGCTTAGTAATTTTTTTTTTTACTTTAAAAATTTCAACTTTTATTTTGGATTCAGGAGGTATATTTGCAAGTTTGTTACATGGGTATGTTACATGATGCTGAGACTTGCGGTATGATTGATCCTGTCACCCAGGTAGTGAGCATAGCACCCAACCAATAGGTAGTTTTTCTTTTCATATATATATATATATATATAGTATATATTACTATACTATATATATAATATATATTACTATACTATAGAGTACATATATAACTATATATAATATATATTACTATACTATATATAGTGTATATATAACTATATATATACACTGTATATATAGTTATATATACACTATATATAGTTATATATAACCTATATATAGTTATATATATACTATATATAGTTATATATACTGTATATATATAGTTATATATACTGTATATATAGTTATATATATACTGTATATATAGTTATATATATATACTATATATATATAGTATATATATATACTATATATACAGTATATATATATAACTATATATATATACTATATATATAGTATATATATATAACTATATATATATATTACTATACTTTAAGTTCTAGGGTACATGTGCAGAACGCGTAGGTTTGTTATATATGTATGCATGTGCCATGTTGTTGGTGTGCTGCACTCATTAACTCGTCATTTACATTAGGTATATCTCCTAATGCTATCCCTCCCCCCTCCCACCACCCCACAACAGGCCCCGGTGTGTGATGTTCCCCTTCCTGTGTCCAAGTGTCCTCATTGATCAATTCTCACCTATGAGTGAGAACATTCAGTGTTTGGTTTTCTGTCCTTGCGATAGTTTGCTGAGAATGATGGTTTCCAGCTTCATCCATGTCCCTACAAAGGACATGAACTCATCCTTTTTTATGGCTGCATAGTATTCCATGGTGTATATGTGCCACATTTTCTTAATCCAGTCTATCACTGATGGACATTTGGTTTGGTTCCAAGTCTTTGCTGTTGTGAATAGTGCTGCAATAAACATACGTGTGTATGTGTCTTTATAGCAGCATGATTTATAATCCTTTGGGTATATACCCAGTAATGGGATGGCTGGATCAAATGGTATTTCTAGTTCTAGGTCCCTGAGGAATCACCACACTGTCTTCCACAATGGTTGAACTAGTTTACAGTCCCACCAACAGTATAAAAGTATTCCTATTTCTCCACATCCTCTCCAGCACCTGCTGTTTCCTGACGTTTTAATGATTGCCATTCTAAATGGTTTGAGATGGTATCTCATTGTGGTTTACAAAATGGTTTTACATATGCTATCTCTTTCAATCCTTACAATCGTACTGTGGGGTGAATGGCATAATCCCTGTTGAACAGGGATTCCTGAAGAAACAGACTCAGATACATTATTCTTTCTTCCTTTTTCTCTATTTAGAAAATCTACAAGGCCCACCATAGGAACTATATTTTTCACAAGAAAATCATGGACTGATTAATGTCCAGCTTGAATTCAGTTCACTCTTCTCTGAATTCTTACTGTAAAGTCAGTTTTATGTATTTTACTACTGACATGCTATTTTTTCTTTTTCAGTCTTTTCCTGTGTATTGTAATTTAGCAATGTAAAAAGACAAGGATAGATTTTACATTTAATGAATTTGATTCCTATCTGACCTTGATGCATACTTGTGTGATTTTATACAGGTTATCTAGTTCTCCAAACCTCAGTTTCCCCATCTGTGAAATGTGGATAACAATCCTTACCTCTCAATATCGTTTGGTTTATCAAATAAGAAAATTGAAAGTTTTCCTTCCTTCCTTTCCTTCCTTCCTTCCTCCCTTCCTCCCTTCCTCTCTCCCTCTCTCCTGTCCACTCTTCTTCCCTCCCTTCCTTTCTTAAAATATGTCCGCATTCAAATTGACATGTTTTCCTTCCTTCCTTCCTTCCTTCCTTCCTTCCTTCCTTCCTTCCTTTCCTTCCTTCCTTCCCTTCCTCCCTTCCTCTCTCCTGTCCTCTCTTCTTCCCTCCCTCCTTTCTTAAAATATGTCCGCAATCAGGCTGAAAGCCCCATGATGTCAGTGCACTTATCTTAAACCTCTGTTGCTTCCCCAACACAGTTGAATTCATAATATTTGATACCTACATTTACTTGGACTTGGAAGGCTTGGAATGCATGTTTTTGGAGCACTAGGCTTCTACATATAGTCTCATCATCTAATATCAACTTTCAGAGCCTTTGAATCTAAAATACTTTTGCTGGATCTAATTAAAATTTCAACATGCTAATAAGCAAGTTAATGGCTTCCATCTTCACAAATCATTTATTTGTCAAAAAGGGAAATGTAGTTTCTTTGATTTTAACGAATAGGCTTCCCCAGAAACTACACATTTTCTGAAATCATTATTAATACCAATTTTAAACACAAACTCTCTATTGGTGGCTTTTATTGTTGCTATGACACGAATAACAAGCAGTCAGTACACTCATTGACAGAGAGAACTCACTTTAAATCCCTTAAAGTTTGCAATTACTTTTGGTTGGAGGTTAGTGAAAGAAGTGTGAGGTACACTTCTTTGGCAGTTTCTAAAAAGTCTACACTAACACAAGGACTGTGATAGACAATCCCCTAGAAAAATTGACATCTTCTTATATCCCGTTCTTTATTCTTTCTCTTTCTGTTGTATGCCTGAGTGTTACAGCTCCAAATATTATATTTAAATAACCACTTTCTTCAAATGATATTAAAGGGCTTTACAAATACTATTTCTTTAATCTTTCATAATGTCTAGAGCTCTGAAAGATGCATTAATATTTTATTTGTACATTTGCTTGCATCTTGTTCAGAGCTTCAGTCTCAAGTCTGAAGAATTTTTTAAAAGAATATAAAACATTGTCCTTATTCTTAAGTATTCTTACCTGTTCATACTTTTAGCATACATAAATAACAGTGACTCTTCCCTTTTTAATTCATTTTCCAGATGAGTTCCATTTATTCTAAGCCTGGATAAAATAATGTACAGCTTGTGGTAGTGGAAAAAAAAACTGGGCTTAGAAATAGACCACAGTTGGATTTCTGGATCCATCGTGTACTGGCTATGTGACTGTACAGACCTTTAACATCCTTGAGGCTCAATTACTTAATTTAGTATGTAAAGATAAATAATAAAATATTGTCATTATTATGAGACTCAAATGAGATGGTGGATATTTAAAATACTTTGAAAATGTAAAGGATTATGCTAATTCTACCTCCGATAAAGCTATTAATGTAAGTGAATGTGTATTATAATTCACAACAGAGAAATAATTTGTGCATTTTTTTCTTTTTCCTTTTGAGGTATAAAATAGCATCCTAAAAATTCAATATATAATTTAAATCTTTCTATTAAAATTAAGAATAGGATATTAGAATATCAATGTTGGAATAGACCTTAGAGATAATCTAGTCCATCCCACATTACTGTATAAAAGGGGACAGTGAGGCCAAGAGGAAAAATAAACTTTTTTTAGGTTATACAATTAGGCAGTGGTAAAATCAGGATTGGAACTCTGGTCCCCTTTCTTCCCATTCAATGTATTTCCTACTCTACTACAATGTCTTACCTAAATGGTCCTGTTGGGCTTTGTTATGAAACTACTGTTCACCTCTAACTTTTCATTCACTGCTTTGAGCCAAGATTTTAATATGAACTGTTAAGCAGGCTTCTCCTTGGTGGTAGATTACTTTTCACAAAGAGAATGACCTAGAAGGCAATTCTTTCACACATTTTACCTTCCTGCCAGTAGATTGTAAACTATTGCATGGCTGCTGGGGCAACAGGTAGGACAACCAGAAAATGTGACCCAAGGCTGAAGGTCATGTTATTTTTTCCTTAGGGATATATAGATATTGGTCTTGCTGGAGCAACAAATAGAAAATAAGTTAGTGACTAGCATATGGTAAATATTCCTTTAGTGTTCATTTTATTCAATTTCTCCTCACATTATGATAGAATGTTATTGCCTACAAAGTACTTTCATATTTTTTATTTCAAGTTATTTTCACAACAAATATATGAGGTAAGGATTATTCTCATGTTACAGATGAGAAAACTGAGACTCCGAGAGAGTAAATTAATAGCCAAACTTTACACAGTAAACAAGAGAACTAAGAGTTCAACCTAGATTCTCTGACCTCAAATGAAGGGATCTTTCCACTATACCATAATGGCCTATGATTTTGCCATACTTAATGAATTCTGAAAAATATTACTAAAGATGCGACTACAAATTAATAAATGCCATGTGGAAGAAGTTCTAAAGATTGTAACTAAACAAAAACAGACATATCTTAACCTTTCTTCGAAACTATATGAATACTTTTTTTCTTCCTCTTCTTTTTCTTTTTCAATATAGACGAGGGTCTCACTATGTTGCTCAGGCTGGTCTTGAACTCCTGAGCTCAAGTGATCCTCTCGCTTAGGCCTCCCAAAATGCTGCGATTGCAGGCATAAGCCACCATGCCCAGACAGCCACCAAGCCTGGCCAGGTACCTAAATACTCCTAAATTATAAGAAGAGGCTTCAATTGCTTAGACTGATCAAGTGTCCAAAAGTATGCAACACAAGTCTAGAATCAGTCAGAATTAACCTTGCATTGCTGATTTAGCTAAACAAACAGATCTCAAAAGTTGGAAAGGCTTGATTCTACACTTACAAAGGATACACTTATTCTGGAAATTTTGGTTCTCACTTATGTATTAATAATATATGGAAAAATGCAGAAGGAAAAAAAAACATAGATGCTTTATTCCTGAGAATGGATGCTTCTTTCTCTAGTGCAATTTTTTTAAAGTTGCATATATTGTGGTTGTAAAGTATTTTCTGAATATACCACGTGAAAAACTTTCCTCCAAAAACTAAATAAAGTAGGGGCACAATGAAGTAGAGGTAGAATTCTTCATAAGAAAAGCATGAAATGATAGTCACAGTTTTCTCTTAGATATTTAGATCTTTCTAAGCACAGAGTTAGAAGTCAGAGAGATTTGGATATAAAACAAAACCCTAAACTTAATATCTATATGATCTTAGGCAAGTCAAATAACCTGCTTAAGATAGTTTTTTAATTTGTAAAATGGAGATGATAATACCTACACCATAGGATTGCTATGAGGATTAAATGTGATAACACATGTAAAGCTCTTGGTACTTGATTTGTAAAGTTCCACAAGTGATATTCCCTTTCCTCTCACCCCTTCCTATGATGATTTCCTGTTAATTCCAAAAGCCTACATATTTTCAACCTAAGAAGATAATTTTATTAACTGAGTTGTTCAGATTTTCACCACCGCTTTGATGCCTCAATCTTTCTGGAAGGAAGCTTCACTTTCTTATAAATAAAATGCCTTAACTTTTCATATTACACAGATTATCTCACTATAGTTTACTCTTTCAAACACACACACACAACAACAACAACAACCACTAAAGTACCCACCTCTTAACACCTCAAAAATGTCCAATGTCTGGCATCGATCCTCAGCATGCTCAATTCTTCTTTGGAGGCCTGTAGTCCACGTCTGTATTTTTTACTTTTGTGACTTATCCATCACAACATGACTTTTATCCTCTGTTGCTGAGGCAGAAATGCCAAAAGGAGTCCATAGCCTTGGGTAAAATAGATTCAATGAGCAGAAGGCAAACCTATGATGAGAACTTGATAAATCGACCACTGAAACACCTTTTACCCATTTAAAGTTCAGTATTATAATTTGGGCAGAAAGATATTTGGATCTCAAAGGCTGAGATAATTGTGCTAATTATTCAATAATTGTGCTAATCCAAGATGTAGCACTTTTTTAGTCTTTTATACATATTGAGCCTGAGAATATTCCACAAGCCTAAGAAAACTTATTTTGTGACTGTAAGATTCAGTCTAAAAGAATAATAGCTGAGTTACATGTATAATTTTGAACTATATTTACATAAATTATAAATAATACCATTTTTCAAAAAGAGAACCACGGATGAACAGTGAATTTAATAACTATTATCTAAATTTTATTAAGTAGCAAAATGTTTTTATATATATCCTATGATTTACAGATTAGGTATGACTACTTCCTCTTTTTGACCTTTTATGCAAAACAAAATAAGATCATAAATCTTAAAAGACCACAATTTAGAATAAACATGAATTCCTAACTACTTGAAATACATCACATTTTCACCATGAGAATTTTCTGATCCAATTAAATGAAAAGACATTTGCAGTTTACAAACTTGACAGAAACATACAAACAAAAAAACACTTGAATAAGAATAGCCATCCCTTTCTACCTCACTCCAAAATAAAATAAGTCATTTTGAGAACATTAAAATTAAAATGTTAATCGTTACACTAATAACCACTTGACATTTTATAATTTTAGGTGGTTCAAAAAATGTTTTCTATCTAGAAGTCAGATCATTAAACTATGGTCCAGAAGCAAAGTATGGCCTAACAAAGGTTTGTGGAGGGTCTTATTATTCTTCCCACTACCCAGCTTTGGGAATTTTTCCATTCCTTAAAGATTACTTTTAGTAGTATAGTGACTGTGTTTTCCAAACTCCAAATCAGGCCATAAATTCTGACACATGAGGGTTTTGTGTTGTTTCTTGGTGCCGGATGCAATCCAGGAGGTGTAATTTAGATATCAAAAAATTAGAATTTCAGGACACATGAAATTAAGACCTCCTAAGGGTGTGTCAAGAAAATAAATAGATAAAACAAAAGAAAAAAATTAGAAGTTTTGGGATATTCTGAAGGTTTAGAAAGATAATGAAAGGGAATATTTGAAATTAAGAATGCCTTGGAAAATTTGTTTACTGTGTGAATAAAACATCTGAATCAAGGTTACTGGATAGGTAAAAAAAAAATCAGTTAAAATCGAGAAGAAACTGGAAATCTTATTTAATCTGAAATTATTAGAAAGTATATTCCACAGTTCATTTATACATAAGCAAATTTCAAAAAAATGGTATGTAGCTTTATGTAAATATACTCATAACTCTCTATTAGATGTGCGACATGTTCAAGAGTGAGGTGCTTTTCTAGAGTTGATATTGTAGGGATCTGAGGGTTACTGTCCAACTTTGTATTATCAACCTGTGGAAAAATCTGTTCCCATGAAGCACTGAGATTTGAGCTGGCCATACTAGCAAACATGTTATTTGCAGCTCCTTGTTGCCACAACTATCATGATGAAAGAGTCAGTCTTGTGTACCTATATCTGCTCCTGAGAAGTCCCCTTCTGATTCTACAGTTTTAATGATTTATAGATGCAATAACAATATCTTTGTGGGTAGCCAAGAAAAGGGTCACAAGTTGCCTCCACAGTCAGGAAGGACACTAAGAAGAAAGTTCTGACTAGCTTTCATTCTGCTATACTGAGCTTCACGAGGACAGGGTGAGTGTTATTCATCTCTAAGGCCCTGTGCTAAGCCTTACATGTAGTAGATGCTCAATAAATATCTGCTAAATATCTTGTAAGATCCTCAAGGGAGAAAGCATTTTCCTGATCTTCCAAGTTTTTCATTATGTACTCATCACTGAATAGTAGCTATTTTTGTGAGTTGACTGTCATCACATAGGTAAACATAATAAGAAGCAATGTTTTGAAGAAGCAGATAAAGTGAGTCACATAATAGTGCAAATGTAGATATGTATCCTAGAGGAGCTTCTACTCACCTACCTTCCTGTGTAACCAGGATGAAGGAGATAGGTGGTCGTTATCTCTTCTTTCAAGTATCACCTGGGAAACCCATCACTCTTAAAAGAAGCAGTGGTATCTTGCAACTTGGCTATTTAGTCTATTTCCTTGTAGAGGGGTAAAAACAAGCAGAATTGGTGACTGTTAATTACATAAACCCCTCGGAGTTAAATCTTTATAGAAGACAGAGGTAGTGAAAGTGATTAAAAAAGAATATTAGCCTTTGCTAGCTTTTCAGAAATTAATCCTCAAGATTGTCTGACTAGACAGACAGAAAGAGAGAGGGAGGTAAACTAAAATAAATGTGGCATAGCAATGACAAAGAACAAATACATATACAAACACAACATGATCCAAAGAATTTTCTAAAATTCATAAGCAAGTTAAAGGACTATCTGTCAGGACAGATGACCATCATGAAGAAGAAACAAGCTTCTATTAAAAGAAGAAGCCAAATAAGCCTACTTCCACCACTTGGAAAAAAGCACCATTCTCTTTTGTAGAACTGACAAACCAGAAACCATTTTTCCCCTGATGGGGAAAACCACCTTTCTTCTGCTTGGGCTTTTTTTTTCTTTCATTCTATATTTACCAAGAAATATATTGCTGCGATAGACAGTTCAGGTATAGCAAATCATCAATATAGTTTAAGCCAATAAAAGCCAAATTGAGACTATTAAGTAGCCTAATGCTGTGTAACAGTCCAATGCTTGATTTACTTAAATATATATATTCTTTGGTGAAATTAGCTTCATTCAGTTTTATGTTTTTTGTTTTTCAACTAGGCTGTTTATTTCCCCTGGGTGCAGGAGGGTTGAGTCCAAAAAGAGAGTCAATGAAGGGAGATCGCAGTGGGGTCGTTTTATAGGATTTGGGTAGGCAATGGAAAATTACAGTCAAAGGGGGTTGTTCTCTGGCGGACAGGGGTGGGGGTCACAAGGTGCTCAGTATGGGAGCTTCTGAGCCAGGAGAAGGAATTTCACAAGGTAATGTCATCAGTTAAGGCAGGAACAGGCCATCTGGATGTATACGTGCAAGTCACAGGGGATATGATGGCTTAGCTTGGGCTCAGAGGCCTGACATTCCTGTCTTCTTATATTAATAAGAAAAACAAAACAAAATAGTGGTGAAGTGTTGGGGTGGCAAAAATTTTGGGGGATGGTATGGAGAGATAATGGGCGATATTTTTCAGGTCTACTTTGAGCGGGATTAGGGGTGGCATGGGAACCTACAATGGGAGATATTAAACTGAAGGAAGATTTCGTGGTAAGGGGTGATATTGTGGGGTTGTTAGAAGTAGCATTTGTTGTATAGACTCATTGGTGATAGCCTGGATGCGGTTTTGTATGAATTGGGAAACTAAATGAAAGACACAAGGCCCAAATAAGAGAAGGAGAAAAACAGGTATTAAAGGACTAAGAATTAGGAGGACCCAGGACATCCAATTAGAGTACTCAAGAGGGTTCAGTGTAATTACTTGCTTGGTTGGTGAGTTTTTGGGCTCTATCCTTGACAGAATCCTCCTTTTTAAGTTGGAGGCTGAGCTTGGTGAGGTGTGCTTTTAAAAGACCATTAGTCAGTTCTACCTTTCCTGAAGATTGAGGATGGTAAGGGGTATGAAGGTTCCACTGAATACCAAGAGCCTGAGAAACTGCTTGGGTGATTTGACTAACAAAGGACAGTCCGTTATTGGACTGTATAGAGGTAGGAAGGCCAAACCCAGGAATTATATCTGACAGAAGGGAAGAAATGACTGTGGTGGCCTTCTCAGACCCTGTGGGAAAGGCCTCTACCCATGAAGTGAAAGTGTCTACCCAGACCAAGAGGTATTTTAGTTTCCTAGCTTGGGGCTTGTGAGTAAAGTCAGTTTGCCAGTCCTGGGCAGGGGCAAATCCCTGAGCTTGATGTGTAGGGAAGGGAGGTCACAGGGCCTGAACAATCCCTGAGGAGTAGTAGAATAGCAGATGAAATACTGAGAAGTGATTTCCTTGAGGATAGATTTCCATGATGGAAAAGAAATGAGAGGTTCTAAGAGGCGGGCTAGTGGCTTGTAACCTACAAGGAAGACGTTATGAAATGACAACAGAATAGAATGGGCCTGTGAGGCTGGAAGGAGATATTTTCCTTGGTCCAAGAACCATTTGCCTTGTGTGTGAAGAGACTGATAGGTGGAAGTGACCGGTGCCAAGGAGAAAAACTGCCATGAAGGATAGAAGTTGGAACACTAGCTGCTTTTTTAGCTACATTATCAGCATAAGCACTGCCCTGAGTGATGGGATCTGATGCCTTTTGATGGCCCTTGCAGTGAATGACTCTAGTTTTTTTTTTTTTTTTTGGAAGTAAAGCTACCTTGAGAAGAGTTTTTATTAAAGAGATACTAATGATGGAGGACCCTTGTGTAGTGAGGAAACCTCTTTTTGCCCATATAACAGCAGGGTGGTACAGGATATGGAAGGCATATTTAGAGTCAGTATAAACATTGACATGTAGTTCCTTTGCAAGAGTGAGGGCTCGAGTTAAGGCAATGAGTTTGGTTTGCTGAGAGGTAGTGGAGCGGGGCAGAGCGGTAGCCTCAATGATAGATTTCGAATATACTATAACATAGCCTGCCTTTGCTGGTGTGTAGCGATTAGGCCTGGTGGAACTGCCATCAATAAACCAGGTGTGATCAGGGTGAGGAATAGGAAAGAAGGAAATATGGGGAAATGGAGTGAATGCCAGGTGTATCAGAGAGATACAGTCATGGGGGTCAGGTGTGGTATCAGGAATAATGTGGGAGGCCGAATTGAAGTCTGGGCCAGGAACAATGGTAACTGTGGGAGACTCAACAAAGAGTGAGTATAGCTGAAGGAACTGGGGAGCACAAAGTATATGTGTCAGGTGTGAGGAAGAAAATAGATTTTGGAAGTTATGAGAACTGTAGAGAGTGAGTTGAGCATAGTTTGTGATTTTGAGGGCCTCCAAAAGTATTAGGGCGGGAGCGGCCGCTGCATGGAGACATGATGGCCAGCCTAAAACAGTAAGGTCAAGTTGTTTGGACAAAAAGGCTACAGGGTGCAGTCCCGGTCCTTGTGTAAGAATTCTGACTGCATAGCCCTGCACTTCAGCTGTGTGTAATGAAAAGGGTTGGGATGAGTCAGGGAGAGCTAGTGTGGGAGCAGTCTCTAAAGCTGTCTTCAAGGAACGGAAACAGGAGTGGGGAAAGGATTTAGGATCTATGGGATCAGCTAGATTTCCTTTTGTGAGTTTATATAATGGTTTTGTTAGGATGGCAAAAACAAAAATGGTTTTGTTAGGTATCCAAAGGTGAAAGTATCCAACCATGCCCAGGAAGGAAAGGAGTTGTTGTTTTGTAGAAGGGGTCAGCGTTTGAGAGATCAATCGGACACAAACGGCAGGGAGAGCAGGTGTGTTTTTATGAAGAATTATGCCGAGGTAGGTAACGGATGGAGAAGAAATTTGAGCTTTGGAGGGGGATACCCGATATCCTTTGGAGAATAAATGTTGAAGGAGCAGGAGGGTGTCTTGTTGAGAAGATTCAAAGGAGGGGCTACAAAGTAGAAGGTTATCAATATATTGAATAAGGTGAGAAGCAGAGGGGTGGAAAGAAAGTAAATCACGAGAAAGAGCTTGGCTGAAGTAATGAGGGCTGTCCCTGAAGCCTTGCAGCAGTACAGCCCAGGTAAGTTGCTGGGACTGATGGGTGTCAGGGTCAGTCCAAGTGAAAGCGAAGAGAGTCTGGGATGAAGGGTGCAAAGGAATAGTAAAGAAAGCATGTTTGAGATCAAGAATGGAATAATGGGTTATGGAGGGGTTGTGAAGGGATGTATTGAGGATAGGAGAGTATATGGGCTTGGCACCACGGGGTGGATAGGCAAGACAATTTGGTTGATAAGGTGCAGATCCTGAACTAACCAAGATTAAGGCTTGTCTAGTTTTTGGAAAGGTAAAGTGGGGGAATTGTAAGGAGAGTTTATAGGCTTTAAAAGGCCATGCTGTAACAGGCGAGTGATAACAGGCTTTAATCCTTTTAAAGCATGCTGTGGGATGGGATATTGGTGTTGAGCAGGGTAAGGGTGATTATGTTTTAATGGGATAGTAATGGGAATGTGATTGGTTGCCAGGGAGGGAGTAGAGATGTCCTATACTTGTGGGTTAAGGTGGGGGGATATGAGAGGAAGATGTGAAGGAGGCTTTGAACTGGGGAAAAGGGCAGCAATGAGGTGTGGCTGTAGCCTAGGAATAGTCAGGGAAGCAGATAATTTAGTCAAAATGTCTCGACCTAATAAGGGAACTGGGCAAGTGGGGATAACTAAAAAGGAGTGTATAAAAGAACACTGTCCAAGTTGGCATCAGAGTTGGGGAATTTTAAGAGGTTTAGAAGCCTGGCCGTCAATACCCACAACAGTTAGGGAGGTAAGGGAAACAGGCCCTTGAAAAGAAGGTAATGTGGAGTGGGTAGCCTCCAGGTATTGATTAAAAAGGAGACGGACTTACCCTCCACTGTAAGAGTTACTCAAAGTGTCTGTAGGCTTTTGAGGCGATCGGGCAGTGTCAGTCTTCAGCCACTAAGCCGAGAAGATCTGGGAAGGAGTCAGTCAGAGAGCCTTGGGCCAGAGTTCCAGGGACTCTGGGAGTGGCTGCTGGGTTGGACAGTCCGATTTCCAGTGGGTTCCCACACTGATGGGACATGGGTCAAAAGGAATCCCGGGCTGTGGGCATTTGTTGGCCCAGTGGCCAGATTTCTGGCACTTGAAGCAAGATCCTAGGGTAGGCAGTCCTGGAGGAATGCCTGGCTGCTGCGGTTCAGATGTTTGGAAGTTATTGTGTGCTGGAGATGTGGCTGGGGTTTGTCTCGCAGTGGAGGCAAGGAATTGCAACTTAGAAATATGTTGCTACTTGGCTGCCTCTACTGTATTATTGTACACCTTGAAGGCGAGGTTAATTAAGTCCTGTTGTGGGGTTTGAGGGCTGGAATCTAATTTTTGGAGCTTTTTTTAATGTTGGGAGTGGGCTGGGTAATAAAATGCATGTTGAGAGTAAGATGGCCTTCCTCTGGGGTCTAGGACAGTAAAGTGTCTAAGGGTTGTTGCCAAATGGGACATGAGCTGGGCTGGGTTTTTATATTTGATGAAAAAGAGTCTAAATGCTAACTGCAGTTTTATGTTTTTACACAAAAATGTTTTTAAGAGGAACAGTAAACCAGAGAGAAGAAACCTGCAGAACTTTGGAGCCTTACTTACATGTGTTATTTGTAATTATATTTTCTAACAATAAAGATATGTTCCAATTTGAAGGCATTATTCGAGTTTGGCCATGTAAGAGTAAAAAATGGACTGGATATTTGAGTGCCCAAAATCTTTTATTGGGGGCAAGAACCCAAAAAATATAATTCAAAGACTGAGTATGAATATTTGTTAATGTGCTAAAAAAATCAACAATCAGTCATGATGATATTCTTGTCACCCCTTATACTAGCCTTCTGTGTTTCACAGGAAGTAAATTATCAAACACAAATGAACCTTCCAAGAATGTCAAAATGTATCAGTTATTAGCTAAGGACTTAAAGAAAAAGTTCTAAGGCTATGGCTTTCTTTAATATGATAACACATGTGAAGAAAGAAAAATTAAAATTTCAGAAAATATAGTTTCATAGGTGCAATCAGAAAAAAATCAAGAAGTTAAAAACCAATAAAATGTCATAAAATTATAGCTTACCAAATAATTCCATATATTTACCTCATTTGAGTTTTAGAACCAACATATAAAAAAGGGAAATATTATTTCCTTCATTGTCTAAATAAGAACAGTGACAAATTTTAATGTTACTGTATTTATTCTAACTCATGAAACTCCAGAACTGAAATACAGGTCTTCTGATCTCTAGTACAATTTTTCTTCTGCCTGATAGAATGCATATACCACAATTTGTTCACTCATTCAACTGTGATGAACCTTTGAGTTATTTCCAGTTTTACAAATTAAGTTGCTATCATTATTTGTATACAAGCCTTTGTGTAGATATATTCTTTTATTTGCCTTGATTAAATATCTAAGAATGAAATGACTGATCCATATGGTAGTTGTATGATTAACTTAAGAAGCTGCCAAACTGTTTTCCAAAGTAGTTGTATCAATTTATATTTCCATCTGCAGCGTTTGTAGGAGTTCTAATTGCTCTATATCCTTGCTATTGTTTTATATGGTCCATTTTTAAGCCATTGTAATAGGTAAGTGGTAGTATCTCATTGTGGTTTTAATTTGCATTCCCCCAATAGCTAATGATACTGAGCTTCTTTTCCTGCATTTATTTGCTATTGCTATCTCTTTTATGGTGAAGTGTCTATTCAAATATTTTGTGTTTTTAAAATTGTTTTCTTATTGTTGAATTTTCACAAAACAGGTTTATTGAAGTTTAATTCATATAACATACAATTCATCCAGTTAAAGTACAAGAATACCTTGAAAATATTGCATATTCAGTTCCAGACCACTACAAGAAAGCAAATATTGTAACAACGTAAATATCACAATAAAGTGACTCACATGATTTTTTAGTTTTCTATTTCATTTAAAAGTTATGTTTACACTCTATTGTAGTGTATGAAGTGTGCAATAGCATTATGTCTAAAAAATGCACACTTTTTTGAAAATATTTTATTGCTTGCCTGAAAATGCTAACAATCATCTGAACCTTCAGTGAGTTGTAATCTTTTTACTGATGGAGGGTCTTGCCTTGATGTTTATGGCTGCTGAATGATCAGGGTGGTGGCGCCTGAAGAATGAGGTAGCTGTGGCAATTTCTTAAATTTAGAAAACAATAAAGTTTGCAAAATTCATTGGCTCTTTCTTTTATACCATTTCTCTACAGCATGTGATTCTGGTTGATAACATTTTATCCACAGCAGTACTTCTTTCAAAATTAAAGTCTATGTTCTCAAACCCCACCGCCACTTTATCAAATAAGTTTATGTAATATTCTAAATCGTTTGTTGTAATTTCAACAATGCTCACAGCATCTCCACCAGGAGTAGATTTCATTCCAAGAAACTGCTTTCTTTGCTCATACATAAAAAGCAATTCCTCATTTATTAAAAAGTTTTATCATGAGACTGCAGCAATTCTGTTACATCTTCTGGCTCAGCTTCTAATTCTAGTTTTCTTGCTATTTCCACCAAATCTGCAGTTATTTTTTCCAGTGAAGTCTTGATCCCCTCAAAGTCATCCATGGGGTTGGAATCAACTTATTCCAAACTCCTGTTAATGTTGATATTTTGTCCTCCTCCCATGAAGTGCACAAGTTCTTAATGGCGAGAATGGTGAATCACTTCCAGAAGGTTTTTAATTTACTTTTTCCCAGGTTCATCAGATGAATCATTATCTCTAGCAACCATAGCCTTATGAAATGTATTTCTTAAATAATAGGACTTGAAAATCAATATTACTCCTTGATCTCTAGGCTGCAGGATGAATGCCATATAGCAGGAAAGAAAGCAGCATCAATCTTCTTATACATCTCCATCAGAGCTCTTGCGTGACTAGATGCATTTTCAATAGAAGTAATATCTTGAAAGGATTTTTTTTTTTCTGAGGCAGTCTCAACAGTAGGCCTAAAATGTTCAATAAACCATGTTGTAGTGCTGTAAACAGATATGCTGTTATATGGACTTGGTTGTTCCATTTATAGAGAATAAGCAGAGTAGATTTAGCATAACTCTTAAGGGCACTAAAATTTTCAAAATGGAAAATGAGCACTGGCTTCAAATTAAAGTCACCAGCTGCATTATCTCCTAACAAAGAAGTCAGCCTGTCCTTTGAAGTTTTAAAGCCAGGAAATGACTTCTCCTGTCTAGGTATATAAGTCCTAGGTGGCAGCTTCTTTCAGTACAGGGCTGTTTCGTCTACATTGAAAATCTGTTGAAAAGCTTGCCTTCTGCTAGCTTTTGAATTTGTTTGCTCATGCTTTTCTAGTTCTTTTAATTGTGATGTTAGGGTGTCGATTTTAGATATTTCCTGCTTTCTCTTGTGGGCATTTAGTGCTATAAGTTTCCCTCTACACACTGCTTTAAATGTGCCCCAGAGATTCTGGTACGTTTTTTCCTTGTTCTCGTTGGTTTCAAAGAACATCTTTATTTCTGCCTTAATTTCGTTATTTACCCAGTTGTCATTCAGGAGCAGGTTGTTCAGTTTCCATGTAGTTGTGCGGTTTTGAGTGAGTTTCTTAATCCTGAGTTCTGATTTGATTGCACTGTGGTCCGAGAGACTGTTTTTTATGATTTCCGTTCTTTTGCATTTGCTGAGGAGCGTTTTACTTCCAATTATGTTGTCAATTATAGAATAAGTGCGATATGGTGCTGAGAAGAATGTATATTCTGTTGACTTTGGGTGGAGAGTTCTGTAGATATCTATTAGGTCTGCTTGGTCCAGAGCCGAGTTTAAGTCCTGAATATCATTGTTGAGTTTCTGTCTCATATTGACAGTGCAGTGTTAAAGTCTCCCACTATTATTGTGTGGGAGTCTAAGTCTTTTTGTAGATCTTAAGAACTTGCTTCATGAATCTGGGTACTCTTGTATTGGGTGCATATATATTTAGGATGGTTAGCTCTTTTTACTGCATTGATCCCTTTACCATTATGTAATGCCCTTCTTTGTCTTTTTTGATCTTTGTTGGTTTAATATCTGCTTTATCAGAGACTAGGATTGCAAGGGCTGTTTTTTTTTTTTTACTTTCCATTTGCTTTGTTAATATTCATCCATTCCTTTATTTTGAGCCTATGTGTGTCTTTGCACATGAGATGGGTCTCCTGAATACTGCACACCAATGGGTCTTGACTTTTTATCCAATTTGCCAGACTGTATCTTTTAATTGGGGCATTTAGCTCATTTACACTTAAGGTTAATATTGTTATGTGTTAATTTGACCCTGTCATTATGATGCTAGCTGGTTATTTTGCACATTAGTTGATGCAGTTTCTTCATAGTGTTTACGGCCTTTACAATTTGATGTGTTTTTGCAGTGACTGGTACCAATTTTTCCTTTCCATATTTAGTGCTTCCTTTAGGAGCTCTTGCAAGGCAGGCCTGGTGGTGACAAAATCTCTCAGCATTTGCTTGTCTGTAAAGGATTTTATTTCTCCTTTGCTTATGAAGCTAGTTTGGCTGGGTATGAAATTCTGAGTGGAAAATTATTTTCTTTAAGAATGTTGAAGTTCAGCGGTGGTGTTGTCCCTGTCCAGGCCCTGAGTGGCCCTGAACATGGGCAGCCCCTGGTAGCTGCCATAGCCGAGCTGCCAGTGCTGGACTCTCATGGGCAGTGGGTGCCATTTGGAGCTCTCCTCTGGGAGCGCCACACTATGGTAGTGTTTGTGCAACATTTCCTGTTTTACATTTGCAAGGAATATGTAGAGGATCTGCCCAAAATCCCGAAGAGTTTCCTACAAGAAGCAAATGTCACTCTTATAGTGATTGAACAGTCATCCTACCATCCTATTGAGTCTTTTTGCAAACTGCCTGGATATTCTCATGAAATCTATTTCACCCTGAGAGGGAAATTTATAAAAGATTGGGAATGAAAAGAGGTGAAGAAATGGCCTCCTCAGGACAGAGCCCCCATGTGAAGTCAAATATACTCTCAGGAAGCCTTTGGAGCTTGTGGTGGGCAGTGACTGGCCCTCTCTTTGATTTTCAAGGAGACCCAGCTCAGCAAGGTGGAACTTTCATTTTAGGTCCAGGTAACAACATCCATTTTATACACCATGAGAGGAATATGTTGGATCACAAACCTATCAACTCTGTTTTACAGCCTGTGGGAGTTTAGCATGTGAACTTTACAAACAGATCTTCAATTATCCATGTGTGAGTTAACATGGTATCTCACTTTCGACTGGACCTCCTGGAATGTGACCTTCAATGCTGGGGTGTAATATCCCTGTGTAGTGTCTAACCTGCTGTCTCTTCCCAGCCTTTGAGGATTTAGGGAAGCATAAAGAGGCCTTGAACCAGTTGAGCTGCATGCTGAGAAGCATCAGTTGTCAAAAATGTGATATATACTTTCATTACTTTCATTTTATAGCTTTTAAAATTTTATACAAAATAACATATATGAATATACAAAATATAACTTTAAAAATTATAAAATCATAAATACCATTTAAATTATTTTACATTATGGTATATACAGTCAATGAAGGAATTTTTTTGGCAATTAATACAAATTCTGATGAAGAATATATAAAGGGAAGGGAGAGCAACACAAGACCATTGTATTCAGTGAAGAAAGCAAAATATTAAATTCTGTCAACAATATAACTGCATTTTTATATGTATATATTTACATTTTTGTGTGCTTAGGAAAAAGACAGGAAATAAACACCAAAATGTTGCCAGTAGGTGTCTCTGTGTTAACATGTCTTTTCTGCATTTCCCAACTGTTCTATAATGAGCATGATTAATATTGTGGGGCCAGGAAAAGCTCTTTAAACATTATCTGACAATTTTATGCCCACAAAACAACCTTCAAAAGTGCAAATTATATAGGTTGCAGTCCATGTTTCCACCCTAATTGCTTTACTCAGAGGAAGTGTGGCAATCTGAACATCTCACATATAACCAGTGTCCACAGCACCTTCTCACTACACACTTGCTATCCATTTCACTAGGATTTTTGGGAATTAGGGGAGCTATGGAGAAAAAATTTGTTTTAGATATTTAAGATATGTATTTAAAATACGGTTAGTGTGCTTTTTGAAAGGGGACTATAAGAATTTTATTTTATTTCTTTATTTGTTTTTGAGACAGAATCTTGCTCTGTCACCCAGGGTGGAGTGCAATGGTGCTATCTCAGCTCACTGCAACTTCTGCCTCCTGGGTTCAAGTGATTCTCCTGTCTCAGTCTCCCAAGTAGCTGGGATTACAGGCACCTACCACTACATCTGGCTACTTTTTGTATTTTTAGTAGAGACAGGGTTTCACCATGTTGGCCAGGCTGGTCTTGAGCTCCTGACCTCAGCCTCCCAAAGTGCTAGAATTACAGGCATGTTCCACCATGCCTGACCAAAAATTGTTTAAATTTTTAAAAACTTTATGACTTAAATGTACACTATGGTTTAGTGTGCATTCCTAGAGAACTGGTATTTCTCACCCCCAAATTGCTCTTATTTGGAAGACTGTTGTCATTTTTATTTTTCTAGAATCTTAATCTGTTTAGTTGGGAAGTGTCCCAGAATTCCTGATGAAAAAAGTGTAGCAAAATCAGAATTTTGGTAATTATTAGCAAGTATAATACTGCTTTGAACTCAATGCTTTTATATGAAGCATATGAAGTTACAAAAAATTAATGTATTAAAATATTTAAATATACTTTCCTGTTTGTATAACCAGGTTTTTATTCAATAAAAATGAAATTTCTCATTTAAATTATTTTAGAAAAAGAATGTTGAATATTGACCCCCACTCTCTTCTGGCTTGTAGGGTTTCTGCAGCGAGATCCACTATTAGTCTGATGGGCTTCCCTTTGTAGGTAACCCAACCTTTGTCTCTGGCTGCCCTTAACATTTTTTTCTTCATTTCAACCTTGGTGAATCTGACGATCATGTGTCTTGGGGTTGCTCTTCTCAAGGATTATCTTTGTGGTGTCCTCTGTATTTCCTGAATTTGAATGTTGGCCTGTCTTGCTAGGTTGGGGAAGTTCTCCTGAATAACATCCTGAAGAGTGTTTTCCAACTTGGTTCCATTCTCCCCATCACTTTCAGGTACAAAAATCAAATGTAGGTTTGGTCGTTTCCCATAGTCCCATATTTCTTGGAGGCTTTGTTCATTCCTTCTCATTTTTTTTCTCTAATCTTGTCTTCAAGCTTTATTTCATTAAGTTGGTCTTCAATCTCTGATATCCTTTCTTCCACTTTATCAATTTGGCTGTTTATATATGTGAATGCTTTATGAAATTCTTGTGCTGTGTTTTTCAGCTCCATCAGGTCATTTATTTTCTTCTCTAAACTGGTTATTCTAGTTAGCAATACCTCTAACCTTTTTTCAAGGTTCTTAGCTTCCTTGAATTGGGTTAGAACAGGCTCCTTTAGCTCAGAGGAGTTTGTTATTACCCATCTTCTGAAGCCTAATTCTGTCAATTCATCAAACTCATTCTCCGTCCAGTTTTGTTCCCTTGCTGGTGAGGAGTTGTGATCCTTTGGGGGAGAAGAGGCATTCTGCTTTTTGGAATTTTCAGACTTTTTGCGCTGGTTTTTCCTCATTTTCATGGATTTATCTACCTTTGGTCTTTGATGTTGGTGAACTTCGGATGGTGTTTCTGTGTGGACGTCCTTTTTGTTGATGTTGATGCTATTACTTTCTGTTTGTTAGTTTTCCTTCTAAAAGTCAGGCCCCTCTGCTGCAGGTCTGCTGGAGTTTGCTGGAGGTCCACTCCAGACTGTTTGCCTGGGTATCACCAGCAGATGTTGCAGAACAGCAAAGATTGCTGCCTGTTTCTTCCTTTGGAAGCTTTGTACTAAAGGGGCACCGGCCAGATGCCAGCTCTCCTGTACAAGATGTCTGTCGACCCCTGCTGGGAGGTGTCTCCTCATCAGGATACACAGGAGTTAGGGACCCACTTGAGGAGACAGCCTGTCCCTTAGCAGAGCTCGAGCGCTGTGCTGGGAGATCTGGTGCTCTCCCTTCAAAGCCGACAGGTAGGAACGTTTAAGTTTGTTGAAGCTGCGCCCACAACCGCCCCTTCCCCTAGGTGCTCTGTCCCAGGGAGATGGGAGTTTTATCTATAAGCCCCTGACTGGGGCTGCTGCCATTCTTCCTGAGATGCCCTGCCCAGAGAGGAGGAATCTAGAGAGGCAGTCTGGCTACAGTGGCTTTGCCAAACTGTGGTGGGCTCTGCCCAGTTTGAACTTCCCGGTGACTTTGTTTACACTGTGAGGGGAAAACTGCCTACTCAAGCCTCAGTAATGGTGGACACCCCTCCCCACACCAAGCTCGAGTGTCCCAGGTCGACTTCAGACTGCTGTGCTGGCAGTGAGAATTTCAAGCCAGTGGATCTTAGCTTGCTTGGCTCCATGGTGATGGGATCCGCTGATCTAGACCACTTGACTCCCTGGCTTCAGACCCCTTTCCAGGGGAGTGAACAGTTCTGTCTCACTGGCATTCCAGGCGTCACTGGGGTATGAAGAAAAACTAGCAGTTTTAATTATATTCAAATCTTTCCTTTGCATTCACAACTTGGCTGAATGTTTGGTGCAAGAGCCTTGCTATCTTGGTTGTCAACATGCCTTCCTCATTAAGTTTAATGATGTCTAGTGTTTGTTCTAAGGTTAGAGACGTGCGACTGACTCTTCCTTTCACTTGAACACTAATTGTAGGATTATTAATTGAGCTAATATCAACACTGTTTTGCCACAGAGAATAGGGATGCCCAAAAAGAGGGGGAGATATGAGGGAACAGTTGGTTAGTAGAGGAAGTGATCTCTGTTTTTGTTTTTGTTGTGTGTTTCAGAACACACACATTTATTAAGTACCCTGTCGTATATGGGTGCAGTCCATGGCATCCCAAAACAATAGCAATTGTAATATCAAAGATCACTTATCGCCCACACACAGTGGATCATGTCTGTAATCTGAGCACTAAGAAGGAGGCCGGGGGGGCAGATAGCTTGAGCTCAAGAATTTGAGACCAGCCTGGGCAACATGGTGAAATCCCATACGCACACACACACACACACACACACAAATTAGCTGGGCGTGGAGGCGCGCACCTGTAGTCCCAGCTACTTGGCAGGCTGAGGTGGGAGGATCACTTGAGCCTAGGAGGTCAAGGCTGCAGTGAGCCATGATCATGCCGCTGCATTCCAGCCTGTGTAACAGAGCGAGACCCTATCCCAGAAAACAAAAATAAAAACAAAGATCTCTTATCGCAGATCACCATAACAGATACAATGATGGTGAAAAAGTTTCAAATACTGTGAGAATAACCAAAATGTGACACAGAGACATGAAGTGAGCATACATTGTTGGAAAAATGGTGCCAATAGACTTGCTCAACACAGGATTGTTACAAACCTTCAATTTGTAAAAAAGGCAGCATCTGGGAAACATAAGGAAGTGAAGCACAGTAAAAACATATGCATGTATAAAGCTTAGTGAGTTTTAGTATATAGAGAATTGTAAAACTATTATCACTATTTAATTCCAAAAAGATTTTATCACCCCCGAAAAGAAACCTATACCCGTGGGCTATCACTTCCCTTATTTTCTTTTTCTTTTTCTTTTTTTTTTTTTAAATTATACTTTAAGTTCTGGGATACGTGTGCAGAATGTGCAGTTTTGTTACATAGGTATACACATGCCATGGTGGTTTGCTGCACTAATCAACACGTCACCTACATTAGGTATTTCTCCAATGTTATCCTTCCCCTAGCCTCCCACCCCCGGGACAGGCCCTGGTGTGTGATGTTCCCATCCCTGTGTCCATGTGCTCTCATTGCTCAACTCCCACTTATGAATGAGAACATGCAGTGTTTGGTTTTCTGATCTTGTGATAGTTTGCTGAGAATGATGGTTTCCAGCATCATCCATGTCCCTGCAAAAACATGAACTCATCATTTTTTATGGCTGCATAGTATTCCATGGTGTATATGTGCCACATTTTCTTTATCCAGTCTATTATTGATGGACATTTGGGTTGGTTCCAAGTCTTTGCTATTGTGAATAGTGCTGCAATAAACATAATTGTGCATGTGTCTTTATAGTAGAATAATTTATAATCATTTGGGTATATACCCAGTAATGAGACTGCTGGATCAAATGTTATTTCTGGTTCTAGATTCTTGAGGAATCACCACACTGTCTTCTACAATGGTTGATCTAATTTAAATTCCCACTGACTGTGTAAAAGTGTTCCTATTTCTCCACATCCTCTCCAGCATCTGTTGTTTCCCAACTTTTTAATGATTGCCATTCCAACTCATGTGAGATGCTATCTCATTGTGGTTTTGATTTGCATTTCTCTAACGACCGGTGATGATGAGCATTTTTTCATACGTCTGTTAGCTGCATAAATGTCTTCTTTTGAGAAGTATCTGTTCATATCCTTCACCCACTTTTTGATGGGGTTGTTTGTTTTTTCTTGTAAATTTGTTTAAGTCCTTTGTAGATTCTGGATATTAGCCCTTTGTCAGATGGATAGATTGCAAATTTTTTCTCCCGTTGTGCAGGTTGCCTGTTCACTCTGATGATAGTTTCTTTTGCTGTGCAGAAGCTCTTTAGTTTAATTAGATCCCATTTGTAAATTCTGGCTTTTGTTGCCATTGCTTTTGGTGTTTTAGACATGAAGTCTTTGCCCATGCCTATGTCCTGAATGGTATTGCCCAGGCTTTCTTCTAGGATTTTACAGTCCTAGGTCTTTTAAGTCATTGTTCCATCTTGAGTTCATCTTTGTATAAGGTGTAAGGAAGGGGTCCAGTTTCAGTTTTCTGCATATGGCTAGCCAGTTTTCCCAACACCTTTTATTAAATAGGGAAAGATTTCCCTATTGCTTGTTTTTGTCAGGTTTGTCAAAGATCAGATTGTTGTAGATGTGTGGTGTTATTTCTGAGGCCTCTGTTCTGTTCCATTTGTCTATATATCTGTTTTGGTACCAGTACCATGCTATTTGGTTACAGTAGCTTTGTAGTATATTTTGAAGTCAGGTAGCATGATGCCTCCAGCTTTTTTCTTCTTGCCCAGGATTGTCTTGTTTATGCGTGCTCTTTTTTGGTTCCATTTAAAGTTTAAAGTAGTATTTTTTTCCAATTCTGTGAAGAAAGTCAGTGGTAGCTTGATGGGGATAGCATTGAATCTATAAATTACTTTAGGCAGTATGGCCATTTTCATGATATTGATTCTTTCTATCCTTGAGCATGGAATGTTTTTCCATTTGTTTGTGTTCCCTCTTATATGCTTGAGCAGTGGTTTATAGTTATCCTTTAAGAGGTCCTTCACATCCCTTGTAAGTTGTATTCCTATGTATTTTATATTCTTAGTAGCAAATGTGAACGGGAGTTCACTCACGATTTGGCTGTCTGTTATTGGTGTATAGAAATGCTTGTAATTTTTGCATATTGATTTTGTATCCTGAGACTTTGCTGAAGTTGCTTATCAGCTTAAGGAGATTTGGGGCTGAGACGATGCAGTTTTCTCAATATAAAATTATGTCATCTGCAAACAGAGACAATTTGACTTCCTCTCTTCCTATTTCAATACAATTTTTTTCTTTCTCTTGCCTGATTGCCCTGGCCAGACCTGCAAATACTGTGTTGAATAGGAGGTGTGAGAGAGAGCATCCTTGTCTTTTGCTGATTTTCTAAGAGAATGCTTCCAGTTTTTGCCCATTAGCTGTGGGTTTGTCATCAATAGTTCTTATTATTTTGAGATACATTCTATTAATACCCACTTTATTGAGAGTTTTTACCATGGGGGGTGTTGAATTTTGACTATTGAGATAATCATGAGGTTTTTGTGATTGCTTCTGTTTATGTGATGGTTTACATTTATTGATTTGTGTATGTTGAACCAGCCTTGCATCCCAGGGATGAAGCTGACTTGATGGCGTTGGATAAGCTTTGTGATATGCTGCTGGACTCGGTTTGCCAGTATTGTATTGAGGATTTTCACCTTGAGGTTCATCAGGGATATTGGCCTGAAATTTTCTTTTTTTGTTGTGTCTCTGCCAGGTTTTGGTATCAGGATGATGCTGGCTTCATAAAATGAGTTAGGGAGGATTCCCTCTTTTTCTATTGTTTGGAATAGTTTCAGAAGGAATGGTACCAGCTCCTCTTTGTCACTCTGGTAGAATTTCATTGTGAATCCATATGTTGTTCCTGGACTTTTTTTTGGTTGTTAGGCTATGAATTAATGCCTCAATTTTAGAACTTGTTATTGGTTTATTCAGGAATTCAACTTCTTCTTGGTTTAGACTTGGGAGGGTGTGTGTCTAGGAATTTTTCCATTTCTTCTAGATTTTCTAGTTTATTTGCATAGAGGTGTTTATAGTATTCTTTGATAGTAGTTTGTATTTCTGTGGGATCAGTGGTGATATACCCTATAATTTTTTTATTGGATCTATTTGATTATTCTCTCTTTTCTTTTTTATTAGTCTGGCTATCTATTTTGTTGATCTTTTCAAAAAACAGCTCCTGGATTCATTGATTTTTTGAAGGGTTTTTCGTGCCTCTATCTCCTTCAGTTCTGCTCTGGTCTTAGTTATTTCTTGTCTTCTGCTACATTTTGAATTTGTTCGCTGTTGCTTCTTTGGTTCTTTAAATTTTGATGTTAGCGTGTCAAATTTACATCTTCTCTGCTTTCTCTTGTGGGCATTTAGTGCTATAAACTTCCCTCTACACAGTGCTTTAAATGTGTCTGAGATTCTGGTACACTGTGTCTTCGTTCTCATTGGTTTCAAAGAACATCTTTATTTCTGCCTTCATTTTGTTATTTACCCAGGAGTCATTTAGCAGCAGGTTGTTCAGTTTCCATGTAGTTGTGTGGTTATGAGTGAGTTTCTTGATCCTGAGTTCTAGTTTGACTGCACTGTGGTCTGAGAGACTGTTATGATTTCCATTCTTTTGCATTTGCTGAGGAGCGTTTTACTTTCAATTACGTGGTCAATTATAGAATAAGTGTGATGTGGTACTGAGAAGATTGTATATTCTGTTGATTTGGGGTGGAGAGTTCTGTAGATGTATATTAGGTCCACTTGGTCCAGAGCTGAGTTCAAGTCCTGAATATCCTTGTCAATTTTCTGTCTCGTTGATCTGTCTAACATTGACAGTGGGGTGTTAAAGTCTCCCACTATTATGGTGTGGTAGTCTAAGTCCCTTTGTAGGTCTCTAAGAACTAGCTCTATGAATCTTGATGCTCCTGTATTGGGTGCATATATATTTAGGGTAGTTAGCTCTTCTCGCTGCATTGATCCCTTTACCATTATATAATGCTCTTCTTTTTCCTCTTTTGATCTTTGTTGGTTTAAAGTCTGTTTTATCAGAGATTAGGGTTTCAACTCCAGCTTTTTTTTTTTTTTTGCTTGCCATTTGCTTGGTAAATATTCCTCCATCCCTTTATTTTGAGCCTATGTGTGTCTTTGCATGTCGATGGGTCTCCTGAATACAGGACACTGATGGGTCTTGACTCTTTATCCTATTTGGCAGCCTGTGTCTTTTAATTGGGGCATTTATCTCATTTACATTTAAGGTTAATATTGTTATGTTTGAATTTTATCCTGTCATTATGATGCTAGCTGGTTATTTTGCCCATTAGTTGATGCAGTTTCTTCATAGTGTCAATGTTTTCACAATTTGGTATGTTTCTGGAGTGGCTGGTACTGGCTGTTCCTTTCCATGTTTAGTGCTACCTTGAGGATATCTTGTAAGGCAGGCCTGGTGGTGACAAAATCGCTCAGCATTTGCTTCCCTGTAAAAGATTTTATTTCTCCTTAGCTTATTTTTTTATGCCTAGAAATTTTATTTTTGATTATTTTTTAATTATACTTTAAGTTCTAGGGTACAAGTGCACAACGTGCAGGCTTGTTACATATGTATACATGTGCCATGTTGGTGTGCTGCACCCATTGACTCGTCATTTACATTAGGTATATCTCCTAATGCTATCCCCCCACTCCCCCCACCCCACCACAGGCCCCGGTGTGTGATATTCCCCTTCCTGTGTCCAAGTGTTCTCATTGTTCAATTCCCACCTATGAGAACACGCAGTGTTTGGTTTTTGGTCTTTGCGATAGTTTGCTGAGAATGTTGGTTTCCAGCTTCATCCATGTCCCTACAAAGGACATGAATTCATCGTTTTTTTATGGCTGCATGGTATTCCATGGTGTACATGTGCCACATTTTCTTAATCCAGTCTATCATTGATGGACATTTGGCTTGGTTCCAAGTCTTTGCTATTGTGAATAGTGCCACAATAAACATACGTGTGCATGTGTCTTTATAGCAGCATGATTTATAATCTTTTGGGTATACACCCAGTAATGGGATGCCTGGGTCAAATGGTATTTCTAGTTCTAGATCCTTGAGGAATCGCCACACTGACTTCCACAATGGTTGAACTAGTTTACAGTCCCACCAACAGTGTAAAAGTGTTCCTATTTCTCCACATCCTCTCCAGCACCTGCTGTTTCCTGACTTTTTAATGATCACCATTCTAACTGGTGTGAGATGGTATCTCATTGTGGTTTTGATTTGCATTTCTCTGATGGCCAGTGATGATGAGCATTTTTTCATGTGTCTGTTGCCTGCATAAATGTCTTCTTTTGAGAACTGTCTGTTCATATCCTTTGCCCACTTTTTGATGGGGTTGTTTGTTTTTTTCTTGTAAATTTGAGGTGTTCTGGTTTTTGGAATTTTCAGCCTTTTTGCACTGGTTTCTCCCCATCTTTGTGGTTTTATCTACCTTTGGTCTCTGATGTTGGTGACCTTCGGATGGGGTCTCTGAGTGGATGTGCTCTTCCTTTCTGTTTGTTTGTTAGTTTTCCTTCTAAAAGTCAGGCCCCTCTGTCACAAGTCTGCTGGAATTTCCTTGAGGTCCACTCCAGACCCTGTTTGCGTGGGTATCAGTAGCAGAGGCTACAGAACAGTAAAGGTTGCTGCCTGATCTTTCCTCTGGAAGCTACGTCCCAGAGGGGCACTTGCCAGATGCCAGCCAGAGCTCTCCTGTACGATGTGTCTGTCGGCCCCTAGTGGGAGGTATCTCCTAGTCAGAATACACAGGTGTCAGGTACCCACTTGAGGAGGCAGTCTGACCCTTAGCAGAGCTCAAAAGCTGTGCTGGGAGGTCCGCTGCTCTCTTCAGAGTCATCAGGCAGGGACGTTTAAGTCTGCTGAAGCTGCACCCACAGCCGCCCCATTCCCCAGGTGCTCTGTCCCAGGGATATAGGGTTTTTATCTGTAAGTCCCTGACTGGAGGTGCTGCCTTTTTTTCAGAGATGCCCTGGTGAGAGAAGGAAAATCTGGCAGTCTGGCCACAGCAGCCTTGCTGAGCTGCAGTGGAGAAATTTTTCTCCACTTCTGTAGGTTGTCTATTTACTCTGTTGATAGTTTATTTTGCTGTCTAAAAGCTCTTTAGTTTAATTAGGACCCACCTGTCAATTTTTGGTTTTGTTACAATTGCTTTTGAGGACTTGGTCATAAATTTTTTGTACAGAATGTAAAAAATGATAATTTTGGGGTTTTTTTCTAGGATTTTTATAATTTGAGGTCTACATTTAAATCTTTGAATCATCTTGAGTTACTTTTTGTATATAGTGAAAGATAGGGGTGCAGTTTCATTCTTCTGCATATTGCTAACCAGGTATTCCAGCAAAATTTATTGAATAGGATTCCTTTCCCCATTGCTTGCTTTTATTGAGTTTGTCAAAGATTAGATGGTTGTAGGAATGTGGTTTTACTGCTGGTTTATGTATTCTGTTCCATTATTCTATGTGTATTTTTTTTTTTTTTTTACTAGTACCATTCTGTTTTGGTTACTGTAGCCTTATAGTATAGTTTGAAGTCAGGTAACAAGGTGCTTCTGGGTTTGTTCTTTTTGCTTAGCATTGCTTTGGCCATTTGGGTGTTTCTTTGGTTCCATATGAATTTTAAAATATTTTTTTCTATTCTGTGAAAAATGACATTAAAAGTTTGATAGGAATAGTTTGAGTCTGTATATTGCTTTGGGTTGTATGAGCATTTTAACAATATTGATTTTTTTTCCAGTCCATGAACAGGGAATGTTTTTCCATTTGTTTTTGTCATCAATAATTTCTTTTAGCAGTGTTTTGTAGTTCTTCATGGAGAGATCATTCACTTCTTTGATTAGATGTATTCCTAGGAATATTTTTGTGTGACTATTGTAAATAGAAACACATTCTTGATTTGGCTCTCACTTGAGCACTGTTGATGTAAAGAAATGTTACCAAATTTTGTACATTAATTTTGTATCATGAAGTTTTATGGAATCATTTATCAGTTCTAAGAGATTTTTGGTGGAGTCTTTCTTTTTTATTGCTTAAACTTTATTTATTTTTTATTTTAAGGTCAGAGTACATGTGCAGATTTTTTATGTACCTAAACTCATGTCATGGGGATGTGTTGTACAGATTATTTTGTCACCCATGTATTAAGCCTAGTACCCATTAGTTATTTTTCCTGATCTTCTCCCTCCTCCCACACTCCACCCTCCAGTAGGCCTTACTGTCTGTTGTTTCCGTCTATTTGCCCGTGTGTTATCATTTAGCTCAAATTATAAGTGAGAACAAGCTATATTTGGTTTTCTGTTTCTGTGTAAGTTTGCTAAAAATAATGGACCCCAACTCCATACATGTTTCTGCAAATGACATGATCTCATTCTTTTTTATGGCTGCATAGCATTCCATGGTGTATATGTACCACATTTGCTTGATCCAGTCTACCACTGACAAGCTCTTAGGTTGAGTCCACGTCTTTGTTATTGTGAATAGTGCTGCAATGTACATATGCATGCATGTGTCTTTATGATACAATGACTTACATTCCTTTGTATATATACCCAGTAATGAGATTGCTAAGTTGAATGGTATTACTGTTTTTAGCTCTTCGTGGAAATGACACACCACTTTCCACAATGGTTGAACTAATTTACTCTATCACTAACAGTACACTTGTTCCTTTTCCTCTGCAATCTCAGCAGCATCTGTTATTTTTAGCCTTTTTAATAGCCATTTTGACTGGTGTGAGATGGTATCTCATTGTGGTTTTGATTTGCATTCTCTAATGATGAGTGATGTTGAGCTTTTCCTCATATGCTTGTTGACCTCATGTATGTCTTTTAAAAAGTGTCTGTTCATGTCCTTTGTCCACTTTTAATGAGGTTGTTTTTTCCTTGTAAATTTATGTTTCTGATAGATTCTGGATATTAGAACTTTGTCAGATGCATAGTTTGCAAAAATGTTCTCCCATTTGTAGGTTGTCTGTTTACTCTGTTGACAGTTTCTTTTGCTTTGCAGAAGCTCTTTAGTTTATATCTCAGTTTTCAGTTTTTGCTTTCATTGCATTCACTTTTGGTGTCTTCATCATGAAATCATTTCCCATTCTTTTGTCCTGAATGGTAATGCTGAGGCTGTCTTTGAGAATTTTTATAGTTTTGGTTTTACATTAAAGTTTTTAATTAATCTTGAGTTGATTTTGTATATGGTGTAAGAAATGGTTCTAGTTTCAATCTTCTGCATATGGATTGCCAGTTATCCAAGTACCATTTGGTGAATAGGGAGTCCTTTTCCCATAGCTTGTTTTTATCAGTTTTGCTGAAGATCATATGACTTAGGTGTGCAGCCTTATTTCTGGGATCTCCATTCTGTTCCATTGGTCTATGTGTCTGTTTTTGTACCAGTACCATTCTGTTTTGGTTACTGTAACCTAGCTTTTTATAGTTCTATGAAGAATGTCATTGCAGTTTGATAGGAATAGCATTGGATCTATAAATTGCTTTGGGCACTGTGGCCATTTTAACGATATCAATTCTTCCTAAACATGAGCATGGAATGTTTTCCTATTTGTTTGCATCATCTCTGATTTCTTTGAGCATTGTTTTGCAGTTCTCATTGCAGAAATCTTTCAACTCCCTGGTTAGCAGTATTCCTAGATATTTTATTCTTTTTGTGGCAATTGTGAATGAAACTGTGTTCCTGATGTGGCTCTTGGCTTGACCGTCATTGGTGTATAAAAATTCTAGTTATTTTTTACATCAATTTTCTATCCTGAGGTTTCACTGAATTTGTTCATCAGCTTAAAAAGCTTTTGGGCTAAGACTATGGGATTGGGATGTTGTAGATGTATAACCATATCATCTCCAAACAGGGATCATTTGACTTTCTTTCTTCCTGTTTGGATGTCCTTAATTTCTTTCTCTTGCCTTATGGATCTGGTGAGAACCTCCAATACTATGCTGAATAGGAGTGATGACAGAGGGCATCCTTGTCTTGTGCTGGTTTTCAAGGGGAATGCTTCCAGCTTTTTCCCCTTAAGTATGATGTTGGCTGTAGGTTTATTATAAATGGCTCATTATTTTCATGTATGTTCTTTCAATAAATGCTTTATAATGAGTTTTTAAAATGAAGCGGTGTTAAATGTTATCAAAATCGTTTTCTGCATCTTTTGAGATAGTCATGTGGCTTTTGTCTTTAGTTCTGTTTGGTGATGAATCACATTTCTTGATTTGTGTGTAGTGAACCAACTGTTTATTCCAGGGATAAGGCTTTCCTGATGGTGTCAGATAAGCTTTTTGATGTCCTGCTAGATTCACTTTGCCACTATTTTGTTGTGGATTTTTGCATCAATGTTCATCAAGGATATTGGCTGAAGTTTTTATTGTTGTTGCTGTATCTTTGACAGGTTTTGGTATCAGGATGATGCTGTCCTCATAGAATGAGTTAGGAAAGAGTCCCTCCTCCTTAATTATTTTGAATAGTTTTGGTAGGAATGGTACCAGCTCTTCTTTATACATCTGGGCAGAGCTTGACTGAGTCAGTATGGTATTGGGCTTTATTTTTTTTAAAATTTGTTTGTAGGCCATTTATTACTGAACCAACTTCAGAACTTATTATTGGTCTCTTGAGGGATTCAATTTCTCCCAGGTTCAGTTTTGGGAGGGTGTATGTGTCCAGGAATTTATCCATTTTTTCTAGATTTTCTAGTTTGTTTCCATAGAGGTGTTTATAATATTCTCTGATGGTTATTTGTATTTCTGTGGGGTAAGTGGTAGTATCTCCTTTGTTGTTTCTAATTGTATTCATTTGGAATGTCTTCCTTTTCTTCTTTGTTAGTCTAGCTAGTCATGTACCTATTTTATTAATTTTCTAAAAAACAAACTCTTGGATTCCTGGATCTTTTGAATTTTTTTTTTTTTTTTGTCTCAGTCTCCTGCAATTCAGCTCTGATTTTGATTATTTCTTGTCTTCTGTTAGCTTTGGGTTTGGTTTGCTCTGCTCTTTGTTCTCTAGTTCCTTTAGTTGTGATGTTAGGTTGTTAAATTGAGATCTTTCTAATTTTTGGATGTGGGCATTTAGTGCTATAAATTTTCCTCTTAGTGCTACCTTAGCTTTGTCCCAGAGATTCCACTATGTTGTATCTGTGTTCTCATTAGTTTCAAAGAACTTGTTGATTTCTGCCTTTTGTTATTTACTCAAAAGTAATTCAGGGGCAGGTTATTCAATTTCCATGTAGTTTTATGATTTTGAGCTATTTTCTTAGTCTTGACTTCTAATTATATTGTGCTGTGTTCCAAGAGAGTGGTTGTTATGATTTCAGTTCTTTTTCATTTGCTAAAGAGTGTTTTATGTCCAATTACGTGGTCGATTTTAGAGTATGTGCCATGTGGAGATGAGAATAATGTATCTACATTCTGTTGTTTTGGGGTGAAGAGTTCTGTAGATGTCTATCAGCCCCATTTGATCCAGTGCTGAGTTCAAGTCCTGAATATGCTTTCTAAATCCAGGTGCTCCTGTGTTGGGTGCATACATATTTAAGATGGTTAGGTCTCCTTGTTGAACTGAACCCTTTACCATCATGTAATGCCCTTCTTTGTCATTTTTTGATCTTTGTTGGTTTAAAGTCTGTCATTTTCTGAAATTAGGACTGCAACTCCTGTTTTTTTCTGCCTTTCATTTGCTTGGTAGATCTTTCTCTATACCTTTATTTTTAGCCTGTGTTTGTCATTCCATGTGAGACTGGTCTGTTGAAGACAGCATATTATTGGGTCTTGGTTCTTTATCCAGGTAGCCACTCTGTGACATTTAATTGGGGAATTTAGCTTGTATACATTCAGGTAGCCACTCTGTGCCATTTAATTGGGGAATTTATCTTGTTTACATTCAAAGTTAGTACTGATATATGTGGATTTGATCCTGTCATCATGATGTTCATTGGTTATTATCCAGATTTTTTTTTTTTTGTGGTTGCTTTATAGGGTCACTGATCTGTGTACTTAAGTGTGCTTTTGTAGTGGCTGGTAACAGTCTTTCCTTTCCGTATTTAGTGCTTTTTTCAGGAGTTGTTGTAAGGCAGGTCTGGTGGTAACTAATTCCCTCAGTATTTGATTGTTTGAAAACGCTCTTATTCTACCTTTGCTTATGAAGTTTAGTTTGGCCAGACATGAAATTCTTGGATGAAATTTCTTTCCTTTAAAAATGTTTAATATTGGGCCCTAGTCTCTTCTGGCTTGTATGATTTCAGCTGAGAGGTCCACTCTTAGTCTGATAGGCTTCTCTTTGTCGGTGACCTGAGCTTTCTCTATAGCTGACTTTAACATTTTTTCTTTCATTTTGACCTTGGAAAATCTGATGGTTATATGTCTTGGGGATGATCTTCATGTGAAGTATGTTACTGGGGTTTTCTACATTTCTTTAATTTGAATGTTGGCCTCTGTATCTACATTGGGAAAGTTCTCATGGATGATATTCTGAAATATGTTTTCCATGTTTCTTCCATTTTCCCCATCTCATTCAGAGACACCAATGAGTCATAGTATTGGGCTTATTACATAATTCTATATTTCTCAGAGGTTTTATTTGTTCCTTTTCATTCTTTTTTCTCTATTCTTGTCTGACTGTCTTATTTCAGAAAGCCAGTCTTCAAGCTCCGAGATTCTCTCCTCAGCTTGGTCTATTCTGCTATTAATACTTTTGATTGCATTATAAAATTCTTGTAGTGTGTTTTTTTAGCTCTATCAGGTGGGTTACATTCTTTTCTATTCTGGCTATTTTGTCTGTAAGCTCCTGGGCCATTTTATTTTGATTTTTAGCTTCCTTAGATTGGGTTTCAACATATTCTGCATCTCAATGATCTTTGTTCCTATTCATATTCTGAATTTTATTTCTGTCATTTCAGCTACTTCAGCCTTGTTCAGAACCCTTGCTGGAGAGGTAGTTTGGTCATTTGAGGAAAGAAGGCACTCTGGCTTTTTGAGTTGTCACAGTCCTTGCACTGGTTCTTTCTCATCTTTGTGGGTTGATGTTCCTTCAATACTTGAAGTTGCTATCCTTTGGATGAGTTTTTTTCTTTTATCCTAATTGGTGACCTTGAGGGTGTGATTGTGATATAAGGTAGGTTCAGTTGATTTGTTTCATTTCTGGAAGATTTTAGGGAACCATGGCTAAGCTCCTAACTCCTGAACTGCCTGCTCTAAATCTGGGAGACCTGTATTGGGCCCTAATTTTGTTCTTTGGCTCCTTGAGGTTAGAAACCCACTGCATTGGGGAATGGAGGTGCTGCCAGACCACTGGTAACTACACTCTGATGGGTGGTCCTAGCCAGAGTGTTTCATAGGGTAGTGGCAGCAGGATCCATTTTGCATGTGTCAGCAGCAGTGGCAGTGTTAGGACAATGTGGTGCATGATTGTTGGCTGTGGCAGGGTGCCATCAGGTGCTGAGATACATGTGTATGTGTGGGTGTTCACAGCAGTAGTGGAGGCAGCATGGCTCAAGTAATCAGGATGCCCCCACTGGCAACTGTGTAAGTGGTTGTTCTGGTGGTGGTGTTAGCACAGAAGCAAGGAGCTGGCAGGTGCCATTCTGTGAGATCCCTCTGTGCATTCATGGAGGTAAGGGTGGTCACTCACGTGAGGGAAGGTTCACTGTTCTCTTTCACTTGTTTCACTCTGGCAGCAGTGTTGGTGCAGGAACGGGTCACTGGTAGGGGTTTGGGGTGCTGGTGGGCTCTGTGCCCATCAAGGCTCTGACTGCAATGGTGGTATGTTGGTTGTGGGGGTGAAGTGCACTCCCACCAGCAGTAGTGACAGGTCAGGGTGTGTGTGCATACATGCTCTATCAGAACATTAAAGCCAAAACCCAGCCCCCCACCATGCCAGAAAAGCAATGCAGGGGGTGGCCGTGGGCCTGGGGGAAGCTGTAGTGTAGAGAGGAAGTGGGTGGGCTTGTGTGTGATCATGGGGGCCACCCCACTTGAGCTCTCTGCTAGTCAGGCATGGTTCATCATTGCAAGAGCTATGATCTGAGCCCCCAAAGCACTGCAAACAGGCAAATCCAGGCTGGGGTCCCAGGAAACCCCAGCACACCAAGGGGTGCTCAGGTCAGACTGGCCTTGTCTGATGAGCAAGATCACCCTGTAGAGTTCAGGTCTGACATTTCCCCTAGGGCTAAAATCTCCTATGGGAGCAAATTGAGCCTAGGAGGATAGGCATCACTGGCCATGCTCTGCTACAGATGCTCCTGCAACAAATACTCTGGGACCAATATCAACTGACATGCTGCCTTTACCACTTCTCTAAGCAGCTCTCTTTGCCAACTCAAATGTCTGTGATGTTTGAGGGGTCTTCTCTTGCCAGAATTCCAGAGGCCTGTGGTGAGAGCAACTTGCTTTTTCCCAGTTCAATTCACCCATTTCCCCAAAGTCATTGGGGGCCAGAAATGAGTCCTGGTGCACTGTAGACCCATGCAGTGTTCTCAGCTTCCTCCCACTTCAGCCCAGCTTCAGTGTCTTCCCTCTGTCCATTCTCTATGCCTTCCCTCTGGAGATCTGTTAGAAGTGTGCTAGTAATCCTAGTCCTAGTCTCTTGGTGGCAATTGTTGCTCCTGTTTGTGTGTAGTTGGCCATCTTTTCCCTGCTTCTTAATGTAGTCTTTAGGGGTTTCTTTAGGTATAGATTCCTTGTCAGGAAAGAAAGATGATTTGACTTCTTTTACTATTTGGAAGCCGTTTATTTCTTTCTCTTGCCTTATTGCTCTGGCTAGGACTTTCAGTACTATGTTGAGTAAAAGTGCGGGCATTCTTGTCTTGTTCCAGTTCTTATGAAGAATACTTTCAACTTTTGTCCATTCAGTATGATGCTGGCTGTAGGTTTGTCATAGAAGGCTCTTATTATTTTGAGATATTTTCCTTCAACGCCAATTTTGTTGAGGGTTTTTGTCATAAAGAGATGTTGGATTTTATTGAAAGATTTTTCCTGCATATATTGAGATGATTTTATGGTTTTTGTTATTAGTTCTGTTTATGTGGTGAATCGTATTTATTGGTTTGCATGTGTGGAACCAACCTTGTATCCCAGGAATAAAGCCTACTTGAGCATGGAAAATTAAGTTTTTGATGTGCTGCCAGATTCAGATTGCTAGTATTTTCTTGAGCACTTTTGCCTTATGTTCTTCAGAGATATTGGCATAGAGTTTTATTTTCTCCTTGTGTCTCTGCCCGATTTTGGCATCAGTGTAATTCTGGCTTTGTAGAGTGAGTTAAAAGGGAGTTCCCTCCTTTTCAATTTATTGGAATAGTTTCAGTAGAATTGGTACCAACTCTTCTTTGTATGTCTAATGGAATTCAACTGTGAATCTATCTGTTCCAGGACTTCATTTGGTTGGTGGGTTTTTAAATTAGTGATTCAATTGTCCAATTTAATATTGGTCTCTTCAGAGTTTCCATTTCTTCCTGATTCAATCTTGGAAGGTTGTGAGTTTCCAGAAATTTATTCATTTCCTGTAGATTTTGTACACAGTTTGTGTACATAATTACTGCTAGCCGACCCTTATGAGAGAGCCTTATGGGAGTTCTAAACATGAAAATGAAAGAATAATACCTGCTACAAGAAAAAAAATAACACTTAACTACACAGTCCAAAGACTCTATTAGAGCAACAATACAATAGAAACTATAAAGCAATCAGCTAGCAACTTCAGGATAGGATCAAAACCTCACATATCAATATTAACCTTGAATGTGTAAATGGTGTAAATATCCCACGTAAAAGGTACAAAGTGGTAAGTCAGATAAAAAACAAGACTGATTCATCTGCTGTCTTTAAAAGACCCATCTCACAAGTAATGACACCCAAAACATTTTTGAATGCCAAATATCCCCTTGTGAGTACTAAGGATTGTTGTGAAGACAGAGAATGTGAGCTGGTGGCAGAAAGCTAGAACATTACTATGTATCCAGAAGGAACTTAATAGATATTTTCAAATTATGTAAGAAATGGTTTCTGATTAATTTTCAAAAAGATCTTTTATCTGTTTCTCCAACTTTAGAATCACTTTTGTACTGGAGAATTATGCACGCTATCAATACCCTTCTAGTTAATTTTAAATTATATATTGAAAAACAATAATTGTATCTACTTGTGGAATAGAAAGTGATGTTGTGATTTTTAAATATAACGTGGAATAATTAAGTCAAGTGAATGAACATGCCCATCACCTCAAATCGCTAACAATTTTAGTAATGGAAACATTTGAAGTTACTTTCAGTGATTTTGAAATGTGTAGTACTCGATTATTAGCTATATCTACCACATTGTACAATAGGCCTTAAAAAAGTCAGGCTATTCTGTCTATGGAGTAGCCATTCTTTTATTCCTTTACTTTCTTAATAAACTTGCTTTCACTTTACTGTATGGATTCACCTAAAATTCTTTCTTGCACAAAATCCAAGAACTCTCTCATGGGGTCTAGATTGGGACTCCATTCTGGTAACATCTTTCTGATGAACCCCAAAGGGACGATACTGAGGAGACCCTTGGCTGAAAGGAAATAGACTGCAGCACCAATTGGCTGACTTTGGGTAAGTGGTGGGGTACCTGGGTAAAGAATGGGATTGGGTTAGAGGTTCAACTTAGAGGAGTTGGAGTCTCTTCTAAGACAGAGAGAGAGTTAAAGACCCCTCTTAATAAAAGGCAAAAATGCTTGACCGAACTTGGGTTCAGGGCTCAACTTAGGAACATTATAGTCCTTCCAAATATTTAGTGGGGTGGAGGCCCCCCTTCTCAGTAAAGTCCCTTTTGGCTAAGAGTGGGTTTGGCAGTATGAGATGTTAACTCCTATTCTTTTTGGATTAATTTGCCTTGCAGTCTTTGCTGATGTCTGTGGATGACAGGATTTGGCATGTACAGGGTCATGGGACATGGGAGCTTTGCTTCTTCCCAAAGGGGGAAACTTGAGAGCTAATGGAACTGGTGGAAGAGGTCTCTTTGCTACTGACAAACCTGGACTTTTGATTCAGTGTTGCTGCAATACGTGGGCCTTTCTCTGGCCTCCCTGAGCTCCTTGCCTTTCCCACTCTGTCACAGACAATGCTTCTCTCCCTTCCTCTCCTTTCTCTTTTGTATATTTTCTGTTACTCAGGGTGACCATCTTGCCCAGAGAACACATGTTGAAACTCCTTCAATCCACTTCGAATAAATTAAAGATGACAGGACACAACCTGGGGCAAATTTAAGTCTTGCCAGTTCGATAATTGGTGCTAAGCAGAGTGGCTAATATCTGTTTTGCCACATGTATTTTGCTCTGGCTGGAGTGGAAAATGTTAATCTAGCTTCCCCAGGCAGTCCACTGGGGGACAACTTGCAAAACTGAGAGTTTTGCTTTTGGTTCCATGATTTTCCTTTGTGTTGTGGCTTGGCCCCCAGGGCAATGGTGTAGCGGGCTGGGTTGCCAGGGTCGCTCAGGGAAGGAAAACCCAGAAGCCTGGCAAGCCAGCAAAAGGGTATGAATTTCTTATCAGTCAGGTTTCCAGCTTCTTTGTTTGTGCAAACTGGTTAAAGGAATGATAAAAATCACTGTTTATCTCCTCTGTACAGTTTTAATTAATAAGAAAAAGGATTCAAGAGGCTAGTCTTAAGCTGTAGTGAATATGTTGTACTTTGTGGTATGAATTTTTCTTTCTGTATCTTTCTGTCAGAAAGAGGGGTCCCTTAGGATAGAACATGGGCCTAGGACCCCTGTAAGCCTGCTGTTCAAGATGGCCTAGCAAACTGGTCAGTTACAAACTATGCTACACTTCCCTGAAAACAAAAACAAAAACAAAAATAAACAAACAAAAAACCTGGATGAAGTTTCCTTCTCATCTTTTTTCATGTCCTTGGGAGCTTGACCTTGAAATGATTTCGTGGTACTTTCCCTTGGTCTCTGCCATCCAGGGAACAGGAATTTTGGGGTTCATGTCGTAATTAGCCCTAAAAACTATCTCGAGCAGTTAAAAGCCTTTGCAAGCTCAAAATTGGCCTGCTCTAGGCTCTCTCTCGGAAGAGCAATGAAAGCTGCCCAATGCTGTAGTCTGGCAGTTAAGGCTTTGCCATTTTACAATGGTACCCGGGTTCTTTTCTCAGCTTAGGGAATGAGTCGTTTCTCATTTGATATCTGTATGACCTTTACAATTTGTTGATTCTATTCCCCTCCAAGAACCGTCTTGAATTTTCCCTTCTCTGAGCTACCTTTGAGGAGTCTAGATTTTGTAAAAACTCTTACCACCTCTTTGAAAATACCTTGTACACTCGTGGTTAAGTTATAACCTTAGTAAAGGCTTATTGGTTTCACTTGAGAGGTTAACTTTGGTAAAGCTAAAAAGCCAGAAATATTGGCTGTTTGGCCTGGCTAAAGTTGGGTAATAGATTTAAAAGGACCTTCTTTTTTAAGCACTATGGTTAAAAGTCAGCTTAATTAAAAGTGGATATACGAGCTCTAACAGCCTGGGACTCCTTCAGAAAAAAAGAGGAGGTGCCACAGACCCCATTTTGAAAAAATCCTCTGTCTTCCTTATGAAACCCTGGGAATTAGAAGTGGATAGCTCCTTCTCAAAATCTAAGGCTTTGTTCTAGTTTGCATTGCATTATCTGATGTATAATACTTTGGGGGTATCAGAAATTACTTCATATTATGAGAGTGCTTTCATGTATAATAACTAGGTAGGAAATATACTTTTGGGGATAGCTTATGGCAGTTATGAGGGAATACTCCACTCTCTGCACGTTCGGATCAGAGAAGCATGCTCTTAGCCACCTGGAAGATACGGAAGTGTCCCCACACTGCCACTGAGAGATAAGACTCCCATGGGGGATGGGGCAATTACAGAATGGGCTGATTGGGTTGCTTTGTAATGAAATGCATGGTAAAATCATTGCCTTGTCTTGTTTCATAGCATTTCTCTTTTTGGAGATCTAAGATTTGATATAAAAATGGGACCCTTAATTTTGGGGGATCTGTTTTTGCCTTCCAGTTGTGCCTGCTTATTAGGTCAGAGAAACTGGCACTTTTCCTCCAAGAGCCCCACCCTGAAGCCAGTAATCCAATTAAAAATTGGCAAATGAAAAATCTTATAACTACTGGATCTTCTTCTGTCTCTCTCTGCATTTATATGTGTTGTGTGTGTGATGTTTATATATAAAGGTGCTCCAATTAATTGGCTTAAAAATATTTTTTTCAGAAAAGCAAAAAATGTAATGCTCTTTAGTTTACATGACTTAAGTAATCTTTGAAAAATAAAAACAATTTTACATGCAAGATGTGCAAGGAAAGTGAAATGTGTTTTTGGTAAAAGATTATAAGAAGGTATGGGAATGTAGATTTTTCTGCCTATATTAAAGGGTTAAAGGATTGTTTTAAGTTAGAGAGGAAAAAGCTGAAGGTTTCAGCAAGTGAAAGGTTGTGAAAAATTAATCTTGTAAAAGAAACTCTGCATGTGAACATATTAGCTAAAGTTAAAGGAGTATTATTCAGTTTTTTCATAAATTGAACATTGGAATAAAAGCACAACGGGGTTTCCTGAGAGCAATGACCTGATCTTTAATAAAAAATTGTAAAGGGTTATAAAAGTTTATAAGAATCTTAACTACAGTCATACTGATTAAGATCGGATACATTTGTCTATAAGGTTTTATTAAGAATTAGGTTTGACATCAATAGTACACTAATGCAATGGTGAAGTATGCCTTTTTTGGTATAAAAATCATACAGGAAACATTGTCAAAAATGAAATGGTTTTTGGCTTTCTTTGGACTGTATTTGTGTAAATATGATATTGGTATGTGTTCCTAATTTGTGAGAAACTCCTATAATTCTGATATGACTTACTGTATGTTATTAATAGTTATAATTGTTGTGTAAAATTGTTGTATGCTACAGAAGGAACCAAAGTTTCCTTATCAATTGTGGTTTTAATAGTGGCTGTCCTAAGACTTTTTGTCATACACAGACAATTGACTTGTTTTGGTCCTCTTTAGAAGGTTGTTTCATAATCAACTATAGAACTCTAACAGGTGTTTTTAAATGCAGGTTTCTGATAACTTTGGAAATTGTGACATTAGAATAGAGGAAAAAAACTTACAGGACTCTGATGGAGAGCCAAAATGTTCATGAATATCAAGCAGGACAGGTGATAACTGCATGGACTGAACTAATAGAAGACTGAATTAATCTTTTTGGCTTTTTGCTTAAAACATTGCTGATCCTTTGTTTTGTTTTTCAGTCAAGAAAACTTTTTTTGGAGAGCTATATACAGCTTTTAACAATTGAGTAAACTATACTGCTGTGAACAAAATTTGGAGGATTTTTTTCTCTCTACCTGATTTCTCCAGAATTTGGAAACTAGTTGTGATTATACTTAACTTATGGCAACATAGTTATTTGCATAAGTACAATAAGAATCTATTTTCCTTTGCAACAGGACACAGTTGGAGAAACTGGTTATTTTACCAAGCTTTGACTGGAATGGTGTGCTTTTCTTTAAGAAATTATACTTGACTTATAGAGCCAATAAAAGCCCCTTGGTAAAACTGGCCCCCTACCTTGTCTACACAGTACCTGTGCATAGTTCCTTACCTGTAGTAAGTAAAGATTGTCACTTTCTGACAGGCCCAGGAGCCCCAAGTTTATATTAGGACCTCAGGAGGAGAAGAATTTACCCAACTCACAGGCATTTGATGGCACAAAACCATGGCTGGGTTCAGCTTTTTAAAAAAAGTCATATCTGAGATTCCTTATGGAACAGAGTTCCATTAAAGACAATTTAAAAAGAGCTTATGTGACAAATAATTATTCTTGCTGCACTTATACAAATAAACAGGCCAAGTATCATAAGCCAAATTGGTCTTACCATGATTTATCTTTAGTACAAATGGGAGACTGGAGAGAGAAAAACTATGTTTCAAAAACTATGTTATCTAATAACAGATACTATGTTATCTAATAACAGATATTATGTTATCTGTTATCTAATAACAGGTTTCAAAAACCTGTTATTAGATTCTAATCTCATCAGTTGTTTTTGAGTTTCTTTTTTCTGCAATTTAGACTGATTGCTTATTTCTGTGAACCAACCAGTCATCTCTGGCTGCATCCCAGAAGAAACAAGAGGGATAGGTAATATAAAAATCCGGATCAGTATCAGTATTCTAATTCTAAACACATACTGGACTCATCTAGCAACCCCATATCAGCTTGGTTCCAACAGTTGCACAGTTCATGGAATGTCTTCTTATTTAGTTTACTTTGGATGATTTTGCTTATTTTGCTTTATTGTTGTAGAATATAGTGCAGTTGCACTCTTTGTGTAGGAACACAAGATAAGCTTACTGAATGTTTTCTTAAATTGAACATTTATTAATCTTCCAGATATCACCTTTTATTGGAACTCAGAGTTAAGCATGCCCCTGGACATACCGATGCTTTCTGACTGAGCTCCTCTCTATCCCAAATATGAGAGACCTTAATAATTAGGGAGGAATATTATTGCCCCTGTTCAGCCTGAAGAAGTTACAGAAGACAAATTTTCATCCCTCTACAACCCTTAAGATTAAGGGTTCTCTTATAAAAGGGAGGGGAGAAATATGTAAGAGGTATTCGAACCAGAGCAACTCCATCTTGAATAGGGGCTGGGTAAAATAAGGCTGAGACCTACTGGGCTGCATTCCCAGGATAAGGCATTCTTAGTCACAGGATGAGATAGAAGGTTGGCATAAGATACAGGTCATAAAGACCTTGCTGATAAAACAGGCTACAGCAAAGAAGCCAGCTAAAACCCACCAAAATTAAGACGGCAACAAGAGTGACCTCTGGTCATCCTTACTGCTCATTATACACTAATGATAATGCATTAGCATGCAAAAAGACACTTCCACCAATGCTGTAACAGTTTACAAATGCCGTGGCAACATCAGGAAGTTACCCTATATGTTCTAAAAATGGAAGAAACACTCAGTTTTGGGGATTGCTCACCCGTTTCCCAGAAAACTCATGAATAATACACCCCTTGCTTAGCATATAATCAAGAAGTAATAATAAATATCTTCAGTTGAACAGCTCAAGCCACTGCTCTGCTTATAGAGTAGCCATTCTTTTATTCCTTTACTTTCCTAATAAACTTGCTTTCACTTTACTGTAAAAATAAATAAATAAATAAATAAATAAATAAATAAATAAACATTAAACTTATTTTTCCTGTCTCACAGGCTTTGTACCCTTAGACTACTATCTTTCCATTCTGTCTACCTCTAGCCTCTGGTAACCAGCATTCTACTCTCTGCTTCTATAAGTTAAATCATTTTAGATTCCATGTATAAATGAGAATATACAACATTTGTCTTCCTGCATTTGGCTTATTTCACTTATCTCAATGCTCTCCAATTTCATCCTTGTTGAAAATAAAAAAAAATTATTCCTTTTAAAAAGCTGAATAGGAGCAAGTAGGGGGTGGTAGTCAGGGGTGCTGAAAGAAGGAGGAGGTAGTGAATCACTTATAAATGATGCCAAAGGAGGAGCCAAAGCCTAAACTCCAGGAGGGTGGGTGAGTGCTGCGCTCTCTTGGACCCCTTTTTTATGAAGAAAAGTGTGTAGAGGTTGCCATAAAGGACAAACAAGTGAAATACTTTGTACATTACAATTGGTGGAATAAAAATAGGGTTGAATCATTCCAGAGAACAGAGTACTCAAATACGTGGACACCAATATGCAGAAACAGAACGTCAAAAAGTCATTCAGGAACAATATGCAGAGGGAAAGATGAGAGGGGCTGCCCCAGGAAAGAAGACATCTTGTGTGTAACAGAAACATGTTGAAGTGAAAACAACAAAAGAAGAAAGAGAAAAAACCTGGAAATGGAGATGGTGGCAGTAACAGTGAGATTCTGCAGCATTTTTGGAAGAAAAGGGCCTGGGTAGATAAAATACTGGCAAACCGAATCCAGCAACACATCAAAAAGCTATCCACCATGATCAAGTGGGCTTCATCCCTGGGATGCAAGGCTTGTTCAACATACAAAAATCAATAAACGTAATCCATCACATAAACAGAACCAAAGACAAAAACCACATGATTATCTCAATAGATGCAGAAAAGGCCTTTGACAAAATTCAACAATGCTTCATCCCAAAAACTCTCAATAAATTAGGTATTCATGGGACATATCTCAAAATAATAAGAGCTATCTATGACAAACCCACAGCCCATATCATACTGAATGGACAAAAACTGGAAGCATTCCCTTTGAAAATTGGCACAAGACAGGGACGCACTCTCTCACCACTCCTATTCAACATAGTGTTGGAAGTTCTGGCCAGGGCAATCAGGCAGGAGAAGGAAATAAAGGGCATTCAATTAGGAAAAGAGGAAGTCAAATTGTCTCTGTTTGCAGATGACATGATTGTATATCTAGAAAACCCCACTGTCTCAGCCCAAAGTCTCCTTAAGCTGATAAGCAACTTCATCAAAGTTTCAGGATACAAAATTAATGTGCAAAAATCACAAGCATTCTTATACACCAATAACAGACAAACAGAAAGCCAAATCATGAGTGAACTTGGGTAGGAAGAATCAATATCATGAAAATGGCCATACTGCCCAAGGTAATTTATAGATTCCATGCCATCCCCATCAAGTTACTAATGACTTTCTTCACAGAATTGGAAAAAACTACTTTAAAGTTCATATGGAACCAAAAAAGAGCCCGCATTGCCAAGTCAATCTTAAGCTAAAAGAACAAAGCTGGAGGCATCATGTTACCTGACTTCAAACTATACTACAAGTCTACAGTAACCAAAACAGCATGGTACTGGTACCAAAACAGAGATATAGACCAATGGAACAGAACAGAGCCCTCAGAAATAATGCCACATATCTACAACTATCTGATCTTTGACAAACCTGACAAAAACAAGCAATGGGGAAAGGATTCCCTATTACTAAATGGTGCTGGGAAAACTGGCTAGCCATATGTAGAAAGCTGAAACTGGATCCCTTCCTTACACCTTATAAAAAAATTAATTCAAGATGGATTAAAGACTTAAATGTTAGACCTTAAACCATAAAAACCCTAGAAGAAAACCTAGGCAATACCATTCAGGACATAGGCATGGGCAAGGACTTCATGTCTAAAACACCAAAAGCAATGGCAACAAAAGACAAAATTGACAAATGAGATCTAATTAAACTAAAGAGCTTCTGCACAGCAAAAGAAACTTCCGTCAGAGTGAACAGGCAACCTACAAAATGGGAGAAAATTTTCGCAACCTACTCATCTGACAAAGGGCTAATATCCAGAATCTACAATGAACTCAAACACATTTACAAGAAAAAAACAAACAACCCCATCAAAAAGTGGGTGAAGGATATGAACAGACACTTCTCAAAAGAAGACATTTATGCAGCCAACAGACACATGAAAAAATGCTCATCATCACTGGCCATCAGAGAAATGCAAATCAAAACCACAATGAGATGCCATTTCACACCATTTAGAATGGCAATCATTAAAACGTCAGGAAAGAACAGGTGCTGGAGAGGATGTGGAGAAATAGGAACACTTTTACACTGTTGGTGGGACTGTAAACTAGTTCACCCATTGTGGAAGACAGTGTGGCGATTCCTCAGGGATCTAGAACTAGAAATACCATTTGACCCAGCCATCCCATTACTGGGTGTATACTCAAAGGATTATAAATCATGCTGCTATAAAGACACATGCACATGTATGTTTATTGCAGCACTATTCACAATAGCAAAGACTTGGAACCAACCCAAATGTCCAACAATGATAGATTGGATTAAGGAAATGTGGCACATATACACCATGGAATACTATGTAGCCATAAAAAATGATGAAATCCTGTCCTTTGTAGGGACATGGATGAAGCTGGAAACCATCATTCTCAGCAAACTATCGCAAGGACAAAAAACCAAACACCGCATTTTCTCACTCATATGTGGGAATTGTACAATGAGAACACATGGACACAGGAAGGGGAACATCACACACTGGGGACTGTTGTGGGGTGGGGGGAGGGGGGAGGGATAGCATTAGGATATATACCTAATGCTAAATGAGGAGTTAATGGGTGCAGCACACAAACATGTATACATATGTAACAAACCTGCACATGGTGCACATGTACCCTAAAACTTAAAGTATAATAAAAAAAAAGACAAATAAAGACAATGTGATACATATAAAAAAAAAAGAAAATGAGGAAACATTTATGAACAGAGTTGAAGATAAAGTAAAGATTCCTGAAGAGCTAAAACTATGGCTAGTTGGTGACTGGGACTTAATTACCAGCAAAAACAGCTCTTTTATCTTTCTTCCAAGAAGAATGTGGGTTTCATTATAAAGGATCATGCAAATTACAAGAAATCTCATGGAAACACAGATAATGACTATGCCGTTAATGAAGTTATGCCAGGGATAAAAGAATACTTCAACTTAATGTTGGGCACCCACCTACCCTACAAATTTGAGAGCATAGTATGCTGAAATTCTTGCAGATCACCCTGATGCAGCCATGTTCCAAGTGTATAAAGTGCCATATCTACTGAGATTATTTGTATAAATTGGAGCAATGTTGGCCTAGACACCGCTGGATGAGAAAAGCCTTGCTTTATTACTGAATTATCTTCCTTATTTCCTAAAGTACCTGGCAAAGAATTCTGCAACTTTGTTTAGTACCAGCAATTATCAAGTGGCTCCTCCTGAGTACCACTGTAAAGCTGTGTGAGAGGCACTATCACTCAGTTATGTTTGGATCTATGTAAACATATTTTTGTTGTTAGTCTTTCTCTTGTATGAACGATGTACTTTGAAGAAGTTAGTGCATAACAGAATTGATGTTTGTTTTCTGTTTGATTTTAAACAGAGAAAATAAAAGGGGTTATAGCTCGTTTTTTCTTTTCTTACCTTTTTAAAATTTCAAAGTTGCTAGTGGTGTATTCAGTGATGGACGACAGAGAAACATGATATAGAGTGTTTTATTGCCCAGTTTATGAAGCTGTTTTTGAATGCTGTTGTTTCTATTCCTTTGACACTATGCCCTTTTATAATACCTGGTAATCCTATATGACAAAATGCTCTCATTCCTAATACCAAAGGTTCAATTCATTGTAACAACTGAACATACTCAATCATTTGTGCTTCTTTTTTTATGGTGCATAAAGAGCTCATCCTTTGCAAGTCATCCATGTTTTTCTTTAGAGATTTTATCTTTGCTCAGATTGTTGGAGAATGGTGGCTTGTTTCGTGGTTTTTGTATTTGTGTCTAATGCAAATTTTAACATAATAGACACAATGTATGTATACCTAGTTTTCTGGAAGAATCAATCTTTTAGGAATTGTTTTAAAAATCTTCGATAAAATTTTTAAAAAATTCCCAAAAAGCTAAACAGTATTACACTGTATGTATATCTATATATCGATATGTAGATACAGATATAGATCTATGTATATTTGTATATATCTATATATATCACATTTTCTTCATCCATTCATGTGTTGATGGACACAGGTTGATTCCATAACTTGGCTATTGTGAACAGTGCTGCAATGACATCTTTGAAATACTGATTTTAAATCTTTTGGGTAAATTCCTAGAAGTGGGATTGCTGGATCATATAGTAATTTTATTTTTAGCTTCTTGAGGAGTCTCCACACTGTTTTTCATAATGACTGTACTAATTTATATTTCTCCCAACAATGTACAAGGTTTCCCTTTTCTCTCCATCCCTGCCAAAACTTAATCTTTGTCTTTTTGATAATAGCCATTGTAAGAGAAGTGAGGTGATATATCACTGTTGTTTTAATTTGCATGTCCTTAATGATTAGTGATTGTGAGGGCTTTTTCATATATCTGTGGGCCATCTGTATGTCTTCTATTAAAAGTCAGGTTTCTAGCCCATTTCTTTTTAAAAATTGAGTTAAATTTTATTTTATTATTTGAAGTTAATGTGATTATTTAATACATTCATATAATTTGTAAAGATGTAATCAGTGTGCTTGGTATATCTATCACTCTAAAAAAGTTGTGTTTTCTTTATGTTAGAACCATTCAAATTCTTTCTTCTAGCTATTTTAGAGTAATACACTAGATTATTGAAAACTATGGTCATGCTGACAATCTATCTAACACTAGGTCTTTTTTTTTTCTATCCAAGCATATATTTGTACCTATTAATCAACTTCTCTTTATCGTCCCTACCCTATACTATTCCTGGCCTGTGGTCACCCCTTATCTGCTCTCTATCTTCATGAGTTCCACCTTTTTATCTTCCATGTATAAGTGAGAACATGCAGGATTTGTCTTTCTGTGCTTGGCTTATTTCACTCAACAGTAATGACCTCCAGTCTCATCCATGTTTTTGGCCAATTTCTTAATTGAATTGTTTGTTTTCTTTCTACGGAGTTCATTGGGTTCTTTATAGATTTTGGTCATTAACTGCTTATCAAATATATGGCTTTCAAATATTTTCTCCATATGAGTAGGTTGTCTCTTCACTGTACCATTTGTTTCCTTTGTTGCACAGAAACTTTTTATTTCAATGTAATCCCATATGTCTATTTTTGCTTTTGGAATCAAGTATTAAATAACATTGCTCAGGCCCCTATGCTTTCTTCTAATGGGTTTTGTAGTTTCAGGTCTCATGTTTAAGTCTTTATTTTGAGTTAATTTTTTATAATGTGTCAGACAAGGGTCAAATTTTATTGTTTTGTATATGGATATTTGGTTTCCCCAACACCATTTATTGAAGAGATTGTCCTTTTCTCATTGTACATACTCGAAACCTTTGTTGAAAGTCAATAGACCATATATGTGTGTGTTTATTTATTTATTTCTGGGCTGTATAGTCTGTTCAATTTTTTGATGCATCTATTTTTATTCCAGTTCCATGCTGTTTGAATTACTAGCATGTTGTAGGATAGTTTGAAATCAGTTCGATTCTTTTGCTCATAATTGTCTTAAAAATTGGATATTTTAGGATTTTTTTATATTTTTAAGAAAAATGACATTGGAATAGTGCTGAATTTGTAGATCACTTTGAGTGGTATAAACATTTGAAAAAATAATTCTTCAAATCCATAAACATGGGCTAACTTTTTATTTACTTATTTTTTTCAATTTCTTTCATAAATGTTTTTATAGTTTTCATTATATAGATCATTTGCTTTGGTTAAATTTACTCCTAAGTAATTCATTAATTTATTTTTTGGAATAGTTATTGTAAATGGAATTTATCTCGATTTATTTTTCAGATAGTTCATGGTTAATGTAAAGAAAATCTATTGATTTTTGTTTCTTGATTTTGTAGCCTGAAACTTTACTAAATTTGTTTACCAGTTTTAGCTTTTTAGTGAAATATTTAGAATTTTTTCCACATAAGATCATGACATCTGCAGTTAGCAATAGTTTTACATCTTTCTTTCTCATTTAGATGCCTTTTATCTCCTCTCTAGCCTTATTTCTCTGACAAGTACTTTCAATACTATGTTGAGTGGAAGTGGCAAAAGTGGGCATTTTTCTATTATTCTGGATATTAGGATGCATGTAGAGTGAAAGTCAAAGAATAGAAAAAGGTATTCCATGCAATGAAAACCAAAAGAGATTTGGGGTAGAAATATTTATATAAGATAAAATAAACTTTATGTATAAACAACTGCAAAAAGAGACACAGAAACATTACATAATAACAAAAAGATCAATTTGTTAAAAGAATATATACAAAATTGCAAATTTACATGTACCCAATACTGGAGCACCTAAATATTAATACTAAAGAATCTGAAGAGATAGATTGCAATACAATAAGAGTAGGGTACTTAAATACCCTACTTTCTATAATTATCAGATATTCAAACAGAAAATTAATACAAAACAGAAGACTCAAACAACAGTTTTGATCAAATGGAAACAAAAGACATACAGAGAATAGTCCATCAAGCAGGACTAGAATACACACTCTTCTCAAGTACCCATGAAACATTCTCCAGGATAGACCATAGGTTAAGCCACAAGAGGAGTCATAGCAATTTTAAGAAAACTTAAATCATACGAAGTAACTTTTCAGATGACAATGGTGTAAAACCAGAAATCAATAACAGAAGAAATTTTTAAAAATTCACAAATACATGGAAATTAAATATGTTCATGGGCAACCAAGGAGTCAATAAAAAAAATTAAAAGGAAATTGAAAAACATCTTGAGACAAAAATGAAAACATATTATACCAAACTTATGGAATGCAGCAACAACAATTCTAAGAGAAAAGTGTATTATAATAAATGCTCACATGAAAAAAGAAAGGTCTCAAATAAACAACCTAACATTATGCCTCAATGGAATAGAAAAAAAGAAGAAACTCAAGATGGATTAAAGACTTAAATGCAAAACCTGAAACCATAAAAACCCTAGAAGAAAACCTAGGCAGTACCATTTAGGACATAGGCATGGGCAAAGACTTCATGACTAAAACACCAAAAGCAATTACAACCAAAGCCAAAATTGACAAATGAAATCTAATTAACTTAGAGAGCTTCTGCACAGCAAAAGAAACTATCATCAGAGTGAACAGGCAACCTACAGAATGGGAGAATATTTTTGCAATCTATCCATCTGACAAAGGTCTAATATCCAGAATCTACAGGGAACTTAAACAAATTTACAAGAAAAAAACAAACAACCTTATCAAAAAGTGGGCAAAGTATATGAAGAGACCCTTCTCAAAAGACAACATCTATGCGGCCAAGAAACATATGAAGAAAAGCTCATCATCACTGGTCATTAGAGAAATGCAAATCAAAACCACAATGAGATACCATCTCATGCTAGTTAAAATGGCAATCATTAAAAAGTCAGGAAACAACAGATGCTGGAGAGGAATAGAAGAAATGGGAACACTTTTACACTGTTGGTGGGAGTGTAAATTAGTTCAACCATTGTGGAAGACAGTGTGGCAATTCCTCCAGGATCTAGAACTAGAAATACCATTTGACCCAGCAATCCCATTACTGGGTATATACCCAAGGGATAATAAATCATTCTACTATAAAGACACATGCACACATGTGTTTACTGCAGCACTATTTACAATAGCAAAGACTTGAAACCAACCCAAATGCACCTCAATGGTAGACTGGATAATGAAAATGTGGCACATATATACCATGGAATACTATGCAGCCATGAAAAAGAATGAGTTAATGTCCTTTGCAGGAACATGGATGAAGCTGGAAACCATCATTCTCAGCAAACTAACACAGGATCAGAAAACCAAACACCACATGTTCTCACTCATAAGTGGGAGTTGAACAATGAGAACACATGGACACAGGGAGGGGAACATCACACACCAGGGCCTGTCGGGGGATGTGGGGGCCCCCCATGTCCTGGGTTGGGTCTGATCACCCCATCACTCAACACAATAATAACTGTATATGATAAGGCAACAACATTATACTCAATGTTGAGAAATTAAAACCCTTTTATCTAAGATCCAGAACAACACAGGGATGCCAACTCTCACCACTTAAATTCAACACAGTATTGGAAGTCCTTGCCAGAGTTATCAGCAACAGAGAGAAATAAAATGTATCCATATAGGAAAAAAAGAAGTTAAATAGTTGCTGTTTGTTGACAACATAATCCAAAATAAGAATACAAAATACCAAATACAAAATCACCACACAAAAATCAGTAGTGTTTCTATGTACCAAAAATGAACTTTATAATAATTCCATTAAAATCACTAACACAAAAAATATAATACTTAGAAATAAATTTAACACTGAAAACCATAAAACATTAATAAAAAGTTGAAGAAGTAAAAAATAATTGGAAAAATTATTCTGTGTTTATGGATTGGAAGAATTAATATTAAAATGTTCATAAAACTTAAGGTCACCTCCATATTCAATGCTATTCTGATCAAAATTTCATTATTTGTAAACAGAAACAGAAAAAAAAATTCTAAACTTTGCGTGGAACCAAGAAGAACCCTAAATAGCCAAAGCAATCTTGAGTGAAAGAACAAAGCTGGTGAAATCATACTACCTGATTTCAAAATCTACGACGAAAATACAGTAATCGAAACAACATGGTACTGGCATAAAAACAGACACGGAGACAAATGGAAAAGGATATAAAACCAATAAGTAAATCCATACATTTATGGTTAACTGATTTTCAACAAAGATGTGAAGAACACAAAATGAAAAATGAGCAGTCCCCTCAATAAATGTTGTTTAGGAATGTGAACATCCACACATGCAGAAGAATGAAATTAGTAGCTTGTGTCACACCACACACAAAAATCAACTTGCTATAGTTTTGTCTGTTTAACTCCTCAAAAACTCATGTGGAAATTTAATTTCCAATATTGGAGTTGAGGCCTAATGGAAGCTGTTCCAGTCATGGGGGCAGATTCCTAATGAATAGATTAATGCCATTCTTGAAAGGTGGGGGATGGTGGGTGAGTTCTTGCTGTATTAGTTCCTGTGAGAGCTGTTTGTTTAAGAGAAGCTGGCACTTCCCTCCCATCTCTATTGCTTGCTCTCTCACCATGTGATCCTTGCATGACAGATCCCCTTCAAGTTCGAACATGACTGGAAGCAGCCTGAAGTACTCACAAGAAAAAGATGTTGGTGACATGCTGCTTGTTGTTGCTGTTTTTGATTTTATTTTAGGTTTACGGGTACATGTGCAGGTTTGTTATATAGGGAAATAGCATGTCATGGAAGTTTGTTGTATAGATTATCTAATCACCCAGGTATTAAACATGGTACCTGATAGGTAATCTTTCACCTCTCTCCTTCCTCCCTCCCTACACCCCTAAGTAGCCTCCGGTGATATTGCTCCCTTCTTTGTGTCCATGTGTTCTCATCATTTAGCTCCCACTTAAAAGTGAGAACATGTGACATTTGTTTTTCTGTTTCTGCATTAGTTTTTAAGGATAATGGCATACAGCTCCATCCATGTCCCTGCAAAGGACATGTTCTCACTCTCTTCTACGGCTGCATGGTGTATATGTACTGTTTTTTTTTTTTTATCCAGTCTACCATTGATGAGCATTTAGGTTGATTCCACGTCTCTGCTATTGTGAAAAGTTCTGCAATGAACATACATGTGCATGTGTCTTTATAACAGAATTATTTATATTTTGGGGGCATATACACAGTAATGGGATTACTGGGTCAAATGATAGTTCTGTTTATAGGTCTTTGAGAAATCGCCACACTGTTTACTGCAATGGCTGAACTCACGTACACTCACACCAACAGTGTACAAGCATTCCTTTTCCTCTGTAACCTTGCCAGCACCTGTTAATTTTGACTTTTAAATAACAGCCAGTCTGACTGGTGTGAGACAGTATCTCATTGTGGTTTTGATTTGCATTTCTCTAATAATCAGTGATGCTGAGATTTTTCGTTTTCATTTGTTTCTTGGCCGAATGTGTGTCTTTCTTTCTTTCTTTTTTTTAAGTGACTGTTGTGTCCTTTGTCCACTTTTTAATTGAGTTTTTTTTGTTGTACATCCGTTTAAGTTCTTTATAGATGCTGGTTATTAGATCTCTGTCAGATGCATAACATGCAAAAATTTTCTTCCATTCTGTAGGTTGTCTGTTTACTCTGTTGATAGTTTATTTGGTGGTGCAGAAGCTCTTTAGTTTAGATCCCATTCATCAATTTTTGCTTTTGTTGTGACTGCTTTTGCATCTTTGTCATAAAATTTTTACCAGGTCCTGTTTTCAAAATGGTATTGCCTAAGTTGTCTTCTAGAGTTTTCATAGTTTTTGGTTTTACATTTAAGTCTTTAATTCATCTTGAGTTTATTTTTGTATATGATGTAAGGAAGGGGTCCAGTTTCAGTTTTCTGCATTTGGCTGACCAGTTATCCCAGCACCATTTATTGAAAAGAAACTCCCTTCCCCATTACTTGTTTTTGTCAGCCTTGTCAAAGACCAGATAGTTGTAGGTGTGCAGCCTTATTTCTGGGCTCTCTATTCTGTTCCATTGGTCTATGTGTGTGCTTTTTTACCAGTACTATGCTGTTTAGGTTATTGTAATGCTGTAGTATAGCTTGAAGACAGGTAGCATGATGCTTCCAGCTTTGTTCTTTTGCTTAAAATTGCCTTGGCTATTCAGACTTTTTTTGGTTCCACACAAATTTTGAAATAGTTTTTTTTCCTATTTCTTTGGAGAATATCATTGTAAGTTTAATTGGAATAGCACTGAAACCACAAATTGCTTTTGGCAGTATGTCCATTGTAATGATATTGATTCTCCCTATCCATGAGCATGGAATGTGTCTCCATTTATTTGTGTCATCTCTGATTCCTTTGAACAGTGTTTTGTATTTCTCATTGTATATATTTTTAACCTTCCTGGTTAGCTGTATTCCTAGGTATTTTAATCTTTTTGTGGAAGTTGTGAATGGAATTGTGTTGATTTGGTTCTTGGCTTGACTGTTGTTGGTGTAACGGAATCCCAGTAATTTTTGTACACTGATCTTTGTATCCTGAGACTTTTCTGATATTGTTTATCAGCTTAAGGAGCTCTTGGGGTGAGACTTTGAGGTTTTTCTAGACATAGGATCATGTCGTCTGCCAACAGGGGTAGTTTTACTTCCTCTCTTCTTATTTGTGTGCTATGTCTTTCTCTTGCCTGATTGCTCTGGGCAGGATTTCCAATACTATATTTAATAGGAGTGGTGAGAGAGGGCACCCTTGTCTTGTGCCAGCTTTTGTCCATTCAATATGATATTGGATGTGGGTTTGCCACAAATGGTTCTTATTATTTTGAGGTATTTCCTTCAATGCCTAGTTTACTGAGGGTTTTTATTTAACACGAAGAGATGTTAAATTTTATCAAAAGCTCTTTTTGCATCTGATATGATCATGTGGTGTTTTTTTTAGTTCTGTTTATGTAATGAATCACCTCTACTGATTTGTGTATGTTGTTCCTAATTTGTATCCCAGGGATAAGGCACACTTGGTCAAGGTGGATTAGCTTTTTGATGTGCTGCTAGATTCGGTTTACTAGTATTTTGTTGAGGATTTCTGTGTCTTTATTCATCTAGGATATTGGCCTGATGTTTCCTTTTTTTGTGTGTGTCTCTGCCAGGTTTTGGTATCAGGATAATGCTGGCTTCATAGAATGAGTTAAGGAGGAGTCTCTCCTCAATTTTTGGAATAGTTTCAGTAGAAATGGTACCAGCTCTTATTTATACATCTGGTAAAATTTGGCTGTTAAGCCATCTAGGCCTGTGTTTTTTTCTGGATAGGAGGCTTTTTTATTACCAATTCAATTTGGAACTCGTTATTTGTCTGTTCAAGAAGTCAATCTCTTGCTGGTTCAATCTTGGGAGGTTGTATGTTTCCAGAAATTTATCTATTTCTTCCAGGTTTTCTAGTTGGTGTGCATAGGGTGTTTATAGTAGTATCTGATAATTTTTTGTATTTTTGTGGGTTCAGTGGTAATATCCCCTTTGTCATTTCTGATTGTGTTTATTTGGATCTTCCTCTTTTTTCCCTTTATTAATCTAGCTAGCAGTTTGTCTAACTTATTCTTTCAAAGAACCTACTCCAGCATTCTTTGACCTTTGTATGGTTTTTCACAACTCAATTTCCTTGAGTTCCACTCTGATTTTGGTTATTTCTTGTCCTCTGCTCTGCTAGCTCTGGGGTATGTTTTCTCTTGTTTCTCTAGGTCCTCTAGGTGTAATGTTAGGTTGTTCATTTGATATATTTTTAACTTTTCGATGCCAGCATTTAGTGCTATACTATTCCATCTTAACCATACTTTAGCTGTGTCCCAGAGATTCTGGTATGTTGTATTTTTGTTCTAATTAGTTGAAAATAATTTCTTGATTTCTGCCTTAATTTCATTGTCCACCCAGAAGTCACTCAAGAGTAGGTTATTTAAATTAGCAAGAAAAAAAAAATCCCAACAAAAAGTGGGCTAAGGACATGAATAGACAATTCTCAAAAGAAGATATAAAAATGGGCTGGATGCGGTGGTTCACGCCTGTAATCCCAGCACGTTGGGAGGCTGAGGTGGGTGGATCACCTTAGGTCAGGAGTTCAAGACGAGCCTGGTCAACATGGTGAAACCCCATCTGTACTAAAAGTACAAAAATTAGTCGGGTGTGGTGGCATGTGCCTGTAATCCTAGCTACTTGGGAGGCTGAGGCAGGAGAATCACTTGAACCCAGGAGACAGAGGTTGCAGTGGGCTGAGCTGAGATCACACCACCACACTCCAGCCTAGGCAACAGGAGTGAAACTCTGTCTCAAAAAAAAAAAGGAGAAAGAAGAAAGAAGAAGAAGAAGGAAGAAGAAGGAAAAAGAAGGAAGAAGGAAGAAAGAAGGAAGAAGGAAGAAAGAAGAAGAAAAAAGGAAGAAGAAATACAAACGGCCAGCAAATATATGAAAAAGTGCTCAACATCACGAATGACCAGGGAAATGCAAATCAAAACCACAATGCGATACCACATTACTCCTGCAAGAATGGCCATAATCAAAACATCAAAAAAAAAAAAATACATGTTGGCATGGATACAGTTAAAAGGGAACACTTCTAGCCTGCTGGTGGGAATTTAAACTAGTACTACTACTATGTAAACAGTGTGGAGATTCCTTAAAGAAACAAAAGTAGAACTACAATTTGATACAGCAATCCCACTACCGGATATCTGCCCAGAGGAAAAGAAGTCATTATACAAAAAAGATACTTGCACATGCATGTTTATAGCAGCAAAACTCACAATTGCAAAAATGTGGAACCAGCCCAAATGACCATCAATCAATCAGTGGATAAATAAACTGTTATATATATACATATATGTATATATATGTATATATATATATATATAGTGTGTGCGTGTATATATACAGTGTGTATATATATATAGTGTGTGTATATGTGTGTGTGTATATTTATATATATATATATAGTGTGTGTGTGTATACACACACACACAAAATAGGATACTACTCAACTATAAAAAAGGAATGAAATAATAGCATTGGCAGCAACCTGGATGGAATTGGAGACTATTATTCTAAATGAAATAACTCAGGAATGGAAACCCAAACATCGTATGTTCTCACTCATAAGTGGGAGCTAAGCTATGAGGATGCAACGGCATAAGAATAATACAATGGACTTTGAGGACTCATAAGGAAAGGGTGGGAAAGGGGTATGGGATAAAATACTACAAATTGGATTCAGTGTATACAGCTCGATGATGGGTGCACCAAAATCTCACAAATCACAGCTAAAGAACTTACTCTTGTAACCAAAGACCACCTGTTTCCCCAAAACCTATGGAAATAAAAAAATTTAAAAGAGTAGGTTGTGTAATTTCCATGTAATTGTATGCAGTTCAGCAATTATCTTAGTATTGATTTAAATTTTTATTGCACTCCTGCCCAAGACCGTGGTTGCTATGATTTGTTTTTTTTTTTTAATTGGTTGAGGATTGTTTGATGTCTGATTTTTTGGTCAATTTTAGAGTATATGCCATGTGCTCTACTACTATTTTGTGGCTAAGTCTCTTCGTATGTCTCTAAAAGCTTGCTATATAAATCTGGGTGCTCCTGTGATGGGTACATATATTTAGGATAGTTCGGTTTTCTTGTTTAATTTACCCCCTTACCATTATATAATGCCATTCTTTGTCTTTTTTGATTGTTGTTGGTTTAAAGTCGGCTTTGTCTGAACTTAGAATAGCAACCCCTGCAATTTTCTGTTTTCCATTTGCTCTGTAGATTTTTCTCCATCCCATTACTTTGAGCCTGTGGGTTTCATTGCATGTGAGATGGATCTCTTGAAGACAGTATAACCTTGGGTCTTGATTCTTTATCCTACTTTCCACACTGTGCCTTTTAATTCAGTTATTTAGCCCTTTTACTTTCAAAGTTATTATTGATATATGTGGATTTGATTCTGTCATTGTGTTGTTACCTGATTGTCATGCAGATTTTATTGTGTACTTGCTTTATAGCATCAATGGTCTATGTAATTAAGTGTATTTTTGTGGTGGTTGGTAACAGTCTTTAATTTCCATGTTTAGCACTCTCAAGGACTTTATTTAAGGCAGTCCTGGTGGTTATGAATTTCATTAGTATATACTTCTCTCAAAATAACCTTTTTTTCCTTCACTTATGAAGCTTAGTTTGGCTGGATATGAAATTCTTAGTTGAAATTTTTTGTTACAAATGCTTAATATAGGCCCCAATCTCTTCTGGCTTATTAGGTTTCTGTTGAAAGGTCCACTGTTAGCCTAATGCTGTAAACTTTTAGGTCACCTTTCTCAACCCTCTAGGTGCCTTTAAAATTTTGCTTTCATTTCAACTTTGCAGAATCCGATGACTATTTTATAGTACCTCACAGAGGTTCTCTTCCTTTCCTGACTTTAAATGCTGGCCTCTTTAGTGAGATTGGGAAAGTTTTCATGTACACTATCCTCAAACATGTTTTCCAAGTTGCTTGATTTATCTCTCTCTATTTCAATGCTGATATGTTGTAGCTTTGGTCTGTTTACATAATCCCATCTTTTTTGGAGGTCTTGTCCATTCTTCTTTATTGCTTTTCCTTTTTTTATTTTTGTCTGACTGAGTAGTTTCAGAGTATTGGTCTTAAAGCTCTGAGATTCTTTACTCAGCTTGGTCAATTCTGCTGTTATTACTTGCAATTATATTATTAAATTCTTGAAGCCAGTTTTTCAGCTCTATCAGATCAGTTTGGTTCTTTCTTAAAAATGACCATACCATTTTTCAGCTCCTGTATGATCTTATTTTACTCCTTAAGTTCATTGGATTGGGTTTTGACTTTTTACTGGATGTGGATGATCTTCACTCCTATCTATATTCAGAATTCCATTTCTGTCATTTCAGCCATTTCAACCTTGTTAAGAGCCATTGCTGTAGAACTGGTGTGGTTGTTTGGAGGTAAGAAGACACTCAGGCTGTTTAAGTTGCCATAGTTCTTGTGCTGGTTCTTTCTCATCTGTGTGGCCTGATGTTCCTTCAATCTTTGACGATGCTCTCCTTTGGATGGATTTTTTTCTTTTGGTTTTACGTTTTCTGATGTCTTTGGGGTTTGATTGTGACATAAGATGGGTTCATTCAAATGGCTTCATTTCTGGATGATTTTACGGGGCCTAGGCTCAGCTCAGCACTCCTGATCTGGGTGCTCCAGCTCTGGGGGGCTGCTACTAGGCCCCTGGCTTTTTTCTCTGGCACCTGGAGGTTAGGTTAGTGATTGTCACAACATTTACAGTATCCTTCTTTTGCTTCTCAAATGTATTTTCAAATGGTACTTTATCATTTCAAATATAATGCAACAAACCTAAAACTGTATACTTCCATTTTTCTTCTCCCATTCTTCTGTGCTGTTGTCATATATTTTACTTCTACATATGCTAAAAACCATAAATTATTTTTTCTACTTATTTAGAAAAATCAGTTATTTTATCATACTTCTACTTTTAATCAATCCATATCATAATATTTAAAGTGGGTTTATTGTATACCACATATAGTTGAGATATTTAATTGTACAAATTAAATAAAAATTAATTGTATCTGAATTTAGAGCTGCCATTTATTATATTTATGTTTTCTCCTTGTGTTATTTGTTCCTCTATTCCCTGTTTTAAGAACTTCTTTTGGATTTTAAAATAATTTTTAGTATTCAATTTCAATTAATTAGATTTTTTGCTATATCTCTACCATTTTAATGATTGTTCTCAAGATTATAATACACATACTTAACTCCTTACAGTTAATTTAGAGTTAATATTTTACCCCTAAAATAAAAATATAAAAGTCTTGTTACCATACAGTTTCCTTTATTCTCTTTTATATTAAAGTTGATATATATCTTATGTCTACATACACAAAAATTTTCCCAAATTATATTTTACTTTCAATAGATAGTTATATATATATACACTAAGGAAATTACTCTACAAGGTTTTCCCAGAAATGTACCATTTCTGTTGCTCTTCATTTCTGAATTATCAGTTTTCTTCTGGTATCATTTCCCTTCAACCTAAAAAAATTATTTTTGACATATCTTTTATGGAAGGTGTGCTGGAAGCAAATTCTTTTAGATTTCCTTTCTCTGAGAATGTTTTCTGTTTCACTTTCATTCCTGAAGAATATTTTCTCTGGATATAAAATTCTGGATGGATAGTTCATTTATTCAGCACTTTAACAATGTTGTTTCCATCTTCTGATCTTCATGATTTCTGGTGAAAAATCAGTAGTAATTTAAATCACTGTCCGCTGTACTTAATGTGTCATTTTTCTCGGTCTGCCTTCAACATGTTTCATTTATCTTTGATTTTGCAGCATTTTCATTGTAATGTGTCCGGGTGTGATTTTCTTTGTATTTCTCCTAAGCTTCTTAAATGTGTAAATTTACATATTTCACCAATTTGGGGTAAATTTCAGCTTTTATTTCTTCAAATTTTTTTTTGTACTCCTCTCTTTCTTCTCTCTGCCAGGAACTCAATTAATACCAACATTAGACCTTGTGATATTGTTCCACATGTCCCTGAGTATCTAGATTTAATTTTTTTTTCTCTGTGTTCTTCTGAATGCATTAGTTCTACTGCTCTATTTTCAAAATCCAAGGTAGTTCCTTCTATCATCCCAATTCTGCTATTGATTTCATCCAGTAGTTTTTCTAAAATATCAGATTCTGTATTTCTTAAATTCTAAGATTCTCATCTTTCAAAAATAGTTTGTATTTCTTAGCTTAGGACTGCTGTTTCAATTCATTTCAAGAGTATTCACCTTGGCCTCACAGAGCATGGTTATAATATCTGATTTAAAGTCTTTGTCTTTTAATTCCATCATCTGAGTCATTTCAGAGTTGGCATCTGTTGATTGTTGTTTCACTTGAGAATCTGTCAAATTTTACTGGTTCTTTCTATGCAAAGTAATTTTGGGTTGTATTCTTAAAATTTTCAATATTATACTATTAAGTATGGTATTAAAATTCGGAAAAAAACTTAATTTGTGTTTGTTTTAGCAGGCAGTTAACCTGGTTATATTTGGATCACAAATTCTGTCTCACTTTCTGTGCTTGTTAAAATGTCATTTAAGTTTTCAAAACCTTTGGTAAGCTGTTTGGGCCTGCCCTTTGTAAGTGCGAATCATAGATTTGTCTGCAACTTAGGCATTAGTTTACATTATAGTTCAGTTCTTAAAGCCTTTGCTATGCTTCTCTGGACATATTATGTGCACCCACAAATAGAAGATGAATCTGAAGTTGTATAGGGTCACACACAAAATTAAGAGATCAACTCTTCAGCTCTCTCTTCTCCAGAATTTTTCCCAAATTATGTGAATAGCAAGAGTCATTTTCCTGATATTTGACTTAAAAATAAAATTCTCCCATAATTTTACACTCCACACTTAAAATAGAAACCATCATTAGTGTAATGTAGTAAGAGAAAATACAGAAAAATAATTATATGGGTTGAATGTTTGTGCCCCCCTCAAAATTCATGTTAAAAACTTAACAACCAGGCAGGGCATGGTGGCTCATGCCTGTAATCCCGCCCTTTGGGACGCCAAGATGAGCGAATCACTTGGGATCAAAAGTTCAAGACCAGCCTGGCTAGCATGGTGAAACCCCACCTCTACCAAAAATACAAAAATGAGCCAGGTGTGTTTGCATCTGCCTGCAGTCCCAGCTACTCAAGAGACTGAGGCAGGAGAATCACTTGAACCCAGAGGGCGGAGGTTGCAGTGAGCTGAGATTGCACCACTGCACTCCAGCCTGGGCCACAGAATGAGAATCTGTCTCAAAAAACAAACAAAAAAAACAAAAAACAAACAAACAAAAAACCAATAAGCAATGTAAGAGGTGATTAGGTCATGAGGGTGGAGCTCTCAGGAGAGGGATAAGTGTCCTTACAAATAGATGTCCCAGAGAGCTGCTTTTCCCTTCCACCAGGTGAGGACACAGAATGAAGACATCATTTTAAACTGGGAAATGAGACCTCACTATATATTCAATCTACTGGCACCTTAACCTTGGACATCCCATTCTCCAGAACTGTGACATAAATTTTTGTTCCTTATAAACTACCTAGTTTATGGTATTTTCTTATAGCAGCCTGAGAGGGATAAGACAAATAATAATTGTGATTTCCCAACCTTTCACAAGAGGGGCCCATTTTTTTTTTTGGCTCCTTTATCCAAAGAGATGGGTTTTTCCTCACAGTTTTTGGTGCTTGTGCTGCCAGCACAGAGGTGCAGATTCATTACTGTGGCAGGCATTGGAGAAGGGCTGAAAAAAAAAAATAGAACCTCGGTGATTCCTTTCACACTATCCAACCCACAGAGGCCACTGTTCTCAATGCTCTGACCAGGAAGATGGGTTTCTCCCAGAGGTATTGTCTGTTCCCTTTATGCAACTCACCATTCCAGCCTGTCTTCAGATTACATTTATGGGATAGTAGAGGGAGAAAACCAAGAAACATACTGCTACTATATTGGTTGTTCTTCAAGTTTTATTTCACTCTCCAATATGCCAGCTATTAGTTACTTTTCTTTTTTTATTATACCTTAAGTTCTAGGATACAGGTGCACAATGTACAGGTTTGTTAAATAGATATACATATGCCATGTTGGTTTGCTGCACCTATTAACTCGTCATTTACATTAGGTATTTTTCCTAATGCTATCCCTCCCCCTGCCCCCTACTCCCAGACAGGCCCTGGGGTGTGATGTTCCCCACCCTGTGTCCAAGTGTTCTCATTGTTCAATTCCCACCTATGAGTGAGAACATGTGGTGTTTGGTTTTCTAATTTTGTGATAGTTTGCTGAGAATGATGGTTTCCAGCTGCATCCATGTCCCTGCAAAGGACATGAACTCATCCTTTTTTATGGCTGCATAGTATTCCATGGTGTATATGTGCCACATTTCCTTAATCCAGTCTATCATTGATGGACATTTGGGTTGGTTCCAAGTCTTTGCTATTGTGAATAGGGCCACAAAAAACATACGTGTGCATGTGTCTTTATAGTAGCATGATTTATAATCCTTTGGGTATATATACAGTAATGGGATCGCTGGGTCAAATGGTATTTCTAGTTCTAGATCCTTGAGGAATCACCACATTGTCTTCCACAATGGTTGAACTAGTTTACAGTCCCACCAACAGTGTAAAAGCATTCTTATTTCTCCAGATTCTCTCCAGCACCTGTTGTTTCCTGACATTTTAATGATCGCCATTCTAACCAGTGTGAAATGGTATCTCATTGTGGTTTTGATTTGCATTTCTCTGATGACCAGTGATAACGAGCATTTTTTTCATGTGTCTGTTGGCTGCATCAATGTCTTCTTTTGAAAAGTGTCTGTTCATATCCTTTGCCCACTTTTTGATGGGGTTGTTTTTTTCTTGTAAATTTGTTTAAGTTCTTTTTAGATTCTGGATATTAGCCCTTTGTCAGAGGGGTGGATTGCAAAAATTTTCTCCAGTTCTGTAGGTTGCCTGTTCACTCTAATGGTAGTTTCTTTTGCCATGCAGAAGCTCTTTAGTTTAATTAGATCCCACTTGTCTATTTTGGCCTTTGTTGCCATTGCTTTTGGTGTTTTAGACATGAAGTCCTTGCCCATGCCTATGTCCTGAATAGTATTGCCTAGATTTTCTTCTAGAGTTTTTACGGTTTTAGGTCTAACATTTAAGTCTTTAATCCATCTTGAATTAATTTTTGTATAAATTGTAAGGAAGGGATCCAGTTTCAGCTTTCTACATATGGCTAGCCAGTTTTCCCAGCATCATTTATTAAATAGGGAATCTTTCCCCATTTCTTGTTTTTGTCAAGTTTGTCAAAGATCAGATGGTTGTAGATATGTGGTGTTATTTCTGAGGCCCCTGTTCTGTTCCATTGGTCTATATATTGGTTTTGGTACCAGTACCATGCTGTTTTGGTTACTGTAGCCTTGTAGTATAGTTTGAAGTCAGGTAGCATGATGCCTCCAGCTTTGTTCTTTTGGCTTAGGATTGTCTTGGCTATGTGGTCTCTCTTTTGGCTCCATATGAACTTTAAAGTAGTTTTTTCCAATTCTGTGAAGAAAGTCATTGGTAGCTTGATGGGGATAGCACTGAATCTATAAATCACCTTGGGCAGTATGGCCATTTTCACGATACTGATTCTTCTTATCCATGAGCATAGAATGTTCTTCCATTTGTTTGTCTTTTATTCCGTTGAGCAGTTGTTTGTAGTTCTCCTTGAAGAGGTCCTTCACGTCCCTTGTAAGTTGGATTCCTAGGTATTTTATTCTCTTTATGGCGATTGTGAATGGGAGTTCACTCATGATTTGGCTCTCCGTTTGTCTGTTATTGGTGTATAGGAATGCTTGTGATTTTTGCACATTGATTTTGTATCCTGAGACTTTGCTGAAGTTGCTTATCAGTTTCAGGAGATTTTGGGCTGAGACGATGGGGTTTTCTAAATTATACAATCACATCATCTGCACACAGGGACAATTTGACTTCCTCTTTTCCTAAATGAATACACTTTATTTCTTTCTCTTGCCTGATTGCCCTGGCCCGAACTTCCAACACTATGTTGAATAGGAGTGGTGAGAGAGGGCATCCATGTCTTGTGCCAGTTTTCAAAGAGAATGCTTCCAGGTTTTGCCCATTCAGTATGATATTGGCTGTGAGTCTGTCATAAATAGCTCTTATTATTTTGAGATATATTCCATCACTACCTAGTTTATTGAGAGTTTTTAGCATGAAGGGCTGTTGAATTTTGTCAAAGGCCTTTTCTGCATCTATTGAGATAATTATGTGGTTTTTGTCTTTGGTTCTGTTTATGTGATGGATTATGTTTATTGATTTGCTTATGTTGAACCAGGTTTGTATCCCAGGGATGAAGTCGAGTTGATCGTGGTGGATAATGTTTTTGACCTGATGCTGGATTCTGTTTGCCAGTATTTTACTGAGGATTTTCACTTTCACATCAATATTCATCAGGGATATTCATCTACAATTCTCTTTTTCGTTGTGTCTCTGCTAGGCTTTGGTATCAGAATGATGCTGGCATCATAAAATGAGTTAGAGAGGATTCTGTCTTTTTCTATTGATTGGAAGTTTCAGAAGGAATGGTACCAGCTCCTCTTCGTACCTCTGGTAGAATTCAGCTGTGAATCCATCTGGTCCTGGAATTTTTTTGATTGGTAGGCTATTAATTATTGCCTGAATTTCAGAGCCTGTTATTGGTCTATTCAGAGATTCAACTTCTTCCTGGTTTAGTCTTGGGAGGGTGTATGTGTCCAGGAATTTATCCATTTCTTCTAGATTTTCTAGTTTATTTGCGTAGATGTGTTTATAATATTCTCTGATAGTAATTTGTATTTCTGTGGGATCAGTGGTGATATCCCCTTTATCAGTTTTTACTGTGTCTATTTGAGTTGTCTCTCTTTTCTTCTTTTTTAATCTTGCTAGCAGTCTATCAATTTTGTTGATCTTTTCAAAAAAAACAGCTCCTGGATTCATTGATTTTTTTGAAGGGTTTTTTTTTTTGTGTTTCTAGCTCCTTCAGTTCTGCTCTGATCTTAGTTATTTCTTGCCTTCTGCTAGCTTTTGAATTTGTTTGCTCTTGCTTCTCTAGTTCTTTTAATTGTGATGTTAGGGTGTTGATTTTAGATCTTTCCTGCTTTCTCTTGTGGGCATTTAGTGCTATAAATTTCCCTCTACACACTGCTTTAAATGTGTCCCAGAGATTCTGGTACGTTGTATGTTTGTTCTCATTGGTTTCAAAGAACATCTTTATTTCTGCCTTCATTTTGTTATTTACCCAGTAGTCATTCAGAAGCAGGTTGTTCAGTTTCCATGTAGCTGTGCAGTTTTGAGTGAGTTTCTTAATTCTGAGTTCTAATTTGATTGTTCTGTGGTCTGAGAGACAGTTTGTTGCGATTTCTGTTATTTTACATTTGCTGAGGAGTGCTTTACTTCCACCGATGTGGTCAATTTTGGAATAAGTGTGATGTGGTGCTGCGAAGAATGTATATTCTGTTGATTTGGGGTGGAGAGTTGTGTAGACGTCTATGAGGTCCACTTGGTGCAGAGCTGAGTTCAAGTCCTGGATATCCTTGTTAACCTTGTTTCTCATTGATCTGTCTCATACTGACAGTGGGGTGCTAAAGTCTCCCATTATTATTGTGTGGGAGTCTAAGTCTCTTTGTAGGTCTCTAAGGAGTTGCTTTATGAATCTGGGTGTTCCTGAATTGGTTGCATATATACTTAGGATAGTTAGCTCTTCTTGTTTAATTGATCCCTTTACCATTATGTAATGGTCTTGTCTCTTTTGATCTTTGTTGGTTTAAAGTCTGTTTTATCAGAGCCCAGGCTTGCAACCCCTGCTTTTTTTTGCTTTCCATCTGCTTGGTAGATCTTCCTTCATCCCTTTATTTTGAGCCTATGTGTGTCTCTGCACATATTTTTATGGTTTTGAGGGTTCCTTTTAGAGTTGTTTTCTAATTTTATTCCAATGTGCTCTGATAGAGTACTTAATATAATTTTGATTTTCTTAAATTTACTGAGACTTGTTTTGTGGCCTATCATATGGTCTATCTTCGAGAATGTTCCATGTACTGATGTAAAAACATGTATCTTGTAGTACAGGTCTTCTTATGAGGAATTTCCACAGCGTTTGTTTGACTAAAAATGTGTTTACTTCACATTTGTTTTTGAAGAATATTTTTGCTGAATATAATAAACTTAACATGCCAGTTTTGCTTTATTTCAGTATTTTATTAAAGGTTGCATTCTATTGTCTTTTGGCTTTCACTGCTTCTTACAAGAAATCAGAGTAAAATTTTATCTTTGTCCCATACAGAAATGTGTTTTCTTTCTGGTGACAACTTTAAATGTTTGTGTTTATCACTGATTCCAACAATTTGCTTATGGTATGCTTCAGCGAGTGGCTTTGTGTATTCTACTATAGGTTTGTTTAGCTTCTTGATTCTGTGAACAATAATTTATTCAAAAAAATCTGTACCTTTTTTTGGACTACACATATATATTAGACTACTTGATACTGTCTCACAGATAATTAAGGGTCTGGTCATTTTTTTCCCCAGGATCATTTTATTCTGCAGTTTATTGTGGAAAATTTGTTTTCCTATGTTTCCAATTAACTGGTTGTTTATTTTCACTAATAGGCTGTAAAACTCTTCAAGACTTTTGATTTCTCACATTGTATTTCTTAGTTTGAAAAGTCCCATTAGGTTCCTTTTCCATTGCTCATTTATCTGTACATAACGTTTATATTTTATCTTATATCCTAGATTATACTTAAATTCAATGTTTCAAAGTCTTCAAGAATTCTAAACCTTAGGCATTTGAGGGTGCTTTTCTATTGACTGATTTTTATTCTAATTCATGGACACATATCTCTGCTTTTTGAGTTATAGTAATTTTTGACTGGATACTAGACACTGTATTTACATTGTTGAATATCTGGATATTGCTATATTACTTTAAAGACTGTCAAAACTCTAAACACCTTTACTAAGATATAAGTACATAACAATAAACTAAATATTTACACTCTACAATTTTATAAGTTTTCACATATGTGTATGCCTAGAATACTATCACCACAAGCAAGAAGATGAGTATATCTACTATCCTTAACAATTTTCTCATGCTTCAATATAGTTAATTCTTCCAGCCTCTCACCATACCCACTTATCTGCTTTCTGTCATGGTAGATTAGTTTGCATTTTCTATAATTTCATATGAATAAAATCACACAAAATATTCTAATTTGTCAGGCTCTTTCACTTAGCATAATTACTTGAGATTTATCTAATTTGTGGCATGTATCAATAGTAATTCCTTTTTATTGCTGAGTGGTATTCTACTGAAGGAATATACAACACCTTTCTTATTCACTCACCTGTTAATAGACTTTTGGGTTATTTTCCTTTTTGGAGCTGCTATAAATATGTGTATAACAATCTCTGTATGCACCTATGCTTTCATTTCTCTTAGTTAAATATTTAAGATTGAGCGGGGCGCAGTGGCTCATGCCTGTAATCCTAGCACTTTGGGAGGCCGAGGCGGGTGGATTGCCTGAGCTCAGGAGTTCGAGAGCAGCCTGGGCAACACAGTGCAACCCCGTCTCTATTAAAACACACAAAAAATTAGCTGGGCGTGGCAGCGTGTGCCTGTAGTCCCAGCTACTCGGGAGGCTGAAGCAGGAGAATTGCTAGAACCCAGGAGGCAGAGGTTGTAGTGAGCCGAGATCACACCACTGCACTCCAGACTGGACGACAGAGCAAGAATCCATCTCTAAGAAAAAAATAATACATAAATAAATCTAAGAGTGGAATGGCTGAATCTATATCAGTGTACATTTAACATTTTAGTAATGTCAAACTTTTCCTCAAAATGTTGGACAATTTACAATCCCACTAACAGTGTATGAGAGCTCTAGTTGTTCCATAACCTAGCCAACATTTCTTATAATCAACTTTTAAAAAATATATTTGTAACAAAAAGTTCATTTCTATTGACGGATTTGCAATTATCACAGGCAAAAGAAAATAAGAACTGCATGCAGAAAATTACTTCTTTCCTTATGCTACATCTGTAGACATTTGATTTTTATCATGATAGAGAAGGTATGAGTTCTTATATTGCTTGGCACAGTAGAAATAGAAGAAACAAATAAATATAACAAAAGGTCATTTCTCAGTGATTTCTATGTATGCTTTTTACTGGCAGTAAAAACAGCACTTGGGTAAATCAGACAACAGTAGATTTAGAAATAATATTGGAAGCTATCTAGCCCAACATCCACCATTTACAGAACAGAAAACAGGTTCGGTTAAATGACTCATGTAGTTATAGTGTTCTTGCCATTATAACACACTGTCCCTTTAATCTGCATAAATGAGCGATATCACCCATTTATTAACCCACTGACCATGAGCTACAATTGTGAAGGGCACTGAGGAGTTCCTCCAGGAACTCAAAATCCAATTGGGAAAATGAACATTTAAATAACAAATAATAACATAACAAATTTCTTATAGATACAAACTGCAAAGAAAACACAATAGGTGCAATGAATTACTGAAAGGATTAAAAGAAAGAGTGAGGAAAGGAAAAAGAAGAGTGGGAGTTTATCAGGCAGAGAAGGGGAGAAATGCTTTCTAGATAAGAGGGAAACCTTGATAGTGTTACCAAATAACTAACGATCCCAAGGGATACTTTAGACTGATAGATCGCTATCTCTTAATGAGTCTGATTCCAACACTAAATAAAAATAAAACCACTATTTGCTTAGTTTCAACTGCCTATGCTACCTCCAATATATTAAGTGAATGGTAATATCTTCTTTTTTTTTTAAATGTTGCAGATTGGGAAAGGATTGTGGAGTGAGACAGACCTGGAGTTCAAGCCCTGCTCTGTTTAATATTTGTATGAAGTTTGGTGATTAAATTGTAGTTCCCCATTTCTCTGAGATTTAAAGTTTAACTAAATAGTACTTAATCCCTAGGGTTATTATGTATTCCAGAACTTAAAGTATAATCAACTTTTTAAAGCTAAGACAGTGTAATAGATGTGTGGTGATATATCATTGTGACTTTAATTGCATTTCTTTAATGAGAAATAATATTTATCATTGTTTCTTGTGTTTATTTGCCATCTCCATATCTTCATTGATAAAATACCTGTTCAAAGCTTGTGTCCATTATTTATTTGGTTTTTTTATTACTTCTTATTGAGATTAAAATATTTATTACACTTGTACAATGTAAATATTTTCTCCACGTCTATAGCTTGTCTTTACAATATTTTTAAAATGTCTTTCAAATAGCAGAAAAATTAATTTTGATGAAGTCCAATTTATTATTTTTCTTTATTGATCATTCTATGGTGTCGCACCTAATAAATTTTTGTCTAACCTAATTAACACAAAAATTATTCCCCATTTTTTTCTTCTAAAAGTGTACTTTTTTATTTTTGGTTTTACATTTAGGTTAATGACTGGGTTGGATTTAATTATTGTACACTGTGAGATATGGGTAAATGTTTTTGTTTTTTGTTTTTTTTTTTTTTGAGACGGAGTGTCGCTCTGTCCCCCAGGCTGGAGTGCAGTGGAGCGATCTTGGCTCACTGCAAGCTCCGCCTCCCGGGTTCACGCCATTCTCCTGCCTCAGCCTCCCGAGTAGCCGGGACTACAGGCACCCGCCACCACGCCCGGCTATTTTTTTGTATTTTTAGTAGAGACGAGGTTTCACCGTGTTAGCCAGAATGGTCTCGATCTCCTGACCTCGTGATCCACTCGTCTTGGCCTCCCAAAGTGCTAGGATTACAGGCGTGAGCCACCGCACCCGGTCGGGTAAATGTTCTTTTTTTTTGCATATGGTTACTCAATTATTCTACCACCATTAGTTAAAGAAACTATACTTTCTCCATGAAATTTCAGGTTTGGTTGAAAATTGATATGTATGTATGTAAGCCTATTTCTGAACTCACTTCCTTTGATTTATTCATCTATATTGTCAATACCACACTGTCTTAAATAAGTTAGATTTCTAAGTCTTGATGACATTGTAAGTCCTATAACTTTACACTATTTTCCACATAACGTTTTGGCTCCTCTAGATATTGTGTAATTTCAAATGAATTTTAAAATTGGTTTGTGAATTTCTTTTTAAAAACCTGTTTGAAAGTTTGAGATTTCATTCAATCTGTATCTCTACTTGGGTAAAACTGACACTTTAACAAAATTGAGTCTTCTAATCCAAGAGTATTACAGATCTCTCTATTTTATGTGGTCTTCTTTACTTACTGTCAGCAATGTTTCACAATTTTCAGTGTACAGGTCTTGCACATTTTTTATCAGATCATCTCTATGTATTTGGTAATTTTTATGCTATTGTAAACAGTATTGACTTTTAAAATTCTCAAGGTTTATTGCTGGTATATAGAAATATGTTTGAATTTTGTAAATTTACTTAGTGTCCTTCAAACTTTCACGTTTGATTGTACTGACTAGAAGTTACAGTACAATGTTAAATAAAAGTGTTCAAATGGAATTCTTATTTTATTGCAGACCTAAGCAGGATAGCATTCAGTCTTCCAACATTAAGTTTTGTACTAGCTATATAATTTTCAAAGAAGGTAAAGAAAGTTTCCTTCTATGCCTAGATTACTGAGATATTTTATTAAAAATGGATGATGGATTTTGTCAAATGCATTTTCTGCATCTACTGGAATGATCAGATGGTTTTTCTTTAACCTGTTAATATAGCAAATAACATTGTTTAATTTTTCAAATGTTAAACTATATTATTTTAAAAACTTTTATTTTAGGTTCGGCGGTACACATGCAGGTTTGTTATATAGGTAAATTCATGTCACAGGGTTTTGTTGTACAGATTATTTTATCATCCAGGTACTAAGCCTGATAATCAATAGTTCTTTTTGCTCCTCTCCTTCCTCCCGTCCTTTACCCTCAAGTAAGCCCTGACTTTAAGTTCTTGAAAAAAACTTAAAGTTTTTAATTTAAATGAAGTCCAGCTTATCAGTTATTTCTTTCATACACTGTGTCTTTGGTATTTTTAAAACCATCACAATACTCAAATTAACTTAGATTTTTTCAGTGTTATTTTTAGGAGTTTTATACCTTCACATTTAACCTTTAGGTTTGTGATCCATTTTAAATGTATTTTTTTCAATAGTGTGAGGTCTGTGTTTAGATTTTTTTGTGTTGCATGCAGAGATCCAGTTATTCAAGTACCATTTATTTAAAATGTTATTTGAATCATTGTATTACCTTTTGCTCCATTTTCAAAGATCAGTTTACTGTATTTATGTGAGTTTATTTACAGGTTTTCCATTCTGTTCCACTAAATTATTTGTGTATTTTCTAGACAGTATCGTACTGCCTTGATTACTGTAGCTTTATAGTAAGACTTGAATGCAGGTAATGTCAGGCCTCTGACTTTCTTGTTCTTCAGTTCTAAGTTGGCTATTCTGGGTCTTTTGCCTTCTCATATAAACTTCAGAATCAGTTTGTCAATATTCATAAAACAACTTCCTGGGATTTTTATTGGGATTGCACTGAACCTATAGAATAATTTGCAATGAAGTGACATCTTCAAAATATTTTCTTACTATCCATAAACATAAAATGACTTCCCATTTATTTAGTTCTTCTTTAATTTTTTTCATCAGAGTTTCATAGTTTTACTCCTATATCATGTACCTATTTTGTTTTATCTGTACCCAAGCATTTTATTTATTGGGTGCTAATGTAAATGGAATTGTGTTTTTAGTTTCAAATTCCACTTATTCATGAGATGTAGGAAAGCAATTGACTTTTGTATATTAATCTTGTATCCTGAAACTTTGCTATAATTGCTTTTTAGTTCAAAAGTTTTTTTGGTCAACTCAAATTTTCTGTATAGACAATTATGCCACCTGTAAAAAAAAAAAGCAGTTTTTTCTTCCCAATATGTATATAATCTATTTTCTTTTCATGTCATGTTGCATAACCTAGGACATCCAGTATAACATTGAAGAGTAGTGGTTACCAAGGACATTCTTGTCTTATTTCTTATCTTAGTAAGAAAGCTTCTAGTTTCTTCCCATTAAGTATATTGTTAGGTATAGGTTTCTTGTACATTTTTCAGAAAGCAAGTTGAGGAAGTTCTCTATTCCTGGTTTGCTAAAAAGTTTTTTTTTTTAAATCATAAATGGAACGTGGATTTTGAGAAAGGATCGTTTAAAGCTATGTATATGAATATGGCATTTTTCTTCTTTAGTCTGATAATGTAACAGGTTACATTAATGATTTTTAAAACATTTGTTATTTCAATAGGTTTTGGGAAAACAGGTGGTGTTTGGTTAAATGGATAAGTTCTTTAGCAGTGATTTGTGAGATTTTGGTGCACCCATCACCAGAGCGATGTACACTGTACCCAGTGTGTAGTCTTTTTCCCCCACCCATCCCACCTTTTACCCCAAGTTTCTCAAGTCCATGGTATCATTCTTATGCCTTTGCATCCTCATAGCTTAGCTCCCACTTATGAGTGAGAACATATGATGTTTGATTTTCCATTCCTGAGTTACTTGACTTAGAATAATTGTCTCCAATACTATTCCAGGTTTCTGCAAATGCCATTATTTCATTCCTTTTTTTTTTTGGCTGAATAGTATTCCACAGTGTGTATGTATACGTGTATGTGTATATATATATAATTTTCTTTATCCATTTGTTGATTGATGGGCATTTGAGCTGGTTCCATATTTTTGCAATTGCAAATTGTGCTGCTATAAACATGAATGTGCAAGTATCTTTTCTGTATAATGACTTCTTTTCCTCTGAGTAAATACCTAGTAGTGGGATTGCTGTATGAAATAGATCTACTGTTTGTTCCTTACTAAATCTCCATACAACTTTCCATAGTGGTTGTACTAGTTTACATTCCCACCAGCAGTGTAAAAGTGTTGCTTTTTCACCACATCCACACCAACATGTATTTTTTTTTTAAATTTTTATTATGGCCATTCTTGAAGGAGTAACGAGGTATTGCATTGTGGTTTTGATTTGTATTTTCCTGATCAATAGTGATGTTGGGCATTTTTTAAAATATGTTTGTTGGCCATTTGTATATCTTCTTTTGAGAATTGTCTGTTCATGTCCTTAGCCCACTTTTTGATGGTATTTTTTTTTTTTTCTTGCTGATTTGTTTGAGTTTCTTGTAGATTCTGGATATTAGTCCTTTGTCAGATGCATGGTTCGCAAAGTTTTTCTCTCATTCTGTAGGTTGTCTGTTTACTCTGTTGATTCTTTCACTGTGTATAAGCTTTTTAGTTTAATTTAAAAAGTAGCAGGGGAGTGAAGTGGACTCTGTGAGGGTATGGTTCTAATTTTGTTTAGTTCGGTAGTTTTGTGTTGGTTGGCCTTTGGTGGTTTTGTGTTGGTTTAGTCAGAAGATGGCGCTTTCAAGACAGCATCAGCTGCGGTGGTATAGGGAGGATACAAGCTTGCCCTAGGATTATCTGGATAAGTACTCAGGTTCCTCCTGTGATGGGCAGGGCCATAGTCTTCCCAAGAGATTATGTCATTTATCTTTGGCTACCAGGGTGGGTAGAGAAAGACCACCAGGTGGGGGCAGGGTTAGGCTATCTGAGCTCAGACTCTCCTTGGGCCGGGCTTGCTTTAGCTGCTGTGGGGGATGGGGGTCTTTTTCTCAGGCTGATGAAATTGCATTCCCAGAAGGATTATGGCTGTCTCTGTTATGTCATACAGGTCGTCAGATGAGTGGGAGAAAGCCAGGAGAGGCCTCACCCAGCTCCCACGCAGCACAAAAGGCAAGTCTTACTACCACCCTGCCCCCTCAACAGCACCAAGTTTATATCCAGGCAGCTGGTGAACAGGGGAACTTGCCCCAGGCTACAAGCCCTCCAGCTGAGAAAGCAAGCAGGGCTTTCAGGTTTCTTGACTGCCCTCCTGCTGTGGTTTCTGTGCTGGTATCTGCATGCCCCATTCACCCTTCCCCCATATTCTGTCCAGGAAACTTCGTGTTCAGTTGAAATTGTTACAAAGTTCATCTGGAAGTTTCCTTCTCCCTGTGCTCTTTCTCCAATTCTATTGGCAGCCCTACCCAAACACCCTTGTGAGACAAACTCAGGAATGACTTCTCTGGGGACCAAGAGTGCCCACAGGGCTCATCCTGCTGCTTCCCTCTACTCCTATATTTCACTTGACTCTCTAAATTCATCCCAGCTCTATGTAAGGTCAAATCCTTCTCCCATAATCTGGAACCTCAGGTTCCCCAGTAAGGATGTGTGTTTGGGAGTAGACGTTCCCCCTCTCACACTTTGGGCACTCACAGTTTTTTAGCTATCTCATGGAGCCTCTAGCAGCAAGCTGCTTTCTTCAAAGGGTCTGAGGATTCTCTCAGCTTTCCTTTTCCCGAAGTAGTTCTTGGAGCAAAATTTCACACTGGGAGCCTCCACACACTGCTCTGTCTGTCTGAGTGGAAGCTGCAATTTAGTCCTGCCTGTTAGCTGCCATTTTTCTCCTAATGTTTAATTTAATTTAAATGCAGAATTTGAGCTCTTAGACCTAGGGCAATCCATCTTTGATGCTTATATTATTATTTGTCGGTTCAGGAACCTCCCCTCTTTCTGTCTATTCAGGCTTTCCAGTTCCTTTGTAATCTCACATTAATGACTTTTGAATGTTAAATCAGCCTTGCATGCCTGGAATAAATACCACTTGTGCTAAATAATTATTTTTTATATATAGTTGGACATCATCTGCTAATATTCTGTTGAGAATTTTTACATCTGTTTATGAGAGACATTGGTCAGTAGTTTTCCTTTATTGTGTTTTTCTGTGGTGTAGGCCTTATAGTAATGACGGCCTCACAAAATGAATTAAAAAATATTCCTTTCTCTTGCAAAATCTAAAAAACACTGTGGAGAATTCACACAATTTCTTCCTTAAATATTTGGGAAAATTCACTAGTCAACCCATCTGAACTTCATGCTTTCTATTTTGAAATGTCATTATGTAGTTCACGACTGTATATCACTATTCATTTACAGTCACCTGTTGATATGGTTAGGCTTTGTGTCCCCACCCAAATCTCACCTTGAATTATAATTCCCATAATCCCCATTATCCCCACGTGTCAAGGGAGAGACCAGGTAGAGGTAATTGAATCATGGGTGCAGCTTCCACCATGCTATTATTGTGACAGTGAGTGAGTTCTCATGAGATCTGACGGCTTTATAAGGGGCTATTCCCCCTTTGCTTGGCACATCTCTTTCCTGCTGCCTTGTGAAGATGGTGCCTTGCTTTCCCTTTGCCTTCCACCATGATTGTAACTTTTCTGAGGTTTCCGCAGCTATGTTGAACTGTGAGTCAAATAAACCTCTTTCTTTTATAAATTACCCAGTCTCAGGCAGTTCTTTATAGCAGTATGAAAACTGACTAATACACCAGTCAACAAATCTTAGTTTGTTTCCATATTTTGGCTATTATGAATGAACAATGAGCATAGGAGTGCAGATTTTTCTGTGAGGTCCTGATTTCATTTCCTTTGGGTATATACCCAGAAGAGGAATTTCTGGGTCATATGGTAGTTCCATTTTTAACATATTGAGGAACCTCCATACGATATTCCATAATGGCTTGAATTTAATTTGCTAGTCTTTTCCTAGTATCCTCTGGTAGAAGAAGCTCAGATCCTCAATTTTAGATCTTTATTGTTGTATAACATATGCATTCAATGCTATGAATTTCCCTCTAATCACTTCTTTTACTGCATCCCACAAATTTTAATAATTAGTATTTTCATTTTTGTCTAGTTAAAATTATTTTTTAAATTCTCTTGATGGGATTCTTTTTTCTTGGTAATTTGTTTGAATTCCTTGTAGATTCTGGATATTAGTCCTTTGTCAGATACACAGATTGTGAAGATTTTCTCACTCTGTGGGTTGTCTGTTTACTCCGCTTATTGTTTCTTTTGCTGTGCAGAAGCTTTTTAGTTTAATTAAGTCCCACCTATTTATCTTTGTTTTTGTTGCATTTGCTTTTGGGTTTTGGTCATAAAGTCTTTGCCTAAGCCAATGTCTAGACGGGATTTTCCCATATTATCTTCTAGAATTTTTATGGTTCCCAGTCTTAGAAGATTAAAATCTTTGATCCATCTCGGGTTGATTTTTATATAAGGTGAGAGATGATGATCCAGTTTCATTCTTCTACATGTGGCTTGCCAATTATCCCAGCACCCTTTGCTGAATAGGGTGTCCTTTCCTCAGTTTATCTTTTTGTTTGCTTTGTTGCAGATCAGTTGGCTGCAAGCATTTGGGTTTATTTCTAGGTTCTCTATTCTGTGCCATTGGTCTATGTGCCTATTTTTATGCCAGTACCATGCTGTTTTGGTGACTATAGCCTTATAGTACAGTTTGAAGTCAGGTAATGCGATGCCTCCAGATTTGTTCCTTTTGTTTAGTCTTGCTTTGGATTTGTGGGGTCTTTTTTGGTTCCATGTAAATTTTAGGATTTTTTTTCTAGTTCTATGAGGAATGATAGTGGTATTTTGATGAGAATTGCATTAAGTTTGTAGATTGCTTTTGGCAGTATGGTCATTTTCACAATATTGATTCTAGCCATCCATCAGCATGGGATGTATTTCTATTTGTTTGTGTCATATATAATTTCTTTCAGTAGTGTTTTGTAGTTTTCCTTGTAGAGGTCTTTCACCTCCTTGGTTAGGTATATTCCTAAATATTTTATTTTATTTTGCAGCTATTGTAAAAGGAGTTGAGTTCTTGATTTGATTCCTCTTGGTCGCTCTTGGTGTACAGCAATGCTACTGATTCAGGTACATTGATTTTGTACCCTGAAAATTTACTGAATTCATTTTTGAGTTCTACAAGCCTTTTGGATGAGTCTTTAGGGTCTTCTAAAGATATGATTATATTATTGGCGAAAAGTGACAGTTTGACTTTCTCTTTACTAATTTAGATTACCCTGATTTCTACCTCTTGTCTGATTGCTCTGGCTAGGACTTCCAGTACTATGTTGAATAAAGAGGTGAAAGTGGGCATCCTTCTCTTGTTCCAGTTCTCAGGTGGAATGCTTTCAACTTTTTCCCATGCTGTATAATGTTGGCTCTTTGTTTGTCATAGATGGCTTTTATTACCTTAACTATGTCCCTTATATGATGTCATTGCTGAGGGTTTTGCTCATAAAGAGTTGTTAGATTTTGTCTTCTTTTTCTGCAGCTATTGAGACAATCACATAATTTTTTTTAATTATGTTTATGCAGTGTATCACATTTATTGACCTGTATATGTTAAATCATTCCTGGATCTCTGGTATGAAACCCACTTGATCATGGTGGATTATCTTTTTGATATGCTGTTGGATTCAGTTAGCTAGTATTTTGTTGAGACTTTCTACATCTATCTTCATCAGGGATATTGGTCTGTATTTTCCTTTTTTTGTTATGTCCTTCCCTGGTTTTGGTATTAAGGTGATACTGACTTCATAGAATGATTTAGGGAGGATTCTCTCTTTCTTTATCTTTTGGAATAGTGTCAATAGAATTGCTACCAGTTTTCATTTGAATGTCTGATAGAATTCAGCTGTGAATCTCTCTGGTCCTGGACTGTGTGTGTGTCTGATTATTATTATTATTTATTTCAATAAGTTTTTTGGGAACATATGGTGTTTCATTACACGAATAGTTCTTTAGTGGTAATTTTTGAGATTTTGGTGCACCCATCACCTGAGCAGTGTATACTGTACCCAAATGTGTAGTCTTTTATCCCTCGCCAGTCTCTGCCCTTTCCCCGAGTCCCCAAATTCCAATGTATCCTTATGTCTTTGCTTCCTCATAGCTTAGTTCCCACATCTGCGTGAGAACATAAGATATCTGGTTTTCCATTCCTGAGTTACTTCACTTAAAATGAGTCTCCAATTCTATACAGGTTGCTGCAAATGCCATTATTTCATTCATTTTTATGCCTGAGTAGTATTCCATGGTATACATATACTGCATTTATTTATTCATTCGTTGACTGATGGGCAATAGAGTTGGCTCCCTATTTTTGTAATTGCAAATTGTGCTGCTATAATCATGCATGTGCAGGTATCTTTTTCGTATAATGACTTTTTTTCCTCTGGGAAGATACCTAGTAGTAGGATTGCTGGATTAAACAATAGATGTACTTTTAGTTCTTTAAAGGATCTCCACACCCTTTCTGGATATATTTTTGCTGGCATTTTTTTTTATTACTGTTTCAATCCCGCTACTTCTTATTGGTCTGTTAAGAGATTCTATTTCTTCCTGGTTTAATGTAGGAGGGCTGTATATTTCCAGGAATTTATCTATCTCTGCAAGGTTTCTAGTTTGTGCGTGTAAAGGTGTTCATAGTAGCCTTAAATAATCTTTTGTATTTCTGTGGTTTTAGTGGTAATTTCTCTCATTTCATTTCTAATTTAGCTTATTTGGATCTTCTCTATTCTTTTCTTAGTTAATATCACTAATATTCTCCTAATTTTGTTTATCTTTTCAAAGAACCAGCTTTTTGTTTTATCTTTTGTCCTTTTTTTGTTTGTTTCAACGTAATTTAGTTCTGCTCTGATCTGTGTTATGACTCTTCTTCTGTTGGGTTTGGATTTGGTTTGTTCCCATTTCTCTAGTCCCTTGAGGTGTGACCTTACTTTGTCTATTTGTGTTCTTTCAGACTTTTTGAGATGGACATTCAATGCTCTGAACGTTCCTCTTAGCACTGCTTTTCCTGTATTCCAGAGGTTTTGATAAGTTGTGTCACTATTAGCGTTCAGTTCAAATAATTTTTTAAATTTCCATCTTGATTTTATTGTTGACCCAATAATCACTCAGGAGCAGGTTATTTAATTTCCATGTATTTGCATGGTTTTTAAGGTTCATTTTGGAGTTGATTTCCAATTTTATTCCACTATAGCCTGAGAATACTTAATATAATTTCAATTTTCTTAAATTTTATTCCACTGTAGTCTGACAATACTTAATATCATTTCAATTTTCTTAAATTTACTGAGACTTGTTTTGTGGCCTAACCTATGATCTATCTTGGATAAATTTTCATGTGCTGATGAATAGAATGTATATTCTGCAGTTTTTGGGTAGAATGTTCTGTAAATATCAGTTTAGTCCTTTTTTTTTTCTAGGATATAGGTTAAGTTCATTGTTTCTTTGTTGACTTTCTGTCTTTATGACCTGTCTAGTGCTGTCAGTTGAGTAATGAAGTCCCCCTTTATCACTGTGTTGCTGTCTATCTCATTTCTTAGGTCTAGTACTTATAGTTTTGTAGATTTGAAAGCTCCTGTGTTAGCTGCATATATATTTAGGATTGTGATATTTTCCTGTTGGACAAGTCCTTTTATCATCATATAATGTCCCTCTTTGTTCTTTTTGACTATTGTTGCTTTACAGTCTGTTTTCTCTGATATAAAAATAGCTACTCCTGCTCACTTTTAGTGTACATTTGCATGGAATATCTTTTCCCACCCCTTTACCTTAACTTTATGTGAGTCCTTATGTGTTAGGTGAGTCTTCTGAAGATAGCAGATAGTTGGTGAATTCTTCTCCATTCCTCCATTCTGTTTCCTTTAGGTGGAGCATTTAGGGCATTCAACATTAGTATTGAGAAGTGAGTTACTATTCTATTCATTGTTTTAGTTGTTGCCTGAATACCTTGTTCTTTTTTGTCATTATGTTATTGTTTTACAGGTCCTGTAAGATTTATGCCTTTATGAGGTCCTATTTTGATGTATTTCAAGGATTTGTTTCAAGATTTAGAGCTCCTTTTATCACTTCTTGTAGTGCTGGCTTGGTAGTGGTGAATTCTTTCAGCATTTGTTTTCTGAAAGGGACTATATCTTTCCTTTATTTATGTAGCTTAGTTTTGCCGAATACAAAATTCTTGGCTGATAATTTTCTTGTTTAAAGATGCTAAAGATAGGACCTCAATGTTTTCTAGCTTGCAAAATTTTTGCTGAGAAATCTGCTGTTCATCTGATAGGTTTTCCTTTATAGGTTACATGATGCTTTCACCTCAGGGCTCTTAAGATTCTTTCCTTCATCTTGACTTTAGAGAATCTCATGATTATGTGGCTAGTTGATGATCTTTTGGCAATAAATTTCCTGGGCGTTCTTTGAGCTTCTTGTACTTAGATGTCTAGATCTCTAGCTATGCCTGGGAAGTTTTCCTCAATTATTCCCTCAAATATGTTTTCCAAACTGTTATCTTTCTTTTTTCCCTTGGGAACACCAATTATTCTTAGGTTTGGTCATTCAACATAATTTCAAACTTCTTGGAGGCTTTGTTCATTTTTTAAATTCTTTGTTCTTTGTCTTTCTTGGATTGGGTTAATTCAAAAGCCTTGTCTTCGAACTCTGATGTTCTTTCTTCTACTTGTTTGATTCTATTGCTGAGACTTTTCAGTGGATTTTGCATTTCCCTAAGTGTATCCTTGATTTCCAGAATTTGTGATTTTTTATTTATGCTATGTATTTCTCGGGAAATTTTTCTGTTCATTCCCTGTATCTTTTTTTTTTATTTCTTTAAGTTGGTATTCACCTTTCTCTGGTCCCTCCATGAGTAGCTTAATAACTGACCTTCTGAATTCTTTTTCTGGCAATTCAGAAATTTATTCTTGGTTTGGATCCATTGCTGGTAATCTACTGTGATCTCTCGGGGTGTGTTAAATACACTTATTTTGTCACATTGCCAGAATTGCTTCTCTGGTTTCTTCTCATTTGGGTACACTATGTCAGAGCGAAGATCTGGGGCTCAAGAGCTGTTGTTCAGATTTTTTTTTGTCCCAAGGTGTGATCCCTTGATGTTGTGCTCTTTCCCTTCCCCTAGTATTGAAGTTTCCTGAGAACTGAACCACAGTGATTGTTATTTCTCTTTTGGGTCTAGGCACCCAGCAGAGCTACCAGACTCCAGGGTGGTACTGAGAAATATCTGGAAAGAGTCCTGTGGTGTGATCCATCTTCCAGTTTCTCAGCTGTCGATACCATCACCTGCTTTTTCTGTGTTTATTTAGATGATCATGTAATTTCTCTTGAGAATTCTTCTTTGACCTATGAATTATTTACAGGAATGTTGCTTCATGTCAAAGTATTTGAATGATGTTTCAGCTTTCTGTTATTTTATTGTATTTTTTGAGACAGGGTCTTGCTCTGTTGCCCATGCTTGAGTGCAGTGGCACAGTCATGGCTCATTACAGTTTTGACTGTTCAGGTTTAAGTGATCCTCCTACCTCAGCCTCCTGAGTATCTAAGACCACAGGCAAGTACCACTATGCCCAGCTAATTTTTTATTATCTGTAGAGACAAAGTCTTGCTATGTTGCTCAGGCTGGTCTCAAACTCCTGGGCTCAAGCAATCCTCCTACCTTGGCCTCTGAAAGTTCTGGGATAACAGGAATAAGCCACCATGCCTGGCCTCTTTCCATTACTGATTTCCAGTTATTCTCAATAGTAAACTGAGAATATATATTGTATGCTTTAAAAAAAAAAAAACTTCTATTTTAAGTTCAGAGGTACATGTGCAGGTTTGTTACATAGGTAAATATGTGCCAGAGTAGTTTGCTTGTTGCACAGATCATCCCATCACCCAGATATTCAGCCCAGCATCCATTAGATCCTCTCTCTCTTCCAACCCTCCACCCTCCAGTAAGCCCCAGTGTATGTTGCTTCCCTCTATGTATCCATGTGTTCTCATCATTTGGCTCCCACTTATAGTGAGAACATGCCGTATTTGGTTTTCTTTTCCTGTGTTAGTTTGCAAAGGATTATGGCCTCCAGCTCCATCCATGTCCCTGTAAAGGACATGATCTCATTCTTTTTTGCATGCTGTTTATTCTCTTAAACTATTTAATTTGTTTTATGGCCCAGAATGTGATTTTTCTTGAATTTTCCATGTGAGATAAAGAATTGTGTTCTGTTGTGACTAGTAGTCCATAGATGTTAATTACATCAAACCGACTGATTTGGTAGTCCAGTTAAATTATGTCTTTACTGATTTCTGCCTCATCTTTCCATTTATAATATAGAACTTTTAAAGTCTTCATATGTAATAGCAGATTCATCTGTTTCTTCTTGTATTTCTCATAATAAGTTGTCACCTCACATATTTTGACATCTTATTGTTAGTTTCATACATATTCAGGATTGTTATGTCTTTAGAGAATTAATCCCTTCATCATTATTTAATGCTCCCTTTTATCCCTGATAATTTCCCTTACTGTAAAATCTGCTAAGTCTGAAATTAACGCAGGTAATGTTCTTTTAATTAGTGTTAGCATTGTATATATTTCTCCATCTGTTGTTTAAAAACTATTATTTTGGTAAAAGTACTTAACTTGAAATCTACCCTTTAACAAATTTTAAAGTATAGTGTACAGTATTAACTATAGACATAATATTGTAGATATCTAGAATTTAATTATCATCACTAATTAAAAAATTATACCCACAGAATAACAACTACCCATTCTCACCAGCACCCACTCCTTAGCAACCACCATTTTACACTCTGGTTCTATGTGTCTCAATATTTTACATGCCTTATATAAGTAGAAGCATATAGTAATTGTCATTCTGTGACTGGACTATTTCACTTGGAATAATTTCCTCAAGGTTCATTTATGTTGTCACATATGGCAGCATTCCTGCTTTTTGAAGACTGAATAATATTCCATTGTGTGTACATACTACATTTTGTTTATCTATACATCCACTGATGAACATTTAAAAGTTTCCACATCTTGGTATTTTCAATAGTACTGCAATTCACATGATAGTGAAAATATCTCGTTAAAATCACCATTTTAATTCTTTTGAATAAATACCAAGAAGTAAATTTTTAAATATTATTTCTTAATATTTCTATTTTACTGTGTCGGGGAATTTCCATACTGTTTACATAGTGGTTGCACAATTTTACAGTTCAATAAGCACTGTACAGGGACTCAATTTCTCCACATTCTAGCCAACACTTATTTTTGTTTGCTTTATAATGGCCATCACAAAAGATGTGAAGTGATATCTCATTTTGTTTTTTCTTATTTATATTTTAATTTGTTCAAATTCAGAGACTACATAAGAATTTTTTTACATGTATTTAAGGCATAGTGATCAAGTCACGGTATTTAGCATGTCCATCACCAAAATCAAATACATTTTTATAGTCATCTTACTCTGCTATCAAACATTGAATTTATTCCTTTTATCTTACTTTATGTTTGTACCCTTTAACACACTTCTCTTCATCCTTCCATATCCCCCCATTCACCTTTCCAGTCTGTATTATATATTTTTCCACACTCTACCTCCTTGTGTTCAAATTTTTTTACTCCTACATGTAAGTGAGAATATGTGGCATTTGTCTTTTTGTGCCTGGCTTATTTCACTTAAGATGATGACCTCTAGTTCCATCCATGTTGCTGAAAATGACGTGATTTCATTATTTTTTAATGGATAAAACTATTCCATTGTGTATATGTATATTTTCTTTGCCCATTCATCTATTGAGGAATACTTGGGTTGAATCCATATCTTTGGTATTGTGAATAATGCTCCAATTAACATGAGTGCAGGTATTCCTTTGATATATTGATATCTTTTCCTTTGGGTAGATACCCAGTAGTAGGATTGCTTAAGTGAATGGTAATTCTACATATAGGTTTTTTTTATTTATTTACTTTTTTCGGAAGTCTCAACATTGTTTTCCATAGTGTTTGTATCAGTTTACATTCCCTCCAACAGTATATAAGCAATTCTTTTTCCCCACATCTTTGCCAAAATGTGTTTTTTGTTTTTGTTTTGTGTTTTTTTAAATAGCCACTCTGCCTGGCATAAGATAACATCTTATTAGGTTTGATATTCATTTTTCTGGTGATTAGTGATGTTCAGCATTTTTCATATATCTGTTAACCATTTTGCATATCACCTTTTAAGAAATATCTATTCATGTTCTTTGCCCACATTAAATGGAATTATTTGTGTTTTCCTGTTGATTTGTTTGAGTTTGTTTTATATTCTGGATATTGGTCCCCTGTCAGATAAATAGGTTGGAAATATTTTCTGCCATTCAATAGGTTATCTCTTCATTCTGTTATTATTATTATTATTTTTTACTACATAGAAGCTTTTTAGTTTAAGCCCCATTTCTCTATTTTTGCTTTTGCTGACTATACTCTTGAGGATGGATAATAAATCCCTTGCTTACGACAATGTCCAGGACAATTTTATCTGTTTTCTTCTAATAGTATTATAGTTTTGGGTGTTATGTTTAAACTTAAACATTTTGGGTTGATTTATGCACATAGTGTGAGATAGAAGTCAAGTTTCATTCTTTTGCATATGACTGTCCAACATTCCCAGCACCATTTATTGAAGAGTGTCCTTTTCCCTAATGCAAATTCTTGTCAGCTTTGTCTAAGAATAGTTGGCTGTATGAATTTATTTCTTGATTCTCTATTCTGTTCCATGGATCAATGTCTCTATTTTTTACCAATACCATGCTGTTTTGGTTACTATAGCTTTTATATATAATATCAAATTAGATATTATGAATATAAAATATTTATAATTATATAACATAAAATATATACATAATAATATATACATGTACTCCCTGAACCTAAAATGAAATTTGAAATAATTTAAACATGTGCAGGTTTGTTACATGGGTAAATTGCATGTCACCGAGGCTTGGTTATGAATAATCTCATCATCCAGGAAGTGGGTATAGTATCTGATAGGTAGTTGTTCAACCCTCGCCCTCCTCCCAACCTGTAATATATTTTCAGGTTAGATAATATGATGTTTGCATTTTTGTTCACTTTTCTCAGGATTGCTTTGGCTATTCAGGCTCTGTTTGTGTTCCATGTGAATTTTTAAATTTTCTTTTTTCTAACGTTGTGAATAATGCCACTGTTATTTTGATTGGGATTACATTGAACTTGTAGATAGCTTGGGCAATATGGTCACTTTAATAACATTAACTTTTCTGACCCATAAACATGGGATATTTTTTCATTTGATTATGTCATATTCAGTTTCTTTCATCTGTATTTTGTAGTTTTCCTTGCACAGATATTTTACCTCCTATATTAAATTTATTCTTAAGTATTTTTTTCTTTTTGTAGCTATTGTAAATGGGATTGTCTTCTTCATTTCCTTCTCAGCTAGAACATTTTTAATGTATAAAAATGCTAATATTTGTATGTTGATTTTGTATCTTGTAACATTACTAAATTTATTTATTAAATCTAAGTGTTCTTTTGTGAAGTCTTCAGATTTTCTAAATATAAGACAACATCATAAGCCAAGAGAGACAATTTGACTTTCTTTTTTCGAATTTGGATACTTTTTACTTTTTTCCCTTGCCTGATTGCTCTAGCTAGGACTTCTAGTACTGTGCTGAATAGAAGTGGTGAAAGTGGGCATCCTTGTCTTATTCGAGATATAAGAGGAAAGGCTTTCAACTTTTCCCCACTCAGTATCACATTAGCTGTGGATTTATCATATATGGCTTTTTGTTGAAATTTATTAAGTGCTTTTTCTGCATCTATTGAGACAGTCATATTGTTTTTGTCCTTTATTCTGTCATGTGACGTATCACATTTATTCTTTTATACACGTTAAACCATAACTGCATCCCTTGCATAAATCCAATCTGATTTTGGTGTATTACTTTTTCATGCACTGTTTTATTTGGTCTGCTAGTACTTTACTCAGAATTTTAGCATCTTTATTCATCAGGGATATTGGCCTGCAGTTTTCTTTTTTTCTTGTGTCCTTGTCTGGTTTTTGCCTCAGGGTAATTGCTGGCCTTATTGAATGAGTTATGGAGAATTCCCTTCTCTTCACTTTTTTGAAATAGCTTCAGGAGGATTGGTATAAGTTCTTTGTACATTTTGGTAGAATTAAGTGAATCCACCTGGTACTTGGCTTTTCTTTGTTGGAAGACATTTTATTATTAAGTAAATCTCACTACTTGTTATTGGTCTGTTCATATTTTCGGTATCTTCCTCGTTAAATATTGGGAGGTTGTATGTTTCCAGGAATTTATCCATTTCCTCAAGGTGTGCAAAGTTGTCAGCATGTAGCTGTTCATAATAGTCTCTGGTGATATATATATATATATATATGTATATAAAATTTCAGTGGTATCAGCTGTAATGTCTCTTTTTCACTTCTGATTTTGCTTATTAGGGTCCTCTCTCATCTTGGTTAGTCTAGCTAGTGGATTGTCAATTTTGTTTATCTTTTTGAAGAACCAACTCTTTGCTTCATTGCTACTTTGTATTTTTTAGCCATCATTAATTCTGCTCTGATACTTATTATCTCTTTTCTTCTACTAATCTTGGTTAGGTTTTGTCTAGTTCCTTGAGGTGCATTGTTACATTGTTAATTTGCATTTTTTTGCAGTTTTTAAATGTAGGCATTTATTTCTATTAACTTTCCTCTTGCCACTGCTTTCGATGTATCTCACAGATTTTGAAATATTTCCATTTTCATTTGTTTCAAGGAATTTCTTTTTGTAAAGATGGGGTCTCACTATGTTGAGCAGGCTGATCTCAAACTCCTAGACACAAGCAACATCCTAGACCTGCCTCGGCCCCCCAAAGTGCTGGGATTACAGGTGTGAGCCACCACACCTGGCCTCAAGGAATTTCTTAATTTCTATCTTCATTTCTTTCTCAATAGTTATACTCAAGCACATTTAATTTCCCTGTGCTTGTATAGCTTCCCAATTTCTCTTGGTATGAATTTCCAGTTTTATTCCATTGTGGTCTGAAAAGATATTTGATGTAATTTCAAATTTTTAAAATATGTTGAGACTTGTTTTGTGCCCCAAATATTATCTACCCTAAAGAATGTTCCATGTGCTGATAAACATAAAGTATATTCTGCAGTTGTTGAATAGAATGATCTGTAAATGTTTGTTAGGTTCACTTGGCCAAAAGTGCAGTTTAAATCTGATTTTTTTCTTATTGATGTTCTGTCTAGATAATCTGTCTAATTCTGGGAGTGGGGTGTTGGGAGTCCCACACTGTTACTGTATTGCAGTTAATCTCTCTAGATCTAGTAACATTTGCTTTATGAATCTGAGTGCACCGGTGTTGGGTACTTACATATTTATAATTGTTATATCCTCTTGCTTGATTGATTCATTTATCATTATATAATGATTTTGTCTTTTTTGTTTACTGTTTTGACTTAAAATTTGTTTTTCCTGATATGAATATAGCTACAACTACTTGCTGTCGGTTTCCATTTGCGTGGGATAACTTTTTCCATCCCTTTACTTTCACATGTGTATACATGTGTGTGTGCTGGTAAGGACAGTTTTTTTGTGAGCAGCATATTATTGAATCATGTCTTAAAATAAATATATTTTATACATATATACACCTATGTATATAAGTATAAAATATATATGTATATGCATTTGATTCTTGGAAATGCTTTATTTTTCCTTCATTTCTGAAGAATATATGTATAGGTATGTATTATATACGTGTGTGTGTGTATATACACACACATCCAGATATTCTATATTTTTTTCTCAACTTTTATTTTAGGTTCAAAGGGTACATGTGCAGGTTTGTTACATGGGTAAATTGTGCATCACTGATATTTGCTATGTAAATTATCCCATCACCCAGGTAGTAGGCATAGTACTTGATAGGTAGTTTGCAACCCTTCCTTCCCTCCAAGCTCCCTGCTCTCATATTCTCCAGTGTCTGTTGTTCCCATCTTTATGTGTACCCAATGTTTAGCTCCCAATAATCAGTGAGAACATGTGGTATTTGGTTTTCTGTTTCTGTGTTACTTTACTTAGGAGAATGGCTTCCAGCTGCATCCATGTTGCTGCAAAGGACACAGTTTCATTATGTTTTTATGGCTACATAGTATTCCATGGTTTATTTGTACCACACTTGCTTTATCCAGTTCATTGTTGATGGGCATCTAGGTTGATTCCATGTCTTTGCTATTGTGAATATTCATATGTTTAACATATGAGTGCATGTGTCTTTTTGGTAGAATAATGTATTTTTCTTTGGGTATATATCAAGTAATGGGATTTCTGGATTGAATGGTAGTTCCGTTTTAAGTTCTTTGAGGAATCTCCAAACTGCTTTCTATAGTGGCTATCTTTTAAAAGGAAAATTGAACCCATTTACATTCAAGGTTGTTATTAATATGTGAGGCTTTATTCTGTCATATTCTTAATATTTTTGGTTGTTTTCTATATTCTGTGTTCCTTTCTTTTTCTCTTATTGCCATTGTGGATTGGTAAATTTCCATAGCGGTGCCATTTGGGTCCTTTTTGTTCTTCCTTTTCTTGCTTGCTTTCCTAATAAATTTTATACTTAATGTGATTACATAATGGTGAATGCTGTCCTATCACTTCTAGGTTTAAGACTCCCTTGAACATCTGTTGTAGTACTAGTGTAGTGGTAACAAATTCGCTCAGCATTTGTTACTTGGAAATGCTTTATTTTTCTTTTGTTTCTGAAAAATAATTTTGTTGTTGGGTGGCAGTATTTTTTTGTCAGCACTGTGAATATATCATCCCATTATCTTCTGGCCTATAAGGTCTCTGCTGAGAAATCCACTGTTAGTCTGATGGGGTTTACTTTTTTGGTGACTAGATACTTTTATCTTGCTGTTTTTAGAATTTTCTTTTTAAACTTTTACTTTAGACAGCTTGATTATCATATGGTGTGGGGAAGACTTTTGTGCACTTGAAGTTCTATGCCTGGGGTTCCCTGAGGCTCCCGTATCTGAATGTCTAAATCTCTTGCTAGAAGGCATGAGAATGATACCATGGACTTTGGGCACTCAAGGGAAAGGGTGGGAGAAGGGTAAGGGATAAAATACTATACATTAGGTACTGTGTACATTACTCAAGTGAAGGGTGTACCAAAATCTCAGAAATCACTGCTAAAGAACTTATCCATGTAACCAAACACCACCTGTCTCCCAAAAACTATTGAAATAATAATAATAATAATAATAATTATTCTCTTGCTAGACTTGGAAAGTTTTCTTCTATTATTTTATTAAATAGGTTTTCTAATCGTTTCTTTGTTTCTTTGACCTAGGTGATAGCAATAATTTGTAAATTTGGTCACTGTATGTTTTCCCAAAAGTCATGAAAGATTTGCTCATTCATTTTCATTTATTTTTATTTAATTGGAGTATTTCAAAAGACCTTCAAGTTCTAAGATTCTTTCTTCTACATGGTTTCATCCATTATTGCAGCTTTCAAATATAGTTTTTATTTCTTTCAATGAATTCTGCAGTTTCATAATTTCTATTTGGTTCTTTTAAAAATATCTGTCTCTAGTAAATTTCTTTTTTTTTTTGAGATGGAGTTTCACTCTTTTTGTTTAGGCTGGAGTGCAATGGCACAATCTCAGCTCACTGCAACCTCTTCCTCCCACGTTCAAGTGATTCTCCTGCCTCAGCCTCCCAAGTAGATGGGATTACAGGCACATACAACCACGCCCAGATAATTTTGTATTTTTAGTAGAGACAGGGTTTCACCATGTTGGCCAGGCTGTTCTGGAACACCTGACCTCAGGTGATCTGCCTGCCTCAGCCTCCCAAAGTGCTGAGATTACAGGCATGAGCCACCGTGCCCGGCCTTGTCTCTGGTTAAATTTCTTATTCATATCCTGAATTGTTTTTCTGATTTCTTTATATTGTTTTTCAAAATTCCCTCTATCTCACTGAGATTGTTTAAAACCAGTCTTTTAAATTCCTTATCTGGGATTCCAAAAATTTCTTCTGATTAAGATCTATTACTGGAGAATTGTTACATTTCTTGGAAAGGTTTCATATTTCCTTGCTTTTTCGTGTTTTTTTTTTTTTTTGTGTGTGTGTGTGTCCTTACATTGATATCTGTACATCTGGTATAATAATTACTTCCTATTTTTGAATTTACTTTCATAGAGGAGGACTATCATGAAAATGAATCTATGGTAATGGCTGGGTTAGGTACTTTGTCTTTGATTCTAGGTGCAAATAATAGCATACTCTCTGTATAATTTATTTGGCTATAAGATGAAAAGTGCACATCCCCCTCACTCCTCAGTCCTGCTGGGGATCGATCCCCCATCCTGGCTGAAAGAGCCCACACTCAGTTGAGAACCAAGTCCAAGTAGTAACTCGAACACCACTCACATCCTTGTATCAAATATCAGCAGCACAGTGTTCAATTATTGACACTGGGAACTGCCACCCAGGCTTCACCCACTTCCTGACCCTGGCTGTAGAATTGCTCCCAGTTTGCTCCCCATCCTAGTAGCAACAGCCCAAATTTCCATAATGCTCCAGTCCCAGTGTCACTGGGTAGCATGACAGTGTACAGTTGCCACTGGCTACTTTTGAAAATGACACCTTTCTTTAGCGGCTTCTGTGTCAGAAAGGGTGTGGAATCTAGTGCTAGCTCCCTTCCTGGAGCAGTTCTGTCCCAAGGCTTCCCGGCAGCCTCCTGAGACTTTGCTGAAGTCGCTTATCAGCTTAAGGAGATTTTGGACTGAGATGATGGGGTTTTCTAAATATATAATCATGTCATCTGCAAAGAGGAACAATTTGACTTCCTCTTTTCCTAATTTATTACCCTTTATTTCTTTCTCTTGCCTGATTGCCCTGGCCAGAACTTCCAACACTATGTTGAATAGGAGTGGTGAGAGAGGGCATCCCTGTCTTGTGCCAGTTTTCAAAGAGAATGCTTCCAGTTTTTGCCCATTCAGTATGATAATGGCTGTGGGTTTGTCATAAATAGCTCTTATTATTTTGAGATATGTTCCATCAATACCTAGTTTACTGAGAGTTTTCAGCATGAAGGGCTGTTGAATTTTGTCGAAGGCCTTTTCTGCATCTATTGAGATAATCCCGTGGTTTTTGTCTTTGGTTCTGTTTATGTGATGGATTACGTTTATTGATTTTCATATGTTGAACCAGCCTCGCATCCCAGGGATGAAGCCAGCTTGATCTTGGTGGATAAGCTTTTCGATGTGATGCTGGATTCGGTTTGCGAGAATTTTATTGAGGATTTTTGCATCGATGTTCATCAGTGATATTGGTCTAAAATTCTCTTTTTTTGTTGTGTCTCTGTCAGGCTTTGGTATCAGGATGATGCTGGCCTCATAAAATGAGTTAGGGAGGATTCCCTCTTTTTCTATTGATTGGAATAGTTTCAGAAGGAATAGTATCAGCTCCTCTTTGTACCTCTGGTAGAATTCGGCTGTGAATCCGTCAGGTCCTGGACTTGTTTTTGTTGGCAGGCTATTAGTTATTGCCTCAATTTCAGAGCCTGATATTGGTCTATTCTGCAAATCAACTTCTTCCTGGTTTAGTCTTGGGAGGGTGTAGGTGTCCCAGAATTTATCCATTTCTTATACATTTTCTAGTTTATTTTTGTAGAGGTGTTTATAGCATTCTCTGATGGTAGTTTGTATTTCTCTGGGATCGGTGGTGATATCCCCTTTATCATTGTTTATTGCCTCTATTTGATTCTTCTCTCTTTTTTTCTTTATTAGTCTTGCTGTCTACGAATTCTGTTGATGTTTTCAAAAAACCAGCTCCTTGATTCATTGCTTTTTTGAAGGATTTTTTTGAGTCTCAAAAAGTAATAATTTTACTTCTTCCTTTTTGACTTAGATGCCTTTTATTTTTCTACGTTGCCTTATTGCTCTGGCTAGGACTTCCAGTACCGTTAAATTCAAGTGACATAACGGAAAATCCTTTCCATCTTTATGATTTTAGAGATTTCACTTAATTTTTTGTTGTTGTTGTTGTTTTTGGTTTTCTTTTTTTTGTTGGTTTCTTTTTTTTGAGAGATGAGATCTTGCTGTGTTGCCCAGGCTGTCTTTGAACTACTGGCCTGAAGCAATCATCCCACCTCACCTTCTAAAAGCATTGAGATTACAAGTGTGAACCACTGTGCCTGGCTAAGATTTTGCTTTCTAAGTACTGAGTATAATATTAATTGTGGGCTTTTCATATATAGCCTTTATTATGTTAATTTCCTTCTGCATTAACAGTTTTTCTTTTTTTATCATAAAAGAGTGATGAATTTTCTCAACAGCTTTTTTGGAATCTTTTGAGACAATATATTTTTAAATCATTCTTTAATGTGGTGCATCACATTTATTGGTTTCCCTATGTTTAACCGTCCTTGCGTCCTAGGGATAAATATCATTTGATTGTTGAACTTTCTTAACATTCTGTAGGTTGTCTTTCCACTCTGCTGATTGTCTCCTTTGCTGTGCAGAAACTTTTCCATTTATATTAATCCTACTTGTTCATCTTTGATTTTGTTGCCTGTGTTTTTAAGGTCTTATCTGTCAAATATTTTCGCAGACCAATATCCTGAAGTGTTTACCCTGTGTTTCTTTCTAGCAGTTTTACATTTCAGCTATGACATTTAGGTGTTTGGTCAATTTTGAGTTGATTTTTGTATAACGTAAGAGGTGGGAGTCTAGTTTCGTTCTGCTGCATATGAATGCAGTTTTTCCAGCATCTTTTACCAAAGACACTGTCCTTTCCCTAAGGAGTGTTTGTGAAACATTTGTCAAAGACCAATTGCCTATACAGCCAGGTGCAGTGGCTCATGCCTGTAGTCCTAGCACTTTGGGAAGCCGAGGCAGGTGGAATGCTTGAGGCCAGGAGTTCAAAACCAATCCAGCCTGGCTTACATGACGTAACCCTGTCTAAAAATACAAAAATCAGCCAGATCACACCTGTAATCCCAGCTGCTCAGGAGACTGAGGCATGAGAATCGCTTGAACCTGGGAGGCGGAGGTTGCAGTGAGCCGAAATCGCTCCTCTGCACTCTACCCTGGGGGTGAAAGAGCAAGACTCTGACTCAAAAAAAAAAAAAAAAAAAGTTTGGCTATAGGTATGTGGATTAATTTCTAGGTTCTTCATACTATTTCATTGGTTTATATGTCTTTTTTAATGCCAGTACCATGTTGTTTTGGTTATTACAGCTGTTTAGTATATTTTGAGGTCTGGTAGTGTGATACCTTAGCTTTATTCTTTTTAATCAGAATTACTTTGGCTATTTGTGGTTCCATACAAATTTTGCAATTACTTTTTTATATTTTGTAAGAAATGTCATTGTATTTTGATGGAAATTGCATTGAATCTGTAGATTGCTTTGGGTTGTATTGCCATTTTAACAATATTCTTCCAGATCCATGAGCATAAAATGTCTTTCCATTTGTTTGTATAATCTTTGATTTCTTTTTTCCAAGTTTTATAGTTGTCCATGTAGTCTTTCACCTCCTTGGTTAAATTTATTCCTAGGTATTTTATTTTTTTGGTAGCTATTGTAAATGAGATTGCCTTCTTGATTTCTTTTTCACCTAGTTTGTTGTTCGTGTACAGCAATGCCACTGATTTTTGTCTATTAACTTTGTAACCTGCAAATCTCCTGAATTTGTTTATCAATTCTAACAATTTTCTGGTAGTCAGTCTTTAGGTTTTTCTGTATATGTGACCATGTTGTCTGCAAACAGGGACAATTTTACTACCTTCTTTACAATTTGGATACCCTTTAATTCTTTTTGTTGCCTAATGGGCTTTCAGTACTATGTTGAATAAAAATGGTGAGAGTGGGTATCTTTGTCTTGTTCTAGTTCTTAGAGAAAAAGCTTTCAGGTTTTCCCCATTCAGTAAGATGTCAGCTGTGGGTTTGTCGTTTATAATCTTCATCATGTTATTTGCCTTCTGTACCTAATTTATTAAGAGTTTTTATCATAAAGTGATAATGAATTTTACCAAAAGCTTTTTATGCATCTATTGAGATGATCATATGATTTTTGTTCATAATTCTATTGCTGTGATGCATGATGTTTATTGATTTGCATGTTTTAAACCATATTTGAAGTCCTGGGATAAATCCCATTTGGTCATGGTGTAATCTCCAATGTGTGGTTGAATTCAGTTTCATAGTAATATTTTGAGGATTTTTGTGTGTATATTTGTCAGGGGTATTGACATGTGGTTTTCCTTTTTTGTTGTGTCCTTGCTTGCTTTTGGTTTCAGAGTTATGCTGGCTTCATAAAATGAGTTAAAAAGATTTCTCTCTGCTTCAGTTTTTTGGAATATTTTCAGAACAACTGGCATTAATTTTTTGTTAAGTGTTTGGTAGAATTCAGCAGTTAAGCCATACGATTTCTTTTTAGAAGTGTCTTTTCATGTCCTTGGCCCACTTTTTATTGGGGTTGTTTGTTTTTCTCTTGTAAATTTGTATAAGTTCCTTATAGATGCTGGATAGTAGACCTTTGTAAGATGCATAGTTTGCAAATATTTTCTCCCATTCTGTAGGTTGTCTGTTCAGTCTGTTGATAGTTTGTTTTGCTGTGCAGAAGGTCTTAAGTTCAATTAGATTCCACATGTCTATTTTTGCTTTTGTTGCAATTGCTTTCAGTGTCTTTGCCATGAAATCTTTGCTTGTTCCTATGTCCAGGATGGTATTGGTTAGGTTGTCTTCCAGAGTTTTTATAGTTTTGGGTTTTACGTTTAAGTCTTTAATCCATCTTGAGTTGACCTTTGTATATGGTGTTAAGGATGGGGTCCAGCTTAAATCTTCTGCATATGGCTAGCCAGTTATCCCAACAACATTTATGGAATAGAGAGTCTTTTCCCAATTGCTTGTTTTTGTCAGCTTTGTCAAAGACATACATGTGGCCAACAATCATATGAAAAAAGCTCAATATCACCAATTATGAGAGAAATGCAAATCAAACCAAAATTAATACCATCTCACAACACTCAGAATGGCTATTGTTAAAAAGCAAAAAAAAAAAAAAAAATGCTGGTAAGGTTGCGGAGAGAAGGGAACACTTACACACCATTGGTGAGAGTGGAAATTACTTTTCAACCACTTTGGAAAGCAGTTTGGCAAGTTTTCTTCAAGAGCTAAAAGCAGAAGTACCATTCGACCCAGCAATCCCATTACTGAGTATATATGCAGATGAATAGAAAACATTCTACCATAAAGACTCACACACACAAATGTTCATTAATCACAATACCAAAGGAATGGAATCAATCTAAATGCCCATCAATGATAGATTAAATTAAAAAAATGTAATACACACCATAGAATACTATGCAGCCATAAAAAAGAAGAAGATCATGTCTTTTGCGGGAACATGGATGGAGCTGGAGGCTATTATCCTTAGCAAACTAATGCAGAAATAGAAAACCAAATACTGCATGTTTTCACTTATAAGTGGGAGCTAAATAAGCGCTTATGAACACAAAGAAGGAAACAATAGACACTGGGGTCTACTTGAGGGGGGAGGGTAGGGGGAGGGAGAGGAGCAGAAAAGATAACTATTGAGTACTGGGCTTAATACCTGGATGATAAAATAATCTGAACAAACCCCAGTGACACCTGTGTACCTATGTAACAAACTTTCACATGAATCCCTGAAGCTAAAATAAACATTAAAATAAAAGCCACATGATCCTGGACTTTACTTGTTGAAAGACTGTATTACTGATTCAGTTTTATTTTTATTGTCTGTTTAGGTTTTCTATTTCATCTTAGTTCAATTATTTTTTAAGTGAAAGCAAGATTATCAAAAAAGTAAAGGAATAAAAAATGGCTATTCCATAGGCAGAGCAATGGCTTGAGCTGCTCAACTAAGGATACTTATTATTATTTCTTGATTCTATGCTAAACAGGGAGATTATTCATAAGTTTTCTGGGAAAGGGGTGTGCAATTCCCGGAACTGTGGGTTACTCCCCTTTTTAGACCATATAGGGTAACTTCTTGATGTTGCCATGGCAGTTGTAAACTGTCGTGGCACAGGTGGAAGTGTCTTTTAGCATGCTAATGCATTATAATTAGCATATAATGAGCCACGAGGACAACCAGAGGTCACTGAATGTGTTGTACGTGTCCAGGAGTTTATCCATTTCCTCTAGTTTTTCAAATTTATTGGCATGTATTTGTTTATATTAGTCTTCAATACTCTTTTGTATTTTCATGTTATCCATTGTGATGGATCACACACAATGTTGATAACACAATGTTATCTATTGTGATGGATATTATTTATTTTTGAAGTTGGGTTGCCTTCTTTTAGCTTGTGATTTTATTTAGGTCTTCTTTCATTTTTTTTCTTATTTATTCTATAAATAACGTTTGTCAATTTTGTTTACCTTTTCCAAATAACAACTTTCCTTTCATTGATCTCTTATATTCTTTATTGTCAATTTCATTTATTTCTGCTGTAATCTGTATTAGCTCCTTCCTTCTACTAATTTTGGATTTTGTTTACTTTTGTTTTTCTATTTACTGGAAGTGTATTATTAAATGGTTCATTTGTAATCTTTCCAGTTTTTTGATGTGAGAATTTATTGCCATAAACTTGCCTCTTAATATTGCTTTTACTATTTTTCATAGGTTTTAGTATCTTGTGTTTCTATTTTCATTTGTTTCAAAAAATTTTTATATTTGTTAATGTCTTCCTTCACTCATTGCTTATTGAAAAGCATGTTGTTTAACTGCCATTCACTTGTATCATTTCACATGTTCCTCTTGTTATTGATAACTAGTTTTATTTTATTGTTATTAGATTATATATTTGACATGATTTTGATTTTTTAAATTTTTTTTGAAACTTGTCTCTGTCCTAACATATGGCCAATCCTGTAGATTGTTCCATTTGCTGATTAAAATAATGTGTATTCTACAGCTATTGGGTGAAATATTTTGTAAATGTCTCTTAGGTCCATTTGGTGTATGTTACAGTTTAAATCTGATGTATCTTAGTTGATTTGCTGTCTAAATGGTCTGTCCAATGCTGACATTAGGGTGTTGAACTCCCCAACTATTACCGTATTACAGTCTATCTCTCTCTTTAGATTTAGTAATATTAGCTTTATATACTTAAGGGCTCCAGTGTTGATACACATATATTTACAACTGTTATTTTCTCTTTCTTAATCGATCTCTTTATTATTATATAACTCATTTTTTGTCTCTTTTTAAATCTTCTTGACATAAATTTTGTCTGATATAATTATAGCTACTCTGCTCGCTTTTTGTTTCTGTTTGCATGTAGTACCTTTTTCCATTTCTTCCCTTTCAGTCTACGTGTGTCTTTACAGATGAGGTGAGTTTCTTGTCAGAATATAGTTGGGTCTTGTTTTTTCATCCATTCAGCCAATGTATATCTTTTCAATGAGAAATGTACATTCAAGGTTATTATTGATAGATGAGGACTTGTGCTTGTCATTTTATTGATTGTGGTCTCACCTTTTGCTCTTTACTCACTCTCCTATTATTTATTTTTGAAGTTGGGTTTCTTTCTGTAGTGATAAGGTTTGATTCCTTTTCCTTTATCCTTTGTGTTCAGCTCTACCAGTGAGTTTTATAGTTTCCAGATGTAAGACTCACTTGAGCATTTCTTTTAAAACTAGTCTAGTAGTGATGACTTTCCTTAGTTTTTGCTTGTCTATGGAATATTTTATTTCTCCTTCATTTCCAAAGGATAGCTTTTCTGGAAATAAAATCCTTGGCTTATAGTTTTTTTTTCTGCCAGACACTTTAAATATATCATCTCACTTTATCCTGGCCTGTAAAGTTTCTGATGAGAAATCCACTGTTAGTCTAATGGAGATTCCCTTATATGTGACTTGATGCTTTTCTCTTGCTGGTTTTATAATTCTTTCTTTTTCTTTAATGTTTGACAATTTGACTCTAATGTGTCTTGCAGAGGACCTGTCTGGGTTCAATCTATTTGGGGTTGTTTGAGCTTCCTGGACATAGATGTTCATATCTGTCCTAAGATTTGGAAAGTTTTCTCCTATTATTTCATTCAATATGTTTTCCTCAGCTTTTCCCTTCTCTTTCTGAAACACCCATAATACAAATATTTGTTCACTTAATGGTAATTTATAAATCCTGTAGGCTTTCTTAATTCTTTTTTATTCATTTTTCTTGCTTTTTTGTCTGCCTGTGTTATTTCAAAAGACCTATCTACAAGTTCAGAAAACCTTTATTCTGCTTGGTCTAGTCTGTTGTTGAAGCTCTTAACTGTATTTGTTACTTAATTCATTGAATTAATCACTGAGGAATTGCTATTTGGGTTTTCTCTACATCTATCTCTTGGTTGAATTTTTCATTAAAATCATGGATTGTTTTCCTGATTTTATTGAATTGTCTCACTGCATTCTATTGTATTTCATTGAGTTTCCTTGAGATTATTATTTTGAATACTTTTTCTGAAATCGTGTATATTTTCCAATGATTGGAGTCTGTAGAATTATTCTTTTCCTTTGGACGTTTCATATTATTTGGCTTCTTCATGTTTGATGTATCCCTATGTTGATTTTCACGCATCTGGTGTAAAAGTTGTCTCTTCCAATTTTATGGAGTACATTTTGTAGGAAAAGAGATTTGTATAAATGGGTCTTGAGGTGTTGGTTTTGCGAAGTGCACTCACCTTTCTTCCAGGTGGACACAGTAGTGTGGCCTCTGTAATTTCTTCAGCTGTAATTCAAACTACTAGCATCTGTGAGTTTCTCAGTTGCTTAGGCTGAGTTTGTGGTGGAAGTTGGGCAGCTTGCTAGGCATAAGCTTGCTAAACTATTTCTCAGGTAAGGAATACATGCATGAAGATAGTGGGTCAGTCAACTTTAGCCTGTTTCACTGCACTTGGGACATGGTGCTATTACTCTGATTGGGTGCATAGGCACACAGTTGCTTGACCTACCTAGAGACATGACTGCCAGGAGCAGCCTGCAGGGCTGTTTCTCAGTTCTGGCACTTGGACTGAAGGCTGTTTGGCTGGCCTGGGGGCTTATAGGCCAGTGGTGGCTTATCGTGCTGTTTCTCTGGCTTGGAACATGGGTTCAAGACTACATAGCCAGCCTGAAGGCATGTCTGCCTGAAGTGAACAGAGGGTTGTTTTTCTCAGACCCATGACACAGTTGCACAGCTGCTTAGCTGGCCAGTGGGGCATTTCTATAGAAGGTAGTCCACAGGGCCATCTTATAGTCCTTGGATGTGGACACAGAGCTGCCTGAGTAATCTGAGGATGTGTCCACCACAGGCAGCCTCTAGGATTGTTTCTCAGTCATGGAATATGGATACACTGCTGCTGGCCAGCCTGTGGGTGTGTCTACCAGGGATGGCCCAAGGATCTATTTCTCAGGTCTTGGATGTAGGTGGTAGGCTGCTTGATTGGCCTGGAGCTTGTCTGCCAACAGTCCCTCGGGGCTGTTTCTTAGGTCCAGGACATAGGTTATTGGATGTTTGGCCAGACTGGGGGACTTCCTGCAAGAGGTAACCTGTAGGACTGTTTTTCAGGCCCTTATTGGGGGCACATGGCCATTGGACAGGATAGGAGTGTGTCTGAGTGGGGAGGGTGCTGTGGGGCTGTGGGGCTGTTTATCAGGTTCTGAGTGGGAGCACATAGCCACTTCACTGGTCCACGGGCATATCAGCTTCTTGGAGGTTCAGAAGTCTCTTCTGCTTGGGGTTAGGTAGGCAGCTGTGTGTCTGGCTCAAGAGTGGGTTCATTATGTGTGGGACTGCAGCTCTTGATAGAAGTGTGGCAATGGGGGTTGGTTTTCTTGCTGTGTAGAACCAGAGTCAAAGCCTATTTTGGACTCAGGCTCCACACAGCTGGGGTTGTGACATTCAGTTACCCATGTGGGCTTGGAGTAATAAAGATGGAGCCTCAGTGCTGGAGATATGCAGTAGCTACTGGCCCCTAGAGCAGGCTACACTTAGGCTCTGGTCTCAAAATGGTGCTGAGCTGCTGCAGCTTAGCTCACAGAGCATGGGAAGTGCACATCCTGGGCTCCTAATCTGGGGCAATGCAGCTGCATGAATTCTCAGCAACTCTGCAAACTTGGCCCAGGACATGCAAGGACTGTGGAATTCCCCTATTGTAAGGACTGTAGGTGTTTGCAGTAGAAATGGGGAGTAATGAGGATCTTCTGCTTACTTTTTCCCCACAATGGGGAGTCCCTCCTGACTCCAGGAAGATCCAGTCTGAGTGGGGGAGACAAAGCTGCAGAGACTGGGTGATGCCATTCTGCCCTCCTATACTTCCAATAACCACAGCTGCATCTCCACTCTCCTGCTACACTCCAACAATCTCCTTTGACACTGCAGTAAAATCTTAGCTGTTTATTAATTGCTGTGTTCCCTTCTTGGGTAAGGAAGATGAATACAAGGCATCTCTAGTCAGCCATCTTGAAGATGTTACTCCTGTTTTTAATTTCTGAAGTTTAGTTTTGGCAGGCATTGTATCCATATTTGGCAAGTTTTTTTTCCTTTCAGTATTTTGAATCTATCATTCCACTCCCTTATGTTTTGCAATGTTTCTGCTTAGAAATTCCCTGATTATCTTATGGGTTTTCTTTTTTGTCACAAGTCATTTTTGTCTTGCTGCTTTCAAAATTCTTTGTTTCTAACTTGACAATTTGATTATAATGTGTCTTACTGTGGATGTCTTTGGGTTCATCTCATATCGGACACAGTGAGTTTCCTGGACTTGACTGGCCATTTGTTTCTCCAGACTTGGGAAGTTTTTATCCATTATGCCTTTAAATAAAAATTTTACTCCTTTCTCTTTCTCTTCTCTTTCTGGGACTCCATTATGCATATATTTGCTTGTTTGATCATGTGCCACAAGTCCCTTAAGCTTCTTTACTCTTTTCCTTTTTTTTTCTATTCAGACAGGATAATTTCCAATGATCTGTCTTCTACTACACTGGCATTTCTTCTGTTTGATCTAGTCCACTGTTGAAACTCTCTAGTGAATTTTTCAGTTCAGTTATTGTATGCTTCAGCTCCCAGATGTCTATCTGATACATTTCTTTTTAAAACTTTGGAACTGTTTGCTACATTTCTTTTAAAATTTTGGAACTAAACACTTAATCTTTTCTTTAGATTGTGTCAATATAATTTCAAGTAAGTGCTAACTGGAAGACCAATCCTGGAAATTCATAGAGAAAATATCATTCCAAAAATCAAGGATAACCAAGATACTCTTCTTCCACTGAAGTCACACTGTTAGTGGCCATAACAGAACAGTCAGCCAGTGTTATCCAGAATGTTAAGTGTTTGCCATATCATCCAGTTTTAGAATGCCTCAGAGACTTTCAGTTGCTAAAGTCAGAACACCAATTGAAACCAACAGAGGTTGGGCAATAATTTCTTCTAAAATGTTAAGAATGTCACCCTTTTGGACAGTAATGCCTACAGTATTTACTTCTTGTAGATATTGATTTCCTATTTCTGCTAATGAAGAAATGTGATTCAGGCCAGTGTTTTTAGCTAGTGTAAATGAAGTTACCTCCATATCATCTGTAAAGTCATAAATGCAGTAGGATTCTATACCTCTCAATATTCAGGAATATTCAGGTAATTTTAGAGCTACTCTGATTTCTGGAGCACCATATCTTATAATAAGAGCTCTATTCTTCACTAAATAGGAAATAAAACAGAGGGCATCATAAATGGAGCATTTAGCTTTCCAATCATCAGTTTATTAGAATCATGAACAACAACTATAACTGCTTTTCCAGGGCCTGCACAGCCTGCAGTCTTAAGCAATTTGCCAGAACTATTTAAATTGACCCCTTTGGCTAAAGGAGCAGCTCCCAGCATGTTAGTAGTGAATTAGTCAATATAAGCAACTGGCTTGTTTCCAATTGTTTTACAAATAAATTCAATGCCTTCTTTTTCAATATCCTTAATCACCATAATCTTCATTTTGTTTAGAAAGTGTAATTCAAGATCACTAAGAGCACCAATTAGAAGAGACTTCTGTGTGAGCAGGATGTTATCTCCAGTTTTTTTTTTTTTTTACTAAATTTAGTATTAGGCTCTTTCTTTTTTTTTAATTTTTAATTTTTATTTTGTTTTTGAGACAGTCTCACTCTGTTGCCCAGGCTGGAGTGCAGTGGCGGGATCTCGGCTCATGGCAAGCTCCACCTCCCATGTTCGCACCATTCTCCTGCCTCAGCCTCCTGAGTAGCTGGGACTACAGGCACCCGCCACCATGCCCGGCTAGTTTTTTGTATTTTTAGTAGAGACGGGATTTCACCGTGTTAGCCAGGATGGTCTCGATCTCCTGACCTTGTGATCTGCCCGCCTTGGCCTCCCAAAATGCTGGGATTACAGGCAGGAGCCACCGCACCCGGCCTAGGCTCTTTCTTTTCACAGCACTTGTTCCACGTGGGTAAGTCTGAAACTATTTGATTATCCATCTCTTCTGGGAGCAGAGAAGCAAAACTGAATAAGCCCAATTTTAGCCTTTTCAACTCTGGCTATCCCAGAATTTTCCACCTTTTGGGTGATAATCCCTTTCACTAACTCACTGCAATCAATTGTCCTGCCAAGTTACTTAACTATTTTAATATCCCTAAGATCCACAGTGGTAGCTGTGGCTAGATCCATATCATCTGTAAAGTCAAAATCAAGGATAACCAAGATACTCTTCTTCCACTGAAGTCACACTGTTAGTGGCCACAACAGAACAGTCAGCCAGTGTTATCCAGAATGTTAAATGTTTACCATATCATCCAGTTTCAGAATGCCTGAGAGACTTTCAGCTGCCAAAGTCAGATCAACAATTGAAACCAACAGAGGTTGGGCAATAATTTCTTCTAAAATGTGAAGAATGCCACCCTTTTTAATCACTGTATTTACACTCATTGGAGAAATTAAACTGGAATGCTGAATAATAAGCATTGAGTTCAATAAATTGGTTGTACTATTTTAAAATGTTTCTTTGTCATTTACTTCCATATGTTAAGACATGTCAGTTATAATTTTAATACCATTTCCCAAAGCCTTCTAGAATGACTCAGAGATGATGGCTAGATGAATTCTTTTCTGAAGAAGCTTATTATAAGAATATAAGAGAGATCCAGCAATAATGACCACTGATGTGGTCATCTCCGGCTTCTATATCTTGGAGCCTTAGACAGCACCGCTAGGATTCTGGCTGCTGGATGTAACCCTTACATTTGTTTCACAATGGTAACAGCATCATATGTAATGGTCATATCACCTTTTCTATTTTTACTTTTTTATCCTTTCCTTTTGGTTGCAAGCTTGTTCTAAGAGCATTAGCAACCTCTTTTGCCATGTAGATGTTTCCCAAATTGATCTGAAATGACTTTTCAGTCTTTATAGGAACATTTCCTGTAGCCTCCAGCAGTCCTGGTGGGGATGGCGCTCCAGGATGCCATGGTCTGAGGCCTGACAAACTTGGCTGGGTCTTCATGGGCTTGGAAAGGATAGATGGACATGGATTCCAGCCAGCCATAAAATAGTGGTATAATTCTATTGCCTTCATGACTCTTCCAGAAGTCAGTGCCAATGCCAAGAGGAGAATGTTTTGTATTTTTTAATATTTTCTATCTCTTTGTTAAAATTCTCACTTTGTTCATGCATTTTTTTTTTCTATTGAGTTGTACAGTTTTAACCCTCTATCAGTTATGTGGTTTGCAAATAATATTTTCCCAGGCTGTAGGTTAGCTTTTTATTGTGTTGATTATTCTCTTTACTACACAGAAGCTTTTTAGTTTGAGGTAGTCCCATTTATTTATTTTTGCACCAGAAGTCTGAGCTTTTGGTATGATATCCAAAATATGATTGCCAATGCCAGTGTCAAGGACTATTCTCCTTATGTTCTCTTCTAGAAATTTTATAATTTCAGGTCTTACATTTAGGTCTTTTATCCATTTTGAATCGTTTTTGTGTATGTTGTAAGTTAAGGGCCCAATTTCTTGCTTTTGCATGTTGAAATTTAGTTTTCCCAACACCATTTATTGAAAACACTCTCCTTTCCTCATTGTGTCCTCTTGGTGCTCTTATCAAAAATTAGTTGATCATATGTGTTTGGATTTATTTCTGGGCTCTCTATTCTGATTCACTTGGTCTATATTTCTGTTTTTATGCCAGTACCATACTATTTTAGTTACTATAGTTTTGCAATATAATTTTAAATCAGAAATTATGATGCCTCCTACTTAGATTTTCTTTCTCAGAATTCTCTTGGTTATTCAGGGATTTTTATGGTACCATGCAAATTTTAGAATTTTGTTCTATTTCTATGAAAAACAACATGGAGATTTGATAGAAACTACCTTAAATCTACATATTGATTTGGGTAATATGAACATTTTAATAATATTCATTCTTACTATCCATGAACATGAGATATCTTTCCATTTATTCATGCCTTCTTTATTTTATTTCAACAATATTAGTTTTATAGTTTTAGGTGTATAAATCTTTCACTTCCTTTTTTTTAAAAAAATTATTCCTATGGTGGGTATGGTGGCTTATTCCTTTAAGCCCAGCCCTTTGGGAGGCTGAGACAGGAGAACTGCTTGAGGCCAGGAGTTCAAGACCAGCCTGGGCAACATAGCAAAACCTTGTCTCTACAAAAGAAGAAAAAAAAAGCCAGGTGTGATGGTGCATTCCTGTAGTCCCACCTACTCAGGAGGCTGAGGCAGGAGGCTTGCTTGTGGCCAGAAAGTTGAGGTTACAGTAAGTCATAATCACATCACTGCACTCCAGCCTGAGTGACAGAGTAAAACCCTGTCAAAAAAAATAATAATAAAAATAAAATTTATTCCTCAGTATTTTAATTTTTTGATGCTATTGTAAATAGGATTGCACTCTTGATTTATTTTTCTGCTAGGCCATTATTTGTGTATAGAGATAATAGTGATTTTTCTTTCTTTCCTTTTTTTTTTTGTTTTGTTTTGTTTTTGTTTTTGAGACAGAGTCTTGCTCTGTCGCCAGGCTGGAGTGCAGTGGTGCAATCTTCGTTCACTGCAACCTCCACCTCCCGGTTTCAAGAGATTTTCCTGCCTCAGCCTCTTGAGTCACTGGGACTACAGGCGTTTACCACCACGTGCAGCTAATTTTTGTATTTTTAGTAGAGATGGGGTTTCACCATGTTGGCCAGGATAGTCTTGATCTCTTGACCTTGTGATCCACCCACCTCAGCCTCCCAAAGTGCTGGGATTACAGGCATGAGCCACTGTGCCTGGCTGAGATAATATTGATTTTTCTATGTTGATTTTGTATCTGCAATGTTACCGAATTTATTTATTAATTCTAACAGGCTTTTTTATCTTTATGATTTTCTAAATTTAAAGTCATGTAATCTGCAAACAGATATACTTTCATTTCTTTCTAATTTGAATGCCTTTTTGCATTTTCTTGTCTGATTGCTCTTACTAATACTATGATAAATAGAAGTAGTGAGAGTGGGCATTTTTGCCTTGTATTATATCCTAGTGAAAAACTTTCCAGTTGTTTCCCATTGATTATAGTAGGTTTTTCATATATGGCCTTTATTATGTTGAAGGATTTTCCTTCTATACCTAAATTGTTAAAAGTTTTCATCAAGAAAGGATGCTGAATTTTGTCAAATTATTTTTCTGTATCAATTGAGATGATAATGTGAGTTTTATATTTGGTGAATGTAATGTATCACATTGATTTGCATATGTTAATGCAGCCTTGCATGCTAGACATAAGCCTCAAATAATCACAATGTATAATGTTTTTTATATATTGAATTTGATTTGCTAATATTTCATTGAGAATTTTTGCATCAATGTTCATTAAATATATTGGCTTGCAGTTTTGTTTTCTTTTGGTGTCTTTTTTTGGTTTAGGTATCAAGGTGATGTTGGCCTCATAAAATGTGCTTGAAAGTGTTCCCTGTAGCTCTCTTTTTTGAAAGAGTTTAAAAACTATTATTGGTAACAATTCTTCTTTGAACATTTGGTAGAATTCAGCCATAAAATAATATGTCCCTGGGCTTTTCTTTGAAAGGTTTAAAATTACTTCTTCAGTCTCTTCGTTATTGACATGTTTGAGCTTTCTAATTCTTCCTGATTCAATCATGGTAGGTTATATTTTTCTAGAAATTTATTTGTTTCCTCTAGGTTATCCAATTTGTTGAAATATAACTGTTCATAATACTCCCTTATATTCCTTTTTATTTCTGAGGTATCTGTTGTAATGTCTCCATTTTCATCTCTGGTTTTATTTATTTGAGTCTCATGTCTTTTTTTCTTTGTTATTCTAGCTAGGGCCTCCGATTTTAGTTTTTCAAAGAACCAACTCACAGGATTATCATTTTTTCCTATGGTTTTCCTGCTACATGATTTTTTGCTCTGTTCTGATCTTTATTATTTCCTTCCTTCTGCTAACTTTAGGTTTAGTTTGTTCTTCTTTTCCTATCTCCTTGAGATATAAGGGTAGCTTATTTATTTTTAATATCCTTTAAAAAATTAGGCATTTATTGCTATAAACTTCTTTCTTAGAACTGCTTTTCTTGAATCACATAGATTTTGATATGTTGTGTTTCCACTGTCACTTTTCTCAAGATACTTAAAAATTCCCCTTTTGATTTCTTCTTTGACTTACTGGTTGTACAGGAGAGATATTCTATATTTAGTGAGACATTGTTCTGGTGGTTATATTTAGAGTTTTGTATACTGTTCCTTTCAGATCTTTAGGCATATTTAGCACAGATGATTTAATTTTTTTTCGAATGAGTCCAATATCTGAGCTTCCTTACAGACATTTTTTTTCCTTTTTTCCCCTGTGTATAGACCATATTTTTTTTTTGCATACTTCTTCATTTTTTGTTGAAACCTGAAATTTTTGCATATTGTAATGTGGTAACCCTGGAACTTAGGTTCACTCCCTTCTACAGAGTTTGTTGTTGCTGCTTTTTGTGGGTTGGTATTAGCCTGTTTAGTGACTTTTCTAAACTAAGTTTGTAAATTCTGAATTCTTTTTCTTGTGTAGCCAGTGAATACTGTGTTTTGTCAGCTTAGCAGCCAGCTAGTGTTTTAAACATAGTTTTCTTAAACAACTAAAGCCAAAAAAAAAAAAAAAGAAAGAAAGAAAAAAAATACTCTCACTCTTTGCAGATTGGCCTGTTTTGGGGTACTCCTTCAAAACTTAGGCAGGCTTTTTACAACCCTGCTTTAGTTATCATATCCTGCTTGTGTGGAGCCCAAATGTCAGCCAGAGGTGAAAGCTTAGTGTCTTCTCAGGCCTTTTCTGAGCATGTGTCAAGCTCTGAGGATGCATGTGGACTTCTTAATTTCCCAGGGAGCTTTAAAACGTCCTTATTCCTCTATGTGTTGCCTCTCACAGACTCTTCCTTCCAGGCTTTTCAGTCTTTTGCTTGTCCTGACTATTGTCCCTTGCCCTGGTGTGCTGTGACCAATATTTGTACCTTTAAATCTTTTCAACAAAAGCTGCCCATGAAGCCACCTCAACCATTAAAATTCTGATTGAGAGGAAACAAAGGCAAACCCTTGCACTGGTCAAGTAGTTGCCAGAGAGGTGGAAAACCCATAAACACAATTCTTTGAGAATAGGGTTTGTTGTGCTCCCTCTGGCAGTAGCAACTTGCATCAGGAACATAAGCTTTTGCCCTCACGGCCACTACTAATCTAAGGTGTGGGGTATGGTAGGTAGCAATTCAACATTCCATAGCGCTCCTTTACTGCAAAACAACAGCTTATTTATTCAAGCCTCTTTTTGGTTGTTTTAAGTTTTTTCCTAAATTCCCTAATTTTGCAAAAGTTGATTCTGATGGTTATCTTCAGCTCATCAGTTGCTTTTGTGGAGTAATAGAGCCCTCGAGTTTCCTAATTTGCTATTTCCAGTGATGTCAGCCCCTTCTAGGTTTGTTTTAAAGCTTTGCCAGGGCAGATCTGGAGTGGCTTTCATTCTAGGGATAGTTTGGTACTACAATTAAGACTTGATTCTTTGGGGATCTCACTCTCCTGAATGCCTGAGAATGTAACAAGGATATTTCTAATCTGTCTAATTGGAATTTTAGTTCCATGTACCTCTGTGTGAGTTCTGAGAAATAGATTACAGTCCCTGGTAGTTGTCTTTACCAGGCATTGCTGAATTTCATTATATGTATATGCAGCTTTTTATTTGACCAAACACTCAAGAGAATTTTTAACCAATTTTCTGGAGCTTTTTCTCTCTATAGTTATGGCCTCTCTAATACTCTCCTGCAAAATTCCCAGCCATTTCAGCCTCCTCAAATTCTGATCTAGCTTCTCAACTCAGGGAGACCACTGTGCTCTAGTTGTGTTACCACCCACTATGCCACAGTCTGGAAACTGCCTTCATGTAGAAAGTTAGGGTGAACATTGGGCTCACCTTATTTGTTTCCCTTTTCTCAGGGATTATGGTCTTGTGCTGCTGGTTGTCCAATATCTGATAACAGGTTTCATTTATTCCCCTCTCCCTGCTGGTTTTCTTATTATTTATGTCAACAAGGCAAGTTGAACTCCAATTACTTTGTCATGGCCAGAAGCAGAAAGTTACAAACAACAGAAACAATAACAACAACCACAACAAATGATGTGCTCACTTAATATCTTCGACATTAAAATAAATTGATTAGGACTTCAGAAGGTTAAAAAAACTGGAAGAAATACAGCTACAGTATGTGGAATGGTGGTAATGATGTAAATGGTCTATAGACCTATTTTCATACATTAGGAAATGTTTATAAGCCTTTCCCTTTCTCATGAGATGAGACCTCTAATGGTTGCCATAATCCAGACATTCAATTTTCACTAAAATTCCTACTGAGAAGTAGTATAAAGGCTGCCACCTGGCTGCCAGTAGGCTGGATATGGCTCACTAATTAATTTTGTTTGACCAGTACACTAATTTAAAAACTTGAATTTCAATGTCTTTTGGTGGACCATGCACACTCCAGTTGCCAATAATCCCTATTTTCTTAGACCCACTGTATCAGATATTCGTTATTTCATTAGTCTGTAAATTTGGAATTAGGCTCCTATGTTTAAATCTTGATTACCTGCCTACTTTTATTCTTGTACAAGCTAATTAACTTCTCTGAGCATCAGGTTTCTCTGAACAGGGAAGAAGATAATATTACTTACGTCAGAAGATAAAATGTACATATCTACATAAAATAGTACTTGACACTGATTATGTTAGAGATCGTAATTATTATGCCTCCGGAAGGTTTTGCCTAAGGCTGTCTTAATCGCAGAGAGGAAGTCTGCAGTCCCGAATTCTAGTCTTCGCTCTACCACTGTTTTGCTGTGTGACTATTTCTCCTCCCTAAATCGCAGTTTCCTATCCATACACTAAATGGTCTGATGCTGTATTCAACTTGTACATTCTATGATTCTATTTATTTGGGGGTCTCCTTGACTAATATGAATGAGAAGAAACATTTATACACACGACAATGATCCTAACCTGATCACAACTAATTCTACCAGCAGACCTGTACTATGGTGGAAAGTACACAGACATTTTGACTTAGAAAATGTGGGCACAAGACTTGCTTTTACTATTTAATCATGTATGACCTCCAGCAAGTGTCACTTTTCTGGACTTCAGTTTTTTCATCTGTAAAATGAAAATAATAATAATCTCTGTCTTCTTCACAAGTAGTTGGCAGGACCAAATGATACAATGAATACAAACATAGGCAATGAGCTATAAGATGTTTAATGAATATTATTGGTTATTTAAAATAATTTTTTTATCTATGTCTGCCACTTCCCTCTTGGTATGGAAATGAGATATGGGTCAATTCTGTATAGATAAAAATTAGGTAAATAACAAACTGAGTACATAAATGTTTTGTAAAAATTTAAAGCAATGACAAATTCACAGTAAGCAAAATAAAATTTGAACTTGAAATTGACTGAATGAATTGTATGCACTTGTCTTCATTTCCATTACACTTAAAACACTCAATTTTTTTTTGCTTCAATAGCTTTTGGGTATAAGTGCTTTTTGTTCACATGGATGAACTGTATAGCGGTGAAGTCTGAAATTTCAGTGCACTCATCACTTGAGTAGTGGACATTGTACCAAATATGTCATCTTTTATTCCTCACTTTCATCCCACTCTCCCTGTTTCTGAGTTGCCAATATTCATTATACCACTCTGGATGCCTTTGAGTATCCATAGCTTAGCTCCCATTTATAAGTGACAAGGTATTTGGCTTTTCTTTCCTGAGTTACTTCACTTAGAATAATGGCCTCCCAGCTCCCTTCAAGTTGTGCAAAATACATTATTTCATTCTTTTTTTATGGCTGAGCAGTATTCCATGGTTTATACAGAGTACACTTTCTTTTTCTGCTCATTGGTTGATGGGCACTTAGGTTGATTCCATATCTTTGCAATTGTGAATTGTACTGTGATAAACATATGTGTGCAGGTGTCCTTTTGATATATTGATTTATTTTCCTTTGTTAGATAGCTAGTAGTAAGATTTCTGGATTGAATAATAGATCTACTTTAAGTTCTTTAAGGAATCTGCACAATGTTTTCTATAGAAGTTGTACTAACTTACATTCCCAACAGCAGGAAACATCCACTTTTAAGGCCATATCCCTGTAATATCTTGCTATCACTCAGATTACCTGCATATTAAAAATCTTGATATTCTGATATTACTATCTTATATTCCATTTTTAGGCCATAATCTCCTATCCTTCTAGTTCCCTCATTACAATTACTCTTTTACTTTACAGAGTAAATGTTCCAGTTTCCTGGACTATTTCTCATGTAACCATGGTTCCATTAATTCATCCCATGCATTTTTATAATTTGAAGACTTTTTTCATGCTGTTTGCTCTACCTAGGATGCTCTTTTGCCTGCACACTCATCCATTAAGTCCCAGATAATACGTAATTTCTCTACGAGACATTTACTCTCCCTACTAAGCACAATTAACCATCCCTCTTTTATGATCCCAAAGCAGTTTTAAAAAGATACCTATCAAAGCCCTATCACAATGTATTATAATTATATATGTGTTGCTTCTGTTAGTCTGTGAATTGCTCCAAAATTTTTTTATTGATAATAGCATGACTATTTATCAAGTGATTATCTGCCAACCATTGTACAAATGAACCTCATGCATATTATTTATTTTTAGGCACATAAAAGTCTTATGAGAAAGAATATTATCCCATTTTAAAGGTGAGAGAAAAAAAGCTTAGTGAAACTAATGAATTTGCCCAAAGTCATACAGTTAGTAAGCTCTAGGACGTGAACTCAGGTTTATATGACTTCAAAAATGGTACTCTCAACCACTATGTAATATTTTACAAACTATGTAGACCATGTCTTAGTTGTATCCCTATAACATATATTATAAGGAGGGGAGGGAGTGAGGCACAGTGAGTAAGAGGGGGTGGAGAGGGAGAGAAAGAGAATCTAGCAAACAGCAGATATTTAATATATTTACTGACTGAATAAAAATAACAATGCATGAAAATTAATGAATACAATAGACTGTTTGATGAGGGAGAAAATGACCTTGCTTTACTAGCATTGTGATCTTGGACACATTGTGTCACCTCTTGGAGTTTGTGTCTTCAAGTCTTAAAACATAGCTACTATTTATATTCCAATGTTGTGAGAATTAGATAAAATAATTAAAAAAACCTACATAGTTTATTTTTCCATTCTCTATCATGATATTGACAGCAATTTGTTTTTATAGTAGGGAGATGGAACTTATTATGTTTTTATCCTTACCACGATAAAACTATCAAACAAGTTACACAACATCACCCAAATTGACAAAAATGATTAAATTTCAAACATTGCAGGCTCAGAAAATAGAGAACCATTGAAATCATAACTAGTCTTCCAGAGGCTGCTGCTGGCAGAATCTGCTTATTTATTTGGGAACATGAATGATTCCTCAGAAGACAATATCGACTTCCTTCCAGATGGTCACTACTGAAGGTTTTTCACTCAACTTAGTAACCTAACTTAATACCAATTAAGATCTATAGGTAGGTACCAACTCCATATAATTGAGGTCAAATGAATGACTTGAAAAACAGTTAGTTTCCTGGTTATCAGAAAACTTTGCGTTTTAAAACAATTAAAATACTAAATTGATTATATAGTAGGTTATATTTGGGAAAGAGATAGTGTGAAAGTACTTCCTTTCAAATAAGTCTACTTCTAACCACAGACTTTAAAGACCCTATAAAAAGGAGCCTATAATGAAAGAGGGTGCCAGTAGAAATGAATACTATAAAATTTACTAAGGGTACATGAACTCTTCAAAGACTGACAGACCAAAAAAATGAGCTATACTAAATTATATTTAGGGAGTGAAACCTAAGATATGTGCTAAGCATCTGCATATTTAGGCACTTTTCTCTTTAGATAAATGACTCCTATGTTTCAGTTTTTTTCAAACCACCTTCACAAGTTTTGACATATCTAGATATTTACTACCTGCATTATAATATCTGGGTATTACATGTATTATAATTTTTTTTCAGTTGACTCACTTTTATTTAAACTTTTCTTAAACTTTCCTTAAAATACCTTTCTTAAATCTTTTGCTTAGCCTTTTGTTAATTTCATTCATGAAATTATGGGTTTGATGTGATAGGTAGATAATTTTTCCTAATAAATATTAAACACATAACTATTACAGGTAAAATAAAATAAATCCATCTAAGTATTACTTCAAATCATCTCAGGTGCCAGCAGTGGTATGGATGTATACCACACTCTGGGAAACACTGCCTCAGATTAAGAGAGATCACTGAAAGTCTATATACTTTGCCCATATTAAGTCAATGTCTTACAGAATCATCAGTGGAAGGTGTACTTTGATGCTACGCTGCCATAACATTATGGAAGGCTATTTCTAGAAACAATCATATAAAATGACTAGACATACAAATTGAAATTGTTGTGAAAGGGTTAAAGACGTTGCTGATTATCTTGTTTAATATCTGTGCAAGGTCCCAAATGAAAACTTTACTTTCAAATTTAGTGTCAGAAAACACTTGGTTATCTCTGTTCTCTTTTATAATGAAAGCTCTGTTACTATACATTTTTTATTTACCTTGGTTGCTAAGAAGCTCTACAACACCTCTGATGCTCAGTCTTAGCAACTATGTTAATCTCTATGGTTAGCATAATGTGGTTTTTATAATTTGATTTAATGAATTTACTTTATATGTTTTATTTTAAGCACTTAAAATCATTCTTGTAAGAAAAGGTGATGAAAAGCAGAGAAAGAAAATATTACTGAATGCTTATAATATATAACAGGCACTGTGCTATGGCTTTACATTAGTTATCTCATTCATTGCTTAATAATTCTACAAGGCACATACTATTTTCTTAACTCTATAGATAAGCAGTCTGAGATTCAGGTAATTTTCTAATTTGTCCAAAGTCAAACAGCTAATAAGTGACACAGTTGTGAATTTATCCCAGCCTCTGAATGCAAAGGTGAATTTCTTTTCAGTATATTATACTAACCTCCATGTAAAAAGGTAGAACATTAACAAAAGGATTTAAGGAGAAGAAATTTTACTTTTATTTAATTTTTAAAAATCTCCCCACAGTTATCTATAGATGTTGTACTAGTTTACATTTCCACAAACAGTGTATGAGCATTCTCTTTTCTCCACATCCTCACCAATATCTGTTATTCTTTGTCTTTTTAAACATTTATTTTAGGTTCAGGGTACATTTACAGGTTTACTATATAGGTAAATTGCATTTAACAAAGATTTGATGTGCAGGTTATTTTGACAGCCAGGTAATAAGCATAGTAATCTATAGGTAGTTTTTTGATCCTTAACCTTCTTCCCACCCTACACCCTCAAGTAGTCCCTAGTGTCTACTAAATAAGAATACAACCCCATTCTAATTTTCATTGTAGAGTTCTTTTGACCTTCCTGGTTAGCTGTATTCCTAGGTATTTTATTTTTTTTTTGGTGGCTATTGTGTTCTTAATTTAGTTCTCATCTTGCACATTCTTGGTGTAAATGAATGCTACTGCTTAAAAATTTTTTTATTTCAATAGGTTTTTGGGAACAGGTGGTGTTTTATTATATTAATAAGTTCTCTAGTAGTGATTTCTGAGATTTTGGTGCACCCATCACCTGAGCCATCTACACTGTACCCAATGTCTAGTTTTTTTATCCCTCGCCACTTCCTACCCTTTCCCACGAGTTCCCAAAGTCCAGTGTATCATTCTTATGCCTTTGCATCCTCACAGCTCAACGCCTACATATGAGTGAGAACATATGATATTTAGTTTTCCATTCCCGAGTTATTTCACTTAGAATAATGGTCTCCGATTCCATCCAGGTTGCTGCAAATGCCATTATTTCATTTCCTTTTATGGCTGAGTAGTGCTCCATTGTGTATATATACCACATTTTCTTTTTCTACTCATTGATTGATGGGCATTTGGGCTGGTTCCATGGTTTTGCAATTGAAAATTGTGCTGCTATAAACACGTGTGTGCAAGCATCTTTTTCGTATAATGACTTCTTTTCCTTTGGGTAGATACCTGCTAGTGGGATTGCTAGATAAAACAGTAGATCTACTTTTAGTTCTTTAAAGGAATCTCTACACTGTTTTCCATAATGGTTATACTATTTTACATTCCCATCAACAGTGTAAAAGTATTTCCATTGCTGTGCAGAAGCCCTTCTGTTTAATTAGGTCCCATTTGTCAATTTTATTTCACTTGCACTTGGTTTTGGCATCTTCATCATGAATTCTTTGGTAGGTCCTATATCCAGAGTGGTATTCCCTAGGTTATCTCCCAGGGTTTTATAGTTTTAGGTTTTACATTTAAGTCTTTAATCCATCTTGAGTTGATTTTCATATAAGGTGTAAAGAGGAAATCTAGTTTCAATCTTCTGCATATGGCTATACAGTTATCTCAGCACAATTATTGAATAGAGAATTTTTTCCTCATTGCTTGTTTTCATTGGCTTTATAGAAGTTTGGATGGTTGTAGGTGTGCAGCATTATTTCTGTGCTCTCTATTCTGATCCATTAGTTTATGTGTCTGTTTTTGTACCAGTACTATGATGTTTTGATTATTGTTGCCTTGTAGTAAAGTTTGACATTGGGCACTGTGATGCCCACAGTTTTGTTCTTTCTGCTTAGGATTGCCTTGACTATCAAGCTTCGTTTTAGTTCCACATGAATTTTTAATTTTTTTCTAATTCTGTAAAGAATGTCACTAGTAGTTTGATAGGAATAACATTGAATCTGTAAATTGCTTTGAGCAGTATGGGCATTTTAATGATATAGATTCTTCCTATCCATGAGCACGGAATGCTTCTCCATTGATTTGTGTTAATTCTGATCTCTTTGAGCAATGTTTTGTAATTTTCCTTGTAGAGTTCTTTCACCTCCCTGGTTAGCTGTATTCCTAGGTATTTTATTCTTTTTGTGGCTATTGCGAATGGAATTGTGTTCTTAATTTGATTCTCATCTTGCATATTGTTGGTGTATAGGAATGCTACTGATTTTTGTACATCAATTTGGTATCCTGAAACTTTGCTGAAGTTGTTTATAAGATTGAAGAGATTTAAGAAAGAGACTATGAGTTTTTCTTAGTATAGAATCACATAGTCTGCAAGCAGAAATAGTTTGACTTCCTCTCTTCCTATTTAAGAGCCTTTATTTCTTTCTCTTGCCTGATTGCTGTGGCTAAGGCTTCCAGTACTATGTGGAATGGAAGTGTTGAGAAAGCACATCCTTGTCTTCTTCCAGTTTTCAAGGAGAATGCTTATAGCTTTTGGCCATTTAGTATGATGTTGGCTGTGGGTTTGTCATAGGTGGCTCTTATTATTTAGAAGTATGTTCCTTTAATGTCTACTTTGTTGAGGGTTTTCAACATGAAGGAATGTTGAATTTTATCAAAAGCCTTTTTTACATCTATTGAGATAATCATGTGATTTATGTTTTCAGTTCTGTTTATGTGATGAATCATTTACTGAGTTGAGTATATCAAACCAGGCTTGCATCTCAGGGACAAAAAGCCTGCTTGATTGTGGTGGATTAGCTTTTTGATGTGCTTGATTGTAGTGGATTAACTTTTTGATGTGCTGTTGGATTTGGTTTGCTAGTATTTTGTTGAGGATTTTGCATCTATGTTCATCATGGAAACTGGCCTGAAGTTTTCCTTTTTGTGTGTGTGTCTGCCAGGTTTTGGTATCAGGATGACACTGGCCTCACAAAATGAGTTAGGGAGGAGTTTCTCCTCCTCAAGTTTTTGGAATAGTTACAAGTAGGAATGGTACCAACTCTTTTTTCTATACATATCTGGTGGGATTCAGCTGTGAATTTGCCTGCTCTTGGGCTTCTTCCAGTTGGTAGTCTTTTTATTACTGATTCAATTTTGAAACTCATTATTAGTCTGTTCAGGGCTTTAATCTCTTCCTGGTTCAATCTTCGGTGGTTGTATGTTTCCAGAAATTTACCCATTTCTTCTAGGTTTTCTAGTTTGTGTGCATAGGAGTGTTTTAGTAGTCTCTGAGGTTTTTTTGTTTGTTTTTTGTAGTTCTGTGGGGTAACATCCCCTTAGTCATTTATGATTATTTCAACCTCTCTTTTTTATTTATTAGTCTATCTGGCAGTCTATTTTTTTTTAAAGGTTCTCTTTTTTTATTATTATACTTTAAGTTCTAGAGTACATGTGCACAATGTGCAGGTTTGTTACATAGGTATACATGTGCCATGTTGGTGTGCTGCACCCATCAACTCGTCATTCACATTAGGTATTTCTCCTAATGCTATCCCTCCCCCAGGTCCCCACCCCCCACAGGCCCTGGAGTGTGATGTTCTCTGCCCTGTGTCCAAGTGTTCTCACTGTTCAATTCCCACCTATGAGTGAGAACATGCGGTGTTTGGTTTTCTGTCCTTGCGATAGTATGCTCAGAATGATGGTTTCCAGCTTCATCCATGTCCCTGCAAAGGACATGAACTCATCCTTTTTTATGGCTGCATAGTATTCCATGGTGTATATGTGCCACATTTTCTTAATCCAGTATATCATTGATGGACATTTGGGTTGGTTCCAAGTCTTTGCTGTTGTGAATAGTGCTGCAATAAACATACGTGAGCATGTGTCTTTATGGCAGCATGGTTTATAATCCTTTGGGTATATACCCAGTAATGGGATGGCTGGATCAAATGGTATTTCTAGTTCTAGATCCCTGAGGAATCACCACACTGTCTTCCACAATTGTTGAACTAGTTTACAGTCCCACCAACAGTGTAAAAGTGTTCCTATTTCTCCACATCCTCTCCAGCACCTGCTGTTTCCTGACTTTTTCATGATCGCCATTCTAACTGGTGTGAGATGGTATCTCATTGTGGTTTTGATTTGCATTTCTCTGATGGCCAGTGATGATGAGCATTTTTTTCTTGTGTCTGTTGGCTGCATAAATGTCTTCTTTTGAGAAGTGTCTGTTCATATCCTTGCTGGCAGTCTATCTTACTAATTCTTTCAACAAACCAACGTCTGGATTCTTGAATCTTTTGTGTGGTTTTTCATGTCTCAATATCCTTCATTTCAGCTCTGATGTTAGTTATTTTTTGTCTTCTGCTAGCTTGGGGGTTGGTTGGCTCTTGTTTCCCTAGGTCCTCTAGGTGAAATGTTATGTTGTTAATTCAAGATGTTTCTAAATTTTAATGTGAGCATTTACAGCTATAAACTTTCCTCTTAGCACCCCTTTAGCTGTGTCCCAGAGATTCTGGTATGTTGTATCTTTGTTCCAATTAGTTTCAAAGAATTTCTTATTTTCTGCTTTGATTTAATTATTTATCTGAAAGTCATTCAGGAGCAGGTTGTTTAATGTCAATGTAATTATATGACTTTGATTGATTTTCTTATTATTGATTTCTATTTTTATTGTGCTGTGGTCCTGGAATGTGTTTGGTATAATTACAGTTTTGTATTTAATTTGCTGGAAATGGTTTTATGTCCAACTGTGTAGTTAATTTTAGACTATGTGCCATATGCAGATGAGAAAAATGTATATTTTGTTGTTTTAGGATGGAGAGCTCTGTAGATGTCTGTCAGGCCCATTTGTTCAAGTGTCAAGATCAGGTCCCAAATATCTTTGTTAGTTTTCTGCCTCAATTATCTGTCTAATATTTTCAATGAGGTGTTGAAGTCTCCTGCTATTATTGTGTGGTTATGTATATATCTTCATAGGATTCTGAGAACTTGTTTCATGAATTGTGTGCTACTGTGTTGGGCACATATGTATTTAAAATAGCTATGTCTTCTTGTTAAATTGTGCCCTTTACTATTATGAATTGGCCTTCTTTGACTTTTTTGATTATTGTTGGTTTAAAGTCAGTTTTGTCTGAAATTAGAATAGCAACCCCTGATTTTTTCTGTTTTCCATTCATTTCATAGATTTTTCTCCATCCTTTTACTTTCAACCTGTGTGTGCTATTGCATGTGAAATGGGTCTCTTTAAGACAGCTTACTGTTGGGTCTTGCTTCTTTATCCAACTTTCCACTTTGTGCCTTTTAATTGTGACATTTAGCCTGTTTACATTCTAAAGTTAGTACTGACAGGTATGGGTGTGATTCTATCATGTTGCTAGTTGGTTATTATGCAGACTTTTTGTATGGTTGCTTTATAGTGTTAATGGTCTATGTAAATAAGTGTATTTTTGTGGTGGCTGGTAAGGGTCTTTCATTTCCATATTTAGCACTCCCTTAAGGACTTTATTTAAGGCAGTCCAGGTGGTAACAAATTCCATTAGTATTTGCTTTTCTCAAAAGAACCTTATTTCTTCTGCATTTATGAAGCTTAGTCTGGCAGGATATGAATTCTTTTCTTTACAAATATTGCTTATAGGCCCTCAATTTCTTCTGGCCTGTAGGGTTTTTATTGAAGGTTCCACTGGTAGCCTGATACTTTCCCCTTTGCTGGTGACCAGCCTCTTCTCTCTAGCTGACTTAACGTTTTTTCTTTCAATTTGACCTGGGAGAAGCTAATGACTATGTGTCTTGGGAATAGTCATCTTGTATAGTACCTCACAGGGGTTTTCTCCATTTCCAATGTTGGCCTCTTTAGTGAAGTTGGGAAAATTTTATTAGATGATATCCTGAAATATGTCTTCCAAGTTGTGTGATTTCTCTCTCTCTCTTCAGGGACGTTGATGAATCACAGATTTGGTCTATTTATATAATTCCATATTTCTCAGAGGTGTTTATTATTCTTCTTTATTTATTTTTTATTTTTATTTTTTGGTCTGAGTTATGTCAGAGAACTTTTCTTCAAGCTGAGATTCTTTCCTCAGCTTGGTTGATTCTGCTGTTAATACTTGTGATTGTATTCTGAAATTCTTGAAGTGATTTTTTTCTGCTCTATCAGGTCAGCTTGGTTTTTTCCTAAAACGGTCATTTCATCTTTTATCTCCTGTATCATTTTATTGTATTTCTTAGAATTCCTGGATTTGGTTTTGACTTTTTCCAGAATCTTGGTGATCTTCATTCCTATCCATATTCTGAATTCGATTTCTGTCATTTCAGCCATTTCAGCCTGGTTAAGAGTCATTGCTCAGCATCTTGTGCATTCTTTTGGAAGTGTGAAGATACTCTGGCTTTTTGAGTTACTAGGGTTCTTGTGCTGCTTCTTTCTCTGTATAGGCTGATGTTCCTTCAATCTTTGAAGTTGCTATCTTTTGAATGTGTTTTTCCTTTTGCTTTTATCTTCTTTGATGTCCTTCGTGGTTTTATTGTATTATAAGATGGGTTCAGTCGACTGGCTTGGTTTCTGGAAGTGTTTATCAGATCAAGGCTCAGCTCAACACTGTTGTGCTGCATGCTGTAATTCTGCAAGGCTAGTGTTGGCCTCGAACTTAGTTCTCTAGCTCCTTAAGATTAGAAACCTGCTGTGATGGAAGGGTTGACATGTTTCCAGACCACTGGCCACAACAGTGCAATGGCTGGTGACAGTCAATATGCTCCTTGTCACCTGGGGCGGGATACTAGCAGGTGCAAGGGTGTTAGTGTCCATTCAGGTGTTTCCAGCAGTGGCAGTGGCATGGTGGCATGGGGCCACTGGTGTCTGTGCACATTTGTGCTGGCAGCAGTGGCAGTGGGGGGGTGGAGTGCTGGCAAGCACTGAGATGGAGGTCTCCATTCGTGTGCCCACACTGGCAGCAATGGCAGTGCACGGTGGAGCTGGGGCCGCTGGTCTCCTTGTGAGCATTTCCACAGGCAGTGGTGGTGCAGCAGGGTGGAGTGGGGTAGGGCAGGGTGCACTCACACTAGCAGCAGCGGCATGGTGGGGTGCACATGAAGACCTGAACTGGCAGGAAAGTGGAGTCAATGTCTGCCTCTGCTCACGGTGCACTGCCAAAATGATCTGGGGCCTGGCTGTGGGTGTGTGCCAGCAAAACAGCTTCGGGGAGGCTGCAGTGGGAGAAAGATGCCAGTGTGCTGGTGCACATCTGTGTGGGCCACTCTGCTGGAGCTCTTTCATGGTCAGGCATGGTCTTCCAGCACAAAGCTATGATGCGGGCCCTTGGCAGGCACCCCATTTGGGCATCAAAGACTGTACTGCAAGCAGGCGTGGCCAAGCTGGGGCCCCATAAGAGGCCAGCAGACAGGGGGGCTATCAGGTAGAAGGGGTCACATCTCATCAGGAAGATTCCCTTGTTCTGTTCAGGTCAGACAATTCCCCTAATGCTAAAGTGTCCTAGGGGAGCATGGAAAACCTTGGGGCTATGGGAGCCCCTGGCTGTGCTTCACCACGGATGTTGTTCCTGCACCAAGCCCTCTGGTCTCTGCGCCAGCTGGAGTTCTGCCCCTATCAACTGTCTAAGCAGCTTTCCTTGCCACTTGTCTGTGGGGGTCGTGGGTTCTCCTGCTGCCAGTATTCTACAGGTCTGTGGTGAGAGAAGGTTGCTCCCCGTCTGCTCAACTTCCTTTTTCCCCAGGAGTTGTTGGGGACCAGGAATGAATCCCAGTGCATGAGAGACTTATGCAGGGTTCCCTGCTTCCTTCTCCTTCAGCCCAGCATCTGTGTTCTCCCTCTCTCCATTCTCAATGACTCCTCTCTGAAGATCTGGTTTGAGTTCACGAGCCTTCCCGATGTCCTGGTCCCTCGGTGGCAGATGTTCCTCCTGGCTGCATTTAGTCAGACTACTTCCCTCAAGAATGAATTTTACTTTTATGTGAGGGGATAAATTGGCTATAATAAATACTTCATTAGTTTCTTGCTACAAAAATTAAAATTTCCAAATCAATTTACTAATTTATTGCTGCTCTACATGTTCACCTAACTTCTAACATAATCCCAAAAAACGTATAATTTAAAGGCAAAGCAAATAAGGTCTAATGGAAGAATAATGTCAACCACAATATAATTTTATTTATTCTTGAGGAAATTTATCATGGGAATTTATGTAAATGATCATATACTCACAGTACTTTTCTGAACTTTCTCCTAAAACACAAACACATAATGCTACAGGGTACTTTAAATCACTGACAACGTATAATAATGAGAAGACAGCGACCAAAAAGATCTGTATTAGATCAATGTAAATGGCCAATTTAAAAATTGACTGGTATTATATTGAGAGGCTAAATGGAGAGGTGAAAGGCTACAATAGAGACAAGGGCAAACTCCAGAAACAGTCTGAGTTCACTATGCAGCCCTACCACTTGCTTGATGTTTGACCTTTGGAAATTCCCTTAAGTTTTCTGTGCTTTGGTTTCCTCATCTGTAAAAAGGGGGTAATAATAGTATTTACATCACAGGGATTTTGTGTGTATTAATTTTTTAATACAGATAAAATGCTTAGAATAGTGCCTGGCCCTGGCAGAGACACAACAAAAAGAGAGAATTTTAGAACAATATCCCTGATGAACATTGATGCAAAAATCCTCAATAAAATACTGGCAAACCAAATCCAGCAGCACATCAAAAAGCTTATCCACCATGATCAAGTGGGCTTCATCCCTGGGATGCAAGGCTGGTTCAACATACACAAATCAATAAATGTAATCCAGCATATAAACAGAACCAAAGACAAAAACCACATGATTATCTCAATAGATGCAGAAAAGGCCTTTGACAAAATTCAACAGCCCTTCATGCTAACAACTCTCAATAAATTAGGAACTGATGGGAAGTATCTCAAAATAATAAGATCTATTTATGACAAACCCACAGCCAATATCATACTGAATGGGCAAAAACTGGAAGTATTCCCTTTGAAAACTGGCATAAGACAGGGATGCCCTCTCTCACCACTCCTATTCAACATAGTGTTGGAAGTTCTGGCCAGGGCAATCAGGAAGGAGAAAGTAATAAAGGGTATTCAATTAGGAAAAGAGGAAGTCAAATTGTCCCTGTTTGCAGATGACATGATTGTATATCTAGAAAACCCCATCATCTCAGCCCAAAATTTCCTTAAGCTGATAAGCAACTTCAGCAAAGTCTCAGGATACAAAATCAATGTGCAAAAATCACAAGCATTCTTATACACCAATAACAGACAAACAGCCAAATCATGAGTGAACTCCCATTCACAATTGCTTCAAAGGGAATAAAATACCTAGGAATCCAACTTACAAGGGATGTGAAGGACCTTTTCAAGGAGAACTATAAACCACTGCTCAACGAAATAAAAGAGGACACAAACAAATGGAAAAACATTCCATGATCATGGGTAGGAAGAATCAATATCGTGAAAATGGCCATACGGTCCAAGGTAATTTATAGATTCAATGCCATCCCCATCAAGCTACCAATGACTTTCTTCACAGAATTGGAAAAAAACTACTATAAAGTTCATATGGAACCAAGAAAGAGCCCGCATTGCCAAGTCAATCCTAAGCCAAAAGAACAAAGCTGGAGGCATCACGCTACCTGATTTCAAACTATACTACAAGGCTACAGTAACCAAAACAGCATGGTACTGGTACCAAAACAGAGATATAGACCAATGGAACAGAACAGAGCCCTCAGAAATAACGCCACACATCTACAACCATCTGATCTTTGACAAACCTGACAAAAACAAGAAATGGGGAAACGATTCCCTATTTAATAAATGGTCCTGGGAAAACTGGCTAGCCATATGTAGAAAGCTGAAACTGGATCCCTTCCTTACACCTTATACTAAAATTAATTCAAGATATATTAAAGGATTAAATGTTAGACCTAAAACCATAAAAACCCTAGAAGAAAACCTAGGCAATACCATTCAGGACATCGGCATAGGCAAGGACTTAATGTCTAAAACACCAAAAGCAATGGCAACAAAAGCCAAAATTGACAAATGGGATCTAATTAAACTAAAGAGCTTCTGCACAGCAAAAGAAACTACCATCAGAGTGAACAGGCAACCTACAGAATGGGAGAAAATTTTTGCAATCTGCTCATCTGACAAAGGGCTAATATCCAGAATCCACAAAGAACTCAAACAAATTTACAAGAAAAAAACAAACAACCCCATCAACAAGTGGGCAAAGGATATCAACAGACACTTCTCAAAAGAAGACATTTATGCAGCCAAAAGACACATGAAAAAATGCTCATCATCACTGGCCATCAGAGAAATGCAAATCAAAACCACAATGAGATACCATCTCATGCCAGTTAGAATGGTGATCATTAAAAAGTCAGGAAAAAACAGGTGCTGGAGAGGATGTGGAGAAATAGGAACACTTTTATGCCATTGGTAGGACTGTAAACTAGTTCAGCCATTGTGGAAGGCAGTGTGGCAATTCCTCAAGGATCTAGAAATAGAAATGCCATTTGACCCAGACATCCCATTATTGAGTATATACCCAAAGGATTATAAATCATGCTGCTATAAAGACCCATGCACATGTATGTTTATTGTGGCACTATTCACAATAGCAAAGATTTGGAACCAACCCAAATATCCATCAATGATTGACTGGATTAAGCAAATGTGGCACATATACACAATGGAATACTATGCAGCCATAAAAAAGGATGAGTTCATTTCCTTTGTAGGGACATGGATGAAGCTGGAAACCATCATTCTCAGCAAACTATCGCAAGGACAAAAAACCAAACACTGCATGTTCTCACTCATAGGTGGGAATTGAACAATGAGAACATTTGGACACAGGAAGGGGAACATCACACACTGGGGCCTGTTGTAGGATAGGGGGAGGGGGAGGGATAGCATTAGGAGATATACCTAATGTAAATGATGAGATAATGAATGCAGCACACCAGCATGGCACATGTATACATATGTAACAAACCTGCACGTTGTGCACATGTACCCTAGAACTTAAGGTATAATAAAAAAAAGAATTCAGCAAAGTTTCTTCATACAAAGATCAGACTAATGTACACAAAAGTAGCTCTTCTATACACCAACAACAACCAAGTGGAGAATCAAGTCAAGAACTGAAACCCGTTTACAATAGCTGCAAAAAAAAAAAAAAAAAAAAAAATACTTAGGAATATACCTAACCAAGAACTTGAAAGACCTCTACAAGGAAAACTATAAAACACTGATGAAAGAAATCATAGACAACACAAAGAAATGAAACATATCCCATGCTCGTGGATGGCTAGAATGAATATTGTGAAAATGATCATACTGCCAAAAGCAATCAACAAATTCAACACAATTCCCATCAAAATATCACCGTCATTCTTCACAGACTTAGAAAAAATTATAAAATGAATATGGAACCAAAAGTAAGCCCACATAGCCAAAGCAAGACTAAGCAGAAAGAACAAAACTGGAGGCATCACATAACCTGATTTCAAAGTATACTATAAGGCCATAGTCACCAAAACAGCATGTTACTGGTATAAAAGTACCAATTAGACCAATGGAACAAAGTGGAGAACCCAAAAGTAAAGCCAACTGATCTTTGACAAAGCAAACAAAAACATAAAGTAGGGATAGGATACCATTTTCAACAAATAGTGCTGGGATAATTGGCTAGCCGCATGTAGAATAAAACTGGATCCTCATCTCTCACCTTACACAGAAATCAAGATGGCTTAAAGACTTTAATATAAGACATGAAACTATAAAAATTCTAGAAGATAACATTGAAAAACCCCTTCTAGATGTTGGTTTAGGCAAGGATTTTATAATCAGGAATCCAAAAGCAAATGCAATAAACACAAAGATGAATTGCTAGGACTTAATTAATCTAAAGAGCTTTTGCACTGCAAAAGGAACAGTCAGCAGAGTAAACAGAAAACCCACAGAGTGAGTAAAAAACCTTCACGATCTATCCATCTGAGAAAAACTAATATCCAGAATCTACAATGAAATCAAACAAATCAACAAGAACAAAACAAACAATCCCATCAAAAAGTCAGCTAATGATATGAATAGGCAATTTTCAAAAGAATATATACAAATGACCAACAAACATAAAAGAATGCTTAACATCACTAATGATCAGGGAAATGTAAATCAAAACCACAATGCGATACCACCTTAGTCCTGCACGAATGGCCATAATCAAAAAATCAAAAAAATAGTAGATGTTGGCATGGGTGCGGTGAACAGGGAACACTTCTACACTGTTGGTGAGAATGTAAACTAGTAAAACCACTATGGAAAACAGCGTGAAGATTCCTTAAAGAACTAAAAGTAGAACTACTATTTGATAGTTTGACATGCCATGAGATGTAGTCTCCATGAGAGCAGAGATCTTGTTATACTCACTGCTGTGTCCCTAGTGCCTTTTAAATAGTGCCAGTATCATAAGCACTGAATAAATATTTGCTGATTTAATATGCTAGGGTTTCTATCCGGGCTAAATATTGTATCCATTGAGTAATACATCAGTTCTTATTCCAAGACTACATTTTTTGAGTATTTTAGCCTGAAACGTCACTTTAATACCTGATGAAGGAAGCTTTCCCAAATACTCCTTTCTAAAAAATGTTCTGGCTTGGTGCGGTGGCTCACAGCTGTAATCCCAGCACTTTGGGAGGCTAAGGTCACCTGAAATCAGGAGTTCAAGACCAGCCAGGACAACATGGCCAAACCCCATCACTACTTAAAGAAATACAAAAATTAGCTGGGCGTGGTGGCGGTCCTGTGGTCTCAGCTACTCAGGAGGCTGAGGCAGGAGAATCGCTCGAAATCGAGAGGTTGCAGTGAGCCGAGATCACGCCACTGCACTCCAGACTGGGTGACAGAGCGAGACTCCACCACAAAAAAAAAATTTTTTTCGTGGCTAATCTTGCCTATTTGATCTTCCAAACAGAATTTCAAAACAATTTTGTCAATTTTCAAACATATTTTCAAACTTGCCTTTTATTATAAGTTTTTAAGGCATGTTAGCAATTTCAAATAGGCAAAAATAAAAGTACACTAAACACTTTTTAAACGTTTATTATAATTTCAAGGCTACAAGTACAGATCTGTTACACAGGTAAACCTGTGTCATGCAGGTTTGCTGCACGGATCATCCCATCACCTAGATACTGAGCCTAGCATTCATCAGCTATTCTTCCTGATGCTCGCTCGCTCTCTCTCCTCCCCACCAACAGTCCCCAGTGTGTGTTGTTCCCAACCATGTGTTCTCATAATTCTGCCCCCACTTATAAGTGAGAACATGCAGTGTTTGCTTTTCTGTCCCTTCATTAGTTTGTTGAAAATAATGGCTTCCAAATCCATCCATTTTCCTGAAAAGGAAATTATCTCATTCTTTTTTACAGCTTCATAGTGTTCCACTGTGAATATGAACCACGTATTCTTAATCCAGTATCACATTGATAGGCATTTAGGTTGATCCCATGTCTTTGCTATTGTAAATAGTGCTGCAATGAACATATGTATGCATGTGTCTTTATAGCAGACTGATTTATATTCCTTTGGGTATATACCCAGTAATGGAATTGCTGAGTCAAATGGTATTTCTGTCTTTATGTCTTTGAAAAATCACCACACTGTCTTCCAGAATTGCAGAACTAATTTACACTCCCGCCAACAGTGTATAAGCATTCCTCTTTCTCCACAACCTCACCAGCCTCTGTGATTGTTTGACTTTTTAATAATAGTCATTCTGATTATTGTTACATGGCCTTCATTGCGGTTTTGATTTGCATTTCTCTAATAATCAGTGATGTTGAGCTTTTTCTCATATGATTGATGGTCGCATGTATTGAAGTGTCTGTTGGTGTTCTTTGCCCACTTTATAACGGGGTTGTTTGTTATTTGCTTGTAAATTTGTTTAAGTTCCTTATAGATGCTGATCTTTGTCAAATGCATAATTTGCAAACATTTTCTCCCATTCTGTAGGTTGTCTGTTCACTCTGTTGATAGTTTATTTTGCTGTGCAGAAGCTCTTTAGTTTAACTAGGTCCCATTTGTCAATTTTTGTTTTTGTTGCAATTGCTTTTTGTGTCTTCGTCATGAAATCTTTGCCGGTGTCTATGTCCTGAATGATATTGCCTAGATTGTCTTTCAGGATTGCTACAGTTTTGGGTTTTACATTTATGTCTTCAATCCATCTTAAGTTAATTTTTGTATATGGTGTAAGGAAGGGGTTCAGTTTCAATCTTCTGCATATTGCTAGCCAGTTCCCCAGCACTATTTATTGAACAAGGAATCTTTTCCCCATTGCTTTTGTCAGGTTTATTGAAGACTGAATAGTTGCAGGTGTGCAATCTTATTTCTGGGTTCTCTATTCTGTTCCATTGGTCTGCATGTCTTTTTTTGTACCAGTACCAGGCTGTTTTGGTTGCTGTAGCATTGTAGTATAGATTGAAGTCAGGTAGCATTATGCCTCCAGCTTTATTCTTTTTGCTTAGAATTGCCTTGGCTATTCAGGTTCTCTTTTGGTTTCATATGAATTTTAAATTACTTTTCTCTAGTGCTGTGAAGAATGTCAATGGTGGTTTAATAAAAATAGCATTGAATCAATGAATTGCTTTGGGAAGCATAGCCATTTTAATAATATTGATTATTCCTATCTATGAGCATTAGACATTTTTCTATTTTTTTGTGCCATGTATGATTTCCTTCAGCAATGGTTTTGGTTCTCCCATAGAGACCTTTCACCTCCCTAGTTACCTGTATTCCTAGGTATTTCATTCTTTTTGTGGCAATTATGAATGGAAGTTCATTCATGATTTGGATCTTGGGTTGACTATTGTTGGTGTATAGGAATGCTAGTGATTTTTGCACATTGATTTGGTATCCTGAGATTTTGCTAAAGTTTTTATCAGCTTAAGTACCTTTTGGGAGAAAGCTATGAAGTTTTCTAAATATAGAATCATGTCTCCTGCAAACAGGGATAGTTTGATTTCCTCTTTTCCTATTTGGATGCCCTTTCTTTTTTTTTTTTAAATATTTTAAGTTCTAGGGTACATGTGCACAACGTGCAGGTTTGTTACATATGTATACATGTCTCTTGCCTGATTGCCCTGGCCAGAACTTCCAATAGTATGTTGAATAGGAGTGGTGAGAGAAGGCATCATTGTCTTGTGCCCGTTTTCAAGGGGACTGCTTCCAGATTTTGCCCATTCAGTATGATGTTGACTAGGGGTTGGTCATACATAGGTCTTACTATTTTGAGGTATGGTCCTTTGATGCTTAATTTATTGAGAATTTTTTTTAACATGAATGGATGTTGAATTTTATCAAAAGCCTTTTCCGCATCTATCGAGATAATCATGTGGTTTTTGCCTTTAGTTTTGTTTGTATGATGAACCAAACTTACTGATTTGCATATGTAGACCCAACCTTGCCTTCCAGGAATGAAGCCTACTTGGTTGTGGTGAATAAGCTTTTTGATATGCTGCTGGATTCTGTTTGCCAGTTATTTTTTAAAGGATTTTTGCATTTATGTTCATCAAGGATATTGGCCTGCAGCTTTTCTGTTATTGTATCTCTGCCAGATTTTGGTATCAGGATGATATTTGCCTCATAGAATGAGTTAGGGAGGAATCCCTCCTCCTTACTTTCTTGGAATAGTTTCAGTAGGAATGGTCCTGGGCTTCTTTTGGTTGGTAGGCTATTTTTTACTGCCTCAATTTCAGAACTTCTTATTGGTCTGTTCAGGGACTCAATTTCTCCCTGGTTTAGTCTTGGGAGGTTGTATGTATTCAGGAATTTATCCATTTCTTCTAGATTGTCGAGTTTATGTAGATAGAGGGGTTCATAATATTGTCTGATGATTGTATGTATTTTGAGGGAGGGTCAGTATTAACATCCCTCTTGTCATTTCCGATTGTGATGATCTGAATCTTCTCTACGTATCAATATGTCATATTTCAGGCAACTGTAACCAATAGGAAAGAGATAAAAGACTTCAAATGAAGACCCTAAGATAGCTATCCTAAAGACTGAGCTTTGTAACCGTATCAGGTATCATGGTAAAACACTGAAAAGTTTGCACTTTGTTGTCATTTCTTAATCGAACATACATAATAAGTATTACAAACTATAATCTACAATACAGACATACCTTGTTTTATCATAATTTGCTTTATAGCACTTCAAACAATTTGCGTTTTCTTTTTTTTTTTTTTTTTTTTTTTTGGCAAGGTATTGTTCTGTCACAGAGTCTGGTGTGCAGCAGTGCAGTCATGGTCCACTGCAGCCTCAATTTCCCAGGCTCAAGCAATTCTCCTGCTTCAGCCTCTCGAGACCACAGGTGCACACCACCACACCTGGCTATTTTGTTTTCTTGTACAAACAGAACCTATGTTACCCGGGCTGGTCTCAAACTCCAGAGCTCAAGCGATCCTTCTGCCTCAGCCTCCCAAGGTACTGGGATTACAGTTGTGAGCCACCACACCTAGCACTTTTTTTTAATGAATTAAGTATTGTGGCAACTCTGTGATGAGCAAGTCTATTGGATCCATTTTTCCAAGAGCATATGCTCACTTCATGTTTCTGTGTTATGTTTCGGTAATTCTCACGATATTTTTTCATTATCATTACATCTGTTATGGTGATCTTTGATTACCATTATTTGTATTTTTAATTTTTTTTAACTGTTATGGATACATAATAGCCATAAATATTTTGGGGGTATATTTGATATTTTGATACAAGTATACAACGTATAATGACCAAATCAGGGTAACTGGGATAGCTATCATCTTAAACATATATCATTTCTTTGTGTTAGGGATAGTACCATTCCACTCTTCCAGTTATTTTGAAATAGGTAATAAATTACTGTTAACTATAGTCATGCTATTGTGCTATTGGACACTAGGTCTTTTACCCTCTAACTATATTTTTGTACTCATTAACAAATTTTTCTTTATAACTCCTTCCTGCTGCTATTTCCAGCCTATGGTAGGCATCATTCTGCTCTCTGTCTCAATGAGTTTAATTTTGTATTAGCTCCAACATATGAGCAACAATAAGTAGTATCTGACTTTCTGTTCCTGGCTAACTTTGTTTAATATAATGTCCTCTAATTCCATCCATGTTGCTGAAAATAAAAAAAAACTTCATTATATTTATTGCTGAATAATATTCCATTGTGTATTTTTGACACATTTTCTTTATCCATTTATCCATTGATAGACACTTAGGTTGATTCCGTATCTTGGATATTGTGAAAAGTGCTGCAATAAACATAGAAGTGCAGATATCTCTTGAATATACTGATTTTCATCCTTTTGAATATATTCCCAATTGTAGGATTGCTGAATGATATGATAATTCTATTTTTAGTTTTTTGATGACCTTCTATACTCTTTTCCACAGTGGCTATACTAATTTACATTCCCACAAAGAATGTACACAGTTCCCCATTTCTCTGCATCCTTGCCAGCATCTCTTGTTATTTTTTTGTCTTCTTGATAAAAAACATTCTAACTGGAGTAAGATAATATATCATTGTGGGTTTCATTTGCATTTCTGTGATAAATAGTGATGTTGAACATTTTTCATATACTTCTTGGTCATTTCTATGTCTTCTTTTGACAAATGTGTATTCAGATCTTTCACCCATTTGTAAAACAGAACATTTATTGTTCTTCCTATTGAGTTTCTTACATATTCTGGTTATTAATCCATTGTCAGTTTTATAGTGTGCATATATTTTCTCCAATTCTGTTTTATCTCTTCAGTTCGTTGATTGTTTCCATTGCTGTGCAGAAGCTTAATACCTTGATGTGGTACCAATTGTCCATTTATAATTTGATTGCCTGTGCTTTTTGGGTCTTACTCAAAACATCTTTGCCCAGACTGACATACTGGGGAATTGCCCCAGTGTTTTCTTCTAGTTTTATAGTTCCTGGTTTTACATTTAAGTCTTTTATCCATTGTGATTTGATTTTCATATATGGCAAGAGACGGGAGACTATTTTCTTTCTTCTGCATGTGGACATCTAAGTTTCCCAGAAACATGTATTGAAGAAATGGTCCTTTCTCAAATATGTTCTTGAAACCTTTGGCAAAAATGAGTTGACTGCAAATGTGTGGATTTATTTCTGGGTTTGTATAAACTATTCCATTAGTCTATGTGTATGCTTTTATGACAGCATCATGATGTTTTGGGTACTATACCTTTGTAGTATAATTTGAAGTTAGGTAATATGATGCTTCCAGCTTTGTTCTTTTTGCTCAGGATTGGTCTGGATATTTTGGGTCCCTGTGATTCCATATAAATTTCAGGATCTTTTAATATTTGCAAAAAATGTCATTGGTATTTTGACAGAAACTGCATTAAATTTGTAGATCACTTTGGATGGTATGGACATATTAACAACATTGATACTTCCAATCTGTTAACACAGAATATTTCCATTTTTATGTCCTCTTTAATTTTGTTCATTGTTTTATACTTTTCATTATAGAGATCTCTCATTTCTTTGATTACGTTTATTTCTAGGTACTTTATTTTATTTGTGGCTATTGTAAATGAAATTAATTTCTTGGTTTTTCTGACTGTTCACTATTGGTTTATGAAATGCTACTGACTTGGGGAAACAAGCCAAAATGGCAAATTAGAAGCAATTGCCGTCCGCAGCTCTCACAGAGAAGAATGAAAACTTCAAGTGAATTTAGCACTTTCGACTGAAATATCCAGGTCCTCGCATTTGGACCTGGTGACTAGGTGAATGGCTAAACCCACAGAGAATGAAAAAAAGCAGGGTGGGGTGATAGCCCACCCGGGAGTGGCACCGACCCAAAGTAACCCCCACCCCTAGCCAAGGAAAGTGGTGAGTGATTGTGTAACCTTACTCGGGAAACCACACTTCTTCCACAGATTTTTGCAACCCACGGATAAGGAGATCCCTTCGTGAACCCATTCCATCAAGCCTTGGGTCCAATACAAAAAAGTGTGCAGAGTCTTGGCAGAACAGTAGTTCAGGCTCACAGAAACCCAGGAGTTTTTCTGACTCTAGCTTCAGGAATGCCAGCAAGGTAGGAGATCCATCAGTACACTCTACCGAAAAAAGGGCTGAATCCAGGGAGCCAAGCAGTGTTGTTTTGTAGGCCCCACCTCCATGGTACCTCACAAGTTAAGAACCACTAGATTGGAAAACAGGCTGGAGATTGCCTGACACAAATGAATTTCTGGTGAGAAGGGCGGCTGCCATTCCTGTGGTTAGGTTGAATCAGCCATTCTAGCCTGCTGAATCCAGTGGGTCCAGGCAGTCTGCCTGAAAACAAATTCCACACAATGCAGCACAGCTGCTGTGCCAGATCATGGCCAGACTACTTTTTAACGTGGAACTCCAATCAATTCCTCCTCACTCAGGGGCGACCTCCCTGTGGGAATTTCAGCAACTCCAGCCAGGATTATACAAACAGAACTCTGATCTCTTCCAGGGATGAAGCCCCCAGGAGGGGAAGCTGCCATTTTTGTGGTTCAGTCAACTAGGCAGTTCTAGCCTGCCGGCTCCAGGGAGTCCAGGTGGTCCTCATGAGGAGTCCCCCCACAATGCAGCACAGCTGCTGTTCCAAATTGTGACTAGATTGCTTCTTTAAGTAGGACCCCAATCCATCCCTCCTCACTGGGCAGGGCCTCCCTGTGGGAATTTCAGCAACTCCAGCCAGGGTTATACAAACAGAACTTTGATCTCTTCCTAAACAAAAGCCCCCAGGAGGAGGGGTGGCTGACACCTCTGCAGTTCAGTCAACTCAGCCTTTCCAGACTGCTGGCTCTGGAGAGTCCAGCAGGTCTGGACAAGGAAGAGTTACACCCAATGCAGCACACCTGCTCTACCCAAAACCAGCCAGTCTGCTTCCTTAAGTGGGCCTCTAATTCTGTCTCTCCTGACTGGGTGAGAGCTCCCAACAGGGGTCTCCAGACACCTCCTACAGGAGCGTCTGGGCAACAATAGGTCAGTACCTCCCCTGGGTCAGAGCTCCTAGAGAAAGAAGCACCCTTCACTGGTGATAACTCCAGGTAAGGGGAAAACCTAGGCAACTAGGGTCTGGAATGATCACCTTACAAAACACAAGAGCCCTATAGGAAAGTGGCTTGTTAAAAGAAAAACAAACAAATGAAAGCAACAACAAAAATATTATTAACAAAAACCGCTACAAATATCCCATTCATAGGTCAGCAGTACCAAAAACCGAAGATAAATAAGCCTACAAGGATGAAAACGAATCAGTGTGAAAATGCTGAAAAATGAAAAAATCCAGAGTGCCTCTTCTCCTCCAAATGACCACAACAGCTCTCAAGCAAGGGCTCACAGCTGGGGCTGAGGCTGAGGTGGCTGAATTAACAGAAGTAGGATTCAGAAGGTAAGTAATAACAAACTGCTGAGCTAAAGAAGCATGTTCTAGCCCAATGCAAAAACACTAAGAATCATGAAAAATATACAGGAGCTGAAAACCAGAATAGCAACTTTACACAGGCATATAAAAGACCTGATGGAGCCTTAAAACATATGAGAAATTGACAATGCTATCACAAGTATCAAAAGCAGAATAGACCAAGCAAAGAAAATAATCTCAGAGCTTGAAGACTATCTTTCTGAAATCGGACAGACAAAACAAAAAGGGAAAAAAAATTAAAAAACAAACTAAACCTCCAAAAAATATGGGACTATGTAAAAAGACTGAACCTATCACTGATTGTGGTACATGAAAGAGATGGGAAGAATGGAACAAACTTGGAAATCATACTACAGGATATCATCCAGGAAAACTTCCAAAACCTAACAAGAGGTGCCAACATTCAAATTTAGGAAATTGAGAGAACCCCAGTCAGAAACTCCACAAGAAAATCAACCCCAAGACACATAATCATCAGATTCTTCAAGATTGAAATGAAATAGAGGATGTTAAGGGAAGTGAGAGAAATGCCAGGTCACCTGCAAAGGGAAACCCATCAGAATAACAGCAGAGCTCTCAGTGGAAACCCTGCAAGCAAGAAGAGATGGGGGGCCAATATTCAACATTCTTAAAGAAAAAAAAATTCCAACCCAGAAATTTATATTGGCCCAAACTAAGCTTCACAAGTGAGAGAGAAATAAGATCCCTTGAAGACAAGCAAATGCAAAGAAAACTTGTCACTACCAGGCAAGCCTGCAAGGGTGCCAAATAAAACACTAAATAAGAAAAAGAAAAATTGCTATCAACCACCACAAAAACACACTGAAGTACACAGACTGGTGACACTATCAAGAAACCACATAAACAAGTGTGCAAAATAAACAGCTACCATCATAACATGATCAAATTCACACATAAAAATATTAACCTTAAATGTAAATGGGAGAAATGCCCTAATTAAATAACATAGAATGGCAAGCTGGATAAAGAGTCAAGACCCATCAGTATGCTGTCTTCAAAAGACCCATCACATGTGCAAATAAACACATGTGCAAATAAACTCAAAATAAAGGGATGGAGGAAAAAATATCAAGCAAATGGAAAAAAAAAAAGAGCAGGTGTTGCAATCCTAGTTGCTGAAAAAACAGACTTTAAACCAAGAGAGAACAAAAAAGACAGAGAAGGGCATTACATAATGGTAAATGGGGTCAATTAAACAAGAGCTAACTATCCTAAATACATATGCACCCAATATGGGAGGACCAAGATTCATAAAGCAAGTTTTTAGAGACCTACAAAGAGACTTAGACGCACACACAATAATAATGAGAGACTTAAACACCCCACTAACAATATTAGACCACTGAAAAAGAAAATTAACAAAGATATTCAGGATCTGAACTCACCTCTGGATCAAGCAGAACCATCTACAGAACTCTCTACCCAAAAACAACAGAATGCACATTCTTCTCATTGCCACATGGCACTTAATCTAAAATTGATAACATAATCGGAAATAAAACACTCCTCAGCAAATAAAAAAACCCCTGACATCATAAGAAAGTCTTTCAGACCACAGCACAATCAAATTAGACCTCAAGATCAAGAAATTCATGGAAAACCAAACAACTACATGAAGATTGAAAAATCTGCTCCTGAATCACTCCTGGGTAAGTAATGAAATTAAGGCAGATATCAAGAAGTTCTTTGAAACTAGTGAGAACAAAGAGACAATGCACCAGAATCTGAGATGCAGCTAAAGCAGTGTTAAGAGGGAAATTTATAGCACTGAATGCCCACATTACAAAGCTATAGAATCTCAAATTAATAACCTAACATTACAACTAAAAGAACTAGAAAATTAAGAGCAAACAAACCCCAAAGGTAGCAGAAGACAAAACATAACCAAGATCAGAGTGGAATTGAAGGAGATAGAGACACAAACAAAACTTCACAAAACTCAGTGAATCCCAGTGCTGTATTTTGAAAAAAATATTGATATGTTATCTAGACTAATAAAGAAGAAAAGAGAGAAGAATCAAATAGCCACAAGCAAAAATGATAAAGGAGATATCACCACTGACTCCACAGAAATACAAACAACCATCAGAGAATACCACGAACACCTCTATACACATAACATAGAAAATGTAGAATAAATGGATAAATTTCTGGACACATACACCTCCCAAGACTGAATGAGAAAGACGTTGAATCCCTAAATAAACCAATAACAAGTTCTGAAATTGAGAAAGTAATAAGTAGCCTACCAACCAACAAAAAAGCTAAGGATCAGACAGATTTACAGCTAAATTGTTCCAGAGGTACAAAGAAGAGCTGGCAACTTTTCTACTGAATTTATTCCAAAAAATCGAGGAGGGACTCTTCCATATTTTCTACTAAATCTATTCCAAAAAATTGAGGAGGGACTCTTCCTCATTTTATGAGGCTAACATCATCCTGATATCAAAACCTGAAAGAGATAAAAGAAAACTTCAGGCCAACATTCCTGATAAACATCAATGCAAAAATCCTCAATAAAATGCTGGCAAACTGAATCAAGCAGCACATCAAAATGCTTATCCTCCACAATCAAGTTGGCTTCATCCCCAGTATGCAAGGTTGGTTCAACATACATTAATTAACAAATGTAATTCATCACATAAACAGAAATAAAACCAAAAAACACAAGATTATCTCAATAGATACAGAAAAGGCCTTCAATAAAATTCAACATCACTTCATGTTAAAAACTCTCAATAAACTAGGTACTAAAGAAACATTCCTCAAAATAATAACAGCCATATATGAGAAACCCACAGCCAATATCATACTGAATGGACAAAAGCTAAATGCATTCCCCTTAAAAACTGGCACAAGACAAGTATGCCCTATCTCACAACTCGTATTCGATACAGAATTGCAAGTTCTGGACAGGAAAATCAGGCAAGAGAAAAAAAAAAAGGCATTCAACTAGAAAAACAGGAAGTCAAACTATCCCTGTTTGCAGATGACATAATCCTATATCTAATAAATCCCATCATCTCAGCCCCAAAGCATCTTAAGCTAATAAGCAACTTCAGCAAAGTCTCAGAATACAAAATGAATGTGCAAAAATTGCTAGCATTTCTACATACCAACATGCAAGCAGAGAGTGAAACCACAAATGAACTCCCATTCATAAATGCTACAAAAAAATCAATTACCTAGAAATACAGCTAACAGGGGAGGTGAAGGACCTCTTCAAAACAAACAAACAAACAAACAAACAAACTACAAACCACTGCTGAAGGAAATCAGAGAGGACACAAACAAATGGAAGAACATTCCATGCTCATGGATAGGAATAATTGATATTATGAAAATGGCCATATTGCACAAAGTAATTTATACATCCAATGCTATTCCCACTAAAATACCATTGACATTCTTCACAGAATTAGAAGAAACTACTTCAAAATTCATACTGAACCACAAAAGAGCCCAAACAGCCACAGCAATTCTAAGCAAAAAGAACAAAGCCAGACACATCATGCTACCCAAAATCAAACTATACTCCAAGGCTACAGTAAGCAAAACAACATGGTACTGGTACAAAAACAGACACATAGACTAATGGAAGATAATAGAGAACTCAGAAATAAAACAACACACCTACAACCATCTGATCTATGACAAACCTGACGAAAATGAGCAATGGGAAGACAATCCCCTATTTAATAAATAGTGTTGGGAGAATTGGCTAGCCATATGCAGAAAATTGAAATTGTAAGCCTTCCTAACATCTTATACAAAAATTAACTCAAGATGGAGTAAAGACTTAAATGTAAAACCCAAAACTATAAAAATCCAGAAGAAAATCTAGGAAATACCATTCAGGAAATAGGCATGGGCAAAGATTTCATTATAAAAATGCCAAAAGCAATTGCAATAAAAGCAAAAATTGACAAATGGGACCTAGTTAAGTGAAAGAGCTTCTGCACAGCAAAAGAAACTATCATCAGAGTGAATAGACAACCTACAGAGAAAGAGAAAATTTTTGCTATCTGTCCATCTGACAACAGTCTAATATCTAGATTCTAAAAGGAATTTAAACAAATATAAAAGAAAAAAACAACCCCATTTAAAAGTGGGTAAAAAACATGGACAAACCCTTCTCAAAATAAAACATTCATGTGGCTAAGAAACATATGAAAAAAAAGCTAAACATCAGTGACTGATAGCCACAGGAAACAGAGAAATTCTGAGGCAGACAGGAACAGGTCCCTCGTGAAACTTGACCTTCAAATCAAAGAGAGTTGAAAGCCTGAAATCTGAGCTGCCTGTTCCAGATAGAGCCCACAATCAGAGTGAAAACTTCTATCCCTGTCTTAGCCTCTCTCTCTTGTTTATTTCCTTCTGATAGATACCTTTTACAAAATAAAATGGTGTTTTTTCCAAAGTCCAACCATAAACCAATCAGCAGGCATTCCTCCATTCTAAACCCATAAAAATGCTAGACTCACCTTCAAAGACTACTGCATGCTTTCAGGTCCACTCTCAGAGCTGAGAGCTTTCCTTCTGTTGCTCAATAAAATTCTGCTCTGTGTTACTAAGTCTCTGGTGTCCATGTACTTTATTCCACTTGGTCATGAAACAAGAACCCAGAACATGCCAAAACATGGAAGTAAAAACTGAGGTAACACGGTACCACTTGCTGAGCTATGGAAGTAAAGAGCTGTGACATGTCTTGGAAGCTCAGACCTCAGGATTCCCTGATCAAGAGCTGTAACACCCCTTGAAGCACCGTGATTGCTGGCATCTTCGAGTTTTGGGGCACCACCATGTTTCCCTGATATAGATACAGGCGCCCAAGTTGGAATCTGCTTGCAGCCTGACCAGGCTAGCTGTGGGCTGAGTGCAGAGCCACAGCAGGCAAGCAATCCAGGCTGGGATGCAAGCTGAACTCAGCCTGCCAGGCTGAGTGGGCAAAGTGAGCCCAGCAGGCCCTGAGGGAGGCCCAGGCAGAGATGGCAGTGGCTGGAGAGATTTCCAGCTGGTGAAATTGCACCAAAGGAATCTTGTAACATGATCATTAGAGAAGTGCAAAGCAAAACCACAATGAGGTAGGATCTCATGCCAGTAAAAATAGCAATTATTAAAAAGTCAAAAAACAACAGATGCTGGTGAGGTTGTGGAGAAAAAGGAATGTGTTTACACTGTTGGTTGGAGTGTAAATTAATTCAACCACTGTGGAAGACAAAATGGTAATTCCTTAAAGATCTAGAGGCAGAAATACCATTTGACCCAGCAATCCCATTACTGGGTATATACCCAAAGAAATATAATTTATTCTAGTATAAAGATACATGCATGCATATGTTCATTGCAGCACTATTCACAAAAACAAAGACATGAAATCAACCCAAATAGCTATCAATAAGAGACTGGATAAAGAAAATGAAATACATATACATCAAAAAAATACTATGTAGCCAAAAAGAATGAACAAGGCCATGTCCTTTGCAGGGACATGGATGGAGCTGGAAGCCATTATCCTCAGCAAACTAACAGCAGTAACAGAAAACAAAACACTGTATGTTCTCAGTTATACGTGGAAGCTGAATGATCAGAACACATAGGGAGGAAACAAGACACACTGGGGCCTTTCTGGAGAAGTGGTGGGGGGAGAAAGAGCATCAGAAAAAAATAGCTAATGGATACTGGCCTTAATACCAAGATGATGGGTTGATCTGTGCTGCAAACCACCATGGCACACATTTACCTATGTAACACACCTGCACATCCTGCACATGTATCCTGGAACTTAATAAATGCTACTGATTTTGTATACTGCAACTTTACTGGTTTTGTCAGTTCTAATAGACTTCTTTTTTTATTATTCTTTTGGTAGAGTCCTTAGATTTTTCTAAATATGAAATCATACTATCTGAAAACAAAAATAATTTGACGTCCTGCTTTCCAAATTAAATACCTTGTGTTTATTTCTCTTGCCTAACTGCTGTGGCTAGGACTTTCAATACTATGTTGAATAATAGTGGTGAAAGTGGGGATCCTTGTCTTGCTCCAGATCTTAAAGAAAAGGCTTTCAGTTTTTCCCCATTCGGTATGATACTAGTTGTGGGTTTGTTATATATTGAGTTTATCATATGGTGGTATGTTCCTTCTGTACCAAGTTCTTTAAAGAGTTTTTATCATGAAGAAATGTTGAATTTTATCAAGTATTTATTTGGCATATATTGGAATGACCATATGTTTTTTGTCCCTTATTCTGTTGATGTGATGCATCACACTTATTGATTTGCATATGCTGAACCATCTTTGAATCCCTGAAATGAATTCCACTACATGATGATGGATAATCTTTTTCATGTGGTTTGAGTTGAGTTTGCTAGTATTTTTGTATGCATATTCATCAGAGATCTTGGCCTGCAGTTTTGTTTGTTTGTTTGTGTTGTTTTTGTCCGGTCTTAGCATCAGGGTAATACTGTACTTGAAGAATGAATTTAGAATTAGTCCCTTCTCAGAATAGTCTGAAAAGGATTGATATTAGTTCTTCTTTAAATAATTGGGTTGATAATACTCTCTCATGATGCTTTCAATTTCTGTGGTATCCGCTGTAATGTCTCTTTTTTTGTCTCTCGTTTTATTTTTGTCTTCCCTGTTTTTCATAGTCTGGTGAAAATTTTATCAATTTGTTTATCTTTTGAGAAAACAAGTTTTCATTCCATTTATCCTATTTTTTGTCTCAATTTCCTTTATTTCTTTTTTGATGTTATTATTTCTTCTACTAACTTTGGGTTTGCTTTGCTCTCCTTTTTCTAGTTCTTTAAAATGCACTACTAGGTTGTTTATTTGAAGTTTACATTTTAATATGTAGATGTTTATTGTTATAAATGTCCGTCTTAGTACTGCTTTTTCCATATCCCATAAGTTTTGGTATGTTTTGTTTTAATTTTCATTGTTGATTTTTTTTTTTTTAATTTTCTTCTTAATTTCTTCATTGGCCCAATGGTCATTCAGGAGCACATTTGTTTAATTTCCAAATATCTGTATAATTTCCAAAGTTCTTCTTATTATTGATTTGTAGTTTTATTCCATTGTAGTCACAAAAGATATTTAATATGATTTCAATTTTTTTGAATTACTTAAGACTTGCTTTGTGGCCTAACATATAGCCTATCCTTGAGAATGTTTCATATACTGAAGAGACAAGTGTGTATTCTGTAGCTGTTGGATAAAATGTTCCGTAAATGTCTATTTGGCCCATTTGGTCTATACTCCAGATTAAGTCCAATGTTTCTTTGCTAATTTTTTGTCTACATGATCTATCCAGTGCTGAAAGAGGGGATTCAATGTCCCCCACTGTAATTGTATTGTGGTATATATCTCTCTCTTTAGCATAGATAATATTTGCTTTAAACATCTGTGTGCTCCAGTGTTGGGCACATAAATATTTACAATTGTTATATCTTCTTGCTAACTTGACCCCCTTATCATTATATAAATCACATCCTTGTCTTTTTTAATATTTTTGGCATAAAAACTATTTTTTTCTGATGTAAGTATAGCTGCTCCTCCTCATTTCTGGTTTCTATTTGCAGGGAATATGTTTTTCCATCCTTAATTTTCAGACTATATACATCTTTACAGGTGAAGTAAGTTTCTTCTAGACAGCATATAGTCGAGTCTTTTTTTTTTCCATCCATTCAGCCACTCTATGTCTTTTTGTTGGATAATTTAGTCCATTTACATTCAATGTTAATATTGATATGTAAGGACTTACTACCACTATTTTGTTATTTGTTTTAGTGTAGCTTTGTTAGCACTCTCTTCCTTCCTTCTTGTCCTCCTTTATGTATAAGTGATTTTCTCTGGTAGTATGTTTTAATTTCTTGCTTTTTGTTTTCTGTGAATTTATTATAATTTTTGCTTTGTGAATACCATGAGGCTTGCAAATAACACGTTATAAGCAATTATTTTAAACCGAGGATAACTTTGATCACAATGAAAAGCAAAATAACAAGTAATGAAAATACTAAAAACCCTTCACTTTAATTCCATCCGTACCACCTTCTGACTTTTTGTTCTTTTTTCATCTTTTTATATTGCATGTTGCGGGAAGTCAGGGACCCCGAACGGAGGGACCAGCTGAAGCCATGGCAGAAGAACATAAATTGTTAAGATTTCATGGCCATTTATTAGTTCCCAGAATCAATACTTTTATAATTTCTCACACCTGTCCTACGTTATTTTATTTTATTATTTTTTTGAGACAGAGTCTTACTCTGTCACCCAGGCTGGAGTGCAGTGGTGCGATCTCAGCTCACTGCAAGCACTGCCTTCTGGGTTCACAGCATTCTCCTGCCTCAGCCTCCCAAGTAGCTGGGACTACAGGCACCTGCCACCATGCTTGGCTAATTTTTTTTTTTTGTATTGTTAGTAGAGACGGGGTTTCACCATGTTAGCCAGGATGGTTTCGATCTCCTGACCTTGTGTTCTGCCCGCCTCAGCCTCCCAAAGTGCTGGGATTACAGGCATGAGCTACCACACTCGACCTCCTGTCTTACTTTAATCTCTTAATCACATCAACTTCGTAAGCTGAGGATGTATGTCACCTTACGACCCTGTGATGATTGCGTTAACTGTACAAATTTTTTGTAAAACATGTGTGTTCGAACAATATGAAATCTGATTGTAAAACATGGGTGTTTGAACAATATGAAATCAGTGAACTCTGAAAAAGAACAGAATAACAGCAATTTTCAGGGAACAAGGAAAGATAACCATAAGGTCTGACTGCCTGCGGGGTCGGGCAGAATAGAGCCATATTTTTCTTCTTGCAGAAAACCTATAGATGGATGTGCAAGTAGGAGAGATATCACTGAATTCTTTTCCCAGCAAGGAATATTAATAATTGAGACCCTGGAGAAGGAATGCATTCCTGGGGGTAGTTCTATGAATAGCCGCTCTGGGAGTATCTGTTTTATGTGGTTAAGATAAGGATTGAGATACGCGGTTAAGATAAGGATTGAGATACGCCCTGGTCTCCTGAAGTACCCTCAGGCTTACTAGGACTAGGAAATTCCAGCCTGGTAAATTCTACTCATATTGGTTGTCTGCTCTCGAACCCTGTTTCCTGTTAAGATGTTTATCAAGATAATGCATGCCCAGTGAGACATGGACCCTCATCAGTAATTCTAATTTTGCCCTTGCCTTGTGATCTTGCTCTACCCTTTGCCTTGTGATCTTTTATTGCCCTTTGAAGCATGTGATCTCTGTGACCCACTCCCTATTCGTACACCCCCTCCCCTTTTGAAATCCCTAATAAAAACTTGCTGGTTTTGTGGCTCGGGGTTGTCATCATGGTCCTACCAATATGTGATGGCACCTCCGGAGGCCCAGTTGTAAAATTTCTCTCTTTGTACTCTTTCTTTTTATTTCTCAGACCGGCCAACAATTAGGGAAAATAGAAAGGACCTATGGTGAAATACTGGGGGCTGGTTCCCCCAATAATTGCTTACCTTTTAACAAATTGTTAAAGTTATTATCTCAAATAGGTTTATCCTTAAGTCTTCATACTAAAGATAGAAGTGGTTGACACACCAAAATTACAGCGTTAAAGTAGTCTATCTTGGACTGTGTAGTTACTTTTGATAATGAGTTTATACCTTCAGAAAAATTTTTGATGTTCATTAGCATCCTTTTCTTTCAGACTCCAGAATTCCCTTAAGCATTTTCCTATAATAAAGGTCTGATGTTGATACAAATCCATAGGTTTTGTTTGTCTGGGGAAATCATTACTTCTCTTTCATGTTTGAAGAAAAACGCTGAATATAATATTTAGGCTAGAATTTTTTTCTATGCTTTTTAAAATTTCAATTCGTTTTTTTTTTTTTTTGGCGCTGGGGGAAAGGTGATGTTTGTTTATATGAATAAGTCCTTTACTGGTGATTTCGTATATTTTTTTTAATTAATATCATACTTTAAGTTTTAGGGTACATGTGCACAATGTGCAGGTTAGTTACAAATGTATACATGTGCCATGCTGGTGTGCTGCACCCATTAACTCGTCATTTAGCATTAGGTATATCTCCTAATGCTATCCCTCCCCCTTCCCCCCATCCCACAACAGTCCCCAGAGTGTGATGTTCCCCTTCCTGCGTCCATGTGAGCTCATTGTTCAATTCCCACCGATGAGTGAGAAAATGCATGTTTGGTTTCTCGTTCTTGCAATAGTTTACTGAGAATGATGATTTCCAATTTCATCCATGTCCCTACAAAGGACATGAACTCATCATTTTTTATGGCTACATAGTATTCCATGGTGTATATGAGCCACATTTTCTTAATCCAGTCTATCATTGTTGGACATTTGGGTTGGTTCCAAGTCTTTGCTATTGTGAATAGTGCCGCAATAAACATACGTGTGCATGTGTCTTTATAGCAGCAAGATTTATAGTCCTTTGGGTATATACCCAGTAATGGGATGGCTGGGTCAAATGGTATTTCTAGTTCTAGATCCCAGAGGAATCACCACACTGACTTCCACAATGGTTGAACTAGTTTACTGTCCCACCAACAGTGTAAAAGTGTTCCTATTTCTCCACATCCTCTCCAGCACCTGTTGTTTCCTGACTTTTTAAGGACTGCCATTCTAACTGGTGTGAGATGGTATCTCATTGTGGTTTTGATTTGCATTTCTCTGATGGCCAGTGATGATGAGCATTTTTTCATGTGTTTTTTGGCTGCATAAATGTCTTCTTTTGAGAAGTGTCTGTTCATGTCCTTCACCCACTTTTTGATGGGGTTGTTTGTTTTTTTCTTGTAAATTTCTTTGAGTTCATTGTAGATTCTGGATATTAGCCCTTTGTCAGATGAGTAGGTTGCGAAAATTTTCTCCCATTTTGTAGGTTGCCTGTTCACTCTGACGGAAGTTTCTTTTGCTGTGCAGAAGTTCTTTAGTTTAATTGGATCCCACTTGTCAATTTTGGCTTTTGTTGCCATTGCTTTTGGTGTTTTAGACATGAAGTCCTTGCCCATGCCTATGTCCTGAATGGTAATGCCTAGGTTTTCTTCTAGGGTTTTTATGGTTTTAGGTCTAACGTTTAAGTCTTTAATCCATCTTGAATTGATTTTTGTATAAGGTGTAAGGAAGGGATCCAGTTTCAGCTTTCTACATGTGACTAGCCAGTTTTCCCAGCACCATTTAGTAAATCGGGAATCCTTTCCCCATTGCTTGTTTTACTCAGGTTTGTCAAAGATCAGATAGTTGTAGATATGAGGTGTTATTTCTGAGGGCTCTGTTGTGTTCCATTGATCTATATCTCTGTTTTGGTACCAGTACCATGCTGTTTTGGTTACTGTAGCCTTGTAGTATAGTTTGAAGTCAGGTAGTGTGATGCCTCCAGCTTTGTTCTTTTGGCTTAGGATTGACTTGGCGATGTGGGCTCTTTTTTGGTTCCATATGAACTTTAAAGTAGTTTTTTCCAATTCTGTGAAGAAAGTCATTGGTAGCTTGATGGGGATGGCATGGAATCTACAAATTACCTTAGGCAGTATGGCCATTTTCATGATACTTATTCTTCCCACCCATGAGCATGGAATGTTCTTCCATTTGTTTGTATGCTCTTTTATTTCCTTGAGCAGTGGTTTGTAGTTCTCCTTGAAGAGGTCCTTCACGTCTGTTGTAAGTTGGATTCCTAGGTATTTTATTCTCTTTGAAGCAATTGTGAATGGGAGTTCACTTATGATTTTTCTCTCTGTTTGTCTGTTATTGGTGTATAAGAATGCTTGTGATTTTTGTACATTGATTTTGTATCCTGATACTTTGCTGAAGTTGTTATCAGCTTAAGCAGATTTTGGGCTGAGACAATCGGGTTTTCTAGATATACAATCATGTCATCTGCAAACAGGGACAATTTGACTTCCTCTTTTCCTAATTGAATACCCTTTATTTCCTTCTCCTGCCTAATTGCCCTGGCCAGAACTTCCAACACTATGTTGAATAGGAGTGGTGAGAGAGGGCATCCCTGTCTTGTGCCAGTTTTCAAAGGGAATGCTTCCAGTTTTTGTCCATTCAGTATGATATTGGCTGTGGGTTTTTCATAGATAGCTCTTATTATTTTGAGATACGTCCCATCAATACCTAATTTATTGAGAGTTTTTAGTATGAAGTGTTGTTGAATTTTGTCAAAGGCCTTTTCTGCATCTATTGAGATAACCAGGTGGTTTTTGTCTTTGTTTCTGTTTATATGCTGGATTATATTTATTGATTTGTGTATATTGAACCAGCCTTGCATCCCAGGGATGAAGCCTACTTGATCATGGTGGATAAGCTTTTTGATGTGTTGCTGGATTCGGTTTGCCAGTATTTTATTGAGGATTTTTGCATCAATGTTCATCAAGGATATTGGTCAAAAATTCTCTTTTTTGGTTGTGTCTCTGCCAGGCTTTAGTATCAAGATGATGCTGGCCTCATAAAATGAGTTAGGGAGGATTCCCTCTTTTTCTTTTGATTGGAATAGTTTCAGAAGGAATGGTACCAGTTCCTCCTTGTACCTCTGGTAGAATTCGGCTGTGAATCCATCTGGTCCTGGTCTCTTTTTTGTTGGTAAGCTATTGATTATTGCCACAATTTCAGAGCCTCTTATTGGTGTATTCAGAGATTCAACTTCTTCCTGGTTTAGTCTTGGGAGGGTGTATGTGTCGAGGAATTTATCCATTTCTTCTAGATTTTCTAGTTTATTTGCGTAGAGGTGTTTGTAGTATTCTCTGATGGTAGTTTGTATTTCTGTGGGATCGGTGGTGATATCCCCTTTATCATTTTTTATTGTGTTTATTTGATTCTTCTCTCTTTTCTTCTTTATTAGTCTTGCTAGCAGTGTATCAATTTTGTTGATCCTTTCAAAAAACCAGCTACTGGATTCATTAATTTTTTGAAGGGTTTTTTGTGTCTCCATTTCCTTCAGTTCTGCTCTGATTTTAGTTATTTCTTGCCTTCTGCTAGCTTTTGAATGTGTTTGCTCTTGCTTTTCTAGTTCTTTTAATTGTGATGTTAGGGTGTCAATTTTGGATCTTTCCTGCTTTCTCTTGTGGGCATTTAGTGTTATAAATTTCCCTGTACACACTGCTTTGAATGTGTCCTAGAGATTCTGGTATGTTGTGTCTTTGTTGTCATTGGTTTCAAAGAACATCTTTATTTCTGCCTTCATTTCGTTATGTACCCAGTAGTCATTCAGGAGCAGGTTGTTCAGTTTCCATGTAGTTGAGCGGTTTTGAGTGAGTTTCTTAATCCTGAGTTCTAGTTTGATTGCACTGTGGTCTGAGAGACACTTTGTTATAATTTCTGTTATTTTACATTTGCTGAGGAGAGCTTTACTTCCAACTATGTGGTCAATTTTGGAATAGGTGTGGTGTGGTGCTGAAAAAAATGTATATTATGTTGATTTGGGGTGGAGAGTTCTGTAGACGTCTATTAGGTCCGCTTGGTGCAGAGTTGAGTTCAATTCCTGGGTATCCTTGCTAACTTTCTGTCTCGTTGATCTGTGTAATGTTGAGAGTGGGGTGTTAAAGTCTCCCATTATTATTGTGTGGGAGTCTAAGTCTCTTTGTAGGTCACTGAGGACTTGCTTTATGAATCTGGATGCTCCTGTTTTGGGTGCATATATATTTAGGATAGTTAGCTCTTCTGGTTGCATTGATCCCTTTACCATTATGTAATGGTCTTCTTTGTCTCTTTTGATCTTTGTTGTTTTAAAGTCTGTTTTATCAGAGACTAGGATTGCAACCCCTGCCTTTTTTTGTTTTCCATTTGCTTGGTAGCTCTTTCTCCATCCTTTTATTTTGAGTCTATGTGTGTCTCTGCACGTGAGATGGGTTTCCTGAATACAGCACACTGATGGGTCTTGACTCTTTATCCAATTTGCCAGTCTGTGTCTTTTAATTGGAGCATTTAGTCCATTTACATTTAAAGTTAATATTGTTATGTGTGAATTTGATACTGTCATTATGATGTTAGCTGGTTATTTTGCTCATTAGTTGACGCAGGTTGACGCAGTTTCTTCCTAGCCTTGACGGTCTTTACAATTTGGCATGATTTTGCAGTGGCTGGTACCGGTTGTTCCTTTCCATGTTTATTGCTTCCTTCAGGCGCTCTTTTAGGGCAGGCCTGGTGGTGACAAAATCTCTCAGCATTTGCTTGTCTGTAAAGGATTTTATTTCTCCTTCACTTATGAAGCTTAGTTTGGCTGGATATGAAATTCTGGGTTGAAAATTCTTTTAAGAATGTTGAATATTGGCCCCCACTCTCTTCTGGCTTGTAGATTTTCTGCCGAGAGATCTCCTCTTAGTCTGATGGGCTTCCCTTTGTGGGTAACCCGACCTTTCTCTCTGGCTGCCCTTAACATTTTTTCCTTCATTTCATCTTTGGTGAATCTGACAATTATGTGTCTTGGAGTTGCTCTTCTTGAGGAGCATCTTTGTGGCGTTCTCTGTATTTCCTGAATCTGAATGTTGGCCTTCCTTGCTAGATTGGGGAAGTTCTCCTGGATAATATCCTGCAGAGTGTTTTCCAACTTGGTTCCATTCTACCCGTCACTTTCAGTTACACCAATCAGACGTAGATTTGGTCTTTTCACAAAGTCCCATATTTCTTGGAGGCTTTGTTCGTTTCTTTTTGTTCTTTTTTCTCTAAACTTCCCTTCTCACTTCATTTCATTCATTTCATCTTCCATGACTGATACCCTTTCTTCCAGTTGATCACATCGGCTCCTGAGGCTTCTGCATTCTTCATGTAGTTCTCGAGCCTTGGCTTTCAGCTCCATCACCTCCTTTAAGGACTTCTCTGTATTGGTTATTCTAGTTATACATTTGTCTAAATTTTTTTCAAAGTTTTTAACTTCTTTGCCTTTGGTTTGAATTTCCTTCTGTAGCTTGGAGTAGTTTGATCGTCTGAAGCCTTCTTCTCTCAACTCGTCAAAGTCATTCTCCGTCCAGCTTTGCTCCATTGCTGGTGAGGAACTGCGTTCCTTTGGAGGAGGAGAGACGCTCTGCTTTTTAGAGTTTCCAGTTTTTCTGCTCTGTTTTTTCCCCGTCTTTGTGGTTTTATCTACTGTTGGTCTTTGATGATGGTGATGTACACATGGTTTTTGGTGTGGATGTCTTTTCTGTTTGTTAGTTTTCCTTTTAACAGACAGGACCCTCAGCTGCAGGTCTGTTGGAGTTTGCTGGAGGTCCACTCCAGACCCTGTTTGCCTGGGTGTCAGCAGCAGTGGCTGCAGAACAGCAGATTTTCGTGAACCGCGAATGCTGCTGTCTGATCATTCCTCTGGAAGTTTTGTCTCAGAGGAGTACCTGGTCGTGTGAGTTGTCAGTCTGCCCCTACTGGGGGGTGCCTCCCAGTTAGGCTGCTCGGGGGTCAGGGGTCAGGGACCCACTTGAGGAGGCAGTCTACCCATTCTCAGATCTCCAGCTGCATGATGGGAGAACCACTGCTGTCTTCAACTCTGTCAGACAGGGACATTTAAGTCTGCAGAGGTTACTGCTGTCTTTTTGTTTGTCTGTGCCCTCCCCCAGAGTTGGAGCCTACAGAGGCAGGCAGGCCTCCTTGAGCTGTGGTGGGCTCCACCCAGTTTGAGCTTCCCGGCTGCTTTGTTTACCTAAGCAAGCCTTGGCAATGGCGGGCACCCTTCCCCCAGCCTCGCTGCCACCTTGTAGTTTGATCTCAGACTGTTGTGCTAGCAATCAGCGAGACTCCATGGGCCTAGGACCCTCTGAGTCATGTGCGGGATATAATCTCCTGGTGTGCCGTTTTTTAAGCCCGTCGGAAAAGTGCAGTATCAGGGTGGGAGTGACCCGATTTTCCAGGTGCCATCTGTCACCCCTTTCTTTGACTAGGAAAGGGAACTCCCCGACCCCTTGTGCTTCCCGAGTGAGGCAATGCCTCGCCCTGCTTTGGCTCATGCACGGTGCACTGCACCCACTGTCCTGCGCCCACTGTCTGGCACTCCCTAGTGAGATGAACCCGGTACTTCAGATGGAAATGCAGAAGTCACACATCTTCTGCGTTGCTCATGCTGGGAGCTGTAGACCAGACCTGTTCCTATTCGGCCATCTTGGCTCCCTCCCCCGATTTCAGAGATTTTGGGGAACCCATCACCCAAGCAGTGTAGACTGTACCCAACTCATAGTTTTTTATCCCTATCTTCAGACCCTTTCCCGAGTACTCAAAGGCAATTGTATCATTCCTATGTCTTTGCATCCTCATAGCTTAGCTCTCCCTTATGAGAACATATGATGTTTGGTTTTCCATTCTTGATTTACTTCACTTAAAATAATAATCTGCAATTCCATCCAGGATGCTGTGAATTCCACTCTTTCATTCCTTTTTATGGCAGAGTAATATTCCATTGTATATAAATACCACAGTTTCTTTACACCTTCATTGACTGATGGGCATTTGGTCTGGTTCCATATTTTTGCAATTGTGAATTGTGCTGCTATAAATATGCATGTGCAAATATCTTTTTCATATAATGACTTCTTTTCCTCTCGGTCGATACCCAGGAGTGGGATTGCTGGATCAAATGGTAGATCTACTTTTAGTTCTTTAAGGAATTTCCACTCTGTTTTCCATAGTGGTTGTATGAGTTTACATTCCCTCATCATCATATCCATGTCACAATAACATCTAGTACTTTTTGATTTTGTGATTATGGCCGATCTTGAAGGAATAGGATGGTATCACATTGTGGTTTTGATTTGCATTTCCCTGATCATTAGTGATGTTGAGCATTTCTTCATATGTTTGTTGGCCATTTCTATATCTTCTTTTGAAAACTGTCTCTTCATGTCTTTAGCCCACTTTTTGATAGTATTGTTTGTTTACTTCTTGCTAATTTGTTTGAGTTCTTTGTAGAGTCTGAGCATTGATTGTTAGATGTATAGACTACAAAAACTTTCTCCCACTCTGTGGGTTGTCTATTAACTTTGCTGATTATTTCTTTTGCTGTGCTGAAGCTTTTCAATTTAATTAAGTCCCATCTATTTATCTGTCTTTGTTGCATTTACTTTTGGGTTCTTGGTCATGAAGTCTTTGCCTAAGCCAATGCCTAAAATGGTTTTTCTGATGTTATCTCCCAGAATTTTTACAGTTTCAGATCTTAGATTTAATTCCTTCAGCCGTGTTGAGTTGATTTTTTTTTTTTTTAAGACGGCGTCTCCCTCTATCACATAGGCTGGAGTGCAGTGATCTGCAGTGATCCATAATGCCTGGCCAAGTTGATTTTTGTATAAATTGAGAGATTAGGATTCAGTTTCATTCTTCTACCTGTGGCTTGCCAATTACCCAATACCATTTGTTGAATAGGGTGTCCTTTCCCTACTTTATGTTTATGTTTGCTTTGTCAAAGATCAGTTGGCTGTAAGTATTTGGCTTTATTTCTGGGTTCTCTATTCTGTTCCATTGGTCTATGTGCCTATTTTTATACCAGTACCATGCTGTTTTGGTGACTATAACCTTATACTATAGTTTGAAGTCAGGTAATGTGATGCCTCCAGATTTGTTCTTTTTGCTTAGTCTTGCTTTGGCTATGTGGGCTCTTTTTTGGTTCCATATGGATTTTAGGATGATTTTTTTTTCTAGTTCTGTAAAGAATGATGCTGGCATTTTGATGTGAATTGCACTGAATTTGTAGACTGCCTTTGGCAGTATGGTCATTTTCACAATATTGATTCTAGCCATCCATGAGCATGGGATGTTTCCATTTCTTTGTGTCATCTATGATTTCTTTCAATAGTGTTTTTAGTTTTTCCATGTAGAGGTCTTTCACAGCCTTGGTTATGTAATTTCCTAAGTGTTTTATTATTATTATTATTATTATTATTATTATTATTATTATTATTATTATTTTGCAGCTATTGTAAAAGGGGTTGAATTCTTGAATTTATTCTCAGCTTAGTTGCTATTGGTGTACACCATGTCTACTGATTTGTGTACATTAATTTTGTATCGAAAAACTTTGCTGAATTCATTTATCAGCTTTAGAAGCTTTTTGGATAAGTCTTTAGAATTTTTAAATACATGTCATCAGCAAATAGTCACAGTTTGACTTCCTATTTACTGATTTGGATGCCATTGATTTCTTTCTCTTTTCTGATTGCTCTGTCTAGGACTTCTACTACTGTGTTGAATAGAAGTGGCAAAAGTGAACATCCTTGTCTTGTTCTGGTTCTCAGAGGCAATGCTTTGAACTTTACCTTGTTCAGAATCATGTTAACTGTGGATTTGTCATAGATGGCTTTTATTACAATAAGGTATGCCCCTTCTATGCTGCTGCTGCTGAGGGTTTTAATCATAAAGTGATGCTGGATTTTGTAAAATGCTTTTTCTGCATCTATTGAGATGATCATGTGAGTTTTGTTTTTAATTCTGTTTATGTGGTGTATTACATTTATTGACTTGCAGATATTAAACTACTCCTGTGTCCCTGATATAAAACCCACTTGATCATGGTGGATTATCTTTTTGGTATGCTAGTAGCTTTGGTTAGCTTGTATTTTGTTGAAAGATTTTTCTATCTATGTTCATCAGGAATATTGGTCTGTAATTTTTTTTTTCTTTTGTTATGTCATTTCCTGGTTTTGGTATCAGGGTGATACTGGTTTCATAGAATGATTTAGAAAGGATTTCCTTTTTTTTATATCTTGTGGAATATTGTCAACAGGACTTGCACCAATTCTTCTTTGAATGCCTGACAGAATTCAGCTGTGAATCCATCTAGTCCTGGATTTTTTTTTGTTGGTAATTTTTTTTTAATTAAAATTTCAATCTTGCTCCTTGTTATTGATCTGTTCAGAGTTTCTATTTCTTCTTGGTTAAATTTAGGAGGGTTGCATATTTCCACAAATTTATCCATTTCCTCTAGGTTTTCTAGTTTGTGTGCATAAAGGTGTTCACAGTAGCCTAGAATGATCTTTCATAATTCTGTGATATTGGTTGTATTATCTCCCATTTTGTATTTAATTGAGCTTATTTGGAACTTCTCTCTTCTTTTCTTGGTTAATTTTGTGAATGGTCTGTCAATTTTATCTTTTCTAAGAACCAGCTTTTTGTTTTATTTATCTTTGGTATAGTTTTTTGTTTGTTTCGATTTCACTTAGTTCGGCTCTAATCTTAACTATTTATTTTCTTCTGCTAGATTTGGGTTTGTTTCTCTAGCTCCTTGAAACGTGACCTGAGATTGTCTATTTCTGCTTTTTCAGATTTTTTGATGTAGGCATTTAATGCTATGAACTTTCCTGTTAGCACCACCTTTTGCTGTATCCAAGAGGTTTTGATAGGTTGTGTCACTATTATAATTCAGTTCAAATAGTTTTTTAAATTTCCATCTTGATTTTATTGTTGACCCAAGGATCATTCAAGGGTAGGTTATTTAATTTCCATGTATTTGCATGGTATTGAGGGTTCCTTTTGGAATTGATTTTCAATTTTATTCCACTGTGGTCTGAAAGAGTACTTGATATAATTTCATTTTCCTTAAATGTACTGAAACTTGTTTTGTGGCCTATCATATGGTCTGTCTTGGAGAATGTTCCATGTGCTGATGATTAGAATGTATATTCTGCAGTTGTTGGGTAGAATGTTCTGCACTATCTGTTTAGTCCATTTTTTCTAGGGTATAATTTAAGTCTATTGTTCCTTTGTTTACTTTCTGTCTTGATAACCTGTCTACTGCTATCAGTGGCATACTGAAGACCCACACTATTATTTTGTTGTTGTCTATCACATTTCTTATGTCTAGTAGTAATTGTTTTATAAACTTGGGAGTTCCAGCGTTAGGTGCATATATATTTAGGATTGTGATAGTTTCCTGCTGAACTAGTCCTTTTATCAATACATAATGTCCCTCTATGTCTTTTTTATCTGCTGTTGCTTAAAACTTTGTTTTGTCTGATATAAGAATAGCTACTCCTGCTCCCTTTTGGTGTCCATTTGCATAAAATATCTTTTCCACCTCTTTAAATTTATGTGAGTCCTTATGTGTCAGGTGAGTCTCTTGAAGACAGCAGATATTTGGTTTGTGGGTTCTTATCCATTCGGCCATTCTGTATCTTTTAAGTGAAGCATTTAGGCCATTTACATTCAATGTTAGTATTGAGATGTGAGGTCTTATTCTATTCATTATGCTATTTGCTGTCTCAGCACCTTGGGTTTTTTTCATTGTGTAGTTGTTTTATAGGTACTGTGAAATTTATGCTTTAGGGAAATTCTGTTTTGGTGTATTTTGATGATTTGTTTCCAAATTTAGAGCTCCTTTTAGCAGGTTCTGCAGTGCTGGCTTCATAATGGTGAATTCTGTCAGCATTTTTTGAAAAGGACTGTATCTTTCCTTCATTTATGAAGTTTAGTTTTGCTGGATACAAAATTCTTGGCTAATAATTGTTTTGTTTGAGGAGGCTAAAGATCGGACCCCTATCCCTTTCAGCTTGTAGGGTTTCTGCTGAGAAATCTGTGGTTAATTTTATAGGTTTTTCTGTATAGTTTATCTGACACATTTGCCTCACAACTGTTAAAATTCTTTCCTTCATCTTGAATTTAGATAAGCTGATGACTATGTGCCTATGTGATGATCTTTTTGCAAAAAATTTCCCAGGTGTTTTGTGTGTGTGTGTGTGTGTGTGTGTGTGTGTGTGTGTGTGTGTATGTGTGTGTATGTATGCTTCTTGTATTTGGATGTCTAGATCACTAGCAATGCTGCAGAAGTTTTCCTTTATTATTTCCTCAAATACATTTTCCAAACTTTTACACTTATTTTCTTCCTCTGGAACACCAATTATTCTTAGCTTTGTCATTTAACAAAATCTCCAACTTCTTGGAGGCTTTTTACATTTTTTACAATTCTTTTTGTCTTTGTTGGACTGGGTTAATTCAAAAGCCTTGTCTTTGAGCTCTGAAGTTCCTTCTTCTACTTGTTCAATTATACTTCTGAGACTTTACAGTGCATTTCACAATTCTCTATGTGTGTCCTTCATTTCCAGAAGTTGTGATTTTTTAAATTTATGTTATCTATTTCACTGGACTTTTCCCCATTCATATCCTGTATCATTTTTTTGATTTAAGTTGGACTTCACTTTTCTTTGGTGCCTCTTTGATTAGCTTAATAGTTGACCTTCTGAATTCTTTTTTTGGCAATTCGGTTTGGACACATTGCTGGTGAGCTAGTGTAATCTTTTGAGGGAGTTAAAGAACCTTGTTTTGTCATATTACCAGAACTGTTTTTCTGGTTTCTTCTCATTTGGGTAGACTATGTCAGAGGGAAGATCTGGGGCTCAAGTGCTACTGTTCAGATTCTTTTGTCTCATGGCATGCTCCCTTGATATGGTGCTTTACCTTTTCCCCTAGAGATGGAGCTTCTTGAGAGCCAAACTGCAGCGACTGCTATTTCTCTTCTGGATCTAGCCACCCAGTGGAGCTACTAGTCTCCAGGCTGCTACTGGAAAGCATCTGCAAAGAGTCTTGTAATATGATCTGTCTTCAAGTCTTAAAGCCATGGATACCAGCACCTGCTCTGTTGGAGGTAGCAATGGAGTGAAGTGGACTCTGTGAGGGTCCTTGGTTTCATTTTTTGTTAAGTGCACTGTTTTTGTGTTGGTTGTCTTCCAGCCAGGAGGGGGCACTTTCAAGAGTGCATCAGCTGCAGTAGTATAGAAAGAATCATGTGGCAGGTGGGGCCATAGAGCTCCCAAGAGATATGTCCTTTTTCTTTTGCTACCAGGGTGGGTAGAGAAAGACCATCAGGTGGGAGCAGGGTTAGGTGAGTCTCAGATCAGACTCTGCTTGGGCAGGGCTTGTTGCGGCTGCTGTGGGGGATGGGGGTGTGGTTCCTGGGGCAATGAAGTTATGTTTCCAGGAAGATTATGTCTGCCTCTGCTGTGTCACAAAGGTCCCTAGAGAAAATGGGGAAAGCCAGCAGCCACAGGCCTCACCCAGCTCCCATGCAGCCTATAGCCCAAAAGTCCTGTCTCACTCCCACCCTACCCCACGAACAGCACCAAGTTTATTTCCCAGCAGCCAGTGAGCAGGGCTGAGAACTTTCACCAGGCTACAAGCCTCCTAGCTGAGAAAGCAAGCTGATTCACAGTTCCTCGGCTGTCCCATGTAGCCTGCAGTGGCAATCCACTTCCTTCAAAGGGTCTGTGAATTCTCTTGGCTTTCCTTGTATGTTTGTGTGGTAATTCTTGGAGCAAAAGTTCATGATGTAGATCTCCACATGCTGCTCTGTCCATCTAAGAGGGAGCTGCAAGTTAGCCCTGCCTCTTATCTGCCACTTTCTTCCTTCTTTTCCTTCAGTACTTAGAATACATCACATCATTCCCTCCTGGCACATTAGGTTTCTGGTGAGAAGTAAGATGTAACAGAGTCCCTTTATATGTTACTTGCTTTTCTTTTGCTGCTTTTAGAATTAGTTATTTTATCTTTGAGAGCTTGATTATTACATTGAACATTTGATATAGTCTTGAGTTAGTCTTATTTGTGTTGAATCTTCTTGGTGTTTCTTGACTTTCTGGTATCTGGGTCTTCATACGTTTCTCTAGCTTTGGGAATTTCTCTGTTATTATTTATTTGAATAAAGTTTCTACCCCCATCCATTCTCCATATCCTCTTTAAGGCCAATAGCTCTTAATTTTTCCCATTTGGGCTTTTTCTAGATCTTGTAGGCATGCTTTATTCTTTCTATTTCCATTTTTCTTTTCTTTCTGTGCATTTTCATACAGCCCATCTTACAGCTCAGTAATTATTTCATCTTTTGATTAACTTTGCTGTTGGAAGACAATGATGCATTTTTCAGTTTAGTTGAATTTTACAGCTTCAGAATTTCTACTTGTTAAAATTATTTTAATATCTTTGTTAAATTTATCTGATTGAATTCTGATTTCCTTGTCTGTGTTATCTTGATGTTTGTCAAGCTTCCTGAAGAAAACTATTTCAGATTCCATGTCCGAGAAGTCACATATCTCCATAACTACAGGATTGGTCACTAGTGCCTTAATTAGTCTGTTTGTTGAGGTCTTTTTCCTGTATATTCTTGGTTCTTGTGGATGTACATAGATGTCTGGGCAATGAAGAGTTGGGCATTTATTCCAGTCTTCACAGTTTGGGCTTCTTTGTAGCCGTACTTCTTGAGAGGGCTTTCCAAAAATTCAAAGGACAATGAGTATTGTTAACCTACGCCTGTGGTTCCTGCAGCCATTTCAGCACTAGGAGAACCCTCCTGAACCCTGAAACACTGCGACTCATGCAGATTCCTGGATACGCACGCTTGCTGGATTTGGAAATGATAAAGAATTCCCTGGGTTCCCAGACAAAGTTTTGCTTTTTTCCATCCCTTCCCCCAAGCAGGAGTCTCTCTCAGTGCTGAGCTGCCTGGAGTTGGGGGAGAAGCAATAAAAGCACTCCTCTGGCCTCAACAGTTGGTACTGCTCTGGGTTGCTCCTGAAGCCTATGACCTCCTGGACCAGCCCAGTAGGGGCACCAGTCTAAGGCCTGTGGCTGCTACTGCCTAACTGCCACTAATTCAAGCCCCAAAGCCATTTTAGTCGGCACATGGTAAATACTCCCTGAACTATATCCATCCCACCAAGGCAACATATTCTCTTATGGCCTGGGGTGGGTCTAGAAATACCATACAAAGGAAAAGACCTGGAATATGGGGATTAAGGAATCCCTCTGATATTTTTAGCATGGCTCAGCTAGTACTCATGTTGTAAGAAAAAAGTCTTCTGATCTCTTCCTTCTCCTTTCCTCAGGCTGAAGGAGTCTCTCCCTGCACTGCACTGCCTGGTGGTGGGGAAAGAGTGAAGTGAACACTCCTGTGATTACTGCAGCAGGTGTTGCACTGGGTTGTATCTCAAGCCCACTGCCTCAGAGACCAATGCCGTACCAGGGCTTTTCCAAGGACAACATTCTCTGTAGCCTGACTGACACTCAAACTTATTTAGAGCCCCAGGACACTTTAGTCAGCCAGTGGTATTAGGACTCAAATTCCTTCCTCTGGGGTGGAAGGTTCCCCTCTGCCCCAGGGCTGTTATAAATGCTCCCTCCATGGACACCAGCAAAGTTCTGCCCAGTGTTGAGCTCTGTGACAGGGCTATGCTGAGTTCCAGTGTGAAGTCCCACACTCACTACGCTCTCTCTCCCTCAAGCACACATATACTCTCTCAGTGCTTGACTGCCTAGGATTGGGGAAAAGGTGGTATAGTCAATGTAAAACTGTCCTTCCTACCCTTTCCAATAACCCTTTCCTTGTTGTTGTGTTGAAACCAGATACTGTGACCACTTGTCTGGCTTTGGGTTCATATGAAGGTGCTTTCTTTTGCATATATAGTTGTTTAATTCAATGTTCCTGTGGGGAGACAACGGCTGGAGGATTTTATTTGACCATGCTGCTCTGCCTTCTTCTTGATCAGTGTTCTTTGATGATGTAACAATTATATGGGTGCTACAAACCACACCCATATGTGGCAAACTTAATCATTAATTGTTGGGTTATAATGACCTGCCACTTCCACATCTCTCTTCCTCTCATCAGGCTTCCCTATTCCCTGAGACAAAAATATATTGTAATTAACATAATTGATAACCCTATAACAGCCTCTAAGTGTTCAAGTAAGGGACAGAATAGCACATCTCTCACTTTAAATCAAAGGCTAGAGACGATTACACTTGGTGAAGAAGGCATGTCGAAAGCTTAGATAGGCTGAAAGCTAGGCCTCTTCTGCCAAACAGTTAGCAGTTGTGAATGCAAAACAAAAGACATTGAAATAAATTAAAGTGTTACTCCAGTGAACATGCAGATGATAAAAAATTGAAACAGCCTTATTGATGTTAGTGAGAAAGTTTTAGTGGTCTGGATTGAAGATCAAACGAGCAACAAAATTCCCTTAAGCCAAAACCCAATACAGGGCAAGGCTGCAACTCTCTCCAACTCTATGAAGGCTGAGAGAGGTGAGGAAGAAAAGTTAAAAGCAAGCAGAAGTTGATTCATGAAGTTGAAGTAAAGCAGCCGTCTCCATAAGATTAAAGTGCAAGGTAAAGCAGCACATGCTAATGGAGAAGCTGCAAGTTTCCCAGATCTAGATAAGATAATAGATGATGGTGGCTACACTGAAAGTGTAGACAAAACTGTCTTCTATTTGAATAAGCTGCCATCGACGACTTTCACAGCTAGACAGAAGTCAATGCCTGACTTTAAAGCTTTGAAGCTTCAGGATGACTCTTGTTAGGGGCTAATGCAGTTGATGACTTTAAGGTGAAGCTAATGCTCATTTACCATTCCAAAAGCTCTAAAGCCATTAAGAATTATGCCAAATTTACTCCACATGTGCTTTGTAAATGGACAAACGAAGCCTGGATGAGAGTACATCTGTTTATAGCATTGTTTACTGAACATATTAAGCCCGTTTTTGGGACCTACTCATTAGAAAAAAGAATTCTTTTGGAAATATTACTGCTCATTGACAATGCACCTAGACACTCAATAACTCTGATGGACAGCTATGAGGAGGTTAATGTTGTTTTCATGGTGTGTGTGATATTAACACAACATCCATTCTGCAACTCATGAATCAAGAAGTATTTTTAACTTTCAAGTATTATTATTTAAGATATATATTTTGCACAGCTATAGCTGTCAGAGACAGTGATTCCTCTGATGCACCTTGATAAATTAAACTGAAACCCTCTGGAAAAAAATCACCATCCCAAATGCCATAAAGAACATTCATGATTCATGAGAAGAGGTAAAAATGACAACATTAACAGAGATTTAGGTGAGTTTATTCCAAACTTTATGGATGACTTTGAGGTGTTCAAGACTTCAGTGGAGGAAGTCACTGAAGATGTGGTAGAAATAGCAAGAGAACTGGAATTAGAAGTGGAGACTGAAGATGTGACTGAATTGCTGCAGTCTCATGGTAAAACGGATGAACATTTGTTTCCTATAACTGAGAAAATGAAGAAGTTTTTGAAGTGGAATCTACTCCTGGTAAAAATGATGTGAACATTGTGGAAATGACACAACATATTTAGAATATTACAGAAATTTATACAACAGAAACTCAGTTCATAAAGAAGCAGCAAAATTTTAGAGGATTGACTCTAATTTTGAAAGAAGTTTGACTGTGGATAAACTGCTATCAAACAGCATCACATGCTACAGATAAATTTTACATGAAAAGAAAAGTCCATTGATGTGGCAAATTTAATTGTTGTTTTATTTAAAGAAATTGCTACAGCCACCCTAATGTTGAGCAACCGCCACCCTTATCAGTCACCCTGATCAGTCAGCAGCCATTAACACTGAGGATGGACCCACCACCAGTAAAAATATTACAACTCACTGAAGACTGAGATGATCATTAGCATTTTTAGCAATAAAGTACCTTTGAAATAAGATATGTACATTTTTTAGACACAATGCTATTTCACACTAAGAGAACACCATATTGTGTAAACATAACTTTTATTTGTATTGGAAAATCACAATATTCATGTGACTTGTTATATATGTGTGTGTGTGTGTGTGTACATATATGTGTGTGTGTATATATATGTATATATATATTTTTTTTTTACGTTGCCTTCAAATGATTTACTTTATAGTGACCTTAGCTTTAATACAGTGGTCTGAAACCAAACCTGCAATATCCCTAAGGTATGCCTGTATATTTAATGAATGCCTACAAATCAGTAATAAAGATGAAGAGCTACAGGTATTTCAAAAAATAAGTAGTCATTAAAACAAAAAACATGACAACATGCTGAAATTCATCAGTAATTTGAGAAATATACACAAAAACAAAGTAACCACTTCATAGTTATCTGACTAGAAAAAACTAGAAAGGTGGAGCCTCCCATCAGACTCCATCTCCAACACTGAGATCACATTTCAACATGAGATTTGGAGGGGACAAACATTCAAACTATATCAACCATGTATAGCGCAAATATTTCAAAATCCTCAAAATCTGAAATCTGAAACACTTCTTGTCCCAAGCATTTTAGATAAGACATACTCAACCTGTATACCCTATGAGCCAAGTGATCCCGTTATGAGAAATTTTCACAGAGTATTGGGACACATAAGATAATTTCACTTGCAATAATATTTGTGGTGTTGGAGTGTTAGAAGCAAATTAGGTGCCCATCACTAAAGGAGTGAATAAATAAAATGTGGTAGATAGAGTATAAAAAATATTAGGGAGCAAGCCAAACAATAGACTTGGTATACTCGTGGGCACACTGATAGATTTTTTTAAGTGCTGAATAAAAAGCAACAATTAGATATATAATATCATTAATATAAATTTTATAATATATGCACAGAAAAAATAAACAATTTACAAGGATTCACACATAAGAATACAGTATATATCAGAATAGTATAATATGGGGAGGTGGAGAAGAGAGTAGGGAATGGATAAAAAATAAAGAAGTGAAAAAAATTCAAAAACCAAGAAAAACAAAAACAAATAATGGCATTACACAGACCAATGATGGTAAGTGCCATGAACTAAGAATAATTAAGTGAACAAACTGGTTGGACTTTATTATCATTTATTAGTTCATAAAATATTTACAGACTATCCAGTACATTCCAGGCACTGTGCTAGATGCTGGAGATACAATGTTGAGCAAACCAGATATAGTCGATGTTCTCATAGAGCTAATAGTCTAACTAAGGGAGACAGAAAAACGTTAAGAGAAACATATATATATATTTATATATGATATATATATGATATATAAATCATATATATTTATATATGATATATAAATCATATATATTTATATATAATATATGATATATAATCATATATATTTATATATATTATATATCATATATGTAATTATATATTATATATAATATATACTGTATAATTATATATAACATATAATATAATATATAAATATACATTATATGTAATATAATAAAAATATTGTATATAATATGTATATTATATAATATATATTATTTATATAATTATATTACATATTATATAATATATAATATAATATATAATAATTATATTACATATATAATATAAATATAAATATAATTATATTACATATTATACAATATGTAATATAAATATAATAATTATATTTATATTATATATTATATAATATAAATATAATAATTATATTATATATTATATAATATATTATAATTATATTATATATTATATAATATATTATATATTATATAATAATTATACTATATAATATAATATATAATATATTATATAATAATTATATTATATAATATATAATATATAATATTATATATTATATACTAATATAATGTTAATATAATATATAGTATATTATATACTATATATTATACAATATATACTATATATTATACAATATATACTATATATTATACATAACATATATATTATATATTATACATTATACATAACATATATATTATATATTATATAGTATACATAACATATATTATATATTATATAGTATACATAACATATATTATATATTATATAGTATACATAACATATATTATATATTATATAGTATACATAACATATATATTATATAGTATACATAACATATATTATATATTATATAGTATACATAACATATATTATATATTATATAGTATACATAATATATATTATATATTATATAGTATACATAATATTTATAATATATTATATAACATACATTATATATAATATATTATATAATATATATATTATTACATAAAAATATATAATATATATTATATATTATATAATATTATATATATAATTATATAATATATATTATGTATATATAATTACAGGCATAATTATAATTTTAAGTTGTTAGGCCAATCTGTGTTTGGCATCCAACTCTATCAATTACTAGATGTATGACTTTGAGCAAGTTAATTAACCTTGCTGGAGTTTAGTTTCTCTGTTTCTAAGATGGAAATAGTACCACCTAACTGATAAGGTTGTTGTGAAGATTAAACAATATAATGCATATTAAAGAATTTAGCATGGTGCCTAGAACATACTAAGTGTTCAGTAAATGGCAACTATTATTATTATTACCAAGGAACTCTTTGGTTTTTTATGTTATTTTATTATTGTTAATTTTTATTCCCACAGATTTTTGGAAAACAGGTGGTTTTTGGTTACAAGAATAAATTCTTACAGCAAAAGAAACTATCATCTGAGTGAACAGGCAACCTACAGAATGGGAGAAAATTTTCGCAATCTATCCATCTGACAAAGGGCTAATATCCAGAATCTACAAAGAAACAAATTTACAAGAAAAGAAACAAACAACCCCATCAAAAAGTGGGCAAAGGATATGAACAGACACTTCTCAAAAGTTCTTTTTTTTTTTTTTTTCTTTCTTTTTTTTTTTTTATTATACTCTAAGTTTTAGGGTACATGTGCACATTGTGCAGGTTAGTTACATATGTATACATGTGCCATGCTGGTGCACTGCACCCACTAATGTGTCATCTAGCATTAGGTATATCTCCCAATGCTATCCCTCCCCCCTCCCCCCGACCCCACCACAGTCCCCAGAGTGTGATATTCCCCTTCCTGTGTCCATGTGATCTCATTGTTCAATTCCCACCTATGAGTGAGAATATGCGGTGTTTGGTTTTTTGTTCTTGCGATAGTTTACTGAGAATGATGGTTTCCAATTTCATCCACGTCCCTACAAAGGATATGAACTCATCATTTTTTATGGCTGCATAGTATTCCATGGTGTATATGTGCCACATTTTCTTAATCCAGTCTATCATTGTTGGACATTTGGGTTGGTTCCAAGTCTTTGCTATTGTGAATAGTGCCGCAATAAACATACGTGTGCATGTGTCTTTATAGCAGCATGATTTATAGTCCTTTGGGTATATACCCAGTAATGGGATGGCTGGGTCAAATGGTATTTCTAGTTCTAGATCCCTGAGGAATCGCCACACTGACTTCCACAATGGTTGAACTAGTTTACAGTCCCACCAACAGTGTAAAAGTGTTCCTATTTCTCCACATCCTCTCCAGCACCTGTTGTTTCCTGACTTTTTAATGATTGCCATTCTAACTGGTGTGAGATGATATCTCATAGTGGTTTTGATTTGCATTTCTCTGATGGCCAGTGATGATGAGCATTTCTTCATGTGTTTTTTGGCTGCATAAATGTCTTCTTTTGAGAAGTGTCTGTTCATGTCCTTCGCCCACTTTTTGATGGGGTTGTTTGTTTTTTTCTTGTAAATTTGTTTGAGTTCATTGTAGATTCTGGATATTAGCCCTTTGTCAGATGAGTAGGTTGCGAAAATTTTCTCCCATGTTGTAGGTTGCCTGTTCACTCTGATGGTAGTTTCTTTTGCTGTGCAGAAGCTCTTTAGTTTAATTAGATCCCATTTGTCAATTTTGGCTTTTGTTGCCATTGCTTTTGGTGTTTTGGACATGAAGTCCTTGCCCACGCCTATGTCTTGAATGGTAATGCCTAGGTTTTCTTCTAGGGTTTTTATGGTTTTAGGTCTAATGTTTAAATCTTTAATCCATCTTGAATTGATTTTTGTATAAGGTGTAAGGAAGGGATCCAGTTTCAGCTTCCTACATATGGCTAGCCAGTTTTCCCAGCACCATTTATTAAATAGGGAATCCTTTCCCCATTGCTTGTTTTTCTCAGGTTTGTCAAAGATCAGATAGTTGTAGATATGTGGCATTATTTCTGAGGGCTCTGTTCTGTTCCATTGATCTATATCTCTGTTTTGGTACCAGTACCATGCTGTTTTGGTTACTGTAGCGAACTCTCCACCCCAAATCAACAGAATATACATTTTTTTCAGCACCACACCACACCTATTCCAAAATTGACCACATAGTTGGAAGTAAAGCTCTCCTCAGCAAATGTAAAAGAACAGAAATTATAGCAAACTATCTCTCAGACCACAGTGCAATCAAACTAGAACTCAGGATTAAGAATCTCACTCAAAGCCGCTCAACTACATGGAAACTGAACAACCTGCTCCTGAATGACTACTGGGTACATAACGAAATGAAGGCAGAAATAAAGATGTTCTTTGAAACCAACGAGAACAAAGACACCACATACCAGAATCTGTGGGACGCATTCAAAGCAGTGTGTAGAGGGAAATTTATAGCACTAAATGCCTACAAGAGAAAGCAGGAAAGATCCAAAATTGACACCCTAACATCACAATTAAAAGAACTAGAAAAGCAAGAGCAAACACATTCAAAAGCTAGCAGAAGGCAAGAAATAACTAAAATCAGAGCAGAACTGAAGGAAATAGAGACACAAAAAACCCTTCAAAAAATCAATGAATCCAGGAGCTGGTTTTTTGAAAGGATCAACAAAATTGATAGACCGCTAGCAAGACTAATAAAGAAAAAAAGAGAGAAGAATCAAATAGACACAATAAAAAATGATAAAGGGGATATCACCACCGATCCCACAGAAATACAAACTACCATCAGAGAATACTACAAACACCTCTACGCAAATAAACTAGAAAATCTAGAAGAAATGGATACATTCCTCGACACATACACTCTCCCAAGACTAAACCAGGAAGAAGTTGAATCTCTGAATAGACCAATAACAGGCTCTGAAATTGTGGCAATAATCAATAGTTTACCAACCAAAAAGAGTCCAGGACCAGATGGATTCACAGCCGAATTCTACCAGAGGTACAAGGAGGAACTGGTACCATTCCTTCTGAAACTATTCCAATCAATAGAAAAAGAGGGAATCCTCCCTAACTCATTTTATGAGGCCAGCATCATTCTGATACCAAAGCCGGGCAGAGACACAACCAAAAAAGAGAATTTTAGACCAATATCCTTGATGAACATTGATGCAAAAATCCTCAATAAAATACTGGCAAAACGAATCCAGCAGCACATCAAAAAGCTTATCCACCATGATCAAGTGGGCTTCATCCCTGGGATGCAAGGCTGGTTCAATATACGCAAATCAATAAATGTAATCCAGCATATAAACAGAGCCAAAGACAAAAACCACATGATTATCTCAATAGATGCAGAAAAAGCCTTTGACAAAATTCAACAACCCTTCATGCTAAAAACTCTCAATAAATTAGGTATTGATGGGACGTATTTCAAAATAATAAGAGCTATCTATGACAAACCCACAGCCAATATCATACTGAATGGGCAAAAACTGGAAGCATTCCCTTTGAAAACTGGCACAAGACAGGGATGCCCTCTCTCACCGCTCCTATTCAACATAGTGTTGGAAGTTCTGGCCAGGGCAATCAGGCAGGAGAAGGAAATAAAGGGTATTCAATTAGGAAAAGAGGAAGTCAAATTGTCCCTGTTTGCAGACGACATGATTGTTTATCTAGAAAACCCCATCGTCTCAGCCCAAAATCTCCTTAAGCTGATAAGCAACTTCAGCAAAGTCTCAGGATACAAAATCAATGTACAAAAATCACAAGCATTCTTATACACCAACAACAGACAAACAGAGAGCCAAATCATGGGTGAACTCCCATTCACAATTGCTTCAAAGAGAATAAAATACCTAGGAATCCAACTTACAAGGGATGTGAAGGACCTCTTCAAGGAGAACTACAAACCACTGCTCAAGGAAATAAAAGAGGACACAAACAAATGGAAGAACATTCCATGCTCATGGGTAGGAAGAATCAATATCGTGAAAATGGCCATACTGCCCAAGGTAATTTACAGATTCAATGCCATCCCCATCAAGCTACCAATGACTTTCTTCACAGAATTGGAAAAAACTACTTTAAAGTTCATATGGAACCAAAAAAGAGCCCGCATTGCCAAGTCAATCCTAAGCCAAAAGAACAAAGCTGGAGGCATCACACTACCTGACTTCTCAAAAGTTCTTTAGTGGTTAATTTCTAAGATTTTGGTGCACCCATCACCCCAGCAGTGTACACTGTACCCAATGTATAGTCTTTTATCCCTCACTCCCTTCCCACCATTTTCCTTCAGCCCTTTAAGTGCATTGTCATCATTCTTATGCTTTTGCATCCTCATAGCTTAGCTGCCACATATCACTGAGAACATATGATGTTTGGTTTTCCATTTCAGAGTTACTTCACTTAGAATAATAGTCTCCAATTCCATCCGGGTGGCTTCAAATGCCATTATTTTATTCCTTTTTATGGGTGAGTAGTAGACCACGGTGTGTGTATGTGTGTGTGTGTGTGTGTGTGTATATATACACACACACACACATATATGTGCTCCTATAAACATGTGTGTGCAAGTACCTTTTTTGTATAATGACTTCTTTTTTTCTAAGTAGAAACCCAGTAGTGAGATTGCTGGATCAAATGATAGTTCTACTTTTAGTTCTTGAAGGAATCCCCATACTGATTTCCATAATGGCTGTATTAGTTCTCATTCCCACCAGCAGTGTAAAAGTGTTCCCTTTTCACCACATCCACACCAATATTATTTTTTTTTTTGATTTTTTGATTATGGCCATTCTTGCGGGAGTAAGGTGGTATCATACTGTGGTTTTGATTTGCATTTCCCTGATAATTAGTGTTGTTGAGTATTTCTTCATGTATTTGTTGGCCACTGCTATATCTTCTTTTGCAAATTGTCTCTTCATGTCCTTAGCCCACTTTTTGATGGGATTGTTTTTCTTGTTAATTTCTTTGAGTTCCTTGTAGATTGTAGATATTAGTCCTTTGTCAGATGTACAGATTGCAAAGATTTTTTCCCACTCTGCGGGTTGTCTGTTAACTCTGCTGATTGTTTCTGTTGCTGTGCAGAAGCTTTTTAGTTTAATTAAGTCCTATCTATTTATTTTATTTTTGTTGTGTTTGATTTTGGGTTCTTGGTCATGAAGTCTTTGCCTAAGCCAATGTCCAGAAGGATTTTTCTGATGTTACCTTCTAGAATCTTTATAGTTTCAGGTCTTACATTTAAATCCTTAATCCATCTTGAATTGATTTTTTGTATAAGGTGAGAGATGAGGATCCGTTTCATTCTTCTACATGTGGCTTGCCAATTATCCAAGCACCATTTGTTGAATAGGGTGTCCTTTCCCTACTTTATGTTTTTGTTGCTTTGTCAAAGATCAGTTGGCTGTAAGTGTTTGGCTTTATTTCTGTGTTCTCTATTCTGTTCCATTGTTTTATGTGCCTATTTTTATGCCAGTACCTTGCTGTTTTGGTGACTATGACCTTATACTACAGCTTAAAGTCAGGTACTGTGATACCTCCAGATTTGTTCTTTTTACTTAGTCTTGCTTTGGCTATGCGGGTTCTTTTTTGGTTCCACATGAATTTTAGGATGATTATTTTCTAGCTGTGTGAAGAATAATGGTTGTATCTTGCTTCAAATTGCATTGAATTTGTAGACTGCTTTTGGCAGTATGGTTATTTTCTCAACATTGATTCTAGCCATCCATGAGCATGGTGTTTCCATTTGTTTGTGTTGTCTATGATTTCTTTCAGCAGTGTTTTGTAGTTTTCCTTGTAAAGGTCTTTCAAGTCCTTAGGTATATTCCTAAGTATTTTACTTTTTTTGCAGCTATTGTGAAAGGGGTTGAGTTCTTGATTTGATTCTCAGCTTGGTTGCTGTTGGTGTAGAGCAGAGCTACTGATGTGCGTACATTAATTTTGTATGCAGAAACTTTGCTGAATTCATTTATCAGTTCTAGGAGCTTTTTGGATGAGTCTTTAGGGTTTTCTAGGTATATAATTATATTACCAGCAAACAGTGACAGTTTGACTTCCTCCTTACCAACTTGGATGGTCTTCATTACTTTCACTTGCTCTGGCTAGAACTTCCAGTACTATGTTGAAGAGGAGTGGTGAGAGTAGGCATCCTTGTCTTGTTCCAGTTTTCAGGGGGAATGCTTTCAACTTTTCCCATTCAGTAGCATGTTGGCTGTGGATTTGTCATATATGGCTTTTATTACATCAAGGTATGTCTATTCTATGCTGATTTTGCTGAAGGTTTTAATCATAAAGGATACTGGATTTTGTCAAATGCCTTTCCTTCATCTATTGAGATGATCATGAGATTTTTGTTTTTAATTCTATTTATGTTGTGTACCAAGGAGCCCTTTGACTGTCATTCAAGTCTATTCACTTATATTAACATACAACTCTTTAAAATTTTGGTTACTTCTTTTGCTGGTAAGTGCTAGATTTAGTTAAACAAACTAGAATTGGGTTTAATGACAATGACAAGTGACAGCTATGAAAGAAGGGAGAAACTGGAAAATAGCGTTAAAGAATGTTAATGATAATCCGGTTGAACAAAAAAAAGTCAAAATACATTTGGTATTTTCTATTGTGAAATCAAAGATTCTATAAGTACTCATCAAAACTGAAAATATTTTCTCCCATGAAGTGAAAAGCTACCATTCCTACAATACATATATTTACATGTAACAAGTTATTCTACAATTAAGCTAGGCAGATAATGGATTACTACAGTTCCAAGGCTGGAAGAATAGTAGTTTTGAATAACAACTGTGAAATACTAACACTAAATTGTCTTAAAAATAAGATCTTGCTCCTTCCCAAAGCTTTCATATAAAAGCTGCAGAGAAAAGAAGTAGGAAATGAGCAGCAGATAACAGCTTACTGACAGTTTCTCAAATTCAAATATATAGAAAATCCATTGAAACACAATTAAGAAATAAAGAAAGAAAAGAGTTATTTCCAAAATATGTGAGGTTTTTAAGAGCTAATTTTGTTAACATTGATGATGCATGTTCAGTTTAGAAATCGAGCTACCTTTATAACCAGGAAAATACCTCTCAAAAGGTAAGGCTACCACTTTGTAAATAAATCTTAATTACATGTTGTCTACCCATCTTAATTTTCACTTTGTTTACAAGCCAGGGAAAAGAACATCCACAGTTTGCTGATATGAGTTTGTGTTGTGTATTTGTAGGTATTTTAAGCTAAAGTCTAGGAAGAATGAAAATGTGATTTTCTCTGTCAATAATTATGATTATTTTATAATAGATACTAATCATTGATAATACTATACTTTTGAAAAATGACAGGCATTTTGGAAGGAGCAAAAAATAAAGCACATAATTCTAGTTAAATCTAAACTCGCTCTCCCCAAACCTCTAATTTACCCATTTAAGAATAGAATAATTCAGATGAAAGAGGCAGAGCTAGATGGCTGAATAGAAGGATCCACCGATCAGCTTCCCATCAGGAACACAAAATTGAACAAGTATCCACATAGAAAAGCAACTTCATGAGAACCAAAAATCAGATGAATAAATGCAATACCTGTTTTTAGCTTCATATTCCTTAAAAAGGCACTGAAGAGGGTAGAAAATACAGTTTTGAATTGACAACACTGCTCCTCCTCCATATCCTGGCAGCAGCCACAGGGGATAGAGAGAGAATGTGCATTTGAGGGAGAGAGAACACAATGATTGTGGGACTCTGCATTCAAACTCAGTGTTGTCCTGTAACAGTGGAAAGCAACATGAGACATAACAAAGCTAGAACACACGGAGGAACCATTTATAACATCTCTAGCTAGAGGAGCATCACTCATCCCAGCATTTGGAACCTCAGTTCAGGAAAGCCCCACCGTGACAGGCTACAGTGCTCTATGGTCCTCAACATATGTGAAAGGCAGCCTAGACCATAAGGACTGGAATTCCTGGGCAAGTCCTGGTGCTGTGCTGGGCTTAGTGCCAGCGCACTTGCAGGGCATGTGACCTAGTAAAACACTAGCCAGGGTGACCAAGACAGTGCTTGCCACACCAATCCCGCAGCTCCAGGCAGTGCAGTATGCAGCTCCAGGAGGTAATCCTTCCTTCTGCTTGAGAGGAGGGGAAGGGACAGTAAAGAGGACTTTGTCTTGCAACTTGGATACCAGCTCAGCTACAGTAGGATAGGGAAGCAGGTAGAGACTTGAGGCTCCCATTCCAGGCCCCAAATCCTAGATGACACTTCTAGACCCACTCTGGGCCAGAAAGGAATGTGCCACCTTGAAGAAAAGGACCCAGTCCTGGCAGAATTCATTACCTGCTGACTGAAGAGCCCTTGGGCCCTGAACGATCAGCAGTAATAACCAGGCAGTACTTGCATGGGCCTTGGCTGTAACTTAAGTTGTGTTGGCTTCAGGTGTAACACAGAACATTTTGAGCTGTGGTGGCTATGGAAAGAGACTCCTTCTGCTTTAGAAAAGGAGAGGAAAAAGTAAACGGGACTTTGTCTCACGCCTTAGGTACCAGAGGTGGAAGAGCTGTAAGCAGCTCCTGGAGTCCTCAGTTTTAAGCCTTGGCTCCTGTATGGCATTTCTGGCATGCCCTGAGGCAGAGAGGGGCTCACTGCCCTGAAGAGAAAGTTCAAGGCTTGGCAGCTTTCAACAAAAGCTGACTGAAGAGCACTAGGGCCTTGAGTGAACATTGGCAGTAGCCAGACAGAACTTGTCATGGTCCTGGGGCAGTGGTGGCCACAGAGACTCTTCTGATTGAAAAACAGGGGAGAGTGGGAAGGACTTTGTTTTGTGGCTTGGGTGCCTGCTCAGCCACAGTAGAACAGAGAACCAGGTAGATTCCTAAGGTTTTTAACTCCAGGCCCAAACTCCTGGACTACAGCTCTAGACCTTCCCAGGGTTGGGGGGAACTTGCCACCTGGAAAGGAAGGACACAAGGCTAGCTGGCTTCACCAACTTCTGATTGTAGAGTCCTAGGGCCTTGCATGAATATAGGCAGTAGCCAGGCAGTGGTTACCACAGGTCTTAGGTAAGATCCAATGCTGTGCTGGCTTCAGGTCTGAACCAGCGCAGTCTCAGTGGTAGTGACTACAGGAGTGCTTGTGCCACCCTTGCCCAAGCGCCAGGAAGCTCAGAACAAAGACGTAGACTCCATTTTTTGTTTGTTTGTTTGTTTTTAAAGAAAGGGAAGAGAACAAGAGTATCTGCCTGGTAACCCAGACACATCTTCTGGTTGTTATCCAAGACCACCAAGGCTGTAATCTGAGTATGCAAAGCCACAGCATTACTGGGATTTGAGTGCCCACTTATGCTGCAATGACCAAAACCTTAGATCACAACAACCAAGTGCCTTTGAATTCTAGAAAAGCCTTCCCAAGAAGGACAGGTACAAACAATACTAGACAGTGAAAACTAAAATAAATTTCTAACTCTTCAAAGCCCAGAGACTGATGAACATTCACAAGCTTCAAGACTATCCGGGATAAAAAGACTATATTCGTCTGTTTTCACACTGTTAATAAAGTCATACCCAAGACTGTAATATTATATATTATATATAATATATATTACATATAATATATATTATATATAATATATATTTCATATTATATAAAATATATATATTACATATAATATATATTATATAAAATATATATATTACATATATTATATGTAATATATATATTACATATAATATATATTATATTATAAAGTAATTTATAAAGGAAAGAGGTTTAATTGACTCAGAGTTCTGCATGGCTAAGGAGGCCTCAGGAAACTTGCAATCATGGTGGAAGGCACCTCTTCACAGGGCAGCAAAAGGAGAAGAATAAGAGCTGAGCGAAGGGAGAAGCCCCTTATGAAAGCATCAGATCTCCTGAGAACTTGATGTCACGAGAACAGCATGGAGAAAACCAACCCTATGATTCAATTACCTGTCACTGGACCCCTCCCACAACATGTGGAGATTATGGGAACTACAATTCAAGATGAGATTTGTGGCGGGGACAGAGCTAAACCATATCAAGGACCTTAACAAACAAACTAAGGCACCAGGGACCAATCCTGGAGAGAGAGAGAGAGAGAGAGAGAGAGAGAGAGAGAGAGAGGTGATCTTTCAGACAGAGAATTCAAAATAGCTGTTTAAACAAACCCCAAAGCTAGCAGAAGACAAAAAAATAACCAAGATCAGAACTGAACTGAAAAAGATAGAGGCACAAAAAATCCCTTCAAATAATCAATGAATAAAGAAGCTGTTTTTAAGAAAAAATTAATAAAATAGACCACTAGCTAGACTAATAAAGAATAAAAGAAAAAAGTATCAAATAAACACAAACAAAAATGATAAGGGGGATAGCACCACTGACCACACGGAAAAACAAACAACCATCAGAGAATATTATAGACATCTCTATACACATAAACTAGAAAATCTAGAAGAAATGGATAAATTCCTAGACACACCCACCTTCTCAAGACTGAACAAGGAACAGATTGAATCCCTAAATAGACCAATACTGAGTTCAGAAATTGAGGTGGTAGTAAATAGCCTACCAACTGAAAAAAATAAAATAGCCCAGGACCACAAGGATTCATAGCTGAACTTTTCCAGAGGTACGAAGAAGAGCTGGCACTATTTCTTCTGAAACTATTCCAAAAAAATTGAAACAAAGGGACTCCCCCCTTACTCATTCTATGAAGCCAGGATCATCCTGATACCAAAACCTGGCAGACATACAACAAAAAGAGAAACTTAAGTCCAACATCCTTGATGAACATCGATGCAAAAATCCTCAATAAAATACTGGCAAACCGAATCCAGCATCACATCAAAATGCTTAGCCACCACGATCAAGTCCGCTTCATCCTCTTGATGCAAGGTTGGTTCAATACACACATATCAAAGATTCCATGACAGTAATGCCGAAAGCAATTGCAACAAAAACAAAAATTGAAAAATGGGATCTAATTAAATGAAAGAGCTTCTGCACAGCAGAAGAAACTATAATAAGAGGCCAGGCAAGGTGGCTCATGCCTGTAAACACAGCACTTTGGGAGGCTGAGGTGGGCAGATACACTGAGACCAGGTGTTCTAGACTAGACTGGCCAATATGGTGAATCCTCATCTCTACTAAATATACAAAAAAAATTAGCCTGGTGTGGTGGTGTGCACCTGTAGTCCCAGCTACTCAGGAGGCTGAGGTAGGAGAATCGCTTGAACCTAGGAGGTGGAGGTTGCAGTGAGCTGAGATGATGCCACTACACTCCAGCCTGGGCAACTCAGTGATACTCTGTGTCAAAAAAAAAAAAAAAAAAAAAAAAGAGGAAACTATCATCAGAGTGAACAGACAACCTACAGAATAAGAGAAAATTTTTGCAATCTGTATATTTGACAAAGGTGTAATATCCAGTCTACAAGGAACTTAAACAAATGTACAAGAAGAAAAAAACCCCATTGAGATGTGGGCAAAGGATATGCACAGACACTTCTCAAAAGAAGACATACATGCGGCCAATAAACATATGGAAAAGAACCTCAACATCACTGATCATTAGAGAAATGGAAATCAAAACCACAATGAGATACCATCTCACACCAGTCAGAATGGCTATTAAAAAGTCAAAAAATAACAGATACCAGAGAGGTTGTGGAGAAAGTAATGCTTTTACACCATTGGTGGGAGTGTAAATTAGTTCAACCATTGTAGAAGGCAGTGTGGTGATTCCTCGAAGACCTAGAGGCAGAAATATCATTTGAAATTTAACCCAGAAATGCCATTACTGGGTATATACCCAGAGAAATATAAATCACTCCATTATAAAGATATACACACACATATGTTCATTGCAGCACTATTCACAATAGCAAAGACATGGAATCAACCTAAATGTCCATCAATGATAGATTGGATAAAGCAAATGTGGTTCATATACACCATGGTATACTGCAGCTACAAAAAAAAAAAAAAAATGAGATCATGTTTTTGCGGAGACATGGTTGGAGTTGGAAACCATTATCATCAGCAAACAAATGCAGTTACAGAAAACCAGACACTGCATGTTCCCACTTATATGTGGGAGCTGAATGATGAGAACACATGGACACATAGTGGAGAACAACACAGACTGGGACCTGTTGGGGGAGGTGGGGTTAGGGAGAGCATCAGAAAGAATATCTAATGGATGATGGACTTAATGCTTAGGTGATGGGATGATCTGTGCAGCAAACCAGCATGGCACACGTCTACCTATGTAACAAACCTGCACATCCTGCTCATGTACCCCTGAACTTAATATAAAAGTGAAGAAAAATAAATAGCTGCCTTGAGGAAACTCAATGAAATTCAAGATAACACAGAAAAGGAATTCAGAATTCTATCAGATAAATTTAATGAAGAGATTGAAATATTTAAAAGAATCAAAGAGAAATTCTGTAGAAGAAAAATGCAGTTGAAATACTGAAGAATGCATCATAGTCTCTTAACAGCAGAACTGATCAAGCAGAAGAAAGAATTACTGAACTTGAAGACAGTCTACTTGAAAATACACAGTCAGAGGAGACACAAGAAAAAAAAATAATAAAAAACAATTAAGTATGCCTACGAGATCTAGAAAATAGCCTTTTAAGGGCAAATCTAAAAGTTATTGGTCTTATCTTTGGGGGGCCAACGTGGGCAGATGACATGAGGCCAAAAGTTTGAGACCAGCCTGGTCAACATGGCCAAACCGCATCTCTACTAAAAATACAAAAATTATCTGGGTGAGGTGACGATGCATGCTTGTAATCTCAGATACTCAGGAGGCTGAGGCATAAGAATCGTTTGAACCTGGATGGCTGATCTTGTAGTGAGCTGAGATCATGCCATCGCACTCCAGTGTGGGCAACAGAGTGAAACTGTCTCAAAAAGAAAAAACAAAGTTATTGGTCTTGAAGAGGAGGCAGAGAGAGAGATTGGTGTAGAAACTTTATTAAAAGGGATAATAACAGAGAACTTCCCAAACCTAGAGAAAGAAATCAATATCCAAGTTCCAGAAGGTTATAGAACAGCAAGCAAATTTAATCCAAAGAAGACAACCTCAAGACATTTGATTTTCAAACTCATGGAGGTCAAACATAAAGAAAGGATCCCAAAAGCACATCTGGCAACAGACTTTTCAGTAGAAACCTTAAAGGCCAGGAGACAGTGGCATGATATATTTAAAAATCTGTCGAAAAAAACTTTTATCTCAGAATAGTATATGCACCAAAAATATTCTTCAAACAAGAAGAAGAAATGGAGACTTTCCCACACTCAAAAACGTTGAGGAATTTCATCAACACTGGACCTATCCTACAAGAAATATTAAAGGGAATTCTTCAATCTGAAGGAAAATGATGTTAATCAGCAATAAAGATATCATCTGAAGGTACAAAAACTTGTTGATAATAGTAAGTACACAGAAAAACACAGAATGCTATAAAACTGTAAATATAATGTGTAAACTATTCATGTCTTGAGTCGGAAGTCAGATAATCCAATAAAAAATAATAATGTGAGCTGGCAATCTGGGCATCGTAGGATAATTTGTTTTGCCAGCCTCTTGGTAAGTTGAAATTATTTAGATAAGTTTCTCCAATTTTGGTGGAAAAATTGATGCGATTGGGTGGCTTGGTCTAGCAGTGATGTCATAACCTGAAGGTCGGCTTAATCATTGCCATAAGCCAATGTCCAGGCAGAGAGCTGCGGGATCGAATGTGTGTAATAAAAACGGATGTGTACGTTGATCTAGCAATTGCTGAAGTTGGAGAAAAAGAGTGAACAGGGCTGGCTCCAGACTGGACTAAATCAGTGCTGTCTCAAGGTTTTGTAGTAAATAAACAGAATATGCAGAGTCACTAGCCATATTTATGGGCTGAGTGGAAAAAGTTCCCAAGACCAGAATCAGAGCCCCAGTTTCAGCTCTCTGAGTGCTAGTAAACCTAGATCGAGTGATTGAATTGTGTGGTCTCCACCAGACTGCGGCTTTTCCATGTTTACCAGACCCATCAGTAAACAGTGTTAACACATTAGGTATGGGAGAGTAAACTATTTTTGTAGGTAAAACATTTACTAGACTTTTGGGGAATGACATAAATAGGTAAATTCCAAGGGCTGTTAGTAGAATATCACCCATAAAATGAATAACCCTGTAATTAGGAAACTTTTCTCACTGGGGAGCAAAGTTTGCTTTTAATTAGTCCTTAATTAACTCATTGGCCTTTTGTAATGTCTCTCCCTTTAGAGGTTGTTTTACTTAAATTGAATTTGGAGACAGATAACAACAGTGGCCATTATTAGAAAGAGGTCTTTCAAATTCTTACATTTTACTTAAATTTTAGCAGATATTTATAATCTGGGATGTCGCTTGTAAACAAGGAGCACAGGAGATTTTGCCTTGGGTTGCCTGCAGAGCTAGAGAGCTGAGCAGGCGGGTCCCTGGGCGGCGGCTGCTTTAGGTTTGTAAAGGCGCAGCTTTTTTCCTGTGCCATTTTTTGCCTGTGCTGGCTCCCTCCCCCAGCCGCCAGGTGGCTGTTGCCGGCCAGGGCGGACGCTGTAGTGCACGCCTCTGCTGGGGTGGACTTTGTCTCGCGCCTTTTGCCTTTCCCCAGTAGGCTCTTTGTTGCAGCTGCTGCCCTGTGGGTGGAGTTCCTGGGGGCACTTGCTGGCTCCATTTCTGTGAAATTCCCTGCTGCCAAGCCTTTCTTTTTTACTTACTGCTTGCTCTGCCTTGGCTTTGGCTTCTAATGCCTTTTCTTAACCCTTTAGGTACCTGATCGCTTTGCCATTCTTGCATTACTGGGCAGGCTAAGAGCTATCCTTTTAATTCAGCCTGCTTAAGACAGGGACTGATAGTTGTAGCATATCCTCTGTCTTTTTTCCTGTCTATTGGAGGAGGAGGCTCCGGTAAAACCTCCGTTTCCTCTTTGTTATTTTGGCCTGGTGATATTAGGGCTGAGGGAAGAGGAGGTGATATGGCAGGTGACATTTTCTCCTCATCTCCCTTTTTAGGCTCTTGTGTGTGTAACGGAGCTAGGGCTGCTCCAATTAAAGCCCATAACATTAAAGCTGTTACTGGGACCTGTTGCCTTTGTGCCTGATGTTGTTTAAGATTTCTCCCCATTGGTCCCAGAGTTCTACGTCTGGTGGTCCTTCTTCTGGGAACCATGGGCTTTGGGTTACAACAGCTGGCATTATAATTGAGCCTGTGAAACTGATGCTCTGCTAGCCTTAAGCAACTGCTTCAACACTTTTATATACTGTTTCTGTTGCGCTAATAACTGTTGTCCCATGATAAAACCTCAGCTTGACCCAAAATCCCCCCCGGAATTTGGTAACCTCGAGTGGGCACCAATGACTTACTGATTACTCACTGACTTGACCCCGCAGTTCCTTTTTTCACCCTCATTTTTTGGGGAGTCGCATTTCCTTCACGCTTCCTTCATAGCTTTCCTCATGAGGGCGGTCCTCACACTTCCTTCCCAGCTTGCCTCACGAGGGGCTCCAACTGCAGGGGGACTGTTTCTGCAGACCCCTGGCTGTCCTCACATGGGGCACCAGCTGAGGCAGCGCACCTTTCGAGGGGGCACTAGCTGCGGGGGGTGGGGGGAAGGGGCTGTTCCTGCAGGCCCTTGATTCAGCGACGGATGAGTAAAGTCCGCTGACACACAGATATTCTGCTCTGCCAGTCTAGCTGAGGGTCTGAGCCACTTACAGGCTCCAAGCTGAGTTCTGTAAACAGTTCGACTTGGCCCTCATCAAAAAGTGAGGCTTGCATTTATTCAGTAAGACTAATTAACAAAAGTTGTGAGTAAACACCACTAGAGAGTAAAGATTAAAGGCCAGGTTCCAGGCCTAAAGCAAACAGCATTTGGGGGCAATAAACTTCTGCCAACTCCCTGAGTAGGAGGCAGTAAAGTAACTCAGTAGGACAAAGGTGTTAGTCTTAAGCCCATATAAGTAAACATGTTAGTAAGGTAGACTTCCCACATTCCTTTGTACTTGCAACCTAATCTTTCTGGCTCCTGCAAACAGACCCTGGCTGCTTTCAGCCAAGCAATCTGAAGCTATGCAAACTCTCAGGCATTCCAAGAGAGCTTTTGACTATTACTATAACTATCTTTAATATTTTTTCCACCAGCCTGATGGAATCCTAACAAAATACAATATCTTTTCAAGACATAGATAGTACAATAAGATATACATAGATAGTACAATAAGATATACATAGAAACAACAAAAAGTTAAAAAGCAGGGTATGAAGTTAAAGTGTAGAGTTTTTATTAGTGTTCTCTTCGCTTGTTTGTTGGTTTATACAATCAGTGCCAATTTGTCATCAATTTAAAATAATGGGTTACAGGTATTTGCAAGCTTCATGGTTACCTCAAATCAAAAAACCCACAAAGATATGCAAAATGTAAAAAGTAAGAAATTAAAGCATAACACCACAGAAAATCACCTCCACTGAAAAGGAGACAGGTAGGAAGAAAGAAAAGAAAGAAGACCACAAATCAACCAGAAAACAAATAACAAAATAGCAGAAGTAAACCCTTACTCATCAATAATAACATCAAATGGAACTTGATTAAACTCTCCATTAAAAAGACAGAGTGGCTGAATGCATTAAAAAAAAAAAGACCCAATGATCTGTTCACTACAACAAATACACTGCATCTTTAAAGGCACACTAGACTGAAAATAAAGGAAAAAGATATTCCATACAAATAGAAACAAAAAAAGAGCAAGAGTAGCTACAATTATTGAAGATAAAATAAATTTCAAGACAAAAACTACAAAAAAGATAAAGACGGTCACTATATAATGATGAAGGATTCGTTGAGGAAGAAGATATCACAATTTTAAATATATATGCATCCAACACTGGAGTACCCAGATATATAAAGCAATAAATTATTAGGGCTAAAGTGACAGGCAACAATACAATAATAACTGGAGACTTCAACAACCGAAGTTCAGCACTGGACAGATCATTCAGACAGAAAATCAACGAACATTGTAGTTAATCTGCACTATCGACTAAAAAGACCTAACAAATATTTACAGAACATTTCATTCAAAGGCTGCAGAATAGACATGATTGTCCTCAGCACATGGATAATTCTTAAGGATAGACCATATATTAGGTCAAAACCAAGTCTTAAAACATTCACAAAATTTAAAATTACATCAACTATCTTATGTGACCACAAAGGAATAAAACTAGAAATCAATTACTAGAAGAGTTTGGAAACTATGCAGACACAGAAATTAAGCAAAATATTTCCCTGAATGATCAGTGAGTCAATAAATAAATTTTTATTTTTTTATTTTATTATTATTATACTTTAAGTTTTAGGGTACATGTGCACAATGTGCAGGTTAGTTACATATGTATACATGTGCCATGCTGGAGTGCTGCACCCATTAACTCATCACTTAGCATTAGGTATATCTCCTAATGCTATCCCTCCCCCCTCCCCCCACCCCAAAGAAGATAATTAAATTTTTTGAAACAAATTATAAGGGAAATGTGACACATCAAAATCCATGGGTGATATGATTTGGATCTCTGTCTCTGCCCAAATCTCATGTCAAATTGTAATTCCCAGTGTTGGAGGTTGGGGCCTGGTGGGAGTTGATAGGATCATGGGGCTGCATTACCCCCGTGCCACTGCTCTCGTGATATCTGGTTGTTTAAAAGTATGTGACAACTCCACCCTTCTTCCTCTTGCTCCAGCCACATGAAGTGTTGGCTCCCCATTTGCCTTCTGCCATGATTGAAAGCTCCCTGAGGCTGCCTCAGAAGCAGAAGCCACTATGGTTCTTGTACACCCTGTGGAGCCATGAGCCAATTAAACTTCTTTTCTTTATAAATTTCCCATTCTCAGGTATTTATCTACAGCAATGTGAGAACAGACTAATACAATGAGATATAGAGAAAGCAACACTAAGAGGAAAACTTATAGGTAAAAATTCCTACACCAAAAAGTAGAAAAATTTCAAATAAACCACTTAATGATTCATCTTAAAAAACTAGAAAAGCAAGAACAATTGAAACCACAAATTAGTAGAAGAAATAATAAAAATCAGAGCAGAAATAAATGAAATTAAGATAAAAAAATCAACAACACAAAAGATCGATGACAGGAAAAGTTGGTTTTCTGAAAAGACAAAATTGACATACCTTTAGCTAGAATAAGAAAAAAGAGAGAAAACCCAAATAAATAAAATTAGAGATAAAAAGGAAACATTACAACCAATACTTCAGAAAGTAAAAGGATTATTAGAGGCTACAATGAGCAACTATGTGCCAATAAATTGGAAAATTTAGAAGCAAGGGATAAATTCCTAGACACATACAACCAACTAAGATTGAACCATGAAAAAATTCAAAACTGAACAGACTAACAAGTAATGAGATCGAAGACAAGATAAAACATCTTCCAGCAAATTGGCTTCACTGCTGAATCTCACCAAACATTTAAAGAACTAATGTCAACCCTCCTTAAACTATTCCAAAAAATTGAGGAGGAAGGAAGACTTCCATACTCATTCTATGAGGCCAGAACTACCCTGATAACAAAACCAGATAAAGACACATTAAAAGAAAAAAAAAAAAAAACCTTCAGGCCAATATCACTGATTAATATTGATGCAAAAGGCTAGGGGTGGTGGCTCACAACTATAATCCCAGCACATTGGGAGGCTGAGGCGAGTGGATCACGAGGTCAAGAGCTCGACACCATCCTGGCCAACATGGTGAAACCTTGTCTCTACTAAAAATACAAAAATTAGCTGGGGGTGGTGGCACGCACCTGTAGTCCCAACTACTCAGGAGGCTGAGGCAGGAAAATCGCTTGAAACTAGTCGAGATTGTGCCACTGCACTCCAGCCCAGCAATAGAGCGAGACTCCATCTCAAAAACAATCTATCTATCTATCTATCTATCTATCTATCTATCTGGGAAAATCCCCAATAAAATATTAGCAAAACAAATTAAACAACATAAAAATATCATTCATCATGACCAAGTGGGATTTATCCTAGGGAGGGAGGAATAGTTCAACATATGCAAGTCAGCCAATGTAATCCATCGTATCAAAAGAATGAAGGACAAAAATCATATGATAAATTCAACTGATGCTGATAAAGCATTTGATAATATTCAACATCCTCCTAAATAAACCTACCAAAAAACTGGGTACAGAATAAACATACCTCAATAAAATAAAAGCCATATACCACTGACCCACAGCTACTATCATACTGAGGAAAAACTGCAAGCCTTTTATCTAAGATCTAAAACATGACAAAGATTCCCACTTAACACCACTGTTATTCAAAATGGTACTGAATGTCCCAATTAGAGCAATCAGACAACAAAAAGAAAAAAAGGGTATCCAAATTGGAATGGAAGAAGTCAAATTATCCTTGTTTGATCCACCCCAAATCAACAAAATATACATTTTTTTCAGCACCACACCACACCTATTCCAAAATTGACCACATAGTTGGAAGTAAAGCTCTCCTCAGCAAATGTAAAAGAACAGAAATTATAACAAACTATCTCTCAGACCACAGTGTAATCAAACTAGAACTCAGGATTAAGAATCTCACTCAAAGCCGCTCAACTACATGGAAACTGAACAACCTGCTCCTCAATGACTACTGGGTACATAATGAAATGAAGGCAGAAATAAAGATGTTCTTTGAAACCAACGAGAACAAAGACACAACATACCAGAATCTCTGGGACGCATTCAAGGCAGTGTGTAGAGGGAAATTTATAGCACTAAATGCCCACAAGAGAAAGCAGGAAAGATCCAAAATTGACACCCTAACATCACAATTAAAAGAACTAGAAAAGCAAGAGCAAACACATTCAAAAGCTAGCAGAAGGCAAGAAATAACTAAAATCAGAGCAGAACTGAAGGAAATAGAGACATAAAAAACCCTTCAAAAAACCAATGAATCCAGGAGCTGGTTTTTTGAAAGGATCAACAAAATTGATAGACCGCTAGCAAGACTAATAAAGAAAAAAAGAGAGAAGAATCAAATAGACACAAAAAAAAAATTATAAAGGGGATATCACCACTGATCCCACAGAAATACAAACTACCATCAGAGAATACTACAAACACCTCTATGCAAATAAACTAGAAAATCTAGAAGAAATGGATAAATTACTCGACACATACACTCTCCCAAGACTAAACCAGGAAGAAGTTGAATCTCTGAATAGACCAATAACAGGAGCTGAAATTCTGGCAATAATCAATAGTTTACCAACCAAAAAGAGTCCAGGACCAGATGGATTCACAGCCGAATTCTACCAGAGGTACAAGGAAGAACTGGTACCATTCCTTCTGAAACTATTCCAATCAATAGAAAAAGAGGGAATCCTCCCTAACTCATTTTATGAGGCCAGCATCATTCTGATACCAAAGCCGGGCAGAGACACAACCAAAAAAGAGAATTTTAGACCAATATCCTTGATGAACATTGATGCAAAAATCCTCAATAAAATACTGGCAAACCGAATCCAGCAGCACATCAAAAAGCTTATCCACCATGATCAAGTGGGCTTCATCCCTGGGATGCAAGGCTGGTTCAATATACGCAAATCAATAAATGTAGTCCAGCATATAAACAGAGCCAAAGACAAAAACCACATGATTATCTCAATAGATGCAGAAAAAGCCTTTGACAAAATTCAACAACCCTTCATGCTAAAAACTCTCAATAAATTAGGTATTGATGGGACATATTTCAAAATAATAAGAGCTATCTATGACAAACCCACAGCCAATATCATACTGAATGGGAAAAAACTGGAAGCATTCCCTTTGAAAACTGGCACAAGACAGGGGTGCCCTCTCTCACCACTCCTATTCAACATAGTGTTGGAAGTTCTGGCCAGGGCAATTAGGCAGGAGAAGGAAATAAAGGGTATTCAATTAGGAAAAGAGGAAGTCAAATTGTCCCTGTTTGCAGATGACATGATTGTATATCTAGAAAACCCCATTGTCTCAGCCCAAAATCTCCTGAAGATGATAAGCAACTTCAGCAAAGTCTCAGGATACAAAATCAATGTACAAAAATCACAAGCATTCTTATACACCAACAACAGACAAACAGAGAGCCAAATCATGAGTGAACTCCCATTCACAATTGCTTCAAAGAGAATAAAATACCTAGGAATCCAACTTACAAGGGATGTGAAGGACCTCTTCAAGGAGAACTACAAAACACTCCTCAAGGAAATAAAAGAGGATACAAACAAATGGAAGAACATTCCATGCTCATGGGTAAGAAGAATCAATATCGTGAAAATGGCCATACTGCCCAAGGTAATTTACAGATTCAATGCCATCCCCATCAAGCTACCAATGACTTTCTTCACAGAATTAGAAAAAAATACTTTAAAGTTCATATGGAACCAAAAAAGAGCCCGCATTGCCAAGTCAATCCTAAGCCAAAAGAACAAAGCTGGAGGCATCACACTACCTGACTTCAAACTATACTACAAGGCTACAGTAACCAAAACAGCATGGTACTGGTACCAAAACAGAGATATAGATCAATGGAACAGAACACAGCCCTCAGAAATAATGCCGCATACCCACAACTATCTGATCTTTGACAAACCTGAGAAAAACAAGCAATGGGGAAAGGATTCCCTATTTAATAAATGGTGCTGGGGAAACTGGATAGCCATATGTAGGAAGCTGAAACTGGATCCCTTCCTTACACCTTATACAAAAATCAATTCAAGATGGATTAAAGATTTAAACGTTAGACCTAAAACCATAAAAACCCTAGAAGAAAATCTAGGCATTACCATTCAGGACATAGGCATGGGCAAGGACTTCATGTCCAAAACACCAAAAGCAATGGCAACAGAAGGCAAAATTGACAAATGGGATCTAATTAAACAAAAGAGCTTCTGCATAGCAAAAGCAACTACCATCAGAGTGAACAGGCAACTTACAAAATGGGAGAAAATTTTCGCAACCTACTCATCTGACAAAGGGCTAATATCCAGAATCTACAATGAACTCAAACAAATTTACAAGAAAAAAACAAACAACCCCATCAAAAAGTGGGCGAAGGACATGAACAGACACTTCTCAAAAGAAGACATTTATGCAGCCAAAAAACACATGAAAAAATGCTCATCATCACTGGTCATCAGAGAAATGCAAATCAAAACCACTATGAGATACCATCTCACACCATTTAGAATGGCAATCATTAAAAAGTCAGGAAACAACAGGTGCTGGAGAGGATGTGGAGAAATAGGAACACTTTTACACTGTTGGTGGGACTGTAAACTAGTTCAACCATTGTGGAAGTCAGTGTGGCAATTCCTCAGGGATCTAGAACTAGAAATACCATTTGACCCAGCCATTCCATTACTGGGTATATACCCAAACGACTATAAATCATGCTGCTATAAAGACACATGCACACGTATGTTTATTGCGGCATTATTCACAATAGCAAAGACTTGGAACCAACCCACATGTCCAACAATGATAGACTGGATTAAGAAAATGTGGCACATATACACCATGGAATACTATGCAGTCATAAAAAATGATGAGTTCATGTCCTTTGTAGGGACATGGATGAAATTGGAAATCATCATTCTCAGTAAACTATCGCAAGAACAAAAAACCAAACACCGCATATTCTCACTCATAGGTGAGAATTGAACAATGAGATCACATGGACACAGGAAGGGGAATATCACACTCTGGGGACTGTGGTGGGGTGGGGGGAGGGGGGAGGGATAGCATTGGGAGATATACCTAATGTTAGATGACGAGTTAGTGGGTGCAGTGCACCAGCATGGCACAGGTATACATATGTATCTAACCTGCACAATGTGCACATGTACCCTAAAACTTAAATAAAAAAAAAAAACTTAAAGACTTTAGAACTAATATAAAAATTCAGCAACACTGCAGCATATGAAATCAATATACAAAAATCAGTAGTATTTCTACATGCCAACAACAATCTAAAAAAGAAACCAAGAAATAATTTCATTTACCATAGCTACAAATAAAATAAGATACCTAAGAATAAATGTAACTGACATTTCTCACAAGAAGACATGCAAATGGCAAACAGGCATATGAAAAGGTGCTGAATATCATTGATCATCAAAGAAATGCAAATCCAAACTGTAATAAGACATAATCTCACCCCAGTTAAAATGGCCTATATTCAAAAGACAGGCAATAACAAATACCAGCAACAATATGGAGGAAAGGGAAACGTTGTACACTGTTAGTGAGAATGTAAATTAGTAAAACCGCTATGAATAATAGTTTGAAGGCTTCTCAAAAAAAAAAAAAAAAAAAATAGAGCAACCACATGATCCAGCAATGTCACTGCTAGGTATATAGACCAAAGAAAGGAAATCAGTATATTGAAAAGATAGCTGCACTCCTGTGTTTATTGCAACACTATTCACAATAGCCAAAATGTGGAAGCAACCTAAGTGTCCATCAACAGATGAATAGATTTTTAAAAATGTGTTTCATATACACAATGGAATAATATTCAGCCATAAAAATGAATGAGATCTTATCATCTGCAACAATATGGCTGGAATTGGAGGTCATTATGTTAAGTGAAAAAAGCCAGGTACCAAAAGACAAACTATGCATGTTCTCACATATTACTGAGTGCTAAAAATTAAAACAATTGAACTCATGTAGATCAAGAGTAGAATGATGGTTACCAAAGGCTGAGAAAGATAGTGGTTGGAGGGTAAGGTTAGGGATGATTAATGCATGCAAAATTATAATTAGATAAAATGAGTAACATCTAGTATTGGATAGCACAACAAGGTGGCTACAGTCAACAACAGTTTATATTTTAAAATAACTAAAAATATAATTAGATGGTTTATAACACAAAGAATGAATGAATGCTTGAGATCACAGATACCCCATGTATTCTAATGTGATTATTATGCATTGTATACCTGTATCAAAACATCTCATGTGCTCCATATATGTATACCTACTACGTACCAGAAAAAAGTAAAAAAAAAAAAAAAGTAAAATCAATAAAAATATTTAGGTTGGGCTGGTGCAAAAGTAATTGCGGTTTTTGCCATTAATAATTATAAAGTCATTCTACCATAGACTTGACTAAATACTGTCCAAATCACTTTTTCCATTTGGTAGATATTTTTCTCTCTTTGGTAATCTCCTCTGAATTAGAAATGTATTTTCCTATCATGGTAGAGTCTCTTACCATTTTCTGTACATCATTAGAAAATCAAAACATTAGCTCTGAAAGCCTTTATAGTTTAGAATTTTAAAGCATAATTGTTTTCAGCCATCCAGAAAGTGCTGACCTGAGGCCTGTGAGCCTTGACCCTTTTACCCATAGAACCTGAGCCAGATCCACACTATCTTCTAACTTTTTCCCAGTGGTCTAAAAATACATCCACCAATGTGAAGGGCAATTCACCAGCTGTCCACCTTAACAGGTGCAAGAACAAAGAGAAAGAAGAGAAATGATACAATAGTGCATAGAAGTTAATATGAAACTGAGGAAAGCTAAGAAAGATAGGTGGGATGCTAAAAACTGAAAAACAGTGGGGAGATTCCTTAAAGAACTAAAAGAAGATTGACCGTTTGATCCAGCAATCCCACTCCTAGGTATCTACCCAGAGAAAAAGAAGGCATTATACGAAAAAGATACTTGCACACACGTTTATAGCAGCACAATTTGCAGGTGCAAAAATATGGAACCAGCCCAAATGCCCACCAATCAATGAGTGGATAAAGAAAATGTGGTATATATATACCATGGAATACTACTCAGCAATATAAAGGAATGAAATAATGGCATTCGCAGCAACCTGCATTGAATTGGAGACTATTATTCCAAGTGAAGCAACTCAGGAATGAAAAACCAAATATTTTATGTTCTCACTCATATGTGGGAGCTAAGCTATGAGGACGCAAAGGCATAAGAATAATACACTGGACTTCAGGGACTTGGGAAAAAGGGTAGAGGGTGGTGAGGGGTAAAAGGCTACACATTGGGTACAGTGTACACTGTTTGGGTGATGGGTGCACCAAATTCTCAGAAATCAACAATAAAGAACTTATTCATGTAACCAAACACCACCTGTTCCACAAAAACGTATTGAAATTAAAAAAAAAAAAGAAATATAAGCTATTTTCCTGACACTTTTTTTTTTTTTTTTGACACAGAGTCTTACTCTGTGGCCCAGGCTGGAGTACAGTGGTGAGATCTTGGCTCACTGCAACTCTGGCCTCCTGGGTTCAAGGGATTCTTCTGCCTCTACCTCCTGAGGAGCTGGGATTACAGGCGCCCTCCACCATGCCCGACTAATTTTGTGTTTTTTTGTAGAGATGGGGTTTCACCATGTTGGCCAGGCTGGTCTTGAACTCCTAACCTCAAGTGATCCACCCACCTCGGCCTCCCAAAGTGCTGGATTACAGGTGTGAGCCACTGCACCCAGCACCTGCTACTTTTCTATCACAGGAAAACCATAGCAACTAGGGCTTTGTAAATTGTTCTGTTGATGTCACTGTGAAAGACACAAAGAGTAATAATTTGGTACTCCAACTCCAAGCTACCCAAGGTGTCAGAAAATTATTTTCTATGGAAAACTCTCCATAAACAATATAATCCAGACTGGTTTGATTCCAAAATGCGTGCCTTTCTCTGATTGTAGTACTGTTAAACTTTAATTTGTTTAGGTGCACTTGCTAATATAGATTTTGGGAAATCACAATAGACAAGCTGTGGTAGATGAAGCGCATTCATTGCTCTGTTGGCATCTTACCATTCACACATCAGTAAATAAGCTATATGAGCTTTAGGAAATCTTTCAAGATTTGGTTATCAAGAATGGTGCAATAGATACTTTATTAATTCTGCTTGAAGTTCCTGATATGTCATCTTTGTTGTGTGGTTATTTATATAATTTTACTTTCCAACTTCTGTTGTCATAAAAAATCCAACTCTACTATTAGATGCTGCTAAGCAAATTCTCTCTACTTTAGTTTATCTTCTGCATCATATTGATCTTGAGGTATTTATGGATATTTGGAGACTATTTCCTACCTCACTGATGGTGCAAATGAACCAACTTAAATTGTTTTAAAAACAAGAGTTTTGCCATAGCTCATAAAGGTTTTAGGAGCTACTGAATTACCAACTATGCAACTAGTCTAAAGAGACATAGGAAATACTGTCACTAGAACAGACCAACAGAATCAGGTTGTAGATGCACTTTCAGTTTTCCCTAGCCTGCTTACTAAAGCAAAAACTAATATTTTGAAGAAAGCTGCAAGAACAATATCAAAAATCACAGCTATCTGTCAGGACCACATACAAGTTCCATTCTTTTTGCTTTCCTCTAGTCATTATTTGTTGGCTATTTTGATCTTGTCTTAAAGGCAGATTTGAAGATACACAAACAAGCTGTACGGTTAGTCACTATTTATACAAGTGAAGAAATAGGTGAACAGATTGTATACCGTCCATATCCATTGTTGCATGATGGAACCACTAAAAAACCTTTGAAGTTTAAAACATATTGTGATTGTCCTAGTTATGCTTTACAGCTGTTGAGAAACTAGCTGAAACTAGAAAAAAAATCTTAGTACAGTGAAGAGCATGGAGATCTGGACAAAATTGAAGGTCTTCAAAACCTGAGAAAAAGTCTATGTAGATTTCATTAAGCTTAATTGAGACATTTTCTATATAAATGAAGAAAGTAATATATACAATGCATATATGTATGAAAACATCACTCAGTACCTCATAAATATGTATAATTATTAGGTGTCAATTAAAAACAAAGTAGAACATAAAAATGAATATTATGTCAAAATCTATTGCTGATGGGCTACAGTTCAGGATTATACTCCTTAGACTTTCAGTTTTACATATTACTAATGAAGTAGTTTTCTGTACCATGTTGTATACATGTATACCATGTTTCTCTAGTAAGATCTCTTTTTAGATGTGATTTGTAGTGCAACACTTTTTACATCTCAAGTACACTTCAACAGTTCCAAACTATACATACCTTTAATAACCCCTCTCTAATCCCTTTCCCAAAGGTTTCTGTTCTCAATTTACACGTTACTGTTTAAAAGGTCCTAGTATCCACCAATCTCTGACTGCCCTTTTTACTAGTTTACAAATTCCATCCATCACAAAATCCACCTTCTGCAATATCTCACAGATTCAGTCAGTTGGTAAGTATTGAGATCTATTATCTAGCAGGATGGGGAGTTCTGCTCATCCATCTGCTTGCTGTGAAACCCACAGCAATGTTGCTCTAAAGATCAAATGAGATGATCTTCAAAAGGACTCTGTAAAATATAACATGGTATACTATACATGAGTTTGCTAATGTTGCTATTGTAATCATTATTCTGTCAAAAGGGGAAAGGGGGTTGAGAAAACAAAAAAAATATAAGACATGGTCTCTGCTATCAAGATATAAACAATGTAGAAATATCAAGATAACATACCTCAAACAAGTTAAATTCTAAAATGCCTCATGGTGTCAGGAAAAGGAAGAGGAAGGCAACTAACATTTATCTGATACTTACTATATGTTAATGTGTTGTGTGCTTTACATATATAATATCAATAGGAGTTCAAAACTGAACAAGTTCAACCTCACCTGGAATTCCAAATATGCTGGGCAGTCCATTTACTTCCTATTTCAATTCTTCTCAGAGTTGAATTTAAAATTATCCCACACACCACCCTCATTTACCCATAGAATGCCTCTTTTCTACTTTGCCAACATAAAAAAGGGCATCAGGTAAAAACTTCCCCAAATTATTTCCTAATTTCCAACTTATCTATAAATATTCCTTGAACCATTTACTTGACTGCATTTACTATATATTAGGTATGATCCAGACACCAAGGACTCAACAATGAACAATAGGGATAAGTACCTTACATATTCTATTTGGGAAGACAGATAACAAACAACCAAACCTGTAACTATAAAAATATATTCATCTTTACTACCTTTATTTCCATCAGGAAAAGATAAGTATCTCACCAATAAAAATAACTTCTCCAAGTGTAACGTTGATTCCACAACCATAAGACTGTTTTCTTCATATATGTATAATTTTCTTAACTTTTATTTCAGGATCAAAGGTACATGTGTAGGTTTGTTATGTAGGTAAATTGCGTGCAACTGGGGTTTGGTGTACTCAGATGATGAGTATAGTACCCAATTAAGTAGTTTTTCGATCCTCACCCCCTCCCACCCTCCAACCTCAAATAGACCCCAGTGTCTGTTATCTTCTTTGTGTCCATATGTACTAAATGTTTAGTTTTCACATGTAAGTTAGAACACGTGGTATTTGCTTTTCTGTTCCTGCGTTAGTTTGCTTAGGATAATAGTACCCAACTCCATCCATGTTGATGAAAAATACATGATCTCATTCTTTTTTTATGGCCGCATAAAATTCCATTTTCTTTATTTTCTTTATTCAGTCTACCATTGATGGGCATCTAGATTGATTATATGTCTTTGCTATTGTGAATAGTACTGTGATGAACATATGTGTGCATGTGTCTTTAGAGTAGACTGATTTACATTCCTTTGGGTACAAACACAGTAATGGAATCTCTGGGGCAAATGGCAATTCTGTTTTAAGTTCTTTGAGAAATTGCCAAACTGCATGCCACAATGGCTCAACTAATGTAAACTCCCATCAGCAGTATATAAGTGTTGCCTTTTTTTTCACAACCTAGCCAGCAACTGTTCATTTTGACTTCTTAATAATAGCCATTCTGGCTGGTATGAGATGATATCTCATTGTGCTTTTGATTTGCATTTCTCTAATAATTAGTAATATTGAGCAATTTTTCATATGCTTGTTGGCTGCATTTATGTTTCCTTTTAAAATGTGTCTGTCCACGTCATTTGCAAACTTTTAAATAGGGTTTTTTGTTTTTTTTTTTGTTTGTGAAACTGACAAAGTTCCTTAAAGATTCTGGATATTAGACCCTTGTGAATGCACACATTGCAAATATTTTCTTCAATTCTGTAGGTTGTCTATCTATTGATAGCTTCTTTGCTGTGCAGAAGCTCTTTAGTTTAATTGGATCATATTTCTTAATTTTTTTGTTACAATTGCTTTTGGTGTCTTCATCATGAAATCTTTGCCATGGCCTATGTACAGAATGGTACTGACAGAGCAGGAGCATCATGACCTTGGACAAGCACCGCCATTTTATTTTTATTTATTTATTTATTTTTTAATTAATTCACTTTAAGTTCTGGGATACATGTGCAGAACGTGCAGGTTTGTTACATAGGTAAACATGTGCTATGGTGGTTTGCTACACCTATCAACCCATCATCTAGGTTTTAAGCCACGCATGCATTAGGTATTTGTCCTAATGCTCTCCCTCCCCTTGCCCCCACCTCCCAACAGGCACTAGTGTGTGATGTTTCCCTCCCTGTGTCCATGTGTTCTCATTGTTCAACTCCCACTAATGAGTGAGACTGAGCAGTGTTTGGCTTTCTGTTCCTGTTTTACTTTGTTGAGAATAATGACTTCCAGCTTCATCCATGTCCAGGCAAAAGACATGAACTCATTCTTTTTGATGGTTGCACAGTATTCCATGGTTTACATGTGCCACATTTTCTTTATCCAGTCTATCATAGATGGGCATTTGGGTTGGTTCCAAGTCTTTGCTATTGTACACAGTGCTGCAATAGACATACGTGCACATATTTCATTATAGTAGAACGATTTATAATCCTTTGGGTATATACACAGTAATGAGATTGCTGGGTCATATGGTATTTCTGGTTCTAGATCCTTGAGGAATCGCCACACTGTCTTCCACAATGGTTGAAGTAATTTACACTCCCACTAACAGTGTAAAAGCATTACTATTTCTTCACATCCTCTCCAGCATCTGTTGTTTCCTAACTTTTGAATGATCACCATTCTAACTGGTCTGAGATGGTATCTCATTGTGGTTTTGATTTGCATTTCTCTAATGACCAGTGATGGTGAGCTTTTTTTCATATGTTTGTTGGCAGCATAAATGTCTTCCTTTGAGAAGTGTCTGTTCATATCCTTTGCCCACTTTCTGATGAGGTTATTTTTTTTCTTGTAAATTTGTTTACTATTATTGTAGATACTGGATATTAGACCTTTTTCAGATGGATAGATTGCAAAAAATTTCTCCCATTCTGTAGGTTACCTGTTCACTCTGATGATAGTTTGTTTTGCTGTGCAGAAGCTCTTTAGTTTAATTAGATCCCATTTGTCAATTTTGGCTTTTGTTTCAATTGCTTTTGGTGTTTTAGTCATGAAGTCTTTGCACATTCTTATGTCCTGAATGGTATTGCCTAGGTTTTCTTCTAGGGATTTTATAATTTTAGGATTTATATTTAACTATTTAAATCATCTTGAGTTAATTTTTTGCATAAGGTATAAAAAGGGGGTCCAGTTTCAGTTTTCTGCATATAGCTAGCCAGTTTTCCCAGCACCATTAATTAAATAGAAAATCCTTTTCCCATTGCTTGTTTTTGTCAGGTTTTTCGAAGACCAAATCATTGTAGATGTGTGGTGTTATTTCTGAGGCCTCTGTTATGTTCCATTGGCCTATGTGTCTGTTTTGGTACCAGTACCATGCTGTTTTGGTTACTGTAGGTTTGTAGTATAGTTTGAAGTCAGGTAGCGTGGTGCCTCCAGTTTTGTTCTTTTAGCTTGAGATTGTCTTGGCTCCATGGACTCGTTTTTTGGTTCCATATGAAATTTGAAGTAGTTTCTGGTAATTCTGTGAAGAAAGTCAATGGTAGCTTGATGGAAACAGCATTGAATCTATAAATTACTTTGATTACTATGTCCATTTTCATGATCTTGATTCTTCCTAAATTTTTTTTCAACTTCTTTGGGTCCTCTCTTATTTCCTTGAGCAGTGTTTTGTAGTTCTGCTTGAAGAGGTCCTACACGTAACTTCTAAGTTGTATTCCTAGTATTTTATGCTGTTTGTAGCAATTCTGAATGGCAGTTTACTCATGATTTGGCTCTCTGTTTGTCTATTATTGGTGTATAGAAATGCTTGTGATTTTTGCACATTGATTCTGTATCCTGAGACTTTGCTGAAGTTTCTTATCAGCTTAAGGAGATTTTCGGCTGAGATGATGGGGTTTTCTAAATATACAATCATGTCATCTTCAAACAGAGACAATTTGAATTCCTCTCTTCCTATTGTCTTGTGCCAGTTTTCAAAAGAAATGCTTCCAGGTTTTGTCCATTCAGTATGATATTGGCTATGGATTTGACATAAATACCTCTTATTATTTTGAGATATGTTCCATCAATACCTAGTTTATTGAGAGTTTTTAGCATAAAGAGATGTTGAAATTTATCAAACGCTTTTTCTACATCTATTGAGATAATTATGTGGTTTTTGTCATTGGTTCTGTTTATGAGACAGATTATGTTTAATGATTTGCGTATGTTGAACCAGCATTGCATGCCAGAGATGAAGCCAACTTAATCATGATGGATAAGCTTTTTGATGTGCTGCTAGATTTGGTTTGCCAGTATTTTATTGAGGATTTTGGCATCAAAGTTAAGCAGGGATATTGGCCTGAAATTTTCATTTTTTGTTGTGTCTCTGCCAGGTTTTGGTATCAGGACGATGCCGGCCTCATAAAATAAGTTAGGGAGAAGTCCCTCTTTTTCTATTGTTTAAAATAGTCTCAGAATGAATGGTACCAGCTCCTCTTTATACCTCTTGAAGAATACACCTGTGAAGTTATCTGGTCCTGGGATTTTTTTGGTGGACAGACAATTAATTTCTCAATTTCAGAAATTGTTATTGGTCTATTCAGAGAATTGACTTCTTCCTTAGTTTAGTCTTGAGAGTGAGTATATGTCCAGATATTTATCCATTTCTCCTAGATTTTCTTTGTAGCAATTCGCATAGAGTTTATTTGCATAGAGGTTTTTTATAGTATTCTCTGATGATAGTTTGTATTTCTGTTGGATCAGTGGTGACATCCTATCATTTTTATTGTGTCCATTTCACTCTTCTCCCTTTTCTTCTTTATTAGTCTGGCTGGTGGTCTATCTATTTTGTTAGTCTTTTAAAAAACCCAGCTCCTAGATTCATTCATTTTTTGAAGGGTTTTTTGTGTCTCTATCTCCTTCAGTTCAGCTTTGATCTTAGTTATTTCATGTCTTCTGCTAGCTTTTGAATTTGTTTGCCCTTGCTTCTCTAGCCCTTTTTTAGATCTTTTTTTTTTTTAAATAACTTTAAGTTATGAGATACATGTGCAGAACATGCAGGTTTGTTACATAGGTATACACATGCCATGGTGGTGTGCTGCAACCATCAACCCGTCATCTACATTACGTATCTCTTCTAATGCTATCCCTCCCCTTACCCCCAACACCCCGACAGGCCCCACTCTGTGATGTTCCCCTCCCTGTGTCCATGTGTTCTCATTGTTCAACTCCCACTTATGAGTGAGAACGTGTGGTGTTTGGTTTTTTGTTGCTGTGTTAGTCTGCTGAGAATGATGGTTTCCAGCTTCATCGATGTCCATTCAAAGGGCAGGAACTCATCATTTTTATGGCTGCATAGTATTCCATGGTGTATATGTACCATATTTTCTTTATCCAGTCTATCATTGATGGGCATTTGCATTGGTTCCAAGTCTTTGCTATTGAAAATAGTGCTGCAATAAACGTACATGTGCATGTGTCTTTATGGCAGAATAAGTTACAATCCTTTGGGTATATACCCAGTAATGGGATTGCTGGTCAAAGGTACTTCTGGTTCTAGATCCTTGAGGAATTGCACACTCTCTTCCACAATGGTTGAACTAATTTACACTCCCACCAACAGTGTAAAAGTGTTCCTATTTCTCCACATCCTCTCCAGCATCTGTTGTTTCCTGACTTTTTAATGATCACCATTCTAACTGGCATGAGATTGTATCTCATTGCAGTTTTGATTTGCCATTCTCTAATGACTAGTGTTGGTGAGCTTTTCTTCATATGTTTCTTGGCAGCATAAATGTCTTATTTTGAGAAGTGTCTGTTCACATCCTTCGCCCACTTTTTTGATAAGGTTGTTTTTTTCTTCTAAATTTGTTTAAGTTCCTTGTAGATTCTGGATATTAGCCCTTTGTCAGATGGATAGATTGCAATTATATTTTCACATTCTGCAGGTTGCCTGTTCAATCTGATGATAGTTTGTTTTGCTGTGCAGAAGCTCTTTAGTTTAATTAGATCCCATTTGTCAATTTTGGCTTTTGTTGTCATTGCTTTTGGTGTTTTCGTCATGAAGTCTTTGCCCATACGTATGTCCTGAATGGTATTGTCTAGGTTTTCCCCTAGGGTATTTATGGTTTTACGTCTTACATTTAGGTCTTTAATCCATCTTGAGTTAATCTTTGTATAAGGTATAAGGAAGGCATCCAGTTTCAGTTTGCTGCATATGGCTAGCCAGTTTTTCCAACACTGTTTATTAAATAGGGAATACTTTCCCCATTGCTTGTGTTTCTCAGGTTTGTCAAAGATCAGATGGTTGTAGATGTGTGGCATTATTTCTGAGGCCTCTGTTCTGTTTTATTTGTCTATGTATCTGCTTTTGTACCAGTACCATGCTGTTTTGGTTACTGTAGCCCTGTAGTATAGTTTGAAGTCAGGTAGCATGATGTCCCCAGCTTTGTTCTTTTTGCTTAGGATAGTCTTGGGTATACAGGCTATTTTTGGTTCCATATAAAACTTAGTTTTTTCTGTGAAGAAAGTCAATGGTTGTTTGATGGGGACAGCAATGAATCTATAAATTACTTTTGGCACTATGGCCATTTTCACGATATTGATTCTTCCTATCCATGAGCATGGAATGTTTTTCCAATTGTTTGTGTCCTCTCTTATTTCCTTGAGCAGTGGTTTGTAGTTCTCCTTGAAGAGGTCCTTCATATCCCTTTTAAGTTGTATTCCTAGGTATTTTATTCAGTTTGTCACAATTGTGATTGGCATTCACTCATGATTTGGCTATTTGTCTATTACTGGTGTATAGGAATGCTGGTGATTTTTGCACATTGATTTTGTATCCTGAGACTTTGCTGTAGTTGCTTATCAGCTTAAGGGGTTTTTGGACTGAGACGATGGGGTTTTCTAAAAATACATTCATGTCATCTGCAAACAGAGACAATTTGACTTCTTCTCTTCCTACTTGAATACCCTTTTCTTTCTTTCACTTGCCTGATTGCCCTGGCCAGAACTTCCAATACTATGTTGAATAGGAGTTGTGAGAGATGGTACACTTGTCTTTTGCCTGTTTTCAAAGGGAATGCTTCCAGCTTTTGCCCGTTCAGTATGATATTGGCTGTGGGTTTGCATAAATAGCTCTTATTATTTTGAGATATGTACCATCAACAACTAGTTTCTGGAGAGCTGTTAGCATAAAGAGGTGCTCAATATTATTGAAGGCCTTTCCTGCATCTATTGAGATACTCATGAAGTTTTTGTCATTGCTTCTGTTTATGTGATGGATTATGTTTAATGCTTTGTGTATGTTGAACCATCCTTGTGTCCCAGCAATAAAGCCGACTTGATCATGGTGGATAAGCTTTTCAATGTGCTGCTGGATTTGGTTTGCCTGTATTTTATTGAGGATCTTCACAACAATGTTGATCAAGGATATTGGCCTGAAATTTTTGTTGTTGTTGTTTCTTTGCCAGATTTTGCTATCAGGATGACACTGGCCTCATACAATGAGTTATGGAGGAGTCCCTCCTTTTCTGTTGTTTGGAGTAGTTTCAGAAGAAATGGTACCAGCTCCTCTTTGTGCCTCTGGTAGAATTTGACTGTGAATCCGTCTCATCCTGGGCTTTTTTTGGTTGGTAGGCTATTAGCTCCTGCCTCAATTTCAGAACTTGTTATTGGTCTGTTCAGGGATTTGACCTCTTCCTGGTTTAGTCTTGGGAGGGCGCATGTGTCCGGGAATTTATCCATTTCTTTTAGATTTTCTAGTTTGTGTGCATAAAGGTGTTTATAGTATTCTCTGATGGTAGTTGGTATTTCTGTGGGATCAGCGGTGTTATCCCCTCCATCAGTTTTTATTATGTCAGGGACCCACTTAAGAAAGCAGTCTGTCCCTTAGCAGAGCTCCAGTGCTGTGCTGGGAGATCTGTTGCTCTCTTCAGAGCTGCCAGGCAGGAACACTTAAATCTGCAGAAGTTGCGCCCACAACTGCCCATTCACCCAGGTGCTCTGTTCTAGGGAGATGTTAGTTTTATCTATAAGCCCCTGATTGGGGCTCCTGCCTTTCAGAGATGCCCTACCCAGAGAGGAGGAATCTAGAGAGGCAGTCTGGCTATAGAGGCTTTCTGGAGCTGTGGTGTGCTCCACCCAGTTCGATCTTCCTGGTGGCTTTCTTTACACTGTGAGGAGAAAACTGCCTACTCAAGCCTCAGTAATGGTGGGATCCCCTCCCCCCACCAAGCCCGAGCATCCCAGGTTGACTTCAGACTGCTGTCCTGGCAGCTAGAATTTCAAGCCAGTGGATCTTAGCTTGCTGGGCTCCGTGGGTGTGGGATCTGCTGAGCTAGACCACTTGGCTCCCTGGCTTCAGCCTCCTTTCCAGGGTAGTGAATGGTTCTGTCTCACTGGTGTTCCAGGCGCCACTGGGGCATGAAAAAAAATGCCTGCAGCTAGTTTGGTGTCTGCCCAAATGGCCACCCACTTTTGTGCTTGAAACCCAGGGCCCCAGTGGTGTAGGCACCTGTGGGAATCTCCTGGTCTGTGGTTACAAAGACTGTGGGTAAAGCGTAGTATCTTCACTGGAATGCAGCGTCTCTCATGGCACAGTTTTTCACAGCTTCCCTTGGCTAGGAGAGGGAGTTTCCCAACCCCTTGAGCTTCCCAGGTGAGGCAACGCCCCACCGTGCTTCATGAGTTTTTGGCTCATCCTTTGTGAGCTGCACTCACTGTGCAACCAGTCCCAATGAGATGACCCAGGTACCTCAGTTCGAAATGGAAAAATCACCCACCTTCTGCATTAATCTCACTGAGAGCTGCAGACCAGAGCTGTTCCTATTCGGCCATCTTGCCAGCTACCAGTTTGACTGCATTTTGACTGTAACCCATCACATGAGTTCAGGTATGGAATATTTCACTTGCTCAAAAAAGTTTTTGATTTTGGAACATTTCAATCTTTATATTTTCAAATTAGAAATTCTTGAGCTGGATAGTCATTACATTGGTTCCTATGTAGCAATCAAAAATGTTTACAAATAAATTTCATGACATGGGGGAAATTTTTAAGTAAAAAAAAAAATGTTACATGCAAAACGGAGAGAGATCTGGCAAGAAGGCCAAAGGAACAGCTCTGCTCTGCAGCTACCAGAAAGACCAATGCAGAGGGGGGTAATTTCTACATCTCCAAATGAGGTACACAGTTCATCTCACTGGGACTGGTTAGGCAGTGGGTGCAGCCCACGGAGGGTAAGCAGAAGCAGGGTGGGGTGTCACCTCACCTGGGAAGTGCAAGGAGCCAGGGACCTCTGTCCCCCATCCAAGGGAAGCCGCAAGGAACTGTGCTATCTGGCCCAGATACTGTGCTTTTCCCACAGTTTTTGCAAACCCAAGACCAGAAGATTCCCTCATGCACCTACACTGAAGGGGCCTGGGTTTCAAGCACAAACCCGGGTGGTTTTTGGAGCAGAAAGCAAGCTAGGTGCAGGAGTTTTTTTTTTTTGTTTGTTTTTTGTTTTTTTTTCCTCCATTGGCACCTGGAACCCCCGCAATACAGAACTGTAAACTCCCCTGGAAATGAGGCTGAAGGCAGGGAGCCAAGTGGTCTCATTCAGCAGGTCCCACTTTCATGGAGCCCAGCAAGCTAAGAACCACTGGCTTGAAATTCTCACTGCGAGCACAGCAGTCTGAAGTCAACTTGGAACAATTGAGCTTGGTGGGAAGAGAAGTGTCCACCATTACTAAGGTTAGAGTAGGCGGTTTTCCCCTGACAGTGCTAAGAAGGCCGGGAACTTCAGATTGGGCAGAACTCACCACAGCGCAGCAAGCGGCTGTGACCACAGTGCCTCTCTAGATTCCTCCTCGCTGGCAGGGCATCTCTGAAAGAAAGGCAGCAGCCCCTGACAGGGGATTATAGATAAAACTCCCATCTCCCTGGGACAGAGCACCTGGGGAAGGGGTGGATGTGGGCGCAGCTTCAGTGGACTTAAACATTCCTGCTTGCTGGCTCTGAAGAGAGAAGCAGATCTTGGCACATCTTCAGAGCAGCTACTGTTATTCTGCCAAAAGGAAGTGGAAATTTAGATAAAAGTTTCAATCCTTGGATGGATAAAAGTCCATTTTTACACAACGTCACTTTTGAAAAACAAGGAGTATTCTTCCAACACAGTACTTGAGCTCTGCTAAGGGACAGACTGCATCCCTGATGTCCAAGTGCATCCCTGATCCTGTGCCCCCTGACTGGGAGACACCTCCCAGCAGGGGTCAACAGACACCTCATACAGGAGAGCTCTGGTTGGCATTAGGCTGGTGCCCCTCTGGGATGAAGATTCCAGAGGATGGAGCAGGCAACAATCTTTGCTATTCTGTAGCCTCCACTGGTGTTACCCAGGCAAACAGTTTCTGGAGTGAACCTCCAGCAAACTGCAGCAGACATGCAGAAGAGAGGCCTGACAGCTAGAAGAAAAACTAACAAACAGAAAGCAATAACATCAACATCAAAAAAAAGGACCCCCACATAAGAACCCCATCCAAAGGTCATCAGTCTCAAAAATCAGAGACATAACAAAAAATAAAAACTTCAGGCCAATATCCCTGATGAACGTCAATGCAAAAATCCTCAATAAAACACCAGCAGCACATCAAAAAGCTTATCCACCACAATCAAGCTGGCTTCATCCCTGGGATGTAAGGCTGGTTCAACATACAAAAATCAATAAATGTAATTGATCACAAAAACAGAACAAATGACAAAAATCACATGATTATCTCAATAGATGCACAAAAGGCCTTTGATAAAATTCAACATCCCTTCATGCTATTAACTCTCAATAAACTATATATTGATGGAACATATCTCAAAATAATAAGAGCTGTTTATGACAAACCCATAGCCAATATCATACTGAATGGCCAAAAGTTGGAAGCATTCACTTTGAAAACTGGCACAAGACAAGGACGCCCTCTCTAACCACTCCCATTCAACATAGTATTGAAAGTTCTGACTAGCACAATCAGGCAAGAGAAAAAAATAAAGCATACTCAAACAGTAAGAGAGAAAGACAAACTGTCTTTGTTTGCAGAAGACATGATGTTATATTTAGAAAACACCATCATCTCAGCCCTAAAACTCCTTAAGCTGATAAGCAACTTCAGCAAAGTGTCAGGATACAAAATCAATGTGCAAAACCCACAAGCATTCCTATACACCAACAATAGATAAGCAGACAGACAAATCATGAGTGAACTCCCATTCAGAATTGCTACAAAAAGAATCAAATACCTAGGAATACAACTTACAAGGCACAGGAAGGACGTCTTCAAAGAGAACTACAAATCTCTGCTCAAGGAAATGAGAGAGGACACAAATGGAGAAACATTCTATGCTCATGGACAGGAAGAATCAATAATGTGAAATTGGCCATACTGCCCAAAGTAATTTATAGATTCAATGCTATTACCATCAAACTACCATTGACTTTGTAAGCAGAATTAGAAAAAACTACTTTAAATTTTAAATGGAATAAAAAATGAGCCCATATAGCCAAGACAATCCTAAGCAAAAAGAACAAAGCTGGAGGCATCACACTACCTGATTTTAAAGTATACTACAAGGCTACAGTAATAAAAACAGCATGCTACTCGTACCAAAACAATTATATAGAACAATGGAACAGAACAGAGGACTCAGATATAATGCCACACATCTAGAACAATCTGATCTTTGACAAACCTGACAGAAACAAACAATGTAGAAAGGATTCCCTATGTAATAAATGGTGCTGGAAAAACTGGCAAGCCATATGCAGAAAACAGAAACTGGACCACTTCCTTACACCTTATAGAAAAATTAACTCAAGATGGATTAAAAACTTAAGTGTAAAACCCAAAACCATAAAAATCCTAGAAGAAAACTTAATACCATACAGGACATAGGTATGGGCAAAGTCTTCATGACAAAAACACCAAAAGCAGTTGCAACAAATGCCAAAATTGACAAATGGGATCTAATTAAACTAAAGCACTTCTCCTCAGCAAAGGAAACTATCATCAGAGTGAACAGGCAACATATAGAATGGAAAAATTTTTTACCCACCAGAAAAAGGTCTAATATCTAGAATCTACAGGGAACTTAAACAAATTTACAAGGAAAAAACAAACAACTCCATCAAAAAGTAGGCAAAGGATATGAACAGACACTTCTTAAAAGAAAACATTTATGTAGCCAATAAACATATGAAAAAAAGATCGTCATCACTGGTCATTATAGAAATGCAAATCAAGAGGTTCCAAGATGGCCAAATAGGAACAGCTCCAGTCTACATCTCCCAGTGTCAGTGACACAGAAGACGAGTGATTTCTGCATTTCCAACTGAGGTACTGGGTTCATCTCACTGGGGCTTGTCGGACAGTGGGTGAAGCCCACAGAGCAGGGCGGGATATCGCCTCACCCAGGAAGTGCAAGGGGTCGGGGAATTCCCTTTCCTAGCCAAGAGAAGCCGTGACAGATGGTACCTCGAAAATTGGGATATTCCCACCCTAATACTGTGCATTTCCAATGGTCTTAGCAAACGGCACACCAGGAGATTATATCCCACACTTGTCTCGGAGGGTCCCATGCCCATGGAGCCTCACTCGTTGCTAGCACAGCAGTCTGAGATCGAACTGAAAGGTGGAAGCAAGACTGGGGGAGGGGCGTCCACCATTGCTGAGGCTTGAGTAGTTAAACAAAGCAGCTGGGAAACTCAAACTCGGTGGAGCCAACCACAGATCAAGGAGGCCTGCCTACCTCTGTAGACTCCACCTCTGGGGGCACAGCATAGCTGAACAAAAGGCAGCAGAAACTTCTGCAGACTTAAACGTCCCTGCCTGACAGCTTTGAAGAGAGTAGTGCTTCTCACAGCAAGGAATTTGAGATCTGAGAATGGTCAGACTGCCTCCTCAAGTGGGTCTCGGACCCCCGAGTAGCCTAACTTATAGACACCTCCCAATACGGGCCGACTGACACCTCATACAGCTGGGTGCACCTCTGAGATGAAGCTTCCAGAGGAAGGATCAGGCAGCACTATTTGCCGTTCTGCAATATTTGCTATTCTGCAGCCTCTGCTGGTGATACCCAGGAAAACAGGGTCTGGAGTGGACTTGCAGCAAACTCCAACAGACCTGCAGCTGAAGGTCCTGACTGTTAGAAGGAAAACTAACAAACAGAAAGGACATCCACACCGAAACCCGACCTGTACTTCACCATCATCAAAGACAAAAGGTGGATAAAACCACAAAGATGAGGAGAAACCAAGCAGAAAAGCTGAAAATTCTAAAAATCAGAGTGCCTCTTCTCCTCCAAAAAAACACAGCTCCTCTCTAGCAATGGAACAAAGCTGGATGGAGAATGACTCTGACAAGTTGAGAGAAGAAGGCTTCACACAATCGGTAATAACAAACTTCTCTGAGCTAAAGGAGGATGTTCTAACCCATCACAAATAAGCTAAAAACCTTGAAAAAATATTAGACGAATGGCTAACTAGAATAAACAGTATAGAGAAGAACTTAAATGACCTGATGGAGCTGAAAACCATGGTACGAGAACTAGGTGACGCATGCACAAGCTTCAGTAGCTGATTTGATCAACAGGAAGCAAGGATATCAGTGATTGAAGATCAAATGAATGAAATGAAGTGAGAAGAGAAGTTTAGAGAAAAAGGAGTGAAAAGAAATGAACAAAGCCTCCAAGAAATATGGGACTATGTGAAAAGACCAAACCTACGTCTCATTGGTGTACCTGAAAGTGACAGGGAGAATGGAACCAAGATGGAAAACACTCTTCAGGATATTATCCAGGAGAACTTCCCCAACCTAGAAAGGCAGGCCAACATTCAAATTCAGGAAATACAGAGAATGCCACAAAGATACTCCTAGAGAAGAGCAATTCCAAGACAAATAATTGTCAGATTCACCAAAGTTGAAAAGAAGGGAAAAATGTTAAGGGCAGCCAGAGAGAAAGGTCGGGTTACCTACAAAGGGAAGCCCATCAGACTAACAGCAGATCTCTCGGCAGAAACTCTAAAAGCCAGAAGACAGTGGGGGCAAATATTCAACAATCTTAAATAAAATAATTTTCAACCCAGAATTTCATATCCAGCCAAATTAAGCTTCATAAGTGAAGGAGAAATAAAATACTTTACAGACAAACAAGTGCTGAGAGATTTTGTCACCACCGGGCCTGCCTTACAAGAGCTCATGAAAAAAGCACTAACCATGGAAAGGAACAATTGGTACCAGCCACGGCAAAAACATGCCAAATTGTAAAGATCATTGGTGCTAGGAAGAAACTGCAGCAACTAACGAGCAAAATAACCAGCTAACATCATAATGACAGGATCAAATTCACACATAACAATATTAACCTTACATGTAAATCGGCTAAATGCTCCAATTAAAAGACACAGACTGGCAAATTGGATAAAGAGTCAAGACCCATCAGTATGCTGTATTCAGGAGACCCGTCTCGTGTGCAGAGACACACATAGGCTCAAAATAAAGGGATGGAGGAAGATCTGCCAAGCAAATGGAAAACAAAAAAAGCAGAGATTGCAATGCTAGTCTCTGATGAAACAGACTTTAAACCAACAAAGATCAAAAGAGACAAAGAAGGCCATTACATAATGGTAAAAGAATTAATTCAACAAGAAGAGCTAACTATGCTTAATATATATGCACCCAATACAGGAACACCCAGATTCATAAAGTAAGTCCATATAGACTTACAAAGAGACTTAGACTATCACACAGTAAAAATGGGAGACTTTAACACCCCACTGTCAACATTAGACAGATCAATAAGACAGAAAGTTAAAAAGGATATCCAGGAATTGAACTCAGCTGTGCACTAAGCAGATCTAATAGACATCTACAGAACTCTCCACCCCAAATCAACAGAATATACATTCTTCTCAGCACCATATTGCACTTATTCCAAAATTGACCATATAGTTGGAAGTAAAGCACTCCTCAGCAAATGTAAAATAACAGAAATTATAACAAACTGTCTCTCAGACCACAGTGCAATCAAACTAGAACTCAGGATTAAGAAACTCACTAAAAACTGCTCAACTACATGGAAACTGAACAACCTGCTCCTGAATGACTACGGGGTACATAATCAAATGAAGGCAGAAATAAAGATGTTCTTTGAAACCAATGAGTACAAAGACACAACATACCAGAATCTCTGGGACACATTTAAAGCAATGTGTAGAAGAAAATTTATAGCACTAAATGACCACGAGAGAAAGCAGGAAAGATCAAAAATTGACACCCTAACATCACAATTAAAAGAACCAGAGAAGCAAGAGCAAACACATTCAAAAGCTAGCAGAAGGCAAGAAATAACTAAGATCAGAGCAGAACTGAAGGAGACAGAGACACAAAAAACCCTTTAAAAATCAATGACTCCAGGATTTGTTTTTTTGAAAAGATCAACAAAATAGACCACTAGCAAGACTAATAAAGAAAAAAGAGAGAAGAATCAAATAGATGCAATAAAAAATGATAAAGGGGATATCACCATCAATTCCACAGAAATACAAACTACCATCAGAGAATAGTATAAACACCTCTACAAAACAAACTAGAAAATCTAGAATAAATGGATAAATTCCTGGACACACACACCCTCCAAAGACTAAACCACGAAGAAGTTGAATTGCTGAATAGACCAGTAACAGGCTCTGAAATTGAGGCAATAATTAATAGCCTACCAATCAAAAAAAGTCCAGGACCAGATGGATTCACAGCCGAATTCTACCAGAGATACAAGGAGGAGCTGGTACCATTCCTTCTGAAACTGTTCCAAACAATAGAAAAAGAGGGAATCTTCCCTAACTCATTTTATGTGGCCCACATCATCCTGATACCAAAGCCTGGCAGAGACGCAACAAAAAAAAAAAGAGAATTTTAGACCAATATCCCTAATGAACATAGATGCAAAACTCCTCAATAAAATACTGGCAAACTGAGTCCAGCAGCATATCAAAAAGCTTATCCACCATGATCAAGTGGGCTTCATCCCTGGGATGCAAGGCTGGTTCAACATATGCAAATCAATAAATGTAATCAAGCATATAAACCGAACCAAAGATAAAAACCATATGATTATATCAATAGCTGTAGAAAAGGCCATGGAAAAAATTCAACAGCCCTTCATGCTATGAACTCTCAATAAATTTGATATGGATGGGACGTATCTCAAAATAATGAGAGCTATTTATGACAGACCCACAGCCAATATCATACTAAATGGGCAAAAACTGGAAGCATTCCCTTTGAAAAGTGGCACAAGACAGGGATGTCCTCTCTCACTACTCCTATTCAACATAGTGTTGGAAGTTCTGGCCAGGGAAATCAGGCAGGAGGAAGAAACAAAGGGTATTCAATTAGGAAAAAAGGAAGTCAAATTGTCCCTTGTTGCAGATGACATGACTGTATATTTCGAAAACCCCATCATCTGAGCCCAAAATCTCCTTAAGCTGATAAGCAACTTCAGGAAAGTCTCAGGATACAGAACTAATGTGTAAAAATCACAAGCATTCTTATACACCAATAACAAATAGAGAGCCAAATCATGAGTGAACTCACATTCACAATTGCTTCAAAGAGAATAAAATACCTAGGAATCTAACTTACAAGGGATGTGAAGGACCTCTTCAAGGAGAACTACAAACCACTGCTGAAATAAAAGAGGACACAAACAAATGGAAGAACATCCCATGCTCATGGATAGTAAGAATCAATATCATGAAAACAGCCGTACTGCCCAAGGTAATTTATAGATTCAATGCAATCCCCATAAAGCTACCAATGACTTTCTACACAGAATTAGCAAAAACTACTTTAAATTTAACATGGAACCAAAGAAGAGCCCACATACCCAAGACAATCCTAAGCTAAAAGAACAAAGCTGGAGGCATCACGCTACCTGACTTCAAACTACACTACAAGGCTACAGTAACCAAAACAGCATGGTACCGGTGCCAAAACAGAGATATAGACCAATAGAACAGAACAGAGCCCTCAGAAATAATACCACACATCTACAAACATCTGATCTTTGACAAACCTGACAAAAACCAGAAATGGGGAAAGGATTCCCTATTTAATAAATGGTGCTGGGAAAACTGGCTAGCCATATGTAGAAAGCTGAAACTGGATCCCTTCCTTACACCTTATACAAAAACTAATTCAAGATGGATTAAAGACTTAAATGTTAGACCTAAAACCATAAAAACCCTAGAAGAAAACCTAGGCAATACCATTCAGGACATAGGCATGGGCAAGTACTTCATGACTAAAACACCAAAGGCAACGGCAACAAAAGCCAGAAGTGACAAATGCAATCTAATTAAAATAAAGGGCTTCTGTACAGCAAAATAAACTACGACCAGAGTGAACAGGCAACCTATACAATGGGAGAAAATTTTTACAATCTACCCATCTGACAAAGGGCTAATATCAAGAATCTACAAAGAACTTAAACAAATTTACAAGAAAAAATCAAATAACTGCATCAAAAAGTGGGCGAAAGACATGAACAGACACTTCTCAAAAGAAGACCTTTATGCAGCCAACAGACATGTGAAAAAAGCCTCACCACTGGCCATCAGAGAAATGCAAATCAAAACCACAATGAGATACCATCTCACACCAGTTAGAATGGCGATCATTAAAAAGTCAAGAAACACCAGGTGCAGGAGAGGATGTGGAGAAACAGGAACACTTTTACATTGTTGGTGGGACTGTAAACTAGTTCAACCATTGTGGAAGACGGTGTGGTGATTCGTCAAGGATCTAGAACTAGAAATACCATTTGACCCAGCCATCCCATTACTGCTTATATACTGAAAGGATTATAAATGATGCTGCTATAAACACACATGCACACGAATGTTTATTGCAGCACTATTCACAATAGCAAAGACTTGGAACGAACCCAAATGTCCATCAATGATAGACTGGATTAAGAAAATGTGGCACATATACACCATGGAATACTATGCAGCCATAAAAAACGATGAGTTCATGTCCTTTGTAGGGACATGGATGAAGCTGGAAACCATCATTCTGAGGAAACTATCGCAAGGACAGAAAACCAAACACTGCATGTTCTCACTCATAGGTTGGAATTAACCAATGAGTACACTTGGACACAGGGTGGGGAACATCACACACTGGGGCCTGTCGTGGGGTGGGAAGAGGGGGAGGGATAGCATTAGGAGATATACCTAATGTAAATGATGAGTTAATGGGTGTAGCACACCAACATGGCACATGTATAACTATGTAACAAACCTGCGCATTGTGCACATGTACCCTAGAACTTAAAGTATAATAAAAAAGAAAGAAAGAAAGAAAAAGAAATACAAATCAAAACCATAATAAGATACCATCTCATGCCAGTTAGAATAGCGATTATTAAAAAGTCAGGAAATAGCAGATGCTGGTAAGAATATGGAGAAATAGAAATACTCTTACAATGTTGGTGAAAGTGTAAATTAGATCAACCTTTGTGGAGGACAGTGTGGCCATTCCTGAAGGATCTAGAACCAGAAATACCATTTGACCAAGCAATCCCATTATTGGGTATACACCCAAAAGATTATAAATCATTCTACTATAAAGACACATGCACATTTATGTTTATTGCAGCACTATTTTCAATAACAAAGACTTGGAACCAACTCAAATGTTGATCAATGATAGACTGGATAAAGAAAATTTGGCACATATACCCCATGGACTACTATGCAGCCATGAAAATGAATGAGTTCATGTCATTTGTAGGGAGATGGATGAAGCTGGATGGAAACCATCATTCTTAACAAACTAACAAACAAACTAACACAGGAACAGAAAACCAAGCACTGCATATTCTCACTCAAAATTGGGAGCTGAACAATGAGAACACATGGGCACAGGGAAGGGAACATCCCACACCGGGGCCTTTCGGCAGTGTGGGGCAAATGAAGTGTGAGCATTAGGACAAATACCTAATGCATGCAGGGCTTAAAACCTAGATGACAGGCTGATAGGTGCAGTCAACCACCATGGCACATGTATACCTATGTATCAAACCTGTACGTTCTGTACATGTATCTGAGAACTTAAAGTAAAATAAATAAAATAAATTTAAAAAGTAAAACTGGAGAATAACATTTTTAGCAATATAATCTCAATTAATGTGGAGCAATATAAAAGAAGGAAGTAAATTCACTGAAATAATAACAGTATTTATTTCAGGAGTTTGGGGGCAGTTACTAATGATTTATTGATTTTCTCCTTTTTATTTGTTTGAAAATTTCTACAACAAATATCTACTGTTGTAACATCGAAATATAACTTCGTTTAAAGCACTTCATTTTCTCTATGTTCTCTAAGTTTTTCTTTTAAGTTTTCTCATCTCCCTCCCCAACTAAACTGTATAATGCCTGAGGAAAAATAGTATGATTGATTTTATTTTCTGATTTATGTGAGAAACTTTGCTATAAGACTCTTGTTAATATTTTCAAGAAAGCTTCCTTATCCTGTGCTCTAACATTCTTTAAACATATTATGGGCACATCAGTATTCACACAGGGCTACTTTTGAGGGGAAATTGCCAGTACCTCTTTTTTCAGAGTACATAAGCCAGACCAACAATCTGAAAACTCTTTATGATAGATGTTGATGAAAGTGTCTTTTCAAAAATTATGACAGTAAAAGAAATCTAACATAGCTGACTCCACCTTGCTTCTAACCTTATAAGCGGTCCTTGCTCATTCCTGGACAAAACCAAGCTAACTACAAGAGGCATTTAATTTGTTCAACTTTGAAACAAAGATATTAATCTCTTCCCAAAACTAACCTCCTTCCTTTCTCAGGGACTGAAACCACCTTTGTAAATGAAAAAATGGGCAAAAAAGTTAGAATCATGCTTCAGGAGTCATGTAGCCAGAGGTCACAAGAGTTATATCCTCCCTAATTGCTCCTATAGATATTATCATTATTATAAAACCTGAGCGGTGTTTGAGGTATTTTTCAGATCTTGCATTCTGATGGATCAGCTGATACCACCCAGCCCATTAACCACACCAAAAAACTGATTCAACTGGTTCTATAACCCACACCCAGTAACTGACTCAGTGCAAAAAGACATCTTTGACCCCCTGTGATTTCATTCCCAACCCAACCAATCAGCATTCTCTATTCCCTAGTCCCTGGCCACCAAAATGTCCTTGAAAAACCCTAGCCTCCAACTTCTTGGAGAAGTGGATTTGAGAAATATCTCCCATCCTCTCACTTCACTACCTTGCAATTATTAAACTATTTCTTTGTTGCAACACCTGTGGTTTTCAGTGTATTGATTTTTCAGGGCAGTGAGCAAAGAGAAATCATCAGGCTATAACGACAGGTAGTTTTTAAGAAGCCAGGATAGATTTAATAATCAAATAAAATAAAATATTTGCTTACATTAAAACTCTGCCAGCAGAGGGGGGGAGCCAAGATGGCTGAATAGGAACAGCGACGGTCTACATCTCCCAGCGTGAGTGACGCAGAAGATGCGTGATTTCTGAATTTCCATCTGAGGTACCGGGTTCATCTCACTAGGGAGTGCCAGACAGTGGGTGCAGGAGAGTGAGTGCAGTGCAACATGCGTGAGCTGAAGCAGGGCGAGGCATTGCCTCACTCGGGAAGCACAAGGGGTTGGGGAGTTCCCTTTCCTAGTCAAAGAAAGGGGTGACAGATGGCACCTGGAAAATCAGGTCACTCCCACCCTAATACTGCGCTTTTCTGACGGGCTTAAAAAACGGCGCACCAGGAGATTATATCCCGCACATAGCTCAGAGGGTCCTACGCCCACGGAGTCTCACTGATTGCAAGCACAGCAGTATGAGATCAAACTGCAAGGTGGCAGCGAGGCTGGGGGAGGGGTGCATGTCATTGCTCAGGCTTGCTTAGGTAAACAAAGCAGCCAGGAAGCTCGAACTGGGTGGAGCCCACCACAGCTCAAGGAGGCCTGCCTGCTTCTGTAGGCTCCACTTCTGGGGGCAGGGCACAGACAAACAAAAAGACAGCAGTAACCTCTGCAGACTTAAATGTCCCTGTCTGACAGCGTTGAAGACAGCAGTGGTTCTCCCATCACGCAGCTGGAGATCTGAGAATGGGAAGACTGCCTCCTCAAGTGGGTCCCTGACCCCTGACCCCCGAGCAACCTAACTGGGAGGCACCCCCCAGTAGGGGCAGACTGACACCTCACACGCCCAGGTATTCCTCTGAGACAAAACTTCCAGAGGAACGATCAGACAGCAGCATTCACGGTTCACAAAAATCCGCTGTTCTGCAGCCACCACTGCTGACTCCCAGGCAAACAGGGTCTGGAGTGGACCTCCAGCAAACTCCAACAGACCTGCAGCTGAAGGTCTTGTCTGTTACAAGGAAAGCTAACAAACAGAAAGGACATCCACACCAAAAACCCATGTGTGCATCACCATCATCAAAGAACAAAAGTAGATAAAACCACACAGATGGGGAAAAAACAGAGCAGAAAAACTGGAAACTCTAAAAAGAAGAGCGTCTCTTCTCCTCCAAAGGAACGCAGTTCCTCACCAGCAAAGGAGCAAAGCTGGACAGAGAATGACTTTGACGAGGTGAGAGAAGAAGGCTTCAGACGATCAAACTACTCTGAGCTACAGGAGGAAATTCAAACCAAAGGCAAAGAAGTTAAAAACTTTGAAAAAAATTTAGACGAATGTATAACTAGAATAACCAATACAGAGAAGTGCTTAAAGGAGCTGATGGAGCTGAAAGCCAAGACTCGAGAACTACGTGAAGAATGCAGAAGCCTCAGGAGCCGATGTGATCAACTGGAAGAAAGGGTATCAGTCATGAAAGATGAAATGAATGAAATGAAGTGAGAAGGGAAGTTTAGAGAAAAAAGAATAAAAAGCAATGAACAAAGCCTCCAGGAAATAAGGGACTTTGTGAAAAGACCAAATCTACGTCTGATTGGTGTAACTGAAAGTGATGGGGAGAACGGAACGAAGTTGGAAAACACTCCGCAGGATATTATCCAGGAGAACTTGCCCAATCTAGCAAGGCAGGCCAGCATTCAGATTCAGGAAATACAGAGAACACCACAAAAATACTCCTCGAGAAGAGCAACTCCAAGACACATAATTGTCAGATTCACCAAAGATGAAATGAAGGAAAAAATGTTAAGGGCAGCCAGAGAGAAAGGTCAGGTTACCCACAAAGGGAAGCCCATCAGACTAACAGCTGATCTCGTGGCAGAAACTCTACAAGCCAGAAGAGAGTGGGGGCCAATACTCAACATTCTTAAAGAAAAGAATTTTCAACCCAGAATTTCATATCCAGCCAAACTAAGCTTCATAAGTGAAGGAGAAATAAAACACTTTACAGACAAGTAAATGCTGAGAGATTTTGTCACCACCAGGCCTGCCCTAAAAGAACTCCTGAAGGAAGCACTAAACATGGAAAGGAACAACCAGTACCAGCCACTGCAAAATCATGACAAATTCTAAAGACCATCGAGGCTAGGAAGAAACTGCATCAACTAGTGAGCAAAATAACCAGCTAACTAACACCATAATGACAAGATCAAGTTCACACAAAACAATATTAACCTTAAATGTAAATGGACTAAATGCTCCAATTAAAAGACACTGACTGGCAAATTGGATAAAGAGTCAAGACCCAGCAGTGTGCTGTATTCAGGAAACGCATCTCACTTACAGAGACACACATAGACTCAAAATAAAAGGATGCAGGAAGAGCTACCAAGCAAATGGAAAACAAAAAAAGGCAGGGGTTGCAATCCTAGTCTCTGATAAAACAGACTTTAAACCAACAAAGATCAAAAGAGACAAAGAAGGCCATTACATAATGGTAAAGGGATCAATTCAACAAGAAGAGCTAACTATCATTAATATATATGCACCCAATACAGGAGCACCCAGATTCATAAAGCAAGTCCTGAGTGACCTACAAAGAGACTTAGAATCCCACACAATAATAATGGGAGATTTTAACACCCCACTGTCAACAACAGACAGATCAACGAGACAGAAAGTTAACAAAGATCCCCAGGAATTGAATTCAGCTCTGCACCAAGCGGACCTAATAGATATCTACAGAACTCTCCACCCCAAATCAACAGAATATACATTTTTTTTCAGCATCACACCATACCTATTCCAAAATTGACCACATAGTTGGAAGTAAAGCTCTCCTCAGCAAATGTAAAAGAACAGAAATTATAACAAAGTGTCTCTCAGACCACAGTGCAATCAAACTAGAACTCAGGATTAAGAAACTCACTAAAAACTGCTCAACTACATGGAAACTGAACAACCTGCTCCTGAATGACTACTGGGTACATAACAAAATGAAGGCAGAAATAAAGATGTTCTTTGAAACCAACGAGAACAAAGACACAACATACAAGAATCTCTGGGACACATTCAAAGCACTGTGTAGAGGGAAATTTATAGCACTAAATGCCCACAAGAGAAAGCAGGAACGATCCAAAATTGACACTTTAACATCACAATTAAAAGAACTAGAAAAGCAAGAGCAAACACATTCAAAAGCTAGCAGAAGGCAAGAAATAACTAAAATCAGAGCAGAACTGAAGGAAATAGAGACACAAAAAACCCTTCAAAAAATTAATTAATCCAGGCACTGGTTTTTTGAAAGGATCAACAAAATTGATACACCATTAGCAAGACTAATAAAGAAGAAAATAGAGACAAATCAAATAGACACAAAAAAAATGATAAAGGGGATATCACCACCAATCCCACAGAAATACAAACTACCATCAGAGAATACTACAAACACCTCTACGCAAATAAACTAGAAAATCTAGAAGAAATGGATAAATTCCTCGACACATACAACCTCCCAAGACTAAACCACAAAGAAGTTGAATCTCTGAATAGACCAATAACAGGCTCTGAAGCTGTGGCAATAATCAATAGCTTACCAACCAAAAAGAGTCCAGGACCAGATGGATTCACAGCCGAATTCTACCAGAGGTACAAGGAGGAACTGGTACCATTCCTTCTGAAACTATTCCAATCAATACAAAAGAAGGAATCCTCCCTAACTCATTTTATGAGGCCAGCATCATCCTGATACCAAAGCCGGGTAGAGACACAACCGAAAGGAGAATTTTGGACCAATATCCTTGATGAACATTGATGCAAAAATCCTCAATAAAATACTGGCAAATCGAATCCAGCAGCACATCAAAAACCTTATCCACCATGATCAAGTGGGTTTCATCCCTGGGATGCAAGGCTGGTTCAATATACACAAATCAATAAATGTAATCCAACATATAATCCGAACCAAAGACAAAAACCACATGATTATCTCAATAGATGCAGAAAAGGCCTTTGACAAAATTCAACAGCCCTTCATGCTAAAATTTCTCAATAAATTAGGTATTGATGGGACGTATCTCAAAATAATGAGAGCTATCTATGACAAACCCACAGCCAATATCATACTGAATGGGCAAAAACTGGAAGCATTCCCTTTGAAAACTGGCACAAGACAGGGATGCCCTCTCTCACCACTCCTCTTCCACATAGTGTTGGAAGTTCTGGCCAGGGCAATCAGGCAAGAGAAGGAAATAAAGGTTATTCAATTAGGAAAAGAGGGAGTCAAATTGTCCCTTTTTGCAGATGACATGATTGTATATCTAGAAAACTCCATTGTCTCAGCCGAAAATCTCCTTAAGCTGATAAGCAACTTCAGCAAAGTCTCATGATACAAAATCAATGTACATATATCACAAGCATTCTTACACACCAATAACAGACAGAGAGCCAAATCATGAGTGAACTCCCATTCACAATTGCTTCAAAGAGAATAAAATACCTAGGAATCCAACTTACAAGGGATGTGAAGGACCTCCTGAAGGAGAACTACAGACCACTGCTCAATGAAATAAGAGGATACAAACAAATGGAAGAACATTCCATGCTCATGGGTAGGAAGAATCAATACCATGAAAACGGCCATACTGCCCAAGGTAATTTATAGATTCAATGACATCCCCATCAAGCTACCAATGACTTTCTTCACAGAATTGGAAAAAACTAAAGTTCATATGGAACCAAAGAAGAGCCCGCATCGCCAAGTCAATGCTAAGCCAAAAGAACAAAGCTGGAGGCATCATGCTACCTGACTTCAAATTATACTACGAGGCTACAGTAACCAAAACAGCATGGTACTGGTACCAAAACAGAGACATAGACCAATGGAACAGAACAGAGACCTCAGAAATAATGCCGCATATCTACAACCATTTGAGCTTTGACAAACCTGAGAAAAACAAGCAATGGGGAAAGGATTCCCTATTTAATAAATGGTGCTGGGAAAACTGGCTAGCCATATGTAGAAAGGTGAAACTGGATCCCTTCCTTACACCTTATACAAAAATTTATTCAAGATGGATTAAAGACTTAAATGTTAGACCTAAAACCATAAAAACCCTAGAAGAAAACTTAGGCATTACCATTCAGGACACAGGCATGGGCAAGGACTTTATGTCTAAAACACCAAAAGCAATGGCAACAAAAGCCAAAATTGACAAATGGGATCTAATTAAACTAAAGAGCTTCTGCACAGCAAAAGAAACTACCATCAGAGTGAACAGGCAATGCATAAAATGGGAGAAAATTTTCGTAACCTACTCATCTGACAAAGGGCTAATATCCAGAATCTACAATGAACTCAAACAAATTTACAAGAAAAAAACAAACAACCCCATCAAAAAGTGGGTGAAGGACACGAACAGACACTTCTCAAAAGAAGACATTTATGCAGCCAATAAACACATGAAAAAATGCTCACCATCACTGGCCATCAGAGAAATGCAAATCAAAACCACAATGACATACCATCTCACACCAGTTAGAATGACAATCATTAAAAGTCAGGAAACAACAGGTGCTGGAGAGGATGTGGAGAAATAGGAACACTTTTACACTGTTGGTGGGACTGTAAACTAGTTCAACCATTGTGGAAGTCAGTGTGGCGATTCCTCAGGGATCTACAACTAGAAATACCATTTGACTCAGCCATTCCATTACTGGCTATATACCCAAAGAACTGTAAATCATGCTGCTATAAAGACACATACACACGTATGTTTATTGCGGCACTATTCACAATAGCAAAGACTTGGAACCAACCGAAATGTCCAACAATGATAGACTGGATTAAGAAAATGTGGCACATATACACCATGGAATACTATGCAGCCATAAAAAATGATGAGTTCATGTCCTTTGTAGGGACATGGATGAAATTGGAAATCATCATTCTCAGTAAACTTTCGCAAGGGCAAAAAACCAAACACAGCATGTTCTCACTCATAGGTGGGAATTGAACAATGAGAACACATGGCCACAGGAAGGGGAACATCACACTCTGGGGCCTGTTGTGGGGTGGGGGGAGGGGGGAGGGATAGCATTAGGAGATATACCTAATGCTAAATGACGAGTTAATGGGTGCAGCACACCAGCATGGCACATGTATACATATGTAACTAACCTGCATATTGTGCACATGTCCCCTAAAATTTAAAGTATAATAATAATAAAATAAAAAAAAGAAAAGGGAAAGGTAGAAAAAGTGGGTTAAAGAGAAATTCCCAAATAAGATGGTAAAAATAAATTCAAATATATTAGTAACAACAAGTGTACTAAATTATCCAGGTAAAAGACAGTTTGTTCAAAATGGAAAAATCTATCTATATTCTGTTACAAAGGACATATTTAAACATAGTAATATAGAGAGAATGGCTATAGTAAAAACAGTGGGGAAAAATGTACTAGGTAAATACTAGCTGACAGAAAGCTGGTGTAGCTATATTAATGGCAAACCAAATAGACCAAGGCAAAAAGCATTACTAGAAATAACACCACTACATAATTGTAATAGATTTAATTTACTTTGAAGACACAACAATTCTATATGTATGTAATAACACAGTTTTAAATATTTATATTAGAAAGTAAGGAAGGCTGAAAATTAAGATGTTGAGCATATCTTATTAAATCAAAAAAGACCAATGGCATTAAAGCAAGGATAATAAAAAGAATGAGTGGTGGCTCATGCCTGTAATCTCAGCATATTGGAAGGCATAGGCGGGCAGATACCTTGAGCACAGAAGTCTGAGACCAGCCTGGGGAACATGGCAAAACTCTGTCTCTACAAAAAATACAAAAATCAGCCAGGTGTGTTGGAGCCCACTTTAGTCTCAGCTACTTGGGAGGCTGAGGTAGGAGGATTGCCTAAGCCCAAGGAGGTCAAAGCTGCAGTGAGCTGTGATTGTGCCACTGCACTCCAGCCTGGGCAAAAGAGTAAGACACTGTCTGAAAATTAATAAAAATTAAAGGAAGAAAGAAAGAAAGAAAAATGTCAGTAATCACAAGTGAAATAGAAAATAAATATATGTCAAAGAATATTAACTGAGCCAAAAGATGATGTGCTAAAAATGTTAGTAAACCCCTGGCAAGTATTCTCAATAAAAAAGCAAAACAACAACGACAACAAAACATGGCTTGGCAGGATGACGCATGCCTAAGAGCTCAACATTCTGGGAGTTTGAGGTGGGAGGATTGCTTGAGCCCAGGAGTTAGAGATCAGCCTGGGCAACATGGAGAGATCCTGTCTCTACAAAAAGTTTAAAAATTGGCCTTGTGCGGTGGCTCATGCCTGTAATCCCAGCACTTTGGGAGGCCGAGGCAGGTGGATTACCTGGGGTCGAGAGTTCAAGTCAAGCCTGGCCAACATGGTGAAACCCCGTCTCTACTAAAAATACAAAAATTAGCCAGGCGTGGTGACAGACGCCTGTAATCCCAGGTACTCTGGAGGCTGAGGCAGTAGAATCACTTGAGCCCCAGAGGTGGAGGTTGCAGTGAGACGAGATTGCGCCATTGCACTCCAGCATGGGCGATGGAGCAAGACTCTGTCTCCAAAACAACAACAACAAAAAGTTTAAAAAATTTAGCAGGTTGTGGCAGCATGTGCTGATAGTACCAGCTGCTCGAGAGGCTGAGATGGGAGGATCAGTTTAGCCTGGGAATTTGAGGATGCAGTGAGCCATGATCTCACTACTGCACTTCAGCCACTCCAGCCTGGGTGACACAGCAAGACCCTGTCTTAAAAGAAAAAATAAAAAGAGCAGGAGAGAGAAAGCACAATATTAAAAATAAGAAAAGGTACATGCCTACAAGGTCTGCAGAGGTTATAAAGATACTAAGAGGATACTATAAACAATATAAACATTTTTTTTTCTATAAAGACCCAACTTGCCAAAAGTGATTCACAGAGAAATTAAAACCTTGACTAATTATTCAATAATTTTTAAAATGATCTAGTAGTGGAAAAAACATCCTTAATAGACATTAGGCAGAGATAGTTTAAAGGCAATTTGAAAAACTGATAATTCCAACCTTATAAATACTCTTCTAGAATACAGGAAAAGTGGGAATAATTTCCAACTTTTTTTTTTTTAGAAAAGGCCTCGCTCTGTCACCTAGACTGGAGTGCAGTGATGTGATCATGCTCTCTGTAGCCTAGTACTCCCAAGCTGAAGTGATCTTCCCACATCAACCTCCCAACTAGCTGGTACTTCAGGCACCTGCCACCACGCCTGGCTAATTTTTTTATTTTTATTTTCTGTACAGACGAGGTTTCACCATGTTGCCTTGGCTGGTCTCAAACTCCTGGGCTCAATGGATCCTCCTGCCTTGGGCCTCCCAAAGTGCTGGGATTACAGGCATAAGCCATCATGCCTGGCTCCCAGCTGTTTTTATGAGACTAGCTTAAACTTGGTACAAAACCGAACAATAACTAAATGACAAAGGAAAACCCACGGATCATTTAACTTTTGAATACGAATGCAACAATCCAGCAATATATGACAAAAGAAAAGATCAAAGTGGGTTTAGCCCAGGAATGCAGGAATAGTGTTACTTTGAAAAATCTGGTAATGTATTTCACATTAGCAGATCAAAGCACGGGGATAAACTATGTGATCGCTCTAAGAGATACAGAGAAAGCATATAATAAAATTCAACATTCTTTCATGGTGACTAAAAAAAAAAAGTAGCAGGCCAGACTCAGTGGATCATGCCTGTAATCCTAGCATTTTGGGAGGCCAAGGTGGGCAGATGGCTTGAGTTCAAGAGTTCAAGACCAGTCTGGGCAACATGGTGAAACCCTGTCTCTATAAAAAATACAAAAAAGTGGCCAGGTTTGGTGGTTGCATGTCTGTAGTCCCAGCTACTTGGGATGCTGAGGTGGGAGGATGGCTTGAGCTTAGGAGGCAGATGTTTCAGTGAGCTGAGATTGTGCCACTGTACTCCCACCTGGGAGCAAGACACAGTCAAAAAAAAAAAAAACCTTAGCAAACTAGAAATAGAAGGGAACTTCCTTGAGCTAATAGATAATAACCATTTAAAAACCCTACAAGCAATATCATTACTTAATGGTGAAATATTTTTATTTCTATTTTTAATTAATTTATTAGACAGGGTCTTGCTCTGTTGCCCAGGATGGAGTGCAGTGGTAAACACAGCTCACTGCAGCCTCAACCTTCTAGGCTGAAATGATCTTCTGCCTCAGCCTCCTTCATAGCTGGAATCACAGGTATGCAACACACCCAGCTAATTCTTTTATTTTTGTAGAGATGGGGGTCTCACATCATTGCCCAGGCTGGTCTCTTACTCCTGGGCTCAAGCAATCCTCCAGCCTTTGCCTCCCAAATGAACCGCCACACGGCCAATGGTGAAATCTTAAAAGTGTTCACATTACTATCAGAGAAAAGCAAGAAATAAACAAAACTGTTATTATAGACACAGAGATAAATGTCCATGTAGAAAATCCCCCAAATTATTGACAAATTATTATAATCAGTAAGTTATTTTGTAACAAGATGGAAGGGGGGAAAATTAATGCCTAAACTGTAACACACTTCTCAATCTCAGTGCAAAACAGAAAACATAATTTTTAAAAGATAATTTACAAATGTGGTAATAAATGCAAAGGTAGTAGGAAAAAATTTAACAAAAGATGTATACGATGTTTGTGTACGGCATGAGAAAATTTTTTTTAATTTATTTTTTTAAATTTTATTATTATTGTACTTTAAGTTTTAGGGTGCATGTGCACAATGTGCAGGTTAGTTACATATGTATACATGTGACATGTTGGTGTGCTGAACCCATTAACTCGTCATTTAACATTAGGTATATCTCCTAATGTTATCCCTGCCCCCTCCTCCCACCCCACAACAGTCCCCAGAGTGTGATATTCCCCTTCCTGTGTCCATGTGTTCTCGTTGTTCAATTCCCACCTATGAGTGAGAATATGCGGTGTTTGGTTTTTTGTCCTTGCAATAGTTTACTGAGAATGATGATTTCCAATTTCATCCATGTCCCTACAAAGGACATGAACTCATCATTTTTTATGGCTGCATAGTATTCCATGGTGTATATGTGCCACATTTTCTTAATCCAGTCTATCATTGTTGGACATTTGGGTTGGTTCCAAGTCTTTGCTATTGTGAATAGTGCCACAATAAACATACATGTGCATGTGTCTTTATAGCAGCATGATTTATAGTCCTTTGGGTATATACCCAGTAATGGGATGGATGGGTCAAATGGTATTTCTAGTTGTAGATCCCTGAGGAATCACCACATTGACTTCCACAATGGTTGAACTAGTTTACAGTCCCACCAACAGTGTAAAAGTGTTCCTATTTCTCCACATCCTCTCCAGCACCTGTTGTTTCCTGACTTTTTAATAATTGCCATTCTAAATGGTGTGAGATGGTATCTCATTGTGGTTTTGATTTGCATTTCTCTGATGGCCAGTGATGGTGAGCATTTTTTCATGTGTTTTTTGGCTGCATAAATGTCTTCTTTTGAGAAATGTCTGTTCATGTCTTTCGCCCACTTTTTGATGGGGTTGTTTTTTTCTTGTAAATTTGTTTGAGTTCATTGTAGATTCTGGATATTAGCCCTTTGTCAGATGAGTAGGTTGCAAAAATTTTCTCCCATTCTGTAGGTTGCCTGTTCACTCTGATGATAGTTTCTTTTGCTATGCAGAAGCTCTTTAGTTTAATTAGATCCCATTTGTCAATTTTGGCTTTTGTTGCCATTGCTTTTGGTGTTTTAGACATTAAGTCCTTGCCCATGCCTATGTCCTGAATGGTAATGCCTAAGTTTTCTTCTAGGGTTTTTATGGTTTTAGGCCTATCATTTAAGTGTTTCATCCATCTTGAATTAATTTTTGTATAAGGTGTAAGGAAGGGATCCAGTTTCAGCTTTCTACATATGGCTAGCCAGTTTTCACAGCACCATTTATTAAATAGGGAATCCTTTCCCCATTGCTTGTGTTTCTCAGGTTTGTCAAAGATCAGATAGTTGTAGATATGTGGCATTACTTCTGAGGGCTCTGTTCTGTTCCATTTATCTATATCTCTGTTTTGGTACCAGTACCATGCTGTTTTGGTTACTATAGCCTTGTAGTATAGTTTGAAGTCAGGTAGCGTGATGTCTCCAGCTTTGTTCCTTTGGCTTAGGATTGACTTGGCAATGCGGGCTCTTTTTTGGTTCCATATGAACTTTAAAGTAGTTTTTTCCAATTCTGTGAAGAAAGTCTGGTAGCTTGATGGGGATGGCATTGAATCTATAAATTACCTTGAGCGGTATGGCCATTTTCACGATATTGATTCTTCCTACCCATGAGCATGGAATGTTCTTCCATTTGTTTGTATCCTCTTTTATTTCATTGAGCAGTGGTTTGTAGTTCTCCTTGAAGAGGTCCTTCACGTCCCTTGTAAGTTGGATTCCTAGATATTTTATTCTCTTCAAAGAGAATAAAGTTGTGAATGGGAGTTCACTCATGATTTGGCTCTCTGTCTGTTATTGGTGTATAAGAATGCTTGTGATTTTTGTACATTGATTTTGTATCCTGAGACTTTGCTGAAGTTGCTTATCAGCTTAAGGAGATTTTGGGCTGAGACATTGGGGTTTTCTAGATATACAATCATGTCATCTGCAAAAAGGGACAATTTGACTTCCTCTTTTCCTAGTTGAATACCCTTTATTTCCTTCTCCTGCCTAATTGCCCTGGCCAGAACTTCCAACACTATGTTGAGTAGGAGTGGTGAGAGAGGGCATCCCTGTCTTGTGCCAGTTTTCAAAGGGAATGCTTCCAGTTTTTGCCCATTCAGTATGATATTGGCTGTGGGTTTGTCATAGATAGCTCTTATTATTTGCAGATACATCCCATCAATACCTAATTTATTGAGAGTTTTTAGCATGAAGGGCTGTTGAATTTTGTCAAAGGCCTTTTCTGTATCTATTGAGATAATCATGTGTTTTTTGTCATTGGTTCTGTTTATATGCTGGATTACAGTTATTGATTTGCGTATATTGAACCAGCCTTGCCTCCCAGGGATGAAGCCCACTTGATCATGGTGGATAAGCTGTTTGATGTGCTGTTGAATTCAGTTTGCCAGTATTTTATTGAGGATTTTTGCATCAATGTTCATCAAGGATATTGGTCAAAAATTCTCTTTTTTGGTTGTGTCTGTGCCCGGCTTTGGTATCAGGATGATGCTGGCCTCATAAATGAGTTAGGGAGGATTCCTTCTTTTTGTATTGATTGGAATAGTTTCAGAAGGAATGGTACAAGTCCCTCGTTTGTATTCACTGTTGAAAATTGAAGAAAAAAACCACAAAGTTATACCTTTTAGGAGTTTATATCTGAAGTCACACCTTTAAAGATTAGGGGAATTGCTAGATTCCTTGGTAATCTGAGTAATTAAAAATTCAAAATTTACAGGGAAAGCTTCATTTCCATTAAACAAACTTATTTCTTGCTATTAGTGGGTACAACACAATTTGATGATGTCACATACAATAATTTTGAGAGGATGAACATATCCTACATGTCAATTTTTTCTCTGAACTTGGTTTATTCCAAATACCTTATTAACAAGGAAGTCTCCACATTTTCGAGTGACAGATATTTTCCGTTGAACAATGTTTTAAGCCTTTATTTGTACTTTTATCATTTTTTAAATTGCACTAAGATTTTGAATGGAAAAATTTTTTCTTGGTTTGTGATTGTATTTGTAGGAAGAAATGTAACCCTAATTTTGAAATATTCTACTGAAAAAGAAGTCTGTTATATTTTTTACTGATGTTGTTTTTAGAAGACATAGAAATCTTGAACAAAAATTAACTGCATAACTTAAATTTCTTCATAGTTATAAAAACAAAATTATAAATGACTAAATTTTGATGTCAAAAAACATTCAATAACAAATGCTTGAATAAATGAATTATTATACATGTTATTTTTCAATTCTCTGTCCTCCAGAGAGATCAGAATAAAACCTCATAATAAAATGGGATTGTGTGCTTATCATTAGAAACAACTAGGAAGGGGAGGCAGGGAAGAGTACATAGCCACTTTGCAGCCAGATTTATGGAGACTAGAATGCCAAAAGACAGAAAAAGTAGTGATAGGTTTCATTAGTAAAAGCAAGCAAGCAAAATCTCATCTGCAAAGAAGAAAGGGGAAGTAGGAAGATAAGACAAATGGCACTGGATATAAAAAATAAAAAAGCCTGTGTGGTTTTACAAAACTAAAATATTCAGACTATGCAGCCATGAAAAGGAATGAGATCATGTCCTTTGCAGGGACATGGATGAAGCTGGAAGTCATCATCTTCAACAAACTAACACAAGAACAGAAAACCAAACACCACATGTTCTCACTCATAAGTGGGAGTTGAACAATCAGAATACATGGACACAAGGAGGGAAACAACACACACCAGGGCCTGTTGGGGGGTCGGGGGCAGGGAAGGAACTTAGAGGATGGGTCAATAGGTGCAGCAAATCACCATGGCACACGAATATGTAACAAACCTGAATGTTCTGTATATGTATCCCAGAACTTAAAGTAGAATTAAAAAAAAAACTGAAATATTCAGTCTTTGTCTCAGCAAATATGAAGGTCCAGAAGGAGTGGGTTCATTTGATGTAGGTGCTGAAAAAATATTTATTTCTAGCAATAAATGAGTAATGTTCATATTGCTTCATTATGAAATCTCCTTGAAGATTCCTGCCACCTTTATGTTCAGTAGCCATAGTGCAAAAAAATAAGTAATAATAATATATAGTAAAACCGTAGCAATAGGAAAGGAAGGGGAAAAGAGATATGACAAAGTTAAAATTCAAAGGACTTCTCAACTAATTAGATGTAGTGGAGTAAAATAAAAATAAAACACGACACTGGGGTTTCAAATGAAGAAAGAATATGCTCATGGATATTTAAGTTGTTATGGTAATAGTTTTTAATAAAGTCAGGTACTTAAGGAACTCAATCAGTTTACTGGCTTTCTGTTGATTTTTACTTGGACAATGTGTGGTATATTGTTAAGTGGTTTCATAAGTAAGATCTAAACATTACTATAAGTAGCATTATACAAGGGTAGTTACTGCAGATGCCCATAATACTTTACTTTTATTTATTATTATTATTATTATTATTATTATTATTATTATTATTATTATTATTATTTGAGATTAAGTCTCACTCTGTGGCCCAGGCTGCAGTGCAGTGGTGTGATCTCGGCTCACTGCAAACTTCGCCTCCAGGGTTCACGCCATTCTCCTGCCTCAGCCTCCTGAGTAGCTGGGAATACAGGTGCCCGCCATCATGCCCAGTTAATTTTTTTTGTATTTTTAGTAGAGACGAGGTTTCACTGTGTTAGCCAGGATGGTCTTGATCTGACCTCGGGATCCTCCCATCTTGGCCTCCCAAAGTGCTGGGTTTACAGGCATGAGCCACTGCACCCGGCACATAATACTTTACTTTTAAAAGTGCTTTTATCCTAAAGGAATGTTAAATAACTATCTGCTATGTAATTTTAACCTAATAACAACCTCAAGAGCTAGAAAAGTGTTATTCACATTTTTATATAACTGACAAAGAAATCTGCGCACAGAAAAATCAAGTAACTCAAGTTCACACATTCTTTAGAGGCAGAGACCAGGTGAGGATGCAGCCCAGCTGGTGCTCAGAAAAGCAGGTGCTTTCTCACAGGACTGGAGATTATGTGGGCTTGGTAAAGCACAGGTAGATGTCTCATAGGGAACACTTGATGCATCTTTCCTCCAAGCTTAAGGCTTCTGAGATTTTAGATACCCTGGGGGCCTGAGACAGGTTGGATAGTGTGGGAAATCAGAGCAATGTGGCCAGGTAGTCTCTCCTTCACAAGTCCTAACCAAAAAAACACAGAGAAACACAGTTTAAACCCAAACAACTAAAACTTCTATTAACCAGTTAACACTAGTATGGATTTGTGGAAACATAAAAGGAGACAAAATAAAAAAAGAGAGAGAGAGGAGACATGAAGAAGAAGAAAAAGAGCACTGACAGGTCCAGACATCAGGGAGATGGTGGAATAAAATTTTCCAGTGCTTATCCCCACAGAGTAACATCAATTTGAGTAACTATACATACAAGAAAACATCTTCACAAGAACTAAAGACACCAGATGAGACATTAGAACATCTGGGTGTAGCACAGAAATAAGAAAAGATGCAATAAAAGGGCAGTAAAGACAGTTATGCATTATCCATGTAATCCCTCCCCAAACCCCAGGCAGCATAGCGCACAGGGAGAGATGCCCTCTGCTTGGGAGAAGAAGAGGGAAAGGAGCACTAGACTTCGCCGTGGACCCCAGAACTGGGTCTGTCCTAACAAAGCCCAGTGCTGTGCAGGCTAGACTACTCAGACTCCAGACTGGTACCCATATACTGAGCCTCCAAGCCCAACCTGGTCTCCAGACGCATGTCAACACTAGGCTTGCCTCCAAAGACTCAGGGTCTAGGCATGCCCCAGGACCAGACTGGCCCCAGCAGCTTTGGGCTCTGGACCACCAGCAGTACTAGGCTGATCCCACAGCCCCAGGCTTCAGGCCAGCCTCCATGAACCCAGCCACCAGGCTAGCTCTGCAATTACAGTCTCCAAGCCCACGGAGCATTATGCCATCCCTCACAGTCCCAGGCTCCAGGCCCGTCCAAGATTTCAGATCAGCAAAGAGCCAGGTCAGCCGACATAGCCTCACACTTCAGGCCCACCTTAGCATCAGATTGGCACTCCTGGCCTCAGGAACCAGGCTGGCACCTGTGGATATAAGTCCCCGGACTGCCCAATGCCAGGCCAGTCCCTGTGGCCCTATCCTCCAGGCTGGCCCCTGTAGCCCCATTCTCCAACAGACTTAGGGTCCAGGCTCATCCCATTAGACCCCAGTGCTTGACCAGCCTCCAGAGACCCAGGTTCCAGGCCAGCCTACATGGCTTCATTACCAAGGCCTTGAAAATCTAGCCTCCAGGGAAGTACTCACATACCCAACTGGCAAGCTCCCCCCAGGAAACTCAGGCTCCAGGCCAGTCCCCATAGCCCCATGCTCAAGGCCAGCCCATGAACCCAGGCTCCAGATAAGCCCCCACAGACCCAGGATCCATGCTTTCCCCAGCACCACGCAAGCTCCAGGCTCCAGGATGAACTCCATGGCCCCAGACTCCAGTAGACGTTGGGTTCAGGGATACTCCAGTAGATCCAGGGTCCAGGATCATCCCTGATGACTCAGGCTCTAGGCCAATTCCCACAGACACAAAACCCAGCATTGCCTCCATGGACTCAGGCTTTAGACCTACCCTAGAACTAGGCCAACAAACATGGATTCAAGCTCCAGGCCTGTCCCAGTGGACCTAGGGGCCAGGTCAATCCCAAGACCTACCTTATTTTTGCAGACTCATGCTCAAGGACCATCAAAGAATCAGGTCAGCCCCTATAGACCCAGGCTTCAGGCTGGCTCCTAAGGACACAGGCTCCAGGCCCACCCTCAAAGACCCAAGCTCTGAGCCCAACCACACACACCCAATCAACAGGTACATCCTAATAGATTCAGGCTCAAGATCCAATTCCACATACTCAGGCACTGGGCCCATCCAACTTCTGACCAAGGTACCAGATCAGCCTTCCTGAGGACTGCAGCAGCAAGCCTTCCAGCAGACTGTACCAGACAGCCTGCCCAGAATCTCTCGATGAGCTGACTGGTGAAGGGCTTTCCCAAAGTCAGTATGTAAAAACTGGAATAAGACGCCACTTCTTCAAAAGTGCAGATCATATCAAGCACCTTTTCCAACCACGAGAGTATAAAACTCAAATTCCATAAAAGGAGGAATATTGGAAAGTTTACAAATACATAAAAAGTAAACAACATGTGAAAGGAGGGATCATTGTGGATGAGAGACAGGACTAGATTTCAGCTTCAACTCGGATGGACAGAGTGGCATGTGGAGGCTTGCATCATGAACTTTTGCTCCAGAACAGCTGCAAGAATAAATCAGAAAACCTGAGAGGACCCACAGACCCCTGCTGAAGGAAGCAAATTGCTCCTGCAGGACCTGAGAGACATCCCAAATATTGTGCTTGTATCTATGGTTGACAGACTCACAGATGGTTCACATCATAGGACTCTGTGAAGAAAGTCCCCAATACCAGCCTGGAGCCTGGCAGACTTGCTGGGTAGCTAGATCCAGGGGAGAGATAATAATCACTACAGCTTGGCTCCCAGGAAGCCACATCAATACAAAAAGGGGGAGAGTACTTCATAAAAGGAACACCCCATGAGACAAAAGAATCTGAATAACAGCCTTCGGCCCTAGACCTTCCCTCTGACAGAGACTACCTAAATGAGAAGAAACCAGAAAACCAACTCAGGTAATATGACAAAAGGAGGTTCTTTAACACCCCCCAAAAATCACACTAGCTCATCAGCAATGGACCCAAACCAAGAAGAAATCCCAGATTTACTTGAAAAAGAATTCAGAAGGTTAGTTATTAAGTGAATCAGGGAGGCATCAGACAAAGGTGAAGCCCAATGTAAGAAAATCCAAGTGAAGGGAGAAATATTCAAGGAAATAGCATAAATAAAAAACAAAATATCAGGAAACAATGGACACACATAGAAATGCAAAATGCTCTGGAAAGTCTCAGCAATAGAATTATACCTGTAAAATAAAGCACTTCAGAGCTTGAAGACAAGGTCTTTGAATTAACCAAATCCAACAAAGACAAAGAAAAATGAATAAGAAAATATGAACAAAGACCCCCAAAACCCTGGGATTATGTTAAATGACCAAACCTAAAAATAATTGATGTTCCTGAGGAAAAAGAGAAATCTAAAAGTTTGGAAAACATATTTGGGGGAATAATCGAGGAAAACTTCCCTGGACTTGCTAGAGACCTAGACATCAAAATACAAGAAGCACAAAGAACACCTGGGAAATTCATTGCAAGAAGATAATCACCTAGGCATTGTCATCAGGTTATCAAAAGTTAAGATGAAGGAAAGAATCCTAAGAGCTATGGGACAAAAGCACGAGGTAACCTATAAAGGAAAACCTATGTGATTAACATCAGATTTATCAGCAGAAACCTTACAAGCTAAGAGGCATTGGGACCCTCTCTTCAGCCTCCTCAAGCAAAACAATTATCAGCCAAGGATTTTGTACCCAGCAAAACTAAGCTTCATAAATGAAGGAAATATACATTCTTCTTCAGACAAACAAATGCTAAGAGAATTCAGCACTACCAAACCAGCACTACAAGAACTGCTTTAAATCTTGAAGTCAATCCTGGAAACACATCAAAACAGAACTTCTTTAAAGCATAAATCTCACAGGACCTATAAAACAAAAATACAGTTTAAAAAACAAAAACAAAAAGCAACAAAAAAGAAGGTATACAGGCAGCAAATAGCACGAAGAATAAAATGGTACTTCACATCTCAATACTAACATGCAATGTAAATGGCCTAAATGCTCAACTTAAAAGATACAGAATTGCAGAATGGATAACAATTCACCAACCAATTATATGCTGCCTTCAAGAGACTCATCTAACACATATGGACTCACACAAACTTAAGGTAAAGGGGTGGAAAAAGACATCATGCAAGAGGACATCAAAAGTGAGCAGGAATATCAGACACAACAAACTTTAAAGCAACAGCAGTTAAAAAAAAAAAAAGAAAACGAAGAGGGACATTATATAATGATAAAAGGCCTTGTCCAACAGGAAAATACCACAATCCTAATCCTAACTATATATGCACCTAACACTGGTGCTCCCACATTTATAAAACGATTAATAGTAGACCTAAGAAATTAGACAGCAACATAATAATAGTGAGGGACATCAATACTCCACTGACAGCACTAGAGAGGTCATCAAGAAAAAAAGTCAACAAAGAAACAGTGGATTTAAACTATACTCTGGAACAAATGGACTTTACTGACAAATACAGAACATTGTATTCAACAACTGCAGAATATACATTCTATTCAACAGCGCATGGAACTTTCTCCAAGATAGACCAAATGATAGGCCACAAAACAAACCTGAATACACTTAAGAAAATCAAAATTATATCAAGCACTCTCTCAGACCACAGTGGAATAAAACTGGAAACTCCAAAAGGAACCTCCAAAACCATACAAATACATGGAAATTAAATAACCTGCTCCTGAATGATCATTGGGTCAAAAATGAAATCAAGATGAAAATTAAAAAAAAATTCTTCAACTGAATGACCATAGTGACACAACCTATCAAAACTTCTGGGGCACAGCAAAGGCAGTGCTAAGAGAAAAGTTCATAGCCCAGAACACCTACATCCAAAAGTCTCAAAGAGCACAAACAGATAATCTAAGTTCACACCTCAAGGAACTAGAGAAACAAGAACACACCAAACCCAAAACCAGCAAAAGAAAGGAAATAACCAAGATCGGAGCAGGAGTAAATAAAATTGAAACAAAAAAATACAAAAGATAAATAAAACAAAAACCTCGTTCTTTGAAAAGATAAATAACATTGGTAGACCATTAGCAAGATTAACCATGAAAAGAAGAGAGAAAATTGAAATAAGCTCAATAAGCAACGAAACAGGAGATATTACATGTGACACCATGGAAATACAAAAGAAGGCTACTATGAACACCTTTATGTAGATAAACTAGAAAACCTAGAAGAGATGGATAAATCCTAGCTTAAACCAGGAAGAATCAGATACCTTGAACAGACCAATAAAAAGCAGTGAGATTGAAATTGTAATTAAAACATTACCAACAAAAAAATCCCAAGACTAGATTGATTCACAGCAGAATTCTACCAGACATTCAAAGAAAAATTGGAACCAATCCTACTGACACAATTCCACAAAATGAAGAGGGAACCTTCCCCAAATGATTCCATTAAGCCTGTATCACCCTAATATGAAAACCAGAAAAGGACATAACCCAAAAAAGAACTAAAGACCAATATGCCAGATGAACATAGATGCTAAAATCCTTAACAAATACTAGCTAACCAAATCCAAAAACATATAAAACAGGTAACTCAAGGCCAGGTCCAGTGGCTCACGCTTGTAATCCCAGCACTTTGGGAGGCCAAGACATGCAGATTACCCAACGTCAGGAGTTCCAGACCAGCATGGACAACATGGCAAAACCCCACCGCTATTAAAAATTAAAAAAAAAAAATTAGCTGGGCATGGTGGTGCTCACCTCTAGTCCCAGCTATTCAGGAGGGTGAGGCAGAAGAATCACTTGAACCCGGGAGGTGGAAGTTGCAGTGAGCCATGATCACACCAGAGCACTCCAACCTGGGCAACAGAGGGAGACTCCATCTCCATTAAAAAAAAAAAAAAGATAATTCACCATGATCAAGTGGGTTTCACACCAGAGATGCAGGGATGGTTTAACATACACAAGTCAATAAATGTGATACACCACATAAACAATATTAAAAAAAATCACTTGATCATCTCAATAGAGGCAGAAAAAGGGTTTGACAAAATCCAGCATCCCTTTATGATTAAAACTCTCAACAATATCGGCATGCAAGGAACATACCTCAATATAATAAAAGCCATCTATGACAAATCCACAGCCAAGATCATACTGAATGGGGAAAAGAACTCAACCCCCTTTACAATAGCTGCAAAAACAAACAAAGAAACAAAAAAACCTTAAGAATATACCTAACCAAGAACGTGAAAGAGCTCTACAAGGAAAGCTACAAAACACTACTGAAAGAAATCACGGATGACACAAACAAATAGAAACACATCCCATGCTCATAGATAGGTAGAATTAATATTGTGAAAATATCCATACTGCCAAAAGCAAGCTACAAATTCAACACAATTCCCATCAAAATACCACCATTATTCTTCACAGAATTAGAAAAAAAAAAATTCTAAAATTTTTATGGAACAAAAAAAGAGCCCATGTAGTCAAAGCAAGACTAAGTAAAAAAGAAAAAATCTGGAGGCACCACATTACCTGATTTCAAACTATACTATATGGCCATAGTCACCAAAACAGTATGGTACTGGTATAAAAATAGGCACACAGACCAATGAAACAGAATATAGAACCCAGAAATAAAGCCAAATAGTTACAGCCAACAGATCTTTGACAAAGTGAACAAACACCCAAGTGGGAAAGGAACACCCTTTTCAACAAATGTTGCTGGGATAATTGGCTAACCACATGTAAGAGAATGAAACTGGATCCTCATCTCTCACCTTATACATAAATCAACTCAAGATGGATTAAGGACTTAAATCTAAGACCTCAAACTGTAAAAATTCTGGAAGATAGCATTGGAAAAACCCTTCAAGACATTGGTTTAGGCAAGAATTTCATGACCAAGAAACCAAAAGCAAATGTAATAAAAACAAAGATAAATTGCTGGGAATTAGTTAAAGAACTTTTGCACAGAAAAAGGAACAGTCAGCAAAGTAAACAGACAACCTGTAGAGTGGGAAAAATTCTTTAACAATCCATACATCTGACAAAGAAATGATATCCAGAATCTACCATGAACTCAAACAAATTAACAAGAAAAACAAACAATCCCATAAAAAAGTGGGCTAAGGACATGTCTAGACAATTCTCAAAATAAGATGTACAAATAGCCACCAAGTATATTTAAAAAATGTTCAACATCACTAATGATCATGGAAATGCAAATCAAAACCAGCATGTGATACCACCTTACTCCTGCAAGAATGGCTATAATCAAAAAATAGTAGATTTTGGCATGGATGTGGTGAACAGGGAATACTTCTACACTGCTGGTGGGAATGTAAACTAGTACAACCACTATGGAAAATTGTAGAGATTCCTTAAAAAACTAAAAGTAGAACTACCACTTGATTCAGCAATCCCACTACTGGGTATCTGCCCAGAGGAAAAGAAGTCATTATGCAATAAAAGTTGGTTGCACGTGCATGTTTATAGCAGCACAATTCACAATTGCAAAAACGTGAATCCAACCCAAATCCCCATCAATCAAGTGGATAAAGAAACTGTGGTGTATATATACAGTGGACTACTACTTGGCCATGAAAATGAATAAATTAATGGCATTCACAGCGACCTGGATGAGATTGGGGACTATTATTCTAAGTGAAGTAACTCAGGAATGGAAAACCAAACATCGTATGTTCTCATTCATATGTGGGAGTTAAGCTATGAGGATGTAAAGGCATAAGAATGACACAGTGGATGTTGGGGACTTAGGGGAAAAGAGTGGGAAGGGGGAAAAAGGCTACAAATAGGGTGCAGTGTATACTGTTCAGGTGATGGGTGCACCAAAATCTCACAAATCATCACTAAAGAACTTACTCATGAAACCAAACACCACTTGTTCCCCAATAACCTATGGAAATAAAAAATTAAATTAATAATAATAATAATAGAAAAAAGAAACAGAGGGCATATGTAGCTACTGAAGGGAAATAAATAGAACCCTTATTATAATAACACTATTATGAGGGTTAAATTAAAGAGCCCACGTATGTGTAGTATGCCTTCAAAATGCTATTGTGATTTATATTAATAAATTATTATAAATTAAATTTAAAAAGTAAACAACATGCTCCTGAACAAAAATGCATCAAAGAATAAATTAAAAGGGAATTTTTTTAAAATCTTGAGACAAATGAAAATTGACATGCAACATACCAAAACTTACGAAATTCAGCAAAAACGGTTCTAAGAGAAAAGCTTTTAGTAATTAATGCCTACATTAAAAGGAAGAAAGATCTTAAATAAACAACATAACTTTACCTCAAGGAGCTAGAAGAAGATTTAAAAAACCCATTGTAGAAGGAGATAAATAATAAAGATTAGAAAAGAAACAAATGAAAAAGAGACTAGAAAACAGTAAAAGAAAAAAATCAATGTAAGACTTGGGTTTTTGAAAACATAAAACAGAATCAACAACTTTTAGTTAAACTAACAAATAAACAAAGAGAAGCCTCGAAATCAGAAATGGAAGAGAAGACATTGCAAACAATATGATAAAACTGCAAAGGATCATAAGTGACCACTAAGAACAACTATGTACCAACAAATTAGACAACCTGGAAACACAGGAAAATTCCTAGATGCATACAACCTAACAAGTCTGAATAAGGAAGAAACATAAAATCTGAACAGATCAATAACAAGTAAGGAGATTAAATCACTAATAAAAATTATCCAATCAAAGGAAAGCCCAAGAACTGATGGCTTTACTGCTGAATTCTACCAGATATTTAGAGAGAAACTAATATTAATCCTTCTCAAACTTTTCCAAAAAATTGAAGACGTAATACCAAAGCCAGTGGACACTACAGTGGACAGAAGAAAAGAATAGAAAAGAAAATTATGGCCAAAATCTCTGATGAACATAGATGTAAAAAGTCCTCCATGAAATACTAGCAAAATGAATCCAGCAGCCCATTAGAAGGTTTATTCATCAAGATCAAGTGTGATTTATCACAGAACTGCAAGGATAGTTCAATATATACAAATTTATAAATTTGATATGCCACATTGACAGACAAAAAGACAAAAACCAGTTGATCATCTAAATAGATCAGAAAAGGCATTCAACAAAATTCAACATCCCTTCGTAATAAAAACTCTCATCAATTTAGGTATAGAAGGGAGGTACCACAAGACAATAAAGGCCATATATGAAAAACCTACAGCTAACATCATACTCTACTCAACAGTAAAACGATGAAAGCTTTTCTTCTAAGATCAAAAACAAGACAAGAATGCCTACTGTCAACACTTTTATTCAACATAGTACTGGCATTCCTTGTCAGAGCAATTAAGCAAGAAAAATAAATAAAAAGCATCCAAATTGGAAAGAAAGAAGCTAAACTGTCCCTGTTTATAGACAACATGGTCTTATAGAGAGAGAAACCTAAAGATTCCAACAAAAAAAAAACTTTTAGAACTAATATAAGGATTCAGTAAATTTGCAGGATACAAAATAAATGTTCAAAAGTTAACTGCATTCCTATATACTAACAACAAACTATCAGGAAAAATAAATCTAGAAAACATTCCAATTTATAATAGCTACACAAAAAGTAAAATGCTTAGGAATAAATGTAACCAAGAAGGTCAAATACCTCTATACTAGTAACTATAAAACATTGATAACAAACTGAGAATGATACAAATGAATAAATGAAAAGCTATCCTGTATTCATAGATTGAAATCATTAATATTGTTAAAATGTCCATACTACTCAAAGCAATCTATATATTCAATGTAATCCCTATGAAAATTTCAATGACTTTTTTCATAGAAATATTAAAAGGAATCCTAAAATCCATAAGGGACCACAAAAGGTGCCAACACCCAAACGAATGTTAAGCAAAAATTACAAAGCTGGAGACATCACACTACCTGACTTCAAAATATACCACATAGCTATAGCAACAAAACAGCATGCTACTGGCATTAAAACAGACATATAGGCCAATACAGAAAAATAGACTAGAAATAAATCCACACATTTATAGTCAAATAGTTTCCCATAAAGGTACCAGGAATGCAAAATGGAAAAAGGAAAATCTCCTCCATAAATGGTGTGGGCAAAATTGCATATCCATACACAGAAGGATAAAACTACACTCTTATTTCACACAATATGAAGAAATCAACTCGAATGGATTAAAGATTTAAAGATAAGACAGGAGACTCTAAAAGTAATGGAAGATAACATAGAAGACTAGTTTCTTGACATTGGTGTTGGCAATGATTACTTGAATGTAATACCAAAAGCACAGCCAACAAAAACAAAGTAGACAAATGAAACTATGTCAAACTAAAAAGCTTCTGCACAGCTGAGTAAACAATCAACACAGTGAAGAGACAACCTATGAAATGGGATAAAACATTTGTAAACCATAGACCTGATGAGAGGATAATATCCAAAATATATAAGAAACTCAAACTACTCAATGGTAAAACAAACAAACAATCCAATTTAAAAATGGGCAAAGCATCTCAGTAGACATTTCTCAAAGGAAGGCATTCAGATGGCCAACAGGTACATGAAGAGGTGATCTACATCACTAATTGTCAGGAAAGGCAAATTAAAACCATAATGAAATATCATCTCACACCTGTTACAATGGCTATTATCAAAAAGATTACAGATATCAAGTGTTAGAAAGTATGCAGAAAAAAAAGGAAATCTTTGTGCACTGTTGGGGAGAAACAAATTAATGCAGCCATCATGAAAAACTGTATGGAGGTTCTTCGAAAAATTAAAAATAAAATGACCATATAATTTAGCAATCCTACTGCTGGGTATATGTGAATAAAATAAAAATAAATAAAATCAGTATCTCAAAGAGTTTCTACACTCCCATGTTCATGCAGTATTATTCAAAATAGTATAAATATGAAATAAACACAAGTGTTCATCAATGGATGGGTGGAATAAGAAAATGTGCTATATATACACAATAAAATTGTATTCAGCCTTTTAAAAGTAGAAAATCCTGTCATTTGTGGCAATACGAATGAACCTGGAGGACACAATGTTAAATAAAATAAGCCAGGCAAAAAAGATGAATTCCACACAGTCTCACAGGTGGAATCTAAAAAAGTTGAACTCATAAAATTAGAGAGTAAAATGGTGGTTGGAAAGGGTTAGGGGTGGAGGGGAAAGGGAGTGAAGAGATGTAGTCAAAGGATATCAAATTTCAGTTAGATAGAAATATGTTCAAGAGATCTATTATACAACTTGGTGACTATAGTTAGCAGCAATGTGTTGTATTCTTAAAAATGGTGGCTCATGCCAGTAGTCCTAGGACTTTGGGAGGCAGAGGCGGGAGGATTGCCTGAGGTCAGGAGTTCAAGACCAGCATGGCCAACATGGTGAAACTCTGTCTCTACTAAAAAATACAAAAACTAGCTGGGCATGGTGGTGCACGCCTGCAATCCCAGCTACTCGGGGGACTGAGGCAGGACAATCACTTGAACCCACGAGGTGAAGGTTGCAGTGGGCCGAGATCATGCCACTGCCCTACAGCCTGGGCAATAGAGCGAGACTCCGTCTCAAAAAGAAACAAAAAATTATGTGACTATGGTCAATAAATATTAAATAGGAAAAATAAATCTTACTGTTTTGAAGTTTCAGATACTTAAAATTATTTCATATATTTTTTTCTTAAATTAAAAACTAACCCCAAAATATTTAAATGTGAGAATCCACTTTTAATTTAAAAATAAATATAACACCGAAAAATGTCACAAATCTAGTTCAAACAAATTTTTACATTTGGAAACAAAAAAGATAATTCAGATTTTGATCCATTGTTTTTATAATTTTTCCTGATGTGATATAAAATTAAATTATCTACAGTTTACTTATGAGTGGCTTAAATTGCATTAAACAGAGAGTTATATTTTATTCTAGGTTACTTGTTTCTATATTCTCAGCCTCAAAAATAGAATTTCATCATAACGAACTATTCAAAACAGTATCAAGGTCAGAGATAGCAAATTTAAGCATTAGAAAGTGTCTCTCAAACAAGCAACACTGAAATTTTATTAATTTTTCCCTTTACTCATAATCCAAACTGTTTTCACAAAGCTTAAATATTGCTTTGACACAGAAGTGAATATTGGCATCTCTAAATTTAAAATCAAAATAAATTATTTGTGTCTTTCTTAAACAGATATGCTAAGATTTTAAATTTCAAAATCTTATATAAAAACTGATTTTTTTTACATTATAAAGGCTTCTAAAATACTTTTAATTTATATTAGTAGAAGGTATAATTAAATAAAGGTTTGCTAAATTTGAAATAGTCTTTCAGCGGAAATAATCTAAATGGTAAATAATGTAAAGTTGTTTTATTAAATTATATTTCCTTAAACTGAGTTTTTAAGTAGTATTTTTTCCAGAGGAATTTATAAAATATCAGCTGTGAGGCTATAAAGACAATCACATGCACTTTAGATTTTCTAATATAGAACTTTAGAGAGATAATGAATCTTTAAATCACATGGTCCACTTTCTGCTTTCAGGAAGATGAAATAGACATTCTTTTCCCTATTTCTCCTGCTAAGTACAAATGAAACTCTTGAACATTATATATAAAACAAAAATAAGAAGACTGAAAGGTAAAGAAAATAAGGCAGCCTAACTAGGGACTTCACGAGTTGAGAGACAACACAGCAATGAGTTCCCCTGGGTTCTCATTTTGTCTGTTATATCCCAGACTTGGAAATGAAGAAGCCAGCATTCCAGAAATGCCATTGGGACAGACAATAAAAGTCTCAACAAAAGCCTGCTCTCTCTAGCCAAAGGACCATAGAAGGGGCAGTCTAGCAGGACAAAAATCTTTTAGCAAAACACCACAGAAAAAACTGTGAGATTACCCCAAACCATGCAAGCAAAAATTGAAAGGGGGGCCTAGATAGCCACTCTAGCAAGGCTATAACAAGTAGCCTCAACACTCCTACCAAGACAGTGTCTCAGAAGGCCAAGTAGGGAGCCAAGACTTTCATCTCATCAGCCAGTAATAAACCTCTCCCACCAAACACACACAGTGTCAGTAAAGGCCATATGGGGATAAAAAACTCTCACCCCTACCCAGGAGTCATGAATGGCCCTCCCCATTGGTCCTCTGTCAACAGAGGCTCAGTGAGAAACCTGGACTATTACCTCCACCTAGAAGTAATGAGGTAGTTCTCCCATTAGCTGTTGTAGTATCAGTGAAGGCCAGTTTAAAAACAGAACACTTAACCAAGGCCCAAAGTCTCATCACATAAAGCAAAAATTCTGAGGTTTCAATTGAAAATCATTCATCATATTAAGACCAGAAAGGTCTCAACCAGAATTTTAAAATACAATTAATAGATGACAACACTCAGAAAATAGAGAAATTGCAATAATCTGACAAATGTTTGAAAGCTGATATAATAGAAATGCTTCAGTAAACAACTATGAAAACACTTGAAACAAATGAAAATAGAGAACTTCAGCAAAGAAACAGAAGATATAATGAAGAACCAAATGGAGATTTTAGAACTGAAAAATAACTGAAATAAGGCCAATGGATGTGCTCAACAGAATGAAGAGGATGATGAAATAAAAAAAATCAGTAAACTGGAAGGCAGAAAAAATTACTCAAAAAAAAAAAAAAAAGAAAACAAACAAATAGAGCATCAGAGACATGTGTGGCTAAAAAAAAAAAATATCTAACCAACACTTGTATAACTGAAGTCCCAAAAGGAGAGAAGAAAAAGGCTGGGTCTGAAAAAGTACTACAAGAAATAACTGGCTGTAAACATCCCAAATTTAGCCTGCGTTACAAAATTACAGATTCAAGAATGTGAGGAAAACCCAGAAAAAATAAGCTCAAATATATCCATTATAATATATATTATAATTAAACATGTGAAAATTAAGACAAAAAATCCTGAAAACAACCAAAGAAAAAGAACACCTTATTTAAGGTAAGTCCAAAAGAATGAATGAAGGAAGTCTCTAAACAGAAAAGAAATTTAAAAAAATAAAATTTGGACTTTCAGGAAAAAAAAAACAACAACCTAGTAACAAAAAATATGAGTAAATAGGTTTCCCTTCTCCTCTTGAGTTTTCCAAATTATGTTTGAGAGTTTAAGCAAAAATACAACATTGTGTGATGTGCTTCTAAATTTACATAGAGGGAAGAAAAGTATAAATGTGGGAAAGTTAAGTAACATAAAAGTTGGTAGGCTTTATACACTTCACTAGGAAAAAAATAACACTGGTAGACAGTTTTTGCATATGTGTGTGTATATATACTTCATTATATATATTGTCAGGCCTCTGAGCCCAAGCTAAGCCATCATATACCCTGTGACCTGCGCATATCAGGTGTCTAAAGCAAGTGAAGAATCACAAAAGAAGTAAAAATGGCTGGTTCCTGCCTTAACTGACGACATTACCTTATGAAATTTCTTCTCCTGTCTCAGAAGCTCCCCCACTGAGCACCTTGTGATTCCCGCCCCTGCCTGCCAGAGAACAACCCCTTTGACTGTAATTTTCCCTTACCTACCCAAATCCTACAAAACTGCCCCACCCCTAACTCCCTTTGCTGACTCTTTTCAGACTCAGCCCGCCAGCACCCAGGTGAAATAAACAGCCTTGTTGCTCACACAAAGCCTGTTTGGTGGTCTCTTCACACGGACGCACGTGACATTTGGTGCCGAAGACTCGGGACAGGAGGACTCCTTCAGGAGACCGGTCCTCTGTCCTCACCCTCACTCTGTGAGGAGATCCCCCTACGACCTTGGGTCCTCAGACCAACCAGCCCAAGGAACATCTCATGAATTTCAAATTGGGTAAGTGGTCTTTTCACTCTCTTCTCCAGCCTCTCTTGCTATCCTTCAATCTCCCTCTTTTGCTACCCTTCAATCTCCCTGTCCTTCCAATTCCAGTTCTTTTTCCTCTCTAGTAGAGACAAAGGAGACACATTTTATCCATGGACCCAAAACTCCAGTGCTGGTCACGGACTAGGGAAGACAGTGTTCTGTTGGTGTTTAATCACTGCAGGGACGCCTGCCTGATTCTTCACCCACACTCCATTGGTGTCTGATCACTGAGGGGATAGCTGCCTTGGTCATTCACCCACGTTCTCTTGGTGGCAAGTCAATTGCTGGGATGCTTGCTTTGGCTGCTCACACACATTGCAGCCCAGGGCTGCTCACCACCCCTCTTCTCTGTGTCTCTACCCTCTCTTTTCTCTGGGCTTGCCTCCTTCACTATGGGCAACCTTCCACCCTCCATTCCCCCTTCTTCTCCCTTAGCCTGTGTTCTCCAAAAGTTAAAATCTCTTCAACTCTCGCCTGACCTAAAACCTAAGCATCTTATTTTCTTCTGCAACACTGCTTGGCACCAATACAAACTCGATAATGGTTCTAAATAGCCAGAAAATGGCACTTTTGATTTCTCCATTTTACAAGACCTGGATGATTTTTGTCGAAAAAATGGGCAAATGGGTCTGAGGTGCCTGACTGCCAGGCATTCTTTTACACATTGGTCCCTCCCTCATCTCTACTCCCAGTGTGACTCATCGCAAATCTTTCTTCTTTCTCTCCTGTCTGTTCCTTCAGTCTCCACCCCAACCTCTGAGTCCTTTGAATCCTCCTTTTCTACAGACCAATCTGACCACTCCCCTCTTCCCCAGGCTGCTCCTCCCTAGGCCAAGCCATGTCTCAATTCTTCCTCAGCCTCCGCTCTCCCACCCTATAATCCTTTTATCACCTCCCCTCTTCACACCCAGTCCGGCTTAGTTTCTTTCCGAAACTAGCTGTCCCCCACCTGCCCAACAATTTCTTCTTAAAGATGTGGCTGGAGCTGAAGGCATAGCCAAGGTCGATGTCCCTTTTTCTTTATCCGACCTCTCCCAAATCAGATAGTGTTCAGGCTCTTTTTCATCAAATATAAAAACTCAACCCAGTTCATGGCCCATTTGGCAACAACCCTTAGACGCTTTACCACCCTAGACCCAGAAGGGCCAGAAGGCCATCTTATTCTCGGTGTGCATTTTATTACCCAATCCACTCCCGACATTAGAAAAAGCTCCAAAAATTAAATTCCGGCCCTCAAACCCCACAACAGGACTTAATTAGCCTCACCTTCAAGGTGTACAATAATAGAGTAGAGGCAGCCAAGTAGCAATGTATTTCTGAGTTGCAATTCCTTGCCTCCACTGTGAGACAAACCCCAGCCACATCTCCAGCACACAAGAACTTCCAAACGCCTGAACCACAGTGGCCACGCATTCCTCCAGGACTGCCTGCCCGAGGATCTTGCTTCAAGTGCCAGAAATCTGGCACTGGGACAAGGAATGCCTACAGCCTGGAATTCTTCCTAAGCCATGTCCCATCTGTACAGGACCCCACTGGAAATCGGACTGTCCAACTCACCCGGCAGCCACTCCCAGAGCCCCTGGAACTCTGGCCCAAGGCTCTCTGACTCCTTCCCAGATCTTCTCAGCTTAACGGCTGAAGACTGACGCTGCCCAATCACCTCGGAAGCCTCCTAGACCATCACAGACACTTTGGGTAACTCTTACAGTGGAGGGTAAGTCCGTCCCCTTCTTAATCACTACGGAGGCTATCCACTCCACATTACCTTCTTTTCAAGGGCCTGTTTCCCTTGCCTCCATAACTGTTGTGGGTATTGACAGCCAGGCTTCTAAACCTCCCCAACTCTGATGCGAACTTGGACAACATTGTTTTATGCACTCCTTCTTAGTTATCCCCACCTGTCCAGCTCCCTTATTAGGTAGAGACATTTTAACTAAATTATCTGCTTCCCTGACTATTCCTAGGCTACAGCCACACCTCATTGCTGCCCTTTTTCCCCAGTTCAAAGCCTCCTTCACATCCTCCCCTTGTATCTCCCCACCTCAATCCACAAGTATGGGACACCCCTACTCCCTCCTTAGTGCCGACCATGCACCCCTTACCATCCTATTAAAACCTAATCACCCTTACTCCGCTCAATGCCAGTATCCCATCCCACAACAGGCTTTAAGGGGATTAAAGCCTGTTATCACTCACCTGCTACAGCATGGGCTTCTAAAACCTATAAACTCTCCTTACAATTCTCCCATTTTACCTGTTCAAAAACCGGACAAGTCTTACAGGTTAGTTCAGGATCTGCACCTTATCAACCAAATTGTTTTGCCTATCCACCCTGTGTTGCCCAACCCGTACACTCTTTTGTCCTCAATACCTTCCTCCACAACTCACTATTCCGTTCTTGATCTTAAAGATGCTTTTTTCACTATTCCCCTACACCCCTCATCCCAGCCTCTCTTTGCTTTTACCTGGACTGACCCTGACACCCATCAGTCCCAGCAGCTTACCTGGGCTGTACTGCCACAAGACTTCAGGGACAGCCCTCATTACTTCAGCCAAGCTCTTTCTCATGATTTACTTTCTTTCCACCCCTTCGCTTCTCACCTTATTCAATATATCGATGACCTTCTACTTTATAGACCCTCCTTTGAATCTTCTCAACAAGACACCCTCCTGCTCCTTCAACATTTATTCTCCAAGGGATATCGGGTATCCCCCTCCAAAGCTCAAATTTCTTCTCCATCCGTTACCTACCTTCACATAATTCTTCATGAAAGCACATGTGCTCTCCCTGCTGATCATGTCCAGCTAATCTCCCAAACCCCAACACCTTCTACAAAACAACAATTCCTTTCCTTCCTACGCATGGTTAGGGACTTCTGCCTTTGGACACCTAGTTTTACCATCCTGACTAAACCATTACATAAACTCACAAAAGCAAACCTAGCTGACCCCACAGATCCTAAATCTTTTCGCCACTCCTCTTTCTGTTCTGTAAAAACGGCCCTAGAAGCTGCTCCCACACTAACTCTCCCTAACTCATCCCAACCCTTTTCATTACACAGAGCCAAAGTGCAGGGCAGTGCAGTCAAAATTCTTACACAAGAGCTGGGACCGCACCCTGTAGCCTTTCTGTCCAAACAACTTAACCTTACTGTTTTGGGCTGGCCTCCACCCCCATGACTGTATCTTTCTGATCCACCTGGCATTCACTCCATTTCCCCATATTTCCTTCTTTCCTGTTCCTCACACTGATCACATTTAGTTTATTGATGGCAGTTCCACCACACCTAATCACCCCTCACCAGCAAAGGCAGGCTATGCTATAGTATCTTCCATATCTATCATTGAGGCTACCACTCTGCCCCACTCCAATACCTCTCAGCAAGCCAAACTCTTTGCCTTAACTCGAGTCCACACTCTTACAAAAGGATTACAGGTCAATATTTATACTGACTCTAAATATGCCTTCCATATCCTGCACCACTGTGCTGTTATATGGGCTGAAAGAGGTTTCCTCACTATGCAAGGGTCCACCATCATTAATGCCTCTTTAATAAAAGCTCTTCTCAAGACCACTTTACTTCCAAAGGAAGCTGGAGTCATTCACTGCAAGGGCCATCAAAAGGCATCAGATCCCATCGCTCAGGACAACAACTATGCTGATAAGGTAGCTAAAAAAGCAGCTAGCATTCCAACTTCTATCCCTCATGGCAGTTTTTCTCCTTCTCATTGGTCCCTCCCACCTACTCCCCCACTGAAACTTCCACCTATCAATCTCTTTCCAAACAAGGCAAATGGTTCTTGGACCAAGGAAAATATCTCCTTCCAGCCTCACAGGCCCATTCTATTCTGTCATCATTTCATAACGTCTTCCATGTAGGTTACAAGCCACTAGCCAACCTCTTAGAACCTCTCATTTCCTTTCCATTGTAGAAATATATCCTCAAGGAAGTCACTTCTCAGTCTTCCATCTGCTATTCTACTACTCCTCAGGGATTGTTCAGGCCCCCTCCCTTCCCTACACATCAAGCTCAGGGATTTGCCCCTGCCCAGGACTGGCAAATTGACTTTACTCACATGCCCCGAGTCAGGAAACTAAAATACCCCTTGGTCCAGGTAGACACTTTCACTGGATGGGTAGAGGCCTTTCCCACAGGGTCTAAAAAGGTCACCACAGTCATTTCTTCCCTTCTGTCAGATGTAATTCCTAGGTTTGGCCTTCCCACCTCTATATAGTCCAATAACGGGCCCACTTTTAATAGTCAAATCACCCAAGCAGTTTCTCAGGCTCTTGGTATTCAGTAAAACCTTCATACCCCTTACTGTCTTCAATCTTCAGGAAAGGTAAAACTGACTAATGGTCTTTTAAAACCAGACCTCACCAAGCTCAGCCTCCAACTTAAAAAAGAGGACTCTGTCAACGATAGAGCCCAAAAACTTGCCAACCAAGCAAATAATCACACTAAACCCCCTTGAGCACTCTCTAATTAAATGTCCTGGGTCCTCCCAATTCTTAGTCCTTTAATATCTGTTTCTCTCCTTCTCTTATTTGGACCTTGTGTCTTCTGTTTAGTTTCTCAATTCATACAAAACCATATCCAGACCATCACCAATAATTCTACATGACAAATGATCCTTCTAACAACCCCACAATATCACCCCTTACCACAAAATCTTCCTTCAGCTTAATCTCTCCCACTCTAGGTTCCCATGCCGCCCCTAATCCCACTCAAAGTAGCCCTGAGAAACATTGCCCATTATCTCTCATACCATCCCCCCAAAATTTTTGCTGCCCCAACACTTCAACACTATTTTATGTTATTTTTCTTATTAATACAAGAAGACAGGAATGTCAGGCCTCTGAGACCAAGCTAAGCCATCATATACTCTGTGACCTGTGCATATACATCCAGATGGCCTGAAGCAAGTGAAGAAACACAAAAGAAGTAAAAATGGCTGGTTCTTGCCTTAACTGACGACATTACCTTGTGAAATTTCTTCTCCTGGCTCAGAAGCTCCCCCACTGAGCACCTTGTGACCCCCGCCCCTGCCCGCCAGAGAACAACCCCTTTGACTGTAATTTTCCATTACCTACCCAAATCCTATAAAACTGCCCCACCCCTAACTCCCTTTGCTGACTCTTTTTTCAGGCTCAGCCCACCTGCACCCAGGTGAAATAAACAGCCTTGTTGCTCACACAAAGCCTGTTTGGTGGTCTCTTCACACGGATGCATATGACATATATATTCTAGTGTGTGTATATATGTATATATATATATATACATATATACACACATACATATATAATAGAGCCATTAAAATTGATATACAAAGAGATACACTCAAAAAACACTATAGATATATCAAAATGAAACTCTAAAAAATGTTCAAGTACCACACAAGAAGGCAAGAAAGGGTGAACAAAAAAAAGAAACAAAGAATATTCTGAAGCAAACAATAAAACGGCAGACTTATAAGCCCTAACACATCAATAATTACATTAAATGGAAATAAAATAAATACACCAGCTAAAAGAGAGAGTGATAGAGTAGATTAAAAAACATGACCTAACAATATGCCACCTACAGGATAATCACTTCAAATATAATAAACCAGTTGAATATAGAAAGACAGAAAAAGATACAACAAGCAAACCTTAACCAATGGAAAGCAGGAGTGCCTCTGTTGATATTAGCTGAAGTAGATATCAGAGTAAAGAAAATATGAGAGACAAAGGAGAAAATTATATTATAAAAGGCCAATTCACCAGTAAGTCTCAGCAACCGTAATTGTGAATGCACTAAATAATAGAGCTTTAGAATGTGTGAAGTGAACACTAGGAGAATTGAAAAGAAAAATAGACAAATCTTATAATTTTAGTTGGAGACTTCAACAAACCTCTCTTAACAAGTGATAGAACAATTATAAAATAAGGATATAGAAGAATGCAAGAACACTACAAACCAACAGGAATTAATCAATATTTATTTAGAATAATCCACTCCAAAACAGAATACACATTCTTTCAATGCACCAACAAAACATGTCAATATAGACCATATCTGGACCACAAACAAAATTCAAAATATTTAAAAGAACTGAAATCATACCAAGGGTGTTTTCCAACCACAATGAAATCAATCTAGAAATTGATAACAGAAAGTTAATAGGAAAATCTACAAACACTTTGACGTTAAACAACAATCTTCATATTCCATAGGTCAAGAAGAAAATCTCAGGAGAAATAAAATATATTGAACTGAGAAAAACAAAAATATAACATCAAAATTCCTAAGATACTACCCCATTCTCCATGATGTGATTATTACACACTGCATGCCTGTATCAAAACATCTCTGGACTTGGATTAAGATGGCAGATAGGTGGCAGAACTAGCTTGCAGCTCCTACTTGGATAGACAAAGCAGCATGTGGAGACTGACATTGTGAACTTTCATCCAAGAACTACCACAGAAGCATAACAGGAAAGCCAAGAAACCACAGACCCTTTGAAGGAACTAGGTCACTGCTACAGGCTCCCTAAAATGCCAGAAAAACTGTGAGTCTGCTTGCTTTTTCAACGAGGAGGCTCGTGGTCTGGGACAAGTTCTCAGTCTTGGTAGCTGGCTGCCTGGAAATAGACTGGTGCTATTGGTGGGGAAAACGATGAAAGTGAGACTGCCCTTTGGGAATGTAAACTGTGTGGGAGGGGGGTGAGGCCTGTGACTGCCAGCTTTCCCCTACTTCCTGACAACTGTATGACTTAGCAGAGGCAGCCATAATCTCCCTGGGAATATAACTTCAGTGGATTGAGAACCATATCCCCATCCTCCGCAGCAGCCACAGAAAGCCATGCCCAAGAAGAGGCTGAGCTGAGACATACCTATCCCTGCCACAACCAGGTGGTCTTTCTCTACCTACCCTGGTAGCCAAAGACAAAGATCATAATCTCTTAGGAGCTCTGTGGCCCTACCCACCACCTGAAAAACCTGAATACTTAACCAGGTGTCCCTAGGGCAAGTTTGCATCCTCCCTATAGGACTGCCACCTCCTGGCTGGAGGTCAACCAACACAAAACCAATGCACTAAGCAAAAACACAACCAAGAACCATCCTAGAGTCCATTTCACTCTCCTGCTACCTCCACTAGAGCAGGTGCTGGTATCCACAGCTGCAAGACCTGATGATGAATCATGTTACAGCTTTCTTTGCAGACATTTCCCAGTGCTAGCCTGGAGTCTGGCAGCTCTGCTGCATGGCTAGACCTAGAAGAGCAAAAGCAATCACTACAATTCAGTTCTAAGGAAGCCCCTTTCCTAGGGGAAGGGGGAGAACACCACACCAAGGGAGCACCCTGTGGGAAAAAGAATCTGAACAGCAGCCCTTGAATCCCAGATCTTCCCTCTGACATAGTCTACCCAAATCAGAAGGGACCAGAAAATCAATTCTGATTAATATGACATAGCAAGCTTCTTTAACATCCCCAAAAGATCATACCACCTCACCAGCAATGGATCCAAAACAAGATTAAATCTCTGAATTGCCAGAAAAAGAATTCAGCAGGTCGAATATTAAGCTAATCAAGAAAACACCAGAAAAAGGTGAAGTCCAACTTAAATAAAAGCATTACACAAAATATAAAAGGAAAATTCTTCAGTGAAATAGATATCATAAATAAAAAAACAATCACAATCTTGATTTCTGGAAATCAAGGACACACTTTGATTAAATATAAAATATGTTGGAAAGTCTCAGCAATAGAATTGAACAAGCAGAAGAAAGAGCTCCAGAGCTTGAAGACAAGGCTTTTGAACTAACCTAATCCATCAAACCAAAGAAAAAAAAAGTAAAAAAAAAAAAAATTGAACAAAACCTCCGGAAGCTTTGGACTATGTTAAACGTTCAAACCTAAAAATAATTGGTGTACCCAAGAAAGAAGAGAACTCAAAAAGTTTTGAAAAAAATATTTGAGGGAATAATCAAGGAAAACTTCCACATCCTTGCTAGAGATCTAGACATCCAAATACAAGAATCTCAAAGAACACCTGGGAAATTCCTCACAAAAAGATAATTGCCTAGGCACACAGACATCAGGTTATCTAAAGTCAAGATGAAGGAAAGAATCTCAAGAGATGTGAGGCAAAAGCAACAGGTAACCTATTAAAGAGAACCTATCAGATTAGTAGCAGATTTCTCAGCAGAAATCATACAAACTAGAAGGGATTTGGATCCTATCTTTAGCCTCCTGGAACAAAACAATTATCAGCCAAGAATTCTGTATCCAGCAAAACTAAACCTCATAAATGAAGGAAAGATACCGTATTTTCCAGATACACAAATGCTGAGAGAATATGCCACTACCAAGCCAGCACTACAAGAACTGCTAAAAGGAGCTCTAGATCTTGAAATAAATTGACTCAAAATATACCAAATACACTCAAAATATACCAAAACAGAACCTCCTTAAAGGTTCTGAATGAAAAAAAAAAAAACACACACACAAACACACAAGGTATTCAGGCAACAAATAGCACAATTAATAGAATAGTACCTCATATCTCAATACTAACTTTGAAAGTAAACGGCCTAAATGTTCCATTTAAAATACATAGAATGGAGGAACAGATAACAATTCACCAACCAAGTTTATGCTACTTTCAGGAAACTCCCCTAACCTGTAAGAATTCACATAAACTTAAGATAAAGGGGTGGAAAAAGATATTCCACGCAAATGGACACCAAAAATGAGCAGGAGTATCTATTCTTATATCAGACAAAACAAACTTTAAAGCAACAGCAGTTTAATAGACAAAGAAGGAAATTATATAATGATAAAAAGGCCTCATCCAACAGAAAAATTCTAATTATATATGCACTTACCACTGGAGCTCCCAAATTCATAAAACAATTACTATTATACCTAAGAAATGAGATAGATGGCAACACAATAATAATGGGGGACTTTAATATTCAATTGGCAGCACTAGACAAGTCATCAAGAAAGAAAGTTAACAAAAAACAATGAATTCAAACTATACTCTACAACAAATGGACTTAACAGATAATTACAGAACATTCTACCCAAATATACATTCTATTCATCAGCACATGGAACATTCTTCAAGATATAAGATAGTCCATAAACAAGTCTCAGTACATTAAGAAAATCAAAGTAATATCAAGAACTCTCTTAGAACACAGTGGAATAAAATTGAAAATCAACTCCAAAAGGAACTTCCAAAACCATGCAAATAAAGCAAATACATGGAAATTAAATAACCTGCTTCTGAACAATCATTGGTTTAACAATGAAATCAAGACAAAAATTTTAAAATTCTTTGAACTGAATGATAATAGTGTCACAACTTACCAAAACCTCTGGGTTACAGCAAAAGTGGTGCTATGAGGAAAGTTCATAGCATTAAATGCCTACATCAAAAAGTCTGAAAGAGCACAAACAAACAATCTAAGGTCACACCTCAAAAAATTGGAGAAACAAGAAAAATCCAAACCCAAAGCCAGCAGAAGAAAAGAAATAATGAAGATCAGAGCAGAAATAAATGAAATTAAAACAAAAAAATTACAAAAGATAAATGAAACAAAAAGCTGGTTCTTTGATAAGATAAAAAAATTGATAGACCATTAATGAGATTAACCAAGAAAAGAGGAGAGAAAATCCAAATAAGGTCAATAAGATATGAAATGGGAGATATTAAAACTGATACAACAGAAATATAAAAGATTTTTGAAGGCTACTATTAACACCTTTACATGCAAATACTAGAAAATCCAGAGGATATGGATAAATTTCTGAAAATACACAACCCTCCTAGATTAAACTAAGAAGGTATAGAATCTCTAAACAAGCCAATAACAAGCAGCAAGATTGAAATGGTAATTTAAAAATTGCCAAGAAAAAAAAGTCCAGGACCAGACAAATTCAGAGCTGAATTCTATGAGATATTCAATGGAGAACTGATAACAATCTTATTGACACTATTCCAAAACACAGAGAAAGAGGGAATCCTCCCTAAATCATTCTAGGAAGCCAGTATCACCCTAATGCCAAAATCAGGAAATAACATAAAAAAAGAAAACTACAGACCAATATCCCTGAAAAACATAGATGCAGAATCCTCAAAAAAATACCAGCAAACTGAGTCCAACAGCATATCAAAAAGATAATCTACCATAATCAAGTGGGTTTCATACCAGGGATGCAGAGATGGTTTAACATATGTAAGTCAATAAATGTGATACATCCAATAAACAGAATCAAAAACAGAAATAACATAATGATCTCAATAGACACAAAGAAGGCATTAAAAAAATCCAGCATCCCTTTACATAGAAAACTTCCAGCAAAATTGGCATAGCATGGACATAACTTAATGTAATAAAAGCCATCTATGACAAACCTACAGCCAACATTATAATGAACAGGGAAAACTTTGAAAGCATAGCCACTCAGAACTGGAACAAGACATGATTCCCACTTTAACCACTTCTATTCAACATAGTACTGGAAGTCTAGCCAGAGAACTCAGACAAGAGAAAGAAATAAAGGGTATCCAAATCAGTAACGAGGAAGTCAAACTGTCACTGCTTGCTGATGATATAATCATACACTTAGAAAACCCTAAAGACTCATCCAAAAAGCTCCTAGCTCTGGTGAATGAACTCAGTGAAGATTCAGTATAAAAAATTAATTTACACAAATCAGTAGCTCTGCTATACACCAACAGTGAACAAACTGAAAATCAAATCTATAACTCAACCCCTTTCACAAGAGTTGCAAAAAAAAAAAAAAAAGAAACAACAACAACTTAGGAATCTACCTACCCAAGAACATGAAAGGACTCTACAAGAAAACTATATTACACTGCTGAAAGAAATCATAGATGACAAAACAATAGAAACACATCCTATGCTCATGGATGGGTAGAATCAATATTGTGAAAATGACCATACTGCCAAAAGCATTCTACAAATTCAATGCAATTCGAATCAAAATACCACCATCATTCATCACAGAACTAGAAAAAAAACATGGTATTCAAATGAATAGAAGAAGGGGGAATCCTCCTTAACTCATTTTATGAGGCCAGCATCATCCTGATACCAAAGCCTGGCAGAGACACACACACACAAAAAGAGAATTTTAGAACAATATCCTTGATGAACATTGATGTAAAAATCCTCAATAAAACACTGGCAAACCGAATCCAGCAGCACATCAAAAAGCTTATCCACTATGATCAAGTCAGCTTCATCCCTGGGATGCAAGGCTGGTTCAACATACGCAAATCAATAAATGTAATCCATCAAATAAACAGAACCAAGACAAAAACCACATGATTTTGTCAACAGATCCAGAAAAGGCCTAGGACAAAATTCAACAGCATTTCATGCTAAAAACTCTCAATAAACTAGGCATTGATGGGATGTATCTCAAAATAAAAAGAGCTATTTATGACAAACCCACAGCCAATATCATACTGAATGGGCAAAAACTGAAAGCATTCCCTTTGAAAACTGGCACAAGACTTGTTAACTTTCTGTCTTGTTGATCTGTCTAATGTTGACAGTTGGGTGTTAAAGTCTCCCATTATTATTGTGTGGGAGTCTAAGTCTCTTTGTAGGTCTCTAAGGACTCACTTTATGAATCTGGGTGCTCCTGTATTGGATGCATATATATTTAGGATAGTTAGCTCTTCCTGTTGAATTGATCCCTTTACCATTATGTAATGGCCTTCTTTGTCTCTTTTGATCTTTGCTGGTATAAAGTCTGTTTTATCACAGACTAGGATTGCAACCCCTGCCTTTTTTTGTTGTCCATTTGCTTGGTAGATCTTCCTCCATCCCTTTATTTTGAGCCTATGTGTGTCTCTGCACGTGAGATGGGTTTCCTGAATACAGCATACTGACGGGTCTTGACTCTTTATCCAATTTGCCAGTCTGTCTCTTTTAATTGGAGAACTTAGTCCATATACATTTAAGGTTAATAATGTTATGTGTGAATTTGATCCTGTCATTAAGATGTTAGCTGGTTATTTTGCTTGTCAGTTGATGCAGTTTCCTCCTAGCCTCGATGGTCTTTACAATTTGGCATGTTTTTGCAGTGGCTGGTACTGGTTGTTCCTTTCCATGTTAGTGCTTCCTTCAGGAGCTCTTTCAGGGCAGGCCTGGTGGTGACAAAATCTCTCAGCATTTGCTTGTCTGTAAAGGATTTTATTTCTCCTTCATTTATGAGGCTTAGTTTGGCTGGGTATGAAATTCTGGGTTGAAAATTCTTTTATTTAAGAATGTTGAATATTGGCCCCCACTCTCTTCTAGCTTGTAGACTTTCTTGAATTGAACTCAGCTCTGCACCAAGCAGACCTAATAGACATCTACAAAACTCTCCACCCCAAATCAACAGGATATACATTCTTCTCAGCACCACACCACACTTATTCCAAAACTGACCACACAGTTGGAAGTAAAGCACTCCTCAGCAAATGCAAAAGAACAGAAATTATAACAAACTGTCTCTCAGACCACAGTGCAATAAAACTAGAACTCAGGATTAAGAAACTCATTCAAAACCGCTCAACTACATGGAAACTGAACAACCTGCTCCTGAATGACTACTGACTACATAAGGAAATGAAGGCAGAAATAAAGATGTTCTTCGAAACCAACGAGAACAAAGAAAGACACAACATACTAGAATCTCTGGGACACATTCAAAGCAGTGAGTAGAGGGAAATACTAAATGCCCACAAAAGAAAGCAGAAAAGATCTAAAATTGACACCTTAACATCACAATTAAAAGAACTAGAGAAGCAAGAGCAAACACATTCAAAAGCTAGCAGAAGGCAAGAAATAACTAAGATCACAGCAGAAATGAAGGAAATAGAGACACAAAAACCCTTCAAAAAATCAATGAATCCAGGAGCTGGTTTTTTGAAAAGATCAACAAAATTGATAGACTGCTAGCAAGACTAATAAAGAAGAAAAGAGAGAAGAATCAAATAGACGGAATAAAAAATAATAAAGTGGATATCACCACCGATCCCATGGAAATACAAACTACCATCAGAGAATACTATAAACACCTCTAGGCAAATAAACTAGAAAATCGAGAAGAAATGGATAAATTCCTTGACACATGCACCCTCCCAAGACTAAACCAGGAAGAAGCTGATTCTCTGAATAGACCAATAACAGGCTCTGAAATTGAGGCAATAATTAATACCTTACCAACCAAAAAAACTCCAGGACCAGACGGATTCACAGCCGAATTCCACCAGAGGTAAAAGGAGGAGCTGGTACCATTCCTTCTGAAATTATTCCAATCAATGGAAAAAGAGGGTATCCTCCCTAACTCATTTTATGAGGCCAGCATCATCCTGATACCAAAGCCGGGCAGAGACACAACCAAAAAAGAGAATTTTAGACCAATATCCCTGATGAACATTGATGCAAAAATCCTCAATAAAATACTGGCAAAAAGAATCCTGCAGTACATCAAAAAGCTTATCCACCATGATCAAGTGGGCTTCATCCCTGGGATGAAAGACTGGTTCAACATATGCAAATCAATAAACATAATCCAGCATATAAATAGAACCAATGACAAAAACCACATGATTATCTCAATAAATGTAGAAAAGGCCTTTCACAAAATTCAACAACTCTTCATGCTAAAAAACTCTCGATAAATTTGGTATTGATGAGACGTATCTCAAAATAATAAGAGGTATCTATGACAAACCCACAGTGAATATCATACTGAAAGGGCAAAAACTGGAAGCATTCCCTTTGAAAACTGGCACAAGACAGGGATGCCCTCTGTCACCACTCCTATTCAACATAGTGTTGGAAGTTCTGGCCAGGACAATCAGGCAGGGGAAGGAAATAAAGGGTATTCAATTAGGAAAAAAGGAAGTCAAATTGTCCCTGTTTGCAGATGACATGACTGTATATCTAGAAAACCCCATCGTCTCAGCCTAAAATCTCCTTAAGCTGATAGGCAACTTCAGCAAAGTCTCAGGATACAAAATCAACATGCAAAAAATCAGAAGCATTATTACACACCAATAACAGACAAACAGAGAGCCAAATCATGAGTGAACTCCCATTCACAATTGCTTCAAAGAGAATAAAATACCTAGGAATCCAACTTACAAGTGATGTGAAAAACCTCTTCAAGGAGAACTACAAACCTCTGCTCAATGAAATAAAAGAGGATACAAACAAATGGAAGAACATTCGATGCTCATGGATAGCAAGAATCAATATCGTGAAAATGGCCATACTGCCCAAGGTAATTTATAGATTCAATGCAATCCCCATTAAGCTACCAATGACTTTCTTCACAGAATTGGAAAAAACTAATTTAAAGTTCACATGGAATCAAAAAAGAGCCTGCACTGCCAAGTTAATCCTAAGTCAAAAGAACAAAGCTAGAGGCATCACGCTACCTGACTTCAAACTATACTACAAGGCTACAGTAACCAAAACAGCATGGTACTGGTACCAAAACAGACATATAGACCAATGGAACTGAACAGAGCCCTCAGAAATAATGCCACTTATCTACAACCATCTGATCTTTGACAAACCTGACAAAAACCAGAAATGGGGAAAGGGTTCCCTATTTAATAAATGGTGCTAGGAAAACTGGCTAGCCATATGTAGAAAGCTGAAACTGGATCCCTTCCTTACACCTTATACAAAAATTAATTCAGGATGGATTAAAGACTTAAATATTAGACCTAAAACCATAAAAATCCTAGAAGAAAACCTAGGCAATACCATTCAGGACATAGGCATGGGCAAGGACTTCATGTCTAAAACACCAAAAGCAATGGCAACAGAAGCCAAAATTGACAAATGGGATCTAATTAAACTAAAGAGATTGTGCACTGCAAAAGAAACTATCATCAGGGTGAGCAGGCAACCTACAGAATGGGAGAAAATTTTCACAACCTACTCATCTGACAAAGGGCTAATATCCAGAATCTACAATGAACTCAAACAAATTTACAAGAAAAAAACAACTGCATCAAAAAGTGAATGAAGGATATGAACGGACACTTCTCAAAAGAAGACATTTATGCAGCCAACAGAGACATGAAAAAATGCTCATCATCACTGGCCATCAGAGAAATGCAAATCAAAACCACAATGAGATACCATCTCACAACAGTTAGAATGGTGATCATTAAAAAGTCAGGAAACAACAGGTGCTGGAGAGGATGTGGAGAAATAGGAACACTTTTACACTGTTGGTGGGACTGTAAACTAGTTCAACTCTTGTGGAAGTCAGTGTGGCGATTCCTCAGGGATCTAGAACTAGAAATACCATTTGACCCAGCCATCCGATTACTGGGTATACACCCAAAGGATTATAAATCATGCTGCTAGAAAGACACATGCACACGTATGTTTACTGCAGCACTATTCACAATAGCAAAGACTTGGAACCAACCCAAATGTCCAACAATGATAGATTGGATTAAGAAAATGTGGCACATATACACCATGGAATACTATGCAGCCCTAAAAAAGGATGAGTTCATGTCCTTTGTAGGGACATGGATGAAGCTGGAAACCATCATTCTGAGGAAACTATCGCAAGGACAGAAAACCAAACACCGCATGTTCTCACTCATAGGTGAGAATTGAACAATGAGAACACATGGACACAGGAAGGGGAACATCACACACCGGGGCCTGTTGTGGGGTGGGGGGTGGGGAGGGATAGCATTAGGACATATACCTAATGTTAAATGAGAAGTTAATGGGTGCAGCACACCAACATGGCAAATGTATACATATGTAACAAACCTGCAGGTTGTGCACATGTACCATAAAGCTTAAAGTATAATAAAAAACAAAAAAAAAGAAAACTGTCACAAGACAGGTATGTCCTCTCTCACCACTCTTATTCAACATAGTGTTGGAAGTTCTGGACGAGGCAATCAGGCAGGAGAAAGAAATAAAGGGTATTCAATTAGGAAAAGAGGAAGTCAAATTGTCCCTGTTTGCAGATGACATTTCTAAATATTTAGAAAACCCCATCTTCTCAGCCCAAAATCTCCTTAAGCTGATAAGCAACTTCAGGAAAGTCTCAGGATACAAAATCAATGTGCAAAAATCACAAGCATTCCTCTACACCAATAACAGACAAACAGAGAGCCAAATCATGAGTGAACTCCCATTCACAATTGCTTCAAAGAGAATAAAATACCTAAGAATCCAACTTACGTGCGATGTCAAGGACCTCTTCAAGGAGAACTACAAACCACTGCTCAAGGAAATCAAAGAGGACACAAACAAATGGAAGAACATTCCATGCTCCTGTTTAGGAAGAATCAATATCATGAAAATGGCCATATTGCCCAAGGTAATTTATAGATTCAATGCCATCCCCATCACGCTACCAATGACTTTCTTCGCAGAATTGGAAAAAACTACTTTAAAGCTCATATGGAACCAAAAAAGAGCCCACATTGCCAAGACAATCCTAAGCTAAAAGAACAAAGCTGGAGGCATCATGCTACCTGACTTCAAACTATACTACAAGGCTACAGTAACCAAAACAGCATGGTACTGGTACAAAAACAAAGATATAAACCAATGGAACAGAACACACCCTCCAGAAATAATACCATACATCTAGAACCATCTGATCTTTGACAAACCTGAGAAAAACAAGCAATGGGGAAAGGATTCCCTGTTTAATAAATGGTGCTGGGAAAACTGGATAGCCATATGTAGAAAGCTGAAAATGGATCCCTTCCTTATACGTTATACAAAAATTAATTCAAGATGGATTAAAGACTTAAATGTTAGACCTAAAAGCATAAAAACCCTAGAAGAAAACCTAGGCAATACCATTCAGGACATAGGCATGGGGAAGGACTTCATGACTAAAACACCAAAACCAATGGCAACAAAAGACAAAATTGACACATGGGATCTAATTAAACTAAAGAGCTTCTGCTCAGGAAAACAAACTACCATCAGAGTGAACAGGAAACCTACAGAATGGGAGAAAATTTTTACAATCTACCCATCTGACAAAGGTCTAATATCCATATTCTACAAAAAAACTTAAACAAATTTATGAGAAAAAATCAAACAACCCCATCAAAAAGTGGGCGAAGGATATGAACAGACAATTCTCAAAAGAAGACCTTTATGCAGCCAACAGAGACATGAAAAAATGTTCATCATCACTGGCCATCAGAGAAATGCAAATCCAAACCACAATGAGATACCATCTCACACCAGTTAGAATGGCGATCATTAAAAAGTCAGGAAACAACAGGTGCGGGAGAAGATGTGGAGATATAGGAATACTTTTACATTGTTCATGGGACTGTAAACTAGTTCAACCATTGTGGAAGACAGTGTGGCAATTCCTCAAGGATCTAGAACTAGACATACCATTTGACCCAGCCATCCCATTCCTGGGTATATACCCAAAGGATTCCAAATCATGCTGCTGTAAAGACACATGCACATGTATGTTTATTGTGGCACTATTCACAATAGCAAAGACTTGGAACCAACCCAAATGTCCAACAATGATCAACTGGATTAAGAAAATGTGGCACATATACACCATGGAATACTATGCAGTCATAAAAAAGGATGAGTATGTCCCTTGCAGAGACATGGATGAAGCTGGATACCATCATTCTGAGCAAAGTATCACAAGAACAGAAAACCAAACACTGCATGTTCCCATAGGTTGGAATTGAACAATGAGAACACTTGGACACAGGGTGGGGAACATCACACACTGAGGCCTGTTGTGGTTTGGGGGGAGGGGGGAAGGATAGCATTAGGAGATATACCTAATGTAAATGACGAGTTAACAGGTGTAGCACACCAACATGGCACATGTATACACATGTAACAAACCTGCATGTTGTACACATGTACCCTAGAACTTAAAGTATAATAAAAAAAAGAAAAAAAATCCTAAAATTGAAATGGAACCAGAAAAGAGCGTGCATACCCAAAGCAAGTCTTAGCAAAAAGAACAAATCTGGAAGCAACACATTATCTGACTTCAAACTATATTATAAGGCCATAGTCACCAAAACAACATGGTATTGGTATAAAAATAGGCACATAGACCAATGGAACAGAATAGAGAACCCATAAATAAACCCAAATACTTACATCCAACTGATGTTAGACAAAGCAAACAGAAACGTAAAGTGAAGAAAGGACATCCTATTCAACAAATGGTGCTGGGATAATTGGCAAGCTATATGTTGAAGAATCCAAGTGGATCTCATCTCTTACCTTATACAAAAATCAACTCAAGATGGCTCAAAGACTTAAATCTAAGACCTGAAACTGTAAATATTCTAGAATATAACATCAGAAAAACCCTTCTGGAAATCGGCTTAGGCAACGACTTCATGACCAAGAACCCAAAAGCAAATGCAACAGAAACAAAGATAAATAGATGGGACCTACTTAAACTAAAAAGCTTCTGCACAGTAAAATAAATAATCAGCAGAGTTAACACACAACCCACAGACTGGGAGAAAATCTTCACAGTTGATACATCTGACAAAGGACTAATATCAAGAATCTAAAAGGAACTCAAATGAACAAGAAAAAAACAATCCCATCAAAAAAGTAAGGAAAGGACATGAAGAGACAGTTCTCAAAAGAAGACATACAAATGGCCAAAAAGCATATGGAAAAATGCTCAGCATCACTAATGATCAGGGAGATGCAAATCGAAATCACAATGTGATATCATCTAACTCTTGCAGGAATGGTCATTATCAAAAAATTAAAAAAATACATGCTGGCATCAATGTAGTGAAAAGGGAAGGCTTTTATACTGTAGGTGGGAATGTAAACTGGTAGAACCACTACGGAAAACAGTGGGGGAGATTCCCTAAAGTACTAAAAGTAGGTCTACTGTTTGATTCAGCAATCCCACTACTAGGTATCTACCCAGAGGAAAACAAGGCATTATACGAAAAAGATACTTGCACATGCATGTTTATAGCAGCACAATTTGCAATTGCAAAAATATGGAACCAGTCCAAATGCCCAACAATCAATGAGTAGATAAAGAAAATGTGGTAAATATATACCATTGAATAGTATTTAGCAAAAAAAAAATGAATGAAATAATGGCATTCACAGCAACCTGCATGGAAGTGCAGACTATTATTTTAAGTGAAGTAACTCAGGAATGGAAAACCAAATATCATCATGTTTTCACTCATATGTTGGAGCTAAGCTATGAGGATGCAAAGGCATAAGAATAGTACATTGGACTTTGGGGACTCGGGTAAAAGGGTGGGGGGTGGCGAGGGATAAAAGTCTACACATTGGGTACAGTTTACCCGGCTTGGATGATGGGTGCACCAAAATCTCAGAAATCACTACTAAAGAACTTATTCATGTAATCACATACCACCTGTTCCATAAAACCTATGGAAACAGAAAAATAAAAAAAAATAAAAATTTCATGTGCCCCCTAAATATATAAACCTATTATGTACCCACAAAAATTTTAAAACTTTTTAACGTAAAAAATACATTGTAAACATTTGTGGAAAGTAAAAAAAAAAAAAAAAAAAAAAAAAAAATCCTGAGACACAACTAACGCAGTGCTGAAAGAGAAATTAATAGCACTAACTGAATAAGTCAAAAAAGAATAAAAGTCTCAAGTTCATAATCTGAGCTCCCACCTCAAGAACCTAGAAACAGAACATAATCCCAAAACAAGTGAAAGAAAGGAAATAGTAAATAAAATCAGATAAATCAATGAACTTGAATAAATTATTTTAATATTAGAGAAAAATCAATTAAACAAATATCTGGTTCTCTGAAAATATCAATAAAATTAGTAAATCTCAATCAAGATGGACAAAGAAAAAGGTAAAAAACACAATTTATTAGTACCAAGAATGAAACGGGATGTGACTATAAAACCTGCACACATGAAAAGAATAATATGGTAATACTATGATGAGCTCTTCACACAGACATCTGACAACTTAGGTAAAATAAACTGTTTATTAAAAAATAGAAACTCTCACAAGAAATTCAATATGAAATATATTATTAGAATAGCTCTAGAACTCTAGAGAAAATTGAATTCATAATTTTAAAACTCCCAAAAAGAAAACTCCAATCACAGATGGTTTCACCAAGTCTACCAAGTATTAAAAGAATTATAACCAATTGTTTATAATCTTTTCCAGAATGTAAAGAACTCTTTCCAATTCATTTTATGAAGCTACTATTTCACTGATATCAAATTTAGAACAAAAAAACAGTACAAGAAAACTGCAGACCAATATCCCTCATGAACAAAATACAAAAATCTTTAGCAGACTACTGGCAAATAAACTTCTGCAGAAAATTTTAATATGTATCATGACCTACTGGGCTTCATTCCAGTGGTATAAGACTTGCTCAATATTCAAACATACAAAAATCAATGTACTTCACCATATTAACAGGCTAAAGATGAATATATATATATATATATATATATATATATATATATATATACAAGCATATCTCAGATATTGCGGTTTCAGTTCCACACAACTGCCTAAAGCAAGTATCGCAATAAAGTGAGTCACATAAATTTTTCTGTTTCCCAGTGCATACAGAAGTTATTTTTATACTATACTTCAGTCTCTTAAGTGTGCAATAGCATTATGTCTAGAAATGTACATACCTTAATTTAAAAATACTTCATTGTTAAAAATGCTATCTGAGCCTTCATTGAGTTGGAATGTTTTTGCTAGTGGGAGGTCTTTCCTCGATGTTGACAGCTGCTGACTGATCAGCGTGGTGGTTCCTGAAGGTTGGAGTGCTGTGGCGTTTTCTTAAAATAAGACAACAATGAAGTTTGCAACATCAATGGATTCTCATGCAAGATTTCTCTCTAGCATGCAATGCTTTTAGATAGCATTTTTTTTTTTTATAAAACAAGGTCTCATTCTCTCACCCAGGTTGGAATGCAGTGGTGTAATCATGGCTCACTGCAACCTCAAACTCCTGGCCTCAAGTGATCCTCCCACCTTGGTCTCCCAAATCACTGGGATTACAGGCATGAGCCCACACACCTTGCCTGATAGCATTTTACCCACATTAGAACTTCTCTCAAAACTGGAGTCAATCCTCTCAAATCCTGCCACTGCTTAATCAACTAGGTTTACATAATATTCTAAATCTTTTGTTGTCATTTCAACAATGTTCATAGCATCTTCACCAGGAGCAGATTCCTCTCAAGAAACCACTTTTTTGCTGAGCCATAAGAAGCAACTCTTCATCCGTTATAGTTGTATCATGAAATTGCAGCAATTCTGTCACATCTTCAGGCTCCACTTCTAATTCTACTTGTCTTGCTATCTCCATCACATCAACAGTGGCTTCCTCCACGGAAGCCTTTAACCCCTCAATGTCATCCATAAGGGTTGGAATCAACATATTCCAAATTCCTGTTAATGTTGATATTTTGACTTCCTCCCCTGAAGTACAAATGTCCTTAATGGCATCTATAACACTGAATCATTTCCAGAAGGTTTTCAATTTATTTTTCCAAGATCCATCAGAAGAATCATTATCTCTGGCAGCTAGAGCCTTATGAAATGTATTTCTTAAATAAGACTTGAAAGTCAGAATTACTCATTGATCCACAGGCTGTAGAAGGGATATTCTGTTATCAAGCATGAAAACAACATTAATCTGTTTGTACATCTCCATCAGAGCTCTTCAGTGACTAGATGCATTGTCAATAAGCAGTAATATTTTAAGAGGAGTCCTTCTGAGCAGTAGGTCTCAACAGTGGGCTTAAAATATTCAGTACACCATGCTGTAAACAGGTATGCTGTCATCCAGGCTTTATAGTTCCATCTATAGAGCTTAGACTTAGTAGATTTAGCATAATTTTTAATGGTCCTAGGATTTTAGAATGGTAAATGAGCATTGGCTTCAACTTAAAGTCACCATCTGCATTAGCCCCTAACAAGAGAGTCAGCCTGTGCTTTGAAGCCAGACATTGACTTCTCCTAGATGGCAGCTCCTTCCAATAGAAGGGTTTTAACAACATTCAAAATCTGCTGTCTATTGTAACCACCTTCCTCAACTATCTTAGCTAGTTCTTGTGGAGTACTTGCTGCAGCTTTTCCATCAGCACTTGCTGCTTCACCTTGTATTTTTATGTTATGAAGACAGCTTCTTTCCTTAAACCTCATGAACCAACTTCTGGTAGCTTCCAATTTTTATTCCGCAGTTTCTTCACCTCTCTCAGCCCTCATATAATTGAAGACAGTTAGGGCCTTGCTCTGAATTAGGCTATGGCTTAAGGGAATTTTGTGGCTTATTTGATCTTCTATCCAGGCCATTAGAAGTTTCTTCCTACCACCAATAAGACAGTTTTACTTTCGTGTCATTTATGTGTTTACTGGAGTAGCACTTTTAATTTCTTTAAAGAACTTTTACTTTACACAACTTGGCTGTTTGGTGCAAGCAACCTGTTTTCAGACTATCTTGGCTTTCAAAATGCCCTCTTCACTAAGTGTAATCATTTCTGGCCTTTGATCTAAAGTGAGAAATATGCTACTCTTCTTTTCACTTGAACATTTAGAGGCCATTGTGTCTCAGAAAATAGGGAGACAAGACGAGAGGGAAAGAGACAGGAAATGGGAGGGGAAGGGGGTTAATGGCCAGTCCATGGAGTAATCAGAACACACACATTTATTGATTTAGTTTGTCATCTTATATGGGCATGGTTTGTGGCACCTCAAAACAATTAGAATATAGCATCAAAGATAACTGATCACAAATCACCATAATAGATATAATGACAATGAAAAAGGTTGAAATATTGTGAGAATTATCAAAATGCAACACATGCTTTTGGAAAAATGGCACCCATAGACTTGCTTGACATAGAGTTGCCAAAACCCTTCAATTTGTAAAAAAAAAAATAATAAAAAAATAAAAAAATAAAAATTGCAATACTTGCAAATTGCAATAAAGTGAAGCACAATAAGACAAAGTATATATATATCCTTCAGTGCAGAAAAAGCATTTGCTAAAATTCAACACATGTACATGATAAAGACTCTCTGAAAACCAGGAATACATGGGAACTTCCTCAACTTGATAACATCTACAAAATGCCTACAGCTAGCATTATACTTGATTGTGAAAAGCTGAATGTTTTCTCCCTACAATTAGGCACAAGGCAAGGATGTATGCTCTTACTACTCCTAATCGATATAGTTCTAGTCATTCCAGACACCGCAATAAGGCAAGATAAGGATATAACAGTATACAAATTGGAAAGGAAGAAATAATAGTATCCCTATTAGCAGATGATATACCGTCTATGTAGAAAATCCCAAGGCGCCCACAAAACACTCCCAGAACTAGTAAGTGAATTCAGCAAGGTCTCAGGATACAAGATCAACATAAAATCAAATGTATCTCTAAATATGAGCAATGACCATGTGAACAACAAAATTAAAAATACAATACCATTTATAATTTACATTTGGCCAAAAGGCTGAAATACTTAGGTATAAATATAACAAAATATAGAGAGGATCTGTATGCTGAAAACTACACAATGCTGATGAAAAAGTATTAGGGGAGATCTAAATAGATGCAGAGATATGAATTCATGGATTGGAATACTTAAAATAGAAATATGTCAATTTTCCCTAAATAAATATACAGACTTAACACAATTCCTACAAAAATCCTAGCAAGATATTTGGTAGATATAGACAAGATTATTCTAAAATGTATATGGAAAGATAAAGAAACTAAAACAGTTAAAACAATTTTGAAAAGAAGAAAGTGGAAAGAAACATTCTTCCTGATTCGAACAGTAATCAAGATTGTGTGGAATTAATGCTGGAATAGACAGGCTAGTGGAACAGAAATAGACCCACATAAATATGCCTAATTTTTGACAGAGGTGCAAATTCAAGTTGCCTTTTCAAAAATGGAATGCTGGAGCAATTGTGCATCCATAGGTAATAAACCTCTATCTGATTCTTATGTCTTATACCAAAGTTACTCAAAATGGATCAGAGACTTAAATGTAATACAACAAACTATAAAACTTTTAGCAAAAAAAAAAAAAGCAGAAGAAAATACATAGGATCTAGGGCTAGGCAGAATTTTTAGACTTAACACCAAAAGCACAATGCATAAAAGAAAAATTGATAGACTGAATTTTATCAAATATAAAATTTTTGTTCTGCAAAATACCCTGTTAAGAAGATGAAAGACAAACTACAGGCTAGGAGAAAATATTTAACTGCATATCCAATAAAGGACCAGTATCTAGAATGTAGTCTCAAAACTCAAGAGTAAAAATAAATCAAATTAGAAAGTAAGTAAAAGGCATGAAAATACATTTTAGCAAAGAGGATATACAGATGGCAAACACGCACATAAAAAGATGATCAACATCACTAGCCACTAAGGAAATGCAAATTAAAAACACAAATGAGATATCACTGCACACCTGTCAGATGGGCTAAAATACAAAGTAGTCCAATAAGCACAGGAAAAGATGCTCAGCATCATTGCTCATTAGGGAAATGCAAACCAAAACCATGAGATACACTTCATGCCCACTAGGATGGCTATTAACAAAATGATAATAACAAGTGTTTATGAAGATGTGGAGAAATTAGAACCCTTATACATTTGCTGGAGGGAATATAAAATGGTACGTCTATTTTGCAAAACAGTCTAACAGTTTCTCAGTAAATTAAATATAAAGTTAGCACATGACCCGGCAATTCCACTCCCTGGGTGTACACTCATGAGAACTGAAACAATGTGTCACCAAAAAGACTTGTACAAAAATGTTCATAGCAGCATTATTCATAACAACCAAAAGATAGAAACAACCCAAATGTTCATTAACTAGTGAATGGATAAACTACATGTAGTACATCTATAAATGGAATATTGTTTGGGCATTAAAATGAATGAAGTACTGATACAGGCTACCACATGCATAGACCTAGAAAACATACGAAGTGGAAGAAACTAGTCACAAAAGACCACAAATGTTATGATTACATTTAGATGAAATGCTCAGAATAGACAAAGCTGTTAAAACAGAAAGTAGATTAGTGGTTGCCTTGGGCTGGAGGAAATGCGTTGATTAGGGGATGATGGCTAAGAGATGCAGGATTTATTTTTGGGGTAATGAAAATGTTCTAACATGAATTGTAATGGAATCATAACTTTGAAAATACTAAAAGCCATCAAATTGTACACTTTAAGCAGGTGCATTGTATGATGTATAAATTATATCTCAGTAAAGGTGTCCCCAAAGTAAAATAAAATGATGAAGGCAACAATAATCTGGTGGCTAATAAGAGTATTTTAGTCATTATGTACTCTAGGAATATACTGAAGGAGGTTGCTTATGTTGAATTGTACTAGTACCTGAATTAACCCTGAAGTACTGGCACCATGGTAAAACTGGACGTTTCAGGCAAAAGCTGGGGCAAACCCAGAAAACCTTGGAGATATGTATAGTCAGCATTACATAATCATGTTTTGGTCAACAATGGATCACATATACGATGGTGGTCCCATAAAATTATGATAGAGCTGAAAAATTCCCATCATCTAGTGACTCTGCAACCATTATAACATTGTAGCATAAGACATTACTCATATGTTCATGGTGATGCTGGTGTAAACAAACATACTATGCTGCCAGTCATACAAATGTAGAGCATATGCAATTATATACAGTAAATAATATTTGACAATGATAATAAACAACTATGTTACTGGTTTCTGTATTTACTTCACTATACTTTTTATTGTTAGAGTATACACTTTCTACTTAGTTTTTTTTTTTTTAAGTTAACTGTAAAACAGCCTCAGGCAAGTCCTCCAGGAGGTATTCCAGAAGGCATTGTTATCATAGTAGGTGACAGCTTCATGCATGTTATCGCCCCTGAAGATCTTCTAGTGGCACAAGATGTGGAAGTAGAAGAGAGTGATATTGATGATCCTGGCCCTGCGTTGGCCTACGCTAATGTGTGTGTGTCTTCATTTTGACAAAAAGTTTTAAAAGTTAAAAAAAATTAAATTAAATTAAAATTGAAAAGCTTATAGACTAAGGATATAAAGAATATATATTGTATAGCTATACAATGTGTTTGCGTTTTAAGCTAAGTGTTACTATAAATAAATTAAAAAATTAAAATGTTTTTAAAATTCACGAAGTTAAAAGTTATAGTAAGCAAAGGTTAATTTATTATTAAAAATTTAAAAATAAATTTTCTGTAGCCTAAGCATACAGTGTTTATAAAGTCTACAGTATGTATAGCAATGTCCTAGGTTTTCACATTCAATCGCCACTCACTCACTGACATACCCAGAGCAACTTCCAGTTCTGCAAGCTCCATTCACCATAAGTGTCAAATACAGGTGTACCATTTTTAATCTTTTATACCATATTTTTACTGTCCATTTTCTATGTTTAGAGACACAAACACTTGTCTTTGGGTTACAACTGCCTGCAGTATTTACTATAGTAACAGCTGGAGAAGTTTGCAGCCTAGGAGCACGAGGCTATACCATATAGTCTAGTTGTGTAATAGACTTGTATTAGTCCATTCTAATGCTGCTATAAAGAACTGCCCGAGACTAAGAAAGAGGTTTGACTCACAGTTTCGCAGGGCTTGGGAGACCTCAGGAAACTTACAATCATGGTGGAAAAGGAGGCAAACATGTCCTTCACATGGCAGCAAAAGGGAAAAGTGCCGAGCCGTAGGGGGAAAGCCCCTTATAAAACCATCAGATCTCGTGAGAACTCACTCAATATCACGAGAATAGCATGAGGGTAACTGCTCCCATGATTAAATTACCTTCCACCGGGTCCATCCCATGACACATGGGGATATGGGAACTACAATTCAAGGTGAGATTTAGGTGGGGACACAGAGCTAAACCATATCGAGGTATATCATCTAGGTTTGTGTAAGTATACTCTATGATACTCACATAATGACAAAATTGCCTAACAATCCATTTCTCAGAAAGAATCCCTACAGTTAAGTGATACATGACTGTACTCCAATGGTGCCCACCTGATGACTAGACACCCCTTTTTTCGGTAGCCTCTTTGTTAACACTGACCTAGGTCTTTATTGTCTCATAACTGATGACCAAAATCTACTAATTGGTCTTTTTCCTTTTATTCTCTGCCCCACAAAGCTTTTGCCTACATTTACAGCCATATTTGCACATCCCTGCCTCATCTCCTTTTGAGTTAAAAAGTTCTAGTAGCACTCCACTCTCAAGAGCTAAACATGCAAAGTTTGTCATTCAAGGTCCTTCCTAATCTGACCACCTCCTAACTTTTGCACTCTTTAACATACTCCCCAGGTGATCTCATTCACCTCTTCTTTTTTAAACTATCAACTAAGTTACTAATGGCTTCCATATCTAGATCTCCAATCTCAACCTACATTCATGTGAGTATCCATCTCCACGTGAATATCTTTCATAGGTACTTCACAGGCTCTGGAACCAGATTGAGTTTGAATCTCGGCTTCAACTTGTGCTGTGTGACCCTGGAAAAGTTACATAATCTTATATGAAAATTGGAATACTAATAATTGTACCTACCTCATAGGATTGTTATGAGAATTAAATTAATACATGTAAATTGCTTAAGACACTGACTGTAGTGTGGTAAGTGCTCAGTTCATGTTAGCTTAAATTATAATTACTATTATTCACCAAACTGAACGTATCATCTTCCTGTCTTACTTGGTCCTTCCCATGTGTTTTTTCCTTGTTATCTCTCCAGGCTCTGCAACCAAAAACTTGGGACTCTTAACTACCTCCTTCCCTTTCTTCTTATTAAATCAAGAACCAATACGAAATGGTTTTACCCATATTATTCTTAGTCTTTTTTCTCTATCACTATTACCTATACTCGATTTTAGGCATTCATTTCCTTTAAGAACTATAATACCTCCTACACAATCTCCCTTCCTCTGATCTTGTCTTCTTCAAATCCATCCTCTAAACTACCCACAGAGCAATGTACATAAAAGATAAATTAAAACAAATACATGAAATGCAAGTCTGACCAAGTCATGTCCATATTTACAATTCTGTAATAGCAATCCATACACTTGCTTAAGTCCAAGCACAATGCCCTCCACGCTCCTCTCTACTTATCTAATTCATTACTATATCTGCCAATTTATCTACTCATCTAATTTATACCTTTAAATGCTATTAATGATTAGTGGATGCCCATGAGACCATAGCATTTGTGCAACCCTCAATCTATATTACCTTACAGTTCATTTCTTTATGAAAATATTCTCTTGAAGTATTGGGTTTTAATGCTCCCCAAAGTCAAGGACCATTGCTTACATCTCTCTATATATTTTACCTCATTAGTTTCTAAACTACAGGCCACAACCAATTAAATGAATTAAGTGTGTCACACTAGCATTGTTTTAAAAAATAAAACAGAATAACGGATATCAGAGAGCACTGCACATAATAAGAATAAAATGCCAGTTATCAATTTATTCACTTCAGTTCCAAGAGCTCTTCTCAGCAGACTCATCCAGTAAATGGTGAACAGCAGCATGCAGTGTCACCCCATGGGAAGATTCTCTCTGGCAACCCTTTAGGCATACAGTGCCATCAGTGTGGCTTCTTCCCATAAAATGCTTCCCTATCACCACCCAAGCAGTTTCCCAAAAAATGCTGCTCACATGACACCACATGAATGGCTACCCCTACTACCTCCTCAGGCAGCTTTGAAGTAGGCTCCAAGGCAGGGTACCTGTTCATGAATAATTCCCCATAGGATTCCAGAAAACAAATTTCCCCAGATTCTCTGTGAGTCATTTCAGTGTAGCATCTCAGCTAATTTCTCTACCAACCAGTGAGCCATGACCACGCCCTTTCCAGCAAGGTCTAGATCTCAGTCCTGGGCCATGGGAAAGATGGTCTTCTAGTTTTATTCCTTCCCTGGGCACTCTATCCCAGCACTAAGAGTAGTAGCTGCTCCCTATGTCCGCTATTCCTGTATTCTTTTTTTAAATTTTACTTTAAGTTCTGGGATATATCTGCTGAATGTGCAGGTTGGTTACATAGATTTACATGTGCCATGGTGGTTTGCTGCACCTATCAAACAGTCATTTAGGTTTTAAGCCCCACATGCACTAGATATTTGTCCTAATGCCCTCCCTCTTCTTGTCCCCCACCCCCCGACAGGCCCTGATGTGTGATGTTCCCCTTGCGGTGTCCATGTGTTCTCATTGTTCAACTCCCACCTATGAGTAAAAATTTGTGGTGTTTGGTTTTCTGTTCCAGTGTTAGTTTGCTGAGGATGATGGTTTCCAGCTTCATCCATATCCCTGCAAAGGACAGGAACTCATTCTTTTTATGGCTGCATAGTATTCCATGGTGTATATGTGCCACATTTTCTTTATCCAGTCTATCATTGATGGGCATTTGGGTTGGCTCCAAGTCTTTCCTATTGTAAAAAGTGCTACAATAAATATACGTGTGCATGTGTCTTTATAGTAGAATGATTTATAATCCTTTGGGTATATACACAGTAATGGGATTGCTGGGTCAAATGGTATTTCCGGTTCTAGATCCCTGAGGACTCACCACACTGTTTTCCACAATGGTTGAACTAATTTACACTCCCACCAATAGTGTACAACCATTCCTATTTCTCTACATCTTCCCCAGCATCTGTTGTTTCCAGACTTTTAATGATCACCATTCTAAATGGTGTGAGATGGTATCTCCTTTTAGTTTGATTTTCATTTCTCTAATGACCAGTGATAATGAGCTTTTTTTCATATGTTTGTTGGCCACATAAATGTCTTCTTTTGAGAAGTGTTTGCTCATATCCTTCATCCACTGTTTGATGGGTTTGATTTTTTTCTTGTAAATTTGAGCTCCTTGTAGATTTTGGATATCAAACCTTTGCAAACGGTTAGATTGCAAAAATTTTCTCCCATTCTGTAGGTTGTCTGGTCACTCTGATGATAGTTTCTTTTGCTGAGCAGAAGCTCTTTCATTTAATTAGATCCCATTTGTCAATTTTGGCTTTTGTTGCCATTGCTTTTGGTGTTTTAGTCATGAAGTCTTTGCCCATGCCTATGTCCTGAATGGTATTGCCTAGATTTTCTTCTAGGGTTTTCATGGTTTTAGGTTTTAAGTCTATAATCCATCTTGCATTAATTTTTGCATAAGGTGTAAGGAAGGGGTCCAGTTTCTGTTTTCAGCATATGGCTAGTCAGTTTTCCCAGCACCATTTATTAAATAGGAAATCAGTTCCTCATTTCTTGTTTTTGTGAGGTTTGTCAACAATCAGATGGTTGTAGACGTGTGGTGTTATTTCTGAGGCCTCTGTTCTGTTCCATTGGTCTATATATCTGTTTTGGTACCAGTATCATGCTGTTTTGGTTACTGTAGACTTGTAGTATAGTTTGAAGTCAGGTAGCATGATACCTCCAGCTTTGTTCTTTTTGCTTAGGATTGTCTTGGCTATGCAGGCTCTTTTATGGTTCCATATGAAATTTAAAGTAGTTTTTTCTAATTCTGTGAAGAAAGTCAATGGTAGCTTGATGATAATAGTATTGAATCTACAAATACTTTGGGCAGTATGGCCATTTTCACAATACTGATTCTTCCTATCCATGAAAATGGAATGCTTTTCCATTTGTTTGTGTCCTCTCTTATTTCGTTGAGTGTTGCGGGAAGTCAGGGACCCCAAACAGAGGGACTGGCTGAAGCCATGGCAGAAGAACATAAATTTTGAAGATTTCATGGACATTTATCAGTTCCCCACTTTTATAATTTCTTACGCCTGTCTTTACTGCAATCTCTGAACATAAATTGTGCAGATTTCACGGACATTATCACTTCCATAATCAATACTCTTGTGATTTCCTAGGCCTGTCTTTACTTTAATCTCTTAATCCTGTCATCTTAGTAAGCTGAGAATGTATGTCGCCTCAGCACCCTGTGATGATTGCGTTAACTGCACAAATTGTTTGTAAAGCATGTGTGTTTAAACAATATGAAATCTGGGCACCTTGAAAAAAGAACAGGATAACAGTAATGTTCAGGAAACAAGGGAGCTGACCATCAGGTCTGACTGCCTGAGAGCCGGGCGGAACAGAGCCATATTTCTCTTCTTACAAAAGCAAATAGGAGAAATATTGATGAATTCTTTTTCTCAGCAAGGAACAGCCCTGAGAAAGAGAATGCTTTCCTAGGGGGAGGTCTCTGAAATGGCCACTCTGGGAATGTCTGTCTTATACAGTTGCAGATAAGGGACGAAATAAGCCCCGGTCTCCCATAGTGCTCCCAGGCCTATTAGGACGAGGAAATTCCTGCCTAGTAAATTTCAGTCAGACCAGTTTTCTACTCTCAAACCCTGTCTCCTGATAAGATGTTATCAATGACAATGTGTGCCTGAAACTTCATTAGCAATTCTAATTTCACCCCGCTCCTGTGATCTTGCTCTGCCCCCATCTGCCTTGTGATATTTTATTGCCCTTGAAGCATGTGATCTCTGTGACCCACACCCTATTCGTACACCCCAACCCTTTTGAAATCCATAATAAAAACTTGCTGGGTTTGCGGTTCAGGGGGCATCACGGAACCTGCCGACATGTGATGTCTCCCCTGGACACCCAGCTTTAAAATTTCTCTCTTTTGTACTCTTTCCCTTTATTTTTACGTTGAATTATCGGGGACGGGTTCCCCTGATACTTGAGAAGTGGTTTTTGTTCTCCTTGAAGAAGTCCTTCACGTGCCTTGTAAGTTGTATTCCTAGGTATTTTACTCTCTTTGTAGCAATTGTGAATGGGAGTTCACTCATGATTTAGCTCTCTGTTTGTCTATTATTAGTGTATAGAAATGCTTGTAATTTTTGCACATTGATTTCTGTATCCTGAGACTTTGCTGACGTTGCTTATCTGCTTAAGGAGTATTTGGGCTGAGACGACAGGCTTTCTTAAATATACAATCATGTCATCTGCAAACAGAGACAATTTGACTTCCTCTCCTTCTATCTGAATACCTTTTATTTCTTTCTCTTGCCTGATTGCTCTGGCCAGAACTTCCAATACTGTGATGAATAGGAGTGGGGAGAGAGGGTATCCTTGTCTTGTGCCGGTTTTCAAAGGTAATGCTTCCAGCCTTTGCCCATTTGGTATGATATTGGCTATGGGTTTGTCATAAATAGCTCTTATTATTTTGAGATATATACCATCAATACCTAGTTTATGGAGAGTTTTTAGCTTGAAGGCGTGTTGAATTTTATCAAAGGCCTTTTTTTCACCTATTGAGCTAATCATGTGGTTTTTCTCATTGGTTCTGTTTATGTGATGGATTACATTTATTGATTTGCATAGGCTGAACCAGCCTTGCATCCCAGGGATGAAGCCAACTTGACCGTAGTGAATAAGCTTTTTGATGTGCTGCTGCGTTCGGTTTGCCAGTATTTTATTGAAGATATTTGCCTCGATGTTCATCAGGGATATTGGCCTAAAACTTTTCTTTTCTTGTTGTGTCTCTGCCAGGTTTTGGAATCAGGATGATGCTGGCCTCATAAAATGAGTTAGGGAGAAGTCCCTCTTTTTCTATTGATTGGAATAGTATCAGAAGGAATGGCTCCTATTAGTACTTCTGGAAGAATTAGGCTGTGCATCCATGTGGTCCTGGCTTTTTTGGTTGGTAGGTTGTTAATTACTGCCTCAATTTCAGAACTTGTTATTGGTCTATTCAGGGATTTGACTTCTTTTTGGTTTAGTCTTGGGAGGGTGTATGTGTCCAGGAATTCATCTATTTCTTCTAGATTTTCTAGCTTATTTGTGTAGAGGTGTTTATAGTATTCTCTGATGGTAGTTTGTATTTCTGTGAGATCAGTGGTGATGTCCCCTTTAACATTTTTATTGTGTCTATTTGATTCTTCTCTCTTTTCTTCTTTATTAGTCTAGCTAGTGGTTTATTTATTTTGTTAATCTTTTCAAAAAACCAGCTCCTCGATTCATTGATTTTTTTGAATGGTTTTTATTGTCTCTATCTCCTTCAGTTCTGCTCTGATCTTATTTATTGTCTTCTGCTAGCTTTTGAATTTGTTTGCTCTTGCTTCTCTAGTTATTTTAATGTGATGTTAGGATGTTGAGTTTAGATTTTTCCCGCTTTCTGATGTGGGCATTTAGTGCTATAAATTTCCCTCTAAACACTGCTTTAGCTGTATCCCAGAGATTCTGGTACATTGTATCTTTGTTCTCATTGGCTTCAAATAACATCTTTATTTCTGCGTTAATTTCATTATGTGCCCAGTAGTCATTCAGAAGCAGGTTATTCAGTTTCCATGTAGATGTGCCATTTTGAGTGAGTTTCTTAATCCTGAGTCCTAATTTTGTTGCTCTGTGGTCTGAGAGACTGTTTGTTATAATTTCCATTCTTTTGAATTTGCTGAGGAGTGTTTTACTTCCAACTATGAGGTCGATTTTAGAGTAACTGCTATGTGGTTCTGAGAAGAATGTATATTCTGCTGATTTGGGGTGGAGAGTTATGTAGATGTCTACTAGGTCTGCTTAGTCCAGAGCTGAGTTCAAGTCCTGAATAGCCTTGTTAATTTTGTCTCGTTGATCCAATGTTGACAGTGGGGTGTTATAGTCTCCCATTATTATTGTGTGGGAGTCTAAGTCTCTTTGTAGGTCTCTATGAACTTGTTTTATGAATCTGGGTGCTCCTGTATTGGGTGCATATATATTTAGGATAGTTAGCTCTTCTTGTTGCATTGATCCATTTACCATCATGTAATGTCCTTGTCTTTTTCATCTTTGTGGTTTAGTCTGTTTTATCAGAGACTAAGATTGTAACCCCTGTTTTTTTTTTTTTTTTTTTTTTTTTTTTGCTTTATCTTTGCTTGGTAAATATTCCTCCATCCCTTTATTTTGAGCCTATGTATGTCTCTGCATGTGAAATGGGTCTCCTGAATACAGCACACTGATGGGTCTTGACTCTTTATCCAACTTGCCACTCTGTGTCTTTTAATTGGGGCAATCAGCTCTTCTTGAGGAGTATCTTAGTGGTGTCTTCTGTATTTCCTGAATTTGAATGTTGGCCTGTCTTGCTAGGTTGTGGAAGTTCTCCCAAATAATATCCTGAAGTGTATTTAACAACTTGGTTCCATTCTCCCCATCACTTTCAGTGACCCCAATCAATCATAGGTTTGGTCTTTTCACATAGTCCCATATTTCTTGGAGGCTTTGTTCATTCCTTTTCATTCTTTTTTCTCTAATCTTGTCTTCATGCTTTATTTCATTAAGCTGACTTCAATCTCTGATATCCTTTCTTCCACTTCATCAATTCGGCTATTGATACTTCTGTATCCTTCACGAAGTTCTCGTACTGTGTTTTTCAGCTCCATCATCAGTTCATTTATGTTCTTCTCTAAACTGGTTATTCTAGTTAACAGTTTCTGTAACCTTTTGTGAAGGTTCTTAGCTTCCTTGCATTGGGTTAGAACATCCTCCTTTTGCTCAGAGGAGTTTGTTATTACCCACTTTCTGAAGCCTACTTCTGTCAATTTGTCAAACTCATTCTCTGTCCAGTTTGCACCCTTGCTGGAGATGAGTTGCAATCATTTGGAGGAGATGAGGCTTTCTTGTTTTTGGAATTTTCAGCATTTTTGGGCCGGTTTTTCCTCATCTTCATGGATTTATCTACCTTTTATCTTTGAGGCTGATGACCTTTGGATGGGGTTTCTGTGTGTGTGTGGGGGGTCCTTTTTGTTGATGTTGAAATTGTTTTCTGTTGGTTAGTTTTTCTTTCAACAGCCAGGAATCTCTTCTGCAGTTCTGCTGCAGTATGCTGGAGGGCAACACCAGACCCTATTTGCCTGAGTATCACAAGCAGAGGCTACAGAACAGCAAAGACTGCTGCCTACTCCTTCCTCTGGAAGCTTTGTCCCAGAGTGGCACTGGCCTGGTGCCAGCCAGAGCTCTCCTGTATGAGGTGTCTGTCAACCCATTGGGAGGTTTCTCCCAGTCAGGAGGTACGGTGGTCAGGGACCCACTTGAGAATGCAGTCTGTCCCTTAGCAGAGCTTGAGCACTGTGGTTGGAGAACTCCCCTTGTCAGGATCTGCTGCTCTTTTCAGAGCTGGCAGGCAGGAACATTTAAGTCCGCTGAAGCTGCACCCACAGCCACCCCTTCCCCCAGGTGCTCTGTACCAGTGAGATGAGAGTGTTATTTATAAGCCCCTGACTGAGGTTGCTGCCTTTCTTTCAGAGATGTCCTGCCCAGTCAAGAGGAATCTAATGAGGCAGTCTGGCCACAGTCGCTTTGCCTCACTGTGTTTAGTTCCACCCAGTCCTTAGCAAGGTCATGGCAAAGCCACCTACTCAAGTCTCAGTAATGGCAGACACCCCTCCCCCACCATGCTCAATCATCCCAGGTGGACTTCAGACTGCTCTGCCGACAGTGAGAATTTCAAGCCAGTGGTTCTTAGCTTGCTGGGCTCTTTGGGAGTGGGACCTGCTGAGTGAGACCATGTAGCTCCCTGGCTTCAGCCCCCTTTTCGGAGGAGTGAACAATTCTGTCTTGCTGGGGTTCCAGGCACCACTGGGGTAGGAAAAAAAAAACTGCAGCTAGCTCTGTGTCTGCCCAAACAGCTGCCCCATTTTGTGCTTGAAACCCAGGGCCCTGGTGATGTAGGCACATGAGGAAATCTCCTGGTCTGCGGATTGCAAAAACTGTGGGAGAAGTGTATTATCTGGGCCAGATAGCACAGTCCCTCATGGCTTCCCTTGGCTGAAGAAGGGAGGTCCCTGGCCCCTTGCACTTCCCAGGTGAGGTGACACCCCACCCTGCTTCTGCTTGCCCTCTGTGGGCTGAAGCCACTGCCTAACCAGTCCCAATGAGATGAACAGGGTACGTCAGTTGGAAATGCAGAAATTACCTGCCTCCTGCATTGGTTTCGTGGGAGCTGCAGACTGGACAGTTCCTGTTCCACCACCTTGCCAGATCCCCCTGTTCTTGTATTCTTTGGAATTCTCTTTATCCCCTATCAGTCAGTCTCCCACTACTACAGTCTTTTGTTATAGTTGTTAATTCCTTATAATAACTTTCTGTGTTCAAATTACTTTGTGGTTCCTATTAATATCTCTTGATTGTTATTTGACACAATAACATTATTTTCTAAACTTCTGTTCCAGTTGTGTGTGTGTGTGTGTGTGTGTGTGTGTGTGTGTACTAAGACATGACTGTAAAATGCATTTATAACTATGGGTCACAGTTTAAAAGTTTGAAATTTCTCCCTCATTCATATCAGGTACTTAATAAATGAGATGCACACACATTCTAAGAGTTAGTTTAAGAAAGGCATTTTTCAAAAGCAAAATTTTCCCAAAATAATTTTAAAGGATCCTGATAAAAAACAAAATGGTGTTTTAACAAGACATATGACCCATCAAACAGCCCTTAAGCAGCTCTTTAATGAAGTCATATTTAAAAGAAAGATATATAAAAATGGAAGAAGGGACTTTTGACAAAGGATGAGAACACAAAAGTCACAGTGCAGTAACTCTAAGAATTGTATTAAGGCTAAAGCCCAGAGTGACATAAGGGTTACAAAGATGCTAATAACAATACAAAATGACTTATTAAAAGTAGAATCAGATCAAAAAGTCCCATATAAGTAATGGGCTCACTCTTTTTAAAATACACTATCATGTTATTAGATGAAAAAGCAGGACTATTCAACCTCTATTTGTTTCATTTTCTCTACAAAAATGGTTATCAAACTAGAAAGTGTGAACAAATATGGTTATGAGAGAACTGAAGTACATTATGATATATGAGGAGAGAGTAAAGGAATATTCAGCTATTCTAAAATAATATAATTTCCAGGACCAGATACATTACAAACTTGGACACATAAAATGGCTGATAGGACTTTGAAAGTAGAAGAGATACCTGAACACTGTATATAACATTTTCTGCCTTTTCTAAAATGGAGGAAAGGGAAAAACCAACAACTATATAAACTATAGAATGTCAAAAGTAACATGAAGGCCCAGAAAAATTCTAGAATAAATTACTATTATAGATGATTCATGAATAACCTAGAAAGGAAATTGGTAGTAGCCAGCATGAACCCAATAAAACTAGTAATGCCAAATTAACCTCTTTTGGTTGATTAGACTGAAAGAGCTAACACACACCAGAGATACGCTCTATCTTGTTCAGTTAAAGATTTGACATATTTTTCAAGATGCCCCAAAGTTAGATGAATTTGTAATTAGTAGGTTACAAAGAAAGGATAGGATTAATGAATTCATGTCAACTTGGAGAAATGTATCTAGGAACAAACCAGTAAAGGCTCCACTTTTGTCCTTTTCTTCTAAAAAATTTTAACAACTTATGGACAAAGGAGGCATGATTGCCAAATCTGGGTTGGATGGCTAGTAGGATGCATAAGGCAACATGGTATAGTATAATAGTTCTCAATCTTTTTGGTCTCAGGATCCCCTTACACTCTTGAAAAGTTTATAGGACTCCACAGAACTTTTGTTTATGTGAATTCTACCAATAGTAACCATATTATAATGGATCAATTTTTAGTTATTAATATATTTTCAATAACAATAAGCCCTTTACATGTTAATATAAAAACGATTATTTTTTACAAAAAAAATTTAGAGAGAAAAGTGGTACTGTTTTACACTTTTACAAATCTCTTCAATGTCTCACTTGTGTAGTTGTGGCAAAATTCTTGGATACTCTATTCCATTTTAACTTGATCTTTCTTAGCCAAAAGGCCAAAAAATGATTCTCTGCCCCATTTTCTTCAATGTTTCTTCTTTTTGCTTTTCAGTTTTGCAGTTTTCTACTGATATATCCTCAAGCTCAGAATGTCTTTTCTCAACAATACCCAGTCTATTAACAGGCCCATTAAAAGCATTCTTCATTTCTATCCAGCCTTTCTTTTTGATTCTTAGAATTTCCATGTCTCTGCTTACATTACTAATCTATTCTTACATGTTGTCTATTTTTCCATTAGAATCCTTAGCATATTAATCATCGTTTTTTAATTTGTTTTTATTTTTAGTTCTGGGGTACATGTGCAGGACGTGCAGGTTTGTTACATAGGTAAACGTGTGCCATAGTGGTTAGCTGCATCATTAACCCATCACCTAAGTATTAAGCCCAGCATGCATTAGCTATTTTTCTAATGCTCTCCCTCCCCCCACCCCATCTCCCGACAGGCCCCAGTGTGTGTTGTTTCCCTCCCTGTGCCCAAGTAATATATATAATTCGATTACAAAGATACATGCACGTGTATGTTTATTGCAACACTATTCACAATCACAGTTATTTTTAATTGCTGGTCTGATAATTATAATATTTCTGCCATATCTAACTATGGTGCTGATGCTTGCTTTGTCTCTTCAAACTGTATTTTTTTTGTCTTTTAATATGCCTTGTAATCTTTTGTTGAAAGGTGGACATAATGCACAGTTTAAAAGAAACTGCAGTAAATAGGCCTTTAGTGATGTGGTTGTAAGTTGTAGGGGAAGGGGAAGAATTCTACAGTCCTATGATTTAGAGCTCAGTCTTTTAATGAGCATGGCCCCCTGCACTGTGAACTTTGCAAATGCTGCACAATTTCATCCTCCCCTTAGGTGAAACAGGATGGCTAGAAGGCACTGGAATTGGGTAATGTCCTTCCCTCCAGTTAAACTCATAAAACCCCAATAAGTTAGGCTCTGGTAAAACAGTTGCTCTTCAGAACACTTGTTAAGAATAACAGAATGCTCTGACATATTTCCAAAGGGCTACCTACTTTTCTCCTCCCACTGCTAGAAGCACACAGGTATTTCTCTTTGATCTTCATTGTAAGAACCAAGCAGAGTTCTTTGTTCAGGTTTTCCTCACCCAGTACTGGTTCCTACAGAGGTTTCTGCTTGTGGGTTTCTGTACTGGTAAGACATGATCCTCTGAATTTGCCTCTCTCTCTTTCCAATTTGGGGCCAGTAATTTGCCTCAAGACCTCAATTATCTGACAGATCTATGAAGAGTTGTTGTTTTTCAGTCTGTTCAGCTTTTTATCTATTGTCAGGATCAAATTACAACTTCCAAGCTCTTTACATGCCAGACCATAAATCAGAAGTGTTTGTCTTACACTTTGAATGCATCTTTTAAACTCATGATTCTGTAACATCATGGTTTGGTCATCTGTATTGATCCACTGAGCTATGCAGATTTTCCTAATACAGATCCATTTTGTAATCTAACAAAATAAAAACATTTGACTTAACATCACCATTGATTTCATCAGAACAGCTTTTAAGTATTTAGAAGCTGTCAAGCTCATAGTGATAGATTAAAGTTTCCCAAAATTGTAATTTTCATTTAAAAGCTCAAATTTTATCACTGGTAATAAATATTCTCAGTTTGTCTTGACATGAAAAGCTCACTTCATTCATTTTTGAGAAAAAAATGCCTGCAAAATGCCTAAGTCTGCATAACTAGTTTATCTGTTAATTGTTCCTTTAGGTTCAATTCCATAAGTAAAATGGCTACATTGGCTTGCAACTCAAACACACAAGTGTTTTTTCCTCAAGGCAACCACCATATGTCTTCATGCTGCAGACATGCTTTATGTGTACTTCCCATTTTCTCACAAAGAATATTAAATGACTATGTACTCCAGGTCAAAATATAATACAATTACAACAATTTTAATTGTTTCATCAAGGACATTTTTAATGGAAACTGACTTTTTAATTTTACTGTGAGTGTGTGGTATTGAAGAATACAGTAACTGCTAGTACAGTTTAGTACCACTGCCATAATTTGTGCTCAGATACAGTTGTTTTTTCCCCAAGAGTGGAAATATCAAAACATTTTTTAAAAATCCAAATCATAACTTAGTAGGCCCTATATTCAAAATAGTTTTGATCTCATGGGGACCCTGGAAGTCTCATGAACTCCTGGGGGTCCTTGGACCACACTCTGAGAGCCATTTGTACACTGAGAAGAATAATGGGTTTTGTAATCAAACTTGGAGTTAACCACTGCTTCCTCTATAGGTTTTGCAGTTGTATAAACTTGTTTCATTTTTCATTATCTTCATCCCCAATGTATTAGTCAGTACTCGAATTGCTATAAAGAAATGCCTGACACTTGGTAATTTATTAAAAAAAAAAAAAAAGAGGCTTAATTGGCTCATGGTTCCACAGGCCGCACAGGAAGCATAATACTGACATCTGCTCAGCTTCTTGGGAGGCCTCAGGAAAGTTACAATCATGGTGGAAGGCAAAGGGGGAGTGGGCACCTCTCATGGCTGGAGCAGGAGAAAGAGTAAGAGGGGAGGTGCCACATATTTTTAAACAAACAACCAGATCTCATGAGAACTCTGTCATGAGAACAGCACCAAAGGAATGGTGCTAACAATCCACTCCCATGATCCAATCACCTCTCACCAGGCCCCACCTCCAACATTGGGGATTAAAATTCAACATGATATTTGGGTGGGGATACAGGTCCAAACCATACCATTCCACCCCAGGCCCCTCCCAAATCACCTGTGCTCACATTGCAAAACACAATCATCCCTTATCAACAGTCAACAAAGTATTAACTCATTCAAGCATTAACTCAAAAGTCCAAAATCCAAAGTCTCATCTGAGACAAAAGGCTAGTCCCTTCCACCTAGGAGTCTGTAAAATCAAAAGCAAATTAGTTATTTCAAAGATACTATGGGGGTATAAGCATTAGGTAAATATATCCCTATTCCAAAAGAAATAAATCAGCCAAAAAAAGGCGGGGCTACAGCCACATGCAAGTCCAAAACCCAGCAGGGCAGTCATTAAATTTTAAAGCTCCAAAATAATCTACTTTGAATCCATGTCTTACACCCAGGGCATGCTGATGTAAGGGGTGGGCTCTCAAGGCCTTGCACAGCCCTGCCCCTGTGGCTTTGCAGGCTTCAGTCCACACAGCGGCTCTCAAGGGTTGGTGTTGAGTGTCTGTAGCTTTTCCAGGCACAAGGTGCAACCGTTGGTGGATCTACCATTCTGGAGTCTGGAGGACAGTGGCCCTCTTCTCATAGCTTCACCAGGCAGTGACCCAGTGGGAACTCTGTATAGGTGCTCCAACCTCACATTTCTCCTCTGCACTGCCCTAGCAGAGGTTCTCCATGAGGGCTTTGTTCCTGCATCAGGCTTCCACCTAGACATCCAAGCTTTTCCATACATCTTCTGAAATCTAGGTGGGGGCTTCCAAGCCTCAACTCGGATTCTGTGCACCCACAGGTTTAACATCACATGAAAGCCACCAACAATTACAGCTTACAAGCTAGTGAGCAGTGACCCAAGCTGCACCTGGGCCCTTTTGAGACACAGCTGGAGCTAGAGCTTCTGGGATGCAGAGAGCAGTGTCCCAAAGCTGTGCAGGGCAGAAGGGCACTGGGCCTGGCTCATGAAACCATTCTTCCCTCCTAGGTCTCTGGGCCTATGAAGGAAGGGGCTGCCACAAAGGTCTCTGAAGCCTTGGAGGCCTTTTTCCCACCGTCTTGGTTATCAGCAATTGCCTCATTTTCACTTATGCAAATTTCTGCAGCTGCCATGAACTCCTCCCCAGAAAATGTGTTTTCCTTTTTTATCACATGGTCAGGCTGCACATTTTCCAAACTTTTACACTCTGCTTCCCTTTTAAATATAAGTTCCAGTTTTATGTCATTTGTTTGCTCACACATATGAGCATAGGCTGTTAGAAGCAGCCTGTCAACATCTTAAATGTCTTGCTGCTTAGAAATTCCTTCTGCCAGATACTTTAAATCATCATTCCCAAGCTCAAATTTCCACAGATCCCTACATCTGTGCATGATGCAGCCTTCCTCTTTGCTAATACATGACAAAAGTGACCTTTGCTTCAGTTTCCAATAAGTTCCTCATTTCCAGGTGAGACCTCCTGAGCCTGGCCTTCACTGTCAGCATTGTGAATACAACCATTTAACCAATCTTTAGGGATTTCCAAATTTTCCCTCATCTTCCTATCTTCTTCTGAGCCCTCCATATGCTTCCAACCTTTGCCCATTACCAGGTTCCAAAATTGCTTCCACATTTTCTGGTATCTCCATAACAATGCCCCACTTCTCTGTGCCAATTTTCTGTATTAGTCCATTATCTCATTCATATAAAGAAATGCCTGACACTGGGTAATTTATAAAGAAAAGATATTTAATTAGCTCATGGTTCCACAGGCTGTACAGGAAGCATAATGCTGGCATCTGCTCGCTTCTCAGGAAATCTCAAGAAACTTAAAATCATGATGGAAGGCAAAGGGGGAGCTGGCACCTCACAAGACCAGAGCAGGATGAAGAGAAAGTGAGAAAGGAGGTGCTACACACTTTTAAACAAGATCTCATGAAAGCTCTATCATGATAATGGCACCAAAGGGATGGCGCTGAACCAATTATAAAGGATTCACCCCCATGATCTAATCACATCCCACCAGGCCCCACTTCCAACACTGGGGATTACATTTGAACATTAGATTTGGGTGGGGACACAGATCCAAACCATATCACCCTGTTTTATTTGAATTAATAAACTTTAATTCTTGAGCAGTTTTAGGTTCATAGCAAAATTGAACAGAACATACAGATAATTCCCATATAACCCTTGTATGCACATATGCACAACCTTCCTAACTACAAACCGGTATTTGAACACTGCTAAGATGTTTTTTTTGTATGATCTTGGACAAACCACTTACTCTGAACCTCAGTTTTCTCATCTACAAAATGAGGTTAATAATATTCACATAAAGTATCATCAAGAGTAGTAGAGATACTCTAAGTAACATGTTACATCACACCTTGTCCATAGCTAGTACTCAACATCTAAAAATACAAAAGGTTTATTTAAAAAACAACCAAATAAACTTGACAGGCTAGAATAATAGGCTAAAAATAACAAAATGAAGCATAATAGGTATGTATTAGTTTTCTATGGCTGCTGAAACAAATTACCATAAACTTGGTGGCATGAAACAACAAACACTTATTCTCCTGCTGTTCTGGAAGTCAGAAATTGAAAATCAGTTTCACTTGGCCAAAATCAACGTGTCAATAGGGCCACACTCTTTCCAAATACTCTTGACTTTTCTGGCTTCTAGAGCTGCATTCCTTGCATTCCTTTGCCCCTTCCTCCATCTTCAAAGCCATCAGTATCATATCTTGTTTTAGTCACCACATTGCCTTCGTCTTTGATCACACATCTCCTTCTGTCTCCCTCTTATAAGGACATGTATGACACCAATAGAGCTGTATTAGTCCATTCTTGCATTGCTATAAAGAAATACCTGAGAGTGGATAATTTATAAAGAAAATAGGTTTCATCGGCTCACAGTTGTGCAGGTTGTACAAGAAGCAGAGAGGCATGTGATTCTGGGAAAGCCTCAGAAAGCTTATAATCATGGTGTGAAATGGGAGAAGCCACATCACATGGCAAAATCAGGAGCAAGAGAGAGACGCAGGGGGATGCCATACACTTTTTAAACAACCAGATCTCATGAAAACTCACTAACGCAAGGACAGCAACAAAGGGATAGTGCTAAAACATTCATAAAAAATCTGCTTCCATGATCCAATCACTTCCACCAGGCCTCACCTCCAATACTGGGGATTACAATTCAGTATGAGATACAGGTAGGACTACATATCCAAATTGTAACAGGGCCCACTCAGATTGTCTAAGGAAAATCTCCCCATCTCAAGATCCTTGACTTAAAAGGGACACCTGCAGAGTCCCTTCTACTATATAAGGTAACATTCACAGGTTCCAGGGAGTAGGGCTGGGTATCTTCTGGAGCCAACCACAAGGTATAAATGTAAAGTCACCATCTAGGTTAAAAAATAAACTGTTTAGAAAAAAAGAACAACTGTTTCATGTTCAGAGTAGGGAAGAAACCTAGATAAACAGCAGATTATTTAAAAACAAGATTAGTAGATGCAATCAATGTGATCATCAGTGTGACTTAGTTACAAAAAAAATCCTACATCTATTTATCAAAAGAAGTAGAGGGTGCAGAATATGAGACAAGAGGCCTAGCTATATCACACTTAGAATATTATACAGCCATGTACCACACAACAATGTTTCAGTCAATGATGGACCACATACACAAAGGTGGTCCAATAAAATTATAATGGAACTGAAAAATTCCTATCCCCTGGTGACATCACAGTCACTGCAACAATGTAGCACAAGGCATTACTCACATGTTTGTGGTGATGCTGGTGGAAACAAACCTACGGTACTGCCATGCATATAAAAGTACATAGCACATACAATTACATATAGTACATAATACTTGATAATAATAAATGACTGTTACTAGTTTATGTATTTATTATATTATACTTTTTATCATTGATTTATAGTGTACCCCATCTACTTATTTTTAAAAGTTAACTGTAAAACAGCCTCAGGGAGGTCTTTCAGAAGGCATTCCAGAAGAAGGCATTGTTATCATAGGAGATGACAGCTCCATGTGTGTTGTTGTCCCTGAAGACCTTCCAGTGGGAAAAGATGTTGAGGGGGAAGACAGTGAAACTGATTATCTTGATCCTGAATAGGCCTAGTCTAATGTATGTGTTTGTGTCTTAGCTTTTAAAAAAAAGTTTAAAAAGTAAAATATAAATAATTTTAAAAGCTTATACAATAAGAATATAAAAAGGAAATATTTTGTACAGCTGTACATCTATTTTTATTTCAAGCTAAGTGTTATTACAAAAGAGTCAAAAAGTTTAAGAAAATTAAAAGTTTATAAAGTAAAAATGTTATACTAAGCTAAGATTAATTCTTATTGAAGAAAAATATTTTTAATAAATTTAGTATAGCTTAAGTGTACAGTGTTTTATAAACCTTACAGTAGTGTACAGTAATGTAGCAGGCCTTCACATTCATTCACCACTCACTCGTTGACTCACCTAGAACCACTTCTAGTTCTGCAAGCTCCATTCATGGTAGGTATCCTATACAGAAGTACCATTTTTAATGTTTTATACTATACTTTTATTGTCCCTTTTCTATGTTTAGATACACAAATACCATTGTGTTACATTTGCCTATAGTATTCAGAACAGTAACATGCTGTACAGGTTTGTAGCCTAGGAGCAATAGGCTATACCATATAGTCTAGGTGTGTAGTAGGCTATACCATCTAGGTTTGCGTAAGTACATTCTATGATGCTCACAACAATGACAAAATTGCCTAATAATGCATTTCTCAGAATATATTCCCAACATTAAGTAACACAAGACAGTAGCTTGTTACCACAATTTAAAAATAAACAATGAAAAACTGATGCATTTCTAGGGGGAAATAACTATGATCATGAAAGAACTAAAAAGTTTGTTCCATAAAAAATAACTAATATTTATGGTAAATATGCCAGGAACTGTTCTAAATATATTAGTTATATTAGCTAATTTAATTATTTCAATAACTCTATGATGTAGATACTATGTGTTAATTGTCCCCATTTTCCAGAAGAACCAAGGCACAAATTAAGTAACTTGCTCAGAATCACATACAATAGTAAACTTCAAGGCCAGATTCAAACCCAGGCAATCCAGCTCTGGAGCCCACAACTTAGCTATATTGCTTTACTAACACAACAGGAAATGGAAGAGACATTTCAGAAGGCGAAAAAAACCATCCTTAAATAACTGAAGGATTATCAGGTAGAAGAGGAATTAGAATTAGTCTGTGTCATTATAGAAAGCAAGACCGAGACTAAGGGTTGAAAATTACCAATTTGAAGGAGTTCAATACATCATTCTGAATCTGCTTTGTGAGGTTATGTTTTTTCCAATTAATAGAAAAGATTAAGCAGAAGCTGAAAAAGAACACATGGTAAGTATCCTATAGAGAAGTAGCATGTTTAACCTTTTATACAGTATTTTTTACCATCCATGGAGCTTGCAGGACTAGAAGTTGCTCTGGGTAGGTCAATGAGTGAGTGGCAAGTGAATGTAAGGGCATCCATCCACTGCTGAAAATGTTCTAGTATCTAGATGGAGTTCTGAGTACAAATCACTGCTAGCACTAAAGAAAACCCCACTATTGCAACGATGGTGGAAAGTAGGTCTGCGTAGTTTGCAAAAGCCCCCCCAGAGGAACTCTTTTACTACCACCCAAAAGGGCAGTCTTATCTCCCTTTTGAGAGTACTATCATAGATGATTTTTAAAGAGAGATTATAAGATTCAGCAGTAACTTGAAAGATTTTATGAATGTTAATTTTATCCAGCAGGCTGGGAATCTTACACAGGCTAATGTAAACACTATCACCGTCACCATCCCAACGATATATCTGGAGGCTACAGACTGTATTAAGGCAATGGTTTCCAAATATTTTTAAACATTACCCATAATAGCCAATACATTTTACATCATTACTAAGTGCAAAAGTGTTTCCTAAATAGTACTTCTCCTTACTATGTCCCAATGCACTCTGATATTTTCTATTCCTATTTCAGCTTTTAAAAATTACTGACTATAACATATGAAATTGATTTCATGACTCCAACCAATGTGTTTCAACTCACGGTATGAAATATTTTGAGCTAAGAGTAGTATTTACCTGTTGCTTCCCAAGTATTTCTGAAGTTTTCTACTGACATAAACAACAGTTTTCTGTACTCTCAGTTCCTTTAATGACCTTCACCTAATCTTCCTCCACCTTAGCTTAGCTACCCTGTCCTATGTCAGATCCTAGACCTTTATCTGTAATGGATCACTTCCAAAGTCTCATTTTCATGCATACTACTTTCTATCACCCTTCTCTTTACTGGCTCTCTAAAATACGAGCACTCCTAAAATTCTCTGATTGTGCATCTAGTCCGTTCACCTTGCCACCTTTGACTCTCGATCGCCCCTGTGTCCTCTCATGTCTTTATTCAGTTTAGATTTTAAAATCCATCACCCTTGGATTAGTTATCCCTTGTATATATCCCTTAGTTATCCCTTGTATATATCTTCAACTCCCGTGCCAGTCTCTGGCTTTGCCATATTGCCTTGGGAAACTGCCAACTTTAGTTAAATTCAATTAACCTTTCTCCTTTTTGAAACAACTCAGTACTAAAGCCATTAGGTGGAATAAAGCAAAAGCAAGAAAGATGTCCACGGTAGAGGGTGTGCCTGTGTTGGCTTAGCATAGGGTGTCAGTGCCCTGACAGGATGAGGAGGGCATTCACCTAGAGGGCATCCTGGTATGCCAGAGCCCAAGGGAGGTGAGAAGGGCATCCATGATGAGGGAAACGCACCTATTGTGGGTATCGGAGCTAAATGTAATGATGAGGCCATCCATTAGACTCAGAGAGCAGACCTAAAGAGAAGACTCAGAGCCTGGGTGTGTTAGAGAGGGCCAGCCAGAGCATCAGAACCCAAGCAGGATAAGGGAGGTATCCATGCTCAGGGTGCTCTGGCATGGGGTATTAGAGCCCAAGCAGAGTAAGGTGGGTATCCATGTTGGAGGCCAGCCCAGCATTCGGTATCAGAGCTGAAACAAGCTTAGGATGCTATCCTTGTGGAGGCAAAGCCTGGCATGAGTTGTCAAAGAATGAAGAATATCTTAGTCTGTTTGGGATGCTATAACAAAATACCATAAATTGGGTAGCTTATAAACAACATAAATTTATTTCTCACAGTTCTGGAGACAGGAAAGTCCAAGATCAAGGCACCCACAAATTCAGTGCCTGATGATGGCCACTTCCTGGCTCACAGACAACCTTCTTTTCTCAGTAACTCATATAGCAGAAGGAGCAAAGAAGTTATCTCGGATCTTTTATAATGGCAATAACTAATAACATTTGTGAAAACTCTGTGCTTATAACCTAATAACCTCCTAAAGGCCCCAACTCCTAACAGCCTCACAACAGTAATTAGGTTTCAACATATGGATTTCGGTGGCGGGGCACAAACATTCAGACCACAGCAGTGAAAATGGTAACTGTGTGGAGAGGGTGTGCTGGAATGAGAGGTCAATTGCTGAACAAGATAAAGAGACTATCTGCATCCTGGTGGAAATGGAAGATTGGTTACAAGGAAATTTCTCAAACAAGTAAATATATTAAGGAAAATAGAAGTCAGGTTTCTTATTGTTACAAAGAAAAAGAGAAAACAAGAACAAATCCTGTGATATAGGACTGGCTTTAGAATTCATGGTTTTTAATATTTATAGATAAAAATAAATATAGATGTAAATACTGTGTGTGTAATCTTCAAAAGTGCCAAGGTCATAGAAGGCAAAGAAAGAGCAGGAAACTGTACCAACTGAAGGATACCAAAAAGACATGACAGATAAATGTAACACATGATTTTGAAGTGATCCGTGTTCCAAAAAAAAAAAAAAAAGACATTATTAGCACAATTGGTAGAATGTGAATTAAGATCTGAGGATTAGATTGTTATCTAATATCTAATATCTGATATCATTGTTACTTTGCTGTATGCTCTGTGATCATGTAGGAGAATGTCCTTGTTTGTGGGAAATATGTATTAAAATATTCAAGGGTGATAATGAATCAGGTCAGCAACTGACTCTCAAATGGTAGTTTTAAAAAGTTCTTTGTACTACATGTCCAACGTATCCCTAAATATGTGATTCTTTCAAAATCTTTTTTTTTTTTCTTTTTTCGAGACAGGGTATAGCCCATACTGAAGTGAAATGGCACAATCATAGCTCACTGTAACTTTGAACACCTGGGCTCTAGAGATCCTCCCATCTTATACTTCCGAGTAGCTGGGATTACCAGTGCTTCAAACCAGGCCTGGCTAATTTTTTATTTTTTGTAGAGATGGGGTCTTACCATGTTGCCCAGGCTGGTCTTCAACCCCTGGCCTCAAGTAATCCTTCAGCCTCGGCCACACAAACTGGGGTAATATAGGTGTGAGCCATTACACCCAGCCTCTAAATCTTAAGAATAAAAACAAAATACCACAAAACCATGGTGATTTGGTTTCACATTTTTGAATTTTTTTTTATTTTTAATTTTTGTGAGTACATAGTAGGTATATATGTTTATGGGATAAATGAGATGTTTTGAAACAGGCATGCAATGTCAAGTAATCACATCAAAGAGAATAGGGCATCCATCTCCTCAAGTATTTATTCTTTGTGTTACAAACAGTCCAATTACTCTCTTTTAGTTATTTTTAAATGTACACTTAAGTTATTATTCACTACAATCATCCTGTTGTGCTAGCAAATAGTAGGTCTTATTCATTCTTTCTAACTATTTTTTGTATCCATCACTCATCTCCACCTTCCCACTCCCATCTCCTCACTACCCCTCTCAGCTTCTGGTAACCATCCTTCAACTATGTCCATGAGTTCAATTGATTCAATTTTTAGATCCCACAAACAAGTGAGAACATGTGATGTTTGTCGTTCTGTGCCTGGCTTATTTCATTTAACATAATGATCTATAGTTCCATCTACCTTGTTGCAAATAAGAAGATCTCATTCTTTTTATGGCTGAATAATACTCCGTTGTATCTAAGTACCATGTTTTCTTTATCCCTTCATCTATTGATGGACACTTAGGTTGCTTCCAACTCTTAGTTATTGTGCAAAATGCTGCAAGAAACACGAGAGTGCAACTATCACTTAAATATACAGACTTCCATTATTTGGGTATATACCCAGCAATGGGGCTGCTGGATCGCATAGTAGCTCAATTTTCAGTTTTGTGAGGAGCCTCCAAACTATTCTGCATAGTGGTTGTAATAACTTATGTTCCCACCAACAGTGTACAAGGGTTGCCTTTTCTTCACACCCTCACGACCATTAGTTATTCTCTGTCATTTAAATATAAGCCATTTTAACTGGGGTGAGATGATATCTCATTGTAGTTTTTATTTGTATTTCTCTGATGATCAATGACGTTGAGCAACTTATCATATGCCTCTTTGCCATTTGTATGTCTTCTTTTAAGAAATGCCTATTAAAATATTTTGCCCATTTTTTGATCAGATTATTATATTTTTTTCTGTAGAGTTGTTTGAGCTCCTTATATATTCTGCTTATTAATCCCTTGTCAGATTCATACATTGAAAATATTTTCTCCCATCCTGTGGATTGTCTCTTCACTTTGTTGGTTGTATCCTTTGCAGTGCAGAAGCTTTTTAATTTGATGTGATCATTTGTTTGTTTTCGCTTTGGCTGCCTGTGCTTGTGGAGTACTGCTCAAAAAATCTTTGCCCAGACCAATGTCCTGCAGATTTTCTCCAATGTTTTCTTGTAATAATTTCATATTTTGAGGTCTTAGATTTAAGTCTTTCATCCATTTCAATTTGATTTTTGTATATGGCAAGAGTAGGGGTCTAGTTTCATTCTTCTGCATATGGATATCCGGTTTTCCCAGCACCATTAATGGAAGAGACTGTCTTTTCCCCAGTGTATGTTCTTAGCATCTTTGTTGAAAATGAGTTCAGTGTAAGATTGTGGATTTAATTCTGGGTTCTCTATTCTGTTCCATCGGTCTGTGTGTCTGTTTTTATTCTAGTATCACAGTGTTTTGGTTACTATGGTTCTGTAGTATAATATAATTTGAAGTCAATAATGTGATTCCTCTAGTTTTCTGTTTTTTGCTTAGAATAGCTTTGCATATTCTGGGTCTTTTGTCATGCCACATAAAATTTAGGATTGTATTTTCTATTTATGTAAAGAATGTCATTGGTATTTTGATAGGGATTGCATTGAATCTGTAGAGTACTGGGAGTAGTATGGACATTTTAACAATATTGATTCTTCCAATCCATGAGCATGAAACATTTTTTCCATATTTTGGTGTCCTCTTCAATTTCTTTCATCAGTGTTTTATAGTTTTCATTATAGCAATCTTTCACTTCTTTGGTTAATTTGAGGTGTTTAATTTTATGTGTGGCTATTGTAAATGGGATTACTCTTTCAATTTCTTTTTCAGATTGTTCACTGCTGGCATATAGAAATGCTACTGAATGTTGTTATGTCGATTTTCTATCCTGCAACTTTACTGAATTTTCCATCATTTCTAGTAGATTTCTTGTGTAATTTTAAGGTTTTTCTAAGTATAAGATCATATCTGCAAACAAGGATAATTTGATTTCTCCCATTCCAATGTAGATGCCCTTTATATCTTTCTCTTGTCTCATTGCTCCAGCTAGGAATTCCAGTAATGTGTTGAATAACAGGGGTGGCAGTGGGCATCCTTGTTGCATTCCCGAGTCTAGAGGAAAAGCTTTCAGTTTTTCCCCATTTAGTATGAAACCAGCTGTGGGTCTGTCATATATGGCTTTTATTATCTTGAGGTAAGTTCCTTCTATCCCCTGTTCTTTTGCAGGTTCCTATCATGAAGTGATGTTGAATTTTATCACATGCTTTTTCTGCATCAACTGAAATGACCATATGTTTTTTTTTTCTCCTTCATTCTGTTGATATGATGTACATCATTGATTGACATGTGTATTTTGAACTATTCTTGAATCCCAGAGATAAATCCGATTTGGTCATGATGAATGATCTTTCTAACATATTGTTGAAGTCAGTTTGCTAGAGTTTATTGAGGATTTTTGCACCAACATTCATCAACAATATTGACCTTTAGTTTTATTTTTTTGATATGTCTTTGTCTGGTTTTGGTAGGGTAATACTGACCTCATAGAATGATTGTGGAAGTCTCCCTACTTCCTCTAATTTTTGGAATAGTTTGAGTAGGATTGCTTTTCGTTCTTTAAAGGTTGGGTAGAATTCATCAGTGAAGCCATCAGCTCCCAGGCTTTTCTTTATTGGTAGACTTGTTATTACAGCTTCGATCTCATTACTTGTTATTGATCTGTTCAGGTTTTGGATTTCTTTCTGGTTCAAAGTGGATAAGTTGTATGTGTCTAGGAAACTGTCCATTTCTCCTAAATTTTCCATTTTACTGACACATAGTTGCTCATCATAACCACTAATGATCCTCTGAATTTCTGCAGTATCAGTTGTAATGTATGCTTTTTCACTTCTAATTTTATTAGTATCTTCTCTCCTTTTTCTTAGTTTGCCTAAACGTTTATAAATTTTGCTTAACTTTTCAAAAAAGTAACTTTTTGTTTCTTAGGTCATTTGTATTGTTTCTTCATTTCAATTTTATTCATTTCTACTCTGATCTTTATTATCAATTTTATTCTACTAATTTTGCATTTGGTTTGTACTTGCTTTTCTAGTCCTTTAAGATGAATCACTAGATTATTTATTTCAAAGGTTTCCTCCTTTTTGATGTAGACACTTATAGATATATACTCCCCATTAGGACTGCTTTTGCTGTATCACATAGGTTTTGGTATGTTGTGTTTCCATTTTCATTTGTTTTAAGACATTTTTCAATTTCCTTCTTAATTTCTTCATTGACCACTGGTCATTCAGGAGCACACTGTTTAATTTCCATGTTATTTGTGTAGTTTCCAAAATTCCTCTTGTTATCGATTACTAGTTTTATTCCATTGTGGTCACAGAAGATGTTTGATATTATTTCAATTTTTTGAGACTTGTTTTGTGACCTAACTTATGGTCTATCCTTGAGAATGATCTATGTGCTGAGAAAAAGAATGTGTATTCTGCAGCTATTGGATGACATGCTCTATAAATATCTATTAGATCCATTTGGTCTACAGTTTAGATTAAGTCTGATTATTTTTGTTGGTTTTCTGTCAGGAAAATCTGTCCAATGCTGGAAGTGGGGTGTTGAAGTCTCTAGCTATTATTGTATTGAGGTCTATCTCTCTCATTACCACTAATAATATTTGCTTTATATACCTGGATGCTCCAGTGTTGGGTGCATATATACTTTAAATTGTTACATCATCTTGTTGAATTGACCCCTTTATCATTTTATAGTGATCTGTGTTTCTTCTTACAGTTTTTATCTTGAAATCTATTTTGTCTGATGTAAGTATAGCTATTCTTGCTCTTTTTTGGTTTCCATTGGCATTGAATATCTTTTTCCATCCCTTCATTTTCAGACTATGTGTGTCTTTATAGGTAATGTGTGTTTCATGTAAGCAACCGATCAATGGATCTTCTTTTTTCATCCAATCAGCCTCTCTACATCTTTTGATTCAGGAGTTTAGTCCATTTACATTTGATGTTATTATTGATAAATAAGAACTTACTCATGTCAGTTTGATATTTGCGTTCCGGTTGTTCTGTGATCTTCCCTTTCTTCTTCCTTTTCTTGCTGTCTTTCTTTACTGAAGGTGACTTTCTCTGGTGATATAATTTATTTTATTTTATTTTTATTTTTTGTGTATCCATATGTTTTTTAGTTTGAGGTTTACCATTAGGATTGCAAAACTATCTTATAATCCATTATTCTAACCTGATAACTACTTAATGGTCTTTGCATTAAAAAAAAGCAGAAAGAAAATTAATAGAAACTCTATTACTTAACTTTGTCCCCCTGCTTTTTAACTTTTTACTGTTTTATTGATATCTTATTATACTGTCTATGCCTTAAAAAGTTGTTTTAGTTATTATTTATGATTGATTCATCATTTAGTCTTTCTACTTAAGATATGAGTAGTTTACATACCACAGTGACATGTTATAATATTCTGTGTTTTTCTGTGTACTTACTATTACCAGTGAGTTTTGTACCTTCAGGTGATTACTTGATTATTAACATCTTTTTCTTTATAGTTGAATTACTCCCTTTAGCATTTCTTGTAGGATAGGTCTGTTATTGATTAAATCCCTTAGCTTTTATTTGCCTGGCAAAGCCTTTGTTTCTCCAGGTTTGAAGGATATTTTCACCAGATATACTATTCTAGGGTGAAAGTTTTTTTTCTTCTGCACTTTTAATATATCATGCCCTCTCTCCTGGCCTGTAAGGTTTCCACTGAAATGTCTGCTGCCAGATATTTTGACATTCCATTGTATGTTAATTGTTTCTTTTCTCTTGCTGCTTTTAGGATTTTTTCTTTATCCTTGACCTTCGGGAGTTTGATTATTAAATACCTTGAGGTAGTCTTCTTTCAGTTAAATCTTCTTGGTGTTCTATAAACTTCTTGTATTTGGATATTAATATCTTTTTCTAGGTTTGAGACTTCTCTGTTATTATCTTTTTGAATAAACTTTCTACCCCTATCTCTTTCTTTCTCTACCTCTTCGTTAAGGTCAATAGCTACTAGATTTGCCCCTCTGAGGATATTTTCTAGATCCCATAGGTGTGCTTCATTGTTTTTTTTTTTTTCTTTTGTCTTCTCTGTGTACTTTCAAATAGCCTGTCTTCAAGCTCATTACTCTTTCTTCTGCTTGGTCAATTGTGCTGTTGCGAGACTCTGAGGCATTCTTTAGTTTGTCAACTGAATTTTTTAGTTCCAGAATTTCTGCTTAATTTTTAAAAATTATTTTAATTGCTTTGTTAAATATATCTGAGATAAATCTGAATTCCAACTCCATGTTATCTTCAATTTCTCTAAGTTTCCTCAACACAGCTATTTTGAATTCTCTGTCTGGAAGATCATATATCTCTGTTTATTGGGATTAGCCCCTGGTGGTTTATTTAGTTCACTGGGTGAGGTCATGTTTTCCTGGGTAGTGTTGATGCTAGTATATGTTCTTTGGTGTCTGGGTATTGAAGAGTTAAGGATTTAATGTAGTCTTCACTGTCTGAGCTTGTTTGTTCTTTTCCTTCTTGGGAAGGCTTTCCAGGTATTTGAAAGTACTTATGTGTTGTGTTCTAATCTGTATCTGTTTTTGTGGGCAACCCAAGCCCAGTAACACAGTGGTTCTTGCAGACTTACAGAGGTACTGCCTTGATGGTCTTGGACAAGATCCAGAAAAATTATTTGGATTACCAGGCAAATACTTGTTCTTTTCCCTTTCTTTCTCCCACACAGAGTCTCTTCCTGCACTCCAAGCCACTTATAGGTGGGGGTAGAGTGACACAAGCACCCCTGTGGCCACCACCACTATGACTGTGCTGGGTCAGACCTGAATCCAGTAGAGCACTAGGTCTCACCCAAGGCCTGATGTAACCACTCCTTGGTTACTGCCTCTGTTCACTCCAGGCCCTGCAGCTCTTTAATCAGAAGGTGGCAAAGCAAGCCAGGCCAGGCCTGCATCCTTCCCTTCAGGGCAGTGAGGTCCCTCGGGTCCCAGGTGGGTCCAGAGGTGCCATCCTGGTGTCAGGGACTGAAGTAAAAAACCTTAGACGTCTGTCTAGTGTTCTCTTGTACTGCCACTGAGTTGGCATTCAAACCACATGACACAGTCATTATGTAAAGTGAAATAAGCCAGGCACAGAAAGAGAAACATCACATGTTTTCACTTATTTGTGGTATCTAAAAATCAAAACAATCGAACTTGTAGAGATAGAGAGTAGAAGGATGGTTACCAGAGGCTGAGAAGGGTAGTAGGGGTTTTTGGGGAAATTGGGGATGATTAATGGGTACAAAAATTAGAAAGAATGAATGAGCTCTAATATTTGATAGCAAAAAATGGTGACTATAATGAATAATAATTTAATTGTACATTTTTAATTAACTAAAAAAGTATAATTGGATTGTTTTAACAGAAAGGATAAATGCTTGAGGGTATGGATGACCTATTTTCCATGATGTGACTATATGTGTTACATGCCTATATCAAAATATCTCATGTACCCCATTACTATATACACCTACTATGTACCCACAAAAATTAAAAATTAAAAGAAAATTCCTCCAAAGAGTTGTCTATTCTCCTTGTCTCCATACCATGTATTGTCACTCTCTTGTCACACTTCAATCAATCTTTGATTTCAAGCCTCCACTGAGATCTCTCTCACTAAGGTCAATGATAATCTCCATATTGTCAAATCCTATAGTCAATCCTCAAATCACATTTAGCTTGATCGCTCAGCAACATTTGTGACAATTGATTATGCCCTCATTCTGGAAATACTTACTTCACTTGGATTTCATGACAATTATTTCTTCTTATGTTCCTCCTACCTTACTAGCTACTCATTCTCATCTCCTTCACTCGATTCTTTTACTTCCTGAACTTGAAACGTTGGAATGTGCCAGAGCTGGTCCTTGGACTCATTCTCTATCTATACTTATTCACTAAAGTCATTGTACTGAGTCTCACAGCTGTATTTACAATTTATAATCTGATTACTTCTAAATTTATATCTCCATCCTTGAAATACATATTTGTAAATCCAACTGTGTAATAGACATTATCACTCACATATCTCAAACTTAACATTAATTCCCAGCCCTAGTCCCATCAAACCTGGTCTTCCTCCATTGTCTCCCTTCTTGGTAGATGCTGCCACCACTAACTTTATTGCTTAGGATAAAATCCTTGGAACAACCCTTGAATCTCTTTCTCTCACATTCAAAATGCAATCCATCACCAAATCTTGTTAGTTTCACCATTAATATATATCCAGAATCTCTGGAACAAGATGTTGTGAACTTACTTTTCCATGCTACCTTCCTCTAAATTCAACTAAACACTCTGGAAATTACTGAACAGAAAAAATAAAAGGACTCTGAAATATGGTAAGAAACTATATGAGTTAGCAACCTAAAGATGTGAGGAACAAGAATGCTATGAGTTCCCTGAGTTTTCTTTTTACCTCCTAAATATCCCAGACTAGGCACTGGGGAGACCTGCAATCCAGAACTGCCAACAGGCATAAACAACAACAACAAAAACAAAAACAAATTTAACCTTGCCTTCTCTGGCCTATGTTCTAGTAAAAAGCCCAACAGAGACCTAGTGGAGAGCCCCAACTCCTGTTCTACAGCCAAGGTACCCGAGAATAACCTGATTTGCACAGAGAGGCAGCTGCAAAGCTCCTGGAAAATCCAGCTTCCACCCACAATGAGGTCATCAACAGGTGAGCTGATCTGCCCACATAAGTAGCTTCAGAACCCTGATGGGCCATCTTAACTCCTGATCCACAACTAGGACACTGACAGCTCACAGGAGTAGCAGTGAAGCTCCAGCAGTCCAACCCAACCCTGGCTCAACACCTGTAGTGCTTGCAGGCTGGTCTACCTGCAGTGGAAGCAGAGAAGGGCTGGTCCACCCAATTTCCATTCCAAACCCAGGGCACCACCATCTCTTAGTCTTCTATTAATTGACACAAGACTCAGTGCCAGTAGCTTTTGTCTCATCCCCTGCAGGATAAGGTGGCTCAATGACACCCGGTAGCCCAGCAGAGTGCTTTGTGCCATGGCAGATGGCACTAGTAGGGAATAAATGGGTGCTGCAGCACCATCAGAAAGACAAAACACATCAGAATGGCTCTGAAAACTAAACTGTGATTAGACCTAAGACCCACAAAAAATAGGCCAGAACCTATATTCTAAACCTAAACAGGATCATTACTTGCTAAAATAGATTCAAGAATCAAGAGATTCCTAAAATAGTAACCAAAATATTCACGATAAAATGGAAAATCATTCCTTATGCAAAGAACTAGGAAAACTACAATTTGACTGAGAAAAGATCATTAACTGATACTAATACCAAGATTATTCTGAAGTTGGAGTCACCTGATAAGAAAGTTAAAACTGATAAGAAAGTTAACTTTCATAAAAGTACTTCAACAAGTAATTAAAAATATCTTTAAACAAATGCAGACAGAGTATCTCAACAAAGATATAGGAATTATTTATTTTTAAAAAAGAACCAAATGTAAATTATAAAATTAAAAAAATACAACAGCCAAAATAAAATTTAAAACTCACCAGATGGACTCAATACTAGATTAGAGGTGAGGAACAGAATCAGTGAAGTTAAAGATATATCAACAAAACTTATTCAATCCAAACAAAGAGAAAATAGCATGAAAAAGAAACAAAAAGAAGAAAGCCTCAGGGATCTGTGGAACAATAACAAAAGACAGGACAACTGTGTTATCATCAGAATCCCAGTAGGAGATGAGAAAGAATGTGGGGCTGAAATAGTATTTAAATAATAACAAGAAACAGGGGTAACAAGCCAGGCATGGTGGCTCATTCCTGTAATCCCAGTGCTTTGGAAGATTGAGGTGGAAGAATTGCTTGAGGCCAGGAGTTTGAGACTAGCCTGGGCAACATAGTGAGACCTGATCTCTACAAAAGTGAAACAAAAATCAGCTAGGCATGGTGGCACATGCCTGTAGTCTTAGCTACAGGGTCACTTGAGCCCAGGAGTTCAAGGCTACAGTTAGCTCTGATCACACCACTGCACTCCAACAGCCTAGGTGATAGAGCAAGACCTTGAAGAAAAAAAAAAAAGAAAGAAGAGAAGAAGAAACAAAAAGAAAACAAATAATAAAATAGAGACTGGTGATGTCAGGAAGATGGCAGAATAGATAAAGTCAGAAAACTTCCTTCCTCCAAAGGAGACACCAAGTCAACAAGCAAAAATACACAGATCGATTCCCTTCAAGAGAAATCCAGAAACTAGTTAAAAGGCTCCTGCATCACAGGCAAGCTAAAATCAGCCACACTGAAGCTGGTAGGAAAATTCATGGTACTCACTCGCCATGGTCTCTCTGCCCAGCTTAGCATAGCATCATCAGCAGAAAACTCCCAATTCTTGGCTTCTTCCTAGAGAGAAAAAGAAGAAGGCTGAAACATACGTCCAACATGAAGACTTTTTAGGGGGAAGGCTGAGGAAGTAATTTCTGTCTTCCCTGTATCTGGAGACTCGTGAAAAAGTGTGCTAGGTTGAAGGCTACTGAGAACAAGGGCAAAAGTTTAGGCAAAAAGCACTCACTCACCATACTCCCTCCTCCCAGCTCGGCATAGAACGAGAGGGTGAAAACTCCCAATTCTCAGCTTCTCTCTAGGAAGGGAAAAAGTTGTGGCATGTGTCCCACATTCTGTCTTTTTGGGGGGACTGCTTGAGAAATGGGTTTCTTTCTCATCTCTCTCAGAAGGCAGACAGGACTGGCATAGTCTAGATGTCTGGGGGATGCTGAAAACAAAAGAGATGTAAGTGATTTGCTGCTATTCCACAGGATATGCAGTAGAGAAGACAGATGTTAACACAGCTCAAAGGCTTCTCCCTCAGGGAGGGGAGACAGAAGAGTAAAGTGTATGTTCAACATTATAGCTTTTTGGGGTCTGACCAAGAAACTTCTTTTACTTTAAAACAGACTTCAATTATTTTACTAGATTAAAAGCACTGATATGGTTCAGTACACTCTAGAAGCTTGGGGGAAACTAAGAACTAAAGAGAGATGTGAACTAATAAATCTCTTTAATTGAAAATTTGCATATACAAGTCCAGAGAAGAAATATACACATAAAATGTCTCAGAGGACCTCAAAATCTCTAATTAGGCTGATTTGTGAAGGTCTTTCCTTGCACAAAGCCAATCTATAAAGATTTGGTGAGGTGGTCATTTTCTTAAATGCATGGATCCAACATAAAGGTACAAAGCAAGCAAAGAAACAAGGAAACATGGCACAAAGCCAAAACAACAAAATAAGTCTCCAGGAACTGACCCTAAAGGAGATATATGAATTATCTGACAAAAAATTCAAATATCCATCATAAGGATGCTCAACAAGCTCAGAACAATAGGATACATAAATAAAATGAAAATAACAAATCAACTGAAAACATAAAAACACCCAAACAGAAAATTTTGAGCTAAAGAATACAATAAGTGAACTGAAAAATTCACTAGACAGTTTCAATATCACACTTGATCAACCAGAAGAAAGAAGCCACAAACTCGAATACAGGTAATTTGAAATTATTAGTCAGAGAAACAAAAACAATAAAAAAGAAGTGCAGAAAGTCTAAAAGGACTTATGGGACACAATCAAGTGAATCAATATACACATTATGATATTAAAAGAAAAAGAAGAGACATAAAGGGACAAACATTTATTTAAAGAAATAATAGCCTAAATATCCCAAATCTGGGAAAGAATATGAACATCTAGACTCAAGAAGCCCAACAGAACCCAACTAATAGGAAACCAAAGGGCTTCAAACTGACTACATTATGACTAAATTGTCAAATGTCAAAAACAAAGAGAAAATTTTTAAAGAAGAAGTGGCTCATGACATACAAGAGGGTCCCATAAAACTATCAGTAGATTTATCAGCAGAAACCTTGCAGGTCGGAAAGGAATGATATCATAGATTTGAAGTAATAAAAAAAAAACCTGTTAACTAATAACATTATATCCAGAAAAACTGTCTTTCTAAATAGAAAGAGAAATGATTTCTCATATAAACAAAAGCAGAGAGAGTTCATCACAACTAGATGCACCTTATGAAAAAATGCTAAAGTGAGTCCTTTGAAGTTGATATGAAAAGATAATAGAAAACAGCCCAAAGATAAATGAAAATAAAACCTCCACTGCTAAAAGTAAACATATAGACAAAACAAAATATTAGAATACTGGAGAAGCTGGGCAAGATGGCTGACTAGATGCATCCAGGTGAACCAGCTGCCACTGAGGGACTGGGACAACTGGCGCACTCCTAGCAGATCTTCAGAGGTACGGCACTAAGAGTGGATGGAGGAAAGACCAGAAGCTTGGCTGAAGGAGGAGGCAGCTGGGAACCCTGCACAGGGCTACAGTGCACCAGGACTTGTTCTTGGCCTCCAACAACTCTGGGAGAATGGGTGAGTTGAACTGGCAAGAAGCAACATGCTCTACAATGGGCTTCTGGAATTCTGGTAGGATGAGACCCCTCTCCCACCACGGACACTTGAGTTGGCAGGGGAAGCCATTAGAGAAGTGGTAGGAGGGAGCACTCCAGTTGGCGTAGAGCCCAGAGGGTTTGATGTGGGAATATAGCGAAGTGCAGCCATGGATGGCCATCTTCCTAGGCTCAACTTGCTTCCATAGGAAACTTTAGCTCTAGGGGAACTGTCATACCTGAACTCTACAGAATTTTCTTGCCCATTACACAAAACCAGTCCAATCTGAACACCCCTTGGTCTGCCGGCCTCTCCCAGGGCCCCAGCCTGGCTGCACTTGCTTGCAGTGTGGCTTCAGGTGCCCTGGGGGCCTACATTGTAGCTCTTGCACTGGTGAACCATGCCTGGCCAGAAAAGAGTTCCAGCAGAGTGGCCCCCACAGACACATAACAACCTGTCCCCTCCCACACTCCACTGCAGCTTCCTACGAGAGCATGGCCACCCCAACATTGCTTTGCCACTATGCATGTGCATGGACAGACTTTGCCTTCTCTGTCCCACCAGCGTATGTGTGTGCATGCATGCGTGTGTGTGTGTGTATGTACACCTTGCACTGCCACTGCTGCCAGTGTGATTGCATTCTTCCTCCCATCCCCCAACCATACCATTGCAGTCAGAATCTTTGCAGGCACAGAGCCTGTCAGCACCACTCATATCAGCATCTTGCCTCTGGGCTAACATGGCCACTGGAGTGAAACTAGGCTCAGAAAACAGAGGACACTCTGCCACCCTGAGAGGCCACCTCCACCTGTGTGAATGTGCAAAGGGGGCACACACAGTACTGCTTCTGCCAACACCCCACCTGTGTGCTGACACCAACACTGGCATGACCAGGTGCACAGTAACAAGTAGGGGTCTCCCCAGTGCCCAAGGCATGCTACCTCCTCTGCTTCTGCAAACATCCATATGGAGGCCTGCACCCTGGCACCTGTTAATGCCCTATGGTAGCCAACAAGCATGCACCCCACCATGTTGCTGCTGCCACTGCTGCTAGGACATGTGAACAAGAACAGATCTCACTGCCACAGCCCTATGAAATTCTCTGGCTGCCACCACCCATCAGAGTGAGCCCTGCCCCCCAATATCTTCAGAAACAAAGCAAGTTGACTGTACCCACCAAATACCACAAACTATCAAGGTCATCAAATGGGATAAAAGAAAAAAAAACTCATCCATAGGACAGCAACCTCAAAGACTAAATGAACATCAGCCCATAAAGATGAGAAAGAACCAGCACAAGAAACCTGACAGCTCAAAAAGCCAGAGTGCTTTCTTTGCTACAAATTATCACACTAGCCTTCTAGCAAGGGTTCTGAACCAGGCTGAGATGGTTGAAATTACAGAAACAACATTAGAAATGTGGACTGTAATGTTACAGAAACTGATAGGCAAAATAGCCAGTAAAGAAAAGAATATAACTAACCTGATAGAGCTGAAAACACATGCTACAAGAATTTCATAATGCAATCACAAGTATTAATAGCAGAATGGACCAAGAGGAAGAAAGAATCTGAGAGCTTGAAGACTGCCTTTCTGAAATAAGACAGTCAGAAAAGAATACAGAAAAAAGAATGAAAAGGAATGAACAAAACCTCTGAGAAATATGAGATTACGTAAAGAGACCAAATCCATAACCCACTGGTATCCCTGAGATGAGGAGAATGGAAGAAACTTAGAAATTATATTTCAAGATATCATCCATGAGAACTTTCCCAACTTAGCTAGGGAGGTCAATATTCAAATTCAGGAAATGCAGAGAACTCACACAAGATAATTCACAAGAAGATCATCATCAAGACACATAACCATGAGATTCTCCAAGGTCAAAATGAAAGAAAAAATGCTAAAGGCAGCTAGAGAGAAAGGTCAGGTCACATACAAATAGAAGCCCATCAGACTAACAGTGGACGCCTCAGTAGGAATCCTACAAGCCAGAAGAAATTGGGAGCCAATATTCCACATTCTTAAAGAAAAGAAATGCCAATCAAAATTTTCATATCCAGAAAAACTAAGCTTCATATGCAAACAAGAAATAAGATCCTTTCCAGAAAAGCAAATGCTTAGGGAATTCGTTACCACCAGAACTGCCTTCCAAGAGCTCCTGAAGGAAACACTATATATCAAAAAGAAAGATCATTACAAGCCACTTCAAGAACACATTTAAGTACATAGACCAGTGACAATAAAAAGCAACCACAAAAGCAAGTCTGTAAAATAACTAGCTAACATAATGACAGGAGAAAATCCACACATACCAATATCAACCTTGAATGGAAATGGGCTAAATTCCCCAACTAAAAGGCACAGGCAGGCTGGATAAAGAAGCAAGGCCCAATGGTATGGTGTTTTCAAGAGACCCATCTTCCATACAATGACACCAATAGGCTCAAAATGAAGGATGGAGAAAAATCTACTAAGAAAAAAAAAAAAAAAAACTGAAAAAAAGCAGAGGTTGCAATTCTAATTTCAGAGAAAACAGATTTCAAACCAACAAAGATCAAAAAGAACAAAGAAAGGCATTATATAATGGTAAAGGGTACAACTTAACAAGAAGATCTAACTATCCTAAATCTATACACACCTAACACAGGTGCAATCGCATTCATAAAATAAGTTCCTTGAGACCTATGAAGAGACTTTGTTTCACACACAATAATAGTGCGACACTTCAACACCCCACTGCCAATATGAAAAAAAATCATTGAGGTTAAAAAAAATAACAAAAAAATTCAGGACCTGAACTCAACACTTGACCAAATGGACCTAAAACACATTTACAGAACTCTCTACCAAAAGACAACAGAGTATACATTATTTTCATTGCCACATGATGCATACTCTAAAATCGACCATGCAATTGGACATAAGACAACCCTCAGCAAACTAAAAAAAAAAAAAAAAAAAAAAACAGAAATCATACCAACCACACTCTTGGACCACAATGCAATACAAATAGAAGTCAAGGCTAAGGAAATTGCTCAAAATCATACAATTATATAGAACTTAGACAAGTGGCTCCTGAACCACTCTTGGGTAAATAATCAAATTAAAGCAGACATCAAGAAGTTCTTTGAAACTGATGAGAACAAAGACACAACAAACCAGAATCTCTGGGACACAGCTAAGGCATTGTTAAGAGGGAAATTTATAGCACTAAACACCACATCAAAAAGTTAAAAAGATCTCAAATTAACAACCTAACATCACAATTACAAGAACTACAGAAGCAAGAGAAAACCAGTCTCAAAGCTAGCAGAAGACAAGAAATAACCAAAATCAGAAGTGAAATAAAGGAGATTGAGATACAAAAAAACAAAAAACATACAAAACACTAATGATCCCAAAAGTTGAAAAAACTAGACCGACCAGTAGCTACATTAAGAAAGAAAAAAAGAAAGAAGATCCAAATAAATACAATCAGAAATGACAAAGGGAACATTACCACTGACCTCACAGAAATAAAAATAACCATCAGGAGCTACTATGAACAACTCTATGCACATAAACTAGACACTCTAGAAGAAATCGATAAATTACTGAACACATACAACCTCACAAGACTGAAAATAAAAAAGACATTGAATCTCTGAAAGACCAATAACGAGCTCTGAAATTTAATTAGTAATAAATAGCCTACAAACAAACAAAAAGCCCTGATTCACAGCCGAGTTCTATGAGATGTACAAAAAAAAAAAAAAATCTGTACCACTCCCACAAAAGCTGTTCCAAAAATTAAGAACATAAGACTCATCCCCAACTATTTATATGAGGCCAGCATCATCTTGATGCCAAAGCCTGGCAGAAACACAAAAAATAAAACTTCAGGCCAATATCCTTGATGAACATAGATGCAAAAATCTTCAACAAAATACAGGCAAACTGAATCCAGCAGCATATCAAAAAGCGAATCCATCATGATCAAGTAGGCTTCATCCCTGGGATGCAGGGTTGGTTCAACACATGCAAATCAATTAGTGCAATTCATCACATAAAAAGAACTAAGGACAAGCATCACATGATTATCTGAATAGATGAAGAAAAGGCTTTCAATAAAATTCAACATTGCTTCATGTTAAAAACTCTCAATAAAGTAGGAGGACACAGGCCTGGCTTGCTTTGCCACCTGTTGACTTCAGAGCCCCAGGGCCTTGAGGAAACTCAAAGAAAATAAAGATAACACAGAGAAGGAATTCAGAATTCTATCAGATACATTTAATAGAGATTGAAATAATTAAGGATAATCAAATGGAAATTCTGGAGCTGTAAAATGCAATTGGCATACTGAAGAATGTATCAAAGTCCTTCAGTAGCAGAACCGAAGGATTAGTGATTAGAAGAAAGAATGAGTAAGCTTGGACACAGGTTATTTTAAAATATACATTGAGAGGATACAAAAGAAATAAGAATAAAAAATGATGAAGCACGCCTACGAGATCTAGAAAATATCCTCAAAGGGGTAAATCTAACAGTTATTGGCCTTAAAGAGGAGGTAGAAAAAAAGACAGCAGAAGAAAGTTGATTCATAGCGATAATAACAGAGAACTTCCCAAACCTAAAAAAAAGATATTGTTATCCAAATACAAGTTTATACAACACCAAGCAGATTGAACCCAAAGAAGACTACCTCAAGGCATTTAATAATCAAACTCCCAAAGATCAAAGATAAAGAAAAATCCCTAAAATCACAAGAGAAAAGAAACAAACAATATACTATGGAGCTCCAATACATCTGACAGCAGACTTCTCAGGAGAAACCTTATGGGCCAGGAGACAGTGGCATGATATATTTAAAATGCTTAAGGAAAAAAAAAAAAACTTTTAACCTAGAATAGTATATCTGACCAAAATATCCTTCAAGCATAAAGGAGAAAAAAAGACTTTCCCAGAAAAACAAAAGATGAGAGGTTTCATCAATACAAGACATTCTCCAAGAAATGTTAAACGGCACACTTCAACCAGAAAGAAAAAGATGCTAATTAGCAATACATAATCAACTGAAGGTACAAAATTTGCTGGTAATATTAAGTACACAGAAAAACACAGAATATTATAACACTGTCACAGTGATATGTAAACTACTCTTATATTAAGTAGAAAGAATGAACGATGAACAAATCGAAAATAATAACTCCAACAACTTTTAAGACACGGACAGTACAATAAGATATCAATAGAAGCAGCATAAAGTTAAAAAGCAGAGGGACAAAGTTAAGGCATAGAGTTTTTGTTAGTTTCCTTTTTGCTTGTTTGTTTTTTTATGCAGAGTGTTAAGTTATAAGGTTAAAATAATGAATTATAAGACAATATTTCCAAGCCTCATTGTAACCTCAAACCAAAAATCACACAAAGGATACACAAAAAATAAAAAGCAACAAAGTAAATCATATCACCAGAGAAAAGAACCTTCACTAAACGAAGACAGGAAGCAAAGAAGCAAGAGAAGACCAGAAAACAACAAAATGGCAGGAGTTCTTACTTATCAGTAATAACATTGAATGTAAAGGGACAAAACTCTCCAATGAAAATAACCTAGCTGAATGAATAAAAAAGAAAAAAGCAAGACACACTGATCTGTTCACAAAACAAGTTTTAAAACACTAAAAAAAAAAAAAAAAAAAAGTAACATCAAGTATCTTCTCTGACCACAATGGAAAACTAGAAATCAATAACAAGAGAAATTTTGGAAATTACACAAATAGATGGAAATTAAACAAGGCCACTGAATGACCAGTGGTCAATGAAGAAATTAAGAAAAAAAATTGAAAAATGTCTTGAAACAAATGATAATAGAATATAACATACCAAAACTCAAGGGATACAGCAAAAGCAATACCAAGAGGGAAGTTCATAGTTCCAATGCCTACATCAAAAAAGAGAATAAACTTCAAATGAACATTCCAATGATGCATCATAAAGAACTACAAAAGCAAGCGCAAACCAAATGCAAATTAGTAGAAGAAAAGAAATAATGAAGATCAGAGCAGAAATGAATGCAATTGAAATAAAAAAAAAAGATCAATGAAACAAAAAGTTGGTTTTTTGAAAAATTAAACAAAATTTAAAAACCTTTAGCCAGACTAAGAGAAAGAGTGAAAATACAAATAAATAAAATCAGAAATGGGATCTGGCAAGATGGCTGAATAGGAACAGCTGCAGTCTGCAGCTCCCAGCGAGACCAACACAGAAGGAGGGTGATTTCTTCATTTCCAACTGAGGTACACGGTTCATCTCACTGGGACTGGTTAGACAGTGGGTGCAGCCCACAGAGGGCAAGCGGAAGTAGAGTAGGGACTCACATCACCCAGGAAGCTCAAGGTGCCGGTGAACTCCCTCCCCTAGGAAACGGAAGCTGTGCGAGACTGTGCTGTGAGGAATGGGGCTATCCAGCCCAGATACTACACTTTTCCCACGGTTTTTGCAACCTGCAGACCAGGAGATTCCTTTGGGTGCCTACACCACCAGAAACCTGGGTTTCAAGCACAAAATGGGGCAGCTGTTTGGGCAGACACTGAGTTAGCTGCACGAGTTTTTTTTTTTTTAACAGAGTGGCCCCTGGAACCCCAGCGAGACAGAACAATTCACTCCTCTGGAAAGGGGGCTGAAGCCAGGGAGTCAAGTGGTCTTGCTGAGCAGGTTGCACCCCCACAGAGCAAAGCAAGCTATGATCCACTGGCTTGAAATTCTCGCTGCCAGCATAGCAGTCTGAAGTCGACCTGGAACAATCGAGCTTGGTTGGGCGAGGGGCATCTGCCATCACTGAGGATGGAGTAGGTGGTTTTCCCCTCACAGTGTAAACAGAGCCACCAGGAAGTTCAGACTGCGTAGAGCCCACCGCAGGGCAGCAAAGCCGCTGTAGCCAGACTGCCTCTCTAGATTCCTACACACGGGGCAAGTCATCTCTGAAAGAAAGGCAGCAGCCCCAGTCAGGGGCTTATAGATAAAACTCCCATCACCCTGGGACAGAGCACATGAGGGAAGGAGCAAGTGGGTGCAGCTTCAGCAGACTTAAATGTTCCTGCCTGCCAGCTCTAAAGAGAGCAGTGGATCTCCCAGCACAGCACTCGAGCTGTGCTAAGGGACAGACTGCCACCTCAAGTGGATCACTGACCCCCATGCCTCCTGACTAGGAGATACCTCCCAGCAGGGGTCGACAGACGCCTCATACAGAAGAGCTCAGGTTAGTACCTGGTGGGTGCACCTCTGGGAGGAAGCTTCCAGAGGAAAGAATAGGAAGCAATCTTTGCTGTTCTACAGCCTCGATGGTGATACCCAGGGAAACAGGGTCTGGAGTGGACCTCCAGCAAACTTCAACAGACCTGCAGAAGAGGAGCCTGCTGTTAGAAGGAAAACTAACAAATAGAAAGGAATAACATCAACATCAATAAAAAGAACACCCACAAAAAACCCATCCAAAGGTCATCAGCATCAAAGATCAAAGGTAGATAAATCCATGAAGATAAGGAAAAACCAGTGCAAAAATGCTAAAAATTCCAAAAACCAGAATGCCTCTTCTCCTCCAAAGGGTCACAACTCCTTGCCAGCAAGAGAACAAAACTGGATGGAGAATTAGTTTGACGAACTGACAGAAGTAGGATTGAGAAGATGGGTAATAACAAACTCCTCCAAGGCGAGGAGCATGTTTCAACTCAATGCAAGGAAGCTAAAAACCTTGAAAAAAGGTTACAGGAGCTGCTAACTAGAATAACCAGTTTAGAGAACATAAATGACCTGATGGAGCTGAAAAAACACAGAACGAGGACTTTGTGAAGCATGCACAAGTATCAATAGCCAAATTGATCAAGCAGAAGAAGGGATATCAGAGATTGAAGATGAACTTAATGAAATAAAGAGTGAAGACAAGATTAGAGAAAAAAGAATAAAAAAAAAACAAACAAAGCCTCCAGGAAATATGGAACTATGTAAAAAGACCAAATCTATGATTGATTGGTGTACCTAAAACTGACAAAGAGAATATAACCAAGTTGAAAAATACACTTCAAGATATTATCCAGGAGAACTGCCCCTACCTGGCAAGACAGGCGAACATTCAGTTCAGGAAATACAGAGAACACCACTAAGACACTCCTCGAGAAGAGAAACCACAAGACACATAATCGTCAGATTCACCAAGGTTGAAACAAAGGAAAAATTGTTAAGGGCAGAGAGAGAGATAAATCAGGTTACCTACAAAGGGAAGCCCATCAGACTAACAGTGGCTCTCTCTGCAGAAACCCTACAAGCCAGAAGAGAATGGGAGACAATATTCAACACTCTAGAAGAAAAGAATTTTCAACCCAGAATTTCATATTCAGCCAAACAAAGCTTCATAAGCAATAGAGAAATAAAATCATTTCCAGACAAGCAAATGCTGAGAGATTTTGTCACAACCAGGCCTGCCTTACAAGAGCTCCTGAAGGAAGCACTAACTATGGAAAGGAAAAACTGGTACCAGTCACTGCAAAAATATACCAAATTGTAAAGACTATCAACACTATGAAGAAACTGCATCAATTAATGGGTAAAATAACTAGCTACCATCATAATGACAGGATCCAATTCAAACAAAACAATATTGACCTTAAAAGTAAATGGGCTAAATGCTCCAATTAAAAGATACAGACTGGCAAACTGGATAAAGAGTCAAAACCCATCAGTGTGCAGTATTCAGGAGACCCATCTCATGTGCAAAGACACACATAGGCTGAAAATAAAGGGATGGAGAAATATTTACCAAGCAGACGGAAAGAAAAAAAAAGCAGGAGTTGCAATCCTAGTCTATGTAAAACAGACTTTAAACCAACAAAGATGAAAAAAGACAAAGAAAGGCAACACGTAATGGTAAAGGGATCAATACAAGAAGAAGAGCTAACTATCCTAAATATATATGCACCCAATAAAGGAGGACCGAGATTCATAAAGCAAGTTCTAAGAGAACGAAAAAGAGACTTAGACTCCCAAACAATAATAGTGGGAGACTTTAACATTGCACTGTCAATATTAGACAGATCAGCGAGACACAAAATTAACAAGGAGATTTCGGACTTGAACTGAGGTCTGGACCAAGTGGACCTAATAGACATCTACAGACTCTCCACCCCAGTTCAACAGAATATACATTCTCCTCATAGCACTTATTCAAAAACTGACCACATGATTGGAAGTAAAACACTCCTCAGCAATGCAAAAGAATGGAAAACATAAGACAAAGTCTCTCAGACCATAGTGCAATCAATTTAGAACTCAAGATTAAGAAACTCACGCAAGACCACACAACTACATGGAAACTGAACAACCTGCTTCTGAATGACTACTGGGTAAATAATGAAATTAAGGCAGAAATAAGAAAGTACTTTGAAAACAATGAGAACAAAGACACAACATACCAGAATCTCTGGGACACAGCTAAAGAAGTGTTTAGAGGGAAACTTATAGCATTAAATACCCACATCAGAAACTGGGAAAGATCTAAAATCAACACCCTAACATCACAATTAAAAGAACTAGAGAAGCAAGAGCAACAAATTCAAAAGCTAGCAGAAGACAAGAAATAACTAAGATCAGAGCAGAACTGAAGGAGATAGAGACATGAAAAACCTTTCAAAAACTCGATAAATCCAGAAGCTGGTTTTTTGAAAAGATTAACAAAATAGACTGCTAGCCAGACTAATAAAGAAGAAAAGAAAGAAGAATCAAATAGACATAATAAAAATGATAAAAGGGATATCACCAAAGATCCTACACACATACAATCTACCATCAGAGAATACTATAAACACCTCTATGCAAATAAACTAGAAAATCTAGCATAAATGGATAAATTCCTGGACACATACATCCTACCAAGACTAAACCAGGAAGAAGTTGAATCCCTGAGTAGAACAATAACAAGTTCTGAAATTGAGGCAGTAATTAATAGCTTATCAACCAAAAAAAGCCAAGCTCCAGAGGGATTCACAGCCAATTTCTACCAGAGGTACAAAGAAGAGCTGGTGCCATTCCTTCTGAAACTTCTCAAAACAATAGAAAAAGAGGGATTCCTCCCTAACTCACTGTATGAGGCCAACATCATCCTGATACCAAAACCTGGCAGAGAAACAAAAAAAGAAAATTTCAGGCCAATATCCTTGATGAACATTGATGTGAAAATCCTCACTAAAATACTGACAAACTGAATCCAGGAGCACATCAAAAAGCTTATCCACCACGATCAAGTTGGCTTCATCCCCAGGATGCAAGGCTGGTTCAATATATGCAAATCAGTAAACATAATCCATCACATAAACAGAACAAATGACAAAACCTCATGATTATCTCAACAGATGCACAAACAGCCTTCAATAAAATTCAACAGGCCTTCATGCTAAAAACACTCAATAAACTAGGCACTGATGGAACGTATCTCAAAATAATAAGAGCTATTTATGACAAACCCACAGCCAATATCATACTGAATGGGCAAAAGCTGGAAGCATTCCCTTTGAAAACTGGCACAAGACAAGGATGCCCTCTCTTACCACTCCTATTCAACATATTATTGGAAGTTCTGACCAGGGCAATCAGGCAAGAGAAAGAAATAAAAGGTATTCAAATACAAAGAAAAAAAGTCAGATTGTGTCTGTTTGAAGATGACATGATTGTATATTTAGAAAACCCCTTGGTCTCAGTCCAACAACACCTTAAGCTGATAAGCAACTTCAGCAAAATCTCAGGATACAAAATCAAAGTGCAAAAATCACAAGCATTTCTAAACACCAATAATAGACAAACAGAGAGCCAAACCATAAGTGAATTCCCATTCAGAATTGCTACAAAGAGAATAAAATACCTAGGAATACAACCTAGAAGGGACATGAAGGACTTCTTCAAGGAGAACTACAAACTACTGCTCAAGGAAATAGACCTCGGACACAAACAAAAGGAAAAACATTCCATGCTCATGGATAGGAAGAATCAATATCGTGAAAATGGCCACACAGTCCAAAGTAATTTATAGATTCAATGTTATTCCCATCAAGTCACAATTGACTTTGTTCACAGAATTACAAAAACTACTTTAAATTTCATATGGATCCAAAAAAGAGCTCGTATAGCCAAGACAATCCTAAGCCAAAAGAACAAAGCTGGAGGTATCATACTACTTGACCTCAAACTATACTACAAGGCTACAGTAACCAAAACAGCATGGTACTGGTACCAAAACATATATATAGACAAATGTTACAGAACAGAGGTCTCAGAAATAACACCACACATCTACAACCATCTGATCTTTGACCAACCTGACAAAAACAAGCAAAGGGGAAAAGATTCCCTATTTAATAAATGGTGCTGGGAAAACTGGCTAGCCATATGCAGAAAACTGAAACTGGAACCTTTCCTTACACCTTAAACAAAAATTACCTCAAGATGGATTAAAGACTTAAACGTAAGACCTAAAACCATAAAAACCCTAGAAGAAAGCCTAGGCAATACCATTCAGGTCATAGCCATGGGCAAAGGCTTCATGGATAAAACACCAAAAGCAATGGCAACAAAAGCCAAAATTGACAAATGGGATCTAATTAAACTAAAGAACTGCTCAGCAAAGAAACTATCATCAGAGTGAAGAGGCAATCTGCAGATTGGGAGAAAAATTTTGCAATCTATCCATCTGACAACAGTCTAGTATCCAGAATCTACAAGGAACTTAAACAAATTTACAAGAAAAAAACAACCCCATCAAAAAGTGGACAAAGGATATGAACAGACACTTCTCAAAAGAAGACATTTATGCAGCCAACAAACATATGAAGAAAAGCTCATCATCACTGGTCATTAAAGAAATGCAAATCAAAACCACAATGAGATACCATCTCATGCCAGTTAGAATGGCGATCATTAAAGAGTCAGGAAACAACAGATTCTGGAAATGATGTGGAGAAATAAGAATGCTTTTACACTGTTGGTGAGAATGTAAATTAGTTCAACCATTGTGGAAGATAGTGTGGTGATTCCTCAGGGATCTAGAATGAGAAATATCACTTGATCCAGCAATCCCATTACTGGGTATATACTGAAAGGATTACAAGTCATTCTACTATAAAGACACATGCACATGTTTGTTTATTGCAGCACCATTTACAATAGCATAGACTTGGAATCAACCCAAATGCCCATCAATGATAGACTGGATAAAGAAAATGCAGCACATACACACCATGGAATACTATGCAGTCATAAAAAAGAATGAGTTCATGTCCTTTGCAGAAACATGGATGAAACTGGAAACCATCATTCTCAGCAAACTGACACAGGAACAGAAAACCATACACCGCATGTTCTCACTCATAAATTTGAGTTGAACAATGAGAATACATGAACAAAGGGAGCGGAACATCACACACTGGGGCCTGTTGGGGGATGTTGGACAAAAGGAGGGATAGCATTAGGAGAAATATCTAATGCATGTGGAGTTTAAAACCTAGATGACGAGTTGATGGGTGCAGCAAAGCACCATGGCACATGTATACCTACGTAACAAACCTGCACGTTCTGCACATGTATCCCTGAACTTAAAGTATAATAAAAAAATAAAAATAAGAATAAAAATAAAAAAACATAAAAGAAAAAGGATACATTACAACTGATATTGCAAAAATTCAAAGGATCATTAGTAGCTACAAAGAGCAACTATATGCCAAATAATTGGAAAATCTATAGTAAATGGACAAATTCCTAGATATATACAACCTACCAAGATTGACACAGGAAGACATCCAAAACCTGAACAGACCAATAACAAGTAATGAAAATGAAGCTATAGTAACAAGTCTACGAGTAAAGAAATTCCTGGGACCTGATGGCTTCACTGTTGATTTCTACCAAACATTGAAAGAAGAACAAATAACCAATCCTACATAAACTATTCTAAAAAATAGAGGAGAAACGAAGACTTCCAAACCAGTGATGATGAGCTTTTCTTCATATGTTTGTTGGCTGCATAAATGTCTTCTTTTGAGAATATCTTCTTTATGAGTCCAGTATTGCCCTGATGCCAAAGACAGACAAAGATAGATCAAAAAAAGAAAACTACAGGTGAATATATCTGATGAATATTGATGCAAAAATCCTCAACAAAATACTAGCAAACTGAAATCAACAATACATTAGAAAGATCATTCATCATGAGCAAGTGGGAGTTATCCCTGTGACGCAAGGATGGTTCAACATATGCAAACCAATCAGTGCAATACATCGTATCAACAGAATGAAACATAAAAATCATATGACCATTTCAATTGATATGGAAAAAGCATGTGATAAAATTCAACATCGTTTCATGTTGAAAACCCTAAAAAAATAGGGGACAGAAGGAACATAAAACCTCAACATAATTAAAGGCAAAAACAGCAGACCTATAGCTAGTTTCACACTGAAAGCCTTTCCTCTAAGATCTGGAACACAACAGGGATACACCCTGCCATCACTGTTATTCAACACAATACTGAAATTCCTAGCTGGAACAATGAGACAGGAGAAATATATGCAGTGCATCCCAATTAGAATGGAAGAAGTTAAATCATCCTTGTTTGCAGATGATATGATCTTATATTTTGAAAATCCTTAAAATTCCACAAGAAAACTACTAGAAATGATAAATTCAGCAAAGTTGCAGGATACAAAATCAACATAACAATGCTAAGTAGCATGTGTATATGGCAACAGTGAACAATCTGAAAAAGAAATTGAAAAAGTAATCCATTTACGATAGCCATGCATAAAATTAAATGCCTAGAATTAACCAAAGAAGTGAAAGATCACTGTAATGAAAACTATAAAACACTGATGAAAGAAATTGAAGAGGACACCAAAATATGGAAAAATATTCCATACTTATAGATCAGAAGAATCAATATTGTTAAAATGCCCATACTAACAGTAGTCTACATATTCAATGCAATCCCTATCAAAATACCAATGACATTCTTCACATAAATAGAAAAATCAATCCTAATGTTTATATGGAATGAAAAAGAACCAGAATACACAAAGCTATTTTATGTAAAAATCAGAAAATTAGAGGAATCACATTACCTGACTTCAAATTATATAATACTACAGAGCCATAGTAACCAAAAAACCATGGTACTGGCATAAAAACAGACACACAGACCAATGGAACAGAATAGAGAACCCAGAATCAAATCCCCAATCCTATACTAAACTCATTTTAAACAAAGGTGCTAAGAACCTACACTGGGTAAGACAGTCTCTTCCATAAACGGTGCTGGGAAAACTGGATATCCATATGCAGAAAAATGAAACTAGACCTCTACTCTTCCCATATACAAAAATCAAATTGAAATTGATGAAAGACTTAAATCTAAGACCTCAAAATTTAAAACTACTACAATAAAACATTGGGGAAAATCTCCAGGACACTGGTCTGGGCAAAGATTTTTTGAGCAATACCGCACAAGCGCAGGCAGCCAAAGCAAAAATGAACAAACTGGGGCGGGGGGGGGGTGGTTCCAAGATGGCCAAATAGGAACAGCTCCAGTCTACAGCTCCCAGCGTGAGCGACGCAGAAGACAGGTGATTTCTGCATTGTGAACTGAGGTACTGGGTTCATCTCACTGGGGCTTGTCAGACAGTGGGTGCAGGACAGTGGGTGCAGTGCACCAAGCGTGAGCCAAAGCAGGGCAAGGCATCACCACACCCGGGAAATGCAAGGGGTCAGGGAATTCCCTTTCCTAGCCAAGCAAAGCAATGACAGACGGCACCTGGAAAATCGGGTCACTCCAACCCTAATACTGTGCTTTTCCAATGGTCTTAGCAAACGGCACACCAGAAGATTATATCCCGCGCCTGGCTCGGAGGGTCACACGCCCACGAAGCCTCGCTCATTGCTAGCACAGCAGTCTGAGATCCAACTGCAAGGTGGCAGTGAGGCTGGGGGAAGAGCGGCCGCCACTGCTGAGGCTTGAGTAGGTAAGCAATGTGGCCGGGAAGCTTGAACTGGGTGGAGCCCACCACAGCTGAAGGAGGTCTGCCTGACTCTGTAGACTCCACCTCTGTGGGCAGGGCACAGCCGAACAAAAGGCAGCAGAAACCTCTGCAGACTTAAATGTCCCTGTCTGACAGCTTGGAAGACAGTAGTGGTTCTCCCAGCATGGAGTTTCAGATCTGAGAACAGACAGACTGCCTCCTCAAGTGGGTCCCTAACTCACAAGTAGCCTAACTGGGAGGCACCCCCGAGTACAGGCAGACTGACACCTCACATGGCTGGTTACCCCTCTGAGACAAAACTTCCAGAGGAACTATCAGGCAGCAACATTTGCTGTTCAGCAATATTCGCTGTTTTATAGCCTCTGCTGCTGATACCCAGGCAAACACGGTCTGGAGTGGATCTCCAGCACTCTAACACACCTGCAGCTGAGGGTCCTGACTGTAAGAAGGAAAACAAACAGAAAGGACATCCACACCAAAACCCCATCTGTATGTCACCATCATCAAAGACCAAAGGTAGATAAAACCACAAAGACGGGAAAAAAACAGAGCAGAAAAGGTGAAAATTCTAAAAATCACAGCACCTCTCCCCCTCCAAAGGAATGCAGCTCCTCACTAGCAATGGAAAAAACTGGACAGAGAATGCCTCTGAGGAGTTGAGAGAAGAAAGCTTTAGACGATCAAACTTCTCCGAGCTAAAGGAGGAAGTTCGAACACATCGCAAAGAAGCTAAAAACCTTGAAAAAATATTGGACGAATGGCTAACCAGAATAATCAGTGTAGAGATGTCGTTAAATGACCAGAAGGAGCTGAAAACCATGGCACGACAGCTAGGAAATGAACACACAAGCTTCAGTAGCCAATTCGATCAACTGGAAGAAAGGGTATCAGTGATGGAAGATCAAATGAATGAAATGAAGCGAGAAGGGAAGTTTAGAGAAAAAAGAATAAAAACAAATGAACAAAGCCTCCAAGAAATATGGGACTATATGAAAAGACCAAATCTACATCTGATTGGTGTACCTGAAAGTGACGGGGAGAATAGAACCAAGTTGGAAAACACTCTGCAGGATATTATCCAGGAGAACTTCCCCAATCTAGCAAGGCAGGCCAACATTCAAATTCAGGAAATACAGAGAATGCCACGAAGATACTCCTCGAGAAGAGCAACTCCAAGACAGATAATTGTCAGATTCACCAAAGTTGAAATGAAGGTAAAAATGTTAAGGGCAGCCAGAGAGAAAGGTCGGGTTACCCACAAAGGGAAGCCCATCAGACTAACAGCAGATCTCTCAGCAGAAACTCTACAAGCCAGAAGAGAGTGGGGGCCAATATTCAACATTTTTAAGAAAAGAATTTTCAACCCAGAATTTCATATCCAGCCAAACTAAGCTTCATAAGTGAAGGAGAAATAAAATCCTTTACAGACAAGCAAATGCTGAGAGATTTTGTCACCACCAGGCCTGCCCTAAAAGAGCTCCTGAAGGAAGCACTAAACATAGAAAGGAACAACCGGTACCAGCCACTGCAAAAACATGCCAAATTGTAAAGACCATCAAGGCTAGGAAGAAACTGCATCAACTAATGAACAAAATAACCAGCTAATATCGTGACAAGATCAAATTCACACATAACAATATTAACCTTAAATGTAAATGGGCTAAATGCTCCAATTAAAAGACACAGACTGGCAAATTGGATAAAGAGTCCAGACCTATCACTGTGCTGTATTCAGGAGACCCATCTCACATGCAGAGACACACATAGGCTCAAAATAAAGGGATGGAGGAAGGTCTACTAAGCAAATGGAAAACAAAAAAAGGCAAGGGTTGAAATCCTAGTCTCTGATAAAACAGACTTTAAACCAACACAGATCAAAAGAGACAAGGCCATTACATAATAGTAAAGGGATCAATTCAACCAGAAGAGCTAACTATCCTAAATATATATGCACCCAATACAGGAGCACCCAGATTCATAAAGCAAGTCCTTAGACACCTAGAAAGAGATTTAGACTCCCACACAATAATAATGGGAGATTTTAACACCCCACTGTCAACATGAGACAGATCAATGAGACAGAAAGTTAACAACGATATCCGGGAAATGAACTCAGCTCTGCACCAAGAGGACCTAATAGACATCTACAGAACTCTCCACCCCAAATCAACAGAATATACATTCTTCTCAGCACCACACTGCACTTATTCCAAAATTGACCACATAGTTGGAAGTAAAGCATTCCTCAGCAAATGTAAAAAAACAGAAATTATAACAAACTGTCTCTGAGACCACAGTGCAATCAAACTAGAACTCAGGATTAAGAAACTCACTCAAAACCGCTCAACTACATGGAAACTGAACAACCTGCTCCTGAATGACTACTGGGTACATAAGGAAATGAAGGCAGAAATAAAGATGTTCTTTGAAACCAACGAGAACAAAGACACAACATACCAGAATCTCTGGGACACATTTAAAACAGTGTGTAGAGGGAAACTTATACCACTAAATGCCCACAAGAAAAAGCAGGAAAGATCTAAAATTGACACCCTAACATCACAATTAAAAGAACTAGAGAAGCAAGAGCAAACACGTTCAAAAGCTAGCAGAAGGCAAGAAAGAATTAAGATCAGAGTAGAAATGTAGGAGATACAGACACAGAAAAAACCTTCAAAAAAATCAATGAATCCAGGAGCTGGTTTTTTGAAAAGATCAACAAAATTGATAGACTGCTAGCAAGACTAAAAAAGAAGAAAAGAGAGTAGAATCAAACACATGCAATAAAAAATGATAAAGGGGATATCACCACTGATCCCACAGAAATACAAACTACCATCAGAGAATACTATGAACACCTCTATGCAAATAAGCTAGAAAATCTAGAAGAAATGAATGAATTCCTGGAAACATACATGCTCCCAAGACTAAACCAGGAAGAATTTGAATCTCTGAATAGACCAATAACAGGCTCTGAAAGTGAGGCAATAATTAATAGCATACCAACCAAAAAAAGACCAGGACCAGAAGAATTCAAAGCTGAATTCTACCAGAGGTACAAGGAGGAACTGGTACCATTCCCTCTGAAACTATTCCAATCAATAGAAAAAGAGGAAATCTTCCCTAACTCATTTTATGAGGCCAGTATCATCCTGATACCAAAGCCTGGCAGAGACAAAACAAAACAAAGAGAATTTTAGACCAATATTCTTGATGAACATCCATGCAAAAATCTTCAATAAAATACTGGCAAACCGAATCCAGCAACACATGAAAAAGCTTATCCACCATGATCAAGTGGGCTTCATCCCTGGGATGCAAGGCTGGTTCAACATATGCAAATCAGTAAACGTAATCCAGCATATAAACAGAACCAATGACAAAAACCACATGATTATCTCGATAGATGCAGAAAAGGCCTTTGACAAAATTCAACAGCCCTTTATGCTAAAAACTCTCAATAAATTTGGTATTGATGGGACATATCTCAAAATAATAAGAGCTATTTATGACAAACCCACAGCCAATATCATACTGAATGGGCAAAAATTGGAAGCATTCCCTTTGAAAACTGGCACAAGACAGGGATGCCCTCTCTCACCACTCCTATTCAACATAGTGTTGGAAGTTCTGGCCAGCGCAATCAGGCAGGAGAAGGAAATAAAGGGTATTCAATTAGGAAAAGAGGAAGTTAAATTGTCCCTGTTTGCAGATGACATGATTGTTTATCTAGAAAACCCCATCGTCTCAGCCCAAAATCTCCTTAAGCTGATAAGCAACTTCAGCAGTCTCAGGATACAAAATCAATGTGCAAAAATCACAAACATTCTTATACATCAATAACAGACAAACAGAGAGCCAAATCATGAGTGAACTCCCACTCACAATTGCTTCAAAGAGAATAAAATACCTAGGAATCCAACTTACAAGGGATGTGAAGGACTTCTTCAAGGAGAACTACTAACCACTGCTCAATGAAATAAAAGAGGATACAAAAAAATGGAAGAACATTCCATGCTCATGGATAGCAAGAATCAATATCGTAAAAATGGCCATACTGCCCAAGGTAATTTACAGATTCAACGCCACCCCCATCAAGCTACCAATGACTTTCTTCACAGAATTGGAATAAACTAATTTAAAGTTCATATAGAACCAAAAAAGAGCCCGCATTGCCAATTCAACCCTAAGCCAAAAGAACAAAGCTGGAGGCATCACACTACCTGACTTCAAACTACACTACAAGGCTACAGTAACCAAAACAGAGATATAGACCAATGGAACAGAACAGAGCCCTCAGAAATAATGCCACATATCTACAACTATCTGATCTTTGACAAACCTGACAAAAACAAGAAATGGGGAAAGGATTCCCTATTTAATAAATGGTGCTGGGAAAACTGGCTAGCCATATGTAGAAAGCTGAAACTGGATCCCTTCCTTACACCTTATACAAAAATTAATTCAAGATGGATTAAAGACCTGAATGTTAGACCTAAAACCATAAAAACTCTAGAAGAAAACCTAGGCAATACCATTCAGGACATAGGCATGGGCAAGGACTTCATGTCTAAAACACCAAAAGCAATGGCAACAAAAGCCAAAATTGACAAATGGGATCTAATTAAACTAAAGAGCTTCTGCACAGCAAAAGAAATTACCATCAGAGTGAACAGGCAACCTACAGAATGGGAGAAAATTTTTGCAATCTACTCATCTGACAAAGGGCTAATATTCAGAATCTACAATGAACTCAAATAAATTTACAAGAAAAAAGCAAACAACCCCATCAAAAAGTGGGTGAAGGATATGAACAGACACTTCTCAAAAGAAGACATTTATGCAGCCAAAAGACACATGAAAAAATGCTCATCATCACTGGCCATCAGAGAAATGCAAATCAAAATCACAATGAGATGCCATCTCACACCAGTTAGAATGGTGATCATTAAAAAGTCAGGAAACAACAGGTGCTGGAGGGGATGTGGAGAAACAGGAACACTTTTACACTGTTGGTGGGACTGTAAACTAGTTCAACCATTGTGGAAGTCAGTGTGGCGATTCCTCAGGGATCTAGAACTAGAAATACCATTTGACCCAGCCATCCCATTACTGGGTATATACCCAGAGGAGTATAAATCATGCTGCTATAAAGACACATGCACATGTATGTTTATTGTGGCACTATTCACAATAGCAAAGACTTGGAACTAACCCAAATGTCCAACAATGATAGATTGGATTAAGAAAATGTGGCACATATACACCATGGAATACTATGCAGCCTTAAAAAGTGATGAGTTCATGTCCTTTGTAGGGACATGGATGAAGCTGGAAACCATCATTCTCAGCAAACTATCGCAAGGAAAAAAAACCAAACACCGCATGTTCTCACTCATAGGTGGGAATTGAACAATGAGAACACATGGACATGGGAAGGGGAACATCACACCCTGGGGCCTGTTGCGGGGTGGGGGGAGTGGGGACGGATAGCATTAGGAGATATACCTAATGTAAATAGCGAGTTAATGGGTGCAGCACACCAACATGGCACATGTATACATACGTAACAAACCTGCAGGTTGTACACATGTACCCTAAAACTTAAAGTATAATTAAAAAAAAAGACACACAAATGGCAAACAGGCATGTGAACAATAGAGCAGGAGGGAATACTTCTAAATGGTGAAAAGGATCTCAATGTCATTGATCATCAGAGAAATGCAAATCAAATCTATAAGGAAATATTATCTTACTCCAGTTAAAATGGCTTATATTCAAAAGACAGGCAATAACAAATGCTGGTGAGGATGTAGAGAAAAGTGAACCCTTATATACTGATGGTAAAAAAGTAAATTGACAACTACTATGGAGAATAATGTGGAGGTTCCTTAAAAAACTAAAAATTGAGATAGTGAATACAACAGCAATTCTATTGTTGAGTATATACAGAAAAGAAATGAAATCGGTATGTCAAAGAGATATCTGAACATCTATGGTGGTTGCAGCACTGTTAACAATAGCTAAGATTTGAGAGCACCCTATTTGTCCATCAACAGATGAATGGATAAAGAAAATGGGGCATATATACACAATGGAATACTACTCAACCACAAAAAAGAATGAAATTCAGTCATCTGCAGTGACATAGATGGAACTGGAGATCATTATGTTAAGATAAATAAGCCAGGCACAGAAAGACAAACATAACATTTTTTCACTTATTTGTGGGATCTGATAATCAAAACAATGGAGGCTGGGAAGTAGGGTTCTGGGGGGAGGTGGGTATGTTTAATGGGTACAAAAAAAAATAAAAAGAACGAAGAAGACCTACTATTTGATAGCACAATAGGGTGACTATAATCAATAATAACTTAATTGTACATCTTAAAATAGCTTAAAGAGTGGAATTGTATTGCTTATAACTCAAAGAATAAATTCTTGAGTGGATATATACCCTATTCTCCATGATGTGATTTTTCACATTGGATGTCCGTATCAAAACATATCATGTATCCCAAATATATAAATATCTACTATGTACCCACAAACATTTTAAAAAATAATAATTAGAAAAAGAATTATGGTGGGGCCATGAACTTTGCTAAACAATAGACATAATTAAACAATTACCTGCCATTGCTTTATGTGTTTTTCTATAAGTTGCTTACAGCTGCCGAGTCATGTAACTGGGGGTCACAAGTTTTACACTTCTCCAACTACTCCTATAGATAACATCACTATTATGAAACTTAAAAAAACTGGTCTTTGAGATATTTTTCAGATTTATAAGCAGACCAAGAGCTGACCAAGAGATGCCACCTGGTCCCAAGACAGCCCCCTCCCAGGAACTGACTCAGCTAAGCCGAGACAGTTTTAGGTACCCCTGTGATTTCATCCCCAGTCAATCATTTCTTAAAAGTTTCCTATCCCCTGCCTGCCAAAGTGTCCTTAAAAAAACCTAGCCTCCAAATTCTCAGAGAGATGGGTTTGAGAAGTTTTTTCCCTTTCTCCTTATTTGGCTGGCCCTGCAATTATTAAACTACTTCTTCGCTGAAAAAAAAGTCTTAGGCTGAATCAATTATTTTTAATTTGTTCCTATTGTTAGGTAAAGTATTCTTCCTTATTTGGATGTTTGGAGGATAGTTTCTTTGTTCATATGCTTTTTAAAAATTGCAAAATTTAATCTAGGTGAAATGCCCCTTTTCATTGATTTTTTTCTGGTTCATGATGAATCCTTTCAAACAGAATACAGCATATCCATATTTCTTCCACCTAAAAAAGAAAGAAAGATCTCAATTAACAACTTAACTTTACATCTGAAGGCACTAGAAAAAGAAGAGCAAACTGAGACTAAAGTGAGCAGAAGGAAAGGAATGATAAAAACCAGAGCAGAAATACACAGAGAAGAAAAAAACATAGAAAAGATCAATAAAATTAAAAGCGCTTTTTTGAAAAGATAAAAAATATTGACAAATCTTTAGCTAGCATAAGAAAAGAGAAGACTCAAAACAATCAGAAATGAAAGAGGAAACATAAAAACTGATGCCACAGAAATTAACAGGATTAAAAGAAATCAATATAACCAACTATTTGTCCATAAATTCAATAACCTGAAAGAAATGGATAAATTCCTGGAACTCTATAACCTACCAACGCTGAATCATGAAGAAAGAGAAAATCTGAACATACTTGTAACTAGTAAGAAGATTAAATCAGTTAATAACCCCCCTACAAATAATCCTTCTTAAAGTCTTCCAAAAAAATTGAAGGGGAAGGCATACTTCTAAACTCCTTTTATGAAGACAGCATTACCCTTTTAACAAATCCAGACAAAGACACAAGAAGAAAAGAAATCAATAAGCCAATATATTTGATAAGCATAGATGCAAAAATCTTCAACAAAATACTAGCAAGTCAAATTCAACAGCATATTAAAAAGGATTATAAATCATGGCCAAGTGAGATTTATCCTTGTGAATCCAGGATGGCTAACCATATAAAAAATCACTTAATATGATACATCACATTAAGAAAGTGAAGAATAAAAATTCCATGGTCATCTCAATAGACACAGAAATATTTTTTGACAAAATTCAACACCCTTTTGTGACAAACTCTCAACAAACTAAGAACAAAAGAAAATTGCCTCAACAATTTTCAACAAAACCATATATGGTCAACAAAATCATATATGAAGAGTCCACACCTAACATCATACTTCATGATAAAAAACTGAAAGCTTTTCCTTTAAGATCAGGAACAAGGCAAGGATGCCTGTTGTCACCACTTCTATTCAACATAGCATTGGAAATCCTCTCCAGAGCAATTAGCTAAGAAAAAAAAATGAAAACATCCAATAGAAAAGAAAGTAGAAAAATTATCTCTTTTAGCAGATGAAGTGATCTCATATATAAAAAATCCTAAAGACTCCACAAAAATACCTGTTAGAATAAACAAATTCAATAAAGTTGAAGAACACAAAATCACAAATAAAAAGCAGTTGCACTTCCATAGACTAGGTATTAACAATCCAAAAAAATCAGGACAATTGTATTTTCAATGGCATCAAAAGAATATAATACTTAGAAATAAACTTAACCAAGGTGACAAAGAGCTTTTATAATAGCTTAAAGAAAGTTGGAAAATTCAAAATATGTACATTAAAAAACACACTTTTGAATAACCAATAGGTCAAACAGGAAATCTTAATAAAAATTTCAAAATATCTTCAGACCAACAAAAATGAAAACATAACATACCCAAACTTATGAGATGCAGCAAAAGCAGTACTAATAGGGAATTTTATAGAGATAAAAACATACATTAAAAGAAAGAAAGATCTCAATTAACAACCTAAGTTTACATCTACAAAACTACAAAACATTGTTGGAAGAAACTAAAGAAGACACAAGTAAGTTGGAATACATCTGTATTAATGGATTGGAAGACTTAATAATGTTAAAATGTCCATGTTATCCAAAGCTATCTACAGATTCAATGTGATCCCCATCAAAATCCCAATGGCATTTTTTACAAAAATAGAAAACAATCCTAAAATTCACATAGATCCACAAAGGACTCCCAATAGCCAAAACAATATTGAGAAAGAGCAACAAAGTTGGAGACCTCACACTCCAAGATTTTAAAACATATTACAAAGCTACAGTAATCAAAACAGTATGAAACTGACATAAAGGCAATCATATACCAATTTCGAAAAGAATAGTGAGCCCAAAAACAAACGCACACACATGCAGTCAAATGATATTCAACAATGGTGCCAAGACTACATAATAGGAAAATGATAATCTCTTTAACAGATGGTGCCGGAAAAACTGGATATCTACATGCAAAAGAATGAAATTGGACCCTTATCTTATACAATATACAAAAATCAACTCAATATGGATTAAAGACTTAACTGTAATACCTGAAACTATAAAACTCCTAGAAGAAAACATAAGGAAATAGCTTCATAACATCAGTCTTGGGAATGATTTTTTGGATAAGACACCAAAAGCACAGGCAACAAAAGGAAAAATAGACAAGTGAGACCAAATCAAACTAAAAACCTTCTGCATAGCAAAGGAACACATCAACAGAGTTAAAGGAAACCCACGGAATGGGAGAAAATATTTGAAAACCTACACAACTGATAAGGAGTTAATATCCAAACTATAAAAGGAACTTGTACAACTCAATAGAAAAAATGAACTGATTATAATATGAGAAAAGGACTTGAATAGATATTTCTCCAAAGAAGACATGCAAATGGCTAAGAAGTATATGAAAAGATGCTCAACATCACTAATCATCAGAGAAATACAAATCAAAACCAAAATGAGTGATCACCTCATGCCTATTAAAATGGCCATGATTAAAACAAAACAAAACAAAAACCAGAAAGTAACTAGTGTCGTACATTAGGTCTTACAAACATGATATCTATAGGTAATAGTAGTGCACTGTATTCATGATTTTTGCCAAATGAACAGATTACAGCTGCTCATGCCACAGGAGGGAAAACAGGTAACTATATGAGATGACCCAATATGTTGATTTGTTTCACTATAGTAATATTTTTACTATATATGTGTACCTCATAACATCATTATATATGTATACCTCACTTATGTATAATAAAATTTACTTTAAAAAGGAAATAACAAGTGTTATTGAAAAATTGGAACTCTTGTGCACTGTTGTTGGGACTATATAATGGTGTAGCCACTTTGGAAAACAGTATGGAGGTTCCTCAGAAAATTAAAAATATAACTACCATATGATCTTGTAACCCCACTGCTAAGTATTTATCCAAAAGAATTGAAAACAGTATCTAGAAGAGATATTTGCACTCCTATCTTCATTGTAGCATTATTTACAATAGCCAGGACGTGTAAACAACCTAAATGTCCATCAATGGATGAATAGATACAGAAAATGTGGCATATGTGCATAATAGAATATTATTCAGCTTCTAAAAAGAAGAAAATCCTGTCATATCCAGTCATACAATCCAGGCATACAACATGAGAATCCTGAGGACTTTATGCTAAATGAAATAAACTAGTCACAGAAGGACAAATACTACATTATTTCAGTTATAGGAGGTACATAAAAGTAATCAAATTGATAGAACCCAGGGAAACGGGGAAATGTGGAGATGCTGTTCAATGAGTATAGAGTTTTAATCATGCAAGATACAAAGTTTTAGATATCTTCTGGACATTAATGTGCATATAATTTATAATACTGTACTGTACACTCAAAATTTTCTTAAGAGGGTAGATACCATGTTATTTCTTACCACAATTTTAAAAATTAAAGACTTAGCCCCAACATATGAATAATTATTTTAATATAAACTAGTCTAAATATACCAATTAAAAGATAGAGACTGGCAGAGTAGTTTTTCTTTTAAAAAAAAAACTTAGCCCAACTATATGCAGTCTACAAGAAATTCACTTTAAATACACCTACATGGGTAGGCTGAAAGAAAATGGATGGAAAAATATATATCATTGAAATATGAATTTTTTGAAAATACCAGTACATATACTAATATCAGATAAAGGAGACTTCAGAGCAAAGAAAATTACTAGGAAGAAAGAGGGACATTATATAATATTCATGAAATAGCAGAATTACAGAGAAAGACAGAACAAATTAGAGATCAGATGTTTGAGAAGGAAAAGGAGGTGAGTGTGTCTTTATAAAGTGTTAGCCTGAAAGAGCCTTTGGAGTGGTGACAATTGTTAGAAACTATACATGTGAGAAAATGAGTAGAGCTATACACACACACACACATACACAGAGTGCTTACAAAAGTAAGGAAAACTGAATTAGATAAACATTAGTTTCCTGGTTTCTGTATCATACTGTAGTTATGCAACATAATGAAGTGGGCTAGGTGAGCTATGAACAGGATCTCCCTGTACATTTATTGCAACTTTCTATGAATCTTCATTTCAAAAATAATATGCAGGGGTACCTCATTTTATCACGATTTGCAGATACTGTGTTTTTTGTTTTTTGTTTCCAAACTGAAGTTTTGTGGCAACCCTGCATTGAGCAAATCTATTGGCACAATTTTTACAAAAGCATGTGCTCACTTCATGTCTCTCTTACATTTTGTTAACTCTCATAATATTTCAAACTTTTTCATTATAATTATATCTGTTATGGTGATCTGTGATCAGTGATTTCTGATGTTACTATTGTAATTGTTTGGGGGCACCACAAACAAGTCCCCATAGAAGATGGCAAACATAATCAATAAATATGTACATGTTCTGATTGCTAAACTGGCCATTCCCACATCTCTCTCCCTCCCCTCGGGCATCCCTATCCTGTGAGACATAACAATATTGAAATCATGATAATTAATAACCCTACAATGGCCTTTTAAGTGTTCAAGTGAAAGGAAGAGTAGCACATCCCTCACTTTAAATCAAAGGCCAGAAATCATTATGCTTAGTGAAGAAGGCATATCAAAAGCCAAGATAGGCCAAAAACTAGGTCTCTTGTGCCAAACAGCTAGCCAGACTGTGAATGTAAAGGAAAAGTTCTTAAAGGAAATTAAAATGCTGCTCACTGGACACATGAATAATAAAACAGCAAAACAGCCTATGGCTGTTAAGACAGTTTTAGCGGTCCAGATGAAAAACCAAACCATCCACATTTCCTTGAACCAAAGCTTAATACAGAGGAAGGCCCTAACTCTTTTTAATTCTATGAAGGCTGAGGGAGGTGAAGAAGCTGCAGAAAAAAAGTTGGAAGCTAGCAGAAATTGATTCATGAGGTTTGAGGCAAGAAGCTGCAACCATAATATAAAAGTGCAAGGTGAGGCATCAAGTGGTGCTGAAGAAGCTGCAGCAAGTTATCCAGAAGATCTAATTAAGATAATGGATGAAAGTAGCTACATTAAACAACAGACTTACAATGTAGATAAAACAGCCTTCTATCGGAAGAAGATGCCATCTAGGACTTTCACAGTTAGAGAGAAGTCAATGTCTGGCTTCAAAGCTTCAAAGGACAGGCTGAATCTCCTGTTATGGGCTAATGTAGATGGTGATTTTAAATTGAAGCTAATGCTCATTTGCCATTCCAAAAATCCTAGGGCCCATAATAATTATGTTAAATCTACTCTGTCTGTGCTTTATAAATGGAACAATAAAGCCTGGAGGACAGCACATCTGTTTATAGCATGGTTTACTGAATATTTTAAGCCCACTGTTGAGACCTACTGCTCCCAAGAAAATATTCCTCTTAACATATTACTGCTCATTGAAAATACACCTAGTCACCCAAGAGCTCTGATGGATGTGTACAAAGAGATTAATGTTGTTTTCACGCTTGATAACATAACATCCCTTCTGCGGTCCATGAATCAAGGAGTAATTTGGATTTTCAAGTTTTACTATTTAAGAAATACATTTCATGAATCTACGGCTGCCAGAGACAATGATTCCTCTGCTGGATCTTGAAAATCTGGAAACAATACATCATTCTAAATGCCATTAAGAACATTTTGCTTCATGGAAGGAGTTCAAAATGTCAACATTAACAGGAATTTGAAAGAAGTGGATCCAATCCCCATGGATTATTTTGACAGGTCCAAGACTACACCAGAATAAGTAACTAGATTTGGTAGAAATAGCAGAAGAATTAGAATCAGAAGGGGAGACAGAAGGTGTAATTGAATTGCTTCAATCTCATGCTAAAACAATAATGGATGAGGAGTTGCTTCTTATGAATGAGCAAAAAAAGTGGTTCCTTGAGATGGAATCTACTGCTGGAGAAAATGCTAGGAACACTATGGAAGCAACTACAAAGAATTAAGAATATTACATAAACGTTTTTGATAAAGTAGCAGCAGGATTTGATAGGACCGACTCTAATTTTGAAAGAAGTTCTACAGTGGGTAAAATGTTGTCAAGCAGCATCACATGCTACAGATAAACCTCTTGTGAAAGAAAAAGTCTATTGATGCAACAAACTTCCTTTTTTGTCTTATTTTAAGAAAATGATGTAGCCACTCCCACCTTCAAGAACCACCACCCTGATCAGTCAGCAGCTATCTACATCAAGGAAAAATCCTCCACCAGCAAAAGGATTACAACTCACCGACAGCTCAAGTGATTCTTGGCATTTTATTTAGTAATAAAGTATTTCTTAATTAAAAGAATTAAGATTTTTTAGACATAGTGCTATTGTACACTTCAGAGACTGATGTATAGTATAAACATAACTTTTTTTTTTTTTTAAGTAGGGATGAGGTCTTGCTATGTTGCCCACCCTGGTATCAAACTCCTGAGCTCAAGCAATCCTCCCACCTCAGCCTCCCAAAGTGCTGGAATTACAGGTGTGAGCCACCACTCCTGGCCATAAATATAACTTTTATATGTACTAGGAAACTGAAAATGTGTATGACTTGCTTTATTGTGATACTCACTTTATTGTGGTCATCTGAAACTGAACCTGCAATATCTGAGGTGTGACTGTACATATGTATTTCTGTGTGTGTGTGTCTATATCTTCATAATCTGACTAATTTTCACTTTCCCCAGTACTACTACCCTAATCCAACCATTTTCTCTCGCCTGGGTTACTGTAACATCCTCTTTAATTGGTCTCCCTGCTTATTCTCTTGCTCTTTCCATGTGGAAGCCAGAATATTCTCTTTACATATAAATCAAATCAAGTCAATATTCTCTCTTTACATATAAATCAAATCAAATCACCCTCTCTCAATTTTTCAATGCCTTCCCATCATATAGAATAAAATCCCAAATTCCTATTTTGTCCTACAAAAGTCTATATGTTTTGGCCTCTGAATACATCTCTGGCCTTATTTTCTCCCACTGTCTCACTCACTCTCTACATTCTGGATACATTAACCTCCTTGATATTCATTGAACATACCAAGCAGGCTCCCACCTCAGGGCCATTGCATATTCTATTCTTTCTGCCTGAAATGTTCTTCCTCCAGATATTCACATGTCCTACGCCCTTGCTTCATTCAGGTCTTTGCTTAATGTCACCCCATCAGATACCCTTTCTTGACCACTGTATCTAGAATAGCATCATCTATTGCTCCTTATTCCCTTATCTTGTTTTATCAGCCTTATAGCTCTTATCATTATCTGATGGTATATATTACGTATTATTTGCTTATTCACTGTCTGTAACATCCTCTAGATTGCAAACTTCATGAGTGTAGGGTCTTTGTTCTGTTTACCACTGTATCCCTAGTGCCTAAAACAGGGCTGTGCATGTAGCAACGCTCAATAAATGTTGAATGAATGTATAGATCAAAAGGAAAAAACTGATTTGATTACAATCTAGGTTTCCTGGTAGCCAAGATATCATATTTATATCATTGCTTCTTTAAGTGTAGCAACTTTATATTATATAATCAAATTAATTATTTGTTCTTCAAATATTTTCTTTTCTTATGTCTTTTAAGATTTTATTTTTGAAAAAATCAGATATTACCTATGGGCTTCTGATATTATTTCGGTTTCACTGTATTGACATGGGGAAATTGTTTTGCTTTACCTCTTTATTTACTTGCTTAGACAAAAATATCTATCAAACATTGCTGCATATTTTATGAGACTTCTTTTAAAGTGTGTTAACATTTTATCAGATACTCTGGTTAATGGGATGCTAGTATCTAGGAAAAACTAGAAACCACAAGGTTCAGATTATAGTCACAGCTTTTCTATTAATATTTTGTATTAACTTATATAATTATATATAGAAATTTATATATAAAAACCTTAGATGTTTTCATATTTTTATAAATTATCTCTGGGTCTCAATTTGCTTCTCCTTAAAATGAGGAGGGTAGATAATATGATCTCTAATGTTCATTATTGTTCTATGAATGAAGATAAACATATGGCAAATGTGCTCTACTTTGCTTTTTTTTAAGAAACATACATGTGTCTTCATATAGTTTATTCCATGCACCACAGTTTATACTTCGTGGTAGACACTACTTGAGATTCTGTTTAGCCCACAATCTTCCCTTCTCTGGGAATTGTATGTCCCTTCACTTAGGGTTGGGGCCTAATAACCATATTTATATGACATGATCTTGCCCCTCTAGCCATGGATAATCAGATCCTGGCTGGACATATAGCCCAACCTATGTCAATCAGAATTGAGAATTGGAATTCGTAGATATTGAGTCTCTTCTGATTGCCTGAATTTAGAATATGTAAACTTGGGATCTCTTGAATAAACCAGGTTTGGCTGTGTGCTGATTAAGTGAGAATAATGAAGTAGATACACTGAAAGAAACAAAGATAAACAGAAGACCCTATAGCCCCAGGGGTGTTGAAGGAGAAGAGAAAGAGGGAGGAAAATTCCCTTAGCTATGGACAGCTGGTCAACCTAGTTGAAGTCTCTCATGCACCTAGACTACACTTTCTGCACTTTCTTTTTCCTCTTATACTTAAAATAAACTCTTTTTTTCTTTAAGCTAGTTTGAAGTACACCTTTATTATGTACAACCAAAAATCCTTAATCAAGACACACACAACTGGGTCAGTGGTTCACAAACAAATTATGTGTAAAGTACAACCTAAAATTTTGGACATCTTACACAAAGCATTTCTGCTTCAGTTTCATTACATACTTAAATTAATCCTTAGTAATTAGAAAATTCAGGAGCCAAGTTATTGTATTCCATAGCCTTTAGTTAACTGAGTTTCAGGGCTATCTAGATTAGAAACATTTGTATTCAAATGTAAATATAAAATTATCTTTCAAAATCAAAAGTTTTTATTTTTTTCTAAGCTTATACTCCCCTGTTAGCACAGATTACTAAGAATCAAATAGATTTCACTAATTCCTATTCTGCATTCAGTGTTCAGCTGTGAGAAAACTGTTACATGAATACTCAGTCTCTCTTCCTCTCATCCATAAATACACAAAGTGCCAAGTTTTTTCACACATGTCATAGGAATGGAAAAGGGAGTGGGAGACGGAGAAAATTATAATTAGTTTTCCAAACAGCTAAGTTTTTATTCTAGTCAATCCAATAACCTGTGTACTATTCCTTCCCTTACTCTTAAGATCTAAAATCTGTAAGTAAAGAGCAATGAGTTACACAATAGAGGCAAATTATCATTACTGTGATAGGCATGAAGCAAAGAACTAGCTTTTTTTCCCTTCTTAAAAGAGTGTAAGTAGTAAATAACATGCCTCTAGCAACTCTAGTATTAGGTGTAGTTGTGCTCTATGGACAGCTTCACCCTAGTTCAAGTCTTTAACAAGTTAACCTTGTAACTTTAATAAGTTAGCCAGACTGGAAGTTCCAGTTTATTGTCAGAAGAATTTCATCTCAGAACATCAGAAATGCTGGATTTTAGTGCTTCTTGCATCGTAACAAAAATAGAACAAATCAGTACCAATATGCATGCACTCATTATATGATTATTATTTCAGAACTGGGGAAGAAGAAGGTCCTGAAGTTTTACTACTTTTAGAGCTGCAGCAACACCATCAACATACAAAGACTACTAAGTGTAACTTTTAATGCACACTTTACTTTCTTACTCTGATTAATTGATAGGAAGAGTTTGTAAGTGCACAGAATTTACATGCAGATAACATTGCTACTACAGTTTTTAAAACATCTGAAAGCAGTTTACCATAACCTACCTCAATTTTGCTTACACTAAGTGACGTTCAAATCCTTTTTCTTGTAAACAGCCCAATACAGTTAATGGCTCTGATTAGTAATAGAGCACTTAGAAGATTTTTTAAATACACAAAACCTAGATGTTCCTCCCTTCTTATAACTTATTTTAATTCAGTATCATATGCAGATACCCAGTAAAAAAGCTCCAATGCTGCCTAACCTCTGGTAGGACTCTGGCTGCTTCTCCTGTAGAGTGTAATTCATTTTTAGCACGACTACTATATATATCTAGCCTATAACAAGTCCTTGGTTAGTGGGGCCTGAATTAATGAAATTTTGTTGTACTGTAATTTGGACCCCACTGATTCAGAATTTGTAATAATTCAGAAAGAAGCTGAAATTAAAGTGACTTTAGGGTTATTTTTGAATAAAGAGTTTGCTGAACAAATTTAAAAACAAGATAGTAGAAAGGATATTAAAACTACTGAAAAGAACAAATGTGGCTGGGCACGATGGCTCACGCCTGTAATCCCAGCACTTTTGGAGGCCGAGGTGGGCGGATCACTTGAGCTCAGGAGTTCAAAACTGGCCTAGGCAACATGGTGAAACCCGGTCTCTACTGAAAATAGAGCTGGGCGTGGTGGCGCACACCTGTAGTTCCAGCTGCTCAGGAGGCTGAGGTGGGAGGATCGCTTGAGCCAGGGAGGCAGAAGTTGCAGTGAGCCGAGATCATGGCACTGCACTCCAGCCTGGGGAACAGAGTGACACACTGTCTCAACTCCCCCCTCCCAAAACAAAACAAAAGAACTAAACAATGCTTCCAAGCAACTTTAAGGACTTTAGAAATATCTCTTTACATATAATCCATTGACTCACTAATGATAAATCATTCTCATATATTTATTAAATCAAGATCCCTAAGGGATCTTGTCCTAATCCTGATTAATACATGTACAAGAAAACCGTAAAAACTGCAGTTCATAAAAAAAATCTAAAATTCAAAACTTCACTCATTTTAGACTTCTTCTCCCTAAATTACTGCAAATTAAGAAAAATTTGAAACATATAAAATCTAAGACTCATTTTTCTCATACCCCTATTTTTTTTCCTTGTTTCTACAGACTCACAGGTATCTGAACAAATTTGGCAGCAACAACTATGTAATCCAAGATTAAATCTATTGATAATAAGCAAAAAAAAAAAAAACAGTTAATGATAGTCCTAAAAGTATGCAGGAAGAGAAACAGAATATAAGGATCTATGTGCACATTTAAAGATTAAACTCAGCAAGAATCATTACATATATTAGTATATAATATATACCCAGCCCTGAAAAGGGCAAGGAGCAACTTAAAAGTAATGAGACTGGCTTATATATGACCTGTGGAATGAAACTTATTACTTATGTCACACCCCCATATGTCAACTAGTATTCAATTTGAAAGAAAAATTAATTCCAAAAAGATGGTAAGAAATGTCACATAATATAAAAAATAACTATTTGAATTCATCTGATGAAAGATGCTACATAAATACAAAGCAGTAGTAATAAGACAGCCTGGAAGAACAGAGAAGTTATTCCTCTTTATTCTAAAATGAAAAAGTTCATAAGTATAACTACATAAAGTTTAGATGGTAAACACGCAATGAGGAAATCTGAAACAATCCAAATGAAAGGATCCCTACTTTTATTCCAGAAGGACCCAACCCCTTCTGACCTTTTACCTCCTAGGGTAAAGAAAATAAATTATTTTTGAAATAAAAACCTAGTGACTCAAAAATTGCCTGATTTAGTCACAGTATTTTAAAAGAACCTGGACAATTCTTCCTCTGAATACCACTTCCAGTCAAATCACCCAGTTTTAAATGCAGTTTATCCAATATGGGTTTGGCTTTTTAGACAATCACAGAAAATCTTTCCTAAATAACTTTATAAAAAGATAGATATCTTTTGTGAAACTAATTTAAAGGCCAAAGAAGCAGCTGAAGAGTGACAGTGAGAACAAATCAATATACACAGTAGTTAGGAAAAGTAGAAGTGAGGTACAGAAAGTGAGCATAATGAGGAGCTATGTAATTCAAGGCTGTGAAAGGTTATAGTGATAATAATACTGTACAATGGCTTTAAGTGAATAGTATTTTAGAAATATATCCATTTTCACATTATTAATCATGTCAAAATTCAATTTCAGGTTTCAGTTAATATTTATTGCATTTTAAAAATTGTTACAAAAAACTTATTACAGTAGAATACTATCAGTAACAAAGTTAATCTTCCTGTCAAATCCCAGTGGTGCACTTGTCAATAGGAAAATACGAATGAGTCAGACTACAAGGGAACTTTCCGATACCAAGAGTCTAAAAGGGATTAACAATTCATAAGATATGATACTGAGAGAATAACTGTGTATGAGACAGCTCCTGTGGATATTAGTTTACAACTTATATATGAAGGTGTTTGATTTATTTTCTTTGTGGATACCACACTTTAAGAAGGAATGGTAGTCTCCACTTTTTTTTTTCCTACATTGAATTGGCTATAGGTATCTTTCACTTAGTAAAAAATGCTATGCTCCAGGAAAACTTGCTCTTAAAAAGAATTGCTGGGAAAAAGACATTTATCTCATAAACTTCCATCATACAATTGAGAGATCTGTGCTCAGCTGGGAAAATTTTTAGTCCAATGATATAATAAAGATCATAGTTTAGCATATGGTAATTCTTTTAAAACTACGTATTTAAGGAAAATTATAACTTATAGATGCATCAGTGGTACTCAATGTAATACTGTCCTACCTCCAGACTCAGTCATTAGGTAAAAATATTGAGAATGACCCTATGTTACTTAACAGAGACTGACAGTTCTTTACCCTATTTTACATGCTGCCACCACTGAGGTTTAGCAATTTAACTAACATGTGTACCTGCCTTAAATCGCCACAGTACTTACAATTTGACATACGAGGTAATTTTAATTTTCTTGGCAGTTTCCCTCCTCTTTCCAAAGATCATCCCTTTGATACTGTCATAAGACCAGAAATGTACAATAGTTACTTAGCAAAAATGATTTACTCCAATGCCTTCTCCATATATTTTGCTATCTGTTAACTGGTTAATTTCCAGCAATAATCATAGCTATTTGCTGACTGTGTCCAGATAAGCCATTCTGTTCTCTAATAACTTGTTTATTTAATAGCTAATGTGCTAAGCAGAGGATGTTCAAAATAACAATTATATTTGTTGAGCCTAGAAACTATTAGCTACTGTGAATTAAAGTTAACTTTAATCAAAGAAGACTACTGCTGGCAGCAAAAGATACCAAAAAAAAGGTACAGAAGGTGTATAAAGCCTCAAAAATTTCAAGTTTGAGTATATTGTTCCTCAGAGTAAATCTGTGAATTCTTTATATTTGGAATTCTAATATGTGAATTTCTGTTAGGAGACATACCTCTCTACGGATGGAATAACTCCATACCTCGTTATTTTTCTGTGTAAATGTCAACTTACAATGGCTGACTAAAACCTAGGAGACAATTAGTCATCTGACTAATTTTCAATATAGCGGAAGGTTGTTAGAAATGTACCAAAATAAGCTTTGCAGAGGTTTGTAATTGCAGTTTAAACATTGATGTTGTCAATTATTAATATATACATTAATAACATGATATTAGAACTTTGACAGATATGAATTTGTGGGACTCTGACATACCCCTCCCTTTGTTTTCAGAAAATGGTAGCAATAGCAGTACTAAATGTAGTACTAAAAACTAAGTTATCATATACTAATGAATCAAAATGAATGTTGCTTATAAAATTTCCCTAATTTATTTTATCAAGAAATAGTCTTTGGAGCATATTAATAATCTAATGTACTATCAGACCAGTGTTGTATGAAACACTTAGAATATAACTGTCTCTTAATAGACAGTAAAAAAAAATGTACAGGTTACAAAAACATGTGAACTTAACACTCTACCTATATCTGCTTAGAAAACATTCTCACTTGCCTCAGGAAATAGGATGATTATTTTAAAGCCTGATTTCTATAGCATGTATATCTGTGAAATTATATTTAATTTGTTAATTTAGTATGTAGTTTATCATAGAAAATTATGCCCACTACAAAGAAGTTAATTGCCACTGACAGTCCTCTTCTCCTTTAGGTTTACCTAGGAGAAAATATGCAAAAGGATTAGAAAATCAAGTGCCTTAGCTCATGCTATGCTGAACTCTTCCACCTTCTAAGAAAGCTTATACTTCTATTAAGAGCCAAATCAAGTATGACTTTCTCTACAAAGCTTTCTCAGAAAAATCCAGCCTACAGTATTCTCCCTTTACTCTTAACTCTTTCAGTCCTTATTCAATATGACTCTGTTCCAATTGTTGACCATGGTGTCTCATATATGTATTTTCCTTTTTCCAATGGCTAAGCAATTTACCCATCGGTAATTTACCATTGGGTAAGCAATTTACCCAACTGGTAAATTGCTGTTTCTGTTCTATTCTCCACAATACCTGGTATAGTAGTAGGCATTCATTAGAAGCTAGAAAATAAAAACTTGTTGAAAGTCACTTTAAAAAAAAAAAAAAACTTCATTCCAGAGTTCACTGAACAAGTGCTTTGATAGCATTTGCAAAATAAGCCATCAATTTTATTTTATAATGTGATTACGACACCCTAGGTAAATGCTCTTAAGAGTATGCGGCATCTTCATAGTCATACTCACTTCAATGGAATACTAGATTGGATTCAAATTACTGCAGGGTTCTCTAAGTATGTGAAGGTGAAGAGCAAGTATTCATATGATACACTATTATTTCAAATAATTCAGACTTAAATTCATCAAAAGCTTTTCCAAAACAAAAAAAAAATTACCTTTGGAATCTAGCAACTAGAAGCATGTCAGCTTGCTAATGCACAAAACAAACAATACTCTCTGAGGTTATTTTGCAGTGGTACTAGAATTATATTGTGCTTTAATTTAAACTATACCCCCAAAGAACCTCAAACAACATGAAAGCTCCCAAAGCAAAGCATTTTACCCCAAACTAACAAAGTTTGCGGTCTTGACAGATTCACCCAATAAATTTAATCATAAATGGCATCTATATATCCTTTTTAAAAATCTTTAGCTCAAAAGCATTTACAAAAAAAAGAAAATTTAGCTTTTCCATTATTACGCTTCTCTCTCGCCACGTCTTATCAGATAAACGAAACCTGAAATGGCTTAAAAACCAATAGGGAGGGAAAAGAACCCATCTTTTGTCTGCTCACAGAACTATCTTACAATCAAAATTACTAATCTAAATTCAGTATGCTTTTGATAGGTGTCATCTGTGGACTGTAAGTTTTTTCAACCACTTACTTTTAAGAAAACAACCTCATTCATCAAAGATAATGTTGCTAATTTTCAAAAAAGCACCTCACAACTTTAGAACCTCATCTAATCACCTTGTCCAGAATATCACTTCCGGTGCCTCATGCCAATGTTTTCTGGAACCGACTATCTTCAACTGCAGGCTACCTCAGGAAGAACAGATATATCACAACCCATCCTCGCTTTTATTGGGGATATTTTAGGTTTCATCATCGTATTTATAATAAAAAAGAAGTATGCCATTCTGGATGAAAAGTAGTTTGTAAAACCAGTTTCCCCTATTATGAATCAGCCATTCTGCCTACTTCTCAAGTTTGATAGCACTTTAGAAGTCAAATGGAGTGTGTGTTTGTTTTATTATTTTTATTATTTAATATAAGTACTATCTTCCTAACGTACATGTCAGGAGTCAGAAGCCAGGCACAAGGCTTTCGGGAGGTCTTAGCACACGAGTAGCAACAACACTGAAAAGTAAGGGGCCACTCCAGCTATGTGTTCAAACCTTGAGGCATGGAGCGACAGCAGCCCGGGGAATGGGCTCCTGAGAAGCCCGCGGTCAGGCTGAGCCTCCTGAGAGAGCGAGAGCCAGAGCCAGAGCGAGGGGAAAGGGGCGAGCACGGCACTGGGAGAGTCTGTCCACGAATCAGGAATCAGGCTGCGTGACTGTACGTAGAATTATCAGCATCTATGGCATCTAAGAAGCAAAGCCAGGCCTTAAGCACCCACCCCGCATTCCTGGACGCCAGGGTTGAGACCAAAAAGTGGTGGCTATGAGAAGGAAAACTACCTCGAAGGGAATAGAGAGCCGCGAGCAGATGTGGGAGAGGCGTCAGAAGCTTCTGCAGGAGAAAGCAGCGATTCGCTCGCCTCCTGGGGCCACGGAGGCCGGAAAGGCGCACTAGAACCGAGCGAGTGCGGTGCCACTACTCACCCCTACTCTCCTATGGTCCCCGTCGTCGCCCTGCTCGACGCAGCCCCTGCAGGGGGGAGCCCCTCCCCCGCCCGCCGCAGGGGGTGGGCTCGGCGGGCGAGAGAAGGCGGCGGCGCAGGTGTCCAACAGCCGGGGCCAGAGAGGAGCTGGGTGCAAGGGAGACAGCTTGGTGCCTTGCGCTCCGTGGCGCCGCCAACTTCACCACCATCGACGTGGAGGGACGAGGGGAGGCGATGGGGGGAAGGCGCTCGCCCAGCGGCCCGGACCCTCCTGGGGTACTAGGCCTGAGCCTCTGGAGGGACCGCCGTTACCAGTCCCCTCAGCGATGCGACCCCCAGGCCTGATTCCAGTCCCTGGGCCCCCCTGGCCACAGAGCAGCGGCGGCTCCCTCTTGGGGCCGCGGTCGCAGCTGCATCCTCCTGCTCCTCCTCCTCTGGCGCCTCTGCCTACACACACAGCCCCGGCGCGGTTATCGCCGCGGCGCCCGGCCGCCGTTGCCTAGCAACTGTGCGCATGCGCCCCACCCCTGTCGGCGACTGCTGCCACCGCTGGCGCCGCTGTCGGAGCTCAGACCAGCAGGCCTACGACCTAGAAAGTGCTCAAAACCCCACTTCCTAAGGCCTAGAAGGAGCGACGTGAAGGTAAGCGTGGGTGAGGAGAGGTCCAGGATGCTCTGCAATTCGATAGGCCCGAGGACTTGGGATACGACCGTCTCCCAGCCCCTCGACAGGCACCTCTGCGGTTAAGAGTGACAGTCCCAACAACCTCACTACTTGTCTCACTGCCTTTTATTTGTCTTTTATTTGTTTTTATTTTATTTGCCTACGTATTTGTCTTGGCTCCTCCAATTCATCCTTCACAAGGGCTGCCAGGGTAATTTTCTAAATAACTTCTCTGACTATGTCACTCGTCTGCATAACTCAGGTGGTTAAGGGTCACCTCCCTTAATAGGGCCTAACAATTCTTGACTACTGCAACAGCATACTCTCTGGTTTCTTTGCCTTTAGACTTGTCTTTCTGCAATTTGTTCTCATACTTCTACCAGTGATCAAATGAAAATCTAATCTCACTTCCTTCTGGCTTAGAGAATGGGCTTTGAAATTACAGCCAAGTTTGAATTTCTGCTCCACCACCAAGTAGCTCTGTTTCCTTGAACTAGGAATTTTTTTTTTTTTTTTTTTTTGACAAAGTCTTACTCTGTCGCCCAGGCTGGAGTGCAGTGGCGCCATCTCAGCTAACTGCAATCTCTTACTTCTGGGTTCAAGAAATTCTCCTGCTTCAGCCTCCCAAGTAGCTGGGACTACAGGTGCAAGCCACCATGCCTGGCTAATTTTTGTATTTTTAGTAGAGACGGGGTTTCACCATGTTGGCCAGGCTGGTCTTGAACTCCTGACCTCAAGTGATCCGCCCGCCTCCGCCTCCCGAAGAGCTGGGATTACAGGCGTAAGCCACCGTGCCCGGCCTGAGCTAAGATTCTTAACCTGTCTAAATCTGTTTCCTTATCAGTAAAATGGGGATAATTATAATACCTATAGAGTAGTTATGAGGATTAAATGGAAAAGTGAATGTAAAGCACTTAACATACATAACTTACTGTGGCTCAGAGTAAGCGCTTAGTAAAAATTGGAGTTATTTTTCAATAGATTCATTATCTATAATAAAGGAGAAAATACAGATTCCCTAGCTTAACATTCAAAGTCCTCTAAGATCTTGCCTCTATTTTTCTAGCCCTAGCTCCTTCCACACCCCCTTAGGCACCCAGCCACAGACCAGTTTTTACCTTTTCTGAGACACATCTAGATCTATAAAGTGCTTAGACATATTTCCCAAAGGTTCACCTGGGTAAGAAATCTGCATAAACCCTCCAGTTAATTAACATGTAAATATCCAGTGATTCTTCTAAAACTACACTTTTTAATTTTAAAATATTGACACTGAGAATTGACATGTAGGCAATGGCTACGTACAAACTTGTGTGATATTCTAGGGGCTTATTTACTTGATCTTTTTGAAATTAGGTTTAGAGGTTCTGTATTAAACTTAATACAATGTATAAACATATTTACAAAATGTGCCCTGCTGGATGTTTATTTAATAAAATATTTAAACATTTTAGAAAGTGTAAAAATAGCTATGCCATGTGTAAGAACTTTAAGAAGCCCTATAATAAGTGCCAGTGAAACATTAGTGGAGGGCCAGGCATGGTGGCTCACCCCTGTAATCCCAACACTTTGGGAGGCCGAGGTGGGCAGATCACCTGACGTCAGGAGTTCAAGACCAGCCTGGCCAACATGGCAAAATCCCTCCTCTACTAAAAATACAAAAATTAGCCAGGCGTGGTGGCACTTGCCTGTAATCCCAGCTACTTGGGAGGCGGGGGCAGTAGAATCACTTGAACCTAGGAGGTGGAGGTTGCAGTGAGCCGAGATGGCACCATTGCACTCCATCTAGGCGACACAACAAGACTCCGTCCCCCAAAAAAAAGAAAGAAGGAAGGAAGGAAGGAAGGAAGGAAGGAAGGAAGGAAGGAAGGAAAGAAAGAAGAAACATTAGAGGAGAGCTCAAATGGACTGTCAAACTAAAATGAAACTTTATACAGACCAGCCAAAAAGTACTGAAGAAAGAGAAGAACAATTGGAAAGGCGAAAAAGAGTGAATCACTCTAGAACTAATTAAGTAGAAGTATCAGATTGGAGATCATCAACAAGCTGGAACCAATGTGGAAGACCATAACATAGGGAATATATATTACAATTATGAATGTGGAAATGAGCTTGGATAGAGTTCTCACACAGCTCATACCTTTCCTTCCGTATGGAACAGACATGCCTTTCAGGTTCTAAGGAAAACAATTCCCTAGTGTTCAGCCTTTTCTAATGACCATCAGTAACTCACAGGGACAGACTTTTTACAAAATTTGCTTATATCTTCTAAAACCTGTATTTTACCACATAAAACCTATATTCTCTGTTCACTTATTGAACTAATCACATTCTATCACACATTTTTTTATCAGTGTATAGAGAAATACATATATAAAATGCTGCTAGTCATCTTTAATTCTTCTGTGTTCCTTTCTATATAAAGAACTGTGCCACTGCTGTACTTAAACTCCTTCAATATCTTTCCTGGGGTTTCAAGATAAAATCTGAGCTCCTTTGCCCACATCAGTGCATCTGCCTTTACTACGATAGAAAGGTAAAAACTCCTACAACAAACAGACCTCTCTATATCAATATGGAAAAAAAAGAAAGCTGATTTATTATTGAGTAAGCACAACAGAGTACATGCATATAAGTAGCCTTCAAGAGACTGCAAATTCAAAATAAAATTCTATACAACTTATATATTGCAACAGTCCACTTGAGAATTGAGGCAGCTATTTGTTTAGTTAATTGAATTCTTCCAACAGAATAATAAAACTTTTCTTACCTCCCTAAAGATACCTCTAGTCTTCCTGAAAGACAAATGGTTACACCTTGAGATGGGCTCCTACATTAACTTTGAAGACATGTCTTTACATTTCAAAGAGAAATGTGACCTTGACCTTGGAAATATGTGTGCATTATAAAACTGGAGACTGAGACTCTGTAGTCTCTGGAGAGATTTATCTACATTCCAAAAGTTAGAGAAAGGATAAAGGTTCACTCTGTCCCCCAAGGAGATACATTAAGAAGCTAAGGAGGAGAAAATAATATATTTCTCTTTATTCACCTTCTTTTCATTTCTTTTTTTTTTCCTTATTCACCTTCATTTACCTTTACAATTACAAATCAGTGAGTTCTTCAAAAACAGAACTCTGTGCTGGCACAGTAGATGCACCTAGTAAATCAAGAGTAGGTCTTCCTTGAATAAATAAAGTCATAGAAGAAGATGTCAACAGATGAGTGGGAATTTGCCAAAAGGGGATAAAAATATCCCATGCAAAGGAAAAAGTATATTCAAAAGCCCAGAAAATTTGAAAGTGCATGATGTGTTCAGCAAAAGTAGAAAAGTGTGACTTATGCATATTTTATCTGTATTTATGGGCTGGGAAGTGTAAAGTTGTAATGGAGTTGAATATAGAGAAGTAGGTTGAGCAAAAGATTATGAAATGCCTTGTATGCCATGCCAAAGTTTGGAAAAGGTCTATATCTCATGGCTAAATACGGTGTTAAAGAAAATTTTTCATGATACTTGTTAAAGATGGTAAGAAAGATTTAATTTAAGGAGGATTATTATTATGGAGTTTTACAGTAGGGGAGAGAGATGAGGCTCAACTCTGAGTCCAACAAGGGAGGGAGTAACATTTATAAGTGGGAATTTATAAACAAGGAGCACAGTGGAGGCATCAATTATTGGAAAATTACTAAGAGGAAACATTAAGTCTAGGGGAATTCTTGCTAAACCAACATGATGGAAATCTTGCTAAAGGCAGACCAGGGTAATAAGATATCAGGGGTGGGAGATGAGATATCTAATCAGATATCCAGAATGATCAGATACCAAGGGTAGGGGACTTCCACTAAACTGACTCAGCAGGATTCTTGCTAAAACTGAACTAAGCAAGCCAAGCTTAGTTGAGAAGAAGGCTCACAAGGACCTGACTCAAATTTGGTCAAGCAGAGAGTCTTTGTCAAAGGCAAGGTACTATTACTTGTTTAGGAGTCTAGTACAAATATTAGACAGTGCTCCAGCCCCAAAGAGCTTATAATCTAATGATGCAAGAAGACAAGTTAATAAATAATTTACATAAATGAAATCATAAATTGACAGATGTATTTGTGGAGGAGGATATAGGATTGGAAATAGACTTTGAGTAAAGTTTCTGAGAAAGCTCCTTGAATGAGTTTGTCTTGACATATAATATAAAGGGTCAGCTAGACACAGTGGTTCACTCCTGTAATCCCAGCACTTTGGGAGGTCAAGGCAGGTGGATTGCTTGAGCTCGAGACCAGCCTGGGCAATGTAGCAAAACCCGGTCTGTACAAAAAAAAATACAAAAATTAGCTGGGTGTGGTGGCATGTGGCTGTAGTCCCAGCTACTCGGGAGGCTGAGGTGGGAGGATGACTTAAGCCCAGGAGACAGAGGTTGCAGTGAACTGCAATTGCTCCACTGCACTCCATCCTGGGCAAGAGAGCCAGACCCTGTCTCAAAAAATAAAAAAGAAAAATAAAAAAATAAAGAGTCTCCAGAATTGAAGTAATTCCTAGAATTTCAAACACTTGAACCCTTTGTGTCTGTATGCTATAGATCTTCATCTTTTGTTCACTGTTTCCATTTAAGCTCCTCTGAAGAACATCACTATGACCTTTTAACGCAAATTGATGTTGCCACAGATTTAGTTTCTCATCTACGAACTACTTGGCAATCCTTTTTTTTTTTGGTCAGTCCTTCTCCAGTTCCCCTCAGCTATTTCTCCAAACTTTAACCATTCTCCACTATGGCAGATGACCTCATCCTTCACACAGCAAATCTGCCACCCAACTGGTGACTTTATTACCTTATGTTCCTTAAAAAAATTGCAGGTTACAGGAATTTTTCTCACCTACAATCTGCATCTGCTCCCATATTATACCCTTATTCCTCCAGTCTCACATAGACTAAATCTCCTATTAGAGCTCCTGATCTTTGTCTCATCTAGCACCTCAGAGGTCTTACCCACTTTTTCTTTCTATCTCACGTACCTTACAACTGTCCGTCTCAACTATATTATTCTCCTCAGCCTGTAAACATACTCAAGACTCTTCCATTCTTAAAAGACATACTCTCCTGTGATCCTGGAGCCTCCTTCAGTTTCCTAGAAGTGTCTCCTGTTACCCTATCATGTTTCCTTCTCACCCAGAGGTCTCAAAAGTGGTTATCTTACATTCACTGCCTCTATTTCTTCACTTCCCATTCACCCTCCAACCACTGTAATAGGGATTTAACCTCTACCTCTCCACTAAAACCTATTTTGTTAAGAACACCAGTTACTGACAAATTTCCCTATGCAATGGACACTTTTCAGTATGTTTGTTATTGGACCTCACTGCTACATATGATAGTATTGATCATTTGGGTCTGCTTGAAAGTTTCTGCTCCACTTGATTCCAGACATACATTCTCTGTTCTTTTCCTTCCTCTTTATATTTTTTATTTATGTAACTTTCATGGACACTTCTCCTTCAACCTACCCCTAAAACGTTAGTTTTCCCCCTCCCATAGTTCCACTCTTGGCCTATTTCTTTTGTTCTACTCTCCATGCTCTATTACCTGCACATGGATGACTTTAAAATATATATTACTAGCTCAGACCACCGTCCTGAGATCTAGATAAATAGGTCCAACTGTCCACTCAACATCCTGACTTGGATGCCACCCAAGCAGTTCAAATTCAACCTGTCCATGCTTGAATGTATTTTCCCATGCTAATGGGTTATTTGTCTTTGTTGGGGTAGATTCCCCAAAAAAATTTCCCCAAAGAGAGGCCCGGCACAGTGGCTCATGCCTGTAATCTCAGCACTTTGGGAGGCCAAGGCAGGTGGATCAGGAGTTTGAGACCAGCCTGGCCAACATGGTGAAACCCTGTCTCTACTAAAAATACAAAAATTAGCCAGGCATAGTGGCTCACGTCTGTGGTCCCAACTATTCAGGAGGCTGAGGCCTGAGAATCACTTGAACCCAGGAGGCAGAGGTTGCAGTGACCCAGGATGGCACTACTGCACTCCAGCCCGGGCTACAGAGCAAGACTCTGTCTCAAAAAAAAAAAAATCCCCAAAGGGAGACCCTGGTATTGTCACATAATGATTTCACCTTCTCACAGAAACAGATGAAATGACTGCATTATGATCATTTTATGTGACTCAAGCCAAGACTTCTGTACTTTTCCTGAAAAATAAGCTGCATATATGCACCAAGGAAGAATAAGTTGAATCACTAGAATTGAAACTTCATGAAGACAGGGATTCTTGCCTACTTTGTTCACTGCTGTATCTCTAATGCTTAGAATAGTACCTGCCACATAGTAGGCTCTCAATAAATCTTTGTTGAATAAATGAATGGATGAATTTGTATATCCTCTTCTTAAAAGCCCTCTGGGAATTCTACTAGATTATAGCAGCTAGCTAGCTAGCTAGCTAGATAGCTGGCTAGACAGATATAGATAGATATCAATATATATACATAGATTAGGGAGGTATATATCTTTTTGTGTCTGAAATAGGACAAAAGGAAATTATAACTGCACTTCACTCAGATTTCTTCCTATTGAAAGTAAAGAAAAAGGAGGCAGAGAGGGATAAAAACCACTTTATCTGCCTCTTGGAATAGCCATTTGGTAGTTCTTCAGCTCTTCCAGGTGCTCAGATCTCTGCTTTAGGAAAATCTCCTTTGTAGTATGCCTTCAATTCCCGCATGACGAATGTCATCTTCTGGAATCAAGACAATTCAGACAACTGAAGATGCCCACTTCAAACAGAAGGTTGATCTGGACCTCATTTGGCATTATATTCAATAGCGAATAAAGGACACATGAAACCCTTTGCCTGATCTCTGTCTCTTGGTGTGCTGAAATTTCTGTCTCACTGAGACCAAACAAAGCAAAGTATGATCTAATCCCAAGAGTGGATGCACTTCTAAGTTTGGTAGGCCCCCAACGGTCCTATTGTCCCTCTCTGGGTAGGTGTATTTTACCTTGTCTCCCAAACCAAAAACATAAAGGTCACCTCAGACTCTCTCTTCTAACCTCCTACATCTAACTAAGTTAATAAGCCTTGCTGATTCTATCTCCTAAATATCTCTCATATTCATTCATCATTCTTTTACACCTGCACCACCACCAATTTTGCCTTAATTTATTTATTTCCTCCTAATTTTTTTCAGGAGTATTTCAGCAACTTCCTAATCAGGCTCCTTACCTTCATTCTTACCTCTCTTCCAAACCATCTTCTGCACTGCCTCTTGAATAAGTTATCTAAAAATGCAAACCTTACCAAATTCTCTCCCTGCTAAAAACGTTTCAGATCTATTCCCCATTCCTTATTGATTACACTTCAAGCTCCACATTACTTTTCATAATCTGTCTCTTTTCCAGCCATATCCCCTACCATTCTCTACATTCTACTTCATGCTCAGGAATCTAATACTACTTGCAATTCTGTGCTGAGCATCACCCTTCTTGGAGCTTCTCTTTCCATCACTTCCATCCTAATGTTACTGTAGAAGTTTTTAATGTTATGTGACCCGTTGGCCACAGTTAACCAATCTGGAACTATTATAGTCCTTCCTTGGGAGTCTGGAATCTAGATTAAGATATTTCATCGTGGTCTGGTTGCTTTCTTATGCTGAGCAGTATAAACTTCATAGCTGTTGGCAGCAGCAACTTTTCTACCATATGGTCTGGGGAAAAAGAAAATGCTGGTCTGCTATAAAAGATGAGGCAGAAACACAGAGAGATGCAGCAGTGAAAGAGGGAGAGTGTCCAGATAGCAGCTGAGTTCCTAGCTGCAGCTTATTCCTTGAAGCCCACCTGCCTTCCTGTTTTTGGGTTCCATAAGACACTTCTCTATCCTTGTGCTAAATTCCTTTTTTTTTTTTTCCTGAGACGGAGTCTCGCTCTGTTGCCCAGGCTGGAGTGCAGTGGTGCGATCTCGGCTCACTGCAAGCTTTGCCACCCGGGTTCACGCCATTCTCCTGCCTCAGCCTCCCGAGTAGCTGGGACTACAGGCGTCCACCACCACGCCTGGCTAATTTTTTGTATTTTTATTAGAGACAGGGTTTCACCGTGTTAGCCAGGGTGGTCTCGATCTCCTGCCTCGTGATCCACCTGTCTCGGCCTCCCAAAGTGCTGGGATTACATACGTGAGCCACCGCACCCGGCCGCTAAATTCCTTTCGTTGCTCAAGCTAGTTTGAATTGAATAGCTGTACAAACATTCTGCTCTCCCATATTAAACTGCTTAGCTCTTCTGCATCTTTGCTTATTCTTTTCCCTTTGCCTGAAAAACAGTAGTTCTTTCCACAACCATTTTGCCTGAATAATTTATATTTGTAATGGCCCTTTTCCTGTATCTGGAAGGTACCTATATTTCTACTCTGCCCTTCATTCCTTCCTCCCCAAAGGGAAATATTTCTATTATAGGTCAGATGGCATGACACTGATTAGGTCAGATTTAATAAAGGGTGGGGTTGATATTTGCAAATAGGTCTCATGCCCATTCGTGGTCCTTCCATTCCTATTCCTCCTCTGTCCCTGTGGGTGGATACTGTAAGAGGGCCAGGGCCTACCTTGAGGCAGTTTCAGCAATGCTCTCTCTCTCTGTACCTAAGCAGACTGGCATCAATTCAGATTTATGTGTTATGTGGCTGGGTCAGAGGACCGTAACATTTGGATTTGAGCTTGGGGACAGGAATGCCATTAGGGAACCTCATTAAGGCTTCAAGTGAGCCACTTTTTAATCACATTTTCCCATAGCTTTACACAGAAAATATTTTGTGCAGCATCCTATGTTTAGTAATCAGAGTTGCAGCTGGTATTTAGAGGGGAAGAGATTCTCTCCTGAAGTAAGAGATCCCTGGGGGATGTAGACTGAAGAGGAGAGCTGCACTTAAGCTAGATTACAAGGCAGAGTTCCACATGGAGAAAGCAAAATTCTCCTTATGGACTCTATGGATAAAAAATGATTTTGGTTTGCATATTTTGGGGCATTGGTTGGAGGGATGGCATCTTGCTTTCCCTAATCCCACTCTCTCACTCGGAGCTGAGGAGTGGTATATTTCTCCAGACAGATCACATCTTGTTGTGGCAGGAATTTAAATGGTAGGAGAAATGTTTATATTACCATTTAGATAACCAAAGTCTGGAGAATTCAAAATCTGAAGGAAAGCAATACGATTATGGATGTTTGATAAGTGCCAATAGTAGCAGCACAGAACTAGTAAAGATTTGCAGCCTGGGCACCATACTGAGACCTAGTCTCTACCAAATATTTAAAAAAACTAGCCAGACATGGTGATCACCTGTGGTCCCAGCTACTTGGGAGGCTGTGGTGGGAGGATGGCTTGTGCCTAGGAGGTGGAGGCTGCTGTGAGCTGTAATTGTGCTACTGCACTACAGCTTGGTTGACAGAGCGAGACCGTGACTCAAAAAAAAAAAAAAAAAAAAAGCAAAAAACAAACCAACAAAAAAACCATGGATTTGGAATTTCATGAAGCTTTTAGAAAATAAATATGACAGCTCAACTGCTCTCTCCACAGGCAATTTCTTTCAGTTGAATTTTATTTTATTTTGTTTTCAGCTTTTATTTTAAATACGGGGAGTACATGTGTAGGATTGTTATGTGGATATATTAGACCAAGTAATGAGCATAATACTCAATAGGTGGTTCTTCAACCCAAGCCCCTCTCGTTTTCTCCCCTTTCTAGCAGGTCACCGTGTATATTATTCTCATGGTTACATTCATGTCTACTCAATGTTTAGCGGCAACTTACAAGTGAGAATATGTGGTATTTGGTTTTCTGTTTCTGCATTAATTCACTTAGGATTATGGCCTCCAGCTCCATTCATGTTGCGAAAAAGACATGGTGTCATTTTTTATAGCTGTGTAGTATTCCATGGTGTATATATACCACATTTAATTGATCCCATCTACCATTAATGAGCACCTGGATTGATTCCATGTCTTCGGTATTGTGAATAGTGTGGCGATTAACATACAAGTGCATGTGTTTGTTTGTTTGTTTGTTTTTTTCATATAATGATCTATATTCTTTTAGGTATATACCCAGGAATGTGATTGCTGTGTCAAATGGTAGCTCTGCCTTAACTTCTTTGAGACATCTTTAAGCTGTTTTCCACAGGGGCTGAACTATTAATAATTTACAAATTTACATTCCAACCAACAGTGTATAAGTGTTCCCTTTTCTCTGCAGCCTCAACAGCATCTGTTGTTTTTTGACTTTAATAATAGCCATTCTGACTGGTGTGAGATGGTATCTCATGGTGGTTTTGACTTGCATTTCTCTGATGACTAGTGATGGTAAACTTTTTTTTATTATACTTTAAGTTCTGGGGTACATGTGCAGAACATGCAGGTTTGTTACATAGGTATACACATGCCCTGGTGGTTTGCTGCCCCCATCAACCCATCATCTACATTAGGTATTTCTCCTAATGCTATCCCTCCCCTAGTGCCCCCCCACCCGCCGATAGGCCCCGGTGTGTACTGTTTCCCTCACTGTGTCCATGTGTTCTCATTGTTCAACTCCCACTTATGAATAAGAACAAGTGGTGTTTGGTTTCCTGTTCTTATGTTAGTTTGCTGAGAATGATGGTTTACAAATTCATCCGTGTCCCTGCAAAGGACAGGAACTCATCCTTTTTTATGGCTGCATAGTATTCCATGGTGTATATGTGCCGCATTTTCTTTATCCAGTCTATCATTGATGGGCATTTGGGTTGGTTCCAGGTCTTTGCTATTGTGAACAGTGCCACAATAAATGTATGTATGCACGTGTCTTTATAGTAGAATGATTTATAATCCTTTGGGTATATACCCAGTAATGGGATTACTGGGTCAAATGGTATTTCTAGTTCTAGATCCTTGAGGAATCACCATACTGTCTTCCACAATAGTTGAATCAATTTACACTCCCACCAACAGTGTAAAGCATTCCTATTTCTCCAGATCCTCACCAGCATCTCTTGTTTCCTGACTTTTTAATCATCACCATTCTAACTGGCATGAGATGGTATCTCATTGTGGTTTTGATTTGCATTTCTCTGAAGACCAGTGATGATGAGCTTTTTTTTATATGTTTGTTGGCTGCATAAATGTCTTCTTTTGAGAAAAACTGAAAGCATTCCCTTTGAAAACTGGCACAAGACAAGGATGCCCTTGCTCACCACTCCTATTTAACATAGTATTGGAAGTTCTGGCCAGGACAATCAGGCAATAGAAAGAAATAAAGTGTATTCAGTTAGGAAAAGAGGAAGTCAAATTGTCTCTCTTTGCAGATGCCATGATTGTATATTTAGAAAACTCCATCATCTCAGCCCAAAATCTTCTTAAGGTGATAAGCAATTTCAGCAAAGTCTCAGGACTACCATTGACTTTCTTCACAGAATTGGAAAAAACTACTTTAAATTTCATATGGAACCAAAAAAGAGCCCTCATAGCCAAGACAGTCCTAAGCACAAATAACAAAACTGGAGGCATTATGCTACCTGACTTCAAACTATACTACAAGGCTACAGTAACCAAAACAGGATGGTACTGGTACCAAAACAGATATATAGACCAATGGAACAGAACAGAAGCCTCAGAAATAGCACCACACATCTACAACCATCTGATCTTTGACAAACCTGATAAAAAGAAGCAATGAAGAAAGTCATTGGTAGTTTGATGGGGATGGCATTGAATCTATAGATTACCTTGCGCAGTTTGGCCATTTTCATGGTATTGATTCTTCCTATCCATGAGCATAGAATGTTTTTCCATTTGTTTGTGTCCTCTCTTATTTCCTTGAGCAGTGGTTTGTAGTTCTCCTTGAAGACGTCCTTCACATCCCTTTTAAGTTGTATTCCTAGGTATTTTAATTCTTTGTAGCAATTGTGAATGGGAGTTCACTCATGATTTGGCTTTCTGTTTGTCTGTTATTGGTGTATAGGAAGGCTTGTGATTTTTGCACAATGATTTTGTATCCTAAGACTTTGCTTTCAGTTTTTACCCATTCAGTATGATATTGGCTGTGGGTTTGTCATAAATAATTCTTATTATTTTGAGATGCATTGCATCAATACCTAGTTTATTGAGAGTTCTTAGCATGAAGGGGTGTTGAATTTTGTCAAAGACCTTTTCTGCATCTACTGAGATAATCGTGTGGTTTTTGTCATTGGTTCTGTTTATATGATGGGTTACATTTATTGATTTGCATATGGTCAACCAGCCTTGCATCCCAGTGATGAAGCCAATTTGATCATGGTGGATAAGCTTTTTGATGTGCTCCTGGATTTGGTTTGCCAGTATCTTATTGAGGATTTTCGCATTGATGTTCATCAGGGATATTGGCCTGAAATTTTCTTTTTTTGTGTGTCTCTGCCAGGTTTTGGTATCAGGATGATGCTGGCCTCACAAAATGAATTAGGGAGGATTCTCTCTTTTTCTATTGTTTGGAATAGTTTCAGAAGGAATGGTATCAGCTGCTTTTTGTACCTCTGGTAGAATTCGGCTGTGAATCCGTCTGGACCTGGACTTTTTTTGGTTGCTAGGCTATTATTTCCTGCCTCAATTTCAGGACTTGTTACTGATATATTCAGGGATTCGACTTCTCCCTGGTTTAGTCTTGGGAGGGTGTATGTGTCCAGGAATTTCTCCATTTCTTCTAGATGTTCTAGTTTATTTGCATAGAGTTGTTTATAGTATTCTCTGATGGTAGTTAGTATTTCTGTGGGATCGGTGGTGATATCCCCTTTATCATTTTATATTGCAGCTATTTGATTCTTCTCTTTTTTCTTCTTTATTAGTCTGGCTTGTGGTCTATCTATTTTGTTAATCTTTTCAAAAAACCAACTCCTGGATTCATTGATTTTTTGAAGGGTTTTTCATGTCTCTGTCTCCTTCAGTTCTGCTCTGATCTTAGTTATTTCTTGTCTTCTGCTAGCTTTTGAATTTGTTTGCACTTGCTTCTCAAGTTCTTTTCATTGCGATGCTAGGGTGTCAATTTTAGATCTTTCCTGCTTTCCCTTGTGGGCATTTAATTAGTGCTATAAATTTCCCTCTACACACTGCTTTAAATGTGTCCCAGAGATTCTGGTATGTTGTGTCTTTGTTCTCATTGTTTTCAAAGAACATCTTTATTTCTGCCTTAATTTAGTTATTTACCCAATAGTCATTCAGGAGCAGGTCGTTCAGTTTCCATATAGTTGTGAGGTTTTGAGTGAGTTTCTTAATCCTGAGTTCTAATTTGATTGTACTGTGGATTGGGAAACTGTTATTATTTCCATTCTTTTGCATTTTCTGAGGAATGTTTTACTTCCATTTAAGTGGTCAGTTTTAGAATAAGTGCGATATGGTGCTAAGAAAAATGTATATTCTGTCGATTTTGGGTGGAGAGTTCTGTAGATGTCTATTAGGTCCACTTGGTCCAGAGCTGAGTTCAATCCTGGATATCCTTGTTAATTTTCTGTCTCATTGATCTGTCTAATATTGACAGTGGGGTGTTAAAATCTCCCACTATTATTGTGTGGGAATCTAAGTCTCTTTGTAGGTCTCTAAGAACTTGCTTTATGAATCTGGGTGCTCCTGTATGGGGTGTATATATATTAGGATAGTTAGCTCTTCTTGTTGCATTGATTCCTTACCATTATGTAATGCCTTTCTTTTCTCTTTTGAGCTTTGTTGGTTTAAAGTCTCTTAGAGTCTAGGACTGCAACCCCTGCTTTATTTTTGCTTTCCATTTGCTTGGTAAATATTCCTCCATTCCTTTATTTTGAGCCTATCTATGTCTTTGCACATAAGATGGGGCTCCTGAGTACAGCACTTCGATGGGACTTGACTCTTTATCCAGTTTGCCAGTCTGTGTGTTTTAATTGGGCATTTAGCTCGTTTACTTTTAAGGTTAATATTGTTATCTTTGAATTTGATCCTGTCATTATGGTAGCTGCTTATTTTTCCCATTAGTTGATGCAGTTTCTTCAGAGTGTCAATGGTCTTTACAATTTGGTGTGTTTTTGCAGTGGCTGGTTTTGGTTGTTCCTTTCCATGTTTATTGCTTTCTTCAGGAGCCCTTGTTAGGCAGGCCTAGTGGTGACAAAGTGTCTTAGCATTTGCTTGTCTGTAAAGTATTTTATTTCTCCTTCACTTATGAAGCTTAGTTTGACTGGATATGAAATTCTGGGTTGAAAATTCTTTTCTTTAATAATGCTGAATATTGGCCCCCACACTATTCTGGCTTCTAGGGTTTCCACTGAGAGATCTGCTGTAGTCTGATGGGCTTCCCTTTGTAGGTAACCCGACCTTTCTTTCTGGCTGCCCTTAACATTTTTTCTTTCATTTCAACCTTAGTGAATCTGATGATTATGTGTCTTGGGGTTGCTCTTCTCAAGGAGTATCTTTGTGATGTTCTCTGTATTTTCCGAATTTGAATGTTGGCCTGCCTTGCTAGGTTGGGGAAGTTCTCCTGGATAATATCCTGCAGAGTGTTTTCCAACTTTGTTCCATTCTCCCTGTAACTTTCAGGTACACCAATCAGACGTAGATTTGGTCTTTTCACATAGTCCCATATTTCTTGGAGGCTTTGTTCATTTCTTTTCACTCTTTTTTCTCTAATCTTGTCTTCATGCTTTATTTCATTGAGTTGGTCCTCAATCTCTGATATCCTTTCTTCTGCTTAATCGATTCAGCTGTTGATACTTGTGTATGCTTCATGAAGTTCTTGTGCTGTGTTTTTCATCTCCATCGGATCATTTATGTTCTTCTCTAAACTGGTTATTTTAGTTAGCCATTCATCTAACCTTTTTTCAAGGATCTTAGCTTCCTTGCATTGGGTTAGAACATGCTCCTTTAGCTCAGAGGAGACTGTTATTACCCAACCTCTGAAGCCTGCTTCTGTCAATTTGTCAAATTCATTGTCTGTCCAATTTTGTTCCCTTGCTGGCGAGGAGTTGTGTTCCTTTGGAGGAGAAGAGGCGTTCTGATTTTTGGAATTTTTAGCCTTTTTGCACTGGTCTCCCCATCTTCGTGGATTTATCTGCCTTTGGTCTTTGATGTTGTTGACCTTTGGATTGGGTCTCTGAGTGGACGTCCTTTTTGTTGATGTTGATGCTATTCCTTTTGGTTTGTTAGTTTTCCTTCTAACAGTCAGGCCCCTCTGCTGCAGGTCTGCTGGAGTTTGCTGGAGGTCCACTCCAGACCCTGTTTTCCTGGGTATCACCAGCAGAGGCTGCAGAATAGCAAAGATTGCTGCCTGTTCCTTCCTCTCGAAGCTTTGTCCCAGAGGGGCACCTGACAGACGCCAGCCAGAGCTCTCCTGTATGAGGTGTCTTTCGGCCCCTGCTGGGAGGTGTCTCCCAGTCAGGATACATGGGGGTCAGGGACCCACTTGAGGAGGCAGTCTGTCCCTTATCAGACCTTGAATGCTGTCCTGGGTGATCTGCTTCTCTCTTCAGAGCTGTCAGGCAGGGGCATTTAAGTCTGCTGCAGCTGCGCCCACAGCTGTCCCTCACCTGGGTCCTCTGTCCCAGTGAGATGGGGGTTTTATCTATAAGCCCCTGACTGGGGCTGCTGCCTTTTTTTCAGAGATGCCCTGCGCAGAGAGGAGGAATCTAGAGAGGCCTTCTGGCCGCAGTGGCCTTGCTGAGCTGAGGTGGGCTCCATCCAGTTCAAACTTCCTGGCAGCTTTGTTTATACTCTGAGGGGAAAACTGCCTACTCAAGCCTCAGCAATGGCAGACGCCCCTCCCCCCACCAAGCTTGAGTGTCCCAGATCGACCTTAGACTGCTGTACTGGCAGTGAGAATTTCAAGCCAGTGGATCTTAGCTTGCTCAGCTTCATGGGGATGGGACCTCCCGAGCCAGACTACTTGGCTCCCTAGCTTCAGCCCCCTTTCCAGGGGAGTGAACGGTTCTGTCTCGCTGGCATTCCAGGTGCCACTGGGATATGAAAAAAAAAAGCTCCTGCAACCAGCCCAGTGTCTGCCCAAATGGCCGCCCAGTTTTGTGCTTGAAACCCAGGGCCTTGGTGGCGTAAGCACCGGAGGGAATCTCTTGGTCTGCTGGTTGTGAAGACTGTGGGAAAAGCACAGTATCTGGGCAAGAGTGCACCATTCCTCAAGGTACAGTCTCTCACGGTTTCTCTTGGCTAGGGGAAGGAAATCCACCAACCCTTTGTGCTTCCCAGGTGAGGCAACACCCCACTCTGCTTCGTCCTGCCCTCCATGGGCTGCACCCACTGTCCAACCAGTCACAATGAGATGAACCAGGTGCCTCAGTTGGAAATGCAGAAATCACCCACCTTCTGTGTCAATCTTGCTGGGAGCTGCAGACCAGAGCTGTTCCTATTTAGCCATCTTGCTGGCAACCAATGAACATTTTTTCATGTTTGTTGGCAGCTTGTATGTCGTCTTTTGAGAAGTGTCTGTTCATGTATTTTGCCCACTTTTTAATGGAGTTATTTAGTTTTTGCTTGTTGATTTAAGTTCCTTCCTTATGGATTCTGGATATTAGACCCTTGTCAGATGCATAGTTTGTGAATATTTTATCCCGTTCTGTGAGTTGTGTTTATTGGTGTTTTCTTTTGCTATGCAGAAGCTCTTTAGATACTGGCATTGGTGGTTCAGTGGTAGAATTCTCAGTTGAATTTTATTTAATGGGTTATAGACACTACACAGTTAGCACAAATTGACAGGCATACAGATGAAGTTAAAACCCCAATTTTTTTCTGTTTCACCCTCTATCCTTGTTATCTGAACAATAGGCTTGGTAACAGCAATATGATAATGTTATTTTTGCTTAAGATTGTCGTAAGCATTTGATCCTACATTTTATGAGTGTGGAACTGAAACTTGAGAAAAGTGGTATCCAAGGGAGACTTGAATTTGTATCACTGCAGCTTCAGAAGTGCTGGAGGAGTTACAACCCTAGTGAAATATAGCCAAGCATGCAGCTGCTGAAGGAAAACAGACTCCACCTAGGAATCTGGTGAAACCTCCTCTGGCTGAGATACAGCAAAATAATAAATTGGGGAGAAAGTTATTTTTGGCTTTAATTTCTTTGGGAATTCAATTTCTACATAGTACATAGATTTCAGCATGAAATTTTAACTTTCCTGAAACTTAATACTTAGAGTGGTTTCATATTGTTCAAATGTAGACATTCTGATATTGCTGTTCTGATGTTGCATTATTTGGACTATGCTACCATGCAGTACTCATTGAACCAGGTTGGAAAATTGTAGCTATGCATAATTTCGTGTGTGAAATAAAATAGCAAGTAAATGTTTGAACTGTTGTGCAGCTTTGGTCCTAGGAGGATAAACAAAATAATTGATGAGTGTCAGGGAGATGGTGTTAGAAAAGGAGGGGTAGAACTCATGGGTCTTCCCTCACAAGGGGGATGGTTATGGCTGACCATCATCTTGACTATTAAGCCCAAAGAGGTGAGAGAAAAAATGCAGAATAATCTAAGGGGAGAGGAGTCCCGATGGCTCTTTTCACATCAGAAATAACTCTAGCAGATGGTTTCCACATGTTTTCCTACTATTTTCTTCCCTCTTTCTAAACGGAAGGGAACATCAAACCAACAGATCAGAATGTGAGACATGCCTGGATCACATTTACTTGTAGGCCAAAGAATGGGAACACTAGACTACAGACCAGGCAGCTGGGCAAAGCCTTGGTCTCAGCTGCTCCTCCTTCCATTTTGCTGGGATCATCAAAGTTCTTTCTTTTTAGCTATATGCAGCTGATAGAAAGGTAATATTTTTATTCATCCTTAGTTAGGGAAATACTAGACTCTCTTAGAACTCTAGCCAAGTACTTCAAATCAGGTTTCCCAGAACTCTGTATTAGACATATTGGGCCCTGGTCCAACTAATAATAACATGATGCTCTGTTCCCAGTTTTTTAATTGTTCTGTTCTCAGGGAACAATTGAGAATTAAGAGTAAGGCAGAATCTGAGCATTCTTGGTTATTCTAGCCAAAACCAACAAAATCTCTTCACATTCCCAATACGATTCATCTTCTAACTTTATTCTAGCAGGTACTTATGGGATTATCTACTCCAAAACTCTCTCTAAAAAGTCTGCTCTCATCTTTTTTGTGCATCCTACAACCTACATGGTTGCAACAAGAGTTGTTATATTATTACAACATGATCATACTCCCTAAACATAGTTGATTGGACCAGGGGATAAGTACATTATTTCAGGCGGGCCAATCAATACTTTCCCTAGGGTAAAGAAGCAGCATCAGCTGCATCTGTCTCTTTTATCAGAAAAGCAAGAGCTTTTCCATAAGCTTCCCCAGGTGATTCCCACTTAAGATCATTGGTCAAAACTGGGTGCATGGCCACCCTGACTTGAAGGAAGCTGGGAAAGTTAGTATCTCACCTGAAGCTGGCCACAATGATGCCCAGAACCAATTTAAGTCTCTTTTTGGCAAAAAAGAAAAGGGGAATGGGTATTAGGAAGGCAATTAACAGGGTCGGCCACATTAATATATTTATTTATAGATATAATGCAAAAATAAATTTGCTAAATATAAACCTAGCTGCCTTGCAAGGAGAGTAATTCATTTTAAAAATGAACTTTTTTGGCTATATATCTTTATGGATTGGGGTAAGCAAGCTAGTAGGAAGGAATTGGGGAGGATAAAAGTGTTCTGCATAATAGAGGGGAATGTGTTTGAAACTATGGGAGCAATCTTGGAGGGAGAAGACTAAGAGAAGAGATGGGAAGAGGAGGAAGAAGATGATGAAGACACGTGGTTCCTGCTCTGAGCTTTCTCTTTACCTCCAAATCTTTAACAAAGTCTAGAACTCATGAAAGTATTATTGTGAATAGATTTCTTGTATAAACTAGTGAAGGGTTGAGGTCCATATGTATACTGTATTAAAATGAAATATGTATAGGAAGTGCAGATGCAGGAGGCAGAGAAAAGAACCTGAGAAAAGAGTGTATAAGCCCCTGGGATTATCATAGAATCATGAGGAAAGTCAGGAGTTCACATATCATGGAATGAGAGAGGCCTAAACCAATTATTCCAAGATCTTTGAGGAGTAAGGCTAACCCAGCCAACATTTGGATTTTATGTGTTTCTTGTCCTTACCAAGTGGTGATCCCCTTGAGGAGTGAGGTGCCATCATACCCATCATTGCATGGAACATAGTAGGTAATCTATAAATACTTGTTGAGTTAAATTGAATAGACCTGACCTATATTGAATTTCTCAATATGCCTATTTTAACTCCTTTAGTAAATTAGACTGTCCATTAAGAGTGTGTCTGATTCAGTGTTTTATTAAATGAGATGCCTAAAACATAGTAGGTGCTTCAAGGGCCAATTTTCAAAGCCCTGCTTTTATGGAGAGAAATAATGTTCCAGGTAATCTGAGTCCTATTTCTAGCATGCTCTGGAATACTGGTTCTGATTTCTTGGCATTTTGTTTCCCTTAGGCTGATATGAAAAGGAATTTTTATTCTCAAGCAAATATTAATTGATGGCAGGGGAAGGCCACACAGATACATGCTGTGTGGCAGAGGGAAACCAGTTTGGGATTTTAATTTGCCACCAATGATTAGCCAAATGGACAATCAAGAATTGGCAGTGTACAGCCATTACTCACAATTAGAAGTTGTTTAGGCAGTTCATTTATTCTAAGTATAACTGGGTACAGAAACAAGACTGGAATTATAGACACATAATATTGAGAATTATATGAAATTGTAGGTGATTTTTGCTTTCTGTATCATTTTGTGCAATTTCATGCTACTGAATATGTTCATAAATGTTCTTTAAAATAAATTCAGTTCAGTTTTGTTGATGGGACTAGAACTAACATTTACTGAATAACTATTATGTGTTGAGCACTACACTACACACTTTATAAATATATCATTTAATCTTTGGAGATAGTTTATTCACCCAATTTTATGGATTATATAACTGAGTTCCAGAGAGGCAAAGTGACTTTCCCACAGATTACAGCCAAAAAGTGCAAATATGAAGACTTAAACCCAGTTTTTTCTGTAGAGCTTGGTGAAATATGAATTGCTGAGCTTCCACAGTTCCTCCCATGAATTGCTCTCACAGTTTTTGACTTAGTAGTTTTAGGGAAAGGCTGAGAGTTTGCATTCTAAAAGTGCCCAGGTTATGCTGACTGTGCTGTTCTTGGAATGACACCATGGGAACCATAGCTCCAGGGAATCTAAGTATATAAAAGCCTTAAGTCATCTCATCTTGGGTTTCCAAATCAGTGTACCAAGGCACACTAGTGTGAATTATAAGTGTGCAGAGGAATCCCTTTTGCCCTCAAAATGGTTGTGTAGGACCTAGGGAAACTAGTCACTCAAGCCACAAGCAGCCCTGTTGTTTACCTCCGGTGTGCTATACATACAAGTATTATTTTCTGTCATGTAAAAGGAATTAGAAAGCACCCATCTAGTCCATCCACTCATGAGGCCTGAATCCTTTCTACAAAAATCTCTAACAGATAGTCAGATTCTGCTTGAATTCCTTCAAAGATGGGGAACTCATTCACCTATGAAATATTTAGTTCCAATTTAAGACTGCTCTAACCTGATTATTATAAAGCTTTTTTTTTCTACACAAGCAGACAGCTGTGAGAAGAGAGAGCAGAAGAGAAAATATCTGAATCATGAGTTGTTAGCCCATGGCAGAATGTTTAAATGGATGTTCTGGAGTTGTCCATCATTTCTTTTCTGTAATTGTTTTGCTGCATAACAAATTACCCCTAAAATCTAGCAGCTTAAAACAGCTGACATTTATTATCTCACTGTTTCTGTGGGTCAAGAATCCAAGCATACCTTGATTGAGTCCTCTGCTTCAGGGTCTTTCACAGGTAACTATCAAGGTGTTGGCTGGACTCTAGTCAGCTCGAGACTCACCTTTGGTATAATCTACTTTCAAGTTCAGATGGTCGTTGGCAGGATTCAGTTATTTGTGGATTGTTGGACTGAGGGGCCTCAGTTCCTTGCTTGTTATTGAAGAGAGACTGCCATTAGTTCCTTGTCACAAGAGCTTTTTCAACATGGCAGCATGTTTTATCAAGGCCTGCAAGCTAAAAAAAATCAATAAAGAGAGTCTGCTAGCAAGAGGGAAGTTGCAAACTTTTGTAACCTAATCTAGGAAATGACATCCCGTGAGTTTTGCTATATTCTGTTCATCAGAAGCAAGTCACTAAGTCTAGCCTGCCCCTAATAGGAGGGGATTACACAGAGAAATGGATACTAGAAGGCAGGGATCACTGGAGCCACTTTAGAAATTTACCTATTACATGAATACTTCCACACTCCTTAGAATAGCTATCCCTGGCAAAGCCCCAACAAGGCAACCCTCCTCACTGTTTCCTGATTGCCCTGGGTTGGAGGTTAGACACTGACTTGGATTAGACCACACAGAGACTATATCACTTGCTGCAGGGATTTGAGCTGGCAGGTCCTTGTATCAGAGACTTATAACTGCCAACACGGTATCCATTTCCATTTTCTTCGTTGCTAGCACGCCTGAGATTTTTTTCAGGTCCACCATGTGCCTAGTTCACTTCCCCTGCTCCCTTTGCATGCAGCTTGGTGTGGCCATAAGACTAGTTCTGGCCAATGAAATGTAAGGGAAAATTTGTCGAGCATTTCTGAAAATGCTTTTCTTTCCCAATAAAAAGAGACAAAAACAGCTAGAATTTCTATCTCTTTCTTTATCTTTCCTGCCACGAATATGGATATGATGGCCGGAATTGAAGTAAACACCTTGCAAGCACATGGAGAAGGTCACTGAAATGTTAGTCCTGCTATCATTGAGCTAATCTATCAACATTGATAACCCCCTGCATCTATACTTATTGAATGAGAAAAACCCTTGTTTAAGCCACTGTAGTTGGAATTGTTTATTGCTGCTGAAACCATGCCTACCTGATGTAGTCATGTAGAGAACTGGGACTTACATTTTTGGGCAACTATGATTAGCTAAGCACACTCGGATAGTGAACAGAGGATAAATTTAAAAATATGATTGTTGAGCAGATGTTTTGAGAGAGGAAGAAGTAAGATTATGTAGTACAAGAGAGAGTGAATGAGAGCAAGAGAGGGAAAGGTTTTCCAGTTCTCTGAGACATAACTTGGTTCTTCTAAGTGTGTTACACAAGAGTCTCTACTGTATCATTACAATAACCCTCAATTACTTGAGCTAATTTCTGTAACTGGCAACCAAACGTGCCTTGCATGAATACTTGAGTTATTTTTTTAAAGCATGTGACTTAAAGATTGCAATTAATGTACTAGATTTCTTTCTTTTTTTTCTTTTCTCTTTTCTTTCTTTCTTTCTTTCTTTCTTTTTTTTTTTTTTTTTTTTTTGAGACGGGGTCTTCTGTCACCCAGGCTGGAGTGCAGTGGCACAATCTCGGTTCACCGCAACCTCTGCCTCCCAGGTTCAAGTGATTCTCCTGCCTCAGCCTCCCAAGTCGCTAGGATTACAGGCTAATGTACTAGGTTTCTTTATGGCTTTCATAGCTGTAGAGCTACCTAGACTGGAGTCTGCCAAACAACTACATTAATGTAGGCCACTCAAAGATGGCATGCCTTCATGCCTGTAATCCCAGCACTTTGGGAGGCTGAGGCAGGTGGATCACGAGGTCAAGAGATCGAGACCATCCTGGCCAACGTGGTGAAACCCTGTCTCTACTAAAAATACAAAAATTAGCTGGGTGTGGTGGCATGTGCCTGTAGTCCCAGCTACTCAGGAGGCTGAGGCAGGAGAATCGCTTGAACCCAGGAGGCGGAGGTTGCAGTGAGCCAAGATTGCACCACTGCACTTCAGCCTGGCAACAGAGCAAGACTCAGTCTAACAACAACAACAAAAAAAAATACAAAAAAAAAAGATGGCATACTTTATCCCCTGCATCTGACCATTATTGGCCCCAGTCACTGCAGATTGACTCACCAGGGAACTCGTTCACTTCCACAAAATATTTGTTGATGTCCATCTCAATTTGTGTCCCAGATCTATGGGGTTGTAATTTTCTTGGTTTACTACCATAATCTGATTGTCAAAAAAGACTGTAAATTGCATCCTGGGAGAAGAACTTCACTGCCACCATACGTTATACAAATATTGAAATTGGGTTCCAGACCTCTCCCTCACCCAGGGCCTCGCTAAATCCAGCTAATTCTCTCACAGACCAGAATCACATAAGAATTGAGCCAGGAAAATGGATTGAGCAAAGGGGGAACATGGTGTAACACAGTGGAAAGAATATGGGCTTTAGAGTCAGACAGACTCAAATCTAGCCTCAGTCACTTAGCTAAGCGACCCTGAAACAAGTCACTCACCTTTTTGAGCCTCGGCTTCCTCAAAAGTGATATAAGGATAATAATACCTATCATAGAATTATAGTGAGGAACAAAACTATCAACATTTGTAGAAAAGCTCTTTGCCTTATGCTTGGCATGATGAAGTTTTTTTTTGTTTGTTTGTTTGATTTTTTATCTAAACCTTAGAAGAAAAAGACTGTTTATTCTGTTTCTCAGCTACCAACTCAAGATCCAACTTAAATCTCATTTATTCTGAAAGCCTCAGCATTAAGCTGAAAAAACTAATTCACCAAAGAGGTTATCTAAATTTTTAAATTTCTCTGAGTTTATGCAGGTATAATCAAATACTACTTTCAATAATTGAAATAACAGTTTGAAAATAGTAACTATGAAAATAAATTCTGTATTTATATTAAATAATCTCTCCATGTCCTATCAACAAAAAGTTCATCATATTGGCTTTAAATTATGTTTTACTGAATATATTTAAAGAAATGCATATTCTAAAATATGTCAATAAAGGAACATGTGGTCTTTTCCCTAATTATTTTATGTGGCTTAAGAAATATTTTGGAAAAAATCTTACTGACATACTCAGTCTAAAAGATAAAGCTCGTCTGAGCTCCAGTAAGAGGAGAGATTTGGGGAGGAATAAAAATTAATTTGTGGCTCTTTTACAAAGTATCTCATCCCCTAATCCCACCCTTCCCCTACTATGGGATAGCTTCAATAGGAGTGGAATCCCAAAAAAGATTGGAAATATTCCTTATGGGAATTTAAGTCAATCCCAAAGAAAAAAAAAGATTTGAAAGTCCTGAATTATTTGAGTATAACTGAGAAAAGCCCTAATGTGACTTAATATATCTGGACTTTACTAGGCTAAGTTTTCTGTCACTGGACAGGAAGCGGACTTGAGGTAGTACTAAGTTTGATTGTAAGTAAAGTTACAATGTTTGCACATCTGAGTGTGCAGATTGAAAATAAGATGTCCATTACACATGTGAGCAGAAACACAAACAATAAGGGTCTTCAATTAAGAAAATAGACAATTCCATTGTGGAGACCAACAGAACCAGAGGGAAGAGAAATTTTAAAAAGACCAAAAGAGAAACTAAAGGTTTATCCTAATTTGTGAGTGGTGGGCACTTGGAAGTTGATGCATCCTTTTTATGGTTGTTTTATACATTAGTTTAGGCTAATAGATAGTAAAAAGTCATTGTCTTTATTCAAGAATGTGAGTTCAATAATTCTCAATATGTTCCTTTGTCTTCACAAATTCTGGCATTAAATGTGACTGCTCCAGGCATTCCTACCTAGGTTATGTAGTGTCAGGAACTCTGGAGAGTATGAGATTTTACCCTATGTGCAAGACAACAAGTTAGGCTGACACAGTTTCATTGGTGCTGACTGAAGATATGACACTCCTGGGTCAAAGACAAAGGACTTTATTACTTACAGCACAGCAAGTACCATAAACATCACATTTATGTTGGTTACCCTTGCCCCCCAAGTCTCACAGGAGTAATTCAAAAGGGCCCAGGTGTATGGATGCACATGCAGTGGATTTGTGCCATGCTGAAGAACCCTGAACTTAGGGAACCTGAATCTTTCATAATACACAGCAAACAAACCTGCCTGACTTTTGCTTTGCAGGGAAACATTACCTTTATTATACTGAAGAATAAGCAAACCTTCTATGCTCTGAATGAAGACACTATCTCTGTTTTCCAAGATTGTTTGCTATACAAATATCCTTGAAAAGATAGTTGGCACAGGATAGAGGATTCTGGGGCAATGGTGGAGTGGAAAGCATCACGAATCTGTCTCCCCACCTAGACAGCAGTTGCACTGGCAGAGTCTGCCTGATAGTAACTATTTTCAAACTCTGGAGTCTATTGAAGGCTTGCAACTTCTGAGAGAAGGCTTGGACAGTAAGGTGTAGTTAATTTGGGTCAATTTCAGGTCTTAGCACAGTAGCAGCTACCCATTCTCCCTGCACTCATCCGTGTGGCAGGCAGCTGTGCCCTGTGTTCCTGAAGTAGCTTGCAAAGAGCTTGTGGGAGTCTGCAGGGCACAAAAAGGACCTTGTCTTCCAAATATTGGAGAACTTTGCTTGTATTGCTAATTACTTTATAAAAAAATAAAATATTGTAAATTATTATGGATACATAATAGTTGTACATATTTATGGAGTACATATGATGTTTTAATACTATCGTAAAATGTGTAATGGTCAAGTCAGGGCAATTGTGGTGTCCATCACCTCAAACATTTATCACCTCTCTGTTTTAGGAACATTTTAATTCTACTCTTTTAGTTATATTGAGATATAGAATAAATTATTGTTAACAATAGTCACCCTATTGTGCTACCAAACACTAGATCTTATTCCTTCTGTTTAACTGTATTTTTGTACTCATTAACAATCCCATCTTTATCCCAACCTCCACACTACCCTTCCAAGCCTCTGGTAACCATCATTCTACTCTATCTCCATGAGTTCAATTCTTTTACCTCCCACATATTAGTGAGAAAATGTGATATTTATCATTCTATGCCTGACTTACCTCACTTAACATAATGGCCACCAGTTCCATCCAGGTTGTTGCAAATAACATGACTTCATTCTTTTTTATGGTTGAATAATATTTCATTGTGTGTATGTACTACATTTTCTTTATACATTCATCTGTTGATAGACACTTAGTTTGATTCCTTAGCTTGGCTATTGTGAATAGTGCTCCAGTAAACATGGGAGGGCAGTTATCTCTTTGATATATGGATTTCCTTTGTATTGGATGTATACTCAGCATTGGGATTGCCCGATCATATGGTAGTTCTATTTTTAGTTGTTTGAGGAACTTGCATATTGTTCTCCATAGTGGCTGTACTAATTTACATTTCTACCAACTGTGTACAGGGGTTCTCCTTTCTTCACATCCTCACCAGCATCCATTATTGCCTATCTTTTAGACAAAAGCCATATTAACTGGGGTGAGACAAAATCTCATCGTAGTTTTGATTTCCATTTCTCTGATAAATAGTGATGTTGAACTTTTTTTTTGTATCTGTTGGCTGTTCGTGTCTTCTGAAAATTTTCTTTTCACTTATTTTGCCTATTTTTTAATCAGATTATTTGTTGTTGTTGTTTTCCTATTAAGTTTTTTGAACTCCTTACGTATTCTGGTTATTAATCCCTTATCAGATAGGTACTTTGCAAATATTTTATCCCATTCTATGTGTTGTCTCTTCACTTTGTTGATTGTTTCCATTGCTGTGCAGAAGCTTTTTAGCTTGATGTGATCCAGTTTGTCCATTTTTGTTTTGGTCACCTGAGCTTTTGGGGCCTTACTCAAGAAAAGCTTGCCCAAACCAATATTCTGGAGTGTTTATCCAGTGTTTTCTTCTAATACTTTCATAGTTTCAGGTCTTATATTTGAATATTTAATCCCATTTAATTTGATTTTGATTCTTGTATATGGTGAGAGATAGGGGTCTAGTTTCATTCATCTGCATATGGATATCCCATTTTCCCAGCACCATTTATTGAAGAGTGATTGATTCTTCTGATCACAGAGGTACAAAGAAGCCAGAAGGCATTATTGTTGCACCTCCCCAGTTGTTACAAGTCCCTTCTCCTCTGGCTGCAGTGACTTCCAAGAAGTTTGAAGGGCTGGCACCCTTTTTATTTTCCCCTGTTACTTTTCTCTTTTTCCCCTCTTCAGAGCCAGATATTAAAGACTGGGACATTCAAAAACAACTGTATATGTGAGGAAAATTAAAAAATGACTGTGCCTGCCCAGGGCAAGGCTCAGAAATTACCCATGAAGACTTTAGATTTGCACTTCAGGCTGATACTTGGCATAGAGACAGTCTACAACAATAAAAACTTCAAAGCAATAAATAAAAACAGTAACAAAAACTAGAAAACCCTAGGTAAGGGAGACAATCTGCTTTTCAGAGTTACCAACATTACTAGATTCAAATGTCCACTTTTCAATGATAAATCACAAGGCATACAAAGAATGGCCCTTTTTAAAGGAAACGAATAAATAAACAGAAACTATCCCTCAGAAAGATCTGGTGGCAGGTATATCAGACAAAGACTTTAAAATAGTTGTCTTTTTTTTTTTTTGAACAACAAGTATTTATTAGTGCCTACTATGTGCCAGACATTCTTCGAGACACTTCAGATACATCAGTGAACAAAGCAAATAACTCAGCATGCCTGCATGAAACTTACATTTTAGTAAAGTATAGCTGGTTTAAATATGTAACTTTACTAATACTAAACAACTATGGAAATTATGATTACAGAATAAAAGGCAAATATTTCAAATCTGGATAAAATAAATATCATGTAACTGGAAAATTGTTAAGGAGAGAGGAGACAAAGCTAGTAGGTACTAATTTTTCACAAAGTGTCTACTTTTAATGTTTAAAATTGAAAAGCAGTTTAAAATACAGTTATATGCTGCATAATGATGTTTTGGTCAACTGCACATGCAAAGGTCGCCCCATAAGATTATAATGAAGTTGAAAAATTCTTTTTTATTGTTATTATACTTTAAGTTCTAGGGTACATGTGCACAACATGCAGGTTTATTGCATATGTATACATGTGCCATGTTGGTGTGCTGCACCCATTAACTTGTCATTTACATTAGGTATATCTCCTAATGCTATCCCTCCCCCCTCCCACCACCCCATGACAGACCCTGATGTGTGATGTTCCCCTTCCTGTCTCCAAGTGGTCTCATTGTTCAGTTCCCACCTGTGAGTGAGAACATGCAGTGCTTGGTTTTTTGTCCTTGCAATAGTTTGCTGAGAATGATGGTTTCCAGCTTCATCCATGTCCCTACAAAGGACATGAACTCATCCTTTTTTATTGCTGCATAGTATTCCATGGTGTATATGTGCCACATTTTCTTAATCCAGTCTTTCATTGATGGGAATTTGGGTTGGTTCCAAGTCTATGCTATTGTAAATAGTGCTGCAATAAATATACGTGTGCATGCGTCTTTATAGTAGAATGATTTATAATGCTTTGGGTATATACCCAGTAATGGAATTGCTGGGTGAAACAGTATTTCTGCTTCTAGATCCTTGAGGAATCGCCACACTGTCTTCCACAATGGTTGAACTAATTTACACTCACCTCAACACTGTAAAAGCATTCCTATTTCTCCACATCCTCTCCAGCATCTGTTGTTTCCTGACTTTTTAATGATCACCATTCTAACTGGCGTGAGATGGTATCTCATTGTGGTTTTGATTTGCATTTCTCTGAAGACCAGTGATGATGAGCCTTTTTTTCATATGTTTGTTGGCTGCATAAATGTCTTCCCTTGAGAAGTTTCTGTTCATCTCCTTCACCCACTTTTTAATAGGGTTGCTTTTTTTTTTTCTAAATGTGTTTACGTTCCTTGTAGATTCTGTATATTAGCCCTTTGTCAGATGGACAGATTGCAAAAATACTCTCCCATTCTGTAGGTTGCCTGTTCACTCTGATGATAGTTCCCTTTGCTGTGCAGAAGCTCTTTAGTGTAATTAGATAACATTTGTCAAATTTGGCTTTTGTTGCCATTGCTTTTGGTGTTTTAGTCATGAAGTCTTTGCCCGTGCCTATGTCCTGAATGGCATTGCCTAGGTTTTCTTCTAGGGTTTTTATGGTTTTAGGTCTAATGCTTAAGTCTTTAATCCATCTTGAGTTAATTTTTGTATAAGGTGTAAGGAAGGGGTCCAATTTCAGTTTTCTGCATATGGCTAGCCAGATTTCGAATCCTTTTCCCATTGCTTGCTTGCGTCAGGTTTTTCAAAAATCAGATGGTTCTAGATGTGTGGCATTATTTCTGAGGCCTCTGTTCTGTTCTATTGGTCTATATCTCTGTTTTGGTACCAGTATCATGCTGCTTTGGTTACTGTAGCCTTGTAGTATAGTTTGAAGTCAGGTAGCGTGATGCCTCCAGCTTTGTTCTTTTTGCTTATAATTGTCTTGGGTATGAGGGCTCTTTTTGGTTCCATATGAAATTTAAAGTAGTTTTTTCCAATTCTTTGAAGAAAGTCAATGGTAGCTTGATGGGGGTAGCATTGAATCTATAAATAACTTCGGGCAGTATGGCCATTTTCATGATATTTATTCTTCCTATCCATGAGCATAGAATGTTTTTCCATTTGTTTGTATCCTCTCTTATTTCCCTGAGAAGTGGTTTGTAGTTCTTTTTGAAGAGGTCCTTCACATCCCTTTGAAGTTTTATTCCTAGGTATTTTAATCTCTTTGTAGCAATTGTGAATGGGAGTTCACTCATGATTTGGCTCTCTGTGTGTCTATTATTGTTGTATAGGAATGCTTGTGATTTTTGCACACTAATTTTGTATCCAGAGTCTTTGCTGAAGTTGCTTATCAGCTTAAGGAGATTTGGGGCTGAGATGATGGGGTTTTCTAAATATACAATCATGTCATCTGTAAACAGAGACAATTTGACTTCCTCTCTTCCTATTTAACACACTTTATTTCTTTCTCTTGCCTGATTGCCCTGGCCAGAACTTCCAATACTATGTTGAATAGGAGTGGTGAGAGAGGATATTCATGTCTTATGCCAGGTTTCAAAGAGAATACTTCCAGCTTTTGCCCATATAGTACAATATTGGATGTGGGTTTGTCATAAATAGATCTTATTATTCTGAGATATGTTCCATCAATACCTACACTATTGGGAGTTTTTAGCATGAAGCCATGTTGAATTTTATCAAAGGCCTTTTCTGCATCTATTGAGTTAATTATCTGGTTGTTGTCATTGGTTCTGTTTATGTGATGGATTACGTTTATTGATTTGCGTATGTTGAACCGTCCTTGCATCCCAGGGATGAAGTTAACTTGATTGTGGTGGATAAGCTTTTTGATGTGCTTCTGGATTCGGTTTTTCAGTATTTTATTGAGGTTTTCTGCATTGATGTTCATCAGGGATATTGGCCCGACATTTTCTTTTATTCTTATGTCTGTGCCAGGTTTTGGTATCAGGATGATGTTGGCCTCTTAAAATGAGTTATGGAGGAGTCCCTCTATTTCTACTGTTTGGAATAGGTTCAGAAAGAATGGTACCAGCTCCTCTTTGTACTTCTGGTAGAATTAGGCTGTGAATCCATCCTGGGCTTTTTTGGTTGGTAGGCTATTAATTACTGCCTCAATTTCAGAACTTGCTATTGGTCTATTCAGGGATTCAACTTCTTCCTGGTTTAGTCTTGGAAGTGTGTATGTGTCCAGGAATTTATTCATTTCTTCTAGATTTTCTAGTTTATTTGCATAGAGGTGTTTATAGTATTATCTGGTGTTAGTTTGTGTTTCTGTGGGATTGGTGGTTATATCCCGTTTATAATTTTTTTTTTTTTTTGAGACATAGTTTCACTCTGTCACCCAGGCTGGAGTGCAGTGGTGCGATCTTGGTTTACTGCAAGCTCTGCCTCCGGGGTTCACGCCATTCTCCTGCCTCAGCCTCCCAAGTAGCTGGGACTACAGGCACCCGCCACCTTGCCTGGCTAATTTCTTGTATTTTTAATAGAGACGGGGTTTCGCCATGTTAGCTAGGATGTTCTCAATCTCCTGACCTCGGGATTCGCCCATTTCAGCCTCCCAAAGTGCTGGGATTACAGGCATGAGCCACCACGCCTGGCCCCCTTTGTCATTTTTATCATGTCTATTTCATTCTTCTCTTTTTTCTTCTTTATTAGTCTCGCTAGCAGTCTATCTATTTTGTTAATTTTTCAAAAAACGAGCTTCTTCATTCATTGATTTTTTGCAGGGTTTTTTTGTGTCTCTATCTCTTTCAGTTCTGCTCTGACTTTAGTTATCTCTTGTCTTATGCTAGCTTTTGAATTTGTTTGCTCTTGCTTTTCTAGTTGTTTTCATTGTGTTGTTAGTGTTTGATTTTAGATCTTTCCCACTGTCTGATGTGGGCATTTAGTGCTATAAATTTCCCTCTGAACATTGCTTTAGCTTTGTCCTAGAGAATCTGGTACATTGTCTTTGTTCTCATTGGTTTCAAAGTACTTATTTATTTCTGCCTTAATTTCGTTATTTACCCAGTAGTCATTCAGGAGCAGATTGTTCATTTTCCATGTAGTTTTGCAGTTTTTTTTTTTTTTGAATTTCAGACAATGAATTTTTTTATTATAAATATATCCCAAATATTGCATTATTTTTCTTTTTTTTTTTTATTGATCATTCTTGGGTGTTTCTCGCAGAGGGGGATTTGGCAGGGTCATAGGACAATAGTGGAGGGAAGGTCAGCAGATAAACAAGTGAACAAAGGTCTCTGGTTTTCCTAGGCAGAGGACCCTGGGGCCTTCCGCAGTGTTTGTGTCCTTGGGTACTTGAGATTAGGGAGTGGTGATGACTCTTAACGAGCATGCTGCCTTCAAGCATCTGTTTAACAAAGCACATCTTGCACCGCCCTTAATCCATTTAACCCTGAGTGGACACAGCACATGTTTCAGAGAGCACCGGGTTGGGGGTAAGGTCATAGATCAACAGCATCCCAAGGCAGAAGAATTTTTCTTAGTACAGAACAAAATGGAGTCTCCTATGTCTACTTCTTTCTACACAGACACAGCAACAATCTGATTTCTCTATCTTTTCCCCACATTTCCCCCTTTTCTATTCAACAAAACCGCCATCGTCATCATGGCCCGTTCTCAATGAGCTGTTGGGTACACCTCCCAGACGGGGTGGCGGCCGGGCAGAGGGGCTCCTCACTTCCCAGAAGGGGCGGCCGGGCAGAGGTGCCCCCCACCTCCCGGATGGGGCGGCAGCTGGGCGGAGGCGCCCCCCACCTCCCGGATGGGGCGGCTGGCCGGGCGGGGGCTGACCCCCCGCCTCCCTCCCGGACGGGGCGGCTGGCCGGGCGGGGGCTGACCCCCTGCCTCCCTCCCGGACGGGGCGGCTGGCTGGGCGGGGGCAGTTTTGCAGTTTTGAGTGAGTTTTTAAATCCTGAGTTCTGATTTGATTGCACTGCAGTCTGAGGGACTGTTTGTTATGATTTCCATTCTTTTGCATTTGCTCAGGAGTGTTTTACTTCCAATTATGTGGTCAATTTTAGAATAAGTGTGTTGTGTTGTGTTGGTGAGAAGAATGTATATTCTGTTGAATTGGGGTGGAGAATTCTATAGATGTCTATTAGTTCCACTTGGTCTAGAGCTGAGTTCAAGTCCTGAATATTCTTGTTAATTATCTGGCTCTTTGCTCTGTCTAATATTGACAGTGGGGTGTTAAAGTCTCCCACTATTATTGTGTGGGAGTCTAAGTCTCTTTTTACGTCTCTAAGAACTTGCTTTATGAAACTCGGTGCTTCTGTATTGGGTGCATATATATTTAGGATAGTTAGCTCTTCTAGTTTTATTGATCACTTTACCATTATGTAACACCCTTCTTTGTCTTTTTGATAATTGTTGTTTTAAAATTTGTTTTATCAGAGACTAGGATTGCAACCCCTGCTTTTTTTTGCTTTCAATTTGCTTGGTAAATATTCCTCCATCTCTTTATTTTGAGCCTATGTGTGTCTTTGCACATAAGATGGGTCTCCTGAATATCGCACATCAATAAGCTTAACTTTTTATCCAATTTGCCATTCTGTTTCTTTTAATTGGGGCATTTAACCCGTTTACATTTAAGGTTAATATTGTTATGTGTGAATTTGATCCTGTCATTATGATGCTAGCTGGTGATTTTGCCCATTAGTTGATGCAGTTTCTTCATAGTGTTGATGGTCTTTACAATTTGGTATGTTTTTGCAGTGATTAGTACAGTTTTTCCTTTCCATGTTTAGTGCTTCCTTCAGGATCTCTTGTAAGGCAGGCCTAGTAGTGACAAAATCTCTCAGCACTGCTTGTCTGTAAAGGATTTTACTTCCCTTTTGCTTATGAAGCTTAGTTTGGCTGGATATGAAATTCTGGGCTGAAAATTCTTTTCTTTAAGAATGTTGGATATTGGCCCCCAATAACCCTACAATCTTCTGGCTTCTAGGGTTCCTGCAGAGAGATCTGCTGTTAGTCTGATGGGCTTCCCTTTGTGGGTAACCTGACCTTTCTCTCTGGCTGCCCTTAACATTTTTTCCTTTGTTTCAACCTTGGTTAATCTGATGATTATGTGTCTTCTGGTTACTCTTCTTAAGGAATATCTTGGTGGTGTTCTCTTTTTTTCTGGAAGTTGAATGTTGGCCTGTCTTGCTAGGTTGGGGAAGTTCTCCTAGATAATATCTTGAAGAGTGTTTACCAATTTGGCTCCATTTTCCCCATCACTTTCAGGTACACCAATCAAATATAAGTTTGGTCTTTTCACATAGCCCCATATTTCTTGGAGGCTTTATTCATTCCTTTTCATTCTTTTTTCTCTAATCTTGTCTTCATGCTTTATTTCATTGAGTTGATCTTCAGTCTCTGATATACTTTATTCTGCTGATCAATTCAGCTATTGATACCTGTGTATGTTTCACGAAGTTCTCGTGCTGTGTTTTTCATCTCCATCAGGTCATTCATGTTCTTCTCTAAACTGGTTATTCTAGTTAGCAATTCGTCTAACCTTTTCCCAAGGTTTTTAGCTCTCTTGTATTAGGTTAGAACATGCTCCTTTAGCTTGGAGGAATTTGTTGTTACCCACCTTCTGAAGCCTACTTCTCTCAGTTCATCAGACTCATTCTTGTTTGGTTTGTTTCCCTTGCTGAAGAGGAGTTGTGATTCTTTGGAGGAGAAGAGGCATCCTGGGTTTTGGGATTTTCAGACTTTTTGCGCTGGTGTTTCCTCATCTTCATGGATTTATCTACCTTTGGTCTTTGATGTTGGTGACCTTCTGATGGGATTTCTGCCAGGACGTCCTTTTTTTGTTGATGTTGATGCTATTCCTTTCTTTTTGTTAGTTTTCCTTCTAACAGTCAGGCCCCTCTGCTGGAGTTTGCTGGAGATCCACTCCAGACCCTGTTTGCCTGGGTGTCACCAGCAGAGGCTGCGGAAGAGCAAAGATTGCTGTGTGTTCCTTCCTCTGGAAGCTTCTTCCTAGAGGGGCACCCACCAGATGCCAGCCGGAGCTCTCCTTTATGAGGTGTCTGTTGGCGCCTGCTGGGAGATTTCTCCCAATCAGGAGGCATGCAGGTTAGGGACCCACTTTAGGAAGCAGTCTATCCCTTAAGCAGAGCTCACATGCTGTGCTTGGAGATGTGCTGCTCTCTTCAGAGCTGGCAGGCATGAACGTTTAAATCTGCTGAAGCTGTGCCCACAACCGCCCCTTCCCCCAGGTGCTCTGTCCCAGGGAGATGGGGGTTTTATCTATAAGCCCCTGACTGGGGCTGCTGCCTTTCTTTCTGAAATGCCCTGCCCAGAGAGGAGGAATCTAGAGGGGCAGTCTTGCTACGGAGGCTTTGTCAAGCTGCGGTGGGCTCTGCCCAGTTTGAACATGCTGGAGGATTTATTTACACTGTGAGGGGATAAGTGCCTACTCAAGCCTCAGTAATGGTGGATGCCCGTCCCCCTACCAAGCTCGAGAGCCCCAGGTCGACTTCAGACTGCTGTGCTGGTGTGAGAATTTCAAGCCAGTGGATCTTAGCTTGCTGGACTCCATGGGAGTGGGATCTGCTGAGCTAGACCACTTGGCTTCCTGGCTTCAGCCCCCTTTCCAGGGGAATGAATGGTTCTGTCTTGCTGGCATTCCAGGAGCCACTGGGGTATGAAAAGAAAGCTCTTGCAGCTAGCTCAGTGTCTGCCCAAACAGCCACCCAGCTTTGTGCTTGAAATCCAGGGCCGTGGTGGCATAGGCACCCAAGGGAATCTCCTGGTCTGCAGGTTGCGAAGATCATGGGCAAAGCATAGTATCTGTGCCGGAATGCACAATTCTTCAAGGCACAGCCCCTCAGGGCTTCCCTTGGCTAAGAGTGAGTTCCCCAACCCTTTGTGCTTCCTGGGTGAGGCAATACCCCACCCTGCTTCAGCTCACCCTCTGTGGTGGGCTGCACACAGTGTCTAACCTGTCCCAGTGAGATGAGCCACGTACCTCAGTTGGAAATGCAGAAATCTCCCGCCTTCTGCGTTGATCTCACTGGGATCTGCAGACCGGAGATGTTCCTGCTCGGCCATCTTGCCAGCCACCCCAGTAATTACTTTAAATGCAAACAGATTCAACTTTTTAATCAAAGGACAAAGATTGGCAGAATAGATTAAAAAAAAAAAAAAAAAAAAAAAAAAAAACACATAATCCAACTGTATGCTGTCTACAAGAGATTCACTTTCAATCCAAAGACACAAATAAAAAAATGAAAGGATGGAATAATATTCATATTAAATGAAAATAGTAATTCAAAGGGATCAGGATTGGTTATGCTAATATCAGACAAAATCAATTTAAAAAAATGATTATAAGAGACAAAGAAAAATAGTATATATTAATAAAGCATTTAATATAGCCAATATAAAATTATAAAATTTATATACTTAATGATGGATCATCAAAATATATGAAGTAAAAGCTGATAAAATTGAAGGAAGAAAATAGATAATTCTATAAAAATAATTGGAGACTTTAATATCCCACTCTCAATAATTGATAGAACAACCAGACAGAAGATAAGTAAGGATATAGAGGACTTAACACAACAAACTAGATCTAACATGTGCAGAACACTACACAACAACAATAGCACACACATTTTTCTCAAGTGCATATATTTTTGAGGATAGATGATATGTTAGGCCACAAATTTAGCCACTCTGTCAGTGTTTGCTTCATATGTTTTGAGGTTCTATTGTTTGGTGTGGATATGTTTATAATTGGAATATATTTCTGACCTTTTTCTCAATGTATAATATCCTAGTTTTTCTCTTATAATAGAAGTATTTTTGTCTATTTTGTCTGACATTAGTATAGCCACACCAGCTCTCTTTTGGATATTATTTGGATGGAATATATTTTCCATCTTTTCATTTTCAGTATGGTTGCATGTTTAGATCTAAAGGAATTCTCTTGTAGACAGCATGTAATTGAATCGTGTTTGTAAATACATTCTGCCAATCTCTGCCTTTTCATTGAGAGTTTAATTTATTTATATTTTGTGTTTACTTCTGCCATTTTGCTATTTGCTTTCTGTATGTCTTATATCTTTTTTGTCCCTCATTTCCTCCATTACTGCCTTTTCTGTGTGTTTAGTTGACTTTTTTGCATGCACAGTTTCTATTGCCTTCTCAGTGCCTCTTGTTTATACTTTTAGATATTTTATGGTTACCATGTAGATTACATTTATCAACCTAAATTTATAACAATTTAGTTTGAATTGATACTAATTTAACTTTAATAGCCTACAAAAAATGCTACTTGGCGAGGCGTGGTTGCTCACACCTATAATCTCAGTATTTTGGAAGGCTGAGCCAGGCAGATTGCTTGAACCCTGGAGTTTGAGACTAACCTGAGCAATATGGTGAAACCCCTATCTCTGCCAAAAAAGAACATATTAGCCAGCCATGGTGGTGTGGTCCTGCCATGCCTGTAGTCCCAGCTACTCAGAAGGCCGAGGTGGGAAGAACACCCGCACCTAGGTGATCGAGGCTGCAATGACCTGTGATTGTGCCACTGCACTCCATCCTGGGCAATAGGTCAAGACCTTGTCTCAAAAAAATAAATGCCACTATATATCTTTGCCCCACACTTTATGTTGTTGTCACAAATTACTTCTATGTATATTGTGTGACCAATAAGAGATTTATAATTCTTTTTACGAGTTTGTCTCTTAAATCATGTAGAAAATAAAAAGAAGTGTTAGAAACCAAAAATATGATATTACTGGCTGTTAGATTTGCCTGTTTGGTTACCTTTACCAGAAATCTTTATTTCTTCATATGGTTTTGAGTTACTGCCTAGTTTTCTTTTATTTCAACCTGAAGGACTTCCTATATGTTTTCTCATAGGGGTGGTCCAGTGTTAATGAATTCCCTCACCTTTTGTTCATCTGGGTGTGTCTTGATAGTGCCATCATCCTTAAAGTATAGTTTTGTCAAATATAAAATTCTTGATTAACAATTTTTTCTTTTAGCAATTTAAATGTTTTCCCACTGCCTTTTGGCCTCCATGGTTTCTGATGAGAATCAGCTGTTAATTTTATTGAGGATCCCATATACAGAATGAGTTGCTTTTCTCTTGTTGCTTTCAAGATTATCTCTTTGTCTTTGGCTTTCAACAATTTGATTACAGTATGTGTCAGTTTGTATCACTTTGAATTTATCATATTTGGAATTTGTTGAGCTTATGGGATGTATAGAATCATGCCTTTCATCAAATTTTGGAAGTATTCAGTCATTATTTCTTGAAATATTGTTTCTACCATTTCTCTCTCTCTCTTTTTTCGTTCTAGGATTCCCAAATTTGTATGTTGGTCCACTTAATGGTGTACCACAGGTCCCTTAGGCTCTATTCACCTTTCTCTATTATCTTCTGTTTGTGGTTCTTAGGACTGGGTACTTCCAGTTGTCCTATCTTCAGGTTTGCTGATTCTGACTTCTGCCTGCTCAAATTTTCTACTGAACCCCTGTAGTGAATTTTTTTTATTTCAGTTATTGTACTTTTCAGCTTAAAAATCTGTTTGGTTCCTTTTTAAAGTTAATATTCCTATATGAATATTTTAATTTTGTTCATACATTGTTTACTGATTTCCTTTAGTTCATTGCTCATGGTTTCCTTTAGTTCTTTTAGCATATTTATGACAGTTGTGTTAAAGTCTTTGTTGCTTCCTCAGAGATAGTTTCTGTTTATTTTCTTTTTGAATAAGCTTTCTTTTCCTGTTTATTTTTTGTGACTTGTGCTTTTTTGTTGAAAACTGGACATTTGGATATTATAATGTGGTAACTCTGGAAATCTGATTATTTCTCTTTCTCAGAGTTGGGTGGGTTTTTTTTTTAACACTGTAATAGCCTGTTTCATTACTTTTCCTATTTTTGCAGATACTGTATTTCTTGTCTGTGGTTACTGAAGTTTCTGTTTCTTAGCTTGTGTTCACCTATGGTTTTGACATATTTCCTTGAATTCCAAGAGCTAAAACAAACAAACAAAAAATTCACCTATTTCTGTCTTTACAAATTTTCTATGCTGGGCCGCTCCTTCATCACTTAGCCTGATCTTAGCCTTTGAACACTGAGCCTAGGGATCAGCCCACAGTGGAAATCTGTGCTCTTATCAGGTTTTTTCTGAGTATGCATCTTGTCTTGGGCATAAGTGTGGCTCTCTAAATTATTTCATATACAGATACTTTGAATGCCCTGATTTCCCAAGCAAACTCCCCCAGATTTTTCTCCCAGACCTGTTGCATATTTCATTGCTAATCTTTTGCCTCAAGCATCTTCGTGTTGTTTATTTGCCTTGCTTTACGATATTTTTAAGCAATGCTCACAAGTTTTCTGCCCTGAGAGGATTCCAAGGTAGGTAAAGCAGAAAAGAGCACCTTGCATCATTCCTTCAGGCAGCCCCCAGACAGTTAGAAAATAGTTTGCATGTGAGGTCTGCTATGCTTCTTCCAGAACCAGAGTCCAGTGTTCCACACTGAGAGTGTAGCTGCTATCTTCAAGATGTAGCTAAGTGTACCTAAGGCCTGATGTGGTGGCTCACGCCTGTAATCCCAGCACTTTGGGAGGCCAAGGCAGGTGGATGGCTTGAGCTCAGGAGTTCGAGACCAGCCTGGGCAATATGGCGAAACCCTGTCTCTACCCAAAATACAAAAATTAGCCAGGTGTGGTGGCACATGCCTGTGGTCCCAGCTACTGGGGAAGCTGAGGTGGGAGGATCACTTTAGCCCAGGAGGCATAGGATGCAGTGAGGCATAGACTGCACTCCAGCCTGAGTGACAGAGTGAGACCCCATCTCAACAAAACAAAACAAAAGACCACTGCTAAGCTTGAGAGGCAGTGGGGCAAAGACAAGTAAAAACATCACAAGATATCCTACCATTTTAAAGTTGCCTTTTTCTTGATTTGGCATGTTCTCAGCTACTATAAACCACTCTTTTTGAGAGCCTGATGAAGTTGATTCTGACAGTTTCTGCTTCTTTTTAAATATTCCTGTAGAGGGATGGGAATGGAGTTGTTTACTCTGCCATTTTCCTGATATTACCTAGAAAATCCTTTTTTTTTTTTTTTTAATGACAAGGGGATTCTGTGAAACTGATTTGCTTTTTTCCCCATGAATCCTAGAAAAGCATGACTGATTTTGTAATTTCCTTCTGACTTTGGCTGTTAAGAAGCTCTGAGATAGAATTATGGCTACCACTAGCAGTTATGTAAGATTTTGTTTTCTAGTTCTACTTTTGTATGTATCTTACTTTATGCTTTTATTTCCCATTTGTCCCTCTTTACTCTTTCATTTTCTTTGTTTTTTTGTTTGTTTGTTTTGCAATGTGTGTATCTCTGTAAACTGCATGAAATTCTTTTTGTGGAAGAAGGTGAGAGACAAATAAGGGACTAGGATTAAGATTCTAATATTTTCACCTACTACTGGGCCACCTTTAAACTGTTAAAGAATCTACCATAAGTATTTGTTGAAATTCTGTTGCTTTAACACCACAATGTTGCTTCAGTAAATAAAAAAGCCAAGCAGAGCACAAAAAGTACATCACAAATAATAATTCATGATTGTGAAATGAATTCCTGAACCTGACTTTCAACCATGAAGTTCAAAGGCTGGAAATGGTAAAGTCAACAGGAACAAATTGGAAGTAAAAAAAGAGTGCAGGGTTCCTGAAACGAATAATGTAAAGCAAAACTTTTCATGGATCCCTAAGAATATCCTAATTTGAACAATATAAATATAATTTTTATTTGACTTGTTTTATTTGACTTGTTTTATTTGACTTGTTTATATAAAGCATTGCATAGTGGTCAACACATGAGCTCTGTAGTCAGATTGCCTGGCTTTGACCCTTGCTGTGTCACTTATGAACTTGGTGACCTTGACTAGTTACATTACCTCTCTGTGACTCTGTTTCTGCCGCTTTAAAAATGAGAATAATAATAGAGCCTAATTCATAGCATTGTTGTGAGAATCATACTAATAATACCTGTAAAGGTTTAACAGTGCCTAGGCTATACTAATCACTCAATGAAAGTTACTTATTATTTAATGATGAATCATCATGCAAAAGTGAAGTTATGTTTCCATAACTGCAAAATAAAATACTTGAGGCATTTTTTTAAGTGGAGACACAAACATTTTAAAATTCTGATATAGACCTTTTTCATGGGAAATAATTATCTTAGACACATGAAAATACACCTAAGTAGGATCTTGATTCTGCCATTTAGTAAGTGGTTTTGGCAAATTTACTTCACCTATTTGCATCTGAGTTTCCTCATCTGTAAAACGAGAGTTGAACTAACAACTGCCTTGAGGATGAAATGAAAGACTGCAGGTAAAGCACCAAGCAGAGTGTTTGCACATAAGTGCTCAAACATTTCTTCTTATTATTCTGAAATAAAGAGTTGGCAGGTTTAAAATGAAGAGGAGGGGGTGCTCTTGGGGAGTAGGGTAGAGGAAGACCCTTAGCAATAAGTAGAGTCTTATTCCATTTGCACTGTTATAACAAAGTACCATTAGCTGGGTGCCTCATTAACAACAGAAATTTGCTTATTGTGGTTCTGGAGGCTGAGAAATCCAAGATCGAGGCACTAGCAGATTCCATGTCTAGTGAGAGCCTGCTTCCTCATGGATGACTGTCTTCTCACTGTAACTTTACATGGCAGAGGCGGAATGAACCTCTCTCTGGCCTCTTTTATAAGAACACTGACCTAATCACCTCAGAAAGGACCCAGCTACTAATACCATCGTCTTGGGTGTTAGGATTTTAACATAATTTTTTTAGGAGGACACAAAGACTCAGGTCATAGCAACTAGGAAACCTGAGATTAAGATCTAAAATCAATAAATCAGACAACACACGAATGGCAGGGTGATAACACCAAGACAGGGAGCTTGAAGGGAAGAGGTGGCTAAACTGATGCCATCTCCACTGGGGGAATGTTGTCAAATAAAATACAAGATGCCTGTTAAATTTGAACTTTATATAAACAAAAAAACCTAATATGTCTGAAATGTTGCACGACACATACTTGTACAAAAAAAGTATTTGTTGTTTATCTGAAATTCAAATTTAACTGGGCATCTTGTATAGTTGCTAAATCTTGCAACTCTATGGTGGAGGATGCAACAGCCTTGCTTGCAGAAGTTGGCTAATGAGAGCACAGTTAAGGGGCCCAGGACCAGGGTCCAATACCTGATGTGACATCACTAAGTTTAGCTTTCTAGTAGGTGTGTCAGGAAGCCAAGGATCCAGATTCCTGTGAAATACTCAGGAATCACCAAGGAAGTAGGACCTGGGATTTGGGAAGATTCTGCTCCAGGACACAGTCTGCATCCAGGAGGTGCAAGGATTAGATCTGTCTTAAGTAAGGGTGTTAGCAGACGGTAAAAGCAGGTTGGAGAATGACGAGCCTTGATAGTGCTTGGTATGTGTGGGAGGAAAAGAGGGAATGGAACTTGGCGGTATCAACCACAGTAAACCATCAGCACAGAAGATGGGACAAAAGCAGAAATCTAGCCCTGAAGACTGGGCACACCATGAGGCAGAGCAGGCAAGTCCGAATTAGGGAATGACGTACCAACATGACTAGTTTTGGTCCCTGGGATAACTAAATTCTTGGTATGCTTGGGATAAAGGAAGCTTGGGGAATTCAGCTATTGTGAGGGATCACCCAAACCCAAGTTTGAGAATGTGAATAAATTCTGAACCCCACAAGGCAGTGGGCAGAGGTTATTATAACTCTTGCTGATGAGCTTATAAACTGGAGCATATTTGAGCCTGGATGTGGGCATTAGTGGATTCAGCTACAATCTTAGCAGACGTGTAGCTGACATAGATTGAGGGATGTTCAATCTGAGCCTGTCGGAGATTGGAGTCAGGCAGGGAAGGTGAACAAGAATGCTCATTTGCTCTGAATGTCTCATTTATGAAAGGTCTTAAGTTGAGACTGAAGCGTTTATATTGTCACTGAAATAAGGCATGGTTTGACATTTTTATGAAGATATAACTCACCGTAAATTTCACCAATAAAAATATACAGTTATGTTTTAAGTGTATAATTTAGTACATTTTCAGTGTTTTGGAACCATCATGACTATCTAATTCTTGAACATTTTCATACCTCATACCCATTAAGAAGTCACTCCCCATTTTTTCCTCCCTGCAGCCCCTGGCAACCATTAATTTACTCTCTGTCTCTATGTACTTGCCTATACTGTATATTTCACATGAATGGAATCATAAACATATAGTCCTTTGTGTCTGACTTTTACTTAACATCATATTTTCAAGGTTCATTTGCTTTAGCATGTGATCAATACTTCATTTGTTTTATGGATGAATAATGTTTCATTGTAAAGACGGACCACACCTTATTTATCCACTCATCAATTGATGGGTATTTGGGTTCATTTCTACTTTTTGGGCTCTTAAGGTTAATGCTGCTATGAACATTCACATACAAGTTTTTCTGTGGATATATGTTTTTATTTCTCTTGGGTATATACCTAGGAGTAGAATTAATGAGTCATATGGGTAATTCTATGTTTAACTTGTTGAGGAACTGCCAATGTTTCTACTTTTTTTCTTTCACTCCTGGCAAGCTGTGAGAATAGTTTTGTTTGTTTCATTTTGAGACAGGGTGATGCTATGTTTCTCAGCCTGGTCTTGAACTTCTAGGTTCAAACACTCCTCCTGCCTCAGCCTCCCAAGTAGTTGGATTTACAGGCTCGCACCACTGCACCCCTCCACTTTGTAATATGTCAGGGTTCTTAAAAAATAGAAATAAATTTGAGCCTTTCAACCACTGATAAGTCCTATGCTTAACCAGTATTGACCACTGGGATGATCTTCAAGGTCTAGTGGAGGTAAGTGTGACAATGTAACACCACAATGCCTAAATAAACTCTTATACAATCACCATCACATCTTCCCATACCTTCCCTCTTTTATCTTCATTTCACAGAGATAGGGAGATTTAAAATGAATATTCAGATCTTTCAGCTACACTGAATTTTCCAGGTAATGATACTTTCTTCACAGGAAGGCATTATTATTTTCCCATTTTTGCAGATGGGAAACCGAGGCTCCAAGAAGTAAAGTGCCTTGTCCAAGGTCCCACATCCAATGAGTTGTTAAGCCTACATTGAATACTAGGATTTTCAATGCCTGGTCTAGGATCCTTTCAGTGTAGTCTTTGCCCCTATGTGCCTCTGAAAAAGGTAGAAGATTGCTGATATATTTGGGCTCCCAAACTGAAATCAGACAGCCTCAAAAATGTTGAAAGTTGATCATTAACACAAGAGTGGAAAGAAAGAAGTTGGGGAGGAGGAGAGAAGGCATATTGTTTCTCTCTGTGAGCATAGTATGACTGAGAATAATTCATCTGAGGGGAAGCCGTTCACTCCCCATCTGTACAGCATTAATTCACTGAGGGCTGGGTCTACACTAGGCCCTGGAGATACAGAAAGAGAAGGAACAGGGCTGAAGCTAGAGTGAGGTGAGTGGAGGTAGTTGACTTGAGCATAATTTTAAGGGAATGCTGAAAATCTCAGTAATCAAGATAAACAATATTTTTTCTTAGGTAACTTGTTATTTTTATTATAGATTCACATGCAGTTGCAGAAAAATGATACAGATAGATCTCATGTAAATTGTACTCTGTTTTCCCCAATAGTAACCCCTTGCAGAACTATAGTACAATACCACAGAGAAGATATTGACATTAATATAATCAAGATACAGAACATTTCCACCACCACAAGGAACCCTCATATTGCCCTTTTATAGCCACACCTACTTCCCTCCCACTACCATTCCCTCTGTAACCTCTGGTAACCACAAATCTGTTTCCCATTTCTATGATTTTGTCATTCCCAGAATGTTACATGAATAGAATCATATCCCTTTAGGGATTGACATTTTTTTACTCAGCATAATTCTCTGGAGATTCACCCACAGATGTATCAATAGTTTTCTTTATTGTTGAGGAGTATTCCATGGTATGGATATACCAATTTGTTTAAACATTCACCTGCTGAAGAACATATAGGTTGTTTTCAGTTTTGGGCTATTATAAATAAAACTACTATAAATATGTATAGGTTTGTTGTAAACATAAATTTTCACTTTTTTCTGGGGTAAATGTCCAGGATTGCAATTACTAGGTCATGTGGTAGTTGCATGTTTCTTTTTTAAAAATACAAAACTGACAAACCATTGTCCATAATGGTTGTACCGTTGTGCATGCTCACCTGCAATGTATTAGTGACTCCGTTTCTCTGTATCTTTGCCAGCATTTGGTATTGTCACCATTTTTTAATTTTAGTCTTTCTGATAGGTTATAGCGATATTGCATTGTGGTCTTAATTTGCGTTTCCCAAATGGCTAATGACGTTGAAGAAATTTTCATGTAGTTACCATCTGTATAACCTCTTCAGTGAAATGTTTCTTCATATCTTTTGACAATTGTTTAAATTGTATTAACTTTTTACTGTTGAACTTTGAGGGTTATTAATATATTTTAGATGCTAGTCTTTTGTTGAATATGTAGTTTTCAAATATTTTCTCCTAGTGTATACCTTGTCTTTTCATCTTCTTTCACATAGAAAAAAATTTCAATTTTGATAAAGTCCATTTTATCAGCTTTTCCTTTTATGGATTATGCTTTTGGTGTCAAATTAACTCCCATTCACAACTGCTTCAAAGAGAATAAAATACCTAGGAATCCAACTTACAAGGGATGTGAAGAACCTCTTCAAGGAGAACTACAAACCACTGCTCAATGAAATAAAAGAGGATACAAACAAATGGAAGAACATTCCATGCTCATGGATAGCAAGAATCAATATCGTGAAAATGGCCATACTGCCCAAGGTAATTTATAGATTCATTGCCATCCCCATCAAGCTACCAATGACTTTCTTCACAGAATTGGAAAAAACTACTTTAAAGTTCATATGGAACCAAAGAAGAGCCCGCATTGCCAAGTCAATCCTAAGCCAAAAGAACAAAGCTGGAGGCATCACGCTACCTGACTTCAAACTATACTACAAGCCTACAGTAACCAAAACAGCATGGTACTGGTACCAAAACAGAGATATACATCAATGGAACAGAACAGAGCCCTCAGAAATAATGCCGCATATCTACAACTATCTGATCTTTGACAAACTTGACAAAAACAATAAACGAGGAAAGGATTCCTTATTTAATAAATGGTGCTGGGAAAACTGGCTAGCCATATAAAGCTGAAACTGGATCCCTTCCTTACACCTTATACAAAAATTAATTCAAGATGGATTGAAGACTTAAATGTTAGACCTAAAACCATAAAAACCCTAGAAGAAAACCTAGGCAATACCATTCAGGACATAGGCATGGGCAAGGACTTCATGTCTAAAACACCAAAAGCAATGGCAACAAAAGCCAAAATTGACAGATGGGATCTAGTTAAACTAAAGAGCTTCTGCACAGCAAAAGAAACTACCATGAGAGTGAACAGGCAACCTACAGAATGGGAGAAAATTTTTGCAATCTACTCAAGGGCTAATATCCAGAATCTACAATGAATTCAAATTTATAAGAAAAAAAAAACAAACCCATCAAAAAGTGGGCGAAGGATATGAACAGACACTTCTCAAAAGAAGACATTTATGCAGCCAAAAGACACATGAAAAATTGCTCATCATCACTGGCCATCAGAGAAATGCAAATCAAAACCACAATGAGATACCATCTCACTCCAGTTAGAATGGCTATCATTAAAAAGTCAGGAAACAACAGGTGCTGGAAAAGATGTGGAGAAATAGGAACACTTTTACACTGTTGGTGGGACTGTAAACTAGTTCAACCATTGTGGAAGTCAGTGTGGTGATTCCTCAGGGTTCTAGAACTAGAAATACCATTTGACCCAGCCATCACATTACTGGGTATATACCCAAAGGATTATAAATCATGCTGCTATAAAGACACATGCACACGTATGTTTATTGCGGCACTATTCACAATAGCAAAGACTTGGAACCAACCCAAATGTCCAACAATGATAGAGTGGATTAAGAAAACGTGGCACATATGCACCATGGAATACTATGCAGCCATAAAAAAGGATGAGTTCATGTCCTTTGTAGGGACATGGATGAAGCTGGAGACCATCATTCTGAGCAAACTACCGCAAGGACAGAAAACCAAACACTGCATGTTCTCACTCATAGGTGGGAGTTGAACAATGAGAACACATCGACACAGGAAGGGGAAAATCACACCCTGGGGCCTGTTGTGGGGTGGGGGGAGGGGGGAGGGATAGCATTAGGAGATATACCTAATGTTAAATGATGAGTTAATGGGTGCAGCATACCAACATGGCACATGTATACATATGTAACAAACCTGCAGGTTGTGCACATGTACCCTAAAACTTAAAGTATAATAATAATAAAAAAAAGAATTCAGAGGTGATAATTTTGAGATGAGTCCAAAAAAAAAAATCCTTTGCTTAGTCCTAGATCCAAAAGGTTTTCTCCTTTTTTTTTCTAAAAGTTTTATAGGTTTACATTTTACATTTAAATCCATCATCCATTCTGAGTTAATTTTTGCATAAGATATGAGGTCTTTTGAGTAAAATTTTTTTTTCCTAACAGATACTCACTTTCTCCACCATCATTTGTTGAAAAGATCATCCTTTCATCTTTGTGGGAAAAAAAAAAAAAAAACCCAGCAAACCAGTTTGGCATATATGTGTGAGTCTATGTCTGGGTCCTGTATTCTATTCCATTGATCCATGTCTTTTCCACCACCAATACTACACAGCCTTGATTACTGTAGCTATCTAATAAATGTTGACATCAGGTAGAATGATTTATTCTACTTTATTCTCTTTCAAAATTGTTTTTAGCTATTTCAGTTCCCTTGCCTTTCTATATAAATTTTAGAACTATCTTGTCTGTGTCGGCCAGGCACGGTGGCTCACACCTGTAATCCCAGCACTTTGGGAAGCTGAGACGGGCGGATCACAAGGTCAGGAGATTGAGACCATCCTGGCTAACACAGTGAAACCCTGTCTCTACTAAAAATACAAAAAAATTAGCCGGGCTTGGTGGCGGGCGCCTGTAGTCCCAGCTACTCGGGAGGCTGAGGCAAGAGAATGGCGTGAACCCGGGAGGCAGAGCTTGCAGTTTGCCTAGATCGCGCCACTGCACTGCAGCCTGGGCGACAGAGTGAGACTCCGTCTCATAAAAAAAAAAAAAAAAAAAAAAGAATTATCTTGTCTGTGTCTACGGAAAATATTTCTGGATTTTGATATCAGTTTCCATTAAACTTGTATGTCAATTTGGAGATAATTGACATTTTGTCCCAGTCTTTATCATTAGGCTCCTGCCTTGTTCTTTATGCCCCAATTTGCTGTCCAGGTCACCAGGTCCTCTAAAATGAAGACTGGCTTTTCTCTCACTGGACAATCTGTCTACCTTCCTCCATTGCTTCCACCTTAGAGACTACCTGAAGTCTGGTAGCTGGAACCCCTATTTCCATGGACACACCATCTTGGAGCCAACTGCCCACTGGGACCTTCAAAACATGGACTGCCTTGGAGCTCTCCTTGTTCTGCATCTCCTACCTCTTGGGATGCCCCTACTAATTTACGTCATACTCCACTGGCTTCCTGAACTATGGCTTGCCACTTAATATACCGTAGTCCAGCTTTATACCTGGAGCCTGAGTCTTCCCTCCTCACTAACTAACTCCAATGTCAGCATGTAGTAGCAGAGAGATGGGGGAATGCCTGGCCTTAGATTCTGGCCCCTTTTAGCTTGACCTGGCTTGCCACTGCTAATAAAGCTATACCAGGCCACATCTTGAAACATGGAAGGCAGAGCATCTAGCTTGGGACTGGAGGACTAATAGACCAAAAAGCTGTCTTTGACAAGTAAAGGATAAGCATGTTTGTCTTAATAGCACTTTTTTTCTTGTTGCATTTCTTTGATCTTTGGCCAAGCCTTGCTTACTTTTATCCTGTTTTTCTGTCTTTAAAATAAGGACAAATTGGAATAAATCACTGTTTTTCAAATATTTTTTAAGCAACAGATCACTGTATTGAAAAATATCTTCCACAAAATCCCCAAATATGAAAATAATACCAATTAAGTTCTAGTTAAAAAAGGAGTAGGGGTGGCTTCCCTTCACTCTAAAATCTTAGAGTTCTGCCAAACCCAGTTTAAAAACCATGGATATAGCTGTCTTCTGAGAAGCCTTTCCAGCTTTGATGCCCACTAACATTTATAGGGTTAAATAAGCTGAGGAAGTAAGAGGGTCAAGAGGAGAAATGTTCAGTGAGCCTTTACTCAAAATGTGATGGCTTAGAGGAGTGTGGGCTCTAGCAACCAGCATGCCTCTGCTTGCCATAGGAAAATTGATTCAAGGTTTCTAACGGTGCCTGCAACAGATCTAGTTCTGAAAACACCTGTCTGGGAAACCCTTTCAGATTCTCCCTGGTAGAGTTTCTTAATCCCTCTTACATTATCCCAGAGTTTACTATTCACTCCTCCATTATAACACAGCGCACATTGTATTGTCATTGCTTATTTACGGGCCCATCTCCAAATAAGCTATGAGCATCCCCAAAGCAGGAACTATTCTTATTTCTCTGGATCTCCAGCCCCTAGGACAGCAGGCAAAGGACATGTCTTCTCAAAAGAAGACATATAAACAGCAAACAAGCATATGAAGAAATTTTCAACATCAGAAATAATCGGAGAAATGCAAATTAAAACTACTCTGAGATACTATCTTATACCAGTCAAGATGGCTTTTAATAAAAAGTCAAAAAACAACAGATGTTGGAAAAAAGGGAACGGTCATACACTGTTGATGAGAATGTAAATTAGTTCAACCTCTATGGAAAACAGTATGGATATACCTCAAAGAACTAAAAACAGAACTACCATTCAACCCAGCAATCCCACTATTGGGTATCTATCCAAAGGAAAAGAAGTCATTATAACAAAAAAGACCCCTGTACTCATATGTTTATTGCAGCACTATTTACAACAGCAAAGTCATGGAACCAACCGAAGTGTCTACCAACAGTTGATTGGATAAAGAAAATGTGGTATACATACACCATGGAATACTATGTAGCCATAAAAGAACAAAATCATGTTCTTTGCAGCAACGTGGATGGAGTTGGAGGCCATTATTGAAACCAGCTTTGTGAACATTGTGACAGTGAGGAAAATCTGACATATGAAAACTCTAATAGTGAAAGAAATCTGACCTAACTGCCAACTCCATCTTGCTTCTAACCTCCAAGTTGCCCTTGCTCATGCCTGTGCATATGCCAAGGTAATTATGGGAGGAATTTAGTTTGTAGTTTAACAAACAAAGATGCTAACAGCCCCTTCCCAAAACAAATCCCCTTCTTGCTTGGGGATCAGGCCTGTTTTGTAAAACTAACAAAGTAGCCACAAGATAAGAAATAATGGCTCAGGATTCATGCAGCCAGTGGTCACAAGATTGCTAGCCTCCCCAGTTGCTCCTATAGATAACATCACTGTTATAAAACCTAAGATTGGTGTCTGAGGTATTTTTCAGACCCTGCATTCTGATGGACCAGCTGGGCCACCCAGAGAAGTAAACTGGCTCATCTGGTCTTGTGCCCCAACTCCCAGGAACTGACTCAGTGCAAGAAAACAAGCTTTGACTCCCTATGAATTCATCCGTAATGCAACCAAACAGCATTCCCCATTCCCTAGTCCTCTGCCCATCAAACTGTTCTTAAAAATCCCTAGCCTCTAAATTTTTACGGAGGCTGATTCGAATAATAATAAACTCCTGTCCTCTTGTGTAGCTGGCTTTGCATTTATCGAACTCTTTTTCTATTGTGAAAACCTTCTGTTCTCAATGCATTGGCTTTTCTGGGAAGTGAGCAAGATGAACCCCTTGGGTGATTACATTATCCTAAGTGAACTAACACAGGAGCAGAAAATAGAATATCACATGTTCTCACTTATAAGTGGAAACTAAACAAAGGGTATACATGGACATAAAGGTGGAGAAAATCGACTCTGGAGACTCAAAAACCATGGAGGATGGGAGGGAGGTGCAGGTTGAAAAACTGCCTGCTGGGTACAATGTCCAATATTTTGGTGATGGGTATGCTAGAAGCTCAACCCCCACCATTATGCATATAATATCCATGTAACAAACAAGCACATGTACCCCCAAATCTAAAATTTCAACAAAGAAAACAAGGAGGTTACTAATAAACGTGTTGAAGTGAAATGTTGGGTCAAGAAGACATTCCTTGAATTCCTTTGTGTCTTCAATTACTCTTTTTCCCTCAAGAAACCCAAAATCATTCAAATTATTCCCCAAAAAGCTTATCTAAATTTTTAGAAGGCAAAACTTTTTTAAGTTAAATGTTTGAATACTATTCCGTAGAGCTACAGGTTATTTTTTGATCTAGTTTATGATATAAGTTGAGATACATTTTTATGTGCTAACATACACTATATATGATTTATCTTATTAATTGGAAGAGTAGATCATGTAATCAGTGTATATAGTAAATTTACAGTCATTTTATAGGACTGGGAACATGATTTTCATATTTTTAAATAATGTCAGATGTATAAATTTGTTATATCCTCAATTTTATGACAGATTGGCCACATCTATGATGCATTTGTTTGGTATTTTCATTCCCAAGTAGATAAGCACAATCGTTTTCAAGTCTTGTGATTTAGAGGATAATAGGAACCTGTCTGGTAGGGGAGCTAGGCTGCCAATGATGGAAAACAAGGAGGTAACAAGAAAGTTTATTGAAGAATATCCATCTTAATAATAATAGCAGACACTTCTACAGTATTTATTATGCTGTTTTAGCCAGTTCCGTATATTAATTTAATTACAACCCTAAGAGTTAGTTACAATTACTATCATTTCCATTTTCCATACGAGAAGACCAAAACCCATAGAGGGGAAGTTATTTGCCCTTGAGTCAGATAGCTAAAAATAGTAGAGACCAGAGGTGAGCTCAGGCAGCCTGACTGAAGAGTCTGGGTGCCTCACCACTATGCATACTGCCACCTGTGCTAGGAAAGGAAGGGCTATCTGGGAAGTCAAGCTGGGCAATTATACGTGATATATGCAAGGGGATTTTGAAGGCCCAGGAGAGGACATCTGCCTTCCCACTCCTCTCCCAATCTGTTTACTTGCAGATACCAGATGTTTCATTCATAGGCATAAGGTTTGGTCTATTGTTTACAATGCAACCAACCCCTGGGTGGGGTACTACTAAGATTTATGTGTTATTTTTACTTTCCCAGTCTGTTTCATTTTTATTTTATGAGTGTCATTTTTCATTGTACATTTTTATACAGTTGAATCTGTCCATCTTTTCCTTGTGGTTGCTTATTTGTCATTGTGGCTTTATAAGTTATCATCCCTCTAACGCTTCTACTATAAATGAAGCCATTTTGCCCCAAACTTAGGGGAAATAATGGCTACAACCTTCACATCAAATGCTGCCCTGTCCATTTTGAGATTTCTAAATGAAGCCTCTGTCATTGTCTTCTCAAGCCTAAATCAAGACAACTTATTTATAGTTTTTTCATGCTTCTCTCCTGTTTCTATTCACTGAATTATCCCCAAATTTGGGTTCTCCAAATGACTCTAAGAATTAGGGCAAGTGGTGAGAAGGATGAGGGATATTGACCTGTAATCAATGCCTATTATAATTCAACCAATGTGCTAGGTGCTTTCTCATAACTTATCTCTTTTCATTTAATCATTAAACAGCTCTGTGAGGGGGACAAGGGCCCTATGAGTAGTTCTAAAGTACCCCAGCCTGGGAAAGATGTGCAGGGAACCTGGTAAGACTCAGCCCTTTTGGAAACTCAATCCCATACTTAGTTCTGGTGATATAAAGGAGGCTGTTAGAAACGGAAGGTCATTGGAGCTAGACAGTCAGTTTTGGTCACTCTCAAAGAGGTGAGAATTGAAGAAGAGGGGAGGGTGTGGATGAAAGTTTACTAAGAAAATGCAGTAGATGTACACTAGACTGCTTTTATAATAGGATTTTTTACACTAGGGTTTTTCGGACTTGCAGAGGGGAAAAATGGGACTCCCCTACTTCCACTGCCAGATCTTTGTTCCCTGAAATTTGCATTTGGGGGATCTAGGTCAGTGACATTGGGTAGGTGAGAAAGAATAGAGGAGTGAAATTTCAATGACATAAAGCCATCAAAAACAGCAAGAATTTCAGCTGAAACATTGCCTGAGAATACCTAGCACTGTCTATGTAAGCAGATACAAATTCTGGCTAATCACCCACAAGTCCCATCTCCTAGGGGAATCTTCAAAGTTAAGGCTTCAAACACACCCCTCAACACCCCAGCTGAAGGGCTGAAGTGATGGAGAACATGAAAATTTTCTGAGAGAGTGTGAAGAATGAGATTACCTATCTCAGCTCCTAACTCCCTAACCTAGGGAGGTCAATTACCATTTCTGTTCTTCAGTTTTTCCATATATCACATGTGAGTGCCTTCTAGCTCTAACATCGTACGGTTCTCTTCCAGTCTTTCCTGTTTCAGTGAATGGCACTGACCTTATTACTGAAGCCAAAAATCCAGGAGTCATTTTAGATGCCTTATCTCGCCCTCCGTACCTCTCCATCCTATCCATGAGCTAATCATATCAGTTCTGTGCCCAATAATATGTTCCCAATCAGCCCATTTTTCTTCATATCTACTATTACTACTGTAATTCAAGCCACCATAATTTCTTTCCTGGACAACTGTAATAGTTTTCCCACTGGTTTTCCTACTTCCACTTTTGCCCCAATAAAATCTGTTCTCACAGCAGTCAGTGATGTTTAAAAACTAGATCATGTTGCTCCCCTGCTTAAAACCCTCAATGTTTGCCTATTGTAATTAGAATAAAACCCAGACTCATCACCATGGTTTACAAGACCCTGTTTTTAGAATAACAGTTCAATGACATAAACTGTCTCCTCAGTCTACTTCTGCTCCCCTTAATCAGCCAGAGCCCTACCTACTTTTTTTTTTCATAGGCTAAGCATTTTCTGACTCAGGACCATTGCACCGGCTATTCGTTCTGCCTGGAGCACTCTTCCTCCAGATCATTGTATGCCCAACTCCTTATGTCTCCACTACAATGTCATCTCTGAACAGGAGCCTTCCCTGACCATCCTAACTAAAACATTCCCCCTCCTGCCATCATTCTGTCCTATTATCCTCAATTAGTGTCTTATGGGCTTATCTCCCCCAAATATTATTATGTTTATTTTTTTTTCTTTTCTGTCATTATTGTCTGGCTCCTCCTACTAGAATGTAAACTTCCTAAGAACTGGGATCTTGGGTAACTAATAGAACATAGTAGGTGAGAGCATGGCTTCTGGAGGCAGACTCTCTAAATTTGAATCTCAGTTCTGCCACTTACTAGCTGTGTTACTCTGGGCAAGTTACTTAACTTCTCTGTGCCTCAACTTCCTCTTCTGTAAAATAAGGATGATAATAATATATACTTCCTGTGAAGTTTTTGCAAGGATTAAACTAACTTAATACATGCAAAGCACTATATATCCCTGGAACCTAGGAGAGTGCCTGGCATGTAGTAAGTGTTCAGTAAATATTTGTTGGCTGTTTGCATGAATTAATCCTCGATACCTCCTGCTGTTTCCCTCCCTTCCTCTCTCATCCTGCCTAGTTTTGTTCAGGAAGCTTTTCCCTGACTCCTTGCCCACTTCTCAGGACTAAATTGGTTCTCCCCTTATGTGTGTGTGTCTTGCTCACAGAACCTAGACTTATTTCAAGCCCTGATTGCTAGGTATAACTATATATGTATGCATGATCTTTGTAATAGCTGGTCTCTCTCACTAAATGGTAAGCTTGGTAAGGGCAGGGCCCATGTCTGTCGTATCTGCTATGAAATCTTCACTGAAACCTCGATGGTTCCTGACATATCATAGGTGCACAATAAACATTTTTGGGCTGAAAACTTTTGGCTCACTTTTCTCTTAGAAATGCTGATTAAGAAATATAATGAGAAATTTAATAAGTAATTTGCACTACTTTTTGAAAGGCAATTTGGAACCAAGACTGTTGTTGCATCTCTGCCTCCTTTTAGTTTAGTTCACTGTTGAAGTACAAAGAAATATCTGTGAATTCAATATTCTGGCCTCCATTTTTAAAGTCTTGATCTATTCCCTGAAAGTATAATCGAGACTGACTGGCTTCCCTTTTGCTAATTTCTTGCATTTTAATGGTATTAACCCCAACATACCCTGCCTTATTGCCTTAGCAATAAGAATAATGTTGGCCCTGATAAAACTAAGATTTTTTTTTATTTCTAACCCCTCAAATCAATCAGTTCTTCTAATAAAATCATGCATTAGAACTCACTGCTAGCCCATATCTTAAATATTGTTTCAGCCATTGCAAACTTCTGATCAATTGAGAGCTACTGAACACTTACTATGGAAAAGCCACCACCTTGGCTTGCAGATACTGTTTTAAGTGCTGCTTCAGAAGAAGGGGCAGAAGGCTATAGTTTCCTTCTCTTCCCCACTGTTTCTCTACAACATTTTCCTTCCTCTCACTGCTAGCCTGGATTCTTAAAATTCAGCAAGGAACAGGTGAGACATCTGTTCTCAAGGAGGTCAAGGAGCCAAAAGCAAACCAGCAGAAGCTAAGAGGCACATTACTCTTTCTGTATTTGGACATTTTAATTGTTACAAATAGCACAAACCTTCTTCCAAGCTCCAGGTTTTCCCATGGCCTCTTCTCTTAGATTAACTGCTATCTCCCTTAAATGTCCATAGTTGGAAGCATGGGACATGCTTGGCCCTCTGCAGACACCCTATATTGGAGTGCACCTTCTGGCTGAAAAGTAACAGAGGCATTCAGGCCCCATGGTAGCAGCAGCAGCTTGATACAGGCCGCATGGGGCCATAGGAAGAGCACAGGCCCTTGAGTCAGGAGTCTTGGTTCTGTTTCAGCCAAGTAGGGTGATGTCAGACAAGTCCTTTGCCTCTCTTGGTCTCAGTTTCCTCATCTGTAAACTAGGATTTCGGTGAGGCTTGAAAGACAAGATAGTTCCCAAATTATTACCAAATCAGACTCTAAACCCATTAACATATTTAATTGAAACAGATACATACCCACATCCAGACTTTTACCAGATGTGTGAACATAGTCAGTGGTAAGGATTCTTAAGGTGAAGGGGACAATGGAAAAAGAGAGAGACATTAAATTTAAAATCTCAAAGGCTGTTCATAAATTGCTTCCCACACATCCCATACAAACCCTCCGCTTCTCCCCAAGCCAGCATTAATGCATTATAAACCACTTTATGTTTGACATAGATACATACACTCGGGACCCCATTGTAGTTTTGGTTGCTATATATATATATTTTTTTTTTCCAGACACACTCTCTTCATTAATCTGCAAGTAACTTGGTCCAAACTGGGCACAGGCTCTAGCTTTATAACTTATTGTGTGGACATGGCAAAACAACTTTCCCTATCTGAGTCAGTTTTCTTCCTTCTAAAAGGGGATGAATCTACTTGCCCCCTTCATAGTGGTTGTGAGGATGAAATGATAGATTGTACATATCAGACTCAGCACAGTAGCCAGTACATGTCAGGCACTTAACGCAGGCTTGTTGCTTACCTCCTCCCCTTACGGGACAGAGCTGGGGCCAGTTCTTGGCTCTGGATCCACAGGCTTTGTGACTAACCAACTCAATGTTCTTTAAATACCAACTAGTGGCTGTACAAGATAGCAACCTTCAAGACAATAGGAAAATGTAGACACCAGGGAGAATTTTATGGTTAAGAAAGTTATTACATCTTGGATCCAAAGAAGAGAAGGGCTTTAATTTCTTCCCTGGAGAATGCTTAAAATCACTGTGGACATCCAGAATGACATGAGATTCATGTTCCACAAACTTCTCAAGCTCCTACAAAATACCAAGCCCTGTATTCAGCATGATCATGGGAATGATCTCATAGAGGCCTCCCAACAAGCCTCTGAGGTGGGCTCACTAGGTACATTTTTCAGATGAGGAAACTGAAGCTCAATAAAAGAAAGCACAAACTCAGAGAGAGTTCTGACTCACTTTTAGTTGGGAGTGAGTCACCATCTTCCTTTTGCCCAACGTCCAGCTCTCTAGGCCTGTTTGTGCACGCTGAGTAACTGCCTCTTACCTGGTCTCATGTCCTCTAATCATTCTCCACTTTGCTTCCAGAGTCCCTCTCTAAAATATTCCTCCATCCTTATCACTACCGTGCTTTGAAACATAAAATAATTAAACATTACTTGGTGCAGAATAAGCACTTAAAAAATGTTTATTAGGGCCAGGCGCAGTGGCTCATGCCTGTAATCCCAGCACTTTTGGGAGGCTGAGGCGGGTGGATTGCTTGAGCTCAGGAGTTCAAGACCAGTCTGGCCAACATGATGAAACTCCATCTCTACTAAGAAATACAAAAATTAGCCGGGCATGGTGGGTGGGCGCCTGTAATCCCAGTTACTCGGGAGGCTGAGGCAGTAGAATTGCTTGAACCCAGGAGAAGGAGGTTGCAGTGGGCCGAGATCTGTGCCATTACACGCCAGCTTGGGCGACAGAGTGAGACTGTCTCATAAATAAATAAATTAATTAATTTAAAAGTTTATTAGATAAATGTCTGCCTACAGGATTAAGTCCAAACCCTTTAGTCTGACATTTAACGTATTTCATAGTCTGGTTCCTACCTGCCTTTTCTAAATACTACATCTCCCATTTCTTTTTTCCACCTCTACACCTCATATAAGAAACCTATATTTCAGGCACTCTGAACCACTCATCCTTTCCTTTCTCTCTCTATTGTATCCTCACCTGGAGAGCCCATTCTCCTCTATGGTCTGACAAATTCTTAGTCACTCTTGAGACCTATTTACATCTTCTCTGCACAGGTTACACCTTATCTATTCCTGTATTTTGACACCACACTGTACTGTAATTAATAGGTAAATTTTCAGCCTCTTCTGTTCCTCAAAGGCAAGGATTTGCTTTTATTTATCTGCCTTGCCCGGTGACTCCTACAGTACTTCTTCCATTGACTGGCAAAGTCCGAGCTTAAGTAATTGTTTGTTGAATGGGTAAGTAGCTGGAAGTACTTACCCACTCTCCTTTCCCCCAGCTTTTGCAGCATCTCCCTCCTCCCATCCTCCTCTTCCCCACCCCCGCCCCACCCTAAATTGAATGCCAAAGTTACTGGTCCCCAGGCAGCAGCTAGCACATTCAACGTCTCCAAAGCTACTTTCCCTGCAGGGTTTCTTTCCATCCCCAAGGCGTAATTAGCGACTACCGCTAATCTTTTGCGGGTGGGTAGGTGCGAGGGCCCCCGAAGGGAGCGAATGGGTATGTCTCTCATCTCTCCAATTGCCTTCAGGAATATTTTTTTCTCCATTTTCCCACACACGGGCCAGACGAATATCCCCATTCCTTTGCACTCTTCACAACCTTTGACATAATTATCTATAACAAATTGATTTAAAGTGCGGCTGCAGGAAGGGAAACAGGCATGTCTCGCTTGGCCTTCTGGGAGTTGTAGTCCTACAGGCCCCCGGGCTTCCTGGCTGGCCCTGAAGCTCCGGACTACAGCTCCCAGGCCTCTCCAAGCCCCTACCGCACAGGCTCATAGCCCCAAGCCCGGAGGAGGTGGCTACATTGTGTCTATTGTATCCCTTGGCTGGTGTATTTGTACATCTCTCGGGACGTGAAATTGACAGTGAAAAGTATGGCAGATGAGCAAGAAATCATGTGCAAATTGGAAAGCATTAAAGAGATCAGGTAAGTGGCACGTTGTCCCCCTCCCCGCCCCTCTCCAACCCTTCGTTGCGGGAGAGGGCTAATTATCTATTGTTGGGCTGTTTGTCTAGAGGAGCTGGAAAGGGGCCCATTCACCACAGACTTGCCGGAGAGGTGAGGATGGGAGGGGCGCTGAGGAGAGTTGAGAGAGAGAGAGACCTCTTGCCAGATGTGGCTGAGAAAGCAAAGATGAAGAAACACGGGTTTGGTACCAAGACAGTTTTATTCTTCTCGAGGTGGAGGTCAGGGCTCTGCATTCATGGACACGTTTTTTAAAAGTACTTGTGTGCCCCAAGGTGTCTTTGGCTCCTTGCTCTTTAGGAGTCGGGATTTTTTTCCAGTCTCTTGTTCAACTTCAGAACCTGGAGTTCGGGAAAGGCTTTTGAGAGCCAAGTCTAGCGCATCGGGGCTGGTGGCTGCTGCCAGGGGCTGCCAACTGGGGGTTGCAGAGGAATCTCAGCGGGCGGAGCTGGGAGAATGGCGCGCGCTCGTTTTCCTTTCACTCACTCGCCACTTTCTTCCTTCCTATCCCGCGCTTGGGAGGGGGATGGGAGCAATGGGGACTGGGGACGCGGTCGCTGCGCTGATGGTGGGATCGCGACAGCTGCTCTGAGGAGCTGGAGGTGACAGGCGGGCTGGCAAAGTGGGAGTTGCCGAAGTGGAGTCCGCTACACGGTTGCTCCTGGAGCAGCTTTTGGCAAAGCGATGATATTGTCCTTGCTCAGAACACAATAGCGCCAGGCGGGCTGTGTGGGCTGGCACAAGGTCTTTCTTCACCTCGCCTTCTCAGCGTGAGCCCCTGCTTTGGCTTTTGCTCTCACTCTGAGAGTGGCCTGGGTCAAGCTCTCTCCCTGGAGTGTTTTCTGAGAACCCAAGGTGGAAGATGTCAAGTGTGTTTCTTTAAGAAATAAGACTTTGATCATGAGATTTAACCCTTAGAGTGCTGGATGAGACCTACACATGGTGATTAGTGGTGGTAGGTAAAGCACCTTGGTTTCTTCTTCTTCTTGAGGGGTTGCATCTCTCTTTCTACAGGAGAGGTAAAGGAAGGGAACTATCATTTATTGAGTCCCTTCCCGCCCCTGTGTGCCAGGCCCTTTGACCTACTTTTGCTCATTCAGCAAGAGTCCTGTGAGCTTCCTACTCCTCCTTTACAGCTGGGGAAATAGAGGCCCAGAGAATTTGAGTGATTTTCCCACAGCCACGCAGCTTGAAATTGCCACATTTTGTTGGTCTGCCTGCAAAGGTATTCCTTTTCCCACTATGTCCCAGGTAAAGTCTGGAAAGGAGAAGGGAATATGTTGCAATTTTTTTTTTTTTTTTTTTTTTTTTTGGCAAAAGCATCAGAAGCTAGCTAGAAAGTGAGACACCTTAGTACAGTAGAATGCCAGCTGTCATAACGATGCAGCTAGTCAGAAGCTTAGGCTTGCAAATGGAGAGCCTAGACTTCCACTCTCACCAAGCTTCAAAGGAACCACCACCCCATGCCCAGAGAAGGACCAGTTGTGAGCAAGGACTTTAATCCCCAGTGAAAATAGACCTCTCCCAGTGAAGACCATATGGAGAACCATGACTTCTACCCTTACCAGTGGTAACTAGGAGTTTCTACCTCAACCAGCTAGGATGGAATCAGCATAGGCCCAGAGAGAAGGCCAAACTTTCACCTCTAAACAGCAGTAACAAACAGCCCTTCTCCAAACTGGATGTCAAGAGACAGTGGAGAAACTGGACTTCTACTGTCCCTCTTCCATCCAAGAGAGTGGTAGAGGACTGCTAAAACAAAAGATTTAAATAAGATCCAGAGTATCCAACTTTTAATCAAAAATCACTTTCCATACTAAGATATCCACTTGAATGAGAAGAGAAAATAAACAGATGCCAATACTGAGATAACACCCATGTTAGAATTATCTGATAAGGATCTTAAAGCACCTGTCCTAAAAACATTTCAGTGAGCAGTTACAATACACTTGAAACAAATGATAATGTAGAAAATCTCAGAAAATGAATAGAAAGTCTCAACAAAGAAATATAAAACATAAAGAAGAACAAAGTGACATTTTTAGAACTGAAAAATACAGTAACATAAAAACCCCAAAAAACTCAATGGATAGGTTCAACAGTAAGGTGGAGAAGAGAGAGGGAAAAAATAGCTTACAAATATAAAACAATAGAAATCACTGTGGCACTATAACAAAAGCTTTAACATTTATGCCAACAAATTCCCAGGAGAAAGAGGGCAGGATTGGAAAAGTATTGGGAAAAATAATGACTAAAATCTTCCCAAATTGTGCAAAAGACATAAACATTTAGATTCAAGAAGAGGAGCAAACACCAACATAATTGACACAAAGAAACACACTCCAAAACACATTGTAATCAACCTTCTGAAAATGAAAGAAAAAGGAAACTTCTTCAAAACAGCTGAAGAGAAACAAAAGCTACAAAGGAAAAAAAAAATTAGAATGACAGATTTATCATCAGAAACTGACGATGCCCTAGCATTTTGTAAGTGCTGAAGGAAAAGAAGTGACAACCCATAAATCTATGTCCAATAATAATATCCTTCAGTATTGAATGGGTAATCAAGACATTCTCCAATGAAGAAATACTAAGGAATTTAGATATACCCTAAAAAAAGATGATAGTAAGCTCTGAAAACAGAAAAGAAACAATAAACAGTAAGCAAAAGCATGGTTAATGCAGTAGACTTTCTCTTTCCTCTTGAAATTTCTTGTATTTTGATAATTGAAGCTAAATTTATACTGTTATCTAGTGTGGTCTCAGCATATGTAGAGGAAATATTTAACACATTTATATTGTAAACTGGGGAATGTAAAGGGGATTGTAAATGTAAAGAGATGTAAAGGGGAGGACATGCTTCTACACTTCATTCAAGCATGTAAAGTGGTAATGTCAGAAGACTATTAAATAAATTATGTATACATAATATATTACTGAGAGAAAACACTGAAAATGCTATACAAAGAAATGTACTCAAAACATTATAAATAAATCAATATGAATTTTTAAAAAATGCTCCAGTCACCCACAGGCAGGCAGGGCAAAGAAAATGGAGAAACTAAAATTACGGAGAATGAACAGAAAAAAAAATAAAAAGGCAGACTTAGCCTTCATGTATCAATAATTATGTTCACAACAAATAGTCTAAATACCTTGCAAACATTAATCAAAATAAAGCAGGAATGGCCATCTTAATATCAAATAAAACAGACTTCAGAGCAAAGAAAATTCCTAGAGATGGATATTACATAATGAAAAATAGTCAATCTACCAAGAAGACATAACAATTCCAAATGTGTGTGTTCCAAAAGTGACTTAAATTAAACTGCTTTTGACAATTTTACAGTAATATACAAAGGTTAAGCCACTTGGTTTAAGAATTTAAAATGGAGAAAGTACTATAAATATATACTTGATGTTCACATATGGACAGATAAACATGTATGAGAGATAGAAATAAGGAAGGAGCAAAGGGTCAAAGAAACTGAAGAAAGGAACTAACATTTGTCAAGCACCTTTTAATTTAAAAGCTCCTGGCTCATTTACTCTTTAGTCTTCCCAAAGGAAATCTGGGATAGGAATTATTACCCCCACTTTACGGATAAGGACATTGAGGATCAGACAGATTAGGCAACTTTCCCATGGTTACACAGCTAGGAAAGAAAAAATAATATATCCTCCTATTCACATGGCATGCACATTTCAATGTTATTAACTGCCCTTACAAATGCTGATTATCTGATTAACCATTATTCACAGTTCTTCAACTGCTATAATCCTAAATCTCCTGAAGTATAAGCATAGCAGCATATTTCTGTTAAAGAAATAATGTTTGCTGGACAGAAGCAGGAATGATGACAGCAGCATCATCTAATGACCTATTGAAGTCAAGCTAAGAGCCTTACACACATCAAGACACGAGCCCAGAAATATATGCATTCATACTCAGCACTCACACCAATGGCAGAATTTGCAGTGGGAAAAACATCAGAAGCAGATTCTCCCACCACAGACCATTTTCTGCTTCTAACTCTGAACACACGCCTACCCCTGTCTTTCCTCCCAATCCCAATCACACTCCCACATTATGTTCCCAACCTCAGCCTCCAAATCCTACACTAATCTATTTTGCCCATGTTTTCCTTGGACTTTTAAATGGTGATGAAGGAGCATGTAGATAAGTGGAAGAAGAGAGACAAGAATGGAACAAAAGAAGGGAGATAGAAAAGAGGGAAAGGGAGGATAGCAGTAATAAAACAGAGACAGTGAGTACAGGCACCATTAAATGGACCAGAGCCCTACACCAGCTCCCCAAGTACAAAACAATATTTCCTTAAAATGCACATGCCATCCATTCATGTGTATTGCGTACACTCACACCCCGATGTACACATATCCATACACAAAGAGCTTTCCTCACTTGAAAAAAAGAAAAACCATTTTGGAAGGAGATGTTGAGTTAAGTAGGTACTCTTAAATGAATGTTTCTCGACTGGGTCCTTCTTTTCTTTTTTTCTTTCTACACACTCTTTTGAGTAAATTCCTGTACTTCCATGGCTTCAAATATTATCCTCCAAATCTCCAACCTCTATACCCCACCCACATTCATGCTTTAGCCCATACATATGACAGCCTACTGGGCTTGTCCGCCTGGAAGTTTCACAGATAAATCTCAGCTTTATATCTACGTCTCTTCCTACAGCAATCAAGCTCCTCCCCTTAAACCTTTGGTTTAATACCACCATTCTCTGCACAGTTACCTCAGATGGCAATCTGAAAGTCAATGTTGACTCCCCTTTCTCTTTAATGACTCACCTGCAATCACTTAGTTAATTCTATTTCTATCCTGAATATCTTACCCAATACCTGCCCCACTCTCCACCTCCCAGTTCACTGCTCCATTTCAGGCCTTCATTATGAATTGGCATGGATATTTGTAATGCAGTATCCATTTCCATCTGAAGAATTACTTCCCTGTCTACAGTCTCTCCTCTGTCTGCAATGGCATCCACATTGCCTTGAGAACTACCTTCCTAAAGCATGGTTGTTATTTTATTTCTCAAACATCTTCACTAACTTTTCATTGTGTATGACAATCTTTTTGAAAAATACAGGCTGCGTCCCATTATTAGCTCATAAAAAGAATTTAGTTGGTCACTAGTAGCATTTTTAAAAAACCTTTTTTAAAATAAAAAGGAAATTATCAACATACATTGCATATGAAGTAGTAGGTATACTTTGGAGAAGGTTTTGTTTAGTTTTAAATATGTGTATGTGTGTATTGTGTCATGAGGTGAAATTCATTTCTCACTTACGTCATTTCTTACTGTGTCTCTGTTGAACACACATTTACCTATCGGTGTTTCCATGGCATTCATGCTGCCTCCCCGGAAATCTGTCCCATACCCACTATTCTGACCTTATCTGCTACTGCTTTTTATTAATCCTATCCTTTAGCCATATAGAAGTTCTTACTGTTTTATATATTTCCGTTCCACCAGACCTTTGCCTCTGCAGATTCCTCGTTCTAGAATGCCACTCTCCCATTCCAAGCATCTAAATCCTACTCATTTTTCAAGGAAGACCCATATGAAATGCCTCGTCTTCTCCAAAACCTTCTCGAGTTCCCCAGTCAAAATGAATTACAATACCCCAACCACAGACTCCACAGGGAGATTTATTATAGCACTCAAGTTATCCCATCTAATGATGGAATTTTGAATTGATATCCTCCCTTCCTTCCTCCCTTCCTTCCTTCCTTCCCCCCTCCCTCCCTCCCTCCCTTCCTCTCTTCCTCTCTTCCTCCCTTCTTCCTTTCCTTCCGCCATTGGTGTGGCAGTCTTGGTAAGCTCCTCTGTTACCTGGCTTGGGGATTGACTCAGAACCAGTGCTTACTCAAGACCAAGGCACAGGACAACTGGAACCTCTGGGACTTGTGGATGGGCAAATTAAGCCAAACAATGCTGGCCACAGGAGAGACTGAAAAGGTGTTGGCATTTGGTATTGAGATGTAAGAAAGTTATCAGAATGAACTGTTATAAGAAATCTACTTTGCTGACAGTAGCTTTGTTTCCAGTTGAGCAAATAAATATTACATGGAAGAATGCTTAGTACTTAGGCAATATTCTCACCAGACTGGAGTAAGCAGGAAAAACTAGCTCCTTTGTGTTCATTCAGTGACATTTACTGAGCATAAATCTGGGCCATAATCAGGGCTGGGCTATCCTTTGGTGGCCCATCACTTAGGATAAATAAGACCCATCAGAAGGATCTTCTAATCAAAGTCAATAGCTCTGATCTCTCCCTTGAGTTCCAGACTCACATATCTAACTGCCCATTTAACTTACACCCTTGCATGTATCACTGGCATCTCAAACAGGCCCTCAACTCCAGCCCCACCCCTAAACATTTTTATTTCCCAGTCTTCCCCATCTCAGTAAATGCCTCACTATGCTGAAATCTGGAAGCCATTCTTTATTCCTCTTTTTATGTGACCCTCTCCATCCACACCATTAGCATAGTGGTTATTATACTTGACCATGCAGGAGGTTACACCTAAAGGGCTTTTAAATCATTGATTGCTGAGCCCCATTTCCAGGGTCTCTGATTCAGTAGATATGGAGTGGGGCCTGAGAATTTACATTTCTAACAAGTTCCCAGGCAATGCTGCTGCTGGTGGTGCAGGGACTACATGTGGAGAACAACTGCATTAGTAAGACCTGGCCAGTTATACCTATACAATATAATCTGGAATTGTCCACTTCTCATCATCCCCTCAACTTATTAACAAATACCAGCACTTTTCCATCAATCTCCAGTAAACAGTATCTTTTCACCTAATTTTCCCATCTTCAAGGCCTACAGGTCCCAGCTGTCCTACCCTGCTTTTTGAGTGTGCATTGGGGCTGAGTCACCTCTGAAACTGGGTGACAGATGAGCCTGCCAAGTTTGTCCCAGCAATGGATGATCCATGGCCCTAGAACTTCTCCTTCTTTGCACCTGTCCTCTTCCATATTTGCCAGAAAGAAATCATTGAAAAGAAGGTATCCAGCTGAATGTTTTATAGTCTTGGCTCAGGAGACTGTCTGGAGAACCTGTGGCCTAGCAGTCTGCTATGATTTGAATGTACCCCAAATTTCATGTGTTGAAACATAATCCTACCATTTTGATGGTATTAAGAGGAGAGACCTTTCGGGAAGTAATTAAGTCATGAAGCCTCTGCCATTATGAATGGATTAGTGCCTTAGAAAATGACTTGGAATGAGTTTAGACCCTTTTTTGTACTTCTGTGATTCCACCATATGAAGACACAACATTCACTCCCTCTTGAAAATGCAGCAACAAGGTGCCATCTTGGAAGGAGAGACCAAGCCCCTCACCAGACACCAAATCTGTTGGCACATTGATCTTAAACTTCCTAGCCTTCGGACCTGGGAGAAATAAATTTTTGTTCTTTACAAATTACCCAGTCTGTGGTATTGTGTTATAGAAGCACAAACAGACTAGGACAGGAGCTCAGGAATACTGGTCCAAAAGTTACCTAAGACTGTCATCCTGGTGACTGTAGAAACCCTAAAGTACCCTGAAAACCCTGTGGTTTCCCTGTGGTTCACGAGTCATACTAGCTGTGCTTTAGCCTCTTGGAAAAATCTCATTAGGAAATTTTATATATAAAATTGCATCTTTAATGATCTGGATGGCTTCCTCACTTGTAGGGCCAAACATTCCACAGATTTCATCTCATTGAAGCATCCAACAATTCCATGCAAGGCTACACTGAGTCCTACTTTCCAGGTAGAATTTCCAAGGTGCCAAGAGATTCCATGAAGTGCACTATTTCACCCTGAAAATTGATGACTGAGCCAGGACAAGAATTCACCCTACTGGCCTGGTTTTTATGGCTTTAAATCCATCATATGATGAAAGTTCCTTGTTGTGATGGAAAGGTGATCAGATTTACAACGCTGGATTTTCCACTTCCTGAATTTGTCTTCTTGGGCAAGTCACTTTACTTCTCTCAGCCTCAAATTCTTCATGTGTGAAAATAAAGTGAAACATACCTGCCGATATGGTTCTTATGAAGATTAAATTTTGATAGCATAAAAAGTGCCTAATACAGTTGCTGGAACATAGTAGGCACCACAAATATAATAGCTATTGTTATTAAATAAAGCCTTTCTTAACAGACGGTTGCTTTCAGTTCCTGTCACTTAGATAGATTCTTAATAAATATGAACCAAATGAATGAAATCCTTGCCACCCATGGTAATGTCTTTTCTTCTCTGAGGCTACTGATGCTATAATCACTCCCCTGGATTTACTACCTACCATTCAGTAGTTTCTCATTCCAAATGTAATGATTGAGCCCCGCTTATGGCCAAAGCAGAATGATAGGTGTTGTGGAGGTTAAAGAGAGAAATATGGCATAGTGCCACTGTCTAGAAAGCCCTCGTGTATATAATTACTCTGATTTCAAGTTGCTTCATGCATAAATCTGTACTTTTTAGAGGACCCAGAGGACCATGACTATGTGCCTTGTGCTAGTCCCTTTCCCATCCTGGACCTTTATTTATTCACCTCTGAAATAAAGAGGATAGATTTCATGGGTGACTTTGAAATAATGTTCTGACGAGCCCAGGGAATTCTAAGGAGGGTTTTAAAGGGCCACTGTGATAGAGTCAGGTGGTGGTTGAATTTGAGGACAGATTAATGACTCTGGGGGTCCCACTTCCACTTTAACCATAACAGTTATGATTTGTTCCATTTTCTATATTGGATCTCAATCAGTTATTTTATTTGAAGGAAGGGATCTTATCATTCATCCACAAGAACCAGCGCACTTCTGGATAAATGGTGCTTGCTTAATACAATTTTTAAGTCTGCTTGATTGATGGAAGTTTGTAAAGAGGGAATTTGGTATTGTGAGTACATCTAAGCAGTGACTGGCATGACACTCTTTGTAGATTAGAGAGAGGAAGGGCCTTTTATTTAGATTTAATCTTAGCTCAAACTTCTCAATTGCTGGACAGAGAATGGAAGGCTGGGAATTAGATGCAAATCCTGAAGACCATAGTAAAGGCAATCTACCTCAAATGCAACAAATTATTTATTTATTTATTTATTATTAAGCCATTAAGCTCCTTCTCATTTCTCCTGGCTGCCTTAATCAGCAAACTTTAAAAAAATCCATTCCCTCTACGTAAGCCTTTTGACAAGTCATTTATTTTTCTGGGAAAACATGAGCATGCTTAGAAGTTATGTTTAGTGGGAGTTGTAGGTTTAGATTTAATTCTGGGTGCAGTAAGAGGTCATTACAGGATAATTTGAGTTATATTTTATATACCATAGGAAACATCCATTTCAAGTGTACAATTCAGCATGTTTTAATAAATTTAAAGAGTTGTACAATCATCACCATAATATTTTAGAAAATTTCCATCATTCCAAAATTAGCTCTTTGTTCAGTTTCAGTTGATCTTTGTTCTTATCCACAGCCCCAGGAAACCTGTAATATATTTTCTGTCTAAATAGAGTGGCTTTTTCTTGATGCTGCATATAAATAGTTATACAAATGTGGCCTTTTGGGTCTGCCTTCAGTCACTTAGCTTATTGTTTTTGAGATTCATTCACATTGTAACATGTAACAGTATTTCATTCCTTTTTGTTGACAAATAATATCCCATTGCATGGATATCGCACATTTTGGGTGTTCACTCACAAGTTGAGGAGCATTTCAGTTATTTCCACTGTTTTGGCTCTTATGAATAATGCTGCTCTGCACATTTGTGTACAAGTCTTTTTGTGGAAAAATGTTTCCATTTCTACTGCTTAGATTCTCAGGAGTGAGATTTCTGTTTCATATTGTAAGTATATGTATAACTTTTTAAGATACAAGTGTTTTTGAAAGTGGATGTCCTAGTTTCCATCCCAAGAGGGAGTGTATGAGGGTCCCAGTTTCTCTACATCCTCAACAATACTTGTTAGTGTCTGCCTCAAAAAGGCATTATAGCCATCCTAGTGGTGTGATGTGATAGCTCACAGTAGTTTTAACTTGCATATTCCTAATGACCAATCTTGTTGAGTATCTCTTCATGAGTTTATTTGCCACCCATATATCCTCTTCTGTGAAGTGTTTATTCAAACCTTTTGTTCATTTTTTAACTGGGCTGTTTGTTTACTGATTGTGAGTTTTGAGTGTTATTTACATTTTCTGGAAACACATTTTTACCAGACACTTGATTTGCAAACATGTTCTCCCAGTCTGGGACTTATCTTTTCATTGTCTTAACAGTGTCTTTTGAATTACAATGTCTTTTTTTTTTTTTTTTTTTTTGCTTCTTTGTTTGAAACAGGATATCACTCCGCCACCCAAGCTGGAGTTCAGCAGTGCCATCGTGGCTCACTGAAGCCTTGAATTCCTGGGCTCCAGAAGTTATCCCACTTCAGCTTCCCCAATAACTGGACTACAGGCTTGTGCCACCATGCCTGGCTAATTTTTCTTAAATATTTTGTAGAGACAGGGTCTCACTATGTTACCCAGGGTGGTCTTGAACTCCTGGGCTCAAGCGATCCTCCCGCCATGGCTTCCCAAAGTGTTCTGATTATAGGTGTGAGACACCGCACTGAGCCAGAAACTTTTAATGTTGATGAAGAAATCCAATTTATCAGTATTTTTTATGGATTGTGAATTCTTGTGCCATTTAGGAGAAATGTTTGCCTAAGTCGTATTCACAAAGATTTTCTCCTATATTTTCTTCCAGAAATTTTATTTTTAGGTTTCACGTTTAGGTCTATGATCCATTTTCACTTAATTTTTTTGTATGTTGCAAGGTACGGGTTAAGGATTTTCTTTTGCATTTGGATGTTCAGCTGTTTCACTATCATTTGTTTGAAAGACTTGTCCTTACATCTGTGGGTTTATTTCTGACCTATCTGCTTCATTGCTTTATTTGTGTATCTTTATGCCAATAGTTTGCTGATTTGATTACTATATCTTTTTAATAATTACGGAAACCAGGTCATGTAGGTTCTCCAACTTCATTATTCTTCCTCAGAAATAATTTTGACTATTCTAGGCGCTTTGAATTTCTATGAGTTTTAGATTCCCCTTGTCAGTTTCTACCAAAAACCATACTGGGATTTTAATAGGATTTTGTTGGATCTGTAGATTAGTTTGTTAGATTTCACCAGTGTGTAATGAAATAATGTCCTATTTCTGTTCTAGGATCTAACCCAAGATACCACATTGCATTTTTATGATTCCATTTAACTTATTTTATGACTTATTAGCTATAATGCTGTTTTATTATTTCAGTGGCTGCTTTAGAGTTTATAATATACATCCTTAACTTATCACAACCTACCTTCAATTGAGCGCATAATACTGCACATATAATGTAAGAAACATACAACACTATATTTCTCCCTTTCTGGCCTCTGTGCTATTGCATTTTGGTACTTTTTGGTTTAAACTGTTGATTATATTTTTAAGTAACTTAATTAAGGAAGAAAATAATCATGATATTTTTCTATGTAGTTACCATTTTCAGTGCTCTGTATTCCTTTGTTTTGATACATTTCCCTCTGCTATCATTTTCCTTTTGCTTGAAGGACTCCCTTTAACATTTGTGGTAGTGCAAGTTTGCTGATGATATAGCATTTTACCTTTCCTTGTGTGAAAAGTTCTCATTTTACCTTTGTTTTCAAAGTTGTTTTCCCTGGGTAAATAATTCTATATTGGCATGGATTTCGTCCGTACTTTAAAAGTGATACACCACTGTCATCTTGCTTCCAACATTCTTTGATACTCTTTGTGTAACATATCCTTTGTTTCTGACTCCTTTACTGGTTTTGAGCAATTTGATTATGATATAGCTTGGTGTGATGTTCTTTATGGATTTTATGCTTGGAGCTTGATGAATCTATTGGATCAGTGGGCGTGTAGCTTTAATCAAATTTGAAAGATTTTTGGCCATTTATTCTTCAAATATTTTTATCTTCCTCTTTCTTCTTGGTCTTCAGTTACCTGTATTTTTAATTCAATTTAATTTAATTTGATTTAATTTAATTTAATTTAATTTTACTGTGGTAAGGTCACAGAACTTGAGATCTACCCTCAACAAATTTTATATTTATAATACAGTATTGTTAACTAGAAGCATAATGTTGTACTGCAAATCTCTTGCAGTTATCATCCTGCACAACTGAAACTTTATACATATTGAATAGCAGCTCTACGTTTCCCCCTCCTTCAGTTCCTAGCAACTGCCATTCTACTCTCTGCTTCTAAGAATTTGACTATTTTAAATACCTCATATGAGTGGAATCATGCAGTATTTCTCCTTCTGTGATTAGCTTATTTCACTTAGGATTATGTCCATGTTATCTCATATTGTAGGACTTCCTTCTTTTTTAATGCTTAATAATATTCCATTGCATAAATATACTACATTGTTAATTCATTCATTTAGGTTGTTTTCATATCTTGGCTATTGTAATTAATGCCATGATAAACACGGGAGTGCAGATATCTCTTTGAGATCCCGATTTCAATTCTTTTGGACAAATACCTAGAAGTAGGAGTGCTGGATTTATATATTTTTATATATTTATTATACCTGTTGGCCATGTTTATGTTCTTTGGAATAATGTTTATGGAACTCCTTTGCCCAGTGTTCAATCGGGTTAATAGCTTTTGTACTATTGGTTTGTAGGATTTCTTATATTTTATACAAATTAATCCATTATCAGATATATGATTTGCAAATATTTCATCCTTTATGCAGTTTGCCATTTTACTCTGTTTATTGTTTCCTTTGCTGTGCAGAAACATTTTAATTTGATGTGATCCTACTTGGTCATTTTTGCTTTTGTTGCCTGTGCTTTTGGTGTCATATCCATTAAATCATTGCCACAAGCAAAGTCTTGAAGTTTTTCTCTTATGGCTTCTTGTAGGAGTTTTGTAGTTTCAGAAGTTATGTTCAGTGTTTAATACATTTGTAGTTAATTTCTGTGTATGGTATAAGATAAGGGTCCAATGTTATACGTTTGCATGTGGACATAGTTTTTCCCATAGCATTTATTGAAAGGACTATCATTTCTTGCATTGTGTATTCTTGTAAACTTTGTCAAAGATCAAGTGACTGTATGTGGGTGGATTCATTTCTGGGCTCTCTGTTTTTTCCCATGGCCTCTATGTCTGTTTTTATGGCAGTACCATACTGTTTTAATTACTGCAGCTTTGTAATATATTATAAAATCAGGGGATAAGATTGTTCTGGCTACTTGGAGTTTACATGAATGTAAAAAAAAATGCCATTGGGATTTTTATAAGGATTATATTGAATCTGTAGATTGCCTTGAGTAGTATGGTTAAGTCTTCCAATCCATGAACATGTATGTCTTCCCATATGTTTGTGTCTACCTTAATTTCTTTCATCAATACGTTATAGTTTCATTTATTGCTAAGTATTTTGTTCTTTTTGGTGCTATCATAAGTGGGATTGTGTCTGAATTTCCTTTTCAGATAGTTTGTTGATAGTGTACAGAAACACAACTGACTTTGTATGTTGATTTTGCATCTTGTAACTTTACTGAATTCATTTATTAATTCTAACAATCTTTTTGGAATTTTTTGGGTTTTGTACAAATAAGATTTTGTCAACTGAAAACAGCAATAATCTTACCATTTCCTTCTCAATTTTGGTGACTTTTATTTCATTTTCTTGTCTAATTGCTCTG